>NC_000003.12:71260000-72510000 GCF_000001405.40 Homo sapiens | reverse complement strand
CTCACATATACCCAACATTGCACACACAATTTCAGGAGTTCTCAGTCACCCTAAAACCCGTCCAGGCATATGGGGTATTGGCAGACCTACACGGGAAGGAGCCAAGTCATAACCAGAAGGTTGCTTCGAGATCGTGGAGTTGCAACAAGGGCATTGTGTAGGTGATTGACTGTTCAAGGACAATAGGCTAAGAGCTCCTTCAACATAGAAGGCCTTGTAGAAATGGTCTTCCCACTTGAGATATTCCATCCACTGGAGGCCTCCCCTCACCTGGACCAGTGCCCGAATGGAGTCGTGCCAACAATAACCTCTGCTCTGTCTCAGTGAACAAGGCTGACCAAACCCCATTTTGTTGACTAGTCAGTCTCTCTTGAGATAGGCCATCACCTTGATCCACTGAGAGTCACATGCGTCTCACCTTGGAGTGATGCAGTGACCTTCAGAGGACTTTGCATGTCTCAGCTCTGAGCCATCACAAATAGACGTAAAGCTTAACTTTGGTGGAGAGCCGTAGCTTCCTTACTTAAAGTTCTTGTAAGGTGTCTCATTCTGGCCCCTAGCAACTCTTAGCTGGATTTTCCTAGAGCATCCAGAAAACAATAAAAGACAGACAGACACCCAGCTGATCACAAACCCTCTCCAGCCCACATTTCTCCTCTCCACAACCTAGAGCAAGGGTTGGCAAACCGATTCTGTAAAGGACCACATAGTAAATATTTTAGCTGTCTTTTGAAACTACTTAACTCTGTTGTTATAGTGCAGAAAGCAGCATAGGTAATAAATACATACATGAATGAGTGTGGCTGTGTTCCAATAAAACCTTATTTACCAAACACAGTGGACTGGGCCGGAATGGGGCTGGGGACTGTGGTTTGCCAACCTTGGTCTGGAAGATTCTCCTCCTCCTGATGGATTCTCCCCAGTCCCCTGTTCTTCTCTGCTCTCCCTCGGTGATCTTTTTGAAGGATTCATTTCCACTGTATTTCTGAGGATTTAGACAGTCCTTCTTCTGAGGAACCAGCAAATGGAAGATTGCTTTAAGCTGGAAAAGATTAGATGTCCTGGGTGTTCAATCCTTCTTCCTGGTTTGCACAGTGTGGAGAAATGGATAGGAAAGAGACATCATCTAAACATGGGAAAACTTTTTCACAAGGTTAAGAGCACTTACTCTTAAGTCAGATAATAATAACAGTATTCTGAGCCAGATGGATGGTAAAAGAAAATAATAATAATAATAACAGCAATAAGAGCAACAACATAAATAACATTTATCGAACATTCGCCATGTGCTAAGCATTCTCCTGTTTTTGTATACTTTGTATTAGATGCTGGGTTTGTTTTCCTCTGCCACTATCTAGCTATGGGATGTCATCTAACCCCTCTAAGCCTCAGTTTCTCCTTCTGTTAGACAAGGGGTGTGGGGTCACTTGTAAAAAGCTCTTTTTTTGAGACGGAGTCTCGCCCTGTCGCCCAGGCTGGAGTGCGGTGGCTCCATCTTGGCTCACTGCAAGCTCCGCCTCCCGGGTTCACGCCATTCTCCTGCCTCAGCCTCCTGAGTAGCTGGGACTACAGGCGCCCGCCACCATGCCCGGCTATTTTTAGTAGAGACGGGGTTTCACCGTGTTAGCCAGGATGGTCTTGATTTCCTGACCTCGTGATCTGCCGGCCTTGGCCTCCCAAAGTGCTGAGATTACAGGCCTGAGCCACCGCGTCTGGCCAACCTGGCTCCTTCTAAGTGCTTAATATGGGTTAAATCTTAATATTCCAATCTGTGAAGGGACCAGCCGTGTTCTTCGTACCTCAGAACTTAGAAAGGAAGTCAGTAGGTGGGACTCTCAGGAGGAGTGATTGCCGCCCCAGAAAAACTTTGTGACACAGCATTTCTAAGATGTACAGGGGGTTGGTAGATAATTTTTCTTTCTTTCTTTCTTTTTTTTTTTTTTTTTGAGACAGGGTCCTGTTCTGTCACCCAGGATGGAGTGCAGTGGCCTGTGATCATAGCTCACTGTAACCTCCTGAGGTGGGATCCTCCCACCTCAGCCTCCTGAGTAGCTGGGACTACAGGTGCGCACCACCATGCCTGGCTAATTTTTTGTAAGAGTGCGTGTGTGTGTGTGTAGACGGGATTTCACCATATTGCCCAGACTGGTCTTGAACTCCTAAGCTCAAACAATTCATTCGCCTCAGCCTCCAAAAGTCCTGGGATTATAGGTGTGAGCCACTGCGCCCAGCTTGTTGGTAGATGATTCTTGAAGAAAGGACTCTGTAATCAAATAAATTTAGGAATTCTCAGCTGAGCAAAGTTAAACAGGTTTCTCAATTGCTATATTTCTCATAACTCAGAATATACTGTTGTGGAATAAATCTCTAGGAAGATATTATCACAAGCAGTTTTTTCCAAATGTGTTTATCCACCAATCTTTTTCTTTCTTCACCCCTAGGGCATCTTTGGAAATTAGTTTGCCAGAGAAAACCCTTTGAAACAGTACAATTGGAGTTGTCTGAAAATAGATGGGGCTACTGGAGGTAGTGGGCTCCTCATTAAGGGCAGGATGCAAACAGAGGCTGGATGCCCAAGGGGCAGGAATGTGGAGAGAACCCTGTGGGGGATCAAAAGGGAATGAGGGAAATGAAGAGGAAAGTGAAAGGCTCGTGTCAGTCCAGGGGGGCTGGGCTTTGTCCTTTCAGGCTCTGGAAGTTGTGCTAGTTTTCTGTTCCAGGCCTGGACTTTGGGATTTGACTTAAAATGACACCAGGAAAGACCAGGCGCAGTGGCTCATGCCTGTAATCCCAGCACTTTGGGAGACTGAGGCAGGCGGATCACCTGAGATCGGGAGTTTGAGACCAGTCTGACCAACATGGAGAAAACCCGTCTCTACTAAAAATACAAAATTAGCCGGGCATGGTGGCACATGCCTGTAATCCCAGCTACTCGGGAGGCTGAGGCAGGAGAATCACCTGACCTCAGGAGCGGAGGTTGCAGTGAGCTGAAATCACATCATTGCACTCAAGCCTGGGCAATAAGAGCAAAACTCCATCTCAAAAAAAAAAAAAAAAAAAAATACACCAGGAAAGAAGCCTTTTGGGGTGAAGGGTGATGCTGGACAGCTCAAGTTAAGAAGCCTTGAGGAGCCAAGCTGACTGTGCTCTCCTCCCCTTTAGGGTCCTCTCAGGTTGACAGAGATGAAGATTTGGGGCACTGAGGGAGTAACAAGTGACACATTGTAGGCGGCCAGGAAATGTTCCTCTTCGAGCTTCATCCTAACCCAACTGTTCTGAGCTAGGAGCACACAGAGCTCTCTGAGGTCTGATTCTCCCACGCCTGGTTAAATGGGATAGAACTTCCCATGTCCACGAAGAGCTGCAGGAGCTACCTGGTTAACAAAACCTTCAAATCCTTTTTTTAAAGAAGTGTGGACCAAATAAAGGACGTAGTGGGCTAAACCCGGGCTGTTCTCTCTTGACTTCCAGAACAGGGACCAACCGTGTTCCACCTGCACTCTCTCCTTCTTGCTCAAATTTCCCCACTTGCCAAGAGAAAGTACCAACTCCAAGGCTGACTTTGTTGACAAGGGCAAGAGGTCGTGACCAAGGTGGGAACACTGAACACAAGCAGGGGGCAGTTTTCCAGATCAGAGTCGATGTGGGCTGAACAGACATTTAGCAATAATGGGAGCACGTGGATGCTTGTTTTGTGAGCAGCTGTTGTGATGGGCACACAGGACATACTCTCTGCCTCTGACGCCTTCTGCCACGGTGACAAGTTCTGTGCCTTCAGCACAATTAGCAGAGACTTCTTAGTCATTACTCTGAAGCACCTCCCAACCTTTTAATCATCTACCAGGTTTGGGAAGTGTCTTCATTAAAAAACCCCATTCATCATCACACTCCCTGATTTCCAGACCACTGGGGCACTTTACAAACCAAAGGTTGTTAGGGCTCTTTTGGGAAGCCCCCCTTTCCCTCTCCGTCCTTTCTGTGTCCTCTAAAGTATGGTATGAAGTGATGCCGTTGGCAACATCTGCTCAGTGGCTGCCCTGCCCCACATCTCTGCCCCTCCCATGCCTTGTTGAGCATATTACTGGTTAATTAGAAGAGCTTTCCAGTAATAGAAAGTGACCTACAAATGAATAAAAGTTATCTCTTGATCTAGTTCAGAAGATAATAAAGACAGAGAATTGTCATTTAAAGTAAAGCAAAGAAATGGTTTCATAATTTCAAAGATGAACTAAGGTACAGTGGGAGGAGCCTAGACCTCAGATGTAGAAAACTTGGGCTTAAACCACTGCAACAGTTACTTGCTGTGTGTCATGGGTAAGGTGTTTAACTTCTCTGGGCCTCAATTTATTGTTATAAATGGGGCAAATTATACTATGCAGATTTTTTTTCTTTTTGTCTGCCCAGAAAATTTCCATCTTCTGGTAATAGCATCTCCTATTTCCTGTGGTTCTGGTGGGGGCACCCATCACAGTAATATCCATTACCCACCCTGTCCCTGCCATGCCCTCAACAGGGCCCAGGCCTGGCTAATAAAGCATGGGCATGTGAATGGGCAAGGTGCTTCCTTAAGATGTTAGACACAAATGCTGGAAGAGAGACCTTCTTTTGTTCTTTTGCTGGACCGATGACGACAGCCTGTAGCTCTGGGTAGCAGTGACAGCCGGCTCCCCTTCCATCTCCTGCTGCCTTCCTCCTTCTCCTTTGTCCTGATGTGGGGCGAAAATAAAGCCAATACACAAAGACAGAAGTGGACCTGGGAGAGGAGGAGAGAGTCCCACCAGCATTATTTCCATTTCTTTTGAATTCTCTTCTGTCACTATTGTTACTTTTGATTTTGATTTTGGTTTTGTTATTGCTTTAGAACAAGAAGGGGCCTTAAAAGTCATTGAGTCAAGTTTTATTGTCTTCCAGATGAATAAAATGGGGTCAGGAGAAGCAGCCCCCTCTCCAAAGCCATGCAGCTTCTAAGTCACAACAGCCACCCCAGGCTTCAGGCTCCAAGACCAGCACTCTTGCTCCTGCTCCACAGCCACCAAGGTGCATCAGTGTTCCATCACCACTTGGGTGATTCGCGGGCTGTCTTGCATGTATAATACCTGAGTCCGAATGCTGCCTCCCCACACTTACTGCTCCCGAATTCTCCTTACTTTGGCCCTGTCTCTCATGAGCCAACAGTGTCTGAAATACCACCGTGGTATTGATTCCTTTGGATTATCCTCGTTTTCTTTTTTCTTTCTTTCTTTCTTTTTTTTTTTTTTTTTTGAGATGGGGTCTCACTCTGTTGCCCAGGCTGGAGTGCATGGCATGATCCCAGCTCACTGCAATCTCCACCTCCTAGGCTCAAGCGATCCTCCCACCTCAGCCTCATGAGTACCTGGGGACCAGAGATGCACACCACTTCAGCCAGCGAATTTTTTTTTTTTTTTTTTGTATTTTCAGTAGAGACAGCGTTTTGCCATGTTGCCCCGGCTGGTCTTGAACTTCTGAGCTCAGGCAATCCACCTACCTCAGCCTCCTAAAGTGCTGGGATTGTAGGTGTGAGCCACCGTGCCCAGCCTGGATTCTCCTCTTTATGCTTCTTATGGGAGTAGTAATACAGACAACTAATTTAAACTATCAGATCAATTGCTTTTAAGATCCTCTTTACCTCCTGAAGGAGAAGATGCAGAGAAGAAAGGTCTTCAGGTATCTTAGGAGAATGGATTGGAGAAGGGAAGGAACGTGACAATGGTTCTAAAAGAGGGAAAATGGTACTGAAAGAGGAGCTCAATGCTCCTGAAGACAAACTACTCCAATATTGGAATCTTTCTGTCTCTCTGTCACCATATTCCCCTTCTAAGGGTTCCTACACAGAATCAGGGCTGATGACCCAGCAGCCATTTCTTTCCTTCTTCTCCCCGGCTTTCAGATTCCATCTCCACTTTAGAGGCTGAAAACGTCAGCAACTCACTTTCGCAGCCTGCCTTGTAGCTAGAGTACATGGCCTGTTCTTGGTCAGTTGGACACGAAGGAAAGTCTGGTGGAGTTGCTTCTGGGAAAGGCTTTCCTCCTTGATAAAAGAGAGACTCATAGGGGAAAGCCTTCTTTATGTCTGCCTTTGAATGAGGTAATATAACAATGTTATGGCTGGAGCTGCTGCAGCCATCTTGCCACCATGAGGGAACAAATCTAAGATAAAAGCCAACACACGGAGGACTGTGGCATGGAAAGAGGCAAAGGATCCTAGATGACACCACAGAAACCTAGATTTCACCACAGAAATAATCCTAAAACAGCCCAAAGACTAGATTCTTGTTATACAAGATAGTAAATCATCTTCATCATTTAAGACACATGTAGTGGGGTGCTTGTTTTCTTGCAGCCAAAAATCATCTTAATAGGTATGCCTTGCACTTGTTTCCAAGAAATTTCCATGATGGAATTTAATTTTGCCTCTAAAATAAAGTTTTTTTGATTTTGTATTGTTTCTGGAAGTTCTACTTGAGTCTTTTTCAAATCTGCTGGGTGGCTTTTGATCATTTCCTGTTCCATGTATATATTCCTGACCTTGTCTTTTATTTCTGCAAACATATTACCAACACTTAGTTTCTAATCTGTGCCTGATAACTCCAATATCTAAAGTCTTAGTAGGACTATTTCTGCGGGCTGCTATTTCTTGCTTGTTCTTGTTCATGGTGCCTTATTTCTTTTAATCCCTGGTTATCTTTGATTGTATGCTGCTCATTATACCTGAAAAAATAACTTGCAGGAGTAATCTGAGGTCTAGGGAAAAGGTACCTTCCTCCAGAGATGATCTGTGTCTGCATTTGTCAGGTGTCTGGGGACCACCTTAAACCAGGTTCAAAGTTTGAAGTTGCCTGGACAATCAAACACTGAATCTGGGCCACAAATCTGATACACCTAGTTCACTTTTTTTTTTTTGTTTTGAGATGGGGTCTTGCTATATTGCCCAGGCTGGTCTTGGACTGTAAGCTCAAGGAATTCTCCTGCCTTAGCCTCCAGAATAGCTGGGTCCTTTTTTAGAGACAGGAGGCTCTCTGTGTTGTCCCAGGCTGGTCTTGAACTCCTGGCCTCAAAAATTTTCCCACCTCAGCCTCCAGAGTAGCTGGATTATAGGTGTGCATCACTGAGCCTGGCTAGGTCTAGTTTATTTTTGGTTCACCTTTTTCCTGAGAGTGTAGGGCTTTGGGGTCTCTGTTATTATGGAGAGGGTCTCCAATTAGACTGCACTTTTGATTTCTGCCTCTCTTATCCCACAAGGCCATCAAAACAAAAGTTCAAATTACTGGATTCAGCCAATGCCCTTGGTTCCAAAGTGACTTCCCAGCTCTGCTTATCTCTTTGGGTTCCTGTTTTCCTTTTAGTTTTGGCCTGGTAATATCCTACTATATGATTAACTCTTACGTGCTTCTAAGATGTTCAATTCATCCAGCATGTTTAGTTGTTTCTCGAAGGAGGGTTGGTCCAAACAGCCTAACCCACCACTAGTGGAAGTGGAAGTCTTTCTTCATCTCATCATGAATTTCTCTGCTACTGCCTAAACCTTGTCTCTGAGATCCTCACACTTGCTCTTTCTTTCTTTCTTTCTTTCTTTCTTTCTTTCTTTCTTTCTTTCTTCCTTCCTTCCTTCCTTCCTTCCTTCCTTCCTTCCTTCCTTCCTTCCTTCCTTCCTTCCTTCCTTTCTTTCTTTCTTTCTTTCTTTCTTTCTTTCTTTCTTTCTTTCTTTTCTTTTGAGACAGAGTCTCGCTCTGTTGCCCAGGCTAGAGTGCAGTGGTGCAATCTCAGCTCACTGCAACCTCTGCCTCCCAGGTTCAAGGGATCCTCCTGCCTTAGCTTCCCCAGTAGCTGGGATTACAAGCATGCGCCACCACGCCTGGCTAATTTTGTGTGTGTTTTTAATGGAGACAGGGTTTCACCATGTTGGCCAGGCTGGTCTGGAACTCCTGACCTCAAGTGACCTGCCTGCCTTGGCCTCCCAAAATGCTGGGATTATAGGCGTGAGCCACTGTGCCCAGCCTGCTTTTTCTTGTCCATGGGTCTGTAGCCCACTTGCCTGTGCCTTCTGACTCCCTCATCCTATTCTTGATCTTGCTGCCTTCCTGATTTCAACCTGTCAGCCTGATTTCCACTTGCCTGGACCCTGGCACTTGCTAACCCTGCAACTTCTACTGGGTCGCCTGTGCTGGCTGACTTGGGTATAACAGGGTGCCAACTGCTTACCCTCTTGACCCGCCAGCTGAGCCTCGGTCCAGGACCTTATGATATTTGCCAACATTGTCCCCTCCTCTGCCTCTCCCACCTACAAGCCTCCTGGCTCCCCATCTGGCCTTAACTTTTCTGATGAATTCTCCTTCCCCTTTCACTAACTGCCTTGGCATCTCCTACCCAGTTCACGGCACCATCTTGGCCTGCCCTTGACTGAGTGTTTTAAGTAGATGGGTTTGAGGCTGTGTCTATTTAGCTATCTTTACCAAATACAGGATCACACTGTGGGGAACCTCATGAATGTTTTATAATGATGAGCAACTCTTAGATTTTATTTACTTATTTTGAGACAGAGACTTGCTCTCTTGTCCATACTGGAGTGCAGTGGTGTGATCTCAGCTTACTGCAACCTATGCCTCCTGGGATCAAGTGATTCTCCTGCCTCAGCCTCCCAAGTAGCTGAGATTACAGGAGCCTACCACCACGACCAGCTAATTTTTGTATTTCTTGCAGAGACAATGTTTTGCCATGTTGGCCAGGTGGTCTCAAACTCCCAGCCTCAAGTTATCCACCTGCCTTGGCCTCCCAAAATGCTGAGATTACAGGCGTGAGCCATTGTGCCCAGCCATCTCTTAGATTTTAAGTCATTCTTTAAAATGTAGAGGATGACCAAAGTTTATGATTAAAAAAAGAAATTGAAAATGACAATAAAATCAGACCTACTCGTAAGACTTTTATTTGGGTTCTGAGAGACTACTTGGTCACATACAAGAATTAGGCAGTTGTGTGTAGTGGTAGAAGACACAGTCTTATAAATTCAGTGGGCCCAGGCTTAATCCCATTTCTCCTCTCTGTTAACTGCATGAACTTGTGCAACTCATTCTACTCAACTTAGCCTCGATTTTCTTATCCATAAAATGGTGCTAATATTACCTTCTCATGAGGTTGTTATGGGGACCGAAGAGATAAAAGGCATACTTAGCACAGTGCTTGCAAACCATAAGCTCTCAAAGGCATTATCATCATCATTATCATTATTGATAGCATTAAAGTCCACCTTCCCCCCAAATATTTCACCAACTGTGTTGTCATGTGCCTATTCATCTTCCATCTCATCCTGAAATCTTCATCATCTGAAGCTTGACTTCATTAAGCAACTGTGTCAGGCTGATTGTGCCCAAATGGCCCTGGGTAAAACACACATGTTCCTCTGCATTCATAGGTGGTCGGGATTTGTTTAATGAAGTGGCGGGTTGAATCAAGTCCCGCTTGATGAAATTTGGGGGTTAGGACAATATGAGACAAGTTATATTTACAGATGAAAAACATCGTTGTTCCTCATGAACAAGAGTCATTTTTCAGAAGACAGCAAAGGCAAAGATAATTAGACTCTTACAAGGACACCAACATACATGGCCTTAAGTATCTTTGATATAAACACCTGTAGGATTTTAAGGCTGAATGGATCAGATCCAACCTCCTCATTTGGCAGATGAGACAACCAAGACTCAGAGATATGGACTGACATGCCAGGTCCACCCAGACCATTGGTGGCAAAGTCAGGACAAGAATTCAGATCCTGGTTCTGCAGTTAACCAGCCATGTGACATGCTAAGTGTGGCAGTTTAAAACTATGTTTGCAAATATGTCCACAAATACCTTGACATTTCTCCCTTCAAAAGCAGAGTGTACTTCCCCCTTCAATATAGGCTACTCTTAGTGACTTACTTCTCATAAATAGAATGTGAGAAAACGATGTTATGTGACTTCTGAAGTTGGATTATAAAAAGAATACAACTTTTGCCTAGTGTTCTTTCTCTCTTATTCTCTCTCTTGCTCTCTGAATCTAGCTGCCATGTTTTGAGGACATTCAAGAGGTCTTCTGGGTGGCCTGAAGGCCACCTGAAGGCCTGAAGTGTGGGAGGAACTGAAGCTTCTCACAAACAATCAATACCAACCTGCCAGCCATATGAGTGAGCCACTTTGGAAGCTGATTTTCTAGTCCTAGTCAAGCCTTCAGATAACTGTGGCCCCAGCTGACACCTTGACTGAAATCTCATGAGAGGATATGGGCCAGAACTACCTAGCTAAGTTGCTATCAAATCTCTGACTCACAGAAATTGTGAGAGATAATACATGCTTATTGTTACCATGTTAAGCAACTAAGTTTTGGGGTAATTGTTAAACAGTGACAGATAACAAATACACTAAGATAACTAATACCCGATTTATTCAGGACTCTGACTTGGAAGTGATAAAAATCTAATTCACCTAGTGAAAAAAAAAAAAAGATATATTGCTCCCGTACTTGGGGATACCAGAGATGGAGCTAGCCTCAGGGATACCAAGTATTTAAATGATGTCATCAGGATTCTTTCTCTTTCTTCATCTCTCTGTTGGCTCTGTAGTGGTTTTTCTCTTTCCTAGTGGCTTCATTCTTTCCTACTACAGAGATACTTTCTTGATACAGCATGGGTTGGCTAGAAGCAATGCAAGATTTCTTCATCCCCACTTAATGGTCCTGAAGGATATGCAGGTTTTCTCTCCCCTGACATTTACATATAATTCCAGAGAAGACTCTAATTGGCCAATTGGTTCTTATGCCTGTGCCTGAACCAATCACTGTGGCTAGGGAAATGGGGCACTGTGATTGGCTACCAGTTCCTTGGCCACTACTAGCTTGTTTTTCAAAGTGTGGTCCATGGACCAGTAGCACCTCAGGGCTTGTTTAAAATGTCCAATCTTAGGCTTCTCTTCAAACTCTAAATCAGAATTTGTATTTTAGCAAGTTCCCCAGATGATTTTATATGCACATTAAAATTTGAGAAGCATTTATTATGTTATAATTTATTTCCAGGAAGAAGTAATCTCTTCTCTTCGTCTTTTATGTCAGTTAACTCCTCTCTTCTTGTTTGGTAGAGTACTTTTTTCTTTTAACCCTATTTATCTTTTGTCTGCATATCTTATCTCTCCTATCATGCTTGGGTCCTTAAAGGCAAAATCCAATGTCTGAAGAACAGCATTCTCTTCTGTAAAATGGGGATAATGCTATTTACCTTTTGCTGTGATTTGAATGTTTTTGCTCCCTCAGAATGTATATGTTGGAAGCTTAATTCCCAATGCAACAGTCTTGGGAAGTGGGGCCTAATGGGAGATGCTTGGATCATGAGGGTTCTGCCTTCATGAATGGAATAATGCTGCTAATTAATTTCCTTTATGAATTGTAAAAAGCTTGTGGGAATGGATTCTCTCTATTTCAGTCTTCTGCCATGTGAGGATACAGTGTTCCTCCCTTCTGGAGGATGCAGTTTTCAAGGTGCCTTCTTGAAAGTGAAGACCAGGCCGGGCGCAGTGGCTCACGCCTGTAATCCCAGCACTTTGGGAGGCCAAGGCGGGTGGATCATGAAGTCAGGAGATCGAGACCATCCTGGCTAACAAGGTGAAACCCCGTCTCTACTAAAAATACAAAAAAAATAGCCAGGCGTGGTGGCAGGCACCTGCAGTCCCAGCTACTCAGGAGGCTGAGGCAGGAGAATGGCGTGAACCCGGGAGGTGGAGCTTACAGTGAGCTGAGATCGCGCCACGGCACTCCAGCCTGGGCAACAGAGCGAGACTCCATCTCAAGAAAAAAAAAAAAGAAAGAAAGAAAGTGAAGACCAGGCCCTCAGTACCTTGACCTTGGACTTCCCAGCCTCCAGAACTATAAGAAATAAATTTCCGTTTTTTATGAGTTACCCAGTTGCAGGTGGGTAACTCATAAATATCTTAGCACAAGAGATATCTTAGCGCAGAGATATCTTAGCACAAAACAAGCTAAGATGTCTCTAGAGATTTCATAAGAATTGGGTGGAATAACACACATGGGTGCATAGCACAGCGCTTATCATATTGTAGATACAGATGATGATTAGCTAGTCCTAATTCCCAAAACTGATGGACGTTTATTGAGTGTTTACTCTGCATCAGGTACTACGCAAAGCCCTTTTTTATGCTTTCTCATGGAATCCTTTCAACCGTATTATAAAGAAAATAAGTATTCTCCCTCATTTAGAAATCAGGAAATTGAGTAATGTCACATAGTTAGTAAGTGACAGAGTCAAGATTTGAGTCCAGAACTGTTGACTCTACTTCCTGGCTCTGAGACGGAGTTTCACTCTTGTTGCCCAAGCTGGAGTGCAATGGCGCCATCTCAGCTCACTGTAACCTCCACCTCCTGGGTTCAAGCAATTCTCCTGCCTCAGCCTCCCGTGTAGCTGGGATCACAGGTGTGCACCACCATGCCCGGCTAATTTTTGTATTTTTAGTAGAGATGGGGTTTCTCCATGTTGGCCAGGCTGGTCTCAAACTACTGACCTCAGGTGATCCACCCACCTTGGCCTCCCAAAGTGCTGGATAACAGGCATTAGCCACTGCACCCGGCCTTACAGCCTGGTTCTTAATAGCTCTGCTGGAACACATGGCACAGTGAAGTCCCTCAACCAATATTTGTTAAATTTGTATAAGGAATAAAAGCTTTTGGCTCCTTGAACCAAGGATCATAAGCTCCAAGCCAACTCCAGTCAGGCAGATGACTGAGGGTCAAAGGCGAAGCCAAGGAAACAATCTCCTCCCTCCTTAATGTAAATTGGTCAAGTAAGTGTGATGATAAATGGCAGGTGACCTTCACCTCAGTGTCAAGAAGGAAAAAGGACAGATGGAGACCTTGGGAGTTGGAGAGCACATGGCCCATCTGAAGGGGCAGAGGTCCCAAACTCCAGCCAGGATACACGGACTTGTCCACCCTGGTGGTTCCTGCCTGACATCTGTTCTGATTGGACAATGCCAGGCCATACGCAGTGTTAAAGATTTGGAGTCAGACCTCTGGGAAGGTTGAACCAGTGTTATCAGATCTGATTTTTCTAATAAAACCAGAGATCTAGACTTTTATGTGAAACCCTTGATTTTTAAACACTGGCAAATAATTTATATATTTTTAAAAGAGATGCGAGCCAGGCATGGAGGTGGGGAGGAGGCAGTAACTAGATTATAACTGCTGTCCTAAACTGTGGAAGGAAATCTTGACTGTTTTTTGCTTTTTGCTTGTTTGCTAAGTGAATACAGAAACAAAGAGGAAGGAAAAAGGAAGAAGGAAAGGAAGGAAGGAAAGAATGAAGGGAGGAAGGGAGGGAGGAAGGAAGGAGGCTACTGACCATTTGAGTCTTAAGTAGTAGCTAAGGTGGCAGACAGATAGCTTTCAACTGGGGAGGGAAGAGAAGAGAGAGGAGAGGCCCTTGGTGACTAACTGTCCCAAGGGCCAGGGCCTCCAATGGGAAGTCCCTTTAACCTCCCAATTCCTCCAAGGGCCAACCCAGCTAATCAACTTTTTATGATACTTTATTTTTTTAAATCACCTTGGAGGCCCTTTCTGTCTTTGTTCAGCTGTAATCTTTCTTAATTAGATAATTGAAATAATCATCCAATTAAGTTGGTTCCCATTGCCCCCCCGCTCACTTGAGTACTTGCAGAATCCAGCTGGCTTCTCATTTCCGCTGACTTCGTTCTGTGCCTCATGCAGGGTCTGAAACAGGTTTCAAGCTGTTTTCTTTCCTCTTTTTCAGTTTGCCGTTGCAGTTCATAGGAGCTACAACTAAATTTCAGTTCTGGCTAATGTCAAAATAGACTCCATAGGCAACTAAAAGCCAAAAGTTGTAACTGGCACTAACACAGTGGTAGTTGAGAGTTTCAGATCCACAGGATTTCAATCCCAGTTCTGTTGCTTACTAACTGGGGTGATCTTGAATGCACCACACTGACTTGGAGCTGCAGTTTCCTCATCTGTGAAATGGGGATTAAAAAGAAGACCTACCCTAGGTGTGTTGGGAGATAAATATGTTAACAGAGATAAAATATGTGAGGCCATCAGCCCCAGGCCTGGCATATAGAGAGCACTCACTCTCTGAGCTTTGTAAATGTGGAAAGGATGTATTTCTAAGAGCTCAAATAGTTGATATCATTTATTTGTTATACACATGGGGAAAGAGAGGTAAATTATACAGATATCTAAGATGTAAACGGTTCTAGACCTTTTGGCCATTTGTTGCATTTATTTGGTGTTTATCTCTTTATCTAGTATCTCTATCCAGTCTTCCTTCTAGTTAGTTCACTCTAGTGCCGCCTGAAAGTCTTAGAGATAGCGGGCTCACCTTGGGGTGGATTCTCTGTAGATGAAATTTCAGTATTCCTTTCTTTGCCCACCAGAATGGAAGGTCCCTGTGGGCAGGGCTGTATCTGCCATGTGTCTCACAGTATCCGTTGGAATTTAACAAGGAATAATTGTTAAATAAAATGTCATACATGGAGGAACTGCTCTCTAAAAGGACATCCGAGGCAGTTTTAAGTGATAACACTACAATACTTAAGACAAGGATACAACACATTGTTAACACATTAGCTAAGGGTGGAGAAAAATCCAGAAAAGGGCTACTATTCCCAGGATCACAGAGTAAAACAAAGATCGGTTGTGACTCCAAAACCCAAGTGTCCCAGATCTTACCTGAACCTGCTTAAAATGCTGATCTCACCAGGAGCCAGGCAGCCAGGAACCGCAGTGGATGCTGTCGGCCCAACCTTAGCTGCATTTCATTCCTCAGCAGGACCACAGACTCCCAGAAACTCAGCCTCATCTTCATTTGTTTCAGAAGAGTCAGGTATTAGAGGAGAATGACAGCAACTCGGTGCAGGGTGTATTTTTCCTTAATGCTTTTTCATCCTGTAAAACTTACATAAGCCATACATCATTTTTTAAAATGAGAAAAATGCCTTCAAGTCGAAAGTGAAAATGAATTTAAAATGATTGTTTTTTAATGGTATTTTTTTTCTGGAGTAGACTTTTTAAAAGTGGTAATCTTAATCTCCCAGATAAGGCAACAATGTGCTTCCTATACAGTCCATTTCTCATGCTGGCAGAAACAAAATGTTTCCTCACACTTTGCTCTAGAGTTCAGCAATGGAAAGAACTTGTAAATGCTCATTTTGCCAAATGTGCCAGTGGGTCACTGTTCTCCAAGACTGGATGACTGGACTTAGGCTAGAGAGGACTGGCTGGGGCTGAGGATGGAGGGAAGTCACTAAACATTCCAGACGAACTGCTCAATCACTTGTTCTCTGAGCACATGCTCCCTATATCTGCCTCTGTGCCTTAGCGACACCCAGTGTGGGAGCCAGCCTCCGTGATGGTCCCCAACAAGCCCCACCTCTTTCTATTCACAGTTTGTATAGGGCTGACTTATGTAATAAATGGAATGTTATAGAAACAATGGAGTGTGCCTTCCAAAGCTAAGTCATGAAAGTCATTGCAGCTTCCACCCTGCTCTCCCTTGAATCCCTTGCTCTGGGGGAGGCCAGCTGCCATGTTGTGAGGAAGCTCAAGCAGCCTGCAGAGAGGTCCATGTGGTGAGAGGCTCTGCCACCAGCCACCCCAGTGAGCCAGCATGAAAGCAGATCTAGCCCCAGACAAGCCTTAGCTCAGCACAGCTCCGGCCAACAGCGTGACCACAATCTCGTGAGCAACCCTGAGCCAGAGCCATCCAGCCAAGCCACTTTCAAATTCGCTATCTGTAGAAACTGTGGGGGGTCATATTTATTTTTGTTTTAAGCTCCTAAGTTTTGCAGTAATTTGTTATGCAGCAATTGGAAATTAATACATACACTCTCCTGTCTACAAAAGCTTACTCTTTTCTTCTCCAAATCATTCTCCCTCAAAATTCACATCAAATTCATCCTTAAGCTTGGATTCTCCAGCCCAGAGGGATCACTCTTCTTTCTAAGCTTCATCACCGTGCTTATACTTTTTTTTTTTTTTTTTTTTTTTTTGAGATGGAGTATCTCTCTGTCACCCAGGTTGGAGTGCAGTGGTGCGATCTTGGCTCACTGCAACCTCAGCCTCCCTGGTTCAAACAATTCTCCCACCTCAGCCTCCCAGGTAGCTGAGATTACAGGTGCCTGGCTAATTTGTGTATTTTTGGTAGAGATAGGGTTTGACCATGTTGGCCAGGCTGATCTCGAACTCCTGACCTCAAATGATCTGCCCACCTTGGCATCCCAAAGTGCTGGGATTACAGGTGTGTGCCACCACGCCCAGCCATTGCCCTTCTTCCTTGGTGTTAACCTGAGCTAGAAGGAAGGGCTGTGCAGGCAGACCTAACATCTGATGTATCATTATTAATAGGTGACCATATTATCCGTACTGAGGCATTTCTGAAAGCTGGTGGGGGGGGTTGCTATTAATAATAATCCTGAAAATCAGCAAAATCTAGGACAGTTCCAGGACAAACAACAGCATTCAGCCACCCATTCTATCTGTAAGAGGTACCTACACCTCCCAAAAAATGTAAGAAGAGGGAGAAAATTGTTTAGCAGGGATGTGGCTTTATTTGCCCAATGCTTATATATGCAAAGAAAATGTAGCTTCTGGCTGGGCACAGTGGCTCATGCCTGTAATCCCAGCACTTTGGGAGGCCGAGGCGGGTGGATCATTTGAGGTCAGGAGTTCAAGACCAGGCTGGCCAACATGGTGAGACCCTGTCTCTACTAAAAATACAAAAATTAGCCAGACATGGTGGCGCACACCTGTAATCCCAGCTACTTGGGAGGCTGAGGTGGAGAATCACTTGAACCTGGGAGATGGAGCTTGCAGTGAGCTGAGATCTTGCCACTGCACTCCAGCCTGGGAGGCAGAATGAGACTCCATCTCGAAAAAAAAAAAAAGAAAAAACGAAAGAAAATGTAGCTTATTTTCTAATTATTTTTATTATTATTTTTAGACAGAGCCTCACTCTGTCACCCAGGCTGGAGTGCAGTGGCCCAACTACAGCTCACTGCAGCCTCGACCTCCTGGACTCAAGCGATCCTCCTGCCTCAGCCTTCCAAGTAGTCAGTGCACACCACCACACCTGGCTAATCTTATCCAATCTCTGAGATCACTCAGTCATTAGGTGACTGAGGAGGGGGAGAAGTGCAGTCAGAGCTCTGAATCCCACCTCCCAATTCTCATCTCCTCCCAACCCCCCCCCCCATCCTTTCATGATGGTACTTAGGAATGTGCGAATTTGGGGTAAAACTGGGAAGTGGAAGGGGAAACAGAATCCGCCCAGGCTGTGAGGAATGGCTGTTCTGAGAGACTCCCTGGACTGGCTGGGGACTATCATTCCACCCAGATTTTTGTAGTGATGTCCTGGAATGAGTGTCATGTCTAAGTGCTGTGAGAGTTACGCCCTCCATGAGGGTGTCCACAGAAGAGCTGAAATCTAGCCAGTGCTTTGCTAGCCAAGCCACAAGCCCATGGGGCTGTGTGAGTCAGAAGAGCAAGCCTTTTTCTAATTTGCACAAAGGCATCCCATGGGCTGGGGCAGGCCCTGGCCAGCAACCAGATTCCAGGTCATTTGCTTCTGGCCTTGCATTCCCTGCCTGTGTCAGCCTGTTCATCCTGATCACAGGCCAGCGTTCTTTTGGCATCTCCCTGGACCCAGCCCAGGCCCCTGGGAAATTTGGTGTCCCCCACAGTCCATGCACAGGCCATGGAGGGCCAAGCCATCTTTCTCAGATTCCTCTATCCACATTCTTGCCACCACCTGTGTGCCATTGCTTTGGGCCTGGGGATACATGGTGCTTAACCAGAGGTGAGGTCCCCCATGGCTGGCAGACTTCCTCACGCAGTGCCCTGTGATGTGATCCACTTACCTTGATGTTCTCAAATTTTCCCCGTCACTTCTTGGATGATTCTAAATCTCCCCACTCCCTAAAGACATCTGACCTTATGAGTGGCCCTTGAGATTTTCCTTCTTTCCACCATCCTCCCAGGGCAGCATGAGCATGTTTGGGGCATTTCTGCAAATGGCAAAACTCAAGGATCTAGGTCAGTTCTTTGACACCTTTTTCTTTTCTTTTTTCTTTTTTTCTTTTTTGAGATAGAGTCTCGCTCTGTTGCCCAAGCTGGAGTGCAGTGACGGGATCTCGGCTCACTGCAACCTCCACCTCCTGAGTTCAAGCAATTCTCCTGCCTCAGCCTCCCGAGTAGCCGGGATTACAGGCATGTGCCACCATGCTCAGATAATTTTTGCATGTTTAGTAGAGATAGGGTTTTGCCATGTTTGCCAGACTGGCCTCAAACTCCTGACCTCAAGTGATCCACTCGCCTCGGCCTCCCAAAGTGCTGGGATTACAGGCATGAGCCACTGTGCCTGGCCAACACCTTTTTCATGGAGTGGCACACATATAAAATAATAAGGGCATGATGTGCTGCATGGCCAAGAGGGGATCTGGAACCTCAGTGGAGGCTATACCAGAAGACTAATGAGATCCCCACCTGTCCAGATCGTGCCAGGCTGCTCCAAGGGCAGAGGTTATCAAATCTCTCAGGGGGTGGTGAGACACTCTGATTGGGAAGATCTCCTTAGAGCTGTCAGCTTGACTTTGCTAGAAGGGATCTGAGGAGTTGAGAAATACCTTTTCTCCTCCATAAAGCCTTGCTTTCAAGGCCCTTGTCCCTCCGCAGAGGTCAAGAATGTCAGCCTGGAGACGCTAATGCTGATCAATGGCCTCTTTATTCTCTGCTTGTTCTCCTTCCCTTAGGCAATAAGCCTGCTGGCTCAGCCCTAGAGCTGGGACATGGCAAAGAGGTACGGTTTAAAGTGGGAAGCAAAATTACTGTAGGCATAAGGTTGGTGAAATGGGATCCCCATACAATTGTAATGATGAGAACTCCTCTGGAAGTGGAGGTAAGTATGGTTTTGGGGTTGGGGGGTGAGACCCCAAGGGAGCAGCACGCTTGAGTGCCAATAAATTGTGGCTTAACTGCCTTCTAGAAACACAGGTTCCTGTCACTTCCAAGGGCGTTTGTTTTGCTGAGTAGTTTATGCAAATGTGGAGCCCTCTGGGTGGCGAGCTGGGTGATGAAGTCAAGAGGGAACTGGCAGTCCTTCTCAAGCCACCCCAGAGGGCTCCCTGGTGCCTCTTCCCAGTCAGTCCTGGTCACCAGATTAATTTTGCCTGTTTTTTCTTTTTTTTGTTTTTTGAGACAGAGTCTCACTTTGTTGTCCAGCTTGGAGTGCAGTGGTGCCATCTCAGCTCACTGCAACCTCCGCCTCCCGGTTCAAGCGATTCTCCTCCCTCAGCCTCCTGAGTCGCTGGGACTACAGGCACACGCCACCGTGCCCGGCCAAGTTTTGTGTTTTTTAGTAGAGACAGGGTTTCGCCTTGTTGAGCAGGCTGGTCTCGAACTCCTGACCTCAAATAATCTGCCCACCTTGGCCTCCCAAAGTGCTGGGATTACAGGCGTGATCCACCGTGCCTGGCTGTTGTGTGTTTTTTGTTTGTTTGTTTGTTTGTTTTTAGAAAACATTATTGCTAAAATAAGTATTGTTTATTTCCGATAAAAGTAATGCATGTTCATTTAGTAAAAGGAACATCCAAAAGTGCAAAGCTTTTAACAAATCATCATCAATACATTCAGTTTTGTACTTGGCTTTTTTACTGAAAATATCGTGAGCATTTTTTCATCCTAGTCCATATGGAAGGAGGCTTATCCTCTTTTTAATTCCTTTTGGCCCCGTTCCTTGTATAGGCTGTCAGCTAATATTTGCAATGATTCTGAGGTTTTACCCAGGAGAGACCTGGAGACAGCTGGTCACCTACCCCATCCGCCACAACCTCCCAGACAGATGCGGGCTGTCTAATATGAGAAAGCGCTGGGTCGAGAGGGCAGGGGCCTCCCTCCTTCACACACTGAACTATCACAAATGGACCTAACAGAGTGGAAGGACAGGTTGCAAATTGAGAAGAGAATGAGGAGTGCGGCAGTGAAATTGGAAAACAGAGTGATAGTCAAGAGGAGGCAAGCAATGAGTTTAGAAAGCAGTGTCGCTACAGCCACTACAAGCGTCTAGGACAGCTCCCCACTGCGCATGAGCTGTTGCAATGTGTCAGTTCAGTAGGATCCACAGATTAATGTTATACAAAAACAGAAAATTACAGAACAGAGATAGAACGAATGGCTTCTCTTTTCCTCCTACTCTTAGTTCATTCCAAATATTGGCAAACTTGGCCAGGTGTGGTGGTTCATGCCTGTAATCCCAGCACTTTGGGAAGCCAAGGTGGGTGGGTCACTTGTGGTCAGGAGTTTGAGACCAGCCTGGCCAATATAGTGAAACCCTGTCTCTACTAAAAATACAAAAATTAGTTGGGTGTGGGTGGTGCACGCCTGTAATCCCAGCTACTTGGGAGGCAGAGGCAGAGAATCAACCCAGGAGGTGGAGGATGCGGTGAGCTGAGATCAGGCCACTGCACTCCAGCCTGGGTGACAGGGAGACTCTGTCTCGAAAAAATAAAAAATTAAAAATATATATATTGGCAAACTTTTCTCAATCTTTTGCCAACACTCATTTTTGCTGATTATATTTGCTTATAAACCTAAGTATCTTGAAGTACCTCTCTGTACTTCTGTGTCTTCATCTGGAAAATGGGGTGAATAATAATCCCTATCTCTGAGAGCAGGACTTCTCAACCTGGACACTATTGCAGTAGGGCCTGGATAATTCTTTGGTGTGGGGCCGTCCCAAGAACCATAGGTTGTTTAAGCAGCATCCCCGGCCTCTACGCACTTAATGCCAATAGCATCCCCCCTAGTTGTACCACACAAAAATGTCTCCAGACATTGCCAAATATCCCCTGCGTAAGGGGCAAAATAACCCCTAATTGAAAATCTCTGGTCTAGCACAGTGGCTCATGCCTATAATCCCAGTGACTTGGGAGGCCGAGGTGGGAGGATCACTTGAGGCCAGACTGGGCAACATAGGGAGATCTTGTCTCTACATGAAAATTAAAAATTAGCCAGGCACGGGGGCTCACATCTGTAGTCCTAGCTACTTGGGAGGCTGAGGCAAGAGAATCACTTGAGTCCAAGAATTTGAGGTTACAGTGAGTCACGACCACGCCACTGGACTCCAGCCTGGGTGACAGAGCGAGCAACCCTGTCTCTTAAAAAAAAAAGAAAGGAAAATCACTGGTCTAGAGTTCTAGAGTTCCTGTAAGTATCACATGAGATGATTCAGGTAAGGTGCTTAGAAGAGTACCTGACACCAAATAAATGCTCAGTAAACTTACGCCATCAGCATAGATGAAGAGGCCCTAGAATAGTAGGGACCATGGCCTGAGCTACTTCACAAACCGATTTGTTTGTTTATCATTATGGTTTTGTGCCTCTTAGGTTCTACCTTCCTAAAGTGCCATGGTTTAAAAAGCTCTTTTATGAGAGGTGCCTTTCTTTGTAGGTACAGAAATAAAGCTTCGAAGTACTGGCATTTGCAAGTGGCTTTTGAAACTGGAGAATGTCAAAGAAATGTAAATCATACTCTTTCAAGAGCACAAGAATGTATCTTTCTCTAAAAGCTTTCACAACTGTTAACTCAGTGGCTACTGAGACAAAGTGTTCTAGTAGGGGTGATGGGAAGGCACCTAAACTGAACTCTGAGTTTTGCTGTTTGTGGAAGGACCAAGCTGGTGAAACCACAGCATCGGTTCGCACAGGCATTTTGTTTGTTTCTGGCTGATGAAGAGAGGAGACTATTCTGTGAACAGCAAGGACTGAGAAAGATGGAAAATGAGGAAGAGGGTGAGATGGTGTTGTCCCTTCAAGCACGGATTTGAATGATGCGGGTGGGGTTGGTTAGGGCCACCTTGCAGGAAAATGTTGGGTAGGACCAGAGGAGTTGGGGACAGCATCCTCATGTCAAGCCCCTCTGCCACAGACGCTGTCAGCTCCAGGAACCTAGGAGCTGGGTGCGTGTGGTTGCAGGTCACCCTCATGCCAGACCCCACTGCCACCAGCAGCCACAAAACACCAAAGTGTGTGATAGGGACCTCTTCCCTCATCTTTTTCAGGTTCCTCAGGGTCCATGGCCCAAGTAGGTACAACCTGTCACTGCCTTTAGCTCAGTTTCCCCCGACTCTGCCAAAAGTTCTACCTGCGTTGAGGGACCAGGAGCACGAATCTTTGAATGATGCCATGTGGTCACTGAGATGAGGCCAGTCAGCAGCTCCTCCTTTTGTTATGGCTACTGCTGTGAGGCTGGTGGCCACAGCCATGGCCACAGCCCCACCCCCAGCTACAGACACAGCCACAGCTTCATAGCCCAGCAGTCCCAGCTACAGTCACGCCCACACAGCCACTCCCGTGACTGTGGCCACCACCGCCCCCCACCCCCCTCCACGGACATTCCTCCTCACAGCTGCCTTCAGCCAAGTGTCTGCCACCAAGTTCCTGAGAAATGACTCACAGGAGCTTGCTAACTTTGGGGGAAATCTCGTGCTTGATTTGTTTGTATGTTGCAAAGACCAATATGATGACGGACCAACAGATTAATACCTGGATTCCAGACCGTTCGGAACTCTACATTCAACGTTTTTCATTTTACTGGCTCCCAAGCCCCCTCTGGGTGAGTCCCTGGGCCTGGTTCCTTCTTTGCTCTCTTGGAGGAGGAGACAGACCAACCCTGAGTACCCTGGCACTGTTGTCTAGCATTGCATTTCAGAGAGGACTCAAAGGACCACAGGACTTCCAAACTGATCTGTGCAGCCCAATGAAACTTAATTTACCATTCCGTCCCTCTGTCCCCAGGATCCTCCCCTAGAGCAAGCGGTTCTAGAGTCAGTTTAGCCCTGAGAACCATGCCATGCTGCCTTGGAAGACCTCAATATCCATTTGGACCGGCTGACCAGCTTTTCCCTCCAGAACCTGAGCTCGCTGAGGTCACAGACTGTGTCTGCTTTACCCTTGTTTACAAGACAATTATGAGCCTGCAAATGTTCACATTTCTTCTATCACCCCACCAGAGGCAACCTTGTCATTGATAGCCCATCTCTTTCCTCTTGCTACAGAGGAAGGATTTGTTTAGGCTGGTGAGAGACTAGATTGATCTGTATAATTAAGGAATGGAAGGCCGGCACGGTGGCTCTACACTTGTAGTCCCAGCACTTTGGGAGGACTAAGCAGGCAAATCACTTGAGCCCAGGAGTTTGAGACCAGCCTGGGCAACATGGCAAAACCCTATTTCTACAAGAAAGATAAAAATTAGCTAGGTATGGTGGCGCATGCCTGTGGTCCCAGCTATTCAGGAGGCTGAGGTGGGAGGATCACCGGAGCCCAGGGAGGTCAAGGCTGCAGTGAGCCATGATTGCACCACTGCACTACAGCTGGGGCAAAGGAGTGAGACCCTGTCTCAAAGAAAAAAAAAAAAAAAAAGAAATGGAGAGAGGAAGAGAGTGTATCCATGAGTGATTCTTAAACTTCACGTGCATCAGAGCCACCTGGGATATTGTTAAAATGCAGATTCTGATTTGGTAGGTCTAGGGTGAGGTTTGAGATTCTACATTTCTAGCAAGCTCCCAACTTGCTAGATTAAGTCAATTAAACCTCTTTCCTCTATAAATTACCCAGTCTCAGGTATGTCTTTGTTAGCAGTGTAAGGAGTGGACTAATACATTATGATACTACTTCACCATGTTGAAGCTGAACCCATGGGCACGCTGGCTTTATACAGATTACATTTGGAGATTATAAATGCTGCTGGTTCTCTGAATACATTTTGCACAGCCGGGGTATAAAAGAGTGGATGTTGGGTGAGGTTTGCGTATAACTGTAGGGAGAAATCCTGTGGAGCAGCTTCAGCGTGTGAGAGAAATGGATAGAAGAGAAAGGGGGATTTTTTTTATAAGTGTTGTCACAGCCTCAGTGGTTGGCTGTCATCATTCTCAAGAAATGCAAAGACCTTCGTTGTTTGTCATCTGCCCAGCTGCTGGTCCATCTTCCAAATTGTCTAGTGGAATGGTTAGCCAGGCCAGCCCTTCCTCCCCAGTGCATGACTGCCAGCAAGGCCAATGGGGACTCCCTCCCTGAAATCTCAATCATGGATTCAGGCCCAAAGCAGAGAACACTTGGAGTGTTCTCATTCCAGCCACAGCAGCTCAGTGAGATTGTTGAGCATTTTCTGCTGCCAAGAACCTCCTGGAGAGGCTGGGTGCCTAATGGCTCCAAGCCTGACTTTTTAGCCATTCCTTTGCTCTAGTGTGCTCTCTAATATCCTTCCAAGAAATTCCCGTTCTGCCTAGATCAGTAGAGGCAGTTTCTGTTGCTTACAATCAAAGCATCCTGACAGATAGAGCCAGTATAATATTTTGAGCTGTTTTGAAATAATGTTTCACCTCCAGATACACGGTGTGTGTGGTATGTATGTGTGTGTGAATTATGTGATATGGTTTGGCTGTATCTCTGTATCCCCGTGTATCAAGGATGGGGCCAGGTAGTGATAATTGAATCATGGGGGTGGTTCCCCTATACTGTTCTTGAGGTAGTTAGTAAGTATCACGAGATCTGATGGTTTTTTTTTTTTTTTTTTGAGACAGGGTTTCACTCTGTCACCCAGGCTGGAGTGCAGTGACGTGATCTTGGCTCACTGTAACCTCCTGGGTTCAAGTGATTTTCATGCCTCAGCCTCCTGAGTAGCTAGGATTATAGGCATGTGCCACCACGTCTGGCTTATTTTTTGTATCTTTGGTAGAGACAGGGTTTCACCATGTTGGCCAGGCCAGTCTTGAACTCCTGACCTCAAATGATCCACCCGTTTCAGCCTCCCAAAGTGCTGGGATTACAGGCGTGAGCCACTGCACCCAGCCTGATCTGATGGTTTTATAAAGGGAAGTTTCCCTACACAAGCCCTCTTGCTTGCCACCATGTAAGGCGTGACTTTGCTGCTCATCCACCTTCCGCCATGACTGTGAGGCCTCCCCAGCCATGTGGAACTGTGAGTCAATTAAACCTCTTTCCTTTATAAATTACCCAGTCTCAGGTATGTCTTTATGAGCATACTTTATGAGAATGACTAATACATTATGATATCACTTCAACACTTTGAAGCCGACCCCATGGGCATGCTGGTTTTATACAGATTACATTTGGAGTACATGCTGAGCACTGTGCCTGAGAGACACACGGTAGGTAGTCAATGAATGGCCACAGAAAGAATGAGCAGTCACTTTACAGCATCTGTGCTGAGCCCCAGCACCTCTCAGCTCCCCCATGCCCAGGGACACTTTAGATGTCCATCAAGCACTAAAATAGCAACACTTATAGGAAGGCATGGGCAAACTTGTAGTAGCACTGGCAAGTACGCTTATGACCTTTTCCTCCAGTTTCCTTTCTCCCTATATATTCTTTAAAGCAAAGGGTTGCAGAAGGTCAGAATGGAGCATGATCTTTGTTCCACGAGTATGTTGTGCTTTGATTAAAATATTCCCAGTTACAGGCTCGGTGAGGTGGCTCGTGCCTGTAATCCCAGCACTTTGGGAGGCTGAGGTGGGTGAATCACTTGAGGTCAGGAGTTCGAGACCAGCCTGGCCAACATGGTGCAACCCCGTTTCTACCAAAAAATACAAAAATTAGCCAGGTGTGATGGTGTGTGCCTGTAGTCCCAGCTACTCAGGAGGCTGAGGCATGAGAATCGCTTGAACTTGGGAAGTGGAGATTACAGTGAGCCGAGATTGTACCGCTGCACTCCAGCCTGGGCGACAGAGTGAGACCCTGTCTCAAAAAAAAAAAAAAAAATTCTTAGTTACATGAGAAGCAGGCCAGTGTTGCCTTCATGGCATTCCCAATTGAAGCACTTATCCCTATGAAGTGACAAACTCTATACATACTATAAAGGTTAATAGCTGGCCAGGTGTGGTGGCTCACACTTGTAGTCTCAGCACTTTCGGAGGCCAAGTTGGGGGGATTGCTTGAGCCCAGGAGTTCGAGACCAGCCTGGGCAACACAGTGAGACCCTGTCTCTATGAAAAGTAAATAAATAAATAAATAAATAAATAAATAAATAAATAAATAAAAAGTTTAAGAGCCCAGCCTGTGGAAGCAAGATGACTTTAATTAAAATTAATCCCAGCTGCTTTATGAACCAGCTGTTCTTGGGACGTCTCAGAGCCTCAGCTTCCTCACCTGTAAAATGGGCATGATAGTAATATCTTTCTCAGGGGCTGTTGTGAGGATTTTGAAAAGCAATGAACATAAATGGCTGACATTCCACCAATACACACTGAGTAAAGTGCCTAGAACATTTTCAGCCCTCAATAAATATAACCTATTAAAACACATGTTCTGCTGAAGCCAGAATCTATGATTCTTCCCTCTCACTCTTAAATAGATTTTTAAAAAAGCATTTGATCTAATTATGTTAAAGATATATATACAAGGGGAAGACAGAAAGAAAACATACTATGATCTTTCCTGTTTGTCTACGTGTGTGATGCTATATATAATTTTTATTTTCTTCTTTCAGGCCTCTTGTGTTCCAGATTCTTTTGCAGTGAGCATATATATTAGTTTTACGACCAGAAGATAAGCCTTGACAAATGCTATCTTTAAAAGAGAAGAAAATATCGAGGCAAACTGCAGCATGATTTTATAGAAACTGAGTGAAAAAAAAAAAATCCCAGCTAGATGGAGAATTAGATGTTTTCTGGTCAAGAGCTTATTGGGAGGGAAATGACATCAATTTGGGTTCGCATCAGCTTGAGTGAAAAATCATAATGCAAAATGAAAGTACACGGGGCGGGTGCGGGGAGGGGCGCTGAACCCACGCTGGGATTTTGCCGTGTGAATCATCAAGCTAGAAATGACCTCAGGAGGGCATGTGGCCCCGCCCCCACCCCTCACCTCGGGAAGGTTGCCCAGCGACTTTTCAGGACAAATGAGCAATGGTCCTATTTATAAGCCCTCTAGGAACTAAATCTACACACATTTCCTTCCTCCTAAGCTTCAGGCAGTCTTGATTTAGCTTTTGCAGGTGCCCTCAACTAGCATTCTCCAACCTACTTCTCCTTCTGCCTGGAAGAGGCCTGGGAGTTGTCCCAGATCTTTCCTACCTACCCCTGAAGGACCCTGGGTCCTTGAGCAAAACCAAATCCCCCGGAAGTCAGTTTTGTCAGCTGTAAAATAGGGATAGGAAGGATTTGAAGAATGCCTAGCTGGGAGTGAAAAGGAGGCCTTCCAGTGCCAGAGGCCGTGTCTTTAACCATGTCTATACCTCCCTGGTGGGAAAAGGCAAGACACAAACAGAGGTAGCTTGTTTACAACAAATTGACAGGAATTTGAAGTTGGGGGTGGCAAGCTTGTTAAGAAGAAGCCAAGGCCACAGAGATGGGAAGCAGGAAGGGATTGAGAGGAGAGGGTCCAGAGAAAAACAGAGGCAGCTCAGGAGAGCAATGATTAGCAAGGACATCTCTAGAGCAAGAGAAGCCCCCGGTGTAGGGACAGTCCAGAAAACTCAAGAACCAGGATGCTATATTGCTTTTTTTATTTTTATTTATTTTTTACTTTTTAAAATATTTTGAGATAGAGCCTCGCTCTGTCACCCTGGCTGGAGTGCAGCAGTGCCATCCTGGCTCACTGCAACCTCCACCTCCCAGGTTCAAGTGATCCTCCTGCCTTAGCCTCCCAAGTGCCTGGGATTATAGGTGTGCACCACCACACCCGGCTAATTTTTTGTATTTTTAGTAGAGACAGGGTTTCACCGTGTTGGCCAGGCTGGTCTCAAACTCCTAACCTAAAGTGATCCACCTGCCTCCCAAAGTGCTGGGATTACAGATGTGAGCCGCTGCACCCAGCCAAGAACCAGGATGCTGTGTTCCTGTAATTGACCAGATATGCAGGACTGCAATACCCCTTCCGTTATCCACAAACACTTTTGGGAACCAGCTTTGTGTTCATGATGCTATGAGGCATGGCAGATGTGAGGTGGTCCAGGGGTAACAGAGATGGGGAGAGAGAATGGCAGCTTCAGGAACAGAGGATGATGGCTAAGGACCAGATGACAGTGGTGACCGAGGGCGTAACCCCCACTGACCAGGAGAAGGTATGTCTTTCTGGAAATCTGTGGAGTTTTTGAAGATGTGTCAGAGTGCTGCAGTGGGGCTGAAACCATTTTCTTTGTTTGTTAAAGAGTGATTACTGAGTTCTGAAGAACCTGGGGCTCTCCAGGAGGGAGGTTTTCTGGGTGACAAGTATTAGCAGTGTAAAATGAGTATTAGTGAAGTGCATTGCTAGCAGCATTTTTTTTTTTTTTAAAGGCAGAATCTTGCTCTATCACCCAGGCTGGAGGGCAGTGGCAGGATCTCGGCTCACTACAACCTCTGCCTCCTGGGTTCAAGCGATTCTTGTGCCTCAGACTCCCAAGATTACTCAGGGTTACAGGCACACACCACCATGCCTGGCTATATTTTCAGTAGAGACAGTGTTTCACCATGTTGGCCAGGCTGGTCTCAAACTCCTGGCCTCAAGAGATCTGCCTGCCTTGACCTCCCAAAGTGCTGGGATTACAGGTGTGAACCCCATGCCCAGCCTGCTAGCAGTTTTGATGTTGGTATTGTATTAGTATTAGTATCTATCTTAGTCTGTTTGTGCTGCTATAACAAAATACCACAAATTGGGTAATTTATCAATTTATTTCTCACAGTTCTGGATTCTGATAAGTCCAACATCAAGGAACTGGCAGGTTTTGTGTCTGGTGAGGGCCCAGTCTCTGCTTCTAAGATGGTGTCTTGAATGCTGTGCCCTCCCACGCAGAAGGCAGAAGGAAAGGCAAAAAAAGAACCAAACTGCCTCCATCAGGCCCTTTTGTGATAGCATTGATCCATTCATGAAGGCAGAGCCCTCCTGATCTAAACACCTCCCCAAAGGTTCCACCTCCCAACACTATTGCATTAAGGATCAAGTTTCCAACACATGAATTTTGGGGGACACATTCAGATCACAGAAATATCCATATTCCTTCCCCTCCCTCAAGTCCTGGATGAGCTCCTACGTGTATTCTCCTAGGGCCAAATCAATGAACCACTGCCCAGACCCTGCCTCCCTGCATGTTGATGAGAGTGGCATGTGGTATTGAATTAAAAGCCCTCCAGAGGCGAGGAGATACACTTATTGCTCCCTTATCCGCATGCCAGGTCACTTCATCATGAGAGGAAATTAAATTGGCTTGGAATGAATTGCTCCTCCCAAAGCCATGCTGGTCCCTAAACCTTCCTAGATGGCTCCAAAGCTGAAGGGTTGATTATCTATTGCAGCATAACAGATTTCTGCTCAGTTAAATAGCCCAAAGTGACAATACACTCACAGTTTATTCTCTCACACAGTTTATGGTAGGCAGGAAAGAGGGAGTGGCTCATTGCATGGTTGTGGCTTGGGGTTGCAGTCAGGAGGTCACCTGGGCCTGTGGTCATCTGAAGATCTGGGCTGGAGAATCTGCTTCCAAGATGGCTCACACCTGCTGGCAGGTTGACAGGGAGGCCTCTGGTCCTTACTTGCAGGACCCCTCCATAGGGCCACTGGAGTGTCCTCATGACATGGCAGCTGGCTTCCTCTAGAATGAATAACCCAAGAGAATATAAGGCAGAGTCACAACGTATTTGTATTAGTCAGTTTTCACACTGCTATAAAGAACTGCCTGAGACTGGGTAATTTATAAAGAAAAGAGGTTTAATTGTCTCAGTTCCACATGGGTAGGGAGGCCTCAGGAAACTTACAATCATGGCAGAAGGTAAAGGGGAAGCAAGGCAAGTCTTACATGGCAGCAGGAGAAAGAGAGAGAGGGGGGAATTGCCAAATGCTTTTAAACCATCAGATCTCATGAGAATTCACTCACTATCATGAGAACAGCATGGGGGAAATCACCCCCATGATCCAATCCCTTCCCACCAGATCCCTCCCTCAACAATTACAATTCGAGATGAGATTTAGGTGGTGACACAGAGCCAAACCATATTTCTCAGCCTCAGAAGTCACGTGCTCTAATTTCTGCAACATCCTATTGGTTACATGGGTCAGCCTTCCTCACCATGGGAGGACACTATCAAGGGCATGAATACCAGGAGGTGGGAATCATTTGGGGCCATCTGACAAGGGCCACTTCCTCTATGCTATAATTCTCAGAACCATTGTTTTTTCTTCTTTGTACATGAGTATAACATTGGCCAATTTTCAGTTATGTAAATAATTATACTAATATTCCCACTTGACATTTGTGCACCAATTTCATCTCCTCAGAGTAATTACTGCCCCATGCTGCAGATGAGAAAATGAAGGCTTGAAGAAGTTAAGTGACGTCTCCGAAGTCCCAAAGTTAAAAAGGTCTGCAGGGCTGGGAACTGTGTTGTGGTTCCTAGTTTAGTGTCCTTTCCATCATACCTCACAGCTGCCATGAAGCCACAAAGACACCTTATGCCTGCTTGTCTTCCAGGGCAAATGGGAATTAAAAAGCAGCTGTAGTGTAGCAAGATAAATCTTATTTTTCTTTAAATTTTTGTATTTCACAGGTGACCCACACTCTTTATGGAAAAGCTATAAAATAGAAATAATTGGGAGTTAAAAAAAATTAAGAAAAGCCATTCCCCCATACTTCTCCCACCCAGATCTACCACTGTTAATATCTTAGTATGTTCCCCTAAGAACAAAGGACATGGTTTTAAAATACGTTACATTAACAGCATTTCCAGGGCAAACTCTGAAGGAAACCTCATCCACTCAGCTTCGCCTGTGGGGAGGAAGTATGTGAAATATGACCTTGAGCATGCAGTAGGCTGTGCATCTGTGTGCGTGTGCAGGTGTGCACACATGTGTAAACGCCTGGTGCTTCTCTGTCCAGGTGGAGAGAGGCTCTGCATATCAGCAGTTAGCCAAGTTGAAGGGGAATTTATTGCAACCTCAGTAGAGAGTGTTTCTTCAAATGAGAGGCAGGGCAGCTCTGGCTTCAGGTGGCAGAAATGGCTTGCCCTCTCGTTTGGTTTAAGTTCCTCTAGGCAGGGAAAGGTTGATTAAGTTTAATTCAATCCATTTGGTCTTCTGAGCTGCCTGCTGAGGTTGGGTCCTTGTGTGCTCCCTTTCATCATATGCCTTACACATGAAATGTCTTGTTTGTGACCAGCTCCCCTGCCCCGCCATGCCCCAACCAGAAGATCAGCCCCAGAGAGGGGGCCTCATCTGCCTTGTTCACCTGTATCTGCCTCTCAGCACCTGCCTCAGGGTCTGGCAGCTTGTATTTCTCAAAATGTGTTTGATTGAATTGAGTGCACGGTTTGGGGGATTGTCCACAAGAAAGTTGCTAGGGGCATCCACAGTTTGTATCCAGAAGGAACTAGACCCCACTCAAGAGGCAGAATCAGGGTCCCAGGCACCTTCTCTGTGTCATCTATTTGTAACTCGGGAACCCCAAGGTCAGGTTGCCACCACCTGGAGACAGAAGAGCTAGGCCACGTTACAAAAAAAAAAAAAAAAAAATTACAAGAACTGCAAGGACTATTCCAAAGTGTTGGGCATCTGTTTTGTCCTGAACTAGAGAGATGAAATGAAATTCACTCTGTTTCATCAATCTTACTCAATTTCAGCTTCTGTGGATTCTTTCCAAGTGCTGGGTCGGGAGGCAGTGAGGTAATATTAAATGTGATGAGCATCAGATTTGGAGTCAAATGCCAGGTCATCTACATTTGAGCTGCATGAGCTGGAGGAGTTTATCTCTCTGAGCCTCAGTTTCCTCATCTATAAAACAGGAATAATAACACTAAATTTGCAGCATTTTGGTGCTTGAATGAGATAAAAGTGAGAGTCGTTAGCATGATGCCTTGACACAGTGTGCCTAAGAATATGTATTTTTTTCTCTGGGAATATCTCCCTAAACCTTGAAAATCTGAAAGCAGTGCCAGCCACGTGACTCTCAAGGTTTCTGCCCATGAACGGCCTCCCATGAGATTAGGAGATGGTGGAGCATGACTCCAGGCAGTGGGGCACAGGAGCCCACTGGGAAGTCCCAGGAGCACAGCCCCAGCATCGGTCAGGCCTGGATAGGATACCTGGGCCCTGAAGGGAGAATGTGGGTAGGAGGCAGCTCCGGGCTCTGCCCATAGCAGGGTCTCCTTTCTTCTCCTGCTTGGGTGGTGGCAGGTGGTCTTTCTCTAGTAGGAATCCAGGTTTTGGGGTCTGAAGCTCACATCACAGGAAAACCAAGGTTTCAGATGATGACCCAAGGACTCGTACATTATCAAATGGGTTGAGTCTGTCCCCTGTGGGTCCCCTGCCAATCTCCTGCTAGACTCCTTCCTTCCCTTTTGGCATCTTTCTTATCAAAGTGGCTCTTGGTGCTTCAGGCTCTCTTATTGTGGCAACTTCTTTCCCCATCAAAATGCATCCACTAGCACTTTGAGAATGTCCAACTCTCTTGAAACCTAATTGCTTTGACAATCAGATCCAGGGTCACAGTTTGCAGTATGTGACAATTTACAATTAACTGGAATGCTTTCTGAAGATACAGCCTGCATTTTTTGGGCTGGAGGACCAGAAATTACTACAATCCTGCCTCCAGGCTCTTCTGTCTTCCCACAGCATCTGAGAGAGCAGTGACAAGGATTAGGTATTTGTCATCTCTGATCTAGACCAATCCCACGGCCCTATTTTTGGATGAGAAATCTAGGGTTCTGAGGGGTGAAGTAACTTATCCAAAGTCTCTTGGTGACTTTGAGGCAGAACCTGTGGAAAAGAAAACCACAGATCTCCTGACTTCTTTCCTACTGCCTGTCCCTCATTCCAGAACTTTCCATCTCAAAATGTGCTCTCTAGACCAGCAGCATTGATGTCACCTGGGAGCTTATTAAAAATGCTGATGCTAAAATCCAACCCCAGCCTGACTGAAACAAAATCTGCATTTTAATACAAGATCCCCAGTTGATTCACATGCACTTCAGAATTTGAAAACCACTGGGCTAGAACTTAAATTTTTCCCTCTTGTTTCATTTCTTATCATTACTTCAACCCCAAGGGTCTATGAATCTCCCAGGCTGAAATTAACCCAATCTCAACATATAATGATGTTCAAGGAGTCCTGGTATTATTAAATATAGTACAGTTTTCCATGAGAAAACATTTCTGCCCTGTTTTCTGACATTTTTTTCACTTTCCTTAATTTAAAATTCTAAAAAGAAAAGCCTCATTAATGGAGTCATTTTTAGAATGGGCAGGAGAATCCAGCACTTTGAACTTAAACAGAAAAGGTTTCATAGAAACTTAATAAACAATCAGACCTGGGTGGTGAAATGTACATGAAAGTGTGTGGTAAATTATAAAGTGGTGCGCAAATGTTACTTATAATTTCCAGGCTGTATGATCACAGAATGATATCCTTCATAAGCCCATTCTGGGTTAAAATGTTTCTCAGGAATATGATGTGAAATTTAAAGTTTTCTAATTATTCTCATTTTATTAGATATCTAAGGAGCTACAGTAGTGGTTATCAACTCTGGTTATGCATGAGAATAACTTGGGGGAGCTTGGTTTAAAAACACATGAGCCTGGGCCCTGGCCCTAGATTTTATTTCTTGAGGTCCTGCAGGTCAGAATTGGTCAAGGGTATGGTTTTAAACACTCCCAGGTGATTCTAATACAGAGTGAGATTGGAGAGCCACTGAGCTGGAAAGTCATTATTTTCCAGGTTTACAGTAAATATATGTGGGTGAGAATTTTATCCATATTTATGATATATCTGATGACCAAAATTTCTAGTTTCTAAATTTTAACAATAATAAGACCATTGGGAGATATCACCTGAATTGAAATACTAATGGTTGCTGATTCTAAATAGTATTGATATGGCAATGACAATTTTGTTAATCATTCACTCTTTCAAAATTTGACATTGCCCCGCTACTATCGATGGTATCAAAGACTGACCTACATCTAACAGTCCATTTGTGTACAGGCTTACACCCTGGTGTCAACAACTGAATTCTTAGGTTCCATATAGTATTTATTCTAATGATTAGAACTTTTTGACAACACAGGCTTGAAAGAGTATTCATGAGGACCTAAAAGCCCTAAGTTCTAGGTAGTGCTCTTTCCCTGAGTTGGCTGATGTTGATTCAATTTCCTGCTCTGAAAAATGACAGTGTTGGCCCAGAGGAGCTCAAATCTGGCTGACCATCACATTCACCTGGAGAGCTTTTCAAAGCCGCAGATTTCAAGGTCCCAGACTTTGAAGGGGAAGGGGGAATGTTGGAAATCCGGATTTTCAAAAGAATCTTTGGAAGATCAGCTGTGTTTGGGAGCCACTGGACAAGATAAGCTTCCAAGTCCTTTTCTGCTCTAAGAGTCTACGGCATTAGATCCACTTAGTTAAATTCTTATATAAGAAAAAGCTGATCTGGGAGCAGGCCTGCCCAGCGGGCAGGGCCTACAGAGAGAGAGAACAGAAAACCGAAAAAACAGTAAAAGGCCTCATCTTTGACTCCCTCCTCTGTATGTCTCAAGGTTTTGTGTTCATGTGGTTTCTGTTCATATCTTTTCATCATAGTCATATTGCTAAATGTTGAACTGTCATTTCATCACATTACCTTTAAAAACTGTTGGAAACAATGTTCTCGGAAGGAATAATCACTTTTCCTGCTACCCATTTCACCTCACTTCTGCTCCAAGACTAAGTTTCAGTAGGCAGAAGAATCTCCCTGGGAAGACTGTTCAAAATACAGATTGCTTCCTGGCATGGTGCCTCATGCGTGTGATCCCAGCATTTTGAGAGGCCAAGGCAGGCAGATCACTTGAGCTCAGGGGTTCGAGACCAGCATGGGCAATATGGCAAAACCCCATGTCTATTAAAAATACAAAAAATTAGCTGGGCATGGTGGCACGAGCCTGTGGTCTCAGTTACTCAGGAGGCTAAGGTGGGAGGATTGCTTGAGCCTGTGAGGCGGAGATTGCAGTCAGCCTAGATCACACCACTGCATCCGGCCTGTGAGACACAGCCAGACCCTGTCTTTAAAAAAAAAAAAAAAAAAAAAAAAAGATTTCTGGGCTTCCCCTTGATTCTAACTCAAGAGATTTGGAGTTTGGTCCAGAGACCTGCATTTTTACAAGCATCCTGGGTATCCTATCTGCTTTTGATCTCCCTGTACAATTTAGTATGTAGCCTTTCCCCAGGTTTCCTTTACGGTAAGAATCTCATGGACTCATCGACAAGTAAACTAAGAAATAAAACATGCTATATCCATACAATGGAATATTATTCAGTCGTAAAAAGGAATGAAGTATTGATATACAGGACAATGGTAGATGAACCTTGAAAACATTATGCTAAGTAAAATAAGCCAGACGCAAGAGGCCACATATCACATGGTTCCATTTATATGAAATATCCTGAGTAGGCAAATCGATAGAGACAGAAAGTAGATCAGCGGTCGTCAGGGGCTTGGAGGGAGAGAGGAATCGGGGGTGACTGCTAATGGGTGTGGGTTTCTTTATGGGGTGATGAAATATTCTCAGATGGTGGTGGTAGTTGCACAACTTTGTGAATATAATAAAAACCACTGAATTGTATAAAAGGGTGAATTATATGGTATGTGAATTATACCTTAATTTTTTAAAAAGGCAAAAAAAAAAAAAAAAAAAAAAAAAGAATGCCCTGGGCAATTGTTTAGAAAAACAGATTCCCAGGGCCCACTGAAGCCGACTGATTTACCACTTCCAGTGGAGGAATACAAGAATCTGTTTTTTAATATCCACCCCCCATCAAGTGAATCAAAAGGGAAGTTTAGGAAACCTTATCAAAAGGGAAGTTTGGCACACTGGAGGCCTGAGCCATCTTTCTGCACGGACCCTTCAGTCCCATCGGTGCCTACTGATGGATGAATGGATTTTTAAAATGTGACATGTACACATGTCTTAGCCCATTTTGTGCTGCTATAACAGAATGCCATAGACTGGGTAATGTATAAAGACATTTATTTCTCACAGTTGTGGAAGCTGGGGAGTTTAAGAGCAAGGTGCCGGCAGGCTTGGTGTCTGGTAAGAGCCCTATCTCCACTTCCAAGATGGCACCTTGAACGCTGTCTCCTCTGGAAGGGAGGGACACTGTGTTCCTCACATGGCAGAAAAGCAGAAGGACACAGACAGAGAACCCACTCCCCAAAGCCCTTTCTAAAAGGCACTAAACCCACCCATAAGAGTGGAGCCCTCATGTCTTAATCACCTCTTCAGGGTCCTACTTCTTCATATGGTTCCAATGGCAATTACATTTCAACATGAGTGTTGGAGGGGACAAACATCCAAACCACAGCAACATACAATGAGCTATTATTCAGTCTTAAAGAGGAAGGAAATTTGGACACATGCTACAACATGGATGAACCTTGAGGACATTATGCTAAATGAAAAAACCAAACACAAAAAGACGAAGACTGTATGCTTTTATGTGTATGAGGTACCTAGTATAGTCAAATTCATAGATACAGAAAGTAGAATGGTGGTTTCCAGAAGCTGGGGGGAAACAGAAATGAGGGTTGTTGTTTAATGAGTACAGTTTCAGTTTTTCAAGATGAAAATTCTGGAGGTCCGTTGCACAACAATGTGAATATATTTAACACTATGAAAGTGCACACTTAAAAATGGTAAAGATAGTTTTCTTTATGTTTGAGACGGAGTCTCGCTCTATCACCCAGGCTGGAGTGCAGTGGTGTGATCCCAGCTCACTGTAGCCTCTGCCTGCCAGTTCAAGCAACTCTCCTGCCTCAGCCTCCCGAATAGCTGGGATTATAGGTGCCTGCCACCATGCCTGGATTAATCCCAGCACTTTGGGAGGCCAAGGCGGGTGGATCACCTGAGGTCAGGAGTTTGAGTCCAGCTTGGCCAACAGGGTGAAACCCCATCTCTACTAAAACTACAAAAAGTAGCTGGGCGTGGCGCCACACGCCTGTAATCCCAGCTACTTAGGAGGCTGAGGCAGGAGAATCTCTTGAACCCGGAGGTGGAGGTTGCAGTGAGCTGAGATCTTGACACTGTACTCCTGGCCTGGGTGACAGAGCGAGACTCTGTCTCAAAAAAAAAAAAAAAAAAGATAGTTTTTTTTTAAAAAAAGACTGTGGCTTCCATTTCGAGCTCCCTCACTCTGTCTTGCTGTGCTTACTCTGTTGTTCACTGGCTCTCTCTTTCAGATCACCAGCTGCCATGTTGGGAGGACACTCAGGCAGCCTGTGGAGGAACTCCCATGGTGAGGAGTCTGCCAACAATCAGATGAGTGAACTTGGACATGTATCTTCCCAGGCCTGCCAACATGTGAATAGGCTGGGAAGCGGATCTTTGACCCCTATGTTGAGCCTTCAAATGAAACCACAGCCCTGGTGAACAGCTTGTTGCAACCTTATGAGATACCTCAGAGCAGCAGTCCCCAACTTTTTGGCACCTGGGACCAGTTTCGTGGAAGGCAATTTTCCCACAGACCGGGGTTGGGGGGTGGGGATGGTTTTGGGATGAAACTCTTCCACCTCAGGTCATTAGCCATTAGAGTCTCATAAAGAACACACAACCTAGATCCCTCTTCACGCTCCTATGAGAATCTAATGCTGCTGCTGATCTGGCAGGAGGCGAAGCTCAGGCAGTAATGCTCACTCGCCCACCGCTCACCTCCTGCTGTGTGGCCTGATCCTAACAGGCCATAGACCAGTACCAGTCTATGACCTGGGGGTTGGGAACCCCTGTCTTGGAGTACAGGTACCCAGCTGAGCTGTGGAAGATTCTCAACACAGGGAATGTGTAGAATAATGAAGATTTATTGTTTTAAGCCACTAAGTTTTGGAGTAATTTGTTATGCAGCAATAGGTAACTAATACACCATCAAATGCATTTGCTCAGTCAGATTGCAAGGCAGAAACTACTAGAGCTCCAGCTGCAACCCTGTTTTTCAGGATATAAAAGTATATATATTGTGGTAGACCAAATAATGAGCCTCCCAAAATGTCCACGTTCCTAATTTCCTGGAACATATTGTGAGTGTGTTACACTACAAGACAAAAGGGACTTTGCAGATGTAATTAAAGTTACAAACTTTAAAATACATTATCTTAGATGAGCTGAGTGGGTCCAATCTAATTACCTGAGCCCTTAAAAACAGAACTTTGGCTGGAGGCAGGAGAGATTTGCCAGAAGTGGAAGTTGGAAAGATTCAAAGTGTGAGAGGACCTCACTGTTGCTGGAAAAGGCAACGTGTAAAGCATGAAAATGAAGATGGGCCGCCTCTAGGAGCTAAGACTCCACCCCAGTTGATAGCCAGCAAGAAGACGGGGATCTGGGCTCTGCAACTGTCAGGAACTGAACAACCTGAAAAACCCTGAAAGCAATTCAGTGCTGGAGTCTCCAGAAAGGAATGCAGCCCTGCTAACACCTTGATTTTGGCCCTGTGAAAGCCAGGGAAGAAAAATCAGTAGCGCCAACTGGGACTTCAGACCTACAGACGTCTAAGATAAATAAATTTGTATTATTTTCAGTTCACTAAGTTTGGGGTAATTTGTTATGGCAGCAATAGAAAACATATCTATATATATGATATTTATTGGTTTTCAGTACTTTCCTACCAAGTGTCATTGCTATGCAGACGCTGCACAATGCTGTTTATCGTTTTCCACTTACTCTGCTGAAGCAGTCATTCACTCTCTCAGTGTCTCTGTGTATTGCAGGGTTGAATGTTCCATGCATTGTTTTTAAGGCTCTCTTGGAAAGACACTCCTTCTTTGGGAGGCTGGCGTCTGGCTGGAGAAAGACTGAATGCCTGCTGGTTGTTTCTGAGGCTACTAATCAATATTTACCATTAGGATGACAACTCCATGCATCACTAAACTTTGACCTTTGTGCCCCAGAGCAGTCCCAAGATGCCAATTGATGTACGGGCAATATACATATTCCATGAACACAATACCCCTTTCATAGACTTTCCTGAATTAAGTTTTAGAGGTGCTGGCAATAGCAAAATAATGTTGCTAGTGTACCAGCGAGCTCAGGATATTTAGAAAGAGTGCTTGGATTGAAGTAACAGTGTTTATGATTTTTTAAAAGATCTTTTGGATGGATACTGTGTATGGACTGCTGACTAGATGTCCCTGTCTTCAGCATAACTGGGTGATGTTGGCATCAAGGGTCCGTTAAGCCAGCCTTGAAAACAAGCACATGCCTATAGGCCCAAGACCTGTGGTATTCCCAGTAAAAGGTGTTGATACTTCAAATGAGATCAATTGCCAAACAGCTGTTTGGACTAAAACCAAATGATTAATTAGGCTTTCAAGAGGCAGTTATTTTGATTAAAGGGACCATATATGAATGGCCTTTGGCAATTTCTTATATCTAATCAGAGAGGTCCACACACTCAGCCCTTGTGTGGAACCAGTGGGTGATGAACAGCTCAAGTCAAAAAGGGTTTATCAGAAGAGAAGATGCATGGAGCCCCATTAAAGAAAGGGTAGCTGAGACTCATAGGAGCTGAAAAACCATTAGGAACCAAGGAAGGCTATTCCTTCCATCTCTTTCCCTCTCTCTTCGTAGCTACTTAGCCTCTCATCATTGCTTTCCCCTGGAATTCTCTGCTTGTTAATGCCCAGGGCCAAAAATTCCATCAGCTTTGATTTTATATCACTTTCAACTCTGTGGAACTGATTCTGAGTCTGAATTCATTTATTTATTTATTTTTGAGATGGAGTCTTGCTCTGCTGCCCAGGCTGGAGTGCAGTGGTGCGATTTTGGCTCACTGCAACTTCTGCCTCCCCAGTTCAAGTGATTCTCCTGCCTCAGCCTCCAAAGTAGCTCCACCGTGCCTGGCCTGAGTCTGAATTCAAATTCACCCAATTTTAAATTCCCAGGACAGAATCTGATTGGCTTAGTGTGATCTGGTGTCTAGCTGTGGTCCAATCAGCTGTACCCAGGATGAATCAGGGGACATATGACATGGTGGGAGCTGGCTCTTCCAAGTGACAGATGAGGCAGGGAAGAGATGACAGAACACCTCCAGAATATTTTCTGAACTGATAATAGCAGATGCCTCTTTGCTACTTCTTTTTTTCACCCATCTGCAAACCTGTTAAAGGGAAAGGACATTTTTTTCATTTTTGTCTTCACTACCATACTTAGCTAAGTGCCTCAGCCAGAGAAGATGCCTAATAAATTTTTAAAAAGATATAAAGGTGGTCATGTTTTTTCCAATCATACATACTTTTTTTTTCTTTTTTATTTCTTTTCTTTTTTTTTTTGGAGTCAGGGTTTCACTCCGTCACCCAGGCTGGAGTGCAGTGGTGCGATCTCGGCTCACTACAGCCTCAACCTCCGGGGCTCAAGTGATCCTCCTGCTTCAGCCTCCCTAGTAGCTGGGAGTACAGGTGCATGCCATCACACCTGGCAAATTTTTTTTTTTTTTGTAAGTTTTTTAGAGACAGGGTTTCGCCATGTTGTCCAGGCTGGTCTCAAACTCTTGGACTACAGTGATCTGCCCACCTCGGCCTCCCAAAGTGATGGGATTACAGGTGTGAGCCACCACACCCAGCCCAATCATACATGCTTCTAATAGTGCTAATCATAATCCAACTTGGTATTGAGGCAAAAAAAAAAAAAAAAGAAAAAGAAAAGAAAGGGGGTCATATATTCTGATCACTCCTGAGTTCTTTCTTCCAGCACTGCTTAGGTTAATAATGGCTATTATTTACTGTTCATTTTCCATGGGGCAAGAATTGCATAAAGTGCTTTATACGTTATTATCCCATTTATCCACTATAATAATCCTTTAAGGAAACCAGAGCTCACAGAAGTGAGCTCAACTTGCCTAACTACACACAGTTCCAAAGTACTATGGCCAATTGTAAACCTAAATCATAGCCCAGTCCTCTTAAGAACTGTATTGTCTTTCCTCCAGTGCTATGAGGAATTGTGAATGAGGCTGAGAGATGAGGCTAAAAGGAGAGGTATTGGCTGGGTCAATGCCAATTTTGTGGAACTAAACAAAATGGTTCCATTCTAACAGTTTTTGAAAGCATTTTGAACATGGCCTTGGGCCTTTCATGGTTCTGAGGATTTCCTACAACACCTCTTAATTGAGTCTTTCCAGGCTGAGCTGCAGGATTTAAGTAATTCAACAACCAAAAAGTTCTCAGAATTTCCCTCCTTTTCCTTTTAGCTGAGTGAGAATGTGTCCCCCAGCTTTCTGCTTTTAACAACTGAAAAATAATCTGGAAATCTGAGTCAAGACCTGGGTCAAACCTGCCATTTTTTATCGTACCTTGCACAGTGAGGGCCAAATTCAGCCTGGCCTCCACTCACCAAATCATGTACTCTGGCACAAGGCTGTACTGCCCAGAGGAAGAGATGCTGTGTTCCAATTCACATCCTAAACCACGCTGTGGGTGGCTTGTGGGCTAGGGGCAGCCTTGGATGGATATAACATTGTTTCAGATATCCCCTGCTTTAGATTTTGATTATGACTTGTGATCATTGTATTTCTGGATAGTATCTCTAATCTCTATTTTGGAGAGAGGAATCCAAATTCTAGAAGTCATTCTCAAGGGAAAGAGGGGCTGATATTGGTACCTAGAACTGGGTTTCTGCATGTTCACTGGAGGGTTTTCTTTTGTCACCTTCTGGCTTGTCTCCCACACACCCCTAGTCCCATCCACAGAGGGCAATCTGGGCAGCTTTGGGACTTGGTTTAGCAAAACAACTGAGTGAAGATACAAACTAAGGAAATCCAGTGTTATTCCTGAGAAAGCCTGGCTTGTCTTAGAGGTTTTTTATTGTAGTTTTTTTTTGTTTTTGTTTTTGTTTCTGTTTTTTTTGAGACAGAGCCTTGCTCTGTAGCCCAGTCTGGAGTGTAGTGGCACAATCTTGGCTCACTGCAACCTCCACCTCCTGGGTTCAAGCAATTTTCCTGCCTCAACCTCCCAAGTAGCTGGGACTATAAGCGTATATCACCATGGCTGGCTAATTTGCGTATTTTTCGTAGAGACAGCGTGTCACTATGTTGGCCAGGCTGGTCTCAAACTCCTGACCTCGGCTGATCTGCTCACCTCAGCCTCCCAAAGTGCTGGGATTACAGGCGTGAGCCACCGCACCTGGCTGTCTTTGATTTCTTTCTAAGGAAGGTGAAAATCCTCTCTCCAACCCACAAGACACTATGGGCACAGCTAAAGTGTTACACAGTATTTTGTTTCTAGGCACTGTTAAAATGCCTTTCCAACATGCTGCCATGATTTTAATTGTGTATGTGTGTTCATCCTCAAGTATATACATTTTAGAATATATGTGGAATGGAATTTGGATTTTAAGGGGACAGAAAGACTGTGAATTTTAAGATCTCCTTCCTTCTGCCCCAGGTGTTCATTTGATACCTAGAGATATTTATGCATGGCAGTACCTAGGGAGTACCTAGGCAGTAAAGTGTAGGAGGTAAAAATGATCAGTCTGGAGGGACAGATCTGGGTGGGTTCAAATCTCATCTCTGCCACTCACTAGCTGTACCTCCTTAAACAAATTCATTAAACACTCTAAGCCTCATTTTCCTCAACAAAGATGGTAAAAGCTTCTTCTTCATAACTTCATTGTGAGGTTCAGTGAGCTGATGCATGTATAATAGAATGCTTAGCATAGAGCCAAGAACATAACACCCAGAAATGCCAGCTCTTCTTCTCAGAAATCAAGATGCAAACCTCAATTCTGGTTGGAAACATGTTGAACATCCAAGACAGCTTTTGTACTCTTTTGTTGGGGGCCCCCTGTTTCCTCAGTGTGAATCCCCTCAGAATTTGTTCACTGTCCCCCAAATCTCATCTGTGTGGCTGCTCCAACCAAGGAGAACCTCTGGTTGCCATGGCATACATTTATCCGGTGAGCATGCTTAATGATCTCGTTCTCCAGGTCCCTGGAGTACAATGTAAGACTAGTGAGCTTGTTAACAAGGGTGCAAAGCTGGTAAGAATGGGCTGTCCGATGTATTTGCTTTAGTTACAAAGTTGTGTGGGAAAATGGAATTGCTGAAAACTCAGGACACTCCTAGAGAATGCTCATGGCAGCAGATTTTCCATTCTCACATGCAATTGCTTCCACCTCCAGGGTATAACAAAACCTTCCAGCGACTTCTTTTTATGTAAGGAGATAGTAGAATGCAGTCAGCTGGGCTGAGGTTGGGCTGAGAGAGCTGTGGGTTGGATGCTGCTAGCTGAGAGACTGGGCAAATTATTGGACCTCCATATACCTCAGTTTTCTCCTCTGCAAAATGGAAATATTAATAGCATCCATCTCACTTGTATTTTGAGGATTAATTGAGATAATGAATATAAAGTGCCTGGCACATAGTAAGCAATCAATAAGAACACTTTATCATCAGCACCATCTTCATAATTACTACCTAGCTCTTGGTATTACGGGGTGTAGAATATAAGCTCTGCAAAGCAATCAGCCTTCTGCCCAACATTGGTATGCTATTAATGGTGGATATTAAAATGTTTCTGCTGTGAATATCAACTACAGAAGCGAATTACTCTTTTTGAAGCTCTCCAAGGGCTTGCCTCATTCTGTAAGGCCTCTGGTTTGCCCTCTATAGCTTGCCCTCACCCTGTGAAAGGATGATTTCCTGCAGCAGACACCATTGGTGGCCACCCCCATTGCGAGTCCCCCTCCTCCCTTGTGAACAGAACACAAATTTTGCTTAGGCAGCCACGTGCCTAGCCCCAGGGTAAAAAGCCTGATTAATGCAAGCCATTTATGGCAGTCTCATTTGGCTTTACCTTAGTTGGTCTAGGTGAGGGCATGTGAATGCATTCTGGCCAATGAGACATAAGGGGAAGTGTCATAATAAAAGGAGAGAGGAACATGAGGTGAGCCTCATCTTGGTCCCTGCCCTCTTCCTCCCTGCTTTAGCTACCGTCATGGGATGCTTGGAGCTGCAAGCTGCTATTTTGGGACCATGAGGGAGATACAAGCATGAGGACAAAAGCCAACACTGTTAAGATGGCAGAGCAGAAAAATAGGAAGAGTCCAGATTCTTAATGACATTGCTAAGCTGCCAAATCAACTTGGAGGCTGCTGCTCTCCAGACTTCTTTCTTAGTATACAATAACTGTTCTTATGATTTGGGCTACTGTTAATCTGGTTTTCTGCTAATTAATCAGTATACTCCTTTTCTGTTTGCCAAGCCTGGAAAATGACTGCTATTCAAATTCTGCTGAGATATAAAGACATTCTGTTCTTATTTTCTTCCTCTACATTTGGGTAGTCAAGTGTCTTTAAATAAATTCCACCCTCACTATTAAAGTGAAACTGTTGTTGAAAAGGTCATCAATGACCTCCTGATTGACATGTCCAATAGCTCCATCTGATTTTGCATTCTGCTGAACCTCTGTTCCATTAAACAGCTTAACCATGTTCTCATTCCTAAAGTGAATCCTTCCCTCAGTGGGCCTCACTGCTCTTTCTTTCTACTTCTCTGGCCCCTCCTCTGTGGTCCCTTCTTTCTGCCTCCTTACCTACCTACGAACCCTGACATTCTGCCCTTTGCCTTCTCTTCTCTCACTCAGCACTTTCCTGGCATGCTGCTTTCACTTCTAAGATTTTGGTTACCATCTGTGGGTGCTAGCAATGGTCCCATTCATATCTCATAGACAGATCTTTTTGCAGCACCAGATGTGAGCAGAACATGCCCAACTGGATGTCCTCATAGGACCGTCAACATCGCATTTCCTAAACTGAACTGTGTCCCTTTACAAGCTTCTCTATAACACACTTCACCACTCATACTAGCCCACAGCTAGAAACCCCAGAGTCATCCTAAGCAATTCGTTCTCTCCCAATATCCAATTCATCACCAAGTATAAAAATTTCTCTATTCTCAGGAGTCTATTGCAGCTTCCCCATGTTCACTGCAACAGCCTCCATTTATCATTTCTATAGTGCATAAGGTTTCACCTGCCTCCAATCTCTTCCCTCTCCAATCATCTGCATTGCTGGTAGAGTGGGTTTTCTAAAAGCAAACTGAATCATCTCACTGGCTTTAAAAATGTCCAAGAGGGTATGTGTGTATGTGAGGGGGGGTATGATGTGGAGACTGTATTAGCCATCATGCCCTCCAAATAAAGTCCACATTTCATAGCACGGCATAGAAGGCCCTCTAGTCTCTCTGAGTACACACTGATTTTTGCATTTCGTCTCCTACGACCTCCCCTCACTGTCTCTGTATCCTGAGCTCAAGCTCCTGTGAATTCCTCTTTCCTTCCACTATTTCCTCTGATTAGATGGTGGACATCAATTCTCAGCACTCTGAACTCCTGGCATCATTCAGTTCTCAAGTCAAACTGCACTTCTTCCCAAAAGCATTACTTGACCCAAGGACCACACCTGAGTTTCTCAACCTCAGCACTACTGGCCTTTAGAGTTGGATAATTCTTTTTGTGCGGGGGCTGACCTGTGCCTTGTAGATGTCTAGCAACATCTCTGGCTTCTGCTTACTAGATGCCAGTAGCAACCCCGCCAACCCATGTGACAATCAAAAATGTCTTCAGACACTGTAAATGTCACCTGTGGAGAGTAACTTCCCCCAGTAGAGAACTATGAAACTAGACCAGGTCTCCTTCTTATCATCCATAGCTTCCTGGTCTTCCTTGATCACCACACTCACGGCACATTTTTATTTTATTTTTTGAGACACAGTCTCACTCTGTCACCAGGCTGGAGTGCAGCGGTGATACCTTGGCTTACTGCAACATCTGCCTCCCAGGTTCAAGCAATTCTCCTGCCTCAGCCTCCTGAGTAGCGGGGATTACGGGCACCCACCACCATGCCTTGCTAATTTTTGTATTTTTAGTAGAGGCAGGGTTTCACCATGTTGGCTAGGCTGGTAATAAACTCCTGACCTCAAGCAATTTGTCCACCTTGGCCTCCCAAAGAGCTGGGATTACATGCGTGAGCCACCACGCCCAGCTTGTGACACATTTTTGAAGTGACTTGTCTGATTGTCTCATCTGCTTCCAAAGGCTGTTATCTAGGAGGGCATGGCACCCAGTAGGCATGCAGTCTAGCTTCATGGAAGAGTGGGCTCTGTGATGGGAGCAACTTCATCTGTCATCTTCATCATTATAGCTTTAGTAACCAGCGTGGTGTTGGCACATAATAGGTGCTCAGTAAGTATGTGTCGAACGAAGGAATGATTGAATGCTCCCATTCAATCACTTCTTTCTCTCTAACCGAAGAATCCTAGTTGGGGTTTTGAGCCTTGTCTTCTCTTCCCTCATAATATTATCACAAATGGCCCTGTTCCCTAGTACTTAGTACACTGGATAACAATGACAATCAAGACAATAGGTGAAATCATGTTTGTGGGAAAAATGATGCTCTATTTTGAGGGCTCTTTCTAAAAACAGAAAAACCAAGTCCAGTGCTGTGCCCAGCAACCTCATGGTCTAACTTGTCCCTCTACTGCCACGCCTGCTGTGCCCCTGGCAGCTCTCAACCACACCCATCACACACACACTGGCCCTAAGTGGAGGAATCACTCAGGGCTGCTGAGATTTGAAAGCTCACTTCCACTCCAAAGCATCATCGTGCCTCGCTCCTCGCTGACTGTAACCCCAGCCCCCTGCACTGCATTCTGCCAGTGAGTGATTACACGGAGCTCACTCGCAAGCCTCTCCTGGGCATGGGAACAGTCCTCTCTGCAGCGTGCTCTCCACCTGATGACCTGAAATGAAGAGGCCAGTGAGGGCTCCACAGCAGAAGGGAGTCTCGATACTATTCAGGCAAACAAACATTAAAAAACGGTTGGTAGAAAGGAAATCTGCCTGCTAGGGAGAAGAGTCTGGTACTCAGAGTAGAGGTGGGTAGCTCTTCATGCACAGTAGATGGTGAATATGCATCCTTTATATGCATCCTTTAATCACAAAGCCTGTGGAGAGAAGATGCTGTAGTTATTATTTATACTTGGCATCCAATCTTCCACATAAATAACAGCACCGAGGTCTGGTGTTTGGTTTAAGTCAGCTCCGTTTAAACAGCCTGGCCAGGTGCAGACACACACTCTGGACCTTTGAACTCTGTGTGTTGTAATCCAGATGTTTGGTCAAGGTGATGAACTTGGGTCACTGACGGTGAGAGAGTGTGCGCTGCCCTCTTCTAGCATCTTCCACTGGGAGCCCTGGACAGTAGGCCTGGCCCCAAGCCCACTTTCTTCGCCAGAGTCAAGAAACAGTAGCAGCTGCAGTTGTTGCTAGGGATGAGGGATCATCCACTTGGGAGTTGAGATAGCTGGGAGGGGGAGGTGGGTAGCAGGAAGGAGGTCATGAAATTGACCGTGCTTAGCTGCTGCCCACGTTTGGATTACTCGGAGACAGTCTGCAATGGGGGAAATATTAGGCTTTTAATGACAGCCCTGACAAACATGATCCGTATGACCAAATGAATCTTAAATGCAACTGCTATCATTTGTTAAAGGAGGATTTGCCAAGTGGCACGGTTCTCCTAGAGTTTTCCTAGTCCCACACTTTGCCTCAAACACGTACACAGAGCGAGGGGTTTGAACTTTCTGAGTTTCATGCAAAGCACATATGTTGTTTGGGTTTTGTTTTGTTTGTTTTTATTTTTGCAAAATATGTTATATAAGAAAGAAGAATATATCAATGAAATGGTAAATACAAACCCTCCAAAAGGATATAACATATTTCTAATGAAAGGAAACAACCACCTTCGCTTTATCCACACAAAAAAATTTAAAAAGATGAAGAGGGGCCATTTTCATTCACAGATTGTGGAATCGTACTGTTTAGTGCTCTCCAAATGAGTATTTTTGAGGCATGACTTCAATGGGAATTCTCAAAAGGAAGCAGCTCCTGGCATAGCAAAGAGAACACTGACGTTGGCAGCCAGGCAGCTTGGATTCCGGGCTTGACCGCTGACCCCTGCTTCCTGGCTTCCAGCCCCAGCACTCCACTCAAAGTGTTCTTGTCAAGGGTACCAGTGACCTTCTAATTGCTAAATCCAAAGGGCATTTTTCAGCCCTCTTCTGACCTGACCTCTCTTCAGCCAGATGACATAATTGCCAACTCTTTCCTCCTTGAAGTTCTCTTACCCTGTGGCTTCAATGACACCATCCCATCCTGGCTATCCTCTAGCTTTCTCCATCACTCCTTCTAAGACCCTCTTCTAGGCTGCTCTCTTTTTCCTCAACAGCTATGGGGTAGCAACTGTGGACTGAAGGCTTTGTGTTTAGGCTTTGTATGCCTCTTCGTATCAACAATTCATAGCATTCCTGGGCTTATTGGTTCCATTTTAAAGATAAGAAAACATCAGTGATGGCTCATGACTATAATCCCAGCACTTTGGGAGGCCGAGGCGGGCAGATCACTTGAGGTCAGGAGTTCCAGACCAGCCTGGCCAACATGGTGACACCCCATCTCTACTAAAAATACAAAAATTAGCTGGGCATGGTGGCACACGCCTGTAATCACAGCTACTTGAGAGGCTGAGGCCCAAGAATCATTTGAACCAGGGAGGCAGAGGTTGCAGTGAGCCGAGATCATGTCACTGCACTCCAGCCTGGGTGACAGAGCGAGACTCCATCTCAGAAAAAATTAAATTAAATTTAATTTAAAAAAAAAGATAAGAAAACTGAGGCTCTGAGTGATTAAGGGATCCTCACCCAAGGCGGCATAGCTAATAAGTAGCAGGAATGGGAATCCCAACCTAGGTCTGTTTGAATCCAGAGTCAAGTTCTCAGCTATTAAACTCTAATGGTGCCTTCTCAAGTAGCCCCTCCCTTAAATAGAGGTGTTCTCCAGAGTTCTGTGTTTGGCTCCTTTTTCTCCTCTCTGCCCCTGTCTCAGCTGGGGCTTCTTCTCAGCCTTTCCTGTAGTTAACTCCTCTATGATATCTTCAGCCAAAATCTGTCTTCTGATGCTGGTTTCCAACTGTTTTCATGCTATCTCCATTTGCATGTGACACAGCCTCCTTGTAGAGGTGGGGTGGTGTACTCCCCAACTGCCATTTCATTCCTGATGGTTGGCTAAAGCCAGTGATTATTTTAGGAGTGGGCTCATGACCCAATTCTGCCAGTAAGACACGAAGGGGAAGATTGCTGGGGACGTCTGGGAAAGGTTTTTCTCCCTCCTAAGAAGACACATGAAAAAATGGTCCCTCTTCTTCCTTTCGATGCTGCACCTTGTAATATTGGAGTGGTGACAACTGTCTGCAGCCATGAGGAGAACCAATGTCAGGTTGAAGCTAGTAAGAAAAGGATGGAATCTGTGTGCTTACGAACAAGTTGATTGTACCTCATCTGGGACTGGAGCTTTCAACTATGTTGAATATTAATAATACATTTCCTCACGGTTTGTATGGGTTTGTTGTTGCTGTGGTGGTTGCTACTTGCAGACACAAGCGTCCCAAATAACACACTGTATTCATCATATCTATAACTTAGGTCAATATTTCCTCCTCTAAACAGCCTCTCCTCCTGTGACTCTATCTCTGTGAATAGCACCACGATCCACTCAGTCACCCAAGTCAGAAACCTGGGTATTATTCTTGACTCCTCCCTCTGCCTTATCCAGAGTGTCCAATCATGAATTAAGTCCAGCAGCTTTTACTGTTGGAAATCTCTTCATTTTTTCCCAGAAACCCTCTCCGTGTCTTTTTTAGTTATTTGTTATTTTTACTGGTCTTCTGTTCCCTTTCTCACTCTGATCCAAGCTACTACTATCTGCATTGTTCCTAAAGACATTTAAAAAAATTCAATGTAAATTCTATAAATTTCCCAATTATAGTCTGTGAATAGGCCATCATTTTCTTCAAGATAAAATCTAACCATCATCAGTGAATAGCCCACCGTTGTCTTCAAGATAAAATCCAACCAATCAGCATGGTTCGTAAGATGCTTCAAGGCAGAGCTTACCTCTCTGGATGCTCACATCCACCAATCCACATGCACTCCAAGTTCCAGCACACTGGTTGCCTTGCAGTCCACAAGGCTCTTCTCCTTAGTGTCACCACATGTGCTGTTCCCTGACCTTGGATACCCTTCCTGACTTGTTTCCCTGAACCATACTGCTTGGCCAGTATGCTCCCATACACTTTGATGTGTGTCTCTCATAACATAGCAGGTAGGAATTTCAGACATGCCAGAAATGTCTTTCCTTATTGTTCTCTCTCTGTCACCTTGATTTTTATTTTGAACCCATATCCTGACTCAATTTCAGTGCTAAGGGGGGTGTCTATCTGGTCTCAGGGCATGTGTTAATCACAGGTTGCCATAGAGATATCCCTAGTTTCCCCTTCATGGCCCCTTCAAGTCCAGGAGTTGTCTTGGCAATGCCCAACCCAGGCTAGAGATCCTGGAGGCTCTGCACAGTGGCCTGTACATAGACACACAACCACTGCCACTCCTGCTCCGGGGTCCGGCCACCTTCCCACAGCCCCATTTGTAGGCAGGCTCCCCCTCCTCTCTGGCCCACAGCCCCCTCTACCTTATGAACTTTTCATCTTCTCTCCTTCCCCGGTGCCTGGAGGAAGCACTCCCCTGACCTTCCTCCTTCCAAACATTTGTCTATCCCCCACCTACTCTCAGTTCTCCTACCAGGGACTTCGGGGGTTTAGAATTACGGATCAGGGAACACGAGAGGCAGAGATTGACGGGCCTTTTTTGCTTCTCCTCTGCCACATTTCCTAAGACGGGCAGCATCAACAGTCTGCTTGAGAAAGGGGAAAATACTGGCAGACAAAAGAACATAGGGTGACAAGTGACCAATCACCCGGCCACCTCCCTGTTCCCATCACCTGCTCATGTGCCTCCTTCTTCCAGACTGTGAGGCCTGCAGTGTCCGTGATCCTTGTATTGTCAGCACGTGGTATCTGGCTCATAGTAGGTACTTCATAAATATCTGTCAAGACTAAAAATAAAAGTAAGAAGAGAATGGACTTGGAGTCAGGAGACCTGAATGCATCCCGCCAACTGTCTTCCCAGTTGTGTGACCTTGGGCAAGATACCCTACCTCTCTTCTCTTGGCGGTAGCAACAGGGAGAAGAAGCTCTGAAGAGGTGAGGGACATGGCGCCCTTCAAACCTCTGCAGCTGGTACTTCCCCCTCTTCCCAGCCTTCTCAGATTCTGGCTCCATTTTACCATCTTCCTGTCATGCTTCAAGTGACCCAAAACTTTTATATCAGGTGCCTCTCCCCCTTGCAAAGCTGTTTTGTGTATAAATAGATTTTTGCCCTTCCTCCTCCGGGTGGGCCCCTTTCCTTCCTTCAGTTAACAACTTTCAGGATTCTTGAGTTCCAGGGATTTGGTTTGTGATGAAGTACAAAGAACTGGAAATTCTGGTTCTGCCACACCCTGGCTGTGGGGTTGGACCAGTGTCTAAGTCTTAGTTTCCGCATCTGGAAGATAGAAATGATCATAACTGACTAACTAGCTCCTTCAGAGCCTGGACTCTGGAGCCCAAGCTGCCTCGGTTCAAGTCTCAGCCCAGTCACTTCCCAGATGTGCGACTCAGGGTAAGTGACTTAACTTTACTGCTTCTTAACTTCCTAATTTATAAAAGGGGCACTGTAATATAATCTACCTCATATGCTTATTGTTAATATTCATTGAGTTATTAGTTCATTAGTTAACACCTAAAGTGCTTAGCACCTTGTCTGAGTAAGCACTCCCTATGTGTTGGTTATTATTATCTCATAGGCAGCCTCTCTCTTGTTTTTGTTTTTTGGCAGGGTCTCGCTCTGTTGCCCAGGTTGGAGTGCAGTAGCATGATCTCAGCTCACTGCATCCTTGACCTCCCTGGCTCAAGCGATCCTCCCACCTCAGCCTCCTGAGTAGCTGATTACAAGCATGCACCACCATGCCCGGCTAATTCTTGTATCTTCTGTAGAGACAGGGTTTTGTCATGTTGGGCAGGCTGGTCTTGCACTCCTGAGCTCAAGCCATCCGCCCACCTCGGCATTCCAAAGTGCTGGGATTACAGGTGTGAACCTCTGCACCTGGCCAGGGCAGCCTCTCTTTAGCTACCCACAAACTCATGATGTGTGGATAAGTTTGCTGGGTCTGCTGTAACAAAGTAACTCAAACTGTTCTACTTAAACAGCAGAGATTTATTTCCTCACAGTTCAGGACCTAGAAGTCCAAGATCAAGGTGTCAGCAGGTTTGGTTTCTCCTGAGGCCTCTCTCCTTGGGTTGCAGAAGGCCACCTTCTTGCTGTGTCTTTACGCGGTCTTTCCTCTGTGTGTGCATTTGTCTTCATTTTTCTATGTAGAGTGTCTAAATTTCCTCTTCTTATAGGGTTACCAGTCAGACTGGGCTCACCCAAATGGCATTATTTTAACTTAATCACCTCTTTAAAGACTCTATCTTTAATACAGTCAAACTCTGAGGTAGCCAGGACTAGGGCTTCAACATATTGATTTGGGAGTGGGGGTGGGGACACAGTTCAGCTCATAACAATGTGTACATAGACCCGAACATTATTAGATGTTCCTGTGGGTAAGTCTCTTTCTTAACCTTACTCTTAATGAATGTCAGGATATTTGAGTTCTAGGGATTCCATTTGCAGCATAATAGAATCTGCAATCAGAAAAGCAGGTTTTGAAGTCCAGGTACAAAACCTGGAGAGTTGCAGGAATGAACTTGGATGAACTACATACCCTGCCAGTGTCAATGGTAATTCACACAGAGGCAGCTGTGAGAGGCAACAATGTATGTGAAGGCCCTCTGTGATCTCTCTGCCCCTGGGTTTTTGCCTCTGAACTAAGACAGTACTAGATGGATGGTCTTAACTCTTCATTCCATCTTCAACATTCTATGACTCTGACTCTAAGGGTGGAAATTCAAGTATCAAGGACAAGCTGCCAGTAGCCGAGCACAGTGGTATGTGCCTGTAGTCCCAGATACTAGGGAGGCCAAGAAAGGAGGATCTCTTGAGCTCAGGAGTTCGAGACCAGCCTGAGAAAAATAGACCCTTGTCTCAAATATAAAATAATAATAAAAAAAGAACAAGCTGCTGGGGAAGCAATTTCTGGGCCCGGGGCTTTAATAAACATTGCAGAACTGGCTAGGCGCAGTGACTTACGCCTGTAGTCCCAGCTCTTTGGGAGACTGACGCAGGTGAATTGCTTGAACCCAGGAGCTCGAGACCAGCCTGGGCAACAGGGTGAAATCCCGTCTTTACAAGAAATACAAAAAGTAGCTGGGCATGGTGGTATATGCCTGTAGTCCCAGCTACTTGGGAGGCTGAGGTGGGAGGATCACTTGTGCCCAGGAAGTCAAGGCTGCAGTGAGATGACATTATACCCCTGCACTCCAGCCCTGGGAACAGAGTGAGACCCTCTCTCAAAAAACAAACAACAATAATCACAATAACAACAAAAAACACGGCCGGGCACAGTGGCTCATGCCTGTAATCCCAGCACTTTGGGAGGCTGAAGAGGGCGGATCACCTGAGGTCAGGAGTTGGAGACTAGCCTGACAAACATGGAGAAAACCCGTCTCTACGAAAATACAAAATTAGCCAGGCGTGGTGGTGCACACCTGTAATCCTAGCTACTCGGGAGGCTGAGGCAGGAGAATTGCTTGAACCTGGGAGGCAGAGGTTGCAGTGAGCCGAGATCACGCCATTGCACTCTAGCCTGGGCAACAAAGAGCAAAACTCCATCTCAAAAAAAAAAAAATTATGGAAAAACTGAAGGAAATCATACCATCATAGGGAACCACTCACCTGAATATTCACAAGGCTCAAACTGGAATGTACTAAAGTTCATCATCCATTTCCTGGGCTCTGGCATGTGTGGCTGGACTGCTATGGCAAAAACTCACAGGGAGACAGGCCCACAAACTAGGATTGAACAAAGGAAAGTCCCTGTCCCAACAAATATTACATTCTACTGGATGAACCAGGCCAAAACATACATACACACACACACACACACACACACACACACACACACCATCATACAGTGCTAGGTCATGCTAAGGGTGTAAAGAAAGATAAAGCAGGGTGAGGGTGGCAGTGACTGGGGATTATGCTATGTAAGATGTCCTAGTCAGGGAAGTCCTCCCTGAAGAAGGGGCATTTAGCATCCACCTGGACTATGAGAGCAATGTAGCTGTGGGAATATCCAGAGGAGAACAGGCAGAAAGGCCCTGAGGAGGGGCCGGACATGGCAGGAAACAGCAAGGGGCCCAAGTTCCTAGAGCTGAGCTGGGGGTGAAGAAGCCAGGGGTGGATGAAGTTAGCAGGTCTTGAAGGCCAGAGTCAAGATTCTGGATTTTCATCTAAATGTCATGAAAGTCATTTGAGGATTTTGTGCAGGTGAGTCACCAGCATCTTAAAAGGATCTCTTGACGTGGTTTTGAGAGAAGACTTTAAAGAATCATGGTAATCACAAGGCCGATGGCCAAATATTTCTTGCTCTCTACCTCCTGGGCACATGCTGGCTTCCTGTTTATGCTTCCTGTTGTGCAGCGTGGCCATGAGACTCTGACCAATGAGTTGTGAGCACAGGTCACTGTGTCACTTCCAGGCCAGGCAGCTGGTTGCCAGAATGCGTGCCTCTAGAGCTCCTTTACAGCCACCAATGATGTTCAAGCTGGATGCAGCTCAGAAAGCCTGGGTCTTTGTTTGTGCTGCTATCACAAAACACCCAAGACTGCTGGGTAATTTATAAAGAACAGAAATTTATTGTCTCACAGTTCTGGAGGCAGGGAAGTCCAAGATCAAGGTGCTAGCATTTATTGAGGGCTGCTCTCTGCTTCCAAGGTGGCACCTTGAACACTGTATCCTCCAGAGGGGAGGAACGCTGTGTCCTCACATGGCAGAATGCAGTAGGGCAAAGAGGATGAACTCCCTCTGCCATGCCCTTTTATAGCAGCATTAATCCATTCATGAGAATAGAGCCCTCATGACCTAAACACCTCTGCAAAGGCACTACTTCCCAACACTGTTGCATTGGGAATTAAATTTCCAACGCATGAATTGTGGGGGACACATTCAGGCCACCACAGCCTAGGTCCAAAGAGTGAGGAGAGACAGGGTGGAGGTGTTGACCTGCAGACAAGTGGCTTTAGCAAGAAATCCCTTTAATCACTTTGTTGGGATAAATCACGAAGATTTGGGAGGGTTACCATAGCATAACCAAGCATATCCTGACAGTACAGAGTGCAAGAAGAGAAGACTAGAAGTCCTCCTCTTTTCAGTTAGGAGGCTGAGAAGTAATTCTTTGTTGGACTGGAGCGACAGCAATAGAGATAATGGGAAGTGGTCAGATTCAGGATATATACTGAAGGTCAAGTGCAAAGGCTGGACTGATGTAGGGTATAAGAAAAAGAGAGAAGTCAAGGATAACTCCAAGGATTATGGCTTGAGTAACTGGATAAATTACTGAAAAGAAGAATACTCTGGAAAGGACAGGATTATTCACAGTGCCAGGCAGACAGCAAAGCTACACGATGCTAGGTCTTATGGTTATTACTTTAAGAGGGGAAGGAATATGGAGTGTAGATGCTTAGGGAACTTTTCAATCCAGAGTTATTGAGATGTAACTTATATACAGTAAAATTTACTTACCTTTTTTCAGAGACAGGTTCTTGTTCTGTCTCTCAGGTTGGAGAGCAGTGGCATGACCATAGCTCACTGCAGCCTCAAATTTCTAGGTTCAAGCAATCTTCCTGCCTCAGCCTCCTGAGTAGCAAAATTTACTCGTTTTGATGTACAGGTCTGAGTTTTGACAAATGCATTCTATCTTCTAAGTACCTCCATAGTCAAGATGTAGATAACTTCCACCCTCCCCCTGCATTCTTTTTTGCTGCCACTCCTTTGTAGTCAAATGCTCCCTCCACCCCTAATCCTTGGCAACCACTGATCTGTTCTGTATCCCTCTAATTTTGCCTTTTCCAGAAAGTTACGTAAATGGAACCACACAGTATGTGACCTTTTGAGACTGTGTTCTTTCACTTAGGATAATGTATTTGAGATTCATCCACATTGCATAGATCAGTAGTGTGTTCCTTTTAATTGATGAGTAGTATTCCATGGTATGGATGTGCCACAATTTGTTTATTTTCTCGCCAGTTAAAGGGCATTTGGGTTGTTTCCAAGTTTTGGTGATTATGAATAAAGCTGCTATAAATATCTGAGCACAGGTTTTTATGTGAACATATGTCTTCATTTTTTTTGGTAAATCCCTAGGAGTGGGACTGCTGGCTCATATGGTAAGTGTATGTTTAACTTTATAAGAAACTGCCAAACTGTTTTTCCAGAGGAACTGTACCATATTGCACTCCCACTGGCAATGTGTGAGGGTCACTCCACATCCTCTCCAGCACTTGGGATTGTCAGGTGGTTTTTTTTGTTTGTTTTTTTGTCTTTTTTGCCATTCTGATGTGCAGTGGTGTCTCTTTGTGGTTTCAATTTGCATTTCCCTAATGAATAATGATGTCGAGCATCTTTTCATGTACCTATTGTGCATTCGTGTATCTTTTGGTGGAGTGTCCACTCACATCTCTTGTTCATGTTTTCATTAGGTGGCTTGTCTTCTTATTGCACGGTAAAAGTTCTTCATATATTCTGGATATAAGTCTTTTATCAGATATGTGCTTTGCAAATATTTTCTGTCTTTGATTTGTCCCTTCATATTCTTAACAGTGTCTTTCAGAGAGAAGTTTTTAACTTTGATGGTGTAGAAGCTATCAACTTTTTCTTTTATGGATCGTGCTTTTCGTTTAATATCTAGGAAACCTTTGCCTACCCAAGGCCACAAAGATTTTCTCCTATATTTTCTTCTGGAAGTTTTATAGGTTTAGGTTTCACATGTTGGTCTATGATACAGTTTGAGTTAATTTTTGTCGAGGGTGTGACGTATAAGCCAGGACAATTTTGACTTGTGATATTTCCTACTATGGAAGAGGCAGATCAATGAAACTTCACATCTCTGATAAGCACGTGCACAGATGACACTGTAAAATGTCACCAGGTTGCAAAATCTGGTGAAGGTTCAACGCAGATGGTCAGGGAAGTTCCATCTCGCTCTGACTCCAGGGGAGCTTCTTTAGAAGTTAATCTTATCTTCAGCATTAGTCTCCAGATGTACCCAGTGATACCAGCACAAGCCTCAGGCTTTAAGTGAGATGAGCTGGGTTCTCCCTAGTTCCTAAGACCCTCCAGCTCCAGGTAGGTAGCTGCTCCAAGCAACAGTTTTCTCTTTTAAGCCACTGAAGGAATATTATGTGCAAAGCAGGGCATTAATTCCTAGCTATTAGGATTGACATTTTAACCTTTCTGGCTTCACTCCTTCTTGGGTGGCTTTTTCAGTCACCTCGTGATACAGTTTTCTCCTTCCTCTTCCCCTCAATCACACATAACTCGGAAAGCTTCATTAAGATCATCTAGGTCTTGGTGCCCTTAAAACTACACGGATAAAATCAGCGAGGGCAGAGAATTGAGAAATCAACACCGAATTGCCCACTGGTGATCTGGTCAATTGAGGACATTTTAGGAAAGGCAACTGCCACGTACTATTGCCATCATTCCATTAAAGAAGGGACGCTTAAATTACCCAAACCTCTGAAAAAAGAAAAAAAGTGAAAGAACATCATCTCAGAATAAAAAATAGTCTTTCCCAAGAATCAACCATTGGTAATTTATCTGGTCATAGGAAAGTACTCATACATTTACCCTTTATTTTTCTCATTGCACTGCAGATTGTTGAAAATGTCACCCCCGATCAGGGTGTGGGACTCAGACCATAAGAAGGTGTATCATGGGTGGGGCAGGGGTAAGCACTGAGGTGTTTGGAGCAAACCTTTTTTCTCTCACTTGTTTATAATACCTTCATTGGGGATTCCTAAGGTTCAAAGTCCTAGGCTTAGTGAGTATTCAGGTTTCCGTCTAGGGAGTAGCACTTGCAAATTTAACGGCAGGAGGAAGCCTGAGTTGATAACTTTCCAGCCCTTCCCATTGGCAAGCCTCAGTGGCTTTCACTTCTTTCTTGAGCTGAAGAAAGGAGGGAAGCCCACCCAAGCTGCCCTTCATGGTCTGAATCTGGGCCACTTTAAAGGTCCTTCCACTACCTCCCCTCCTCCAAGGAGTCTGCTTCTCCCAGCATCTAATTCTTTAAGGCAGACACTGACAGTCCCAGGTAGACATATTCTTGTAAACTCATCAGTGGCTTCCATCGCATTCAGGATAAAGACCTCACTCCCAACTCACTCCCTACCCTGCCATATGGATCTATCCAGCCACCTGCCTCTCCAGCCTCATTTCTCCTCTCTGGCGGGACTCTGGCCACAGCTGCTTGCCTTTAGCTCCTCCAAAGCACCAGACACCTGACTGCTTTTGCCTTTTTTTCTTGTGGGCAACTTAACTTTTTCAGGGGAGTTCCCGGCTCCACCGGCTACATCAACAACCTCCCTCTCTTAGCACCCTCTCACCTCTCATCTCGTATTTTGTCTTTGTAGCAATTGTCACAATTGTAATTACTTGTATAATGTCTGGCTCCTCAACTAGGAGGTAAACTCCAAAAGATTAGGAATGAAGTCTATTTTGTTTATCTGATCTTCCATTCCCTGGCATGAGCATGATAGCTAGTTGCTACTCAATATATTGTTAAATGAAAGAGATTTTTTTTTCAACGAATGTACACTAGTCAGTGTTCTAGGCACTTGATATATACTAGGTGGGATGGTGGGGGGAACACAGCAGAAAAATAAAATCCCTGCCATCATGAAGCATATATTCTACTGGGGCAAGGATCTGCTTAAACAAGATAACTGAACTGTGGGGTACATTAGAGAAAAAGTCTCCTCATTATAAGAGCCAAATGTAGGGTATGCTAAGGAGAGAAAAGTAGAGCAGGACAGAGGGACATGGGACATCAGGTTGTGGGTTGGTGTATGAAATTTTTAGATTGGGCCGGGTGCAGTGCCTCACGCCAATAATCCCAGCAACTTGGGAAGCTGAGGCCGGAGGATCTCTTGAGCCCAGGAGCTCCAGACCAGCCCGGGCAACATGGTGAAACCCTCTCTCTACTTAAAAAAAAAAAAAAGAAAAAAAAAGAAAAATTAGCTGGGTGTGGTATTACATGCCTGTAGTCTCAGCTACCCAGGAGGCTGAGGTGGAAGGATTGTCTGAGTTCAGGAGGTTGAGGCTATAGTGAGCCGTGCTGTGATCCTGCCACTGCACTCCAGCCTGGGTAACAGAGCAAGACTCTGTCTCCAAAAAAAAAAAAAAAAAAAAAAAGAAAAGGAAAGGAAAAGAAACAAAACACATGCAGATGTAGATTGCGTGACCAGGGAAAATCTCAGTGAGGAATTGACTTTTGCGTAAAGACCTGAAGGAATTGAGGCAGCTGACAATGAATGTGGGTATCTGCGCAAAGAGCATTCCAAGCCAAGGAAGCAGTAAGTGTGAAGGCTCTGAGGCCCTGAAGGTAGGGAACTGTTTTAGGAACAGCCAGGAAGCCGGTGTGAGTGAAGCGAATGAGGGGAAGGAAGTCAAAATGTAGACTTCGAATGTGTCTTATGTATCTGTGGAAACATTTATACTGGACATTTCTTGGCCAGTGCTTCTAACCAGCATCTACACTAAAACCACGGGTTTCAAACAATTTTTTTTTTCTCTTTGAAGCAGAGTCTCACTCTGTTGCCCAGGCGGGAGTGCAGTGGTGTGATCTCATCTCACTACAACCTCCGCCTACTGTGCTCAAGTGATCTTCACACCTCAGCCTCCCAAGTAGCTGAGACTACAGGAGTGCACCACCATGCCCGGCTAATTTTTGTATTTTTAGTAGAGACAGGGCTTCACCATGTTGGCCAGGCTGGTCTCAAACTCTTGGCCTCAAGTGAAACATTTGCCTCGGCCTCTCAATCAAATAATTTTTAAAGCAGTAGAACCCTTTTGTCAAATGAAATATGAAATGGAGGTTCAAGGGAGGAAACAGAGGAGCAGGGACTGGCTGGCAACTCTCACTGTTACTCTCACCCCATACTGGTCCAAGATGACATCTTAGAGGAAAATTAGTTCCCCACCCAGCTCAGCCTCTAAACCCCACTCCAGAATCACAGTACGCTCTGCCTAGAGCCACAGCACTCTGGAGCACACTGTACCAGAAATAGTCCCATTTGACTCATACAACTACAAGGAGACTTTCAATAGATATTTGCCTCCAACATCTGAATGAAATTAGAGCCTCTAAAGTTACAACCACATGGTGATCCTTGGGTCTGATAAGTTCCTAGAGATAGTTCTCTACTCTGAAATTGTTTTTCTTAAACACATTTTTTTGATTTTTTGGTTTTTTTTTTTTTAGACGGAGTCCTGCTCTGTCGCCCAGGCTGGAGTGCAATGGTGCAATCTTGGCTCACTGCAACCTCCGTCTCCCTGGTTCCAACAATTCTCCTGCCTCAGCCTACCGAGTAGCTGGGATTACAGGCGCCCATCACCACGCCCGGCTATTTTTTTTTTATTTTTAGTAGAGACAGGGTTTCACCATGTTGGCCAGGCTGGTCTCGAACTCCTGACCTCAGGTGATCCACCCACTCGGCCTCCCAAACTGCTGGGATTACAGGTGTGAGCCACCGTGCCTGGCCCTTCTTAAACACATTTTTAAAAACTTTTTCTTTTTTGAAAAGATAACACAAGACAAAGATACAAAACGACATACTAAAACAGTCAACCTCCTATGGATAAATTACAGTGTATTTGCAATGGAATTCTACACACTTAAGCAAACAAAAATGAACTATTGATGTAGGCAACAACGTGGATGGATATCACAAATATGCTGAGCGAAAGGTGCCAGCCAGACACAAGAGTACAGACCATATGACCCCTGCATATGACCTTAAAGAACAGGCAAAACTAATCTTTGGTGACAGAAGTCGGAATTGTGGTTACCTAAGTGAGGGATGACTCATTGGGAGGATAAAATGTTTTATTGTTCTAATGGTGGAAAGAGGGGTGTAGATGTATGCACTAAGCTGCAGTGTGAAAATTTGTGTATTTTATTCTATGTATAGAATAATAACAAAGTCTCCTTTCCACTACTATGGCTCCCAGCTACCTCCCCGGAGGCCACTCTTCCAGTGAGGATTTCTTAGTGCCCCGTTTCTGTCACGACCTTCATGCCAGGGGCAGAGTCCTGGGAGCATGCCAGGGAGACACCAGAGGCCAAGGCTGCTCCATGGCGCAGCTGCACTGGGCCATGGCTTGTGTACGTACCCTTTGGCTTTCTACGGCCCTTTTACCCCTAGAACGCTATCCCTCTCTCTTCCTCTTCCTTCTTTCATCCCTCCCCTAAGGAGGCAGCTGTGGCATTGAGGCCTTGAGAGGTTGCTGACCCTTGCTAAACAGTGTTGCTTCTCCTGGCCCTCCTGGGTGCGCCTGCCTGGAGAGGACACTGCGTGCTGATCAAACTTATTGTTGACACATTCATTCTCTCTTTTATTCTCTCCCTTCTGATCCCTGGACTGATCTCTAGGAATTTCTGCTCCCTGGGTGCTCAGTCTCAGTGAGCTTCCCTGGTGGCAAGCCCTGATATGCTTCCCTTCCATGGGGCAGTCCTGATAACAACCTATTTTATATTTGCATATAAACCTGGCTGAGGGTCTGTCTTAACTCCAATCCCCCCACCCCCGGGCCCCAACTCCTAGCAGCATTCTAAGACTCCGTCCCTCCCCTAACCTGGGGCTTCAGCACAGCCGCGTCTGTGTCTTTTATCATCTGGGGTCGTCCTCCTACCAGATCTCCCTGCCTGAGGACAGAGGGTCCTGAGTCACGTTCAAGTCAATTTGGCAAGCGTTTTTGGAGCAGGGCAGAAAGTGAAGGGCACTACCCTGTTCCTCGACTTCAAAAATCGAACGCGGGGGAAATGGTGCACAATTCAGGCCCAGTTATAATAGCTCCTAATACCCAATATCTTGTTTTGGTCCTTCGTGAATACCAGGCATCCATCAGCGAACCTTCCATGCCTGATTTCTCCGAATATTCAAAACAACCCTGGGAGGATGAGCCCCATTTTGGAGATGAAGGAGCTGAGGCACGAGGTTTTAATGCGGGCATGTGGTCGCCAGAATTTGAATAGCAACTTCCCTAAGGAAACGCCCTATTTAGACTCTAGGGGAGAGGAGGATCCCAGGAGGAGTCCGCCAGCAGAAGCTCAGAGTCTGGCCTGGGGGCATTTAGTTATGCCACGCCCTTTCTCTACTGTTCCCTCCCGCGACAGGGGCCTGACAGGGAGTGGGGCTTCGGGCCAGCGTCTCGGCCGGACGCAGGGACTTCAGAAGAGGCAAATACAAAGCTCCGCATGGCAGAGGAACAGAGGGGCGCGGGGGAACGCGGTCCAAAGGTGGACCTTGTCGGCCCCTGGGCACTGCAAGCCTCGAGGCGCTGCGAGCGGTGAGGCTGTTGCAAGCTCCCGCGGCGCGCGCAAACTGCGTGGAACTACTTCCCCGGGGCGGCTTCGGGGCCGGGGTCCCGGCAACAGCCTCACGGGGCGCCGTGCGGGGCCCGAAGCCAGTTGCCAGCTCCCGGGCGCGGCCACGTGCGCCCCGCCGGGCTTGCACGCTCCGCCGCGCCGGGCCGCGGGGCCACCGACAGGCACGCGCGCCCCCAGCGCGCACACACTCCCGGGCACGCACACCGACCGCCCGGCCCACGTCCGCCACGCCCCGCCTTCCCCCGCGCCCCGCCTCCGCCCTCGCGGCGCCGGCCGCCGCCCTCCCATTGGCCGCACGGCGCGTGACGCGCGGCGCCAGGCCCCGCCCCTCGTCAGTCACTCGGCGGAGGCGGCGCTGGCGGGGACTAGTCTCGTCCGGAGACTGTGATGGATTTAACCAGGTGGGGAGGGAGGGAGGGCGCGAGCTTGGGAGTGGAGAGGGAAGGAGCCGGCCCACTCCCCGTCGCCGGCCTCGGGCTGCCCCTGCGCGCCCCCTCCAGATCCGGCCCGCGGCTCCCCTCCCGGCCCCCCCAGCCCCACGCTCAAGTCCACAAGTCCGCCCGCTTCCTGCGCCCGCCGCGGCCCTTCCCGGGGCGCCGCCGCCACCGCCTGGTGTGCGAGGCTATCCGGCCCGGGCCCGGGGCTTGCAGGGTGCCAGTGGGGGCGCCCGGTTCCCTTCCTCGCTCTCTCTTCCAGTCCCCGGAAAGGGTGGGTGGGTGGTCTCCCGAGCGAAGTTTCCAGCACTGGATTCCTGCGAAATTACGACGGCTCACCCGCGTCTGTGTTTTGCTGTCTCTCCCCCGTTTTCCTGCTCCCTGCCTCTTCCCTCCCTTTTCCCCCACTCTCCACTCCTCGGAAGGCCAAAAAGACAAGCGAAACCTGCCGCAGACGAAGGGTTTTGGGATTGTAGCGTCTGCACCTTCAGAAACAGTGCTGAAGCCTTTAAATGCAGCATCTGCGATGTGAGGAAAGGCACCTCCACCAGGTACTTGAAGATCTGTGTTACCTTTTGTTAAAGGACTTTTTTTTTTTTTTTTTAAGTGAGAGGGTAGTGAGCCTTACTTTCTGCCCTTTTTCCAACTTGTTGATTACGGCTTTTTTTGTATTTGCGGGTGGGTTGTGTGTGTTTTTGGGTTGAGTGTATTAAGTGTTGGGTGAAAAGCCTTGTGTTCGCTAAATGATTTATGGGAGGGAATTTTTCCAGGTTTTCATTTTATTTCAAACGGACACTGGATTTATTTGACACTTGTGTCTATTGGCTTATTGGTATTGGCTGGGGAAGAGAGGAAGCAGTACTATCGCTATGGATTGTAGGACATAGATGTTTTATATTTTTGCCATGTGTAGAATGGTTTTAATTTGCCTGTCCCGAGTTACTTTTCTCTTGTCTGAGAAATTTAGTGGGGGTAGTAAGGCTGGCTGTGCTTTTCCTGTCTTGAGCTGCAAATGTCTGTTACTTTCTTGCACTTGAAAATAAATGTCGGTATTTGATAAAGTAAGTGCATTTTGTGGGAGACTGAGCTGTCAGTTTTTTTTTTCTTTGACTAGCTTATGTGGGGTGGTGATGGGGGACGATTTTGTAAAATGGTGAAATGAGCAGTGACTGTGGAAGTTTGTGTTTAAAGCTCTGTGATGATGAAAAGAATGTTGAAAGAATTCCTTTTCATTTTGATGAAGGTCGTAAACTGCATGTGATGTTAAAACGAGTTAACTACTTTAGATTTAACATTCATAAATACTTGGATAAAATGTCAAGACTCATGTAGTCTTTTGGTCATCTTTTAATTTATGTCTGAATTTGTTTCATTGGCGTTAGAGTTTGAAGTTAAACTGTTCTTGGTGTCATTTAATGAACAGGCATTGGGTGTGTGTGTGAGACAAGAATGAGTTTTTGGTGGATCCTTTAGAACATTACAGTTGATTGCCAAAAGTCTCATTTTATCAGGTACTTATTTTTGAATTGGTGACATTTCAGTGTGACTGTGTAGTAGTACTTCACAGTTCCAACTGGATATTGTTCTTTGATTAGATGAATATGTCATGTTAAGGTTTCATTGGTTTATTTATACTTGGGATTAAATAGGATTATTGGGCAACCTAAAATAATCTAACTCTGAGATTAATTGGCCTAATTATTGTTTCTGTGAATTGCACTCTTTAAATGATGATACCTTTGAATAAAAATAATCAAAAACTAAAAATATTACTCCATACGTTGTTTTAAGAAATTTTTGTCGGTGTTTTGTATTATCATGGAATATATCTAAAGTAAAAAACACGCATCAGTAGTTTCATAGATTTTGTTTTGCTGTCTAAAATAGGGAATTCCATCAAATGGCATGAAAGTTTTTAGAAATGTATTTGTTATTTAAAGCAGTAGTGATTGTATATTATTTATGAGTAATGTTTTTTACATGTAGAAGCCCTCAGAGGCCAAACCTCTTTATTGTGGTTTTGCTTTGAGTGTTACCGTAGATGGTGTTCAAGTAAATGATTAGGAAACTCCTAAGAACTTGAGAACATTACTGGTGAAGAGAAACGTAAACCAAATTCAAAAGTTTATGTCTGATTTATCGCTGGGAATGATTATCTCATAATGAAGTGCATTTCAGCTTTTAACATGTATTTTAAAAAACCTTACTCATCAATTTTTCGGAAGCACATGGAAGGTGTTGACTTTTAAAAAAGGTATGTATGTATGTTTAAAGTTTTTTCAGAGCCGCAGATGACTGTTGAAACTTAGTTAAAACTACTGAATTATTTACAGTGAAAATATTTTAGAGTCTATTCAGGAACAGGGAAAGGCGTCTACTTTAAGGGTCTTCGAGTAATTTTCTGATGTCATTTAATAGAATTTGAATACAGATTTAACAGGTGTGAGGACTGAAAACTGTGTGCATTCATGACACTCTTAGCTGGCCACAGTTGGTTTCATTTTGGTTATTGTCAATATTTTGGTGTTTTAGATCTATTCAGAAGTCATCGTTGGTTGGAATGCAAATAACGTTTTGGTTTTCCTACATTATGAACAGGTTTTATGTGGAGAAGTGAGTTTGACAGGTTTTCATCCTATCCTGTCTTGTGTGTTAACTGTTGGTTAATCCCTTTGTGATACTGGTTACTGCCATGTTTTTTTCTTGGCCCTCTTGTATTTTTTTTGTACCTCAAAAGTTTGAGTATGAACTTGACATTTTCTATCTTGTGTAGTTTTAATCAGACTTGGTATAGATTGATGGCAGTAGAAAACTTGTGTTTTGGATGCTGGGTAATAGGCAATATTTGTGATTTTTAGAATAATTTGTTTCGTGGCACAGAAATTGTATTTTATTGCTCTGAGCTGGTGTTATGTATTTTAACAATTCTAGCTAGTTGGCTAGCCGGTGGTTATTTTGCAGTTTTTGATCATTCTCATCACTGTCACCTTCATCTACCAGTCAACCAAGGAAACCACCTATGACTTAGTGGTAGGCCAGTATGATAGAGAACTATATTTGCCCTTTGAGGGTAGAATTGATATTGCTGATGTGATTGGGAAAATACTGCCATTCGTCTGAAGAACACTTATTAAATTCGTAGGATATGAAAGATGCTGCTGAAGGGATTGGAGAGAGGAGAGGGGAGTGTTAAAATGTTGATAAGCCGTGTATGGGAATGACCATAATTCCAATTATAAAGGCTGTACGGAAGCAGGGGTCTGGCTTAGGGAATCAGTTAGAAGGATTCCTTCTTCTCCACTTCTTTTGGACAAGGAGAATTAAAAAATCACCTGTCACCTTTTCACTATTACCATGTACGTCAGATATTTTTAGTTCTGCAGGTGGAATTGTTAAGGTGATTGAGAATGAGGTCTTTTTTTTCTTTTTGGAGCAGCAATAGAGCAGAATGAAAGGTGAGATGGTCTTAAGGAATCTGTTAAGGGAAGAAGGTGGCCTAGGCTGTGTGGAGGTTCAGGGGCAGCAGGAGAGATCTATATTTTAGATGTATTATCAGTATGTGTTGGGTGTCTTTGGTTTTTTGATAAACTTGTTTTTCTAACTAGACTGTCCACTCTTTGTGCCTTTTCTGGTTATATATATATCCTTTTGTTTGGAGACAGGGTCTTTCTCTGTCACCCAGGCTGGAGTGCAGTGGCATGCTCATGGCTCACTACAGCCTCAACCTCCGTGGCTCAAGCGATTCTTCCACCTGAACCTCCTGAGTAGCTGGGACTACGGGTGTGCACCATCACATCCGGCAAAGTTTTGTAATTTTTGTAGAGACAAGGTTTCGCCCTGTTGACCAGGCTGGTCTTGAACTCCTAACCTCAAGTGATCTTTCTGCCTTGCAGGAGTGAGTGATAATTTACTTATAACACCCATTGTAAGTCTGCAAATCAGTGATTTCTAGTCATTTTAAAGAGTTGTGCAGCCATCACGGCAACCCAGTTTTAGAACATTTCCATCATGTCAAATGGTTTCGTTATATCCGTTCTGTAAGTCTAACAGAACAGAATGGAGAAGTCATGGGCAACAGGTTGCTTCCCTACCATGCTGATGTACCCTGAGCCTTTCAAGGTAGAAAATAAAAGTGCATGTTAGAATGTGTGTGTAAGGTGGCAAGTGGCTGGGGGAGAAACACTATCCCTTTCTTAAGTGGTAAAGTAGTATTTCCCATCCTGCTTTGCCAGTCTCAAGAAAGAGGATACCGGCTTTTAAAAGTAGAAGAAAAAAACTACAAATGCATGAATGTACCCAACTGTGTGTGTTTTTTTTTTCTTTGTATTTTCCACCTTCCTACACTTCCAGCTGATGTTTTTTTTGTTGTGGTGGTGGTTTTTTTTTTTTTTTTTTAAATGAAGAGACAAGGTCTTGCTATGTTGCTCAGGTTGGTCTTGAATTCCTGGCCTCAAGGGATCCTCCTCCATTGGCCTCCCAAAGTGCTGGGATTTGCCCAGCCCCTAACTGTTGTTTTGTTAAGTTGCATTTCTCAAGATTGGGCAGAGTAGCTTCCTAGACTTGGTGATTTAATTTTACTTTTCTTGTCTTGTTATTTCTCTGCATTCAATGTTACCTTAATTGTAAAATAAAAATTACCAAGACATTGCTGAATATAGTTGTTGATTAGTGTTCCCTTGATAGTAGTCCTGCATTTTTACTTTCAGCTACTGCTTAATCACATTCATTTGCAAAATTGGAAAATTTTTACTTTGGCTAATTACCATAGGTTTAGAACTTTCTGGTCTTCAGCTCCAGAAATGTATCGCTGTGTTGAGATCATGTTTTATTTCATCCATGTTTATTTGAATACTGCCCCTCTGAAAAGCTGACTGTTTTTGGAGCTTTTATACACAAGTATGAGTGAGGAAATTACTTTAGGTGTAGAATAAAATTGTGTAGAAATAATTATCTTTGAAAAAATTTGGTATTCAGGATATTGAATTGGAAGTGTTGAAGAAGCAGCTGTTTTGTGTGTAATACGTTTCTCTTGTTTGAGAATTTACCAGTTTTTTGCAGTTGTAGCTTTGAACTATCCATTCCCCCCTTAAATTTAGATACCCTGACAACCAAAAATCTCTTGAATTGTCATGAAGTACTTTAGTAGAAGTTTTATGGAAAAACACAACATAGCTATGATCTTTGCTGGAAGCTTCAAAAAGGCATCATCGTGTGATGCTTTTTAGGTAGAAAAACTCCCAGAAATAAGATAAGGTACCTACACTGGGCAAAGCCCAAGCCTCTTACTCATGTTTCCTGGTAATCCACAGCAGTGGTTTTGCTCCTTTCATGACATTGTTTTTGTTGTAGTGTTTGTCTTTCATAAAAATTCTCCATAAAAATATATAAAAATTACCTGTCTTCCAAATCAAACTTTTATCAAACCTTCCAAGCTGAAAGCTGGTACAATTTAAGATCATTTTACCCAGGAACAGAGTAATAATTTATTTTGTGTTTACTGTTTCATTGGACTTACTGATTTATTGGTGGTGACTTGATCTTATGTGTACTTGGTGACCTTAAAGTAAATTACCTGGGTAGTTGTGGTCATTTGACAAGTTTTTATTGAGCACACAGCCATTTGCGCTCTTGGTGTACAGTGGTATAAAGACAGACCAGGTCCCTGTTCTTACGGAGCTTAAAATACTATGGAAAGGAAGAGAAAATAAACTAACAGAAAAATAACAATTTCAGCTGGCGACAAGTGCTACGAAGAATTTAGAGAAGGGTAAGGAACTACAGAGTGATGAGAACTGGGTGGAGTGACTGCTTTATAGACAATGTTGAGATAATGCATTTAATTTTTTAGGAAAAAGTAATGCTACTTCCTTTTGGAGCCGGGGATAATTCTTATGTAGGTTTACCTGTGCCATTTAGCTCATTTGGTTGGGGGACAGACAGCTTTTAGATTTGGAGCCCTTGTGCATAGGCTGCTAAACTTATAAACTTAGTTCCATGTTGTAGACTAAACCTAGGCCAGCTAATTTACTAGTATTGTTAGTCATTAGGGTGGGAGATTATGAATGGATTCACTTACATATTATTTATTCATGTGGCATATATTTGTTGTGTATTTCAGTAGGTGCTGAAGAAAATTCCAGGATTAAGAAAAACTTTCTCAAGTAGCTGTAGTTTACCAAAATAGTTATCAGAACTAATTTGGTTCATTAGGACTTTGAGTAAATAGTAGGTCTCTCGTGTCCTAAATGACTTGAGCTAACACATTCTGCAGTCTTTCTGGCACTTCTTTTCTCTTTTGCCTCATCACCCATGCTTTTTCTCTTTGTGGCATCTTCTGTGTTACTTTTCATAACTAGTACTCCCACTTCCCTTTTTACCTATAGATACAAACTTTTTCAACGGTCGCATACATAGAAGTGCACAAATCGTAAGTATAAGGATTTGATAAAGTTTTGCAGAATGAGCATATCTTTGCCACTAGCACCCAGATTGATTTTTTTTTTTTTTTTGAGACAGGTATCTGGCTCTGTTGCCCAGGCTAGAGTGTGGTGGTGTAATCACAGCTCACTGTAGCCCCTACTTTGAGGCCCAGGTGATACTCTCACCTCAGCCTCCTGAGTAGTTGGGACCATAGACATGTGCCATCATGCCTGGCACATTTTTAAGGGCTTTTTTTTTTTCTTTTTGTGAGACACGGTCTCCCTATGTTGCCTAGGCTAGTGTCTTATTTCTGGGCTCAAGCGATCCTCCCGCCTCAGCCTCCCAGAGAGTTGGTATTATAGGCATGAGCCACTGTGCTGGCTTGCACCTAGATTCTTAAAGAGAACATTACTAGAACATTACCGGAAGCCCCTTGTGCACTGTCCCCTGTGGGCCACTTCTCCCACCCCATTCCTGTCTTTTAATACTAGAGATCAGTTGTGCTTGTTTTTGAAATTTATGTGAGTGGAGTATACTATGTATACAGTACACAGTAAATACTGTATGTACCACTGCCTATATACAGTATACTCCACAGTGAGTGAAACAAGCCAGACTCAGAAGCATACATACTGTATGTACCACTTTGCTTAGTAGCCACAGTGTATGCACCATGGTACATGCATATACTTCTGAATCTGGCTTGTTTCACTCATGGTTAGGTGTGCAGGATTCATCCATGTTGTTGTGTGCAGTTCTTGCTTATTTTACCAGTCTGTCTTATCCTGAGAATATCTTTGACATTCAACTCTGCATGCAGACCCTTCCTTACACGTTCTAGAGAGAGGACCTGTCTTCACCCTGTGTTTATTACCCACATACTTGAACAGCTGTTTCCTCCAGGCATCATTATGCAAAAGGAATGAAACCCGGTGTGTGCAGCTTTTTTAGAGGACGTAAAAGGAGTCAGCTCTTGCCTCTCATCAATAGTATTGTTTATCAGTCATTTCTCTTTTGAGGCATTGGTTGAATAAATGGGAAAATTCCTGCTTTCAAGGAACTTAGCAGACTTGTTGACAGATAAGACCATAAGAAGAAAGCCAGTGAAGTACCCAGTGATGTGAACGCCATGGTATGAGCAAGTACATAATAGAGACCACAAGTGCTTTTTAGAAGTTAGAGATAGTCATTCTCTGGGGCTTCCTCAGGAAAATCCTCGCTGAATCTGGGATCTAAACTGGGCCTTATGATTCTTGGATATAAGGTTTGTTGTATAGGTTGATACAAGTTACTTATTAATAGTTGTTTGCCCCCCTCCCTTTCACTATCTTTAGGTGATGATGTCCACACCTTTCCACATCTCCTCAGGAGCTGGTGATTCCCAGATACTATTTGTTAACCTGCATCACCACTCCCATGCACACGAACACAGGACAAACAAATCCAGCTGCTTCCTGGCATCTCTACTTGAACAACTTAAAGGCAATTCAGATCCCACAGGGTGAAAAGCTGAATTCATCTATCAGAGTGTTTTCTAAAATCCCAAGTAGATTATGTCCCATTCCTGCTTAAAATGATCTCCTGATTCTCATTGCCTTTTGGATAAAATCCAATCCTGAGTATCAACAAGGGGCTTGTGATTTGGTCCTTTTCTGTGTCATTCTTTAGAATTTCTGGAAGCAGCCTATCATCGCTCCGTCTGCCCTCCATACACAGCGTTTGTGTGTGTTATGCCAAACTGCTTGGTGTTTTCCAACCGTGGACCATGATATCTCACTTCCTTAACCTTACCTTCATATGCTTTTCCTTTGTGTCTTCTTCTGAAATGCTTCTTCCTTTTGTCCAGGCTGACTCCTGTTTGTCTGAGACTTGTGTCTCAGGAAGCCTTTCCGTTCCCCTCCAGTCATTCATACCTCTGTCATAACACATAGACTGTATTTTTAATTTGATTTCCAATCTGTCTCTTTTAGGTTGTCACCTTTTTTGAGGGCAAGACCTTTTTGTTTCATGGCTTTAGTTTGCTGTGTTTGTTACAGTGCCTGGCATTTGGTAGGGGTTGAGTAAATGTATACAGAATAAATGAAGCCTGGGAGAAGGAGTTCCAGTTAAGAGTTCTAATAAATAACTGTTTTTTCAAAATCTTGGGGCTTTCATCTTGTGTGTTGAATGTTACTGGATTAGGGGAAAGTTGTCTTTATGAAGTGGGCCCTTTAAACTAGTATTCCTGTTTTTCTGTTATAGTTCCCTACTCCCCGCCCCACACCCCCTCTAAAAAAAAAGTACTAGAAGTTACACACAGAACTGTAGCCTTGGAGGCTGTAGGCAGTGCATTTAAAGTACTTCTGGAGTGGTTTTGAGCTTCAGAGCATTGACACACTTCCCTAAATAACTGTGACAATTCTTTCTATTTGCTGTTGCCCATCGGTGATTTCAGTGGCCAGTAGTCATACTGGAAAGTCTGATAATAAAGCAGGGGATCAGTCATGTGGTACCAAACCAGTTGTGGGGAATGTTAGATGTGTTAAGATGTGATTAGCAACGACATTCCTGTTTGTAAACTGGCATCTATGGCGGTTTAAAAATGGTGGCAAAACCATTTTGAGTATTGTTGGAAATGTTATCTGTTCTGCCGTGTTAATATACCTATAAGTTGGTAGTTGCATCTTGTACCCTTGATAGTCATACTTTGTACATTGTGTATGCCACTCTTCTGTTGAGTAATTTGGATTAATTACTTTGGAGATTGAAGTCTTGACTCATTCACTTCACTCATTTATTTAGCTGTATTTTCAGTTCCATGCAATGAGTGACACAGACTGTGCTGCCAAAAAGGAATTCTCAGTAAGGGCAATGCACATAAATTACTGTGTTACTCAGAAATCATGAATAGTTGAGATCACAAGGTAAATGGTAAAAATTTTGTTTTTAAATAGGATTAAATATGACTTTCTCTCCTCCTTTCTCCCTCTGTCAATTTAGGAAATCTACTTAAATTGTCCTGTGGTTGGGAAAAGAAACTAGTGGAAGGAATATGTTAAAAAAGCATCTTTCTTAAAATGTATTCAAAATATTTTTCTCTACAATTTAAGAGCATTAGCAAATACAACCTAGGATGAAACTTTAACAGCCTTTGAGAGGGACAAGAAATGAAATTAAGGGTGATATATGATGCCAGTATCATCGGTGTATTGGGTCTCATAATACATACAATACATGGTAGTTAGTCATAGGGAGAAAACAAACCTGGTGGCTGCTTTCTAAGAACAAATCAGATTTCTTGTGTAGCTATGTGGTTTAACTGTTCTTGCCCTTCTTTTACAAAACTAAACAGGTTTAGTATCATAAGTGCTACAGAAATAGTCAAGATTGCAATAATTAGGAATCTAGCTCAAACTACCTTAAGTCAAAAAAGCCAAAAATTTATTGGCCCACGTAGCCAATGAGAGAAAGTTGATGTTTAAACTCAGGGAAACGGGAAGAACTGCAGGAATCAGAACTCCTGTCACTTGACTAGTCCCTAGATTAAAACAGAAAAACAAATAAACAAATGTCACCCATCATCCTGCCATTCAGAATTATTTATTGAGCAGTTTGTTCATTGGACTTCACGTATTTGAGTAACTACGGTTTTCCAGGTGCTTTGCTTTAATAATGATATTTCACTGAATTTTCAAAACGATGGTTCCCTGTGGTAGTGGGAATTATGCTATGTGTTATATGAAACAAAGTAAGTTTGATTTTTAAAGGCGTGTATTCTGGCCTGTTGGTTGATAGAGTTCATTTTGATTTCTTCTTCTAGGGGAGAAGTTTTATGAACACTTAATGGTTTTAGAGTTCTATTTGTAGAAAATAAAGATAAAATCCAGATTTATTTCAGGATTATTTTCATTTTGGGAAGAACCAAAACATTGGATTCTTAATATCTATAGCATAATTAACTTTGCCCAAATCTTCCATTAAAGAATAATTATGTATACAAGAGAACCCACATGTAATATTTTTGTTCTAAATTTGTTTAGAGTGCTGGTTCTCAAACTTTAGCATGTTATCAGAATCACTTGGAAGAAGACTTCTTCAACACATTGCTGAGTCCCATTCCCAGAGGTTCAGAAAATTAGATGTTGACATTTTCAAAGTGAACTTAAGAGAAGTAAGTGGTCTGCATTTATAGGAACCATGTTTTTGGCATTTGAGGTGATGCCTTAATTGATGAAAACATTGTGCAAAGTATAGGAGTGTTTATAAATTAGGGAACCATATCAATTAAACTCTTATCTTTTTGCATTCTAAAATCATCTATCTTGCATTATTAGCACTTAGGATTGGATTTCAGATATGTTTAAAAAAAAAAAAAATCTCATTTCTGGCTGTGATGTGGTGGCTCATGCCTGTTATTCCAGCACTTTGGGAACCTGAAGCAGAAGGCTTGCTTGCTCACAGTTAGGAGTTTGAGACCGGCCTGGGCAACAAAGTGAGAACCCGTCTTTACAAAAATAAAATTAGTTGGGCATGGTGGTGCATACCTGTAATCCCAGCTACTTGGGAGGCTGAGTCAGGAGGATCCCTTGATCTCAGGAGTTCGAGGCTACAGTCATCTATGACTGCGCTCCTATACTCCAGCCTGGATGACAGAGCAAGACCTGGTCTCAAGAAAAAAAAAAATCCTATTTTTTTTTTGCATTGCACAGCGGAGAGATGGAACCAGGTCTTATAATCAGTAAACCAATATTCCAGTAAAAAGCCTGCAAAGAATGCAAATAAGTAATAAAATAACTACAAATTAAGTCAGTAAATATGAGAAATGTATAGCCTACCCATTACTCAAAGGAATACAAAGTAAGATAACTTTTTTTTTTTTGGCAAATCAAGTTTTAAAGATTAAAAAAATAACTTCAGTGAGACTGAGAGATAGGCATTCTAATAGACTCTTTGCGAGTATGGGAGTTGATTTACATTTTCTGACTGCCAGTACGGCAGTTAGTATCAAATGCCTTTGAAATATTTGTACCCTGTGATCCAGCAACATAACTTCTAGGAATTTGCTTGACCTGCTTATAAAAATTTCTGTTACGAATTACGTCATTATTACAACAAAAAATTGAAAATGACTTAAATAGGGATCCTTAGGGAATTGCCAAAATTATGGAACCACCATGATGGAATATTTTGCAGCTGTTAAAAATGTTTGGTAGGTTTTCATACCTGTCATTTGTTTTTTTTTTTTTTTGAGAGGGAGTCTCTCTCTGTTGCCTAGGCTGGAGTGCCGTGGTGCGATCTTGGCTCACGGCAAGCTCCACCTCCCGGGTTCACGCCATTCTCCTGCCTCAGCCTCCCAAGTAGCTGGGACTACAGGTGCCCGCCACCACACCCGGCTACTTTTTTTGTATTTTTAGTAGAGACAGGGTTTCACCGTGTTAGCCAGGATGGTCTCCATCTCCTGACCTCGTGATCCGCCTGCCTTGGCCTCCCGAAGTGTTGGGAGTACAGGCATGAGCCACCGTACGCAGCCCATACCTGTCTTTTTTTTTTTTAAGTTTTCAGATCTGCCACACATTGCTGGTGAGAATATAAAATCGTACATTCCACTTTGGAAAATAGTTTGGCAGTTTCTTACAAAATGAAACATATACTTACCATATGACCTAGCAGTTGCCTCCTGAGCATTTATGCCAGAGAAATGAAAGCTAATGTTCACAAAAAAAACCTGTCCACAGCTTTATATGTAATAGCCCAAAACTAGAAAAAACTCACACGTTCTTCAGTAGGTGAATGGTACATTCATACTATGGAATACTATTCAGCAACAAAAAGGAACAAACTATGGATACATAGAATAACTTGGGTGGACTCCTGGGGCTTTATGCTGAGTGAAAAAAGCCAATCTTAAAAGGTCTCGTACTATAGGATAATTTCAAGAATTAACATTCTTGAAATGACAAAATTACAGAGATAAGAGAACACATTAGTGGTTGCCAGGAGTTAGGACTAGTGGCAGGAGGGAGGGAGATGGATGTAACTGTAAAAGGGTAGCAAGAGGAAGATCTTTGTGGTGATGAAGTAGGTTTGCATCTTGATTGTAGTGGTAATTACATGAATCTAAACGTGATAAAGTGGCATAGAACTATATGCATACCTACCAGTGTCATTGTGTTATCAAGAAGGTGCACATGTTGGGAAACTGGGTGGAGATTACATGGGACCTCTGTGTACCATTTTTGCAACTTCCTGTGAATTTATAATTATTTTCAAAATAGTTAAAAATGTTGAGAATATGTGATGATAAAGGAAAAGGTTCATAATCAGAAAAACAAGTTACAAAATGATAAAATTACATGAAACTAATATTTCATACCATTCATACTAATACATATACCTGGAAGGAATGACTGATAAAAACCTTAACTCTGAGATGATGGATTCTTTTTTGCATTTCTGTAGTGTATGTGTGGATGAGTCAGTATCACTTTTATAGTTGGAAGAAAGCAGTTTTCCTAATAGGAAATTTTTAGAATTAATCTGGTTTGGAATATTTAAGTGACAATGTGTTTTTACATTAAGGGATTAAAATTTTTATCAGGCACACTACTAACTTAGTATTAAAACAGCTGTTAAGATTGGAAAGTATCTGAATGTATTCTTTAAAATATATTGTATTTGTAAATTTAAAATTGTTTCGTACTCTTCATATATAAGACATTTTGTGTGATGTTCTAAATCAGTGCTATCCAAAAGAAATATATTGTAAGCCACATGTAATTTTAACTTTCTAGTAGTCACAGGAAGAAAGTAAATTAAGCAGGTGAAATTAATTTTAAGAATATGTTTTATCGAACCAATTATATCCAGAATGTTTTTTTTAACATGTAACCAGTATTACAGTGAGATAGTTTACATTCTTTTTTTCAAAGACAGTCTTCAAAATCTAGTGTACATTTTAGGGTTACAGCAAAGTTTAGTTCAGACTAACCACATTTCAAGTGCTCAGTAGCCACCTTTGGCTAGTGGGTACCATATTGAAGAAGAGGATGAGTAGTTGGGAGTGAGGGCTTTGATGTCAGACCCAAGTTTGAGTAACAGCAGCTCTGCCATTTGCTCACCTTGTGACCTTGGGTATGTTACATGAACTTGTGCTTTTGTTTTTCATTTATAAGGTAGGGATAATAACTTCTCCATAGTGGTATTAGAAGGATTAAATGAGTCAATGTAGGTAGCATGCTTGGCACAGGACTGGGCACAAAATATGTACTGTAAATAGTATATGTTACACAGTGATAATTTTTTAAATTCCCATATATTGTGTACTGAATTGAATGAGTAACCATTCTAAAAGTGTGACTGATTTCTTAGTAGTAGTAGTAGTGAGTAAATATATAAGCAGTACATGAAATAATCCTTACTTTTTACAATTAAAGTTTTGGATCCTTTTAAATTATGACTGATTGAATACACAAATATTTGAGTACTCATGTGCAAAATATTGTACCAGCCACTTGAACATTTAGAAGGTAGATCTTAAGATGATATTCTCAGATACTGTATATTTACATAAGTACTTGACATTTTGCATGCCACTTTTGTGTCTTTTTTTTTTTCAATTAATACTCAAAGCAATCCTGAGAGATAGTTGTTACTCTAACTTTCACAATTGAAGACGCTGAGTTTCAGAAAAGTAACTTACTTGGTGTCATACCCAGTTAATAGAATAGAAGACAGGTGATTTAATTAAATGGACAAATTTAATGTGATGTTTAAAGTGTTTCAGCTACACTCCTTTGATTATTTCCCTTCCAACTTTGCCATCTTTTCCAGGACCATTTAAATTAGAGGAGGACAATAAGATGTCACTTGAGGAGTTACCTTGCTCCGAATTATCCTGAGGTTATTAGCCTATTCAGATAAGCTATAATGTAAAAAGTTAACATAAGCCTGTATAGATTAGATGATTTATTTTGCTTGTTGCAGTGTTTCTCTTTATAAAGTTGAGTATTCTTCATCCTGTCTTTTGGATACATATACCTATAAAAACGGGCCAAGAATATGCATTCTGTGCTGACTGCCTTAAAATCGGATTCTTTGAAGTGTAGTTTGTCGCTTCACTTATTCAGAAAATTACACAATTCTTTTAAGGAACTGCGTGCCACCATTAAAATCACTAGTGAAAGGCAGTGAGTTTGTGAATGATTGACTTTCCCAGGGCAGTGGTGCAGTGGAAGGCACTCGTTACCTGGGCAGAGTTAGATGGAGCATATTTCATTAGTCGTTCAGGCTCTGTGTTCTAATGTGTAGATTTTGTTTTCACTGTATGCGTTGCTGGCTTTATTTCCAGTTTCTTCTCTAGTTAAAATATGGAGGAAGTCACAGGACATCCAGTTTGTTCTTGGGTACTATGGGACAAAATATATGACAGTAAACTATCAGCTCATCTTGGCAAGTACTTTTGGTGTGGACCACTGAAGCATATTTGTAGGAAGGGAGTTACATTTTGGTGCTCAGGATGGGAGTGATGATAGTTTCAAAGATTTCTATTTTGGAAGAGGGATCTCAAATGCCTAGGGTTTCTGAAAAATTTCACTGTATACAGTTTCTGCTACTGCAATTACGTTATAAATAAATGCTTTAATTATAAGATACAACTTTATATGTGTAAAGATGTGTATACTAGGTTAAGATTTAAAACCGTGGGTTGCAATTAAAATAAAAGATTCCCTGAAATTCATGGAACTGGACGATGTCTTTCCTTTCCTTCTTTATGTTTTTTTAAAGACAGGGTCTCGCTCTGTTGCCCAGGCTAGAGGGCAGGAGCATGCTCATAGGCCACTGCAGCCTTGAACTTCTGGGCTTAAACAATCTTCCCATTTCAGCGTCTCAAGTAGCTAGGACTACAGGCTTGTGCCACCAGGCACAATTTAATTTGGTTAAATTTTTTTTTTTTTTTGTAAAGATGAAGTCTTGATATGTTGCACAGGCTGGTCTTGAACTCCTGGCCTCAAGTGATCCTTCTGTCTTGACCTCCCAAAGTGTTGGGATTACAGGCATGAACCACTGAGCCTGGCCAGAACTAGATGATGTCTATGTCTTTTCCAGTTCTAAAATACTGTGTTATGTCAGTTTGGGCAATTTGTCATACAGTAAGATGACTCTTAAAATTTTACAGTGCCAAGTTACTTGTCTACAAATATATAGAGAAGATAATTTGTCATTTATTCTCCCCCAATGTGTTGTATAGATATTCATGCGTTTTGTGACGACTTTTCTTTCTTTCTTTCTTTCTTTCTTTCTTTCTTTCTTTCTTTCTTTCTTTCTTTCTTTCTTTCTTTCTTTCCTTTCTTTCCTTTCTTTCTTTCTCTCTTTCTCTCTTTCTCTCTTTCTCTCTTTCTCTCTTTCTCTCTTTCTTTCTTTCTTTCTTTCTTTCTTTCTTTCTTTCTTTCTTTCTTTCTCTTTCTTTCTTTCTTTCTTTCTTTCTTTCTTTCTTTCTTTCTTTCTTTCTTTCTTTCTTTCTTTCTTTCTTTCTTTCTTTCCTTGTTTTTGATGGAGTCTCGCTCTGTTGCCCAAGCTGGAGTGCAGTGGTGCGATCTCGGCTCACTGCAACCTCCACCTCCCGGGTTTAAGTGATTCTCCTCCTTCAGCCTCCTGAGTAGCTGGGACTACAGGCGCCTGCCGCCATGCCCAGCTGATTTTGTATTTTTAATAGAGACGGGGTTTTGCCATGTTGGCCAGGCTGGTCTCAAACTCCTGACCTCAGGTGATCCACCTACCTCGGCCTCCCAAAGTGCTGGGATTACAGGCATGAGCCACCGTGCCTGGCCGCATTTTGTGACTTCTAAAGAGGAAAGCTTTATCTTAAAAATTTTTGGTAGTGTTATTTATGTGTAGCTGAACGGTTTTCTTATTTAAGTTATAATTAAGGTTTTAATTTGGAAATCTTCATTCAGGGGTTAACAAATCTTTGCCCCATTCTAAGAAATTAAACTCAATGCAGACTGACCAAAGACAAGATTCAGTCAGTCTCCTTTTCAGGATCTCTGAGATGAGGGCTTCAGGACAGAACACCTGGTATGGAAGGCTAGTGTTTTCAAGTATAAACAGGTGTACTGCAGCCCTAAGGCTGTTCTTACTTAGACCTTGGTTATATTAATTAAAAGAATGACACTGATACATCTTTTTTTTTGAAAAGTGTTTTTATTACTGAAATGGTTAATACTGAATCATGCTCCATAGCAAAGCTTGGTTCTAATAGAACAGGTGTACATTGGGTGTTTTTCCTGCTTAACATTTTTTGATACCCATCCCTAGCATTCAGTCTGACACCAAATTCTGCTGACTTTATTTGTCCAGTATCCCTGCTGCGACTACCTTAATTTAGGTTCTCATTATATTTCATTTTTTATTTCAATTCTTAATTACAAGCCTGTATTGCCCAGACCTGTACCATTGCAGTAGCCTTGAAACTGTTCTGCCAAGTCTAGTCTGTTGTGCTGCCTAGAGATATCTCTAGAAAGCACATAGATCATGTAGTGTGCTTAAAAAACCCTGGATATACTGCCTCATTGCCCAAAGAGGTCTTGCCCTTCTTAGCATGCACTTTCTGGTCAAACTGTTCAGTGTCTGAACATGTTCTTTTATGCCACTGTGCTGCCTGCCACATGTACTTCTAGAACTGCTTGAAGACTTACCTCTTTGCTACCGTGGTAAATGCTAGCTTCTGCTTCAAGACCCAGCTCGTGGTAACTCTTTGGGGAAACCTTCCTTGATTCTTTTTTTTTTCTGTGACAGGATCTTGCTTCTTTGCCCAGGCTGGAGTGCAGTGGTGTGATCAAAGCCCACTGTAGCCTCAGAACTCCTGGGCTTACGCAATCCTCCCACCTCAGCCTCCCAAGTAGTTGGGACTCTACAAGCATGTGCCACCATACCCAGCTAATTTTTTTCTCTTTTTTTGAGAGATGGGGGTCTCCCCCATTTTGTCCAGGCTGGTCTTGAACTCCTGGCCTCAAATGATCCTCCCACTTTGGCCTTCCAGAGTGCTGGGATTACAGGCATGAGCCATTGCTGGGCCTTGATTTTTGTCTTTTGTGATCATTGAAGCACTTTGTGATATACTTACCGTACCACACAATCATGTTGTACTGGAATTTCGTGTTCACATTTGCTGCTCCATATCCGCCCCGTATGAGGCTCTCAGGGATAGAGACTGTAACCTGTTGAATCTTTAGAGGCAAGGTCTTACTATGCTGCTTTTGTGTTCTTCAAATGTATTTAGAGGGCAGTCTGTTCTTCTGATTTCTTATTTAAAATGTTTACTTTTTAAAATAATTGTGTGATATATTGGCTAACCCCCTCTGCAAATAGGTTTATTCATTTAAAACCTTTGGGAAATGCCTTGGAAATACTGCTACACTACTTTCCTTTTTCACTTCAGTTTCTAGTTTTACTCTGTGCATCATCTCTTTTGTTACTCTTAAGATGATTCCCTTGATTGTCTGTCTCTCTTTGAAGTTCATGCCTGCTTTTCTGTTCATAACAGGTACAACAGTTGATTGCTAAATAGGATTCTTCTGAAGCACTGTCTGTTTTAAAACGGTGATCCCTCTTAGTAGAGCTCCCATAGAATGCCTTCCGAAGTTCTCTTCTGCTCTGTACTCTCTGGCTGAAAGTTTCAGAAACAGAGCGACTAGAGTGGTCTAGAGTCAGAATACAGTGTAAGGAAGCAAAGGGGATGAAAATTGAGAAAATCGTGAAGTCTGTATTCTTCATGAGATTTTGCAGCTGAATAGGACTCAGAATAGTTGTAGTTCTCTTGGGCTAGATAATTGTTTGAACTGATAAATAATTTAGATACCGGAATTTTCTCTCTCCTTTTTCAGGAGCCACCTCCTAGATAATCTTCCTCTTCAGCTGGTACTGTTTTATAAATGAAGCCTCTGAATTGTTCATTAGTATTTTCAGACCTCTTTTATCTAGTAAGTTTTATGAGAGAAGACATTTTTCCTGATGAATTGGAATGTTTTGATTAAAATTTTTTTTTTATGTTTTAAGTTAATTTATTAGACATTAGTAAGCACTTAATTTTTGGGGCACAGTATGTGTGGAGACTAATGCTCAACTACAAAGTTAGTTTCTCCATAGATGTTATGTAGAAACTTCTGTAATCTTCAGTACCTAGTTTAAAAAAAATTAGAATTAGGAAATGATCTATATAGAAGTGAATAAATTTAGTACACAGTGACTAGATTGATCCCTAGATTGGGGGATTTTTGCTAATTTAATATTAGATTTAATCCTAATAGTTAAATCAACTGGTAATGCCATGAATAATTTTGATCCTTTTGTGGTTTTGAAAGATGTATTTTCAGAATTAATTTTATTACCCTCATAACATGCTCAGAGAACTTTGGTGTAAAGATAATGCGTTGTTTTTCTTGGTGGCCAATACAATCTTTTAAAGTGTACTTTTTAGCTTAGGTATCCCTGGAAGTTTTTGTTCTCAGTTTAATGATCTTGTCAAGTAAATACCACCTAATTATCTATTCCTATTCCGCTATCATTTATCCAGGCAATAGAGTTTTATATTAAATAATGCTTTAGGAATGAGAGATTTATTTGTAATTCCTATTCAGCTATCTTGTCTATAAAGCAAAATTCATACTTACAGTAGTTTGTATTCTCTTAACTTCTCGGTTAATAGGCAGTGTGGTGAAGTGGAAAAACCCTACAAACTAACACAATGACAAATACATCTTGGATATTTTTGTGTAGTTCCCTTGTCATTTTAACTTTTTCTAATCTGCTAATGAATCAGACTTTAGAGGAAAGAGATAAGAGCTGACCTTCTGACTTCCTCCATATAACTGAGTAAACCTATCGGGATTGTAGATTTCATTTCATTTCTTTTTTTTTTGAGACGAAGTTTCACTTTTGTTGCCCAGGCTGGAGGGCAATGGCAGGATCTCAGCTCACCGCAACCTCCGCCTCCTGGTTCAAGCGATTCTTCTGCCTCAGCCTCCCAGGTAGCTGGGATTACAAACACGCGCCACCATGCCTGGCTAATTTTGTATTTTTAGTAGAGATGGGGTTTCTGCATTTTGGTCAGGCCGATCTCAAACTCCCGACCTCAGGTGATCCACCTGCCTCAGTCTCCCAAAGAGCTGGGATTGCAGGCATGAGCTACCACGCCTGGCTGTAAATTTCATCTATAAGAGAGTGATACTTGTGGTGTTCTTGTGTTTATATATTTTTTCCTCTAAGAAAGTGGGCTTTTTGACTGATGGCTTGTTCTTTAGAGTCATAATATCTTTAGTGTATAGATAAACCAAAATTCTTCTATATTTCTGTGATGGAGGACATAATTTGACCTTCAGGTTAGTGAATATTTGCATTGAGTTGTGCAATATTTCTTCTACGTATATGAATGAACACATATCTGATTCTTGTCACAGGCTGTTTAGAATCAGAGGAAACAAGGCTTGTTGGTCTCTGCTGCTTTACTGCAAAAGCAATGTGAGAGTGATGAATGCAGAACAATTAGTGTAGCTGCCAGTTTTCAGTTGTCTTATATGATTGGAAAGTTCCTCATCTAAACACTAATTTATTTTAATCATTAAACTTTTCATTATTTTCTCCCTCAAAGATGCGCCCCCCCTCAATCAAAAACAAAAACCCACCCAAGCCCTAAAATTAAACCAAAAAAAGACTTCTGGCAAATAAAGTTGATTTGCTTTTCTTTCCTTACCTCTGGCCTTTGAAGATTCAGAGACTCAAAAGTAGTGAAACAAGTCATACTTCTCCCTATATCCTGCCCACAGAAACTTTCAGATGACATGAAGGAAGAAAGAACTAACTAGATAGTTGACTTTTGAGTAAACTCAGGCTTTGTTTCTTCTCTATCTTGTGGTAGATAAGAAAGACTTTGGACCAGATACTGGTGTGAAGATAGGAAGAGTAGGATTACTTTATTGTTGGGAATATGGGAAATATATTCAAAATATATGAAGCTGTGTTCCAGTGTAAATATGCTAGGTTGATTATCTCTTCCAGTCATCACGAAAACTACTTCATGCCTTGGTGAAACTGGCAACATGGGTTGTTTCTGAAGAGATACATGTTTTAATTTATGAGGTGTATTTTTTGTGTTTGTGTGTGTAATGGTAATGATGATATTCATACTGAATTTACTGCTACAATGTTACAATCTGTTGCCAGTTAAAATTACCCAGGAATGAAGATAGAGCATTTTGAAAATACAAGTTAGTGGTAAAATACTTTGTTGTACAAAAATAGAATTTATTTGTTGCATTTCTATACTACATCATCAAATAATATTAAACAGTTGGATTTTATCTCCTGGTAAAACTTGTCTAAAGTAAATGCTGTAGACTAATGTGTAATTTTGAATTATTTAGTCTCTGTATTTAAGAAAATCCAACAAGTATTATACTGCAGCCAGCATAAAAACACAGCATTTGCCATCCTTATTTAAAATTTTTCAGCTTTATTAAAGTGTAATTGGCATGTAAGTAACTTTACTTTTAAAATATTACCTGGGAAACTACCACTGTGAAGATAATGATCACATCTGTCACCCCTAAAAGATTTCTCCTGCCTTTTGGTAATTCCTCCTTCCTGTTCCTTTGTCACAGGCAGCCACTAATCTGCTTTCTGTCACTATAGATTAGTTTGCATTTTCTTGAATTTTATATAAAGATAATAGTGTATGCGTTTTTTTTTTTTTTTTTGGTTTGCCTTCTTTCAGTTATCATGGTTATTTGAGATTAATCAGTGTTTATTTTGTTATTGCTGAATAATATTCCATTGGGTGAACAATCTGCAATTTAACTGTCCGTTCACCTGTTGAGGGACATTTGAGTTTTTTGCAGTTTCTAGCTCTTACAGATAGAGCTGTTGTATGCATCCCTAAACAAGTCTTTGTGTGGACATATGCTTTTACTTCTCTTGAGTAAATACCTAGGAGTGGAATTGCTGGGTATTTTTAACTTTTTAAGAAACAAGCTGTTTCTCAAAGTGGTTGTATCACTTGAAATCCTACCAGCACTGTATGAACTCCAGTTTCTTCATATCCTTGCCAGCCTTGATATGGTCAGTCTGTTTAATTTTAGGCTGGTGGCAGGTGTCTAGTGGTAAAGTAGCTCATTGTGGTTTTATCTTCTGTTTCCCTAATAACTAGTGATGTTGAGCCTGTTCTCACGTGCTTATTTGCCACCTGTATTTTTATTTATTTATTTGCTTATTTTGAGACGGAGTCTCACTCTGTCGCCCAGGCTGGAGTGCCGTGGCGCAATCTTGGCTTACTGCAACCCCTGCCTTCTGGGTTCAAGCGATTCTCCCACCTCAGCCTCCCGAGTAGCTGTGTCTACAGGCATGCGTGACCATGTCTGGCTAATTTTTGTATTTTTAGTAGAGATGGGGTTTCGCCATGTTGGCCAGGCTGGTCTCAAACTCCTGGCCTCAAGGGATTCGTCTGCCTTGGTCTCCCAAAGTGCTGGGACTGCAGATATGAGCCACTGGGCCTGGTGGCCCCCTGTATATTTTTTAAATGTCTTCATATTGTTTACTCATTTTTCAATTTGGTTGTTTGGCATTACTGAATTGTCCTTTATCCTAGATTCATGTATATATTTTGAGAGTGTCTTTTGAAGAGCACACTTAACTTTTGCTTTTTGTGTGATAGTTAAAAAAATCATTACCAAACCCAAGAACACTAAGATTTTCTCATAGCTTTACCTTTAGAAGGTTTATAATTTTAGCTCTTATATTAAGTACTTGGATCCATTTCGAGGTAATATTTGAATACATATTTCTAAGGGTGAGGTAAGTTCATTTTTTTTTTTAAACGTACTGCTATCTAATTGTCCTGGCACCATTTATTGAAAAAAATTACCCTTATTGAAGTGCCTTTGTATCTTTGAAAATCAATGGGCTGTATATGTGTGAGTCTCTTCATTTTGTTTCATTGATCTTTCTTTACACCAGTACTATTACTTAAATAATGTAGCTTTATAAGTCTTGAAAATTAGGAGAAGTGTAAGACCTTCAATTCTTTTTAGAGTTATTTTGGATATTCTACATCCTTTGCATCTCCTTTAAAATGTTATAATTAGCTTGTCAATTTCGACATAAAAGGGATGCTGCTGGCATTTCTATTAGGATGCATTGCAGATATAGATACATTTGGGAAAAACTGAAAATCCAAAACATTGGACTCAGTATTCCAATCCGTGAACATAGGTATCTCTGCATTTATTTAGGTTTTCCTTCAGCAGTGTTTTGTAGTTTTCAGTCTCATTTGTTAGATTTATCACTATTTCATATTTTCGATACTGTGTAAATGTTACTATTAAAATGCCAATTTCTGGTTGTTTCCAGGTAGTTTATATACAGATTATTTTTGTATATCTTGTTTCCTGTAACTTGGCTAAACTTAATAGGTTCTAGGAACTTTTTTTTGTAGATTCTGTAGAATTTTCTCCATAGACAATTTTGTCTTTGAATTGAGACAATTTTTACTTTCCTTCCAATGTGGACACCTTTTATTTCTTTCGCTTGCCTGTTGTGCTAGCTAAAACTTCCAATACAGTGTTGAATGGAAGTTTTGAGAGTGGACGTTCTTGTATTAGTAAGTGTAATGTTAGCTGTAGTAAACATTTAAATAGGTTTAGGGAATTCCTTTCTGTATTAATTTGCTGAGGGTTTTTTTTCCTTAGTCTGGGTCTTGCTCTGTGGCCCAGGCTGGTGTGCAGTGGTGCAGTCACAGGTCACTGTGGCCTCAAACTCCTGGGCTCAACCTGTCCTCCTGCCTCAGCCTCTTGAGTGGCTGGGACTAATGCACCACTATGCCTGGCTAATTGTTTGGGGGGCCAGGGGGGTGGAGATGGGATCTCACTGTATTGACTACACTGGTCTGGAACTGGCCTCAAGCCATCATGCCATCTGGCTTCGGCCTCTCAACGTGCTGGCATTACAGGTGGGAGCCATCGTGCCCAGCCCACTGAGCGTATTTATTAAGGAACAGAAGTTGGATTTTGTCAAATATCTTTTTCTCCTGCATTTAGTAAGACAGTCATACAGTTTTCCATATAATGCTGGATTACATTGGTTGATTTTTGATTGTAGGAATCCTAGACCAACTTGGCATTCCCAGATTAAATCTTACTTTGTCATGATGTATTTTCATGATGAATAATCCATGTTGGATTATTTTGTTAAGAAAATTTGCATCTGTCGTCATGAATGACATTGGTCTGTACTTATTTTTTACCTTCTAGGCTATTTGTCTGGTTTTGGATTCACGGTAATGTGGGTCTCATAGAATGAGTTGGAAAATGTACTGCCCTCTTCACTTTTCTGGAAGAGTGTGTGAAGAATTGAAATTTTTTTTTTCCTTTTTTTTTTTTTTGAGACGGAGTCTCACTCCATCTCCAGGCTGGAGTGCAGTGGTGCAATCTCGGCTCCCTGCAACCTCCGCCTCCTAGGTTCAAGTGATTCTCCTGCCTCAGCCTCCCAAGTAGCTGGAGCTACAGGCACCCGCCACCACGCCTGGCTAATTTTTTGTATTTTTAGTAGAGACGGGGTTTTACCATGTTAGCCAGGATGGTCTTGATCTCTTGACCTCATAATCCACCCGCCTCAGCCTCCCAAAGTACTCGGATTACAGGCGTGAGCCACCGCGCCCGGCCTGAAATTATTATTTTCTTAAATGCTTGGTAGAATTTACTAGTGAAACCATCTGGTCTAGGATTTTCTTTCTGGGGAGGTTTTACTACAGATTCAATTTATTTAAAATACATAAGGGTATTCAGATTATTGATTTATTCTTGAGTGAGCTTTGGCAGTTTGTACCTTCCAAGGAACTTAGGAATTTGTTTGTTTTATTGAAATAGTGTTCATGAGATTTCCTTATCTATACCTGTAGAATCTGTAGAGATGTCACTTCTTGTTTTCATTGGTAATTTGTGTCTTTGTCTTTCGATGAGTCTGGATTATCAAGATTTTATTGATCTCAACAAGCTTATGATTTCACTTTTTGTTTTTGTTTTGTATTTCATTGATTTCTCATGTGATCTTTATTATTTTCTTTCTTTTGTTTATGTTGAGTTTCATTTGCTCTTCTGTTTTTAGTTTCTTAAGGTGTATACTTTGCTCCTTGGTTTGAAACTTTTCTTTTTTTTCAATATGGGTGTTTGGCGCTGAAGTTTTTTCCCTCAAGTTCTGCTTTAGTTGTAACCCACAAATTTTGATATTTTTGTGTTTTCATTTTCATTCAGTTTCAGATGCTTTCTAATTTTTCTTTTTTTTTTTTATCTTATGGGTTATTTAGAACTGTCATTTAGTTACTAGATACGTGAGGATTTTCCAGATACCCTTCCGTTTTTGCTTTCTAATTAAGTGATGTTCAGCTTTGTTACTTTGGTGCATAAACATTTACAATTATGTCTTGATGAATTGACCCCTTTTCCATTCTGAAGTTAACCCACTTTGTCCCTCGTAATAGTATTTGCTCTGAAATGTACTTTGGCCAATATTAGTGTAACCACTCCAGCTTTGTTTCGAATAGTGTTAGCATGGCATCCCTTTACTGTATTTGTGTCTTTGTATTTGAAATGAGTTCCTTATAGGCAGTATGTAGTTGGGTTTTGTTTTTCTAATCAGATATCATAATCTCTGCCTTTTAATTGTGGTTTGTAGACCATTTGTATTTAATGTGATTATTGACATGATGAGTTTTAAATCTACCATCTTGCACTTTGTTTCTACTTTATTTTTGGCTTTAGTTGTTTTTTAAAATATAATTTATGTCTTTTATTAACTTACTAGCTATAACTGTAGTTATTTTATTTATTTATTTATTTTGAGACAAGCTCTTGCTGTGTTTCCCAGGCTGGTGTGAAGTAAGGCAATCTGGGTTCACTGCAGCTTGGACCTCCTGGGCTCAAGCAGTCTGCCCACCTCAGCTTCCTGAGTAGCAGGGATTACAGGCACATGCCACCACACCTGGCTAATGTTTTGTGTTTTTTTTTTTTGTAGAGACAGGATTTTGTCATGTTGCTCAGGCTAGTCTTTAACTCCTGAGCTCAGACGATCCACCCGCCGTGGCCTCCCGAAGTGCTGGGATTACAGGGATGTGCCACTGCTCCTGGCCAGTTATTTTAGTTGCGTTAGTATACATCTTTAACTCAAATCAGTTTGCCTTTAAGTGGTATTACACATCTTCACATACAGTCTAACAACTTTATCAAAGCTCCTTTTTTCCTTCTGGCCTTTGTGCTGCTATTGTAATACATTTACTTCTGCATATGTTGTAACCCTCCCCACAGTGTTGTAATAATTTTTACTTTAAGTAGTCCGTTATTGTTCAAATATTTAAAAAAAAGAAAATTTCCCACATTTTTATCATTTCTTGTGCTCTTCATTCCTTTGAATAGATCCACATTTTCATCCAGTAATATTTTTTTTTCTACCTAAGGGACTTTGTTTAATATTCTTATAGTACAGGTCTGCTGGTGATTACTTTTAAAAAAAGTTGCAAATTTTTTGTTTTGCCATTTTTCTGGTAACAGCTTTATTAAGGTATAATTCACATATTATACAGTTCATCCATTTAAAGTGTGGAATTTATGGTGGTTAGTACATTCACAAAGTATGAACCTTTGCCATATTTTGTTACCCTCTCTCCCCAACAAGGAATCCTGTACCTTTTAGCGGTCACCCTCCAGCCTTCCCCAACTCCCAGCCCTAGGGAGCCTTTAAAATAGTATCTGTCTCTAAAGATTTGCTGTATCTTAGAATTTTGTATAAATGGAATCATACAATGTTTGGTCTTTTGTGACTGTCTTCTTTCAGTAGCATAGTTTTCCAGGTTCATTTATGTTGTAGTGTGTGTATCAGTACTTCGTTCTTGTTTATGGCTGAATGGTATTCCATTGTGTAGACGTGCCACATTTTCTTATCCATTCATCAGTTGATGGACATTTGCTTTCTACCTTTTGATTATTATTAATAATGTTATTGTGAACATTTGTATACATACATATTTGTGTGGATGTATGTCCTCTTGGATATATACCTAGCAGTGGAATTGCTGAGTCAAATAAGAACTGCCTTTAACCTTTTGAGGAACTGCCCCACTGTTCTCCAAAGTGGCTGTAGCATTTTACATTCCCACTAACAGTGGTTTCCCATTTCTTGCCCTTGTTTCAAAACATATTTTCAATGTGTATAGAATTTCCAGGTTCGGTTTGTTTCTTTTAGTTGTCTTAAAAGATGTTACTCCATTGTCTCCTGGGTTACATAATATTTGATTATCATTTTTGTGTGTGTGTGTGTGTGTGACAGTCTCACTCTGTCACCCAGGCTGGAGTGCAGTGGCGTGATCTCTCCTCACTGCAACCTCCCTCTCCTGGGTTCAAGCAATTCTCATGCCTCAGTGAGTAGCTGGGACTACAGGCATGCACCACCACGCCCGGCTGATTTTTGTATTTTTAGTAGAGATGGAGTTTCACCACATTGGCCAGGCTGGTCTTGAACCCAACCTCAAGTGCTCTGCCCACCTCCCAAAGTGCTGGGATTACAGGCGTGAGCCACCATGCCCGGCCAGTATTTGATTATCATTCTATCGTTTTTATCTTTGTTCTTTAAAATAAGTCTTGGTTTCTCTGACTGCTTTTAAGATTTCACTTAATCACTGGTTTTTTAGCATTTTGATTATAAACAGCCTTGGTATAGTTTTCTTCATGGTTGTTGGGCTTGGGGTTTGCTGAACAGCATTTTGCCACCTTATTTAAAGCTTATATCCTACTGGGAAATCTATAGAATTTTATAAAATGAGAATGTTAAATCCTCATTCATATTAAGAAATATGCCATAGCCTATCTGGCCAAGAAGAGCTAGAATCCTTTAGATTGCCCTTGGTTGCTACTGTATCTTTCTCTTTGGAAAAATTTCTTTAAGACAGGTTTTAGAGATATTGCCCAAGCTTTAACTAAAAGCCAGTGATTGGCACAAGGTTATGGAGCACATTAATAGTAATAGAGCCTGCACTGGACTCTTGGTCTACCCTTGGGTCTTCCCATCAAATTACACCACCTCTCTGACAAACCAAGTACTAGGGAGATGACCAGGGATACTCCTCTGGACCCTGTGAGTGTGACTGCTGCTGTGCTCTATATTTTAGATTCCTTTACCTCTAAGATAGAGAAAGAAATGGTATGCCTCATGCCCCTTCCTTTCTCCCCTTATCCATCCTTCCCTGTCTTTCAGAACTATGGTAGACTCATGTGTATTTCATAATGAAATAAAAACTATTCAATTTCCAGCTCTTTCATTTCTCCATACAAACACTTCCGTGAAACTCTTTTTTGTTATAGTCCACAAACAATGATAACTATCTCAGACTTCCAATTATGTTACTTTAGGAAGTCTGTGATTTGGGTTGGCTTGCTGTTCTCAAACAGCGGTTAGCTTGACCAACTTTTTTATTTGGTACGATGGGCTTTGGGATGTGAACGTGCTTTCTCTTGACATACGTTTCTGTTCTTGTGCCCACCTTATTTCCCCCTAGCGGGCAGTATGTATGAGTGTGGGTTGGTGATTTTAAGTTACCATCTGTATCACATCCCTAGCGCTTCCTTTCCCTTTGTAAGATTTCCTTTGTTTTTAGAATCCTCTCATATTGGTTATTCGACGGTCTTTGTAGATAATTATGGAGTACCTGGAGCATTTTGGCTGAAGTGGAATGCTTTACATGTCTTTATCCTTTTTGAAGCTTATCTGATTGGTTGTACATTCCCATGCATTAGAAACAGATCATCTAGTAATATGGAACATCCAGTCAGCTTATCTTGCAGAGTTCAGGAAGTACATGTATCTTCCGGAAGTATCTTCTGGCGTTCAAGAGGAATTTTCTAATGGAAAACCAAAATGTTGTAATTTTGAGAAATCTTTTTTAAAGTTAAATTGATTGAGGTATGATAATATAGTAAGAGTAACCCTTTTTGCTGTATAGGTTCTGTGAATTTTGATGAATTTAAGTCCTATGATGACAATCAAGAAAAAATAATGTAGTTTTAATTTTCATTTCCTTGATGACTAATAATAAGCATCTGTCCTGTGCTTATGTGAGTCATCTATATATTTCTTTGATGAAGTGAGTTCAGATTTTTTGCCACAATTTCTAGATTGTGTTGCTTTCTTATTACTGAGTTTCTAGAGTTTTCTGTATATTCTGAGTAATAGTTTTTAATTAGGTATTTGTTTTGCAACTATTTTTGCTGAGTCTGTGACTTTCCATTTCATTTTCTTTTGATTTTGACTTTCCATTTTCTTAATGGTGTCTTTTGAAGAGCAGAAATGTTTGATTTTTATGAAATCCAGTATATCAATTTTTCTCCTTAAAGGCTTATGCTTTTTTAGTTCTTCTGTATGGAGAAAGATATGGATCGAGGTTCTTAATTTTGATGAATGGATGCCCCATTTTTTTCTGCACCATTTGTTGAAAGACTCTCTTCTCCATTGAGTTGATTGGCATATTTGTAAAAATCCTGATTACTATTAATATATATGTGTGAGTTTATTTCTGGACTGTGTTCCATTGACTCTTAAGTGTCTGACTTTTTGCCAATACCACGCTGTCTTAAAAATTGTAAATAGGTAAATCATGAAATCAGGTAGCATCAGCTCTTCAATTTGGTACTTTTTTTCCAAAATTGTTTTGACTTCTAGGTGTTCTCTTTTTCCATGTAAATTTTAGAGTCAGCTTGTCAGTTTCTATGAAACTTGCTGGAATTTTGACAGCATTGCATTGAATGTGTAGATCAGTACTCTTCAATAGGATTATCTGTAATGATGGAAATGTTGTGTATTTACACTGTCCAGTGTGTGGTAGTCACTAGCTGTCTATGGCTATTGACTACATAAAATGTTGCTTGTGTAATTGGAGAAATGAATTTTAAAGTTTATTTCATTTTAATTTATTTAAATTCAAATGTAGACACATGTCACTAGTGGCTATTGTATTGGACAACATAACATAGATTATTTTGGGCACAATTATATATTATTTTGACTTCTTAAAGTCAGTATTGAGTTTTAAAGCCCACACATGTGGTATATCTCCCTATGGAGTCCAAAAATTTGAGATTGCAGCGTACGTAACAGATCTTATAGTACATATTTTGTTAAATTTATCCTGGAGTATTTAATGATTTTTGGATGTTGTTTTAAGTGATATTTTTTCTTTAATCTTTTAATTGTTCATTGCTAATATGCAGAAATAAAAATGATTTTTGTATATTGACTTTGTATCCTTTGCTTGCTTAGCTTCACTTATTTTATTCTAGTAATTTTTTGTATGTTCTTTGGGATTTTCTGCATAGACAATCATGTAAACTGTCAGTAAAGACGGTTTTATTTTTTCTTTTCAGTCTGTATGGGTTGTATGTATTTATTTTATTCTTTTAGTGCATAGGTGAGGATCACCAGCTAGTTTTGACCAAAAAGTCTTAGTTTGCTGAGTTTTAAAAATTACTATGAATGGATGTTGAATTTTATTAATGTTTTTACTGCATCTATTGAGATGATCATATAGTTTTTCTTTAATCTGTCGACATGGTGAATTACTAGTTTTTCAAATATCGAACCATCTTTGCCCGACCCACTTGGTCATCATATTTTTTTAATATATTGCTGGATTCAATTTACTAATAAATTGGGTCCATGTTCTTGAGGGCGATTGATCTGTGTGATCTGTGGTTACTTTATATTGTCTTTGTCTAGTTCTGATGTTCTGGTAATGCTTGTAACATTGAGGTGAGAAATGTGTCTTGTCCACCCCTTCAACCCCAAAGACACACACATTGTGTAAATTAGCCAGGCGTGTTGGCGCATGCCTGTAATCCCAGCTACTCGGGAAGCCGAGGCAGGAGAATCACGTGAACCCGGGAGGCAGAGGTTGCGGTGAGCCAAGGTTGCACCATTGCACTCCAGCCTGGGCAAGAAGAATGAAACTCGATCTAAAAAAAAAAAAAAAAAGAAAAGAAAGGTTACCTTGGTGGGAAGAGGGAGGGGTGTTTGGTTTAACTGTTGAACGTTTTGAAGCACACACCAGTTATTTGAGACAGGGTCTCACTCTGTCTCCTAGGCTGAGTGTGATCATGGCTCACTGAAGCCTCGACCTCCCAGGCTCAGGTGATCCTCTCACCTCAGCTTTCCAAGTAGCTGGTAACATAGGTATGTGCTACCGTGCCTGGCGCATTTTTAAGAAAAATTTCTTGTAGAGGCAGAGTCTCCCTGTGTTGTCTAGGCTGGCCTCAAACTCCTGGGCTCAAACGATCCTCCCTCCTTGACCTTCCAAAGAGCTGGGATTACAGGTGTGAGCCACTGTGCCCAGCCCAGTTTAATAGATATAGACCTATCTGTTTGTTCCTTTATGTTATCCAGTTATTCCTTTTTGAGAACGGGTCTTGCTCTGTTGCCCAGGCTAGAGTGCAGTGGTGCAGTCATACCTCGTCAAGTGCGACCTCAAACTCCCAGGCTCAAGCGATCCTTCCATCTTGACCTCCTGAGTAGCTGGGACCAAAGAAAGGCACATGCTGTCATGTCCAGTTAATTTTTGTATTTTTTGTAGAGACGGGGTTTTGACACGTTTCCCAGGCTGGTCTTGAACTGGGCTCAAGCAGTCCACCTGCTTTGGCCTCCCAAAGTGCTGGGATTACAGGTGTGAGCCACCATGCCCAGCCTAATTTTTATTTTATTTTGTTTTTTTAAGTGTAGACAAGATCTCACTATATTGTTCAGGCTGGTGTCGGACTCCTGGGTTCAGGCAATCCTGCTGCAACCTCTCAATTATCTATTTATTCTTAAGTGAACTTTGGCAGTTTGGAAAAATTAGAGATCACATTGCATTTAAGCTGTCAACCTTAATATTTACAGAATTGTTTGTATTCCTCTTTTATTATCCTTTTAATTTCTGTAAGACTTGACATGTTTTCCCTTTTGTTTCCAATACAGAGAATATTTATCTGGTTTTTTTTTTTTTTGGTTTTATATGCTACCCCTTTTAAAACTTAAGAAAAGAAAAAACCGTAATGCTTCAAACGAATAGAAAAGCATACACAGTGATATAAGATACCCATATATGCTCACCACCTAATATTTGCTTTAGTTTTAATTGAATTTTTAAAACAATGAACATTTAGCGTTGCTTTAAAAGACCAAATGCCTCTTCTCTTCATCTCCCTTAGTGCCTTTTCTAACCACTGTCACTGAAGTAGGTATACAGCATTCTTATGCATATTTTCCTATTGTTCTTGTTTGTATCAGTCCATCATCATTCTATACCTTTTTTGTTTGGTATAGTTACTTAAGTGATATACTGTACATATCCTTTTGGATCTTGTTTTTTTCACTCAGCATTGTTTGAGATTACAAGAATGTTGACACTACAGTGTGTGTACTATGTTAGAAATTAGATTCTAAACATCATGTCTTAAATGAGAAACTGCTGCTCTCTTCTTTTTATCTTATTTGCAATTTATGTTTGAAAACATAACCTATTGTCTGTTGGCAAATAATAAAATGTGAGAATATTTTGAAAATTGTATTAGCCTCTATATTGAAAAGGTTAGAATATTGGATTCTAAGTTTTATTGCCATGTAATTTACATACCATACATGTTGCCCTTCAAACAGTTCAGTGACTTTCAGTGAATTTATAGTTGTGCAACCATTACTGAAGTTCAGTTTTAGAACATTTACATCATTCCCAAAAAGTTACCTCATGCCTGTTTGCAGTCCGTCCACTCTCCTTAGGCAACCATTGATCTGCTTTTTGTCTTCATAGAAATTTTATGTCAGTGGAATTATACAATATGTAGTCTTTTGTTTATGTCTGGCTTCTTTCACTTAATATAATGAGTTAGGATTTGTCTACCTTGTTTGTTGCATCATCAGTACTTAATTCCTTTTTATTGCTATGTAGTATTCCATTGCATGGATAAACCACATGTAGCTGGAAACGTAACTAATGAACTCTATATTGGCTAGTTGGTGGACATTAAGAGTGCTTGCAGTTTGTTGCTGTTGTGAATAAAGCTGCTGTAAGTACCTCTGTAGCAGTCTTTGCGCACACACACACACACACACACACACACACACACACACATATATTTTTTTTTTTGGAGTGGATATGTAGGAATAGATTGCTGAGTTGTATAGTAACGAGATGTTTTAACTTTTAAAGAAACTGCCACACTGTTTTCCAAAGTGGTAATTTTATATTACCACCAACATATGAGGGTTCCAGTTTATCTGTATTCTCACCAACACTTGGTATTTTTTTAATTATAGCCTTTTGAGTTGGTGTATTGTGAAACCTCATTGTGATTTTTAAAATTTGCATCTCTCAAATGACTAACGATATTTAGCACCATTTCTTGTCATTAGCTATTTGTAGATCTTCTTTGGTCAAGTGTCATCTATTCATATATTTTACCATTTTAAACATTGGGTTGTCTGTCTTATTTATTGAGTTGTAAACAGTTGAGGAATGGGCTTTACCAGATACCAGATAACGCTGGTGCCTTGATTTGGGACTTCCAAGGCTCCAAAATGTGAGGAGTAAATTTCTGTTATTTATAAATTACCCCGTATCAGGCATTTTAAGCCCCCTGAATAGACTAAGAGTTCAGTTTATAATTTACTTATACAGAAGTGTATTTTTCAAGAAGGTAATTTTAGCACTGAAACAATGAGGTATATACTTCATGAGCCTTTTTTAGTTGGTTTCTAAAACCATGTTGGGATACTGCCTTGATTCTTGGTTTTTAGCTTTCTTATCCCAAAACGAAAAAACCATTTACTGTATCTGTATTTCTGTTCTGAACCTTCTGGATGTATACTAGTCTTCCCCACCGACCCCCCGCCCCATTAGTGGGAGATAAATTTTAAGACCACCCAGTGGATGCCTGAAATTGTGGATAGAACTGAACCCTAGATAAACTGTGTTTTTTTCCTATGCATACATTCCTGTGATAAAAGTTTAATTATACGTTAAGTACAGTTAAGAGATTAACAAAAATAACCTCACTACTCTTGCATTTTGGGTCATGAGTAAGTCAAATAAGGGTGACTTAAACACAAGACGGATACTACCACAGTCAAACTGAAATGGGTATTGACAGGCAGGATGGTGTCTACAACATGGATATCTTGAACAAAGGGGTGATTCATATCCCTTGTGGGACAGAGTGGAACAGTGAGGGATTTTATCACGCTGTTCAGAGCAGCATGCAATTCACAACTTAAGAATTGTTTATTTCTGGAATTTTCCATTTAATATTTTTGGACCACGGTTAACTTCAGAAAGCAAAGTCTCAGATAAAAGGAGATTACTGTATTACAAATCTGTGAGAAGTTTTCATTGTATTACTTTGTAGTGAAAAGTAATAGATACTCTCAGCCTAGGCCTGCTCAGGTTGTTTTCTTGAAGAACAAGTAATCAAGCCACCGACTAATTAATTTACAAAAAATAGTAGAAATTTATTTCTCACAGTTCTGGAGGTTGGGAAGTCCAAGATCGAGATGCCAGCATATTGTGTCTGGTGAGGGCTGCTCTCTACTTCCAGCTTTGTTGCTGTGTCCTCACATGGCAGAAGGTGGAAGGGCAGAAAGGCCTTGCTAGTTCCCTCCAGCCCCTCTTTTTATTTTATTTTATTTTTTATAGAGATAGCATCTCCCTGTGTTGCCCAGGCTGCTCTTGAATTCATGGACCCAAGTGATCCTCCCACCTTGGCCTTTCCAAAGTGCTGGGATTACAGTGCTCCCGGTCCCCCTTTTAGAAGGGACTGATCCTATCCATAGGGCACAGCCAGAATGGCCTAATCATGTCTTAGAGGCCCTGCCGCTTAATGCTGTCACCTCAAACGCTGTTGCGTTGGGATTTTCAACATGAATTATGGAGGGGACACAAACATTCAGATAGTAGGAGTATACATTTTCCAATTCATATGTATTTTTTGCCTGCAAAAGATAAAAATTTTTCTTGCTTAAAAAGTAAAATTGACTTCCCTAAACTGGTGGTAAGATGGGGAAGAAGTTAATAGGGATTTCATTGGTGCTTTACTGCGAAGCTTCTTAAATGAAAACTCTGTGAGGGAGAAAGTGAGTGACTTGGAGTGCTGGTGGATTAACATATAAGCTCTGCTGCAAGATTATTCCCATCAGAGAATTAGTTGTGCCTTTTTGGAAGGTATCTCTTTTATTTTGTATTTTACACAGTTATGTGGAGATTGATGTAACATATGAAGCACCTGCTTCATGCAGACATTAACTTAACACAATGTTTTTCCAGCATAGTTGATGCACAGAAGTGCTAATATGGAAAATAAGGACGGTGTTTTAATAAGCATGTTATAATCTTTTAAACATACATTATCTTGGAGCTTGCCTGAAATGGATTTTGAGTGTTTTCAAGTCTTCTCTGGTGATGATAGGTACTACTGAGTTAACCACAGTCTTTTGGTTAGGCTACAGTTAGTTAGCAAAGAGCTACATGTAGCTATGTAGGTAGTCTGATTTTGTCCTCTTATCAAGCATAGCCTAATAAACTGAATGGATTGCCCAAGCTGATTTGGATGTTTTCCCTCAGTTACAAATCAGGAAGCATGTTTTGCAGGCTGTTGAAGAAATGTGGATAACAGGTGACTGGACTTGATTTCCTTCTTTAATTCTTCCCCAAGCATAACAAGTTTTGCCCTCATTAGCTGCATTTTCACTGTGTGGTTTAATTAGGTTTTCCTTACAAGATTCAGCACTAATTATGCTTTTTGCTTTTCTGTTTTTGAAGAGTATTCTTTGACACTTTTGTTTATTAGTGTCTTTGGGAGTGGGGAGGGAGGGCATTTGGGGAAGGAATGCTGATATGACTGGGAGACTTGTGCTACTACCTCAGCTCTAGGCTGCTCTACTTCATGTGGGCATAAAATGTGTATAAAAAGTTAAACCTGCTAACAAATAATGGAATCTCATTTGGTGCAATATAAAGGTAGTATCTCTTGTCTCTTATTCTCATCATTAGTATAGCTGCGAAAGAGGATTGTTTGGAACCCTTCTGAATCTTTCGAGTCTGATAAGAATAAACCAACTTTACTGTTCACCTCCCTGCAGATCGTGGCTGTTAGCACATCTAAGGTGCATCTGTAGTTCTTGTCACTGATGAAATGGCTTCATGGGATATGGGGGATCCTTTTTTTTCTTTTTTTAAACATTGGTTTCCATAGATAAACATTGAGATGGCTTCTTGTAACAGATTTATGAATTGGCTGACTCATCCTTAATCTTTGCTATTTGTTTGTTTACAATTTGTTCTCTGGGCTAAAGTTGATTTCTCTTTCTCCTTATATGTGTGTAAAATGTCCTTAGGTTTGTACTCTGAGATGTCTGTATGGTTTATAATATACTTTAAAATTTCTAAATAGCTTAGAGTAAAAGATAAGTAATTATTTGATAAGGCTTAACAGTTAAATTATTTGCACATTTTTATAGATTGTGGAAAATAGCGTACCTTACTTCTTTTGTAACCACAGTGAAAGTTCCTTACTGTTTACTAGCTTTCAGATAAGAGCACAAACCTCAGATAGAGTTCTGTGTGTTCAGTATTTGGGTAACTGCAAAGAGTTCTTATACCCATCAGCCTTTCTTAACCAGCTCTGAGAGAATTAGCCCTCCTGCTCCAAGACTTCCATTGTAGACAGTTACCTTTTCCCCTATGCATTCAAAATGGTACTAGTTGTAATAGATAGTTGGAAGAATTGAGAAAATAATCACTCATGTCATTTTTTGGGTGTTCTGTGGTTCAGACTGAGAAAGGCCATGGACCTAGAGAGTACACTGTGATATTATTTCTCATTCAGATTTACAAATGTAAAACAAAACTGCCTGCAGAGTTGTTCTTAGTACTTTAAGACATAACCTGGCATATGCTTTTGGCTTTTCAGTAACCCAAATAGTTAGTGAACCGCCTGTAGTCCTTTCTTTCACAGGCAGTAATGTGCTTTGGCTGCTCAAATTATTTGGAATTCCTGTACTTTTTATTTGTCTCTCACCTTACATAGGTTTTCTTCTCTGTTAGGGATGTTCCCTTTGTTCACCTAGTTCACTGAACTTGAAGAGTCACTTCCTTTGTGTAGCCCTTAGTCAACTGCCAGCACAAGGTTGGTATTCCCTCTTTTGTGCCGCAGTACCTGCACTTAAAATCATTATCTATCACATTTAAAAACAATATTTTACAGAATTGCCTCACCATTCCTATCTCTATCCATCCCTGGAGGGCAGGGACTGTTAGGTTTGTCAACACCTAATGTATGTTGGTTGAATGTTGAATGAGTTGTTGATACACGTTTGCTGTATAAGGTAGGCATTTTACAGTAAAGTTTTGCAGTATTAATAATGGCAGTGGCCGGGCACGACGGCTCATGTCTGTAATCCCAGCACTTTAGAAGGCTGAGGCAGGCGGATCACCTGAGTTCTGGAGTTCAAGACCAGCCTGGCATACATGTTGGTGAAACCCCGTCTCTACTAAAAATACAAAAAAAGTAGCCAGTTGTGGTGGCGGGTTCCTGTAGTCCCAGCAACTCAGGAGGCTGAGGCAGGAGAATCGCTTAAACCCGGGAGGTGGAGGTTGCAGTGAGCCAAGATGATGCCACTGCACTCCAGCCTAGGTGACAGGGGGAGAGTCCGTCTCAAAAAGCAACAAAAAACAAAAACCCAGAACGAAACATTCAAAGGGCACCAAACAGCGGAACACAAAGGTGAAGCTGGTTTTCCTTCTTTTGGAAACAGTTACTTGTTTTTGTTTTAATTATTTACTGAAGGATTTAGTCAGACTTTTAAGTTTGTTCTGTTACATTGAACATTGGTCATACTGTGAAGAAGGGTCACAATTGATAATGCTTATTACCTATTTTTAAAAGATCAACTGATGAATGAGTAGTGGCAGTGTATTGTGAAAGCTCTGAATTTGCAGAGGAAAGTAACAGTTGAATTTTCTTGAAAGTAAAACTAAGAACTGTGTGTAGTAATTTAACTTCCCACGTCAGTGAGTAATTTAACCATATTAACCACCCAAAGAAGTAATGAAAATAAAGCTTTTATTCAAATATTTGGCTGTACACATTATATCTGTTTTACATTTCAAAGCTACATTTATTGAATGGACAACACTTTTTTCTCTCACACTTCTTTACCTTCTGTAGAACAGATAGAGCGAGTCACTTAAGTTTTTAATTCCTACCTGCAAACCTTCTTCGTAATTACATTTATTTCTGAAATGCCTTACAGCATCTTGTCAGCTTCCTCCCCTCAGCCCCAGAGATTTAAATCAGGTAGATTCTTACGATATCAAGAAGTGTTCAGCTTCTTCTATAGAAAGTCATGATTTATTGCAACATACTGCTATAACTGCTTTGCCAGTTCATCCACTGTGAATCCACTGACTGTACTCTCTAGTGTGCATCTTAGTACATTTTGTGTTGCTGTAACAATACCTGAGACTGGATAATTTATAAAGAAAAGAATTTTATTTGGCTCATGATTCTGAGGTTGGAGAGTCCAACATTGGGCAGCCCCTTTGGTTGCGGGTCTTGTGCTCGCTCCTTCAGTTCATGGCAGAAAATGGAAGGAAGCCAGCATGTGCAAGAAGGAACAACCCACTCTTCGAGTAATGAATCCAATCCTGTGAGAGCAAGAACTCACTCCCACAAGATGGCATAGTCTATTTATTAGGTATCCCTCCCATGACCTAAACACCTCTGACTAGGCCCCACCCTCTAACACCGGCACATTGGAAATCAGATTTCAACATGAGTTTTGGTGGAGACAGACCACATCCAGACTATAGGCACATGCATCAAATATTTTTGCTTTGTATGCTCTGAATGTTTTTTGGTGTTCATAGGTTTAGCTCATAATCTCCAAAAGGGAAATTGTAATAACTTCTAACTTGCAATTGAACTCAAACCAGTATAAACAGGGTTATTACTTTAAAAAAAAGTTTTAGGAAGAAGTGGTAGTTTAGTATTTTAAGCTGTATCAATTGGATGAAATAAAGTGGAGGAAATGGTTTAGAAGTATTAAATTGCTGAGTTTATAGAAATAACTTATATGTACTGCATGAAAAGGAATGTATTTGAAAAAGATGCCTGATGTACGATAAAGCAATTTAGCATTATTTCAGCGCAGAGATTGATTTATAAGTTAATACTTTAATATAAAGTCATACCATTGCTTTAATGGTGATGGTGGAGCAGAACACATTTCTAAGAATTTACTGTTGTTAAAACAAAGATTTCTATTGGAAGACATATGTAAGTCATCCTTTTTTTCAAAGTGTAACTGTGTTTGGGAAGGAAATAAATATATGAATAAAATGTGTTTTAAATTATGTCATCAAAAGGTGGGATGTAATGTTCTTCGCAGATTTAAAGAAGCATTTCATGTATATTTGAACTTAGAAGTTTTGGAGACTGAAGGCATTTGCTAAGCATTGTTTTTCTGTTCATTCATTTAAGGCTCCGTATGGCATCTGTGTCAGGCTGACAAATTCACGTGTTACAGAGTTCAGTCAAGAGGCCAGGTGTGCAACTGTTAGCTAACAGGTGGTATAAGCGTTAAGATGCCCAATAACCTGTTCTCACATCTGTCTCTGTATACCGTGGTCAGTGAAGACTGTACAAGTGTAGCTGTGGAAAGTTTATGGACAGTAAGTGGGATAGGTGTTGAAAGACACTTCTGGCATTGATGGGAGACTGTTTCGGTGGAAAGTGACTTCAAACAATAGTGCCAGGATGGTGTAATTTACATTTGGCCCAGATTCACCTTAGTTCTTTGAGAGAACTAATTTTTCTCATTGTGGCAATTGTAATTGGCCCTCGGAATGGATCTGTTTTTAAAATAGTGAAGTGAACATTACATTGCATTTTTTACTTTTGAGATAAATTTTGGTAAACAAGTCTTGATTTTTTTCATGCGTAAAACTGCCTGCTTAATGGTTAAAGTCTCCTTATGCTTTAATGTAAACGTTTGTTATCAAAGATGTGCAACAGCCTGATAGCAAAAACAGATGCACAGATAAGCTCAAGTAACCAGTGAAATCTAAAACTATTCATAAGGTGAGTTTAGTTTTGAATTATTATATACACTAACCTGTGTATATAACCAGTATTGGGGGCAGAGTCCTATTGGTACAGATAATTAACACTGGCTATCAATTTTCCTATATAACAAAGCACAGGCTTTTTATCCAAGGTGTCTCTATTTGTATTTAGGCAATTTTAATAGCTAAGGAGTTGACCTATACGTGACTTGCATTTGAATTCTTAACTGTAATATGCCAGTAACTTTAGTAGTTTTGAATGCAGCTCCTCTCTTCGAGCCTCTTGGGACACTGCGTCTGTCCTTGTCTGTCAGATTCTCAAAAACTTTACCTGGGACACACACAAGTAAACCTGGGTTCAGTAGTTTCCCTTTCCTTTTTTCCTTTCTTGAGAGTGGGGAGAAGCTTCTTTGTTGGACAGAAATCACTCATCTCATTTTTTTTCTGGCACTTTATGGATTTTACACCATCTCCTACAGAATAGAGTTTTGATTAGAGTATTCAAGACCAAATTGCTTACTTTCAGGGTAGCTTTATTATTCCAGCCCAATACTGCACTCCCTACTGCATTTTTGATACAAACTTGCTCATTTGAAAGGGTGTGAAAAGAATGATGTGGTTCCTGAGATTTAGCTACTCAGGGAGTAGGAGGAGACAGCAGGAGTTGGGTTAAATCTAGGAGGAATGAGGTGGGGGAATGTCTAGTGTTTTGAGGAAGGGCTGTGAGAAACAAAATGCTATTTTCTGAGAAGCTTGTTAAGAGAGTTGTCCCTAAGGCAAGTAGTTCTCTACTGGGATTTCACATTTCTAGAATCTCCTCGGGGGATCTATTTAAAATACCTTTGTTTAGGTGGGCCCATCTCCTACCCATTAAGTCAGTGTCTCTGTTAAGTAAACAGCATTTCACCTGTTTGAACTTAGGAGTTTTAGAGGCTGAAGGCATTTACTAAGCAGACTTTGATTTTCTTTTAATTAATTCATTCAAAGGCTCCATATGACACTTGTGTCAGGGTGACAAGTCTCCATTTGTGACATAGTTTAGGCTGGACCAGAGCATCATTGTTCTTTAAAGGCTCCCCAGCTGATCTAATGTGCAGTCAGATTTTTGAGCCACTGATCTCCAGGACAAGCATGGTTGAGAATCAGTGATGTGATCTGGTGGCTTTGTCTCCCAAGCTGCTTATTTTTTAGTAGTGTGTGTGTATTTTGTTTAATCTTCAAGTGAATTTTAAGTTTCCAGTTAGATAGTACAATAGTATGGTATAGGGGTTCATAGTAGCTGAGTACATACGTGATCCCTAAGTAACAGTGCTGATCTGGCTCCTTGCCTTCAGTTCCTGCCTTGTGTTGTCAGCCCGGTCTTGTCAGCCCAGTCTCTTCAGCTTAGCCACCCTAGTCTTCTTTTAGTGTTAACTAACGTATGATTTTTCTTCCTACCACAGGGTCGTTTTCCATGTTTTTCCTGGCTGAGACCACCCATGCGTGGCCACCCCCTTACCCCACCGCTGGCCCAGACGTGGCCACAATTTTTGAAAAAGTCCTTGATGTTCCTGTCCTTTGGAACACTTCCCTCATTTGCAATTTTCTATCCATGTGTGTGATTATTTGCTTGTTTGGCTCCCTTATTAGACCAAGCTTTTTGGATCTGCCTATTCTTATCCACTTTTATTTCTAGCATCTCCTCAGTGCCTGAGATACAGCAGATGTTGAATGAATGAATAAATGAAAAGTGCAAGGTAACTAGACAGAAATTCAATTAGTTGTATGTGTCTGTAGAACAGAATAGGAGAGCAGTGCAATAATGTAAAAGCTTCTGGGGCTGGAGAAATTGTAATGGACAGGAATAGTCAGGGAAAGCTGTAAATTGGAGGTAGAAATAGGGAAGAGGGTAATGGTTGTCAGGTTTGGGGGTGAGAAATGGTGGGAAAATAGGTAAGGTAACCAGACCTATTTGTTTAGGGTATAGGGATGTTGCTTGGGAAAGGCAAACATTAAATTGGTATCAAATTGAGGGGTTTAGGTTTTAGTTGAAAGACATTGAGGGTCTTAGAGGAGGGATTAAAGCAGTACTGGTAAAAGATGAATTTAACTTTAGGGTAGAGGCTAAAGTGGGAACGGTAAGGAAGGAACTGGAAATACTGTGTGTGAGACATGAGTAGGATATGGGTTTTATCTTGGCTTCCTGGAGTGTAGTTTTGAGGAATCTGGGGCCCCATTTTCTACCGTGTTGCCTATGGGTTTAGGAGGGAGAGCATTTATTTATGCTTGGGTATTTGTTATCTCTGGGCTTTTTGGAAATTACTAAAGATGAATGGTAAAGTCAGTGTGGGAAACCTTGTGGAGGAGAAATAAATAGCCAGTGTTTATAAAGGGTGGTTATTTTTTAGAGGAATTGTTATCAAATGATAGTTAATGCTTATTGTAGCAAAATTTAAGTAGTTTGAATTTCTTTGGGTTGATCTTTTTTTAAAAAAAAAATTAGGATAATCCAAACCTTTTTAAAGTTCTAAATTGGCAGGCAGACTACTTGTTCGTTCTTTTGATTGTTCATTAATAGCAGATGAATCCTAGGGCAGATTTTTAATATTTTAGAAACATATTTTCATGTATTTATGAACATTAATCCCAAGATATTTATATGAATTTTATAAGGAAGGCAGTGTTACAAGATAAAAAAAAAAAAAAGACTACTGTACCCAGAAGTTAGCAGACACTAAACTTTTGGCAAATCACTTAGTATTTGCATTTCATCTTTAAAATACAGTAGTCCCCAGTAGCTGTGATTTCATTTACCAGTTAGTTACCCACTGTCAACTTCTATCAGAAAATAGGTGAGTACAGTAAGATATTTTGAGGTAGGAAGAGAGAGCAACATATACCATGTTCACATAATTTTTAATACAGTATATTGTTATAATTGTTCTGTTTTAATATTGTTAGTCTCACTGTGTCTGATTTATAAATTAAAGTTTATCATAAGTATGTAAGTGTAGGTAAAAACGTAATATGTGGGGGTTCAGTACTGTCTGAAGTTTCAGGCATTCACTGGGGGACTTGGAACATATCCTCTACAGATAAGGTGGACTACTGGTAGAAGAAATCTGACTAAATAATTCTAAATGGGAAGGGGCAGCAGAACATGGTTGCCCACTATTTATTGTATGGACTTACCCCACAGCTTAAAAGAAAACAGATCCTAATACAAAGAAAAATGGTAATCATGATTGGTGTTTTTTAATTTTTTCGATAATTATTCCTGTTTTTAATTGTCCTGGGAGTAAGATGCATGGGGATTTATCACTGTTCTTTGCTAATAACTAGCCTTGCAGGAAGCCTAAGCCTATTTAGTGGCTAAGCTCATCCGAAAGCATTGTCAAAGCCAGAATATCCGTGGCAGTATCTTGAAGGCTTCTGTGATCCTGGTGGGCACCTGGTTGGAAAATTTTCCATGCAAAGGTTACCTTAAATGACCTGTGATGCACAACTTTGGGGAGTCAGTTTAGTATTGGTACATGTGCTGAGGTAGTCCCTCCAGATACCTAATGGCTTTGCCTTCAGCTGTCTCTACTATTTACCCCACAATGGGGTAGGATGGTCTGACCTGATTTAAGTTCCTTAATTTTTGCCATACTTCAGCACCTATCTCTATACCTGGTTTCTAATATCTAGACCCCTTAGAAAATGCTTCCTCTGCTGCTTTCTATCCAGCTTCTTCCCAAAAATGGCAAAAAAAAATTTGCATTTAAGGAAGATTAGAGGCAATATCATCCCTTTTCCCCAAGACTGTCTTTCCTGAAGGATCAAATGGAGCTAATCAGAGGCTGTTAAACCTGGGAGAGTGTCAAACATGCAGGGACCCTGTCTTGTCTTATCCTAAGAAACTTATTTGCTTTGCTGGCTTCTCCTGTGCCCCGCCCCCATCCTTAATTCATCCCCCTCTTCTGTCCTTTTTCATCAGAGCTACCTGGAGTTCATCCAACCATAGCAAACATGTTGTATGTTGTATATTTGTTCTTTTTCCTAGTCCCAATTTTCTACTAGTAAGCACATTTAAAATATTTGTTTCATTTCTACTCTGTACTTTGAAACATACAGGTGTTTTCTATCCTTGTCTTAAACCTACATTAAAGTAATATATAGAATACGTTTATTGGAAGGGAGTTGATTAGCCATGGTACAGTGCTAAATTTACTAAAAACTAAATTTTAAAAATTACGATTTCTTAAAACATGGAGTTTTCCTAAGGTACTTAATATTTTTCAGTTTTTAAAGAATTTTACTTTAGTATGGACCCTATGTAAAGTACATGCACAGCTTTAGACTAAATATGTGGGAAATTTTGAAGACTTTAAACAATTTATCAATGCATATTGTAGTTAGATTCAAGCTGGATCCTTACCTGTTATCAGATGCCAAATATAGGATAATGCTCTCAGCCACCAAGTATAGCCAAGCGAGTTCAAGACTGTATAATTTCACACCGAGCACCCAGCATCCATTTGTGGCACATGTAGCTTGATCCTGTTATTTTTCCTATGGGGATATTCAGGATCATAGATTGGCCCACTAGACTGATTTCAAGGCTTTCAGTGATATTTTCACTGGAGAAAAGGACATTTAATGGGAAGCTTTTATTGGGGAAAAAAGAATTCTACCGAGAAGATTAATGGGTCTATAATTTTAGAGACAGAGACGAAACACTGTTTTAAGACAAATTAAACAGGGGTACTGGCATTAACTTCAGAAAACATTTCACTGGGTTCTTGGAAAGAAAAATTTTCCTAACATGAGAACCTAAGCAGTGGCGCATTTTCCAGACCAAAATTTCTTCTTGTCATTCAAAGGTTTCAGATATAATAAATTATAGCCCCATCATGAAGAGTCTGAATGCCAGAGAAAACAAATGACGGGGCAAGGATGGCACAGCTAGTTACTATGCATGAGGGCTAGACGTTGGTCACTTCACCGCCTTATTGTTATGAGGGCTAATTTAATCAGATTAACTTCATCTCAAGCATCTATTGGTTCGAATAAATTGAGTTTACAGTGCTGTGCGCTTTTTTTTTTTTTTAACATGAAGCCTGTAACCAAAGGATGTGATAATGGCAGTAGTCAAAAAGGTAAATTGTATACTTGTTTGCTTATGTGGGTCACCAATATGTCAGCCTTGCTACTCAGACCCCTTACTTGCTTAATGATAGATATTTGCTAGGAACATTACCACCGCCAGCCCTGTCTTAATCCGTTCAGGCTGCTATAACAAAATATCATGGACTGGATAGTTTATAAGCAACAGGAATTTATTTCTCACAGTTCTGAAGGCTTCGAAGTCCAAGATCAAGGTGCTGGCAGATTGATTCAGTACGTGGTTCATCACAACTTTTTGGCTGTTCTTACATGCTGTAAGGGGAGAGGGGTCTCTCTCTAGAAGAGCACTAATCCCATTCATGAGAGCTCTGACTTAACTACCTTCCAAAGGCCCCACTACCTAGTATCATCACCTTGGGGATTAGGATTTCAACATATGAGTTGTGGGGGCGGGGAGGACACAAACATTTGGATCACAGTAAGTCCCTTTTCCCTAATATCCTAACTGAAAGAAATGTGCATTTTTCCAGTTTGACAGGATTGTATGTCTTTATTCTTTAGGGCTGTGTGGTTGAGTGGATACCGAGTATTGTTAACTTGAGAATAGCAAACCTTACTCTCATGAAAAAGCAAGGTTTGCCATTCCTTGTAGCTCTTGTCATCTAGACTCTAGTTGCCCTACCCTCTGTATTTTTAGGGTCTGGGAGCTCAGGATGGTTTTCACAGTTTTAAATGGTTGTTATGTATGTGTCTACTTAATATTCTTGATTTTGTTTTTTGGCCTAAAAGAGTTATTATCAGACCCTTTACAGAAAAAAATTGTTGATCCCTGGTCTAAAGGAATACCATACAAGGCCAGGCACAATTCCTCATGCTTGTAATCCCAGCACTTTGGGAGGCCGAGGTGGGTGGATCACCTGAGGCCAGGAATGTTTGAGGGTGTGGAAAGTGCATATGTATCTATTCATTGTCTGTTGGTGTGTAACACATTACCCTGAAAATAGCCACTTAAATATTATCTCACAGATTTTTGAGAGTCAGGAATCTGGGAGTAGCTTAGCTGGATGGTTCTGGCTCAGAGTTCCTAATGAAGCTATAACAAAATGTTAGCTGGGGCTGCAGTCATCTGAAGGCTTGACTGGAGCTAGAGGATCTGCTTTTCAAGATGACTCACTTACATGACTGCTGAAGACCTCAGTTCCTTGCTGGTTCTTGGCAGGCAGGTCTTAATTGTTGACCATATGAACCTCTCCATAAGGCTTTATGAGTGTCCTCATGATGTGACTGCTGGCCTCTACCAGTGACCCAAGGGAGAGCAAGGCGGAAGCCAGGATTTCTTTTATATTCTAACTCAGAAGTCACTCAGAACCTCATATTCTGTTAGCTGTGATTCTCTAACTCCAGCCCCACAGTCAAGGAGAAGAGAATTAGGCTCCCTATTTTCTTCTTTTAAGGGAGGAGTATCAAAAAGTTTATGGACAAATTTTAGAGCCACTGCAGTCTATTTCAGTGGTAGTGGTGGCAGTGGCAGCGGCAGTGGGCTGTAGTATATATGCATTGGAAGGTATTAATGGATTGTATTTTTTTAGGAGTATGGTTGGTTTACATATAGTAAGTCTTGGTGACCTTTCTAGGCAAGCAGCAGAAGGGAGGCACATGAGCATGTATATTTTGGGTGAAATTAGGCGTGTTTATTTGGATGGTGTGTGTATTTTTTGTTGGTATCTTGGTGTGTGTATGCATGTGTTTGAAGGCATGTGCATTTGAGGGGTGTGTGCACTTGTGTGGGGATAGATTGCTTGAGGGGCATAGGCAGGTTTGTGTGTGTGTGCATGTGCGCACACGTACCTGTCTGAAGGGCGAGTCTATGCTGGTGTGTCTGGGATGATGTTGGGGTAGGGTAACACTGGGATGCTGTGTTAGCTGGAAGGAAAGTTGATTGGTGGGAAAGAATAGACTCCCCACTGTCATCAGGTGGGTTAGGATTTCATTTGGAGGCCCCTAGGAGAGGCCATATCTCTACTTTTGGGGTCTGCTTTTGCCCTGAACTGGGATTATTTCATTACAAACGCACATATGTATGTACATACATACACATGTGAATTTTATATGGATGACTTCGCTGTACGAGCCTGTGGAATGCATCTCACCCAAGCCACCCCATTGTAGTCTACCTCCATCAACTCAAAGGTTTGCTTGAGATATCTCTGGACTCTTAATTTTCATGTTTCCAAATTGGCCCAATGGATTTATCTATGAAGGAGATTGATTAATATACAAAGACTTATTCCCTCCTATTAGAACATATCCCAGAGCATCTCTATTCTGAGAAGACCTTAAACTGTGGATTTTAAAATCAGTCTACTGGTCAAGTGTCATCAGAGGAAAGAAATACAGAAGTGATTGATCCTGCAATACCAGGTGTTGACACTCTTCCTTACTCTTCAAAATATTATTTCCAGAGGCTTGGGTTTTAAAAGAAAGAGTGAAAACTTTATGAGGTACTTAAGATTTAGTTAGGGAATTAAATACATACGCAAAAACTCAATTTAAGAATATATAAGCAAGTAAAAACAAAATATAAACTCTGTTAATTCTTCTGCAATAAAAAGCATTGACGGGGCCGGGGTGGAGAGGGAAAGTTCTTGGATGTAGATATTAAATTGCTCCATGATTGTGTCACTGTGTAGATGAAAGTGTCTGTAGAAAAGAGGTAGACGACATTTGTGTATGGTCATTTTCAGTCAATTTAGCTATGTTTTCGAATACTCGTCAAGGCATAATCCAATGTAAATACTATGTTTTTTAGTTCTCGTAGTTGATAACTTGAGAAAAATTAAAAATCAGACATTAAATGTACCACCTGAGATTCTGCAGGTCCCGCATGGAATATTAGCCAGTCATCCTTGTTGTTTGTCTTTTGTAAACGGGAATATGCTGGACCAGACGTTTATTATTTGAGATCCACAAGGCCCCTGAAATTGCATGCAGACATTTGTATGTGTACTTACTTCTGAGTAGGTTAAAGTTTCAACATATAGTCCTTTGTATCCCAAGTTTCACTCCTCAGATTCAACCAACCACTTGTTGAAAATATATTCAAGAGAATAAAACCAATAAAAATAACAATACAACAATTAAAAATAATACAGTTTGATAATTATTTCCATAGCATTTACATTGTATTAAGCATTATTAGTAATCTAGAGATTAAAAGGTATATAGGAGGATGTGCATAGGTTAAATGCAAATATGCCATTTTACATAAGGGACTTGAGCACCCACAGATTTTGGTACCCGTGGGGGTCCTGGAACCAATCTGCACAAGGAAGATTTTGGTTGGCAGCACCACTGTCCAGTCTAGTCATTGCAGCTGTTGGTCTGAGTGTGGAACTCAAAAATTCAGAGGGGGAAATCACCATATGCTGTACCCTCCCCCACAATCAGGCACTTACCACTTCGTTTTAAACATGCTCATAGTTAATCTGTGGGACAGTTTGTTCAGTTCTGCCAAAACCTTGTCAGCCGGGGGTTTGTCATGATCTTAAATATTTGAGAAGGTTGAATAAAGTTAATTGTTATTATGCAAACAGATCAGTTAAATTGAAAATTATTGAGTATTTTTTCTGTGCGAAGGCTTATTTTGAGTTTTGTGCTTTTGGAAATATTCTTAGTTGAATTTGCTAATTCCTTCAGAGAAGATGGGTCATTTGTTGGATAGGCAACACCTCTTTTAGGATTAAGGTTTCAGTGGTTAGTCCTGATATGTCCTGACCCATATCCCTACCAATCCCAAATATATTTCCTAGCTCTCGTTTGAAAGGGAACAATTTTAGCCCTGGGTGACTGTATTTGTTGTTCCCATGAGATAATACTTCATATAAGAAATATTGATGTGTTTGAGTCTTCTTGAAGTTTTTCCTTACTAAATGTTATGTTTGGGGATGTGGAAACATACTGGAAATAACATGGTGTTGTGGGTTGCTTATTAAAAATAAGTATAAAAGGAAGTTGGTTTTCTTTTCTTTTTTTTTTTTTTTTTTTTTTTTTTTGAGACAGAGTCTTGCTCTGTCGCCCAGGCTGGAGTACAGTGGCGCGATCTCGGCTCACTGCAACCTCCGTCTCCCGGGTTCAAGCGATTCTCCTGCCTCGCCTCCGGAGTAGCTGGGATTACAGGTGCACACCACCATGCCCAGCTAATTTTTGTATTTTTAGTAGAGACGGGATTTCACCATGTTCTCCAGGCTGGTCTCGAACCCCTGACCTCAGGTGATTTGCCTGCCTGAGTCTCCCAAAGTGCTGGGATTACAGGCATGAGCCACCATGCCCGGCCATAGGAGGAAGTTTTAAACGTGCTTTTTATGACTGATACATTTAATGCAGGAATACCTTATTTAAGAGGGTGAGTCTCTTTAAAGGACACTTGGAGAAGATGCTTTATTATTGGTCATGGATGGAACTCAAAATTGTGGTCTGGTTCTGAAACAATTATATTCTCAATTCTAGTATGTTGCTTTAAATGCGTTTGTTTCCCATAATGAGGGCTGGGTGCTGTTGTGGAAGACACAGTAACAGTAGGAACCATGGACAGCTGCTAGAGTAACAGGTGGGACACTGTCATTGCTGTAAACCATCAAAACAGTGGCAGGAGCTGTATTGGGTAGGGCAGCTCTGAATACTTCTCCAGGGAATCTCACCATAATAGCAACCTAAAGTAATCAAAAGAAGAAAAAATTCTTTTCCGTGTAATATTAAATGATACAGGGTCTAATAGAATACAGTTTTTAAAAACTAGAATCAGTGGTGGTGCTCAATAAATGTAGTGTGGCAGTTAAGGCTTTTTTTTTTTTTCTTTTGGAATATTTTTTCTGTAGCATCCACATTCTGAGGTATATATGTGTCTGAAACTTGGGGGAAAATATATTCTTCTGATTTCACTAAGACCAAAGTTTTTAAAACTTGAATTTGCCTTATTAATATGTATATACAAGTGTGTAAGAAAAACAAAAATAGCACTTGTATACTTTTTCTTCCAAGTGTTTGTTGTACTGATTCCAAACCTTTTTTTCTCAGTCATATTGATGAGAATGTAGGACAGGTATTTTCTTTGTTTTAGCAGTTGGGAAAACAGGCTGAAGGCTGTGGTTCGTTCTTAAAAGTCATCTGCAAATTGATAAAAGAGCCAGGGCTAAAATTCCATTTTCTTAACATCTGTTACTCTTTTCACTGGCGTTACATTCAGATTAAGAAATGCAAGGGCTGATCACGTGTCTCATCCTGGGGGTCCCAGCACCTTGGGAGGCCAAGGCTGGCGGATTGCTTAAAGCCAGGAGTTTGAGACCAGCCTGAGCAACAAAGCAAGATTCTGACTATAAAAAACAAAACAAAACAAAACTGGAAACGGTGGTACGCACCTGTACTCTCAGCTACTCTGGAGACTGAGGGAGGATTGCTTGAGCCCAGGAGTTCAGGGCTACGGTGAGCTATGATCACACCACTGCACTTCAGTCTGGGTGACAGAGCAAGAGCCTGTCTTAAAAAAAAAAAAAAGCGAGCAGATGAGCTCTATAAATATTACTATGCTGTGAAATCTTGTCTGATCTCAGAATCTATTATTCCAGTTCTCTGAACCCCTTCAGATTTTGGTTGTCTCATCCAAAGTGCAGCATATCCATCCTGCTCTCCTTTCCAGTAGACGTCGCTTGTCTACTGTGTTTACTTCCAATTCACCGATTCTACAAACCTTTATGCAGTGCATACACTCTTACTCATCTAGGTCAGTGCTTCATTTTTAAGAGATGGTTGATTGTACCTTCTTATAAAGCTGTTTAGCTTAGAGTAAAAAATGCTTTACTCTATTACTCTGCTCCAAAATTAGACAAGTAGCTGTCTTTACTTTCATTCTCTTCTGAGTTCTTGTACCTCAATTAAGACATTCTTTGGCCATGAAACTGCGTGGGCTTCTAGTTTATTTTTAACTTTTAAAAATGGATATAACTGAAACACAAGAATAGAAATAATCTCCCTGTTCATCACCCAGCATCAACAGTTTGTATATTGGCAGGCCTCTTGATCTTCATAAATACTGTACGGACTTATTGTTTTTGTTAAGCCATCAGCTTAACAGTGCACTTGTATAAAAGTGCATTCTGGGCAAAAAACTGGCTCAACACCATTAGTCATTGGGGAATTACAAATTAAAATCACATTGGGATGCTACTATACACCCACGTTAATGGCTCAGATTAAAAAGACTGACAGAACGAAGTGTTGTTGAGGATATGGAGCAATTGGAATGCTCATACTTTGCTGGAGGGAATGTAAAATAGTACAATCCCTTTGAAAAAGAGTTTGGCAGTTTATTATATAATTGAATATATATCTTGCCATAAAGTTAAACATATACTTGCCATAGGCATTTTAGCCAAGATAAATGAAAACATATGTCTGCACAAAGACTTGTTAATGAATGTTCATCTCAGCTTTATTTATAATAGTGGCAAGCTGGAAAAAGCCCAAATATCCATCAGCAGGAGCCTGGATAAACAAAACACATAACAACATGGATGATTCTCAGAAATACTCTGCAATGAAAGTAGCCTTACACATAAAGAAGAGTATATAGTGTATAATTCCATTTATGTGAAATTCCAGGAAAGACAAATGGAATCCGTAGTTACAGAAAACATCAGTGGCCTCCTGGAGCTGGGAATGGGGATTGTCTAGAAGCGGCACCGAAGAGGATGAGGGGTGATGATTAATAGCTGTATACATTTGTCAAAACTTCTTAAAACTGTACACTTTATTGTATATAGATTGTACCTCATTAAAATTTACCCTGTGCAAGCATTGGCCATGTCAGTAAACTGCAGCACCTGTTCTTCTTCACGTTTTTTGTTTTTATTTTTGTTTGGATGGCAGGTAATCATTCACCTGTAAACAAGCAGGGTGTAATTTTGGAGGTACCACTAGTCTTTAGTTCTATTCCAGCTGTAGGGAGGGCTGGATAGGGTCAGAAGTAATGGGATTCTTTGCTGCTTTCCTCTACTACAGGCTGTTTGGGTCTTCTTTGGAAGATGAAGCTTTGGCTCTTAAATCCTTATTCCTGGGCAGGATAGCTCCAGTTTCTTTCAGAGACCGAAATATTTTCACCTCCCTTCCCCACTATCCCAGAAAAACATACTTAATGTTTTAGAGAACACTTTGTTTAACTAATGAATCTATCGTTATTTCTCCTGATAGTTCTACTTTTGGCCACAAATTGTTTGATGCTCAAGTTTGTCTTTAGAACACAGCAGTTTCTCATTATCTGAGGTATTCGATTAGTGATACAAATTAGTTTAAAACTCCAACAAAATATAGTCATAATGATATTCAGAGCTCCCCCACCTAACTTTTGGTGTTGGTTATGCTGTCTGGAATATAAGGCTAATTGGGATAGGGTGTAATGATATATCACTTTGCGTCACTTACTAGTTAGAATATTGTAATCCTTCTCTAGGTGGCCCGTAATGGTTTTGAGTACAGTGCTTAGGAATGTGAAGAAGTCCAAGAAACATCTGTTCCTAAAAATCATCTAGATTTTTAAGAGTTCGAGAAAGGATTGGGGCTTGTCAAAAGGAAATAGGGATTGGGTGCAGTGGCTCACACCTGTTAACCCAGCACTTCGGGAGGCTGAGGTGGGCAGATCACTTGAGCCCAGGAGTTCAAAACCAGCCTGGGCAACACAGTAAGACCCTATCCCTACAATTAATTAGTTAATAAGCCAGGCGTGGTGTCATGTGCCTGTATGTAATCCCAGCTACTCAGAAGGCTGAGGTGGGAGGTTCACTTGAGCCTGGATATTTGAGGCTGCAGTGAGCTATGATCACTCCATTGCATTTCAGCCTGCTCAGTAGAGTGAGACCCCGTCTCTTTTTATTTAAAAAAAAAAAAAAAAAAAGAGAGAGAGAGAGAAAATAGGAGACAGCCCAAAGGAGGAGCTCCTGATGGCCAAAGCTGGAACAATTTGAGCAAAAAAATATATAATGACAGTTTTCTATTTTAACCTATAGGATAAAATAAGTATCCATGAATTCATATTGATATAAATAATTGAGTAAATATATGGGAGAGTAGAGACAGCTCTTAAAGAAAAATTCCACTTAATAATTATAAAAGGAAAGCGGGAACTAGAAAATCACTATTAGGACAAAAATACCACCACTACCAACAAAAAGTTAAGAGATTTTTGCCAAATCACGTTTGGACGCTAAAATTAGTAGCTTAAAGTTTCAGGAGAAAGAGCTTATTTATATAGTCTCAATATCTCTGCCAAAGTATTTATTTGAAAGACAATAACTTTAAGGTGGAGAAACATAGCAACATCATGAACCCTTTGGTGTGATACACTGAGGAGGGCACATATTGCCGTGGTGTTGTAAAAAGGCACGACCTTCATTCTGATAATGAGAAAACATCAGACAGACCCAAATTAAGGAGCATTTCTGCAAAATAACTGACCAGTCCTCAAGAGTTTCAGGTTCATAAAGGACAAAGGCCAGAAAACTATCACAAGGAGCCCAGAAAATGAGAAATAACAACAGAATGTGATGTGAGACCTAGATAGGATCCTGAAACAGAAAAAGGTCATCAGTGGGAAAACAGGTGAGATTCAGGAAAGGTCTGTGGTTTAGTTAACGGAATTGTACAGATGTTAGTGTTCCAGTTTTGATCATTCTGTGTTTATATAAGATGGTAACATTAGGGGGAACTGGGTGAGGGGTATATGAGAGCCCTACTATTTTTGCAACTTTTCTGTAAGTCCAAAATTAGTTAAAGCATCTAAAATTTCTACTTCTAAAAGGCATTCGAAAAATCTGTTTTCTCTTTGCAAATTAGTGAATCATTTTCAGCAAGTCTTTGCAGAAAGTATACTTACAGCAGTTTAGTTTGGTGGGGAGGGAGGTGTCCCCTCCCTCTCTCCCTCCCTTCCTTCTGTGGGGAGGTATCTCCCTCCCTCCCAACAGGGTCTTGCGCTGTCGCACAGGTTAGAGTGTCGTGGTGCATGATCACAGCTCGCTGCATCCTTGAGCTTCTGGGCTCAAGCAATTTGCCCACCACAGCCTCCTGAGTAACTGGAACTGCAGGTGCGTGCCACCACACCCAGCTAATTTTTTTGCATTTTGGTAGAGTTGGGGTCTTCCCATGTTGCCCAGGCTGATCTTGAACTTGGGGGTCAAGTAATTGGTCCGCCTCAGCCTCTCAAAGTGCTAGTATTACAGGTGTGAGCCATCACACCTGGCTTCCCTCCCACCCCCCTCAAATAAAGACATTTCAGAGTCATTTATGGAACATACAGAATCCTCACCTTGTTGGAAACTTTTTACAAGGGATAAAAATTGGATTACACTGATGCCAAAGGCAGATAATTTGGAGTGGAATACTAAATTGAAAAGCTGTTGTGTCAGAATGATTACACTCATGCAGGTACTTTCATGTATGCAGTATACAATCCCAATTTTCAAAATACCTGTTTTTTAAAGCTACGATTTTAGGTAAGTCTGTAATTGGAGATCTTGCTAGTAGTGTGAGAATCTCACTTGATGCCACAATACTTGGGCTTGTGATAATGTAGTTTCTCTGAGGTTAAATAAGCAGGCATATTATGCCATGCTCTGGGGACTCAGTTTTTACTAGCTATAGACCTTTTCTGTTTTGATAGAGAAAGAGAAAAAGACAAAGAGCATTCCTGAAGGACTAGATTCAACTTCTTGTGAAGTTTGTTCTAGTTCCTTGTTCTAAGATTTTTTAAAATCATAGGCATTGTGGAGCAGATTGCAAAAGTAGCTTTTTTCATACCAGTATAGGTGGGACATGTTTTGATAGTTGGACTATTTGAGGTAGGAGGAAAGGTGGAGGGTTAAGGGGCATGTATGTAATCTGGTGAAGGAATTGGAAAAGAAACGCTTTGGAAGGATACCTTCCTGATTGCCAGGTTCAGAGGCTTGTCCTCAGGCCTTATTTGCTATAGCTTTTAAGATTATTTTTAATATTATTGACCATTCTTTCCTTGAAAAGCTTCTCTCCCTTTTAAAATGGTATCTCATTCTCTTCGTTTTCCCCTCTTTTACTGGCTTCTGTTCATCTCCTTTCTTTCTCACTGTTTAGTGGAAAGAGCAGAAACTTGGGTTAAACTCTGCTTGTGCTAGTCTCGTTTTTACTGTTGGGTGTTTGGTTTATTTAATAACTTCAAGAAGTCATGAGGATAGTGAGAAGTAATGTATGTAGAATGCTCAGCACAGTGCTTCCTCATAGGAAACATTCATTACCTGTTAATTTTCTTACTTCTTTCCCTCTTTTAACGGGGAGCAGTTCTATCTCTGGGTAGATCTTTATATTCATTGAGGTCTCTCTCTCTCTCATGTATCATATACATTGAGATCTCTCTCTCATATATATAATATCCCTAAAGAGCTCAGTTCTGAGGCCCAGAGAGAGACAGTTAAGTACATCATTATAATACAATGTTATGCAACATGCTGATGTAGCATCTGCTGTCTGCACTGCATTGTACAGAGGACATACACTCTTGTAGCCAGCATTAGCTGACCTACTGGCAGGAAATTATTATTTTGATGCAAGTTTGGGGAGTATACATAACATTGAAAAGATCGGTACTGTCTCAGAGATGTTAATCATCTAGTAGGGAGACATAGACAAGCAGGGTGGTAAATTATAATGTAGAACTTTAAGTGGTGGACGTATGTCAGGGTGGTTTGGGAACACTGAAAACCTGACCACAAACTTATTTGCCAGGAGAAGTTGGGAAAGAAGCGGCATTTGAGCTGGGTCTTAAAGCAGGTATGGGTTTTACAGAAGAAGTATGGAGAAAAAGGGCATTGCAGAAGCTAAGGAATAGATAAGCAAATAAAACAAGTAGTAAAAGGTATCTTCTGAAAAAGATAAGATAAAGTTTAGTGTGGCTTGAGTTCCTATGAATGAGAGACCTGGGACAGTGAGTGTGGAGAAAAAGCAAGCTGAGAGAAATGTCTGAAGAAACTTGTGAAGAGTCTATATATCATGCTAGGGAGTTAGGATTTCATTCTGTTAGCAGCAGGCTGCGGCAGAGTTTTAAGCAGAGGAAAGGGAATTCACCTTTTCTCTTTAGGCCCTTTGGTCTTTAGCATCATGTATGATAGCTAGAGGGAGGACTAGAAAAGACCAGATAGGATCTTATGGACATAGGAAGATATTTAGGTCCTGAACTAGCATGGAGGAAGACAATGAAAATGAAAGGTGGGGATAGGAGATTAGAGAGTCCTTTCTGAGGTTTCCTTGGCATGTGAAGAATGAGGGTGGGGGGAGAATTCACATACTAGAGTATTCCCAGCGGTGTGTTCTGAACGTAATCGTCTTAACTAACTGATGCTGAAGACATTAGATGATACACATTCTGATACATTTTTTTTTTAACATCATTTCACCACACTTGTTTGGAAAGTTCTTTGGAGAATTTTGCTTAGGTAAGAAAAGTACTCATGAGTGGGAGCTGTGCAGAATTTTTATGTAGAAGTAGTTATTAACACCACTCTGGTCCTTCAAAATGAAAAGAGTACAGAATGAAAGAATTGATTAAGATTTTCCGACAAATGTTTTCTTTAGTTAGAGTGGACTTTGATACTTGCATGATTAATTTCTTAGGCACTAAGATGTGCATGCTTGAGTGTGTTAGGATGTGATACGTGACTACTGACAGCCTCAAAGATTCTCTTCTTTATTCAAGTTTCTATTCTTATGCAAATGTTTTCTGGTTATTCTGATAAATATTTCATCCATATGTAAAAAAATATGACCAACATTTTAAGTTCAGAGATCACTATTTAAATTGACGTACGAATTGTCATCTACCTGTGCCAATCTGTGCCCTCCCAGCCCCCAGAAAAACAAAACCATATTTATGGAGTTGAAGGAATTATCAGACTCAGTGCTAGTGTCTCTAGTAATAGATACCAGTAATTTTAGAGTCGTCTTCACCTTTATTAATATCTGATTTTTCAGCCATTTGACCAAGTAAATAAAGATACCCTAAAACTTTTCTTCCCTTACTCAAAAGCCATTTCCTTCCGTTACTGGAAATAAAGACCATGATTACCAGAAATGTTTGAGGTATAGATGGTATTGTCACAGTTGTAATTGTATAGGGACCATCAAATTGTCTTTCCATCTGGCAGGAGAAGAGTGATCACACATCTCAATACAGAGATAACATAGTATCAGTATACTCAGTGTTCTTGGGATTCCTCTCCCTATGTCCTACCCTTTTATAGCCTGGCCTACCAGTCAGAACAATGAACACATTGCAGATGTCTTGGGCAGGCATCTTTTGATAAAACTGATGAGAGAAGTTCTCTTTGTTTTAGATTGCCCTCCCATATTTGCAAAAATTTCTACTCCCTTATATTGTATTCCTGTAGTTAACGTTAGACATTAGCCCAGTGATTCTCACCTGGGAGTGATTTTTTCCTTCCAGGGAACATTTGGCAATGTCTAGAAGCAAATTTGGGTGTCACAACTTGAGAGAGTGTGGTACTGCTGGCGTCTAGTGGGCTGCTAAACATTCGCCAATGCATAGCACGGCCCCCACAACAAAGAACTAAGGGGCCCAAAATAATCAATAATGCTCAGATTGTGAACACTGCAGTTAGTGAAGTGTTGAGAGTCTTCTGAAGTGATAATGGGCTTCAAGAAAGTTTTTAATAACCAGTAATGTAATTTTTAATAACCAGTAATAACATTTTAAAGTATTAAAACCAATAAAGTTTTAATAACCAGTAATTATAATAGATCTCTTGACCATGAATGAATTTGTCAGGGCTGTTATTTTGTATTACTTAAGTTTTTGTTTTGTTTTAAAGGTTAGATTTGAGGGAAACCTTAAAAGTTTACCTTAGTTTAGTTGGAATCTTAATTTGATAGGTGAGGAAACTCACACCTGAGGAGGGCAGCTAGTTTAGTATTTGTTAGACTGTGGCTTATCTAGTAGCTTCTTTCTTTGATGAATTACTAATTCTTTTGTGTTTTGGAAGTACCCATGTTTGTGACATGAACTGTAATTTCAGAATCGTTAAATGCATTTTAAATAGGATCTTTGACAGCTTTAAAGTAATTTGCAGAGCAGATTGGATTGCTTTAGTGTAATGTTTCTTGGAGAAAGACTTGATTTGTCAAATTTATTTGCATCTGAAAATAGCATTTGCTTAGAGATTCTTAGTTTCTGGGATTCATCTTAATCATTGACATGGTTTAGAAGGTACATTTGTGTATCTTTTTTGGTGGGTGGCGGGGAAGGAGCAGTCATGTCTAAGTCACTAAACCAACAGTATGTAGTTTTAGAAGGTTTGTAAAAGCATGATGTTTATTTCGGACTTGAATGAGTTACTAAGAACATAAACTGCAAACTTGCCTGCACCTCAAGAACAAATACTTTATTTAAGTGTCTTTATTAAATACTCAATACAAGTGTCTGAGCTAAAGGAACCTTAGAGATCACTTACTCTAATCCTTTTATCAACAAAGAACTTGAAGTTTGGAGAGATTATCTAACTCATCCAAAGTCACAGACTTAGGGTTCCAAGATAATATGAAAGTGAAAAGGGGAGGTCTAGATATCTCTACCACTAAAGGCCTGTGTCCCAGCTTGTGTGACAGGGCAGACCCCATGTAAGACAAAGGACCTCGCCAGAGGTCTGGGCTGTTGGAGTCTCTTGTGTTATTATCCCATCGGCCCCTTGGAAAATGAGCGTGTATCCACACACATCCAGAATACACAGCACTGTGCCTCTACATTTAGTAGGCACTGGGAGAAGTCTGTTGCATGAGTTTGAAAACGTAAGTCAAAATGCTAAAGGTGAAACTGAGATGGAGAGGAGATCGCATAAGCCAAAATGCCAGAGATAGAGTTGAGATGGGAGAGGAGATGGCACAAGAAATGTTACATCTCTGACGCAGAGAGTAGGGTTGGGTGTCCAGGTAGGCTTTGCTCCTTCCAAGGAGGCAGGTGAGGAGAGGTTTGCCTCTACCTCTCTTGTAGTTGCAGTACCAGCAGCTGCCGTGGTGCTCACACTGCCTCAAATGGGACAGTGATCCTACAGCACTACTAAACCAGATAATCAGCAAGCAAAAAAAGTCTTTTACCATAGAAGAAAGTTTATGTTGAAAATATGGAATGGAGGTATCAAAAAGAAATGTAACCATTTTCAAACAAAAGTCCATTTTCAAAACAATTTAGGAAATCTTTTTCTTTACGTGATAAATTGAACTAACACATTCTTTGTCAGTGGGCATGTTCTTTGGAGAAGGGCTGAGGGAGAGCTGAAGGGCTTATTTATTATGGGACATTTACTTAAAATATTTGAATAACCACGAATAAAATTTGTTATAGGCACCACAAGAGAGAGGAAATGGAAGGAAGCCAGCATTATAGTCTATGGCTTAAGTACTCGAAGCCCATTTTTAGAGAGTTGTTCTAGTTTTAAATAAGTTTAAGATTTTTCTTTATTCTCAAAATGTTTCCAGCAATTCGAGTCAATGCTCCTTTTCACCTTCTTTTTTTTGTTTTGTTTTTTTGAGGAAAAATTTAAGCCTGAGAAGTTACCTTCTCAAGACTGTCTCTTTCTTTGCCCGCGATGCAGTAGACTTGCACAGTCCAGTATTGGGCATGGTGCTGCGGTGGCCGTTTGCAAGCGTTTTGGTCAGAAGATCCCTTACATTTCCTAAGAGTATTAATGACCCCAAGGAGCTTTTGTTCATCTTAGTTATATATATAGATACTTCCCGTATCAGAAATTAGAACTAAGAAATGTTTAAAACATGGAAATATACAAGCTCTCAGACCAATGACGTCAGATGTCATTGCTTTGGAAAGCTGCATTGTAAACTCTTGAAGAAAGGAAAATGAAAAGGCAAGTAATGTTTTAAAATTATTGTGGAAATAGTTTTGTCTTGTAGATCCTCCTGGAAGGGTCTTGGGGACACCCAAGAGTCTCTGGATCAATACTTTGAGACCCACTGGGCTGAGATAACTGTCTGTTGCTGCCAGATTGGTTTATAAAATAGGTCTTTTGTTTCCAAAAATCAGAACCACTTTTAGTTCTTTTTATTTATTGAATATATGTTCCTGAGTTGCAGAAAAGTTACGGTGCTTTCACCTATTGGTGCTCAGGTAGTTAAAGTCTGTTTTCAGGGCATAAGAGACATTTTAATATCCAAAATGAAAATTTAAGGTGAAGGAGAACATTTCAGAATCTGCTGTTTATTAAGGTAAAGATACCTGTTAGTCGTGTGGAGCCAGTTATTTCTAACCAAGCAGTATCTGGTGAGAGTTTGTGTAACACCATGTGTGGATATTTTACAATTGAAGTTCAGTGGCCTTCCCTAAAGGCATCCTCTTTTAAAAGGGATTTCTGCAAAACCAAAATTCTCTCCGAAATACGCAGAAAAACTGGCAGCTATGTTAGTGAGGCTCCTTAGTGCTGCTGTTGCTGTTAGACAGCATAATTAACTTTAGGATGCTAACATATGCGAAGGATTTATGTCTCTAGAACCATTTCCCAGGGCGCAGACTTACCAGCTCCTTTCACTTGTAAATCTTTCCATTTGCCTTCCAGTATCTGAAGAAGGGTGGCAGACACATCTACGGCTGGAAAAGTAGTGCTTTGGAATGTATGTATTACTTGTACAGGGAATTGTCTTGTGGAATATCTCTCTACATGTCCTGTTGCAAGAGCTAAGTGAATGGTACCTAATTTTGTCCTCATTTCATCCTGACCTCAGCCCTGTGAAAATAGGTGTGGCCTCATTCTCATTTCAGGTAATTTACCTTAGCTCAGTAGCAGGTGTGGATAAAGTCCAAAGGCTGTCTTAACTCCAAAGTCTATACTCTTCCTTTATACTACTCCGTTTCCCTATTACCTGTGAAGATGACAGAAGGAAAGATCAGGGAGAAAGGGGATGACTTGAGTTTTGAAATTCTGATAGGATCAAATTTGAGGGAAGTTTTAGTTCTCTAATACAGAGCAGAGTGATTCTCTTGAGTCAAGGATGTGTGTGGGAAAGAGTAACCTAGAATGGGACTAAGACCCCCTTCAGGTCACCTAGTAGCTCCTTGTAGATGGGTCGAAGGATTTGAGAAATTGAAGAAAAGTGTTTACATGAAAGAGGAAAGTACTATTTAAGAAAAAAAAGAACTACAAAAAAACAATACTGTTTGGGAAGCAGAGGGAAATTAATAATGTCCTGCAATGTATGATCCTGGTAAAGTGACAGTTGAGTTTTTAATTATCCATATTATAATGATGGTTGGCTTCAGTCAAGTCATGAGGTCATATAGGTTCCTTGGTATATAAAAAATACAATGGAACAGACTGTATGGGTTAAGTGAACAGAAAACAAATTTTATTAATCATCAAAGCCAGAGACCAATACTGTTTACTGGACAGTGCTGTTGGGATAAAACAACTCAGGTGCTTTCACACTTTAACACTGCTTTCCTTAGAAGTAAATACATATGTTGCCCAACTTAAAAATGGATTGTATTCCACAAACATATTTGCAATTTGGTTATTTACAACTTGGAATACATTATCGTAGACAAGTCCAGACAAAGATTTAGCCTCAGTATGTCTTTAACAAGGTACTTTTGCAAAGAAAAAAAAAGTTGTGTTCAGTTTATAAAGCATTTTCACACATGTGGCCCACCTAGTTTCCTGCAGTTGGATTTTACTACCATTCCTATTTTGTTTTTAGAATGTTTTAGTCAGCAGGTGTTAAAGAATAACAGCCGAGTTGTATACTTCGGTAGGTTCCAACCTGGGATATATGCATTTTGGGACATCAGTAATATAAAAATTCAGTCATTATTGGATGGGGTAAAATCTGTCCTAGCCAATCCAGTGCACATGTGTATGTCTGTACAGTGTACATGTATATGACCTTCTGGATGTAGGGACAGGAAAACAGGTCATGTGAGAAGGCTCCTTTTAATTACAGTATCATAATGTGACCTGTCATAAAGAGTCCTGATAAAGAGTACATTCAGTGGAGTGACTTGCCCAGAGTTGCTAAATTCTTTGAAGTTGCTAATTCTTAGACTAATAGATTGCCAAGGCAAGGAAGGGTTAGGGGGAACATAAAAGCAGCATATGAAGAACTCAAGGGCTCGATGTAAGCTGATTTGATGAAGACATTTTGTAGGTTGTAAGGAACTGTCTTAATTGTAAAGTACCTTTTGTTTGAGATGGATGGGTTTATTGCCTTAGTTCCACAACCTGTGGGTATTTTAATCGAAAAGTGAAATGCCAGGTGGAATTAAAAGTGAGCACAATGGACACATGATTGATAGTTTATGAAAAGCTGGACACATAATCAAGGAAAAGATACAATTTATTAGAGACTCTTCTTGCTCTTTATTGCCTGAATCACAAGAAGATGGCTTTGTCATCTCGTTGCTCGTTGTGGTAGCTGAGATCCAGAGAAGTATATGAGAAATGAGCAGTAAGATCTCAGGTTGCACAAGAGGAAAAGGAAAACAAGAGTAGTACACGGGGGAAATGCCTCTTTAAAAAATAACTGTTTTGCCTGTGCTCCCTGAAAGTGGTATCGGTACACATACCAAAGCAATCCAGAAAAGGTGTCTTGTTTTCTGTTCTCATTTGTGCTCGTGTACATTTGAACTCTCTGAAGTTTTTCCTTTCCAGACACTAAGAATGCCCCAGATAAAGATCTGCTTCACTTTTTATAGAATGGACTCTTTTCTAAAATGTTAGCTGTTTAAATGCAAATAAATATTTTCCTGATGATGTCTATTATTGAAGTTTCATAGCACATTTTCACTTACATGCTACTAAAATGGCAACAATAAACCTGTAAAATAATATTTCAAGAAGACACCCTTGTCATAAGAAAATATAGTCGTGAAGAAGATACAAAAAGCTTGTTTGCTAAATTTATGAGGGAAACTGTGTTTACTATCTTGAATCTCTGGTCTTTTTTTTTTTTTTTTTTTGGAGATTGGTGGTGGCGGTGGTGATGATTGATTGGTTTTAATTTGAGACTTAGACACCAAAAGTTGTAGGCCATGGGCTCTGATCTAATATTTACCACTGTATTGTGAAGGTGTTTAACTGCTTATTTAACGTTAGTTGGGGAAACTTGAATGATCTCGGAGACTCAGACTGTCAGCTTCGTATTGAAGAAATGACTTGCCACAACATGTTGAAAGTTTTGCCCATTAAATGAGTGCTATTTACAGTGTGTTGTATGACACTTAGAAGACTTCATTAAGCAATGCGAATTTGTGGGAAGTCACTGTTTCTCACTCATCAGCAGTGTTAAATATCATAATATGGGTGTTCATTCCTTACAGAGAATGTTCTGAAGGCAGTGGAAAGCAAGGAAAACATTCTTGCCTGTTCCCTCTGCCCCCTTTTCTTTTCTTAAGGACAACCAAGTAGTCCCCTTCTTGCCGGAGTAAGGCACGGTGAGGCTAACAGGTGGCAGTGGTGTTCTCAGGGAGGAGTCCAGCTAAACTGTAACTTGGGGACCTGAGTTTTTCAACCCCTAGTACCCTCATCACCCTTTTCATCTCACATTGCCACCCCTGACACACACGCAAGGCTGTACTCTTCAAAGGCATACCTGTAGAGTGTTTAAGGATACCTGAAGATAAGAGGAGTCCATGAAGAGTTCAGATGGAGCTGAACCTTGGATGAATTTCTTAACTCTTTCTGCTCCTCAGTCTTCCTAATTTGTAAAATGGAGATGACAGTTCCTCCTTGAGGGGAGGTTGTGCTGACTCTGACTTCTTGATGTGCCTGTCCTGTGATAGCTTTGAAAAGGTTCTACCTGTCTCCCATGTTGGGTACATTTGTAAAGTTTAACCAACCTGGAGAGCCTGGCACAGCATCCCAGGAGTGGAATGTGGGAGTGTGCATAGCTCTCAATGGAAATTGGACTTTCTCATTCTTCCACTTGCCACGCAGCGAAGAGAGTATTAGCCCAGAAGTGGGGAGGGGACAGATTTCAAGAGCTGCCAGAACAGCTCTGATGGTGCAGTATCTTTATATGGGAGGGCTCAGCCTGGTCGCCCTTGTATTTTTCTTTTCCTTCGCCTTCCAAAAGGTGAATTTCCCTACCTCATCCCCTGCCCCCCAACTCTAGGAGTACTGTGGCATTTATTGGGAGAACTAGTTTGAAAAAGCAGTTATGCTAATTAAGATGATAAATGCTCACCTGTTGTTGAGGGGTTTGGGTGGGGAAGGGGGGCAAGTGATGGTTTAAGAGTTAGGTTGTCATTTAAGGACACATAGAAGACATTCAGAACACAGCAGCAGTTTTCAAACAACACAGGTAGTTTAGCAGATGCCCCATTTTTCTTGGTAATAACCAGATCCCAAATAGTCTTGCGGCCTTTTCATTTGTGAAGTTTTGGTTTGTTGACCAACAGAGGGAGAAACGCTTCACCGTACTAGTCAAACATTTTCTTAGGAGCAAGTGAGACATTCACCCAGTTGTGCTTATATGTTGCATTTTAGGAGGACTTATGGCTGAAATTTACCTTTTGTACATACAGACTTCATCCTGTAGATACCAGATTGTGTTGCATGCACTGAAGAATTCTGAGCGTGCATTTGCTGAACTGTTGAATGATAGCAGTGGCAGAACCATCCAGAGGGCACCTTACATGTTGTCTACAGTGTGCCAATAAATAGTCCTGGCAGACGGGCCGTGTTTTAGGGAATAAGTCATTTTGGATAAGCATGATCTCTGGGTAGTGGAGACCTGCTTCTTTTAGGCATACTATATTCATGCTATTAAGGGTAATTTGTGAGATGCGAGTAAATTTCCTTTTCTCTCTCTGTTCATCACTTGCTCTCTTTTCTCCTATACTGTCCAAACCAGGCACTGCTTTCGATCTCCGTGGTTCATTTAATCTCTTTTCTGATTTCTCATTTCCAAATTCTGCTCACGACCCCTACACTACCTCTGCCATATTGCCTGCCTCCCTGTGAAGGGAGAGGCCAACTGAGAGAACGTCCTCAGATTGTCATCTTTCTAGTAAAAATGTCACTTTATCTTTACCTAGCATCTCTCTTATGTCTCAGCAGAAAGTGTCCCCATTTCTTTCCCCAGGACTTCTGTTTGATTGTGTTCTTTCTCTCCCTTTGACCAGTGATTTAACCTCTCTGTCTTGCATGCCCTCTATCGTTCTCCCTTTTTGATTGTACAGCATCATCCAAGACCCTATTTCCTACAGAAATTCTTCTCAGTTTGCTTGGGTAATAAGCAGAGCAATCTCTTAATTCAGCACCACAGTTCTGAGGTAAGGAAGAGCTCCTGTGCTCTTCGTCTGACAACCTTCAGGCTCTTAATTCTTGCCGCCCTCATCCCACATAGCCTGCTCTCCTAAAAGTCACCAGCGACCTCGATTTCCAAAGCTTGGGCCCTTTTCTCAATTTGCATCCTACTTTGTCTTTCTCTGCAGTGTTCATTTATTCATCCAGTAGATAATTTTATTGAGTACCTAGCACTGCTTAATGCCACGATGACAAAGATGATTAAATGTGGTCTTTGCTGTGGAGTAGTACACAGTTGATTGACAGTTACAGTGTAATGTGTTAAGTGACAACTTTTATAGGTTGTCCTGGAGTAAGGTAGGCTCCTCCGTCTCAAGATTGGATGGGCCTGGTGATTAGGCTGAGATTTCTCTGGGGCCAAGCACGTGGCTTACCTTTGATTCTCTCTGTGTTTAGGATAGTCTTAAATTGGTGTTCAGCTGTCCTCTCTTGTTCTTGGATCAGATTTCTCTGGCGTAAAGTACCCATACTGGCTTAATTGAAACTCTTCATCAGGGTGTAGTTTCCCATAAAGTTTGAGTGGTTTATTCACATTATTAACTCTGGCTACATTATTTCATTTTAACACCTAAATATTGGTTAATGTATGGTAGTTTATTTTAGCACTAATTTAAACTGTTTGGTAATCCCTCTAGACATCTAATCTGTGGCCCCAGTGAGTGCATGTGCAATGTTTTGTAGCGGTCATTTTTTTTTAAGTATTAACACAATCATACTTCCTCTTTAAAAGGAGTAAAATGTGTTAGAATGGCTACTGCTGCTGTTAGAATCTGTGAAAAAGGGAAAGTCACCTTTCACCTAGGGGGTCCTGTGTGTTTCTTGGAAGAGAGGGGCCTAGAGTAAGTACATGCCCCTTCTCCAGGGTGCTTTCACATGTGTTTGAATCCATCCCTTGTCACTTGTGATCCAGGCTCAGGTAATACAAGGTTTCGTGGTATGCCATCCCATGACCAAAACTTGTATTGCTAGAGGCCACGACCAGTACTGAAACACTCAGAATATACCCAGTTCAATGCTCAGATTAACTTTGATACTGTCATGGCATAAGCATCTGTCCCTACCTCTCCTGCGTCACCTGTCAGCTGTATCATAGCCACTGCCCAAGAGGTGCTCCAGTAACCACACTTAGCTTAGGGAGCCAACATATCATGCACCTAGTGACTCTCATTTTGTTTCCTGGTAAAGAATAGCAACATTGGCCAGGTGCAGTGGCTCACACCATATTACCCCCAAGCACTTTGGGAGGCCGAGGCGGGTGGATCGGGAGTTCGAGACCAGCCTGGCCAACATGGTGAAACCCCGTCTTTACTAAAAATACAAAAATAGCCAGGTATGGTGGCAGGCGCCTGCAGTCCAACCAAGCTACTCAGGAGGCTGAATCAGGAGAATCGCTCAAACCTGGAAGGTGGAGGTTGTAGTGAGCCAAGATCGTGCCACTGCATTCCAGCCTGGGCAACAGAGTGAGACTGTCTCAAAACAAAAAAGAATAGCAGCATTAGGTAAGAATGCAGCAGCTTTGTTTTGGGTTTTGTTTTTAGATTTTTGTTTTCTAATCCTCCACCGCTGACTCTCCCATTGATGAGTCAGACTTGGTCTGTCCAGTTATTTTTCTCCAGTCCCTTTCTCCATCCTGGGGAATTGGAGAGGGAGCTATCGGTTCTGAAGGGGACTATTACATTGTGGCAGCCAGTTGTTTTACTTTGTTAATGAACCATTCGTATATTTGTTTTCCATCTTAAACTTGGAGAGTTTATTATATTGTAAATGTCTATCTAGATGGGAATGTCTTGGAGAGTTAATATTATTTAGAAATAAAGCATAGGCATTCCTGTCTCCCTTTCTCATTTAGGGCTGTGAATGGTCATGCATTGTGAAAGTGTTTGGCATCTCTTAGAATTTGTGAACAATAGTGCTAAGAGCCAGTGTCAGTTGGAGATTGGCACAGACATAATGGTTTATGGCACAATGAATGTGTCACTTGTGTATGATTTTTTTACAGTGACTTTCAGTCTTCACTCCCTTGGGAGCTAGTATGAGCCATAGTTACCTTTGTTGCTCTCTATGTGTTGTCTGTGCCAATCACAGAGCTGCAGGGGAACAGAACAAGTTGGAATAATTAGATTGAGGAGTGAATGTCACACTTCTAATTTCATTCTCTTTTCAAGGGATTACCAGTGTCCATTTAATAAAATGAGATTAACCCTCTGCAGCAGGAGTACTTGAAAGCTGTCAGTCAGTATAATCTTGACGGCTTGAAAGAAGTAGTGTTCTCAGCACTCTTAGAAACACTGTCATGTTTTATTGGCTCAAAAACTATTTTACTGCACAGGGATGTGTATGTTAGTGTTATCACATGTGAATGTATCATTTCCTTTGAAAAAGGAAAAGTTTAGTATCCATACTAAATAATCCATACAAAATAATGCAGAAATAACATGAACCTTATAATTTAGTTTTGAGTTGGCAGATATCAGTAATAAAATACCCAAGGAATGTGAGACCAGATAAAAATGTTTAAAAACTTTATAAAGCAAATAGTGATATATATTTTTTGAACATTTCAGAAAACCTCGGATCAATTCTCAGCTGGTGGCACAACAAGTGGCACAACAGTATGCCACCCCACCACCCCCTAAAAAGGAGAAGAAGGAGAAAGTTGAAAAGCAGGACAAAGAGAAACCTGAGAAAGACAAGGAAATTAGTCCTAGTGTTACCAAGAAAAATACCAACAAGAAAACCAAGTAAGTTTCTGGTTAACTAAGTACAGGATATTACTTTGCAAGTGAATTCAAGATATCTTCTAAATGCCTGTTTTTTTTGTTTGTTTGTTTGTTTTGTATCTCCCTCATTTAGACCAAAGTCTGACATTCTGAAAGATCCTCCTAGTGAAGCAAACAGCATACAGTCTGCAAATGCTACAACAAAGACCAGCGAAACAAATCACACCTCAAGGTACTTGGAAACTAGAATGACATACTAAATCACTGCTCTGATTTACTTAATCGTAATCATGAATCCAGGGTGGTTTTGTGCCTTGGGTTTGTAGGCTAAGAAGGTGAAGAGCTAAGTATGGGTGGGGCTGGTGACTTTTTCTCTTTTTTAAATACTGTGGCCAGAACAGGAAACAGATAATAGTAATTTTACATTGGTCCCAAGCTTTGCTATCCGTGCTTGTTGGATTATTGCTAAAACTGAGTAGCACACTCTGTAGTCGGCTTTGGCATGTGTGGTAGGCAGTTCGGATTCATTGCCACAGTGTCATGAAGTCTTGTGCGTATTGATGATATTCTGCCAGAAGCTGTTTTTGATCCATAACTTACTTAATTGGCTCTTCCCCTGTGGTGTTGCTTCTAGGCCCCGGCTGAAAAACGTGGACAGGAGCACTGCACAGCAGTTGGCAGTAACTGTGGGCAACGTCACCGTCATTATCACAGACTTTAAGGAAAAGACTCGCTCCTCATCGACATCCTCATCCACAGTGACCTCCAGTGCAGGGTCAGAACAGCAGAACCAGAGCAGCTCGGGGTCAGAGAGCACAGACAAGGGCTCCTCCCGTTCCTCCACGCCAAAGGGCGACATGTCAGCAGTCAATGATGAATCTTTCTGAAATTGCACATGGAATTGTGAAAACTATGAATCAGGGTATGAAATTCAAAACCTCCACCTGCCCATGCTGCTTGCATCCCTGGAGAATCTTCTGTGGACATCGACCTCTTAGTGATGCTGCCAGGATAATTTCTGCTTGCCATGGGCATCTGGCCACCAAGGAATTTCGCACCCTGACGATTACTCTTGACACTTTTATGTATTCCATTGTTTTATATGATTTTCCTAACAATCATTTATAATTGGATGTGCTCCTGAATCTACTTTTTATAAAAAAAAAAAAATCTGCTGTGCACAATTTTCCATGTACATTACAACTGGTTTTTTGTTTTTGTTTTGTTGCCGGTGGGGAGGGCTGGGAGGGGGAGGGAACTTTTATTTATTGTGTTCACAAACTCCATCCTTTCAGCATATCCTTTTAAGTTTAGTTCTTTCTTCCAGTTATACTATGTACTATCAGTTTTGATATAACTATATATATATAAATATAAAATTATATATAAAGGGTTATTTGAAACCAATCCATGGCAACGCTGGTGCTTGATACACTGTGAAGTGAATACAACATTGAACAGTTACAGATCTGGGACAGTCCCTTCTATGAAAGTGCTGAAATTTAATTAAAATCAGTCTTATATGAAGTATGTTCCAATCCATGTGGGAACTTGACTCTCTCATCTGTCTAAAGAGTACTGGACGATATAAAAATATATATTTTTTAAACAATGTGATCTCAAATTTAAAGACTGCTCCAGATAGCCTGCATTTGCAATGGAATAACTGACAAATCACAAGTGGTTTAGTTGGGCAGGGCTTTGATCATTCAAAAGTAACTAAAGTAGCTCCAGAATGCCAAGTATTCGTGTAAATTACGGTTACATGTTATCATTTGCTGTTCTTACATAAGCACTCATGAAAATATGGTATTCTGTAACTTGAATTCCATCCATTTTCCAGACCTCTACTCATGTCTGAGGTAAATCTAGAAATTGTCTTAGTTTTAGGATTGAAACAGTCTATAAACTGTATTTTTGGTCCATCCAGGAAGCTAGTCCCTTGTTTCTCCTTTCTACATGACATTGCAGTGGTGGTTTCTGTAATTAAAATTTGTTTGCCTCATGTCCCTTTGTCTGATAAACCTTCACTCTACCGATTCAGTTGTGAGCATTCTTTTTTTCCTTCTCAAAACCTACTATGATTTGTTTTACTGAACAAAGGTTATCAACCACACATCCAGTCCTGACATGGAGCTTTTCAGTGTTTGGAGACATTTCTCAATCCCCTGCTGTGGTAGGAACTCCAGTGGTGAACGGCTTGCGCGCCTGCAGCCAGAGTTGCAGGGAAAGCTCGTACTTACTGCGAGCAGCATGTAATCTTTTTTCTTCCTGGACATAAAGATAGCTTGAGTAAACTGTTCTATTTCATTCTCTTCACTCTTTTTACTGTCTTGCAAAAAAAAAAAAAAAAAAAATAATCAAAGACCACTAATAAGATTCCACCTCTCCTTATTAAAATAATTTTTTAAAATTTTGTTTTGCTTTTGTTTGGATGTGGGGTCTCTCTTCTATTTGACTTTTACATTTAGATACAGAGTTTGTAGTACTTCAGAGACATTTCAAGCATGAGAATTTGAGGTTACCTCTCTTTATTTGACCTTTAGGGACTCACGGGAGGGCAGCCTGATTTGTAATGAAGCACCACATTTTGGTGTTAAAAACCTGGTTTGCTTAATAATAGCAGTAATTTCTGTCTGTGGAGGCAACAAATAAAAAAATTAACAGCTTGAATTGAGTAGCCAACAGGAAAGGTTCCTTTCACATTTACATTAAAACTATTCTGTAGTCACTAATGTACCATAATTTAAATTCTTTTCTCAAAGGTATAGATTATAAAGCAGTGCCATTTGTTGCTGTGGTCCTATTCTCAAATGCATGGACAATGTTCCCCCCTTTTTAAAATAATGCTTGTGTCTGGGATGCAAGCTTTGCTTATCTTTTTAAATACATTTTTAAAGTATTTATTAATGAACCAAAGGAAATCAGATGCTTTCTATAAGCATCAGAATATATAATACATAGTGATTTGACTATGAATTTTAAATCCACATTTTAATATTGGTGGGATATTGCAAAGACATTCCTTCTAAAGTTTTAATATTCCTTTTATTAAGGGTCTCAGGGAGGGTAAATTAGTCAGCCATATTTATTTTCCAGAGGTTTAAGAAATTGCTGTTTTTAACTTTTTGAAAAAACTTAAATGCCACCAAACTCATGTAGGTTGCACTGCTTATTGAACCAATAACTGTTGGTATGCACTTTGTTCAGACACACTGTGTACTTTTTCAAAAACTAGTTTCATGTAAAGTGATTGGACCCCATAGATTAGTGGAAAAAGCTGATTAACCAGCTACTCATAGGCTGCTAATTCATTCATGCCAATGTTTTGGTTTTTCAGTTTTGCCTCCGTGATAAATTAAAGAATGGGGAGGGGTGAAGGAAGGGGAAGAAGATTGCTTTAGAACAAGTGGCATGAAATTACCATCTTTGTAGAAACCGCAGCTAACAGTGGGAGTTATCTAAGCAATCAGATGTTACAGGGCCAGCCCTTTAGCTGCTGTGGTGTATTCTGTTGGGTAGTGAGGTAGTAGGTACTTTATAGACTTTTAATTTTGGAAATTGATGACATCCCTCAGGCATGTATTCTGGAAATGGAATTCCTGTAACTTCCTGTGTCTGCAGTATGCCCTACAATTAGTAGGCAGCGTGTAAAAACACTAGTGTAGATTATAAAGATATACATTAAAAGAGGACCAGAAATACTTGGTATTCAGTGGCACAGAAAGCAGGTTAAACAAACAAAAAGCACAGTGTTACGCTTGCAAGTTTCCATTTGTTTTAATACCACGCAATCTTTCACACTCGTGCGTGTGCGCGCACACAGAGCTTACCTGACTTGCTCTGCTTGAGTCATGCAGTTACAAAAAAAAAGACATCTTGACACCCACACAATATTCTAATCAAAACCTTTCAGTTTCAATCTGGATATTTAAAAACATTGGCAGAAGCTTCTGTGAGTTTAGTTCCACTAAGATGTTTCACCTGCCTTATCAAGACCATTCTCAGTCTACTTTTTTAAGCTACCGTATCTTAAATTATTGAAAATTTATTAATTGCTGAATATATAATAACCTTTGCTTGTATGTAACCGAAAATGGTTTAAGAGCCAACATTTAGAGTATGACAATGGAGCTGAACAGTTTTTAATGCGCAAGCAGTTCTGTTCTTGTGTATGACTTGTAACCTTAATTTACTGTGTAAAGATGGTTACATTATTTCCTTAGCTTTGTTTGTTGGAGACAAATAGAGAATGCTTGTTAAGTATGTCAAAACAATCTTATCTTGTGAATTTTTGTTAATGTATTATACGAGCTATATTTTTCATTTGCCCAGAAAGACAGCTTGTATAACGCTTTTGGAAGTTTCTGCTCTGTAATGTCTTTAGAGCTGACAGTCTGTTAGGTTTGTTTTTTTCTTCATGCTAAAGTGTCAGTTGGTGGTTTTGTGAACTGGTCAAAAATTCACAGGTCTTAAATGTTTTGGGGGAAATTTATATTGGACACTGCTCTTTGTCTAGCAAATAAAAGATGTTAATATATTCCTGTTACTGGCATGTGCACGACTATGTTATTAGAAGCCACTTTATCATTTTCCTGCTTTAAATAGAAATGTCTATTTATGAATTCTGCTTGTAGTTTTTTCACAAATAAAATAGTAAAATTTACATTGGAAATCTTTATTTTTGTGTGTATAGATTTTAGCCTTTAGAATAATAGTTAATTTTTAATCTGTGGAATATTTCCAATGTGAATAGGAAGCTCACTTTGTATTTTAGAACTTGTTTATCAGAAGCTGAAATAGCTGGGTATCTTAAGTACATACCTCAAAGATGCAAAAGGAGACATAATGGGGCAAAAGAATCACCAAAATTTGAAAGAAAATGAACTGTCTCCTAAGTGTAACCTTTGAGATAGATTGCAATGATGTAAAGGAAGGAAATGGGATTTAAGGAAAGAAAATGGAGATGATGCTAAAATATGCTAATTGAGGACTGAAAATCCTCAAAAGACAACCCCTGTTTCTGGCCAACTGGATTTAGGTCAACTATGTCTCAGAGATGTGAATAAAGTGTGTTACTAACCTAAAAGCCACACAAGCTCACTTATTGCCCCATGCGAGGGAGACTCCTGCCTGCTGCTGCAGGTGCTGAGGCATACCAGTCTATAACCTTCCAAAGAATTAAGAAACCACTTAAAACATGTCAAGATCCATCCCCGATTATTTTGTCCTGGGTCTGCACCTGAACTAGCACTGGAAGGAAGAGAGTGTAAATAGCGCAGGATGTTGAGTTGAAAATGGGTCTGTTCTGATAAAACAGCAAGTTCCATTCTTCGTCCTCATTTTTTAGTACTGAACGTGACCCAAGTTTGGCCCCTCAGAAGTCTTGGAAAGGATCTGGAAGGGTTGAAGGACAGGGATTGGATGGGGTCTCTCATGTTTCCCACAGGCCATTTTGGATACAGACGTGCGATCTGCTAACCCCATGCCCCTCTGCTTGCTTTTGTGCCTGAGGAGTTCACTGTGAGGGCCCCCACTGCTGGTGGCACTGGTACCATCCTTTGGAGGAGGATGGGAATTGTCTCCCATACCAGGTGTGGACCAAAGCAAGCACTTGGTCTTTACAGGGGAGGCACAAGGAAGAGTCGTTTCTTTCCAGTTGTGTGGACGGAAAGGGAGGCAAAAAGGTTTTCTCTAATCCTCAGCCAAACTCTAGTGTTAACACCAAGTGTCCAGATCCCCATTGAGAAATCCCATGGCTAGAGTGTGACAGGATCATGGAAGCAGCTCTTGCTCAATTATTCTTGATCAAGGGTGGAATGACGACTTCAGCCAGCAAGGGCCCAGGCTTGTGCTCTCTGATTTCATAGCCCTACGGCGTGGAAATGGAAACCAGCCAGACTCCACCTTGGGCAGTGAAGAGAACATAAGGGACGTCCAGGAGGCCCTTGGTCTAGCACGCCCCTGACCTCCCAGCGGTTCTGGAAGGCCACTCCTAACCCTTCAAACCATAGCAAGGAAGGTTAGAGCTATCTTTGTGTTAGGATCAAAACTCGAGAAGGTTCTGTTTGCTAACCACTGAAGGAAGCCCACGGCCTGTCTTTAGGGCTTCTGTCAGGAGAGGACAATGGACATAGACAACTAGATACTGCAGGAGGGCTCTGGTTTTCTCAGACAGGATCCTAGGATGTGTCTGGAAGCCTGCGGAGTGAAGGTAGACATGCAGGTGTGATGTTCTGCCTGATAGTGCCTCTCTCCAGGCATTAACTACAAGGCTGGGTGGGGGCTTACTGTAAGGCATCGAGTCCCTAAGCATTTATACAGTCCCAATTGTGCATCAGTGCAGTGCTGGTTATAACAGGGAAGAATTTGTGGAGGGGAGGGCACAGGCTGAAATTGGCCCATTCCTACACATGCTCTTGACCTAGACCTAGAGTAAGTGACATTGACCCCAACCGTCCCCCTACCCACCTCCAGCTTGTGCCAGACATCACTAATCAGTCACAGCGCTTCTTTCCAGCTGAATCCAGACTCAGAATCCTCATTAGAGCTCATTGTTAGCACGTCTTCCTGAAGTGCAACCCATTTGCCATTCCTTCCCTGGACGAAACCCACCCCAAATAACTGGGAAACCCTTCAAGGCAGTTTTTAATCAACACTTCAATTGTGGAACTGCATGAATCCAAGAAGGCCAGCTGAGAAGCTCGGAGGAGTCAGGAAGGAAGAAAACTAAATATCCAACACCCAACTCTTCAAAGAGTTCAACTTCCTGTTCAAAACAGGGTCAGACCAGGGGATTCTTAGTGAGGCCAGTGATGAGCACTGTAACTTTAAATGCAGCCCTGAACCCCAGACCTGAAGGCCTGCCAGTGTCTTACCCTACAGGCCAGACCGGGACCTACTTGCCCAAGCTGTCCTACTGGTTCTGTCAACCGGGGGCTCTCAAATAACAGAGTAGAACACCACATGGATATGATTCCTGGAAACCACAGAACTAGGTGAGACTCCTACCTCTGACTGCCTGGGTGTCCTTGGGCAAGTCAGCTGACCGGGCCATTTCCCTCAGTTGTCAAGTAGGGATTAGAGGTGTATGTGCTCCTACTGTGTTCTCTGCTCCAAGGAATCATGGCGCAGTGCTCCCAGAGGTGGGTTGTGTGTTACCATGTTTTTAACAACGGGAAGCAAAAACTTTATTTGAACTTTCATTCTGATGCTTCACTGATGACACCGGAAATGAAGATAATTTGTTTTGTGATTGTTTTATTGTGTTTTCAAGTTTTAATTCATGAATTTTCCTGTACTAAAACAAAGAGCAAAGTTGGTTAAAGCCTGCATGTAAATAAAGTCCAGTGGGATTTTTGACACCTGCTTGACGTTTCTATGTCTACAAACAGTGTTGTAATGAATACGGCCTTTCATCATTAAACATTCGATTTTTTAAAAATGACGTTTACTGTCCTGTTATTATTGAAAAGGTAAAAGTTGAAACTTGATGGAAGAAGTAGAGATGTGCACGGCATCTGCTGTGATCACACTGTAGAAGCTTACTAAGCATTAGTTGCTGGATTGTGCGTAAATAACACGTATAACGTACACACATGTATATCTTCTTAATTGAGAATGGGATTCTTTTCATGTGGTGCATAAATGCCACAGGCTTCTTGCACAGAGAAGTTTGAGGTACAAACCCCTAGATCTGCCACAAACACACTCATGGTGTGAATTCTAGATGAGAATCATTTTTTCAGCCTGAGTAATTCGGCCATCACAGCAGCCCCAGAATGAGGAGCACTCGGTGTCTGGGAGCCAGGCAGATTTATAAATTGTATTCATTGCCTCTTCACATTAAAAGGAATTTGTACCCGTTTGGAGAAGTCTCCAATAGAGTTATCTTATTGGTTGGAATTATAGCAATCTAGAAAATGTGTGAATCCAAGGCATTCCCAAGAGGCAGAAACCTCTAATAAATTGTACTGTGAAGTTCCAAGCAACTCCTGCTTGTAGAAATCACCCTGACAATGCACACGAAGGCAGCAAACTAATAGGGGAATAAGAGGGAGAATTGCAAGTGGCTTCCATTCATCTTAGAACAATCAGCGGCCTCCGGCGCTGTTAATGCCATTAATCGTGTCGTGGTGTCGCGTGTGGCCTGTGCTGGCCGGCAAGATGGGGACCACTTTGGTGGGCTGCTGAGCAGAGGCAGGAATGCCAACACCCCAGCTGGGCTCGCCCCTCTTCTGCAGAGATTGATAAATCCCGAGTGGGAGCTTAGGCCTAGATGAGACTGAGTGAACTGGAAATGGGGACACATGTGAGTAGAAGTGGTGGGACCAACAGTTCACTCTACAACCTTTGTTTATGTTCCCAGCCCTCTGACCGTTATTCATTAGTGGTTTGTTTTTTGGTTTTTTTGTTTTTCTTGTTTTCTGAGACGGAGTTTTGCTCTTGTTGCCCAGGCTGGAGTGCAATGGGGCAATCTTGGCTCACGGCAACCTCCACCTCCTGGGTACAAGGGATTCTCCTGCCTCAGCCCTCCAAATAGGTGGGATTAAAGGTATGTGCCACCACGCCCAGCTAATTTTTTGGATTTAGCAGAGACAGGGTTTCACCATGTTGGGCAGGCTGGTCTCGAACTCCTGACCTCAAGTGATCCTCCCGCCTCAGCCTCCCAAAGTGCTGGGATTACAGGCGTGAGCCACCATGCCTGGCCAGTTATTCATTAGTTCTATGCAACATGGATTGGTATCATCACAGCAAAACTTATCGAAGTAGAAAGAATGGCACATTTTATTGGTACTGTTTTATGCCTTATGTAGACACGTTTCATCTTCACAGTGACTCTATTGAATATAGCAGGCGTTGGCAACTACAGCCCATGGGCCTAATCCATCCCAATGCCTGTCTTTGTACAGCCCTCTAGCTAAGAATTACTTTTACATTGTTTTAATGGTTGAAAAAAATATTTAAAGAATAATAATTTAGGCCGGGCGCAGTGGCTCACACCTGTAATCTCAACACTTTGGGAGGCCAAGGCAGGCGGATCTCTTGAGGTCGAGAGTTCAAGACCAGCCTGGCCAACGTGGTGAAACCCCATCTCTACTAAAAATACAAAAAATTAGCTGGGTGTGGTGGCGTGCACCTGTAATCCCAACTACTCAGGAGGCTGAGGTAGGCGAATCACTTGAACTCAGGAGGCGGACATTGCAGTGAGCCGAGATCATGCCATGGCACTCCAGCCTGGCAACAGAGCGAGATTCCATCTCAAAAAAAATAAAAATAAATAAATAATCTTAATGATTATTAAATGATTTTTGAAGAATAATTGTGATGTGAAAATTATATGAAATTCAAATTTTAGTGTTTGTCAATAAAGTTTTATTGGAACACAGCACACTTATTCATTTATCTATTGTCTATGGCTGGCTGTTTTCCCCACTACGATAGCAGAATGGAGTCATTGCAACAGAGACCGTGTGGCCCAGGGCCTAAAATGTTTACACTCTGGCCCTTTCTACAAAAAATGTGCTAACCCCTGCAATATACTCCCATCTTAGTCACGTTCTATGAGGTAAGCACTGTTACAGCCCTCCATGTCTGGAGACTTAGTAAAAACTCAATAAATCGTTGTGGATTGCAGGAATCCTAACTCCCTGCTTTACAAATGAGGACACTTGGGCACAGGAAGGTTACCCAGCTAGTAAGTGGGGGAGTCAAGGTTTGAATCAAGGCTGTCTAATGTAGAGCTCTGGCTTTTAGTTTTCAAGAGACCGAATGCACAGCTTGCCCCAAAGCGTGTTCCTTGAAACATCAAGTAGGCCAGATGCCTAGCTTTGGCCAAATGTGTTTGGCAATAACTGTTTAACATAGACGCCTTCTTGAAGTTTCACAGTGATCATTAGCGTAACAAAGGCTCTCAGAAGTGCTACAGGAAAGAGACCCATTTAACTTTCTTTACTATGGTGTTTTAAAAACTTAAAAAAATTTGACCTACCTTCCACCAACTTATATAGCTTGGGTGAAAGCTTAAGTGAACAGAGCAAGGGAGTTGCAGGTAAGACATACTAGGTACAAATTGCGTCTGTGACCTTGAGCGCATCATTAAACCTCTCTGAACCTCTGTTTTTTTTTCTCTGTAGAATGCTAAGACAGTTGTAAGGATTTAGTGAGCTGATGAGGTCCTGGCTCCTGGTAGATGCCCAGAAAATGACAGTTCCCTGCTCCACCTGGGTACTAACTCAGATGTCCTGCAACCTGCTATTTCCCACCATAGGGACCACATTGGGAACCAATGTAGCTTTGCAAAGTGACAGCTCATTTCATGTTCAGGAGCCTAGTGGTTACAGATAGGACCATTCAGAGCCATCAAATGCAATCCCAACTGCAGAAGAGGGAAGGTTCTGGCATCCTAACCGCAGACCAGAAAATGCTCCCGGAGCATCTGCATGCCAACAGCATGGCCTGGCCCAGCACCGTGGCAGGGAGCCACACTCCCTGCCTTGTGGGTTTCTCGTCCATCATTTTCTGGGAGAGATCTAACAGTGTACTCCGGCTGTCAGTAGCGCTCTTGAATCTGCTCTCATCTTAGTCACACTCCTGCTTAAGTGAGTCGTTCTTGATTCCCTGGACACCAGAAGCCTTTCTTCCTGACAGCAGGTGAGAGGCTGGCAGCCTCTTGACATGACCATTCACTTCAGTGCTTTCGAAAATCCCCGGCTGCCCCGCGACCCAGACATCTGAAGATTTTGCTTAATAGACTCTGCTGCCAGAAGGTGTGTTGGGACTTGGCGAGCCCAGCCTTGGACTTGCTCTGCCTGAGCCAGGGTAATTCCTTCATCAGTGCCTACCCTTGCCTTCCTGGAAAAGGCTGGCCCTCCCCAGGGGGAAGAGAGGGAAGGTGGCACACCACCTGGCACACAGCAGAAGGTCAGTAGATGATCTCACTGCCCAAATTATGGAGTTAGGTGAAATGCAAATTCAACATGTATTCTAAGAACAAAAGGGAAGAACTCAGAAATTTCCTTTTCTTAGTATACTCTTCTGCCCTGATGGTGCTTTGGCTGGAAAGTTTGAAAAAGCCTGCTACCTTCCTACCTCGCACTCCACAGAGTGCCTAGTTTGGGGAGGGTCGGAATGAGGGGGAGGTATATATTGACAAAGTATGAGTTCCCAGGCCCTCCCATGGGCAGGGTTTTTTGTTTGTTTGTTTGTTTCAGATTCCATGTACATTTGCTAGTTTCTGGCAGTTGGCAGATCGAGCCAGCGGCTGTCTTTCACACATACTCCTGAAGGCCTCTAAAAAGCGTGAGAATCAATCACCTCAGCACCCCAAGAAGCCAATGGAGGACCAGCATTGACTGTGCTGCCATTTTTGTTTTGTTTTGTTTTTGAGACAGAGTTTCGCTCTCGTTGCCTAGGCTGGAGTGCGATGGCACGATCTTGGCTTACTGCAACCTCTACCTCCCAGCTTCAAATGATTCTCCTGCCTCAGCCTCCCAAGTAGCTGGGATTACAGGTGTGAGCCGTCATGCCCCACTAATTTTTTGTATTTTTAGTAGAGACGGGGTTTCATCATGTTGGCCAGGCTGGTCTCAAACTCCTGACCTCAGGTAATCTACCCACCTTGGCCTCCCAAAGTGCTGCGATTATAGGCATGAGCCACTGCGTCTAGCCTCTGCTGCTGTTTTGATCAAAGGACATAGTTGCAAGATAGTGACCTAGTCAATACCCTCACCCCTTTCTCCAGCTCCTCCCTGTCCTACCTCACTGTCCTCTTGGGGAACAGGTGCTCCCATTCCAGGGCCAGCCATCCTGCTGGGAGTTTGCATCTCAAGCAGCAGCAGGCCCTTCGGGAGGAGGGGAGCCAAGATGGCAGTCAGCCTTCCACTGTCACTTTGAAAGGCGTAACATTTTATTACCTGAGTTTTGTGTGCCTCCGCTTAGCTGCTCTCTTAGTGCACAGCCAGGCTGAACACCAGATTTGTCTGACAAGAAGAGCTTGTATTTGAATATAAAAGCAATGACATCTCTCAATAACTACATGGTAGAGAATTTAAATTGCTTCTCAATCTCCTTCCTTCCCCTTCTCTTTCTTTTTTTTTTTTTTTTTTTTTTTTTTTTTTTGAGACGAAGTCTTGCTCTTGTTGCCCAGGCTGGAGTGCAATGACATGATCTCGGCTAACTGCAACCTCTGCCTCCCAGGTTCAAGCAATTCTCCTGCCTCAGCCTCCTGAGTAGCTGGGATTACAGGTGCCTGCCACCACGGCCGGCTAATTTTTGTATTTTCAGTAGAGATGGGGTTTCACCATGTTGGCCAGGCCGGTCTCAAACTCCTCACCTCAGGTGATCCCCATGCCTCGGCCTCCCAAAGTGCTGGGATTACAGGCATGAGCCATCACACCTGGTCTTTTCTTCCCTTCCTTTTTCATAATGGAATCCCAGTGATTAGCCGGGCTGATTGCCTTCTAGGATGAAGACAACATTTCCCAGCCTCCCTTACAAAGCTAAGCATGGCCATGTGACCATTTTCTAGCCAATGTGAAGCAAGCTGAAGTGCCATGTGTCTCTTCTGGGAAGTGTTCTCGAAAGATGGGGGTGGAAGTGGAGAGACAAGCATCCTCTAGCTTTCCAGCTTGGAACTTGAATGTGATGCCTGGAACTCTACCAGTGATCTTAGACCATAAGGGAAACATTAAGGATGGAAGTCACATGTTAAGTATAGCAAGAGCTGAACGACAGAAGCCCGGGTCCCAGGTGAACCCATGGAGTTGCTGTTCCAGGTTGGCCCTGGCTAGCATTTGACCTCTCATAGATGTCATAAATAAAGTTCTCTTTTATTTAAGGCACTATTACTTTTGAGTTTTCTTTCTGTTATATGCAGATGAAGTTAATATTAACTGATTTTAAAAATTTCTAGTAAAACTGCTGCTCCCCTCCCCCCAGAAAAAAATAGGCCACACTTCTCCTGAAGCCTCCTGTAGCCCTGGGTTTGAGTAGCTTGGAACTACGGACAATGCAAGGGTTTAAGGTCAGTGGATTTGGGGTCCAAATCCACCTATCACTTAATAACTAGATGACCTCGAGGATTTTTCCTATACAATGAGGTCATATTAATACCTTTTTTCGTAGAGCTGCTGTGTTTAATCCAATATATATTTCTTGACTGCCTGCTTTGTACCAATTACCATATTGATCCAGAGCTGAATAATACAGTCCCTGTCTTCTAGCAGAAATTGTCTTAAGTGCTATGTTAGGTTTCAGCTAGCCGACTTAGTCTCTGCTGCTGGGGAGGTTTTAAAGATGAGAGTGAAGTTAGATCTTAAAGGAAGGATTCATGAATGGCTTCAGAAGGTCTGTGACATGAGTTCCTTGAAAATTTTCACAAAAATTGTGTGTGTGTGTGTGTGTGTGTGTGTGTGATAGCAAATGTGCATTTTTATTGGAGGCAGTGTTTGTAATTTTTTTTTTTAAACAGAGTCTCTCTCCGTTGCCTAGGCTGGAGTGCAATGGGTGACCGCAGTCTGCCTCCCGGGTTCAAGCGATTCTCCTGCCTCAGCCTCCCAAGTAGCCGGGATTACAGGTGCCTGCCACCATGCCTTGCCAATTTTTGTATTTTTAGTAGAGACAGGGTTTCACCATGTTGGCCAAGCTGGTCTCGAACTCCTGACTTCAAGTGATCTGCCTGCCTCTGCATCCCAGTGCTGGGATTACAGACGTGAGCCACTGTGCCTGGCCAGGTTTGTAATTTTTATTAGAGTCTAGAATGCTTCCATGGTCTTAAGTGGAAGTGCTACTGCGAGCTAAAAAGGATCCAGATAATCTTGGTATGGCTCTCACTTCTCTTCTGCTAAATGGCTTCCTCCTTGAAAAAAAATCTGTATAATGCAGAGAATGTGATGGCCACATAAGTTAATGGGGCACTGTTGGGCTGCTTCGAATGGAAGATATGCCCACCAGAATCAATCAGCTGAGGCTGTGTTTTGCTCCTGTAACAAATGACCTCAAATCTCCAAGGCTAACAACAAAGGCTTGTTTCTCACCCATGCCAGTGTCCCTGTGCATTACTCTGGAACCCAAGCTGATGGAGCAACCTCTCTCTGGGATATTATTGTCAACCTTGGGGCAGAAGGGATAGCAAACCGTGCACTGGCTCTTCAACCTCTGTTTAGAGGTGACACGCATCACTTTTGCTCACATTTTACTAGGCTAAGAAGTACATGATCACTCCTGACCACAGAAGACTGGGATCCCATGAGAAGGGTGCCAGAGGAAGAGAAAACACACATTCTGAGCATTAATCGATCTACCACACCATGTTATTGGGATACAAGAATGCAAACAGAAATTAATCAAAAACGAGCAGGAATTAAACCTAACCCAGCTTCCTCAATTTCACTGTACTCAACACTCTGCAGTCAAGGAGACACGCTGAACAAAAAAATCTGGTTTTCCATTCTTGCCACATTGTTAAAATTGGAAGAAAATCAAAACCAGGTAGAGGCACTTGGACTCCGGGAGTCTTTGTGATGGGCAAAAGACAAGACTAGTAAAATGGGTGTGTTTAACAAATGTCTACCATTAGCCAAACTCGGGGCCTGCCTCTTTATGCCCCCAGTACTGGCCTTTATATCAGGATGCTTTTAACACATAGTTCATGCTCCCTGGATGTACCTTGCTTAACATACAGCTTGAAGAATTTCCTAGATCCACACAGCATGCTAAGTGTAATGGATTGGATCATGTCCTCGCCACCCCAGCTACCACCACCAAATTCATATGTTGATGTTGAAGCCCTAAACCTGTATTTGGACACAGAGCCTTTAAAGAAGTGATCAAGGTTAAATGAAGTTACAAGGGCAGGGCCCTAACCTAATAGGACTGGTGTCCTTGTAAGAAGAGGAAGAGATACAGAGGAATGGCCATGTGAGGACACAGCATGAAGACAATGATCTGAAAGCCAGGGAGAGAGGCCTCAGGAGGGACCCGCCCTGCTGGCACCATGATCTTAGATGGTCAGCCTCCAGAACAGTGAGAAATAAATATCTGTTGTTTAAGCCACCTAGTCTTTGGTATTTTGTTATGACAGCCCAAGCATCACAATACATTAAGAAAAACTGGCCGGGTGTGGTGGCTCACACCTGTAATCTCAGCACTTTGGGAGGCTGAGGCAGGAACATTGCTTGAGCCCAGCCTGAGCAACATAGTGGGACCCCCATCTCTGCAAAAAAAATTAAAAAATTAGTCACACATGGTGGAGTGCACATGTCGTCCCAGCTACTCAGGAGGCTGAGGTGGGAGGATCATTTGAGCTCAGGGGGTAGAGGCTGCAGTGAGCTGAGACTGAGCCACTGCACTCCAGCCTGGGTAACAGCGAGACCCTGTCTCAAAATAAAAGAAAGAAAGAAAAAGGAAAACAGCAGCCCCAATCCCCAGCCCTACCCTCTTCCCTTCTCCCCTTCTTCAGAGGAACATTTTCTGTTCTGTATCATGATTTCTTTGGTACTCGTTTCCACATCTCTTAAGAATCATGCCTAGAGCTCCTTGCTGTGTTTTCCATCTTAAGTGTTATCTCTTGACTTTCCACTATGGAAGATAAGATTTTAGCCCTTATTCCTTCTGCCCATCCTCATCCTATGTAAGCAGACTTTTCTCTCACCCCCTGCCCAACTCTCAATATTATTATACTGTATTTGGCTCAATCAATATTCATTATTTCTATTGTTTTGACTTTATTAGTGCACATCATCACAGTGGTGTTTTATGGTAAAACCACGATTGTTTTTCCTTTCCTACACAATTTTTGTTTTCCTAGAGTTTATGATTATTTTTTTGTTTGCTTCTTTATCATCACTTCTACCACAAACACAGGCAGGGTGAGTTGGAGTCCTGGTTGGACGCAGCATTTCACACAGAGGTTTTAATCCAAGGGTTTGTAAATGAAGGGGCTGTTGAGAGAGGTGTGGACGAGGATGGAGAGGCACCCCAGGACTTCAGCAACAGTAGGAAGCTGTTGACAGTGCCAGGCCTGAAGGGCAAGGGAAGGAAATAGTGTTCCTGGAGCCTAGGAGATTGAGCTGTAGAGGAGATGCCCGTAGGAGCTGTGTTTGGGGAGGGATGACATAGCCACTGCTGAAATGGCGGTTTATTAGTTTGTTCCCATATTGTTGTAAGGACCTACCTGAGACCGGGTAATGTATAAGGAAAAGAGTTTTAATTGGCTCTCAGTTCTGCATGCTGTACAGGAAGCATGGCGGGGGAGACCTCAGGAAACTTACAATCACGGCAGAAGGTGAAGAGGAAGGAGGCACATCCTACCATGGCGGAGCGGGAGGAAGAGAATGAAGGAGGAGGTGCTACACACCTTTAAACAACCAGTTCTCATAAGAACTCACTCACTATCACAAGAACAGCAAGGGGGATGTCCACCCCGATGATCCAGTCACCTCCCATCAGGCCCCTCCTCCAATGTTGGAGATTACAATTTGACATGAGATTTGGGTGGGGACACAAATCCAAACCTTACCAGGTGGCATCAAAGCAGTCAGGGAGAGGCATGGAATACACTTGGCCTCTCTCTTTTCTTCCGCTCCCATGTCTTCTCAGTGCCTCCCATTAGCCAAATTCAGTCAGAACCCAGGTAAGGGAGCCAGGAGTTTCAATCCACAGAGACCGCTGACCAAAGAAAGGCAGAAAATGGATGAGGTGGGCCATGGTGGAGACTCCCAGCACATTCATCCAGTAGTCTTATTTCTTCTCAGCAGATTCACTGGCTTCAGGTATTATAGGAGTTTCAGCTTTTTGGAGACATGTCTCCCAGAGCAGAGTGTCCTGACCTGCTCCATCCAGGCTGGGGGGCCCTGCTTTCATAGCGGGATCTCCTTGACCGTCATCCTGGGACTCCCTTCCTTCTCTTCAGTGTTGTATCTCCTACTTCCTGCAGGCTCTGTCTTTCTCCTTCTTTTCTTACTCCCTCATTTTGGTGGAGCTCATCGTGCAGTAGCTTCCTGAGAAAGGATGTGTGTGTGGGAGGTACATTCTTTGAGACCTTTCAAGACTAATGAAGTCTTTATTCTTCCTTTACATTTGACTGATAGCTTGACTGGCATAATCTCCCAGGAGGAAGTGGCTTTCCTTCCTCACAACTGGTGACACTGATGAGAAAATCAAAGCCCTCTGATTCCTGATTCTGTGCATGGAGATTGTTTTCTCTCTGGAAACTTAAAGAATCTTCTCTGTGTCTTCAGTATACCGAGGTTTCATGACTATGCTCTTTGGTGTGGGTCCCTTTTCACCACTGTGCCAAATACCCAATGGGCCCTTTCAATCCTTCAGTGTTGGGAAATTTCCTTGAAATATTTCACTAACGACTTCCTTCTCTTCATTTTTTTCTGTCTTCTTCCTAGACCTCCAGCTATTCAGGTATTGTATCTCCTCTAATTTTCTTACAATTTCTGTCTTGTGTTGTGTTGTCTTGTGTATCTCTTTATGCTTTTGTTCTTCTTGGAAAGAGATTTCTTCGTGTTATGGGTTGCATTGTGTCTCTCCAGAAGATGTTGAAGTCCTAACCCCATTGCCTATGAATGTGACCTTATTTGAAAATAGGGTCTTTGCAGATGATCAGGTTAAGATGAGATCATTATTAGGGCAGGTCCCTAATCCAATATGACTGTATCCTTATACAAAGGGAAAATCTCGATACAGAGACAAACACACACACAGGGAGAACACCGTATAAAGACAGATCTGACAATAAATCTACAAGCCAAGGAATGCTCAAGAGTGCCAGCAACCCACCGGGAACTAAGAGAGGAGCAGGGCACAGATGGCTCTCACAGCCCCAGGAGGAACCAACACTGCCAATTTCCCCTTCTAGGCTTCAGAAAAGTGAGATGATACATTTCTGTTGTTTAAACCACTCAGTTTGTGGTACCTTGTATTAAGCTTAGCCTCTACTTTAGCCCAAAGCTGCCTGCTTACATATTTCAAGTTCAACCTAGAGGTTTCTCGGCACACAGTGAACTGTAACCCAACTGGTTGTGGAAACAGACTCTAACCTACTCTTGTACTAGTCACAGAGTTTTGGCCAATCACAGGCTGCCAGCTCTTCAAACCATGTTCAAATAAGTCAAACGCCCAGCTATAGCCAATTCAGCTGTTTCTGTGCCTCACTTCCATTTCCTGTACCTCACTTTCCTTTTTCTCTCCATAAATATTACCCTATCATGTGGCAGCCCCAGAGTGTCTCTGAACGTATTCTGGTTCAAGGAGCTGCCCAATTCTCAAATTGTTCTTTACTCAATTAAACTCCATTAAATGTGATTTGCCTAAAGTTTTTCTTTCCACATGTGTTATGGCAGCCCTGGCAAACTAATATACTTCATTGTTGCCTCTAGTTCTTACTATTAAGTTCTTCCATTCTTCCATCATGTTTCAAATTTCCAAGAGCCATTCATTTTTACATATCCTTTTGGTCACCTCTACTTCTCTCTCTCTTTCTTTCTCTCTCTTTTTTTTTTTTTTTTTTTTTAATTAGAGATAGGGTTTTACCATATTGGCCAGGCTGGTCTCGATCTCCTGACCTCAAGTGATCCACCCACCTTGGCCTCCCGAAGTGCTGGGATAACAGGGGTGAGCCACCACTCCTGGCCCTGTTACATCCTCTTCTTATTTCATACCTGCAATATATTCTTTCATTTCTCTGAGAAGATTAATGATGCAAATATTCAAAGCTTTCTTTTCCCAGACTGGTCTCTGTTGTCAAGTTCCTTGTTTCATGTCTGTCCTGTTAGAGGATTTTCTCAGGTGTGTCTAAATCTCCTAAATCTCCTATTTAACAGTGGAGGAGGGCCAGGCACAGTGGCTCATGCCTGTAATCCCAGCACTTTGGGAGGTGAAAGTGGGAGGATTGCTTGAGGCTGGGAGTTCGAGACTGGTCTGGGCAACGTAATGAGAGCTTGTCTCTACAAAAAATTTAAAAATTAGTTGGGTGTGGTGGTGCACGCTGGTAGTCCCAGCTACTCAGAAAGTTGAGGTGAGGGGATTGCTTTAGCCTGGGAGGTTGAGGCTGCAGTGAGCCATGATGGCACCACTGCACTCCAGCCTGGGCCATAGAACGAGACACTGTATCAAAAAAAGAAAAAGAAAAGAAGTGTGGAGGACAATAAAGGTGAAAACACCAAGCCAAGAGCAGAGGGCATTAAACTTAGAGGGATGTGGTGGGCTCTGTTTTGGGGAAACCCAAATATAAATGTCTTAGGTCTTCCCCCTTGGCCTAGTCAGCCCTTCCAGTCTCCTGCCTGGACAGCAGTCTGGAGTCTCAGTCTCCATTATGTGAAGTCACACATCCTGCCCTGGGGACGTCTGTGTCACCCTTTCCAGAGGGCAAAGCCTCACCTAGAGTGGATTGGGGAGGACAGTTTCCTACAGCCTGGAGTGAGGGCTGGGCCTAAGGAGCAGATCTGGGAAACCATCTACTCCTTTAACAGCTTTAACCCACTCCTTATTTAGTCCTCCCCACCATTCACCTCCACTTCTGGAATTACAAGAGCAACAACAAATTCCTGAGCTCTGGAGGATTCCATTGATTCTCAGTTTTTACAACTTGGCTTAGGATTTGGCTTTCTCAAGGCAGTGCCTGCCTACCCATCTATTTTCAGCTTAAAATATTTTCTTGTTGTCTTCTCTCCATTCTCCCAGTCCTGTGGGGTTTTTGTTTGTTTGTTTGTTTTTCAGTAAAGAAAAAAATAAATCCTTTACTCTACTTTTAGTGGTTCCAAGAGGGAACAAAATGACCTGTGTTCAAGGGTTCATCTTTGCCTGCAGATCCTAAGGTCTCTTTTTAAAACTAACATTTACTTTTATGATTAAAAAAAACACTGAACAAATGAGGACTAGAAGGAAACTTTCTTAATGTGATAAAGGGCACCTATGAAAAACCTACAGTTGGCATCCCCCTTAGGGATGAGAGATTGAATGCCTTCCCCTGAGATCAGGAATGAGACAAGACAAGAAGTGCTCTTGCCACTTCTGTACAACCTTGTACTGGGACGTCTAGCCAGGAATCCAATAATTAGGCAAAAAAATGACATTAAAGGCATGCAGATGGAAAGGAAGAAGTAAAATTATCTCTATTTGCAGATGACATGATCTTATATATGGAATATCCTAAGCAATCTGCTAAATACCTATTATAGCTAATGAACAAGTTCTGCAAGGTTGCAAGATAAAAGACCAATATACAAAAATCACTTGTATTTCTATACACTTACAGTGAAAAATCTGAAAATGAAATTAAGAAAACAATTCCATTTTACAATAGCATCAGAAAGAACAAAATACTTAAGAATAAGTTTAACAAGGAAGTGCAAAACCTCCTTTGTGTGGGCCTGTTTTTGGACTCCTTACTCTCTATCTGATATATGAGTCGTTCCTTTCACCAATGCCACATCATTTTGATTATCTTCCTCCAATTTTACTCTTCTTTGCAAAAATTGTTCTGATTATTCTAGTTTCTTTGCCTTTCCATACAAATTTTAGAATTAACTTGTCTACATCAGCAACAACAGAAATCCTGCTGGAATTGTGTTAAATCTATTTATCAATTTGGGTAATACTGACATTTTTACTCTGTAGAATCTTCTGATCCGTGAACATAGTATGTCTCCCCATTGCTTTAGGTCTTTGATTTCTTTCATCAGTGTTTGTAGTTTTCAGCATACAGATCTTATAGGCATATATTGTCATTTTTATAAATACATGTATAATACATATTATTTCTATAAATGAAATAAATTCAGGTTGAGTATCCCTTTAAAAATAAAATAAAATAAAATTTAAAAGTGCAAAACCTATGCTTTGAAAACTATAAAACATTGTTGAAAGAAATTTTTAAAAGACCTAAATAAATAGAAAGACACCGCATATTCACCAACCAAAAGATTTAATATCGGTAAGATGGCAGGACTTCTTTGAATTGCTCTACAGACTCAACACAGTCCCTATTCACTGACTTCTTTGCAGAAATTGACAAGCTGATCCCAATAGTCATATGGAAATACAAGGGACTCAGAATAGCCAAAACAATCTTAAAAAAAAACAAAAAGAAAATTAAGGGGCTCACACTTTCTGATTTGAAAACTTACTACAAAGCAACAGTAAACAAGGCAATCTTGGTACTGACATAGACATATAGATCAATGGAATAGAATTGAGAGTCCAGAAATAAATTCTCACATTTATGGTCAATTGATTTTTCATGAGGTTACCAAAACAGTGCAATAGGGAAAGAATAATATTTTCCACAAATGGTGCTGGGACAATTGAATATCCACATGCAAAAGAATAAAGACAGATCTCTATTTCACATGGTATAAAATATGAACTCAAAATGGATCAAGATCCTAAATGTCGGAGCTAAAACTATAAAAGTCTTAGAACAGCCTGGGCAACATAGGGAGGCCCCATCTCTACAAAAAATAAAAATAAATAAATTAGCCAGGTGTGGTGGCACACACCGGTGGTCCCAGCTACTTGGGAGGCTGAGGTGGGAGGATCACTTAAGCCCAGGGGGTTGAGGCTGCAGTGAGCTGTGATCACATTGAACTCCAGCCTGTGTGACAGAGTGAGACCCTGTCAAAAAGGAAAAAAAAAAAAAAACAACTCTTAGAAGAAAACAAGGATGAATCTTCATGACCTTAGATTGGCAATGTTTTTTTTTACATTATACCAAAACAAAAGCAACTAAATAAGCATTGATAAATTGGACTCCATTAAAATGTAAAACTTTTGTGTTTTAAAGGATACAATCAAGAAACTGAAAAGATAACTCATGAAATGGGAGAAAATATTTGCAAATCATATGTTAAGGGATTTGCTTATAGAACATATAACGAACTCTTACAATTCAATAATAAAAAGACAATCTAATTAGATGGGCCAGACATCCTAAGTAGTGGTGTGCACCTGTAGTCCCAGGTACTTGGGAGGCTGAGGTGGGAGGATGACTTTAGGCCAGGAGTTCAAAGCTGTATCGCTTCTGCACTCTAGCCTAGGAAACATAGTGAGACCCTGTCTCAAAAAAACAAAAAACAAAAAGACAACCCAGTTAAAAATTGAACCAAAGATCTGAATAGACAGTTCTCTAAAAAATTACATACGAATGGCCAATAAGAACATGAAAAGATGCTCAACCTCATTAGCTATCAGGGAAATGCAAAAGACAGATAATAATAACAATAACAAGTGTTGTTGAAGATGTAGAGAAACTGGAACCATGACACATTGCTGGTGAGAATGTAAAATGGGGCAGCCACTTTGGAAAATAGTCTGGAAATTCCTCAAAATGTTAAATATAGACTTACCGTGGAACCCAGAAATGTCTGGGTATATAACCAAGGCATAAAAACATGAAAACTTGCACACAAATATTCATGGCAGAATTATTTATAATAGCCAAAAAGTGAAAACAACTCAGATATCCCTCAACTGATCAATGGATACATTCAATGTAATGTATCATATAAATTCCAATGTTGGGAATAAAAAGAAACAAAGTACTGATACATGCCACAACATGATGAACCTTGAAACAATTCTAAGTATAAGAATCCAGACACACAGCTCACATATTGCATGATTCTATTGACATGAAATGTCCAGAACAGACAAATCTGTAGAGACAGAAAGTAGATTAGCGGTAGTTTAGGGTTGGGGAGGGATTTGGACAGCAACATAGAGTTACTGCTAATTGGCACAGAGTTTCTTTGGGGAGGGTGATGAAAATGTTCTGAAATTGATTTTGGTGATGGTTGTATATTCTGACATGAATATAAAAAAAATTGTCTAGTCCACTTTAAATGGTTGAATTGCGTGGTATGAGAATCATATATAAATTAGTCTGTTTTTTTAATTAAAATTTTTTCCCTTTTGCTATGGTGCTGATGTTATTTTCTAAGCCTAATTTTAACTGTCCTGGCTTCTGTGTTCCTACCACAGCCCTTTATGTTAGTTTTTTTTTTTTTTTTTCTTTTTTTTGAGACAGAGTCTCGCTCTGTTTCCCAGGCTGGAGTGCAGTGGCGCAATCTCGGCTCACTGCAAGCTCTGCCTCCCAGGTTCATGCCATTCTCCTGCCTCAGCCTCGTGAGTAGCTGGGACTACAGGTGCCCGCCACCACCCCCGGCTAATTTTTTTTTTTTTTTGTATTTTTACTAGAGACGGGGTTTCACTGCGTTAGCCAGGATGGTCTCGATCTCCTGACCTCATGATCCACCTGCCTCGGCTTCCCAAAGTGCTGGGATTACAGGCGTGAGCCACCGCGCCCGGCATCCTTTATGTTAATTTTTAAAGTAGTTGGGCTATGCATTAAAATTAGCATAAGGACACTATAGCTTTAGAAGGAAGATTATGGACAGTGAATCAGGTAGACCTGAATGGATTCTGGAACATCTGCCGCTTGTTTGCTCTATAGTTTTGGACAAGTAGCTTAACTTCTTTGGGCCTCATAGTTTCATAGTCTGCAGAATGAAATTACTGATAGAACCACAGGAAGGGGTTTTGTGTTTATAGGAGCTCTGTGCTAAATGGACTATAGGAAACACTAAGATGCTTTTAGCCTATCTTCCACACAGGAAGGACATGTTAGAAGTATGTATTAAGCAAGACTCTTTTGGTTGTAAGACACAATAAAACAAAGCAGCTTGGAGGGAATGAATTGGCTTGTGTTACCTGAGAAATCCAGGGGTAGCTTCATGCATGGCTGGATCCAGGGGCTTAATTGATGTCATCCCTTTCTCTTTCCCTTGCTCACTCTCTGGTAATGGTTAAGAGTAAAGACTCTCAAGTCAGACACCTAGGTTTGAATCTTACTTCTTATGTGACCTTGGGCAAGTGGCTTAGCCTTTCTATGCCCCAGTTTATTCATCTACATAGAATGGGTGGTGATAAGAGTGTTGAGGAGGAGGAGGAGGCTTGTGGGATTCAGTGAGGTAATATGTGTAATGTGCTTAAAATAGTGTTAGGCACAGTAAATACTAAATAAGTCTTTGCTATTATCATTATTATTTTTTATTTTGTGATCCAGCTGCAGCCAGGAATATTCCATCAGGCCAGACAGTTGGTTCTTAGAAGCGTGAATCTATATCCCTATAGCACAAAAATGTAAGAAAAAAAAAAAGAGAGAAGGACTATTTTTACACACTAGCTTTGAATCCCAGGGAATGTGGTTTATGTGCCCATCCCTGAACCAAACAGAGGGACACAGTTGCCCTATGATTGGCACAGTCTGGGGCATGGACCCATGATGCCCAGGGTCTGGGCACCATAGTAACAACCTGTTGAGACCACGTGGAGACACATGGAGTTAAAGAGGGCAGAGGAAGCAGAAAGTAGTCAGGTAGACATAAACCAGTACTACCTCCACCTACTGCAAGAAGTTTCCAAGCATTGCTGGAGAGAACTGAATCTGGGAAGGATGTGATGGGACCATGGCTCTTTGGTAGAGCTTATGGTGGGGAAGAAGCTCAGCCTTGGTACTGGAGGCTTGCTCTGCACTCTGCCATTCCAGTTATCTCTAGAAATATGAGGCCTCTGAGGCTTCCTTGAGGCTAAAGAATGCCATGTGGTATGCATTATCCGCCAAGTAATAGGCCATTTACCTTCCCCAAAGCTGGGAGCAAGCAGACCTAATTGGTGTAGCTGCTGGAATATTGTATGTCTCCCATTGGGGTCCCAGAACTTGAGACCCTCTTACTTTTGCAACCAGGACAACATGCTGAAAAGATGGTGGTCTTTTTTCTAAATGGAAAAAGCAACAAAACCACATTTTAGATGGTTATGGGTGTTTTGAAGTGGTTTCTGGTTAATCCCAGCTCCATGGAGCCATCTGAGAGGTTTGCTATATCTGGGGTCTGCTAGCATGAGGAAGCGATTTTGCTAAGCCAGCCTGTGTCTGCATTCCCAAATATGGAGTTCAAGGACTCATCTTGGAGAAACTGAAACAGAAGCTTCCAACAAAGGGTTCTTGAAGTCGGTTTGTAATTAACCTTTCTGTGTAATGTGAGATTTCTCAACTAAATAAAGGGTAGAAAAATAGATTCAATTTTAATAATTAACAGATACTTGATTACAGGAGTTCCAATGTGCCTCGCAGAGTATTGGTTGCCATATGCTGGGGGTATTAGTCCACAGCCACATATAAACTGATCTGACCTATCTATCTTTTAAATTTCGGTTTCTTCTCTATGTGACAAGCAGGCTGGGCCTCGTCCGGCTCTGTGACAGGCAGGAGTGCAGCTTCTGGAGCCCGGAGCATGAACACCACAGCGAGGCCCAGGCTGCAGTCCCTGCCCTCATTTAATCTGTGACCTCACGGACTCGTCTCCAAACCATAATTGAATTCCCATTTGATCTGTTTGACCTCAGCCTCCCACAGTGCCAATTCCCTGGTGGACAGGGTGTGCTCTGAGAACTCTCCAGGCTGCAGGGGTTGCCACCTGCGCCCTCTCGGGCAGAACGTGGCCTCCAGACAAATCTTATTTGGCCTAGCCAGGGTTGAAAAACGCTTTTGAACGTGGATGCCTTTGGATGCTGTATTTGTTCCCTGGGGCTGCCGTAACAAAGTACCACAAACTGGGTGGAGTAAACAACTGAAATTGTCTCGTGCTTCTGGAGGCTGGAAGTCTGAGATCAAGGCATGGGCAGACTTGGTTTCTTCTGAGGGCTGTAGGGGATGGATCTATTCTGTGCCTCTCTCCTTGGCTTGTAGATGGCCATCTTCTCCCTGTATCTTCACACTGTCTTCCTTCTGTACACGTCTGTGCTTGAATTTCCCTTTTTTATAAGGACATTAGTCACACTGGATCGGGGCCCACTGTAATGACCTCACGTTAACTTGATTATCCCTGTAAAGTCCCCATCTTCAAATAAGGTTGCATTCTGAGATACCAGGGGTTAGGACTTCAGCATGTGAATTTTGGGGGGGTGTAATTCAGTCCATAACAGATGCCATGGCACTTCGTTTTGCCATGGTACCATCCATTTGTGAGTATCTTACACCGGCGCTTCTCCTCTCACTTGTTTACATGCCCTCCTGGCTCCTGTATATCTTTTTTGGGGGATGGAGTCTCACTCACTCTGTCGCCAGGCTGCAATTTCTGCTCACTGCAACCTCTGCGTCCTGGGTTCAAGCAATTCTCCTTCCTCAGCCTCCCAAGTAGCTGGAACTACAGGCGTGCACCACCAAGCCCGGCTAATTATTGTATTTTTAGTAGACATGGGGTTTCACTATGTTGGCCAGTCTGGCCTCAAGTGATCCACCTGCCTCAAACTCCTGGGCTCAAGTGATCCGCCCGCCTTGGCCTCCCAAAATGCTGGGATTACAGGTGTGAGCCACCATGTCTGGCCTCCTGTGTGCTTTTGGATGGTGACTCCTCCCTTGTTAGTTTATAGTTCATTCATTCATTTGTTCAATCATTCATCCTCATAAGATTGTTGAAAAAAATGAAATAATTTATTTCCATGTTAGCTTAATATCTGGCATATATAGGTATTCAGCAGCATTTATTTATTTATTCATTTACCCATATTTATCAAGCAAACATCCACCAAATGCCAGGAATGCAGCAAAGCCAGACAAGGTCACTCCCCCGATGGAGTGTATAGTGAGGTAGGGGAGAGACTCGATCCAGTGTTCACAGTGTAAATGTATGAACCAACTGTGATAAGTGCTCTGAGCTGCAAGGGGCAGCGGGAGGCCAGGCCATATGGAGCCTGCAGCCCGTGGGAAGGCATCTGAGCTTCTTTGGAATGTATCAGATGGTCAAACTGATAACTTATCAGCAAAGGGTGACACTCTCAGGGTAGCACTGGGGCAATCAGGTTGGAAGTGGGCAAGAAGGGATTCTGGAGATCTCAGGGAGGCTGCTGCAGGTGCCCCAAGAGAGAGATGGGAGCTTGGTCTCGAAGGGAGTGGAGAAGATGGAGAGGGGTGGATGGCTTTGAGAAATTAGGGGTAGATTGGCAGGACGTGCAGATGGGAGGGAGGTGCCAGGGATGGACAGGCTTACAGATGTGGCTGGGCGGTGTGGCTTCTCACTGAGAGAAGCAAGAGGATCCAGTTTATAGGTACATGTTGAATCTGAGGAGTCTGAACTTGATAAAACATGGAGCGTCACTGTCAATCATCTACTCCTTCATTCGACAATCATTTATGGGGCACTTGGACATGGGCAAGAGTGGTGTTAGATGTCAGGAATACTGCAGGAAGCAATGCAAACTGCCTTATGCGATGGACATTCTAACGAGGAGACAGACAGTAAATAAGTAAGCAAATAGATAAGACTATTACAGAGTATGATAAGAAAATAACGCCAGGTGAGGGGCTAAGGAGTGATTGGGGGTAAAAAGGGTGGGCTAATTAAGTTGGGGTGGACAAGAAAGGCTACTGTGAAGGGCTGCCATTTGAGCGGAAGCGTGAATGGTGAGAAAGAGCTGGATATGGAAGAGATAGGGGACAGTCATCTCAGGTAGGGGGCATAGCATGTGCAAAGGCCCAGAGGCAGGAACGGCTCAAAATGGGGTTGGTGTGAGAATCAGGGACCAGAATGTGCGCGTACTTACAGGCTAAAGTAAGGCATTCACACCTTTCCCCAGGTCCATTTAAGAAGGAAAGCCATGTAAGAAAGGCCTTAAGCCAGGGAGTGACAGCGTCTGCTTTCCTCGTTACAAAGATCAGCTCGATTTTGAGAAAAGACAAGATGGAATTTTAGGGACCTTGCCCATACCTTTCTCTTTTTGCTTAACTTGGTTCGAATTGAGTTTTTGTCTCTTGCACCCCAAGAGTTTTGATGAGCACATTTGGGAAGAAAAACCTTTCTGGTGGGACGTGTGTCAAGATCCAAGATTCACAGAAAGTCAGAGCTGGGTGGGGCCTCCGGGATGGGCTAGGTCAGGAGTATCGTGACTGCTCCCTACGGAGACTGAGGGGCGCCAAGACCCAGGCCTCTTTTGTCTGGAACAGCTGCTCTTTCATTGGTTTTGCACACACAGAGACCTGCGAGCGCTTTCATCAGTGCTTTCCTTGACTGACAATGTCTGGAAACCACTGAGACAAGTTTATGCCACTGCTTTATACATGGGGAAACTGGGGCTCAGGGAGATTAGGCCACACGGCCGGGAAGAGGTCAGACGTGGCTGTGCCACTCCTAACTCAGTGCCCTTGGCAGTGGAGAAGGCTGCCTGCCTCCAAGGCTGGAACTGGGCAGTTTGCTGTGAGGGCAGAAGGTTCTTCCTTTCTTTCCTGGATGTGGCCAGAGAGGGGCCTGAAGGAGCTGCAGCTTTGTGATCCACCTCTTCCAGGACATGCGGGGAGCCACGGGGCCAATTCACAGGCTGGGACAGATCATGCATAAATAGAAGAAGGCAGGCCCTGGAGCTGAGCTGCCTTCTGGGGTTCCGCACATGATTGTCACTTACCCAGCCTCCTCTGAGGACTCAGGACCTCAGAGTCCTCGGGACAATGGACCATGCACTGTGGCCCAAAATAGGGTTTCGGGCACAAGCTTTGGAAGTAGAGCTGGGTTCAAGTCCCAGATCTTCCCCACATCTAGCTGTGGACACATTATTTACATTCTCTGAGTGGCAGTTTCCTCGGCTGAGAGAGAACGCATAGCAGCCTCCCAGCAATGTGGTGAGAACTAAATGAAGCACTTAGCACATCAAGCACTGAGCATGGTGCTTGGTACCTGGTCAGCGCCCAATACGTGGCTGTTCTTCTATTATAATAATTTAAGAATGATCACTATTTTCGTTCCAAGTTCCACACTGCACAGTAGGGGACAGGAGGCTGAGGAAGGCAGAGCCTGAAGGAGTCTGAACTGGGCGCTGGTTTGTCAATTGGCATGAAAATCCCACCTCATAGTAAATTTCCGATGGAAACGAAGCGTGAGAGTTCAGTGTTTTCCCACTTAATGGAATTGTGACTTTTCTTCTAGCCACGGTTCTTTGTCCTGAGTAAAGTTGTAGCAAAGGCTGTCACTGTTCGCACTTCTTTGTTTTATTTTTACTTGTGTGAAGAGCAATCAAAATAAATAAATCGGCTGTGTGATTTCAAGTAACTAAAACAGAAGCCAAAAATTGAGGGAGAAAAAAACCCCAACAAACCAAAACAAAACCAATCAAAATTTGCTTCTTCAGTGGCCCAAATGCCTCTTCTGAGTTTAGGCACCCGGGGGTTTGTCTGCTCCGGAGAACAGACACACCAATTGCATGGTGTTCCCAAGGCTTAGAGGAGCAGACTGAACAGTCAAATGCATTTTTGCTCTTCCAGCAATTTCAAAAACAAATAATTATAAACCTAACATTTTTTGAACTATTTATCATGTGCCAGGTGCTATAAATGTGTGTTTTACATGCATTCTGTCCATTAGTTCCTCCAAAAGCTAAGGATTAGTATCATTCCCTTTTACAGGTGAAGAAACTAAGGCTGAAAGAGGGCAATTAACTTGCTTATGGCCACGCAGCTGGTAAAGATCCCGGGAGACTCAGGATGCAGGGTAGGGCAGATTGCTCCAGAAAAGATGCTGAAATTCCTTCTGGAGACTCTGCTGGGTGGGGGTTGAAATATGGTGGTTGAGCCCTTCTGTGTTCCTAGGGCATCTTGGGAAGAATATAGAGTGGCCACGGCTCAGAGGACCCACTTCCTGACAGACTGTTTACTTCCAAGAGTAGTGGCCTCCCTCAATGGAAGAACCCCTAGACTTTCAAAGTGTGTTAGTCAGATTTTGCACTGTGATATGCTGCATGACAAGCACCCCCACAAAATCTCAGGGGCTCACAACCAACACTCTTTCTTTGTCTTGCTCTTGGGTCTGTGGGTCATCTGGGGGTAGATCTGCTCTAGGCTTTGGGTTAGGATCAGGAATGTTCCATGTGCTTCATTCTGGAATCAGAGGTTTCACAGAGGATGTCTTATGGGGAATGGCAGAAGTACAAAAGACCCAGCCAAACCAGCAAGCACATTTAAAACCTCTGCTCACCTCACATTCACTTACATTCTGTTGGCCAAAAGAAGCCAAGCATTCCATCACTGTACAAAGCAGATGCACAACCCACTTCCTCTGCAGTCCCATCTCCACACAATGGCAGCTTACTGCAAGACCACCTTGCCTTAAAAACTTTTGCCTCTTCTTTCCATGAGAATGAGGTTGGAAATTTTCCCAAAACAAAACAAAACAAAAAAAAGAAAAAAAGAAAAAAACTTTACTAAAGACTAAAGGGAGAAACACAGAGAGGCTGTAGGGGATGTCCACCAGTTCTGCTTGTGAAGCCTCCATTCAGCTGGTAATTCCCAATCTCCTCTTAGAGAATCACCTCTCCTCATTCTCGGTCCCTGTGATTTGAGGGTGAGAGGTTACTGCCCTGGCCTGCCAACGTCAGGGGTGGACACCTGATCCATTCCTGGCCAATGGAAATACTGCTGCAAATCCTTGTCCATATGACTGTCTCTGGGCTGGTCATCTCACCCAAACTGGGCCAGTGACTTATACTAGGGCTATTAGAACAGGGATTCACATTTCTGGTGAGTCTGTGAAGCTTCTAGTATATAAGCTGGGAGCCTCTGGTAGCCATATTTGGTACCTCTCATACCATAAAGTGAAGCTCACACAGAGGCAAACAGGGCCAAAGGATGAGGCAACATTGAGAGAACATTGAGCATCTGGATCCAGCTGTGCCTGAAAGCCCTAAACTACAACAAATTTCTTTTTGGGGTAGGGGTTGGGGATAAGCCAGTTTGAATTGGATATTTGTCCCTTGCAACCAAACAACACCTTACTAATTCAGAAATAGAGGCAAAGGTAAGTAAGATGGTTGAGATCAGACTTGGGTTCAAATCCTGGCCCTGCCACTTAGAGCTGTGTGCCCTTGAGGAGTCTTGATCTCCGCATCTGTCAAATGGGAATAGTCATGCTGCCTTTGAGGTGGTTGTGAGGGTAAACCATATAAAACGGGTTGTCTGGGTCTGGTGAATGGCTGATGCGTATGCTAACTCGAGGATTCAGAAGCAGGCTTCCTGTCTGCCCTGGGCGAAAGTCCAGCCTCACAGTTTCTTTGCCCACAGATCCCACAAGTCACGCGACCTCCCCTTCCTGTTGCTCACAGGAGGCCGGGGTTGGCACGGGCTCCGAGCTCTGGCAGGCTGCGCCTTCTCTCCCAGAACGTCCCTCTCGCCAGCTCTCGCCTTCTCTCCAGGCCACCTCTGGGCCCAGCAGCTCTGTACCTTGGAATGCGGCTGTGCTCGCCCTGCAGACCGGCCCCGCCCTGCCCCTGGCGGAGGAGCTTTTCCCCTTCACAGAACTGCAGGCCCTTAGTGGCAGGAGACCGGGGGCCCTAGAGACTCCTTCAGCTTTCTTGGAGGGAAATCTCAGGTTCCCAGGGCACAGAGCAGCAAGTGGCACGCCCAGAATTCAAACCCTGGCCTTTGCCTCCATGCTGCTTCTGCCCTCAACTCCCTCCCTGGGAGCACTGCCCCACGTGGGGGTCACAATCAGGGGACATACCAACCAAGGAAATTTTTTTTTTTTTGGAGACAGGGTCTTGCTCTGTTGCCAGGCTGGAGTGCAGTGGCATGAACATGGCTCACTGCAGCCTTGACCTCCTAGGTTCAAGTGACCCTCCCACCTTGACCTCCCAAAGTGCTGGGATTACAGGCATGAGCCATCATGACTGGCCCCAAGGAATATTTTTAATCTTCATAGCTATAGACAAGTCAGCAGCTATTCCCAGCCCCTTCTGCACGAGAATGCAAGCTCCACAAGGACGGGGTTTTTTTGTCTGCTTCATCCCTACTGTGTTTCCAGAGCCTTAAATACTGCCCCATTCACAGTCAGTGCTTCATAAATGTTTCGTTGACAGAATAAGAGGATGGAGTGAATGAATGCATGCGGTGCTGCTTCTCCCTCTGATAAGTGACATAAAGTTCTATTTGTAAATATTTTATATGGCTTTTTTTTTTGACATAGAGTCTCGCTCTGTTGCTCAGGCTGGAGTGTAGTGGCGCGACCTTGGCTCACTGCAACCTCAGCCTCCTGGGTTCAAGTGATTCTCGTGCCTCAGCCTCCTGAGTAGCAGGGATTACACTCAACAAATATTCATAGCCCCCACACCAGGCTAATTTTTTTAATTTTAGTAGAGGCTGCGTTTCACTATGTTGGCCAGGCTGGTCTCAAACTCCTGGCCTCAAGTGATCCGCTCATCTCGGCCTCCTAAAATGCTGGGATTACAGACATGAACCATGGCTCCCAGCCTGTAAATACATTTGAGTAAGAAAAAGTTAAGTCAGTTAGAAGGCAAATGCTAAGGGAAGAGCAGCAGGGTGGTGAGTGGAAGTAGAAACAGCAGTCAGGTGGGGCCGGGATGCTGGGATTTAGGCAATGTCGGGTGACTCAGCTCTGCTGTTCCTTCCAGCAGAAAATTCTGTGGTTCTCAGAAGCATGCTCTTCATGGGCTGAAGCAAGAGGTGAGTTCGCTCTTCCCCTGTGTATTCGTTTCCTGTAGCTGTCATAACAAATTAACTACAAACTGGTGGCTTACAACAACAGAAAAGTATTCTTTTACAGTTCTGGAGGCCGGAAGTCTGACCAAGTTGTCAGCAGGGCCACGCTCCCTTCGAAGGCGCTGGGGGAGAATGCTTCCCAGCCTCTTCCAGATTCTGGCTCCAGGCTTTCCATGGCTGTGGCCCCATCACTCCAATATATCTGCCTCTGTTTTCACATGGCCTTCTCCTCTGTGTTGGTATCTTCACCTCTTCCCTTTCTTAAAAGGATGCTTGTCATTGGATTTAAGACCCACACAGGTAATCTAAGATGATCTCATCTTGAGATCCTTAATTTAATTACATCTGCAAATACCTTTTTTCAAATGTAATCAGGTCACATTCACAGGCTTCAGGGGTTAGGACTTACACATGTCTTTTTGGTGGCCACCGTTCAACCCACTATACCTGGATCTGGTCCCTATTCGGCACCAATCCCTGTTCTGCAGTGCTGCCCTCTCCAGGGAAGCCTCGCTATGTCCTGAGGCCCCTTGGGGGATGAGGACTGGGGGCATCTTTGACGGGGCCCGGGTGTGGAGCAGCAAGAGTCTTTCTGGGGAAGCGGCTTGCTCCCAGGCAGCCATTGTGGGGGCCTGTTTGCTCTGGTCATCCATTTCTGAAGAAGGAGGAAAGGGGCTGAACTGGGAGGATTTGGTCCTCAGGGAATTTGTTGAGGGCGGAGGCCTGCTTATCCACCTCTTTGGAGTTATCTAGTTCCTCCGTAGACTTTGATGAATATTGCTTTCTGAATGCAGTGCGGGGAAGAAAGAGAGGAGAGGAGGGTCTGCATCAGGCATGTGACTTGGGAGTCCCATAGCCTGGATGCCAGTGCTGCATTCACTTGGCAGATATTCATAGATCACCTACTATGTGATAGAGCAGCAGGAACACAGCGCCAGGAGCTTGCAGCCCAGAGAGATTAGACAGATAAAACAATGACAAAAACTGTGATCACTGCTAGAAAGGAAATAGACTGGGTGTGGGGATGGAGAGTGTCAGGCAAAGCCTCTCAGAGGAAGTGGTATTTGAGCTGAGACCTAGAGCTGGAGGAAAAGCATTCCAGACAGAGGGAGCAGCATGCACAAAGGCCCTGAGGTTAGAAAGAGCCCAGCTCATAAATGGAAAAATGTCCAGTGCTGGAATGTACTCAGTGGGGGTGAGAGTGGGAGAGGTACTGAATCCTACTGGCCTCCTGGGCTGTGGGAAGGAATTTGGATTTTATTCAAAAGATTTTAAACACGTTGTGCCATGACTTGAGTCAGCATTTTTAAAGATCCCTTTGGGGACCGGCAGAGAATAAATTCTAGGGCAGTGGTCAGAAACCTTTCTCTCTAAAGGTGCAGATGGAAAATATTTTTGGCTTTTGGCCGGGCACTGTGGATCATGCCTGTAATACCCGCACTTTGGGAGGCCAAGGCGGGTGGATCACTTGAGCTCACGAGTTTGAGACTAGCCTGGGCAACCTGCATTTTTTGTCTCTAAAAAAATACAAAAATAAGCCAGACGTGGTGGTGAGTGCCTGTAGTCCCAGCTGCTCAGGAGGCTAAGGTGGGAGGATGGCTTGAGCCTTGGAAGCGAAGGTTGCAGTGAGCTGAGATCATGCCACTGCACTCCAGCCTGAGTGATAGAGCCAGACCTTGTCTCAATTAAAAAAGAAAGAAAGAAAATATTTTTGGCTTTGGGGGCCATATAGTCTCTGCGGTAACTACTCTGCTGTTGTAGCCCCAAAGCAGCCAGAGGTAATACATGAGCAACCAGGCATGGCTGTGTGCCAATAAAACTTTATAAAAACAGGCAGTGGCTGGCCTGGCCTGCGGGGCTGTGCTTTGCTGACCTCTGTTGTAAAGTGGAAATGAGAAGAGTCTTGTGGTCCAGGGCAAGTGACTTAACTCTGTGCCTCAGTTTTCTCATCTGTAGAACAGGCACATCTTACCTCATAGAGATGTTGTGAAATTTCTGAGTGTTAATAGAAATAAAGTTCTGAGCGCGGAGCCCTGGCCCGTAGTAGGTGGTCGACTCTCAGTGGCCATAACAACACTAGTGGCTGCACTAATTATTATTACATCCAGCTGGGATGATCATCACAATTATAAAGCAAAGACTTGGAGTGAGTATAGTTCACCAATGCTGGTCATTGTAGTACTTCAGTGGTGGGTTGGAATGTCTGTGTATGGAGTTGAATGAATCCTACAGTGACATGAATTAGAGCTTCCTCCTTGGGTGTGCCAACATATCTTCCTCAAATCTTGCTCAAAGGCAAGATTTGTCCTGAAACTTTATTCTTCAATGTAGCGTCTGCCACATCCTGTCTGCCAGCCCAAGTGGCCCTCCTGTCATCCTGTCCCCCTTTGGGGAATATCTTTCCAGCTGCAGCAGCTGCCCTAGGCTGTTCCTCTGGGTTGCATATGAGGTTTAATTAATCTTTGTTTACACCTTCTTCTTGCTTTTTTTCCTCTCCCAACACGGGGGGGTTTCAAGACTTCTCTTTCCAGTAACTTGGTAGGAAGGAAACTATAGAGAAGGATAAGGTTCAGTTTTTCTCAAAAATCTCACCTGGGGAAGGAAGAGGTAGGTACAGAAGAGAGACGTGGGTGGGGAAAATGTGGGTAGGTGTATGGGGGAGTCTAAGAGACCACATTTGTCTACATGTTCTGGCTGATTTAGAGGGCACAGCTCAGGCTGAAAGGCAGGAAGGGTAACCTGGGGCCTTTTCCTCACCTCTGTGTCCTCAGGGTCACTGTTATGTTCCCTGACCTCTGAGACCAGGTGCATCAGGGGAGGTGGGAGAGGCCTAGTCCTAAGGCATTTCTGGGTGGGACCGATCACAAAACCAAGAGGGACAGAGGCAAGAGGGATGGGCACAGAAGCAGGGAATGAGGCTAGGACTTTCGAGTAGAAAAATGGGGGTTCCTAAAGTTCACTGTCTCCTAAGCCTGCTCTCCCAGAGCAAAGACCTCCATGGTACAGTTTGGGAAGAAGGGGAACCTTGTTCAGAATTCTGTGTTCTTCCAGTTGAATATCCCACGGTTGGGTAAACGTTGTGAGTCTAGGAACTGCTACAAAATAGAAACAGACAGATAAGATAGATAGATGGGTGGGTGGATGGATGGATGGATGGGCAGAAGAATGGATAGACAGACAGAGAGATAGAAGATGGATGGATGGATGGCTAGACATATGATAGATGAATAGGTGAATAGATACATATAGAGCAGATCTTCTCTGTGCAATCAAGTGAGAGTCATTCATCATTTATTAACAAAGATTTCATGAGCACCAACTATGTGCCAACTATGTGTCTAGTACTGATTAGACAATGCCAAGTGAAACAGGTGGGCTCTCTGCTCTCGCAGTGCCCTCAGTCTCTTGTAAAATCTAATGCTCTGGGCCAAGAGAAACTATTACGATTTCTCTCAGTGTTATTTCTTAGTGTGAGTCACAGAGGAGCCCACATCCTCCACCAGGAGAAGGCAGAGGGAAGGGCCTGAAGGCCTGGTACCCACATAAGTAAATTTTAAGAGGCTGACAGGCGTCATTGAGCCAAACCATTAAGGCTTTGGAGTCAGGCCTACCTGGGTTCAAATCCCTGGTTTTGCCACTTTATAATTTGTGACCTTGGACAAGTCACATCCCCTCTCTGAGTTTCAGTAGCCCCATTTGTTCACTCATTATTTATTTTGAGTTCTTGCTAGATACTAGATACTGATTTAGGTGCTGAGGAGGCTGTAGTCAACAAGATAGATAAAGTCCCAGTCTTTCTGCAGTTTATAATATACCTGTGGGGAGACAGAAAATAAATAAAAACATCAATTTCTAATACACCAGTTCGTGATGAGTGGATGGAGAAAAGTCAAGCATGGGGCGAGGGGTTTCATATGAGCAGCTCCCTGACGGAGGCGAAGAAATGAGCCATGTGTATGTCTCGGGGAAAAGCATTTCGGGTGGAGGGAACAGCACACACAAAGGCCCTGAGGCAGGGGGCACTTTGCAGATGTGATTAAGCTCAGGATCTTGAGAAGAGACGATCGTCCAGGGGGGATCACGAAGGTCCTTCTAAGAAGGAGGCAGGAGACTGGAGGGACAGAAGGCAATGTGACAAGGGAAGCAAGAGGTTGGAGGGATCCGAGGAAGGGACCATGAGCCTGGGAACACAGGCAGCCTCCAGAAGTTGGAAGAGACAAAGGGGATGGTTTCTCCCCTGAGGCCTTCAGAAGGAAGACCTTCGGAATGCAGACCTGCTGTCACGCTGATGCTAGACTTCAGACCTCCATAACTCTAAGAGAATCAATCTGTTTTAAGCCATCGAGTTTGTGGCAACTTGTTCCAGCAGCAATAGGAAACTAGTCCAAGAATGCCTTTCTTCTTTTGTGAAACAGGACCGTGAGAGTCCCTGACTGAGGCCCTGTAGAATTAGGGGACAGGAAGCCTGGCAGCTCTGCCTGAGGAGGGAGAGCTGGCTTGGAGATGGCCTGAGAACCAGGCTACCCCTGGGAGTCCAGCTCCAGCCCCTCTGGCAGGTCCGAGGTACCCCTGGAGGCTCCACTCTCTCCTGCCTCCAGGCCTCTGCACAGGCCCTCCCTTCTGCCAGGAGCTCCCCCATCTGGCCCCATCCATCCTTTGGCTAAGCCCCAGATGGCTCTGACCCTTTCTTTCCCTTCCTCATCACCCTAACCAAGTAAGTGGAGCTCCTGCTTCTGGATTTATACCCTAACTGAGCCCTTGCACACTCTTAGCATTTAAATACTTGTTTTCTACTTTGCATTCCCCTCTAAGAGTAAGACAAATAGCTCACCGTTTATGGGGCCCTTACTGTTTGCCAGACAGGGCCACTGTGAAGAGCTGCACAGGCCATGACTGATCAACCCTGGTGTGAACAGCACCCACTAGAGCTGTGTGAGGTGGTAGCAACAGTGCTAAGTGCTCATTCATTCTTCACAGTGACCCCGTAGGGTAGGGCCGTATGCCCACTTTACAGATGAGGAAGGAATTATGGGGCAGAAGGGACACACTCACAGCTCCCTGGAACATATTTTCTAAGCATTTATTGAATATTTTGTTAAATCCTCACCATGACCCAGTAAGATTGGTGCCATAACTATTCCCATTTTACAGATAGGAAAATTGAGGCTCGGAGGAGAAAAGCCACTGGCCCATGGTTGCAGATCTAGTAAACATGTGAGCTGGGATTCAAGAGTGGGTCTGCCTGGCTCCTGAATCTGAGGTCTTAAGCCTCTGCTGTGCTGTCCTCCCGACTACACACCTCTAGAGCCAGAGACCGGGCCCTCATCACTGTTGTTTCTGCCTGGTTCAACAGAAGAAATGCTCATAAAAACTTGCTGAAGGAATGAATGAGGAAGGAATGCATCAGGAGGTGGCCCTGAAGTTCCTTGGCTATGACCTTGGGGATGCTTTATTACCTGGCGTGTTGTAATTTACAGTTATAAGTGGCTGTGAAGGTCAAATGAGCTCACCTCCCCAGCAGCCCTCTGAGAACAGGACAGCAGTGTTACCGTGGGAGGGATTTTCCTGGGCCCACACCCAGGTTCTCAGCCTCCTGGGGAAATTCTGCCTTTCTGGCTGCCCTTACTCTTCTCAGCTTCAGAGAAGAGTCTGGCTTTTTCTTCAGCTTCTGGAGGGCCTGAGACTCTGGGCGTTCCTGGAAGAGGCTCCTGTCCCCACCAAGGCCTATGTGTGACACCTGGGCCCTTGGCTCTTACCTGGGGGAACCCCAGAAAATTTCCTCCTGTTTTCACCTCCCTGTCCCTGGGGACCAGGCCCCAGTGGCTGTGGTATCAGGAGCAGCTGGTGCCTCCCAGAGGGTCTGTAAGATCCTTTGGGGAAGCAGGTGGCATTTCAGGGTGGCTGCGGAGGGCCCAGCTGGGCTCATCGGTGGCACCATTACCAGGCTGTGCCCCTGTGCCTCCCAACACTTTGGGGCTGAACGTCATGGCTTCCCAAGTACATGCGCGTCAAAGATCTTGATTAATCCTAATGCCTCCCAAGAGATGAGGATTAATCATTGTGCAGGTTCACATTTCTGGGTTGTTTACTAGGTGCCAGGCACCGAGCTGAAGTCTTCATGTGGATTGTGTTTTTCCTCCTCATGACAAGCTTATGAAGTAAGTGCCTTTCTTGAGCCCGTTCCCATTTGTGAATGGGGACACCGAGGCGCAAAATGCAAAGCTCCCTGCTGGAGACCACACAGGTGGTGGCAGAGGCATCTGGGCACCCAATCCGAGTTCTGCCAAGTGGCTTCTATCAGAAACAGCTGTTTAACTGATGAAGCAACTGAGGCTCAGAGAGATGGAGTAACTTGCCCAAGGTCATCGACCCTGCCCCCCAAATTCTGCTGCCCAGCATCTTGCGGGAGAGTAAGGGAGGGCTGAGGCTCACCACCTGCCCGGGCTCTGGGGGACAGCCCCAGGGGGGGCCGGGTGTGGGAAATGCCCTGGGCTCTTGAGGGCTGTGGGCCTCTGTTTCCCCAGCTATAAAATGGTGGCGGTAACAGAGGTGTGACTGACAGACACATTGCTCCTTCCTAAGACTTCTCCAGCCCTGCATTCCAAGACCTGGATTTTCTAGGGCAGCGTTTGGCCCCAATCCAAGCCCCATAAATGGCTGCCCGTGGCCCGCCCCACCCCCACCCAGCTATCCTCTCTCCCCCAGCCCTATAATTGGAGTCCTGTAGGTGAGTTATTGGCTCAATATGTTTATAGGTTCCCCCAGCTCCCCTCCCCCCTCACCCCCAAACAAAGGAGCTATAAGACTAGAGCCAAAACACAGCTCCAAGAACGTGTGCCTGTGACCCAGCCCCCGCCAGGGTGAGGTGGAGAACTTTCCGTGTGGCCCATTCCTGGGCAGGGCCTACTCCTCTTCTCCCTCCAGCGGCTCCTGCTTCCCTCTTCCTGTCCCTGCTGCTCCACAGAAGCTGCTCTGTCCCCTCAGGCTGGGCCAGCTCCCACTGCAGCACTTTAATGGTTTTGGGAAGGGTAGGGACTGTGTTGACAGGCTACCTGGAGGCAGTTGGCCAGGAAAGTCAGTCAGTCTGCCCTTGTCTCACAGTCAGACTCCGAGACACAGCCAGGGCCACACAGTGAGGCATGGCCACGCACACCGTGAGTCCCAGGCACGGTCAGCTGGTCTGTTGGCCAGCCTCAAGCAGTCAGCCAGTTGGCACACTGGGCCAGTCAGGGAGTTAGCTGTTGTCTCACAGCCAGACTTGCCTATACGAGTCAGGGCCACCCAGTCAACGCCCACTCACATCAGGAGTTGCAGTCACAGCTGGTCAGTCAGACACCCAGCCAATCTCAGTCAGTTGGTCAGTCAATTAGTCATTGTCTCTTGGTCAGATTGTGTTACACAGTCAGACATGGCCGCTCACACAGTGAGTCACAGCCGTGGTCAGCAGGTCTCCTGCTGCCTGGTCAAACTCGATCTGTCAGCCCATCAATCAGTCAGTCAAGGCAGGGTTAGCCAGTCAGCCAGGAGTCATCAGTCACCCACATAGCCAATCAGATTCAGCCACCCAGTCAACACATTCAAGTCAGTCAATCCACAGGTTATTGTCTCACAGCCAGACTCAGTTACATTGTCACAGCCATCCAGTCAGACAAAGCCACTCACCACGAGTCACCCAGCTGTCTCTTGGCTGGCCTGTTCATCTCAGTCAGTCTCTGGCAGTTGAGTCAGCCAGAGTCAGTTTTCCATGACTAAGGCAGGTGGTCAGTCCACCCGGTCTGTCCTGTGAGTTGGGTGTAGTCAGTTTCATGGTTAGTCACAGGTAGCCGTAGGCTGTGCCACAGCCACAATGAAACACCAGGCAACCAGCCAGTCAGTTGATCTCAAAATGTCAGGCATGCAATCAAGGCGGTCAGTCAAGACGCAGGGGTCACAGTCAGACCCACGGTTACCAAGTCAGTCTGGAAGAGACAGCCAATCCCAGAGCCGGCTAGTCAGTCAGTCAAGATCATCACTGACGGCTATCAGTTAGGAGATCATAGTCATCCAGACATCCAGTCAGTCTGAATCAGCCTGCCAGTCACACTGACTCAGTTATTCCCTCAGTCAGCCAGGCAGGCAGTCACAATAGTCAGTCATAGTAAGCTGCCTAGTTATCCAGTCAGTTTGAATTAAACAACCAACCAGTCAACCATACACCAAACCCATTGTCATCAACTGGCCAGTCAGTCCATCATGCATGTGGTCAATGAGTTGGTCTCCTTGTCAACCTGTCTCCTCACCAGTCATGTTCAATCCACTGAATCCATCAGCCCAGTTGCAGTTGGCCCAGTCATAGTCACAAGCTCCCACAGTCCATGGCCTGGTCAGTCCAGATCACAGCCAGCCAGCTACAGTGAAACCCACAGTGACCATCAGTCAGTCAGTCAGTCAGTCAGTCAGTCAGTCAATCAATCATCTAACCTTGTCAACACCAAGGCCCTGACTGACTTCTTACAGTATCACATGAATCACTAGCGATCACTGACAGAAACCCTAGATCAAACCGAAAGCATGCCTTGACCCTCTTCAGCAATGTCCAGAATAAGTGGTCCCCAGTCAGCCAGCTACTCCTATTCATCAGGAAGGATAGGGGCAGGGGGAGGCAATTAAGTTGACATATGAGTTCAGGGGAACCCACTTGTCAGCCAGAGAGGCCATGGGGCTGACGGCCATGGAGAGAGGGCAGAAGACCCTTGGGACAGTTTTCCAGTCCACCACCTGGATGCCCCATGAGGGTTTTCTCAGAGCAGGGACCCCCAGTGCCCTTTCCAACACCCCTGCTGTCCCCAGGTAGGGGAGAGTGAGAGTATGAGATACCCCTGCAATCGCTGGCCTCCTCCTTTTGCCTCCCTCGCTTCCCCCTTCCTTTTCCTCCCTCTCCTCTTGCTCCTCCACTTCCTCGTCACTTCCGCCTTGCTCTACATAGGTGAACCTAACCCACCCACACTCAGATCCTGTCCTGGTGTTCCACAGTGCCAGTCCCTCCCCCCCACACACACACCACACAATCACAAACACTCCCACCACACACATACACACACCAGTCACAAACCACCACACATACCACACACATACCCACACACCACACACGTACACCCACACACCACATATACACACATACACACCCACACACATCACACACATACAGACCCACACCCACCACACATACACACACACCACACATACACAAACACTCCCCGCCACACACCAGACACCGTGTGCATGTGCACATACCACATGCATATACACACCCACACACACCACATACATCACATATGCCACACGTCACACACAGACACCACACTCACACATAGCCCTCGCACACCACACCCTCCCACGTGCACGTGCACTTACAACACAGGGCACACACACCACACATGCACACATGCATATACCACATGCACGTATGCACACCACGCACACACACACATACGCTACACAGACACGCACACACGCCCTGCTTCTTGGCTAGCCTCCTCGTTTTGGAACATCCTGTTCCAGGCAGCCTGGGAGAAGGCGCTCAGACACTCCTTGGGCCGGCCCCTCCCCCTCTGCTCCCAGGGTTTCCGCCTCCTGTCGCCGCCCTTGCTGGGGTAGGGGGCGGCCTCCTGGCATAAGCCCGAGCACAGTGTCCTCCTGGGTGTGGACTCTTTCTGCAGGAACTCCTCCTTCCAGCTCCTCTGGAGGAGAGGGATGAGCGGGGGAAGGCTGGGGACGGGAGGTGTCTTGCTCACTTCATTTCTCTGCCTGGGGGCCCCCCCCGCCGGCTTCCCTGGAGTCAAGCAGGGCTCCCCAGGCAATTCCGTTACCTGGGTGAACACTGGCAGGAGTCCAGCTCAGAGAAGCAGCTGGGAGTTCTAAGCCCGAGGGGAGAGCTGTTCATCTCAGGCTGACTGGGGCTGCTTTCTGCTCGAGCGGGCCACACTCTAGGCAGAGGTGCTCTCTGGACCTCTTTCTGGCACCTGGACTCCACCACTTACTAGCCTTGTGATCACATTGGGCACATTAATTGGGGTTTAGGAGCCTCAGCTTCCTCTTCTTTAAAATAGAGAGGATAACAGAGCCCACCTGCTTGGGTCTGGGTAATGATGAAACGAAGAACACGTGGAGAGGGCTCAGGGCAGCATCTGGTAGCTCCTGTGACTGCCGACTTGGGGCTCATTTGTTCCCACCAGGCAATTTGGTGGCCAGGCCACAGGGGGTTCTAGAAGCTTCTTTCCATGCCCCTTCTCTCACCTGGCTCCATGACCCCCTGCCCTATTGCAGCTTCCAGTCACCGAGGGCTCCTAAGTGCCCAATACCACGCTGGGTGCTCTGTTGACATTATCACCCTGCACCCTCACAGTAGCCCCATGATGTCGGTGCCCGTACTATACCCATTTTACAGAGGAATAAACTGAGGTTCTGGGAGTTAGAGTAATATGCCCAAAGCTGCAGGTAGTGAGTGGAAGAGCCAGAACTGGCTGACTTCCTGAGGCCCATAGGGTGGCATGGTACCTGCCCTGGTACTGAAAGCCACATGTGCATCTTTGGGGCCTTTGGGGAGGGTGGGGAGGTGTTTTCCATGCCCCAGTTATCCCAGGTTCCCAGCTTCTGCTCTATCTTGTACTGGTTACCTGACATGTTTGTTGACAACATTCATTGACTTTGCATTGGTGAAGAGTTGAGTGGATGTTGGTGGAAGCACAGGCACTCCAGAAGCTGGGGTGGGTGGGTGGAGGCACTCCTCAGACTAGGGAGGCCCCAGGGACACTTCCAAAGCTCTGGTTTGGCTGAGGAATTCATATCTGAAAGGAATGTATGAGAAGGCTTTGGGAAACACAGAGAAGCTATCTTTTATGGGCGTAGGGGAGGCCGCAGAAGAACAGCATCCAAATCTCCACATCATGTGGACCTTGCTGTCGATAACAGCAATCTTAATGACAATCTCTACAGGCCCTGGGCTCCTTAGGAGGTAGGAGGAGGGTGTCTTTATCCAGAAACCCTTTCTATTAACAGTAACAACATAAGGATTCCACCCAGTGCCTCTGGGGCTGGTGGCGAGAGGACTCCAGCTTGGGGCCACCCCCTAGGAGAGATTCCTGTGAGCAGCCCTCGAGGGCCTCGCAGTGATGCCCCCCAGCCTTCCAGCTTTCCCTCAACCCGCAGGTGGCTCTGCGAAGGCGTCTCTTTATTTGGAATTGCACTTGGCAGTGATGACACTTTTTGAAGGGCTGCAGGGTGGAAGTCGGCAGCAGAAGCCCTTAATTCCCAGACCCGAGGGGGCTTTGCAAAGACAGCTCCTCTCCTGCTGAGCACAAACCCACCATTTCTCTCACTTCCAGGCTCCAAGGAGGAGGGCCAGGCCACAGTGTGAAATGCTCTTAGAGGACACCCGCTGGGGTGACAAGGCTCAGAAGAAAAAGGCAGATGGCTCCCCACTGCCCTCGGATGACATCCAAACGGCCTGCCTGCTGAATTAACAAAGGCCATCCTCATCCTGCCTCCGGGCACTGCTCCAGCCCAGGCCTTTGCCACGCACACCATTCCAGCTACTGCCTGCGAGCTTCTCAGTCCTTACAGCAGGACTCCCGGAACCCCAAGCTGCCCCCTCTACAGAGAATATGCTTCCCTCCCATCATCTCTCAGCTAACTCCTATGCATCCTTCAGGACTTAGGCGTCACTTCCTCCAAGAAGCCTTCCCAGAATGCCTCTCCCCTAGCGTCTAGTAGCCTCAGGCGTTCTTTAGCTTGTACATTGCATTCTCCTGGTGTCTTCTCACTGTCTTCCTCTGTGCATGTCTGTCTCTGTCCATTTCCCCTTTGTATAAGGACACCAGTTATATTGGATTAGGGCCCATTCTAATCATTTTATGTTAACTCGATTACTTCCGTAAGAGCCTATCTCCAAATAAGGTCACATTCTGAGGTTCTGGAGTTTAGGAGTTCAACACATCTTTGAGAGAAAGAGCACAATTAAACCAGAACACTTGCTTCGTGACCTTAACTTCTAAGCTAAGTGTATTTCCTTAACTTCTCTGAGCCCTGCTTTTCTGTCTGTTAAATAGGGATTGTGAAAGGGAGAATTACCCCAGGATGCTGGGGACTTTGGCTCAAGACTGGGTTCCACTGAGCGGCTGTGTGACCTTGGGCAGCCCCTTATCCTCTCTGAATCAGTTATCTACTGCTGCAAACAGACCACCTCCAAGCTCAGTGGCTTACAACAACATCATATATTTTGTTCATAAATCTGCAATTTGGGCAGGGCATGGAGAGGAGGGCTTTTCTCAGTTCCCATGTGACAGAAGCTGAGGCAGCTCCACTGGGTTGGAGGATACAATTTCAAGATGGCTCGCTCATGTGGCTGCGGCTAGCAAGTAGGTCTGTTGGTCGGCTGGGAGCTCAGCCTGGAGCTGTGGGTTGGGGACCTTGGATTTTCTCCATGTGTAGGATTTTCTCCATGGGCTGTGTGGGCTTCCTCACAGTATGGTGGCTGGGTCCCAAGAGTGAGCATCCCAAGAGAACCAGGCAGAAGTTGCATTATCTTTTGTGACCGGGCCTTGGAAGTTGCGTAGTGTCACTTCCATTGTAATCACAAGCCTGCCCAGATTCCAGGGAGAGAACCCAAGTTCTGTCTTCTGGTGGAAGAGTGCCGAAGTTATGTATTTTGGAAAACATGATTTGCCGCATCCTTCACTGACTTAGGCAACAAGAGTTACCACTTAACCAGGCATAGGTGGTGAGCTGAGGCCTTTACACAGATTATCCCATCTAATCCCCACAACAACCGCCTGCTGCTGGTGGTATTGTTATCTCATTCCACGGATTAGGAAATTGAGGTTCAGAGAGGTAACTTGCCCAAGGTCACCCAGCTAGGCAGTGACAGAGTCAGACCTTCCTTCCCTCCAGAGCCTTCTGTTACTCAGATGGACATCACTAGTCACTGCTGTCTAGAAGGTCCTGCCCACCCCTTCTCCCTCCTCCTTTGGAGTCCCCTGAACTTAGTGCTTATAGTGTTCTTGGCCTTGTGAAGTTTGCCTTTTGTACCCAGTCTTTTCTCATATAAGAAGATCTAGCTGGTGGTGGGGTGAGGCTGATGTGGGGCTCTGAGCCAGCCGTTAGGCACATGGTGGCTTAAAGAAGCTTTTGCAGGCTGGGAACACTGTTTCTATGGGAAAAGCATTCAGAGTCCATCCCATTAATTTTCAGACACTTCTGGAAACTTCTAGAAAGATAGTTAGATACTGCCTTTACCAATAACTTCATCTAGATTGGTATGTAGGTAAACGTGTGTGTGTGGTGGTGGCGGTATTTCTTTAAATATAGGGTTTAGAGTCTGACAGATTGGGTCTGAGTTTCTTTTTTCTTTTTTGAGACAGGGTTTTGCTCTTACCCAGGCTGGAGTGCAGAGACATGATCTCGGCTCCCTGCAACCTCCGGCTCCTGGGTTCAAGTGATTCTCCTGCCTCAGCCTCCCGAGTAGCTGGGATTACAGCTGTGTACCACCATGCCCAGCTAATTTTTGTATTTTTAGTAGAGACGGGGTTTCACCATGTTGGCCAGGCTGATCTCAGGCGATCCGCATGCCTCGGCCTCCCAAAGTGGGGGATTATAGGTGTGAGCCACCGTGCCCCGCTGGGTCTGAGTTCAATTCTATAATAATAGTCAAAGGGCATTAGTTTATAATCAGAATACAAAGACCCAACCCTCACCACCACCCCATTTTACAGATGAAGAGTCTGAGGTTCAGAGAGGTGAACTGACTTACCCAAGGTCACAGAATGAGTAAGGGTAGGAATGGGGAATTGACTCTTGAGCCTGAGCCCTTTTCATCTTAACTCCTCCACTTAAGGCTGAGTCATGGATAGCCATTAGCCATTGGATGAAAACATGACAGCGGTTGCATGGCTGGTGAGAGGAACCTGGCTCCTCGAGGCTCTGCACCAGCTGGTGGTTCAAGGGGAGAATGAGCATTTGTGCAGCTTGGTGGTTAGGTCAAGGTTTACCAGGCTGAAGATTCCCAGAGACCTTGCTTGGGATCTTGGCTTTGCCACTTACTGACTGTTCTGTCACCTTGGAAAAACACTTATCCTCCCTGAGAGTTCAATTCCCTGCCTGTGAGAGGGGTCTAATAATAGCGACTTTACTGGGTCATTGTGAGTAGGAAGGAAGAGAATGCCCATGGAGGTCTTTGCATGGGGTCTGGCGCATGGGACACCTTCAGTAAAGGCATCTGTTTTATTCATATCCAGAGATGTCTGAGATGGAGCTGGTGTCAGAGGCTTGGCACGTGGAGTTCCTCCATTGCTCCATAAATGTTTGTTGCCTGAATAACAAATCTCATTTTCTAGAGATGGAAACTGAGGCCCACGGAACTAACTTTTTATGCTCATACAATGACAGATAGGCAATGAGGATCTGAAGCATGAATGAATGCATGAACGAATGAATGAATGACTTCTGTGTTAGGCTGGATTCCCTTGGAAGCAGACTCTGAGGTGAAGATTTGAGGACCAGTAGTTCGTGTGGGAGGTGACCCCAGGAAACTCTGGGAGGATGTGGGAAGCAGGGAACATTAATAAGCAGGTTACTGCTGTGGGTGACGGGGACTCCATCTCATCAGGGACCCTGGGAGACAGTTGGGGACATGTCTTAGAATGTTCCCCCTGAGGATGGAGGAAGCTGGGTGCTTAGCCTCCAGTTCCCCCTGTGTATCCCTGCGGCTGCTCCTGGGGCGCTAATTCCATGTCCTCCCCTGGCCAAGCACGCTCCTGGACAGAGGGCGCCATGCACAGAGGGGTGGAGGTACTTGCCCAAGAACCCTGTGGGTGTCAGGGAGCAGTAAGGGCTGATGGGGTATAGGTAAGGCACCAACAGACTCGACTTGGGCTCTGGCAGCTCTCTGATTCTGGATGTCCTTGGAAGGCAAAATATGATTCTGAAAACAATCTCCCTGTAATCCTTCTTCCTCTCCTGCGTTCTGAAGCGCCCGTGCTAACCCTCTGGTCTCTGTCTGAAGCACCTTCTCCCACTGCCACCTTCACCAGCATTTTCTCCCCAGTCCCTCTATAGCAGGGGGATCCTGCCTGGAGAGCAAGCTGAACCTCTGAGGTTGCAGCGGGGAAATGGGTGGTCAGAGCTTGAAGGAGCTGGTTTGGATGAGGCCACTTCAAGCATTTTTGGCTAAGGGAGCAAGGAAGGGGTTCTCTGTACAGGTGTCCAGAGGCCACTGGCCTGTTGTTTGTCCACACCACTGCTGCTTGCAACCCTAGGCCGGGCTCTGAGTCTTTGGAGGAAGAGGCTGGGGTGGAAGCCAAAGTCGCCTTTCTCTGTGGGATAAAGGGACAAGCTGCCTGCCTAGCATGGGGGAAGCTGACATTCCCACTAGACTTGAAGTTAGGCTTTGGTACTAATCTTGGCTGTGCCACTTCTGGCTGTGACCTTGGCAAGTCTCCAGGTTCGTTCTTCTGCGTCTATAAAATGAAGGCAGTTTTAATGCCAGTTTCACAGGGCTCATGTGAACGTGACATTAGCTATGGACACATTTGATAAATGATAGAGTGAAGGTAAAGACTGTCTCCCTACGTCAGCTTGAAACCTGGGGCTTTCTTGGGTTTGTTCTTGGAGGATCTGAGCTTTTGGGGATCCTTGGGAATCACATGCTATTGGTCTAGACATTGGGGTCCACTCAGCTGACTTGACATCTTAGCTTTCTTTACGCGCAGTAACAACTGAGCCCCAGTGGAGTATCTACTGTGTACCTGGGCCTGGGGTTAGTGATTGCCACACAGAAAAAAAATCATATTTCATCCCTGCAGCAAGGAAAGAGGTAGAAACTATTACTGTCTTCGTTTTTTTTTTTTTTTTTTTTTTTTTTTTTGAGACGGAGTCTCGCTCTGTCGCCCAGGCTGGAGTGCAGTGGCGGGATCTCGGCTCACTGCAAGCTCCGCCTCCCGGGTTCACGCCATTCTCCTGCCTCAGCCTCCCAAGTAGCTGGGACGACAGGCGCCCGCCACTACGCCCGGCTAATTTTTTTTTTGTATTTTTAGTAGAGACGGGGTTTCACCGTTTTAGCCGGGATGGTCTCGATCTCCTGACCTCGTGATCCGCCCGCCTCGGCCTCCCAAAGTGCTGGGTACTGTCTTCGTTTTTACAGACAAGGAAACGCAGGCTCAGAAAAGTGAAGGCGATTCCTGGGAGTGCACAGCTACAAAGCGGCAGAGCTGGGATTGGAACCCAAGCCTGGGTGACTTCAGAACCTGAATCTCAGCTGTGAACACAATACAAAGAAAGTGCCCCTTGATTCTGAACAGGAGGAAGAAAAATTGAGAAACTAGTTGAGCGTGCAGATCAGAGGAACTTGCAAAGAGGGCAGGAGGGTTCTCCAGCAGCACAAGCGGCATCATTTGCAGGGCCCAGTGCAAAGTGAGAATGCAGGGACCCCTGTTAAAAAATCATTGAGAATTTCAAGTCGGTGACAGCTGAGCATTAACTAAGCATAGGGTCCTTCTAAGTGTGGGGTCCTGTTTGACTGCTTGGGTCACATGCTGCTGATGCTCGTCCTGTGCCTCTGTTTTGAACAGTGAGTGGGTACAGATGGGGTTTCCTGCAGCAGGATGGGTAAAGGGCAAACTCCTGGGTCAGATGGCTTGGGTTTGAGCCCTAGGAATTCCCAGCTTCTTAGCTAATGACTTTGAGCAACTTCTTTAACTCCTCTGGGCCTCAGTTTTCTCGTCTGCAAAATGGAATGTTGTTGGCTCTTCTTTTCTAGGAGTATTGTGGGGCAGATGCAGTAAAGTATTGTGCATAGCGCTTGGCCCATAGTACTGACCAGCAGTACCGGGTATTAGAGTTAATAGTCCCTACTGCCCCAGCTCCCCAGGGCACGGTGCCCGTGGAAATACCAGGTCCCTGCTGTCTTTACCTCTGTGCTGCTCAGCCTGGGTTGGAATCTTGGAGGCTGTAGCCTCCCCACTCTGGCAGCCCTTCTTTCCCTCCCCATCCCCCAGGCTTTTAATGAGTTTAGTATTTTCATCAAATCATTCTTCCTACAACACAGGGCTGGGGAGGCTAAAAATAGCTCCCCGAGTCACGTGACAGCTCCAAATGCGGAGGCTCCCAGCAAAGGTGCAAGTGCGACTCCCTGTTTCCTAGGAAATGAGAGTCATTGTGATGCCTGAAGCCAGGCCGCTGCCAATGCAGCCGGGCCCTCGCAGGGGCACATTGTTTCCTGTGACATCCTCCAGTGTGACAGACGGAGGGCGGGGGGGCAGAGAGGGCAATAGCACCCTCAGAACTGGCAGACCCCAGGCCTGGTGCTCCGGGCTCAGAGCCAGAAGCTGCCCCTTCCCTTCAGGAGCAACGGTCTTGGAGGCAAGGGCTTTCTCATACCTGGACACCGTGTCCCCATCCCTTTCCCAGCGAGCAGGCAAGGCATGTCTTTGCCAGCAAGAGAGATGGGTTTTTCTCTCAGGTACCCATGCTCCCTGCCCACTTGGTTCCCTCACCAACTCCTTGCAACTAAAGCTATTTTATTATTTGGGAGTAAAGGTAAATCTGTTGACAAATATCCCCCAAGGAAGCCTTTCTGGACTCCTCCCAAGTTCCTCCTCCGAATATAGAATAACTTCCAGCACCCTGGACCAGTCCCAAGAGACCCAAACTTGAGGGCATTACAGTAACGCGGAGGGCTTCTTAACACACTGGATGCTGGACGCTGGCCCTGGAATTTCTCCTCCAGCAGGTCTGGGGCTGGGCTCAAGAATCTGCATTTCCAGCAAGTCCTTGTGTGATGCTGATGCTGTGCTCCAGGAGCAACCTTTGAGAACTGCCATCCTAGATGCTGTGCTCCAGGAGCAACCTTTGAAAACTGCCATCCTAGGTGCTGTGACCCCCGCCCCTTTCTTCTTTTTCCCTAGCCCCTTTTTTCTCTTCTCTTCCCTCTCTTATCGCTGCTTGCAGCAACCCTAAACTACTTTTAGTCTCCCCATACCCTGGTCCTGCACTCACAATTTTGTGGCCTTTGGCCTTTGCTTTGCTTTGCTTTGGTCTTGCTGGCTGGAGTGCCCTCCCCGCTACTTCTCCCTTGACTAACTGCTACCCTTGCTTTAAGTAGAAATAGTAAGAGCTAGCACTTATTCACAATTCTATATGGTAAGCACTGTTGTTATCCCCACTTTACAGATGAGGAAACTGACATTCAGATAGAAAGTCACACCCCTAAATTACAGAGCTAGAAAACAGAGCTGGGATTTCAGGTGGTTTAATTTCACACCTACAGGTGAGTTACAGTTCACCTGTTGACTCCCATAGGAAGCCTTCCCTAAAGCTTCCAGACTGGATTTCATACACCTTCTTGGAGGTCTCCTGCACTAACAGCCTTGCAGAACAGTTTTCTATTGATGGGTCTGTCTTCTTGCTTAGACTGTTCGTTGCTAAAAGGCATGGACTTTGTCCTAATAATCACAGTATCCCAAGTGCCTGGAACAGGGTCTGGCACTAGTAAATGCTCACTAAATGCCAGCTTGCTGGCTGATTGACTAAATAATGACTGCGCAAATGTTCACTGAATAAATCAGTAAATGTTTGTTGCCTAATTACTATTAAGTGAATACATAAATAGTAGGTGCTCAATGCTGAATAAATGAATGAGATATTAAATTCTCTATACATGCTGGTTGGCTGAGTGAATGAATTAATAGTAGCTCTTAATAAATATTTTCTGGATAAATGAATGAATACATGAATTGTTGGTAGGTGCTCATTAAGTGTCTGTTGCCTCACTGGGTGAATGGATGGGTTGGCTGGTAGATGATAGATGGGTTGGATTGGTAGGTGGATGGATAGGATAGCTGGATCAATGGATACGTAGATTGGTATATAGATGGATAAATAGGTGAATAGGTGGAGGTAATGGGTAGATGCATTGGTGAGTGGATGGATGGATGCATGGATGGGTGGATGGATAGGTTGGTATATAGATAGATGGATAGCTAAGTAGACAGAAACAATGGGTGGCTTGGTATATAGATGGATGAATAGGTGAATAGGTGGAGGTAATGGACAGGTGGGTTGGTGAAAGGATGGAAGAATGGAAGGGTAAGTTGGTATATAGATGGATGACTAGGTGGGTAGGCGGAGGCAATGGGTGGATTGGTATATAGATGGATGAATATGTGAATAGAGGTAAGGGACGGGTGGGTTGGTGAGTGGATGGATGGATGGGTAGATGGATAAATGGATGGATGGATGGGTATGTGGCATATAGATGGGAGGATAGTGAATACATAGAGGCAATGGGTGGGTAAACTGGTATATAGATGGATGAATAGGCGAATAGATGAAGGTGACGGATGAATGGATGGATAGGTTGGCAATAGATGGATGGATAGGTGAGTAGATGGAGGCAATGAGCGAGTGGGTTGGTGAGTGGATGGATGAATGGGTGGATGGGTAGGTTGACATATAGATGGGTGGATAGTGAATAGATGGAGGCAATGGGTGAGTGGGTTGGTGGACAGATAAATTGGTGGATGAGTAGGCTGGTATATAGACGGATGGGTGGTTGAATAGATGGAGGATGGGTGGGTAGATTGGTGGATGGAGGGATAGATAAGTGGGTTGGGAGGCAGACCCATGACTTCGACATTGTTAGCACAGGACAATCTGTGTGATGCCATTTCTGCCAGATAAATGGCAAAGAATAAGTTATCGACAGAACCCTAGGGCATGCTGGGTCTGCACTCAGCAGGACAGCCTGAGGGTTTTCTGGGCCACCAGCTGTGACTTTGGAAACCAGATGGATGATGCATCTTGAGCATCAGGAGGAGGCTGTGGAACTGTTTTAAATGTCAGGATATCACCCAGCTATGAGATTGGGGCTTGACGTTTGTCATGTTCCTGAGCATTTGTTTTAATGACTAATTATTTCCCTTTTCTGACATGGCTCCTTGGAAGGGGAGCAGGGGAGCTTGGCTGGAAGCTGGAGACCTGTGCTCGCTCTCAGCAATTGAATTCACTAACAAGCCAGAAGTGAATTAACCCCAACCTGCCAGGTGCAGAGCAAAACCTGGAGGCCCAACTCCCAGGCCCAGCCAGGTGCTGCTCAGCTGGGAGTCCCTTCCAGGGTTGGCTGGCACCTGCAAAGAATCCAGAAAGATTAAGCCAAAACCCAGGAGGATATCTGAAGAGTTAAGGAAAGGTAGATTGTTGACTTGAAAGTTACTTGATTTTTCCCCAACACAAAAACAAGATAAATGCCTCAGGTGATGGATATCCCAATCATCCCGATTTGATCATTACAAACTGTATGCTTGTATCAAAATATCACATGTGATCCCCAAATATGTACAACTATGATATATTAATTAAAAAGAAAGTTACTTGATTTTGGTCTACATGAAGTGATTAACCGTGTGTGTGTGTGTGTGTGTGTTGCAAGTACTTACTATGTATAGAACATTATATAAATACTTCACCTGAATTATCTCATGTCATCCTTGCAACAGCCCTTTGAGGTAGACTGTATTATCATCATTTTCCTCATTTTACAGATGTGGAAACTGAGGGACAGAAGTTGTTACAGTGGTTTTAAAACATGCCTGCAAATCCTGTGATACGTCCTTCAAGAAGTAAAGCCTAATTCCCTTCCCCTTGAGTATGGGCTGGGATCTGTGACTTGATTGCAAGGAATTAGAATGAGGTATAGATGGCACACGTGACCTCTGAGACTAGATTAAAATGGTGATACAGCTTCTACCTAGCTCTGTCTCTCTTGAGACATGTGCCTTTGGAGACCTGAGCCACCATGGAAGAAGCCAGGCTGCCTTGAAGCCATCATGCTGGAGAGACCACGTAGGGAGATCACACACAGAGAGAGAAAGAGCCCCAAGGAGCCCCAGCCACTCTAGTCTCAGCAGTTTGAGTCTTTCCAGCCCAGGCAGCAGACATGTAGGTCAGGAAGCCTTGGAGATGACTCTCGCCCCAGCCCCTGCCTGACTACAACTGCATGAATGACTCTGAGGGCCAACCACCCAGCTGAGCCCAGCCAGCCCCCAGAACCAGGAGTGATCATAATAGAATGATTCTTGCTATGTTTGGGTGGTTTATTATACATCCATAACTGATACGATGGTGAAATCAGCTGCCCTGTATCAAGGAGCTGGAGAAGAATGGAAACAAGATTGGAGCCAGACAGGCTGGTTCAGGAGCCATGAGCTCAGCCCATAGAGCATCCCGCCCTGCCTTCATGGTCTTGCAGATTTAGTCTATCCATTGCATGGACTGGCAAGGCACTAGACTCACCCTTGTAGGCTTGGAGAATTAATTTAAAAATTCAAGTAAAGCACTTGTGTTCAGTGCTTGGGACATGGCAAGTTCACCATCTTAGTTAATGGCAACTCCATCCTTGCAGATGCTTAGCCATAAATCTTGGCATTATGCTCAAATTCCTCCCTTTCTCTCGTATCTCACATATAAGGTGTCTGCAGACCTGTCTGGTGCTACTTTCTTTTAGGTCCAGAAAGCTATGCCTTCTCCCTCCCTCCCCCTGTCCCTTCACTGCTACATACTGGTGGGAGCCTGCATTACCACAGCAGTTTCCTGACTGCTCTCCCTATCTCAGTCCTGGCCCTTTTAGTCTCTTCTCAACACAACACCCAGAGAGATCCCCTTACAATGCAAGTCAGATCATCTCTCGCCTCTGCCCAAAACCCTCTTGTGACAGCCCATGTCTCTGAGCACAAAAACCAAAATTCTTGCTTCAAGTGATTTCCAATGCCCTACACTCTCTGCAACTCCCTCTCCAATGCTTACCTCCCTGACTCATCTCCCAACTCACCCACCCTGGCCTGGTTTACTCCACTCCAGCCACACCGAGTTCCTCGCTGCCCCTTGAACATCCTGGGCACATATTCATACTACCTTGAGGTTTCCAGTTGCTATTCCCTTGGCTCGAATTGCTTTTCCTGTTGCTGACCAAATGGCTTACTTTCAGCTCTTTCAGATCATGGCTCAAATGTCATCTTCTTATTGAGGCTACTTCTCACCACCTATTTAAAATGATGCTCCCTTGTCTCTATCTTTCCCTCTTTTTGGTTTTTTCTTCATAGCACCTGTTGCTGTAAAACACATCAATATCTTTTTTCTTATTCACCTTGTTTCCCGACTCTCTCCACTAGAATGGAAGCCTCACCAGGACAGAGATTTTTGTCAGTTTTGCTCACTGCCCCTAGCATAGTGCCTGGCACATAATAGGTGCTCACTAAACAGTTGCTGAGTGAATGAAGGGATGTTGGCTGTTGTTATTAGGGAGGCCAGTTAGGAAGTTGATGGGCTACTCCAGGTGAGGACAGACTGTGCTGTGGAGATGGAGTGGGCAGCGCTGTGGTATCTGGTGGGGAGGCATGAGGATGTTCTGGGTGTTTTGGCCTGTGTGGGAGTGTGGAGACAGGGTGGGAGGAGCCGGCTGCAAGGGAAGAGGAAGGTGGCAGGTTGGTATGGGAGAAGCGTGAGGTGTTTCTGGATGTCCATGTGAGGATTAGGTCCCTGATAGAAATGCAGGCGGGAGGCATGGTGAAAAGTCCAGCGTGGAAGAACCCTGGAAACCCCCAGAGAGTGGTAAGGTGAAGCGGCTGGGAACAGACAGAGAAAACAGAGTTCCTCACTCCAGTGCCCACACGGTCAAGTGGGTTGCGTCAGGGAGCAGCAGGGCCTATGGCAAAAGAAAGTGCGAGTGTCACTGCCAAGAGAGACAGGGACATCTCCCAGTTTCTGTCAGTGTCAGTGTGTTGTCATGTGGGAGACAGGCCCAGGCTTGCAAGAGCTTCTGGTTCATTGAGGGAAGCCAGAAATCTGAATTTTCATGTGAAATTTACTGGGATTTTTTTGAGGCAGTTCATTCAAACTTTGCAAAAGCACTGTATGGGCCAAATAAGCCACCTCTGTGAGCTGAATGCAGCCCATGGGCAATCAGCTGGCAAACTCTGGGGTAAGAGGAACAAGGAAGAAGCTGGGGCAGAGCCCTGGGGCCATGGCTGCAGGGTTTGCTCTCTGAAGGAAATCACAGGAGGTAGGAGGTTTTGGGAGAGAGTGGGTTGGAGTGCTGGGTATCACAGAAGGCCACGAGTTTGAGAATGGAAATTTGGCCTACAGAGCAACACAGAACAAGTCTGTGCAATGGTAGGGGCAGAAGCCATCTTTTCAGAGCCATCAGAAAGTTTCCACCTGCTATGGCTGAATGTTTGTGTTCCTCCCAAATTCAAGTGCTGAATTCCTAACCCCGAAGGTGATGGTTTTAGGAGGTGGTGTCTTTGGGGGGTGATTAGGTTAAGGGAGTGGAGCTCCCCATGACTGGGATTAGTGCCCTTATAAAAGAAAGAGACCCCAGAGAGCTCCCTTGTCCCTTCCACTCTGTGAGGACACAGCAAAAAAAATGTCGTCTATGAACCAGGAAGAGAGTCCTCATCAGACACTGGACCTGTCAATGCCTCGATCTTGGACTTCCAGCCGCTGGAACTGTGAGAAACAAATTTCTGTTGTTTTCAAGCCACCCAGTCTATGGTATTTTGTTATAGCAGCCTAAACATACTAAGATACCACCTTATTTACAAGGGACAGTAAGGAAGAAGGAAGGAAAGTGTCTTTGCTTCAGAGCAGAGCTACCCTAGAAGGGAGTGGTTGAGGACTGCTCAGCCAGTGTGAGGCCCATTCCCCACCAATCCCATTTGAAGGGAGATGGAGCTGCTGACACCTTCCGGTGGCCTCCTGCGATGTTGTGAATCACAGACTTTGTGAAATGAAAGGTTAATGATGTTCAAAACAGAAGAATAAGGTTCATCACTCCCACCCCCAACTCCTGTTCCAGGTGCAAGGCCTGGGGTGAGCTCCTTGGTCCGTCCACCTGAGAGCGACTGTGAGAGCTGGAAGCAGCACCGCCCAGCAGTGCTTTCCTCATGCACAGCCACCTTCTCCATCTGTGCCGCCCAGTACAGTAACCACGTGGCTGCTGAGCACGTGAAATGTGGTTACTGTGACCGAGGGGCTGGATCTGTTATTTTATTGAATTTTAACTAAAATAGCCTCATGGGACTAGCAGCTGCCATATTGGATTATGCAACTCTAGAGGTTTGGAAGAAACATCACGACTACATAGGCAATGACTCTGCCCTTCCCTATCTCCTTTCTCATCTCTCCTGAGGAGGAGGGAAGGCCAACAGGGAGCCTGGTGTCCTGGGTTGGGTCACTCTGTATTGATAAGACCCTGTGAGTGTGGCTCCCTTTTCTCTCTCTTACCTCCCAGGGGCTGGATAGCGAGGCTGAGGTGGGGCCTGTCTTCTTGGGGCTCTCAGGGTCATCTTGTCCTCTCTCTTTCTTGATTCTTATAGGCAGCTCTGGCACTCTGGTCTTATCAGGCCCAGAGAGAGCTGGACATAGACCAGGGCTTAGTGGACTGGACACAACTCCATGGGTTGTGGGCCTGAGCCTTGAGCTTCAGCTCAGTCACCCACCTACGGGTTCTGCTTGCCTGGCAGCTAGCCGGGCTCATCATAAAAGGACCACGGTTAGTTTCCTTCCCCTGATCTCTCAGGTGAGGTTGTCTCTCAGAAGGACTTGGTGGGACAGGAGTAGGGGAGGAGTGGCCTTGGTTTGGCAGGATTCAAGCATTCTTGAGTTCCTAAAACATTTGCATCTAATAGGGTCTCAAGCCCCTAACAATGGTATTTTCTTATTTTTTATTCTGGTATTCAAATAATAATGATAATAATAAAATTAACTTCACATATAATATAGAAACATATTCCCATTGTAAAAGATGAAAATAATTCAGGAAGTCCTCCCCATAGATAAAATTGCCTATAGCCCTCCTCCCAGTCTTCCTTCTGTACACACACACACACACACACACACACATGCACACACACACACACACCAGCAGGGGTGTTTTAACCCCCACTGCCAAAGATTATACTATATATTCTGTGACTTGCTTTTCTCACATATCATATCTTGGGGGAATCTTTCCATATCGGTTAATGGAGGTAGATCCCACTCCTTTTAAATTGCTGCATAGTATTCCATTGTACTCACGCAGCGTGGCTTCCTTAATCACTCCCTGTGAATGGATATTTGTTTTCCCCCCTAAATTTCGATATCAAAAACTGTGTTGCAATGAGCAATTTTGTACATACCTCTTTGTACATGTCTGTGAGCATAAGCAGACACACACACAATAGGGAGGTGTGTAGACTGTGGTTCAGCAAGTGTTCACTCCTCCCCTACCCCAGCCTCCATGGGAGGGGTGTACCTCCCATCCAGTTGACATCCAGCTTGGCCCCGTGACTTGCTTTGCCCAACAGAATGAGGGCAGGAGTGAGGGGCACCAGTTCTGACTTTAGGCCTGAAGAGGCCTTGAAAGTTCCCACTTGTCCCTCTTTGGCTTCTACTTTCATCGCGAGAGTAACACTCCCCAGGGAGCTATTGGTCCAAGAAGCCTGAGAGACACAGTCTGGAGCCCAGCCCAGCCATGTCCAGCCTAGATCAGCTGAACCCCAGCCAAACAGCAGGCAAGTAAGTGAGAAAATAAGTGCTTGTTGTTCTCTCCAGCTGAGAGTTCAAGGTTGTTACACAGTAAAAGTCGCCTGACACAAGTGAAAACTGGTAGAGCTCTTAGTGTCTGTCAGAATGTTTAATGATATGCCCTTTGACCTAGGGTTCTACTTCCAGGAGACCAGCTTTCTGAAACATTCCATGGAAGACATATGGACGGTGATCTTTAGATGGACTCCAGCTGGAGTCCCACCAGTCCAATTGATGGGTGGACTGTCCAGGCATTGAGCTTCCCGGTCACTTAGCAGCTCATACAGAGTGTCAATGAGGGGGCTAGGAAGGCCTTTATTGCCGGCCCCCTCCCCAACCCCTATCCCTTGCACAGTGTGATAGCTCCAGAGGTCAAACAGCTCCCATAGCTACACATGTGTGGGTACCACCTGGCTTTTCTGCAGCCACACAATGCTGACTTGAGAGAAAGCCTTCCAGTCTTATCATCTTAGGAGCCTTCCCCAGCAGGACCAGTGGCTCCCACACAAGAAGTTCCCGTCCCTAGAGGGCTGCGGGGGCACAAGGCTGGCCGGGGAGACTCATAAGACAGAATGCTGGCAGAAAGAATACTTTCTCATTGGGTTGAAGTTGACTATTTTCCATTCACCCCCTAAGATAGCCAATCCCTTTTACTAAAGAACCACATTTCCAGACCTCCTTTTCCCCTCAAGGTCCTCCAGTGGCATCTAGAATTGGGTTACGTGGGAGCCTTGTTGGGTGAGAAGACGCTCAGGGCAGTGATAAGGGGTTTGTCGCCTGGGTCTCCCGCCTCGTTCCTCAGCTGCTCACAAAAGGTTGAGGGGTATAAAATTGACTCCCACACAAGGCCCTGCAGACACCTTTGCAGATAAATTCCTGTTTTGTTGCGGGGGAGCCCAGATGGAATCTCGGGGCTGGGAAACAGATCTGCAGGCTGGCTGTCCCCACTCGCCTCTCGGTTCATCTGTCACTGTTCGCTCACTGCTGATAATTCTGTCAAGTTGGAGCACTTGCCTGGTTTGGCAGCAAATTGAGTCGAGGATTCTCCCCCATTCCCTGGTAGAAACTTACTGTGTCCACGGATATTGGGGGTGATGCTTGAGTTGGGACCAGGGGGTGGCTTCATGGTGGGGGCCTGGGGTTATTGAGGTCTTCATATCCAGCCAAGATTATGAGCATCTGTGCATCAGCCTGCAGTGGCTGCCCACCCACAGGGGCCAGATGAGCCGAGAAAGCTGTACTCATCAGTCATCCCTGGATGTCCACTAGCCCATCCCGAAGGACCTGCTTCATCCCAGCCTCTGCTAAGAAATCCTCCCACATAATAACAAAGGTGGGGGGCCCATTCCTTTTTAACTGCTTCATAGTATTCCATTATGTACACGTGGTGTGACTGCTGTGTTGTGGGAGAGGTGGACATTGACTGAAGTAATGTGGGGACATGACTGATTATTCACAGGCTGGTCAGTGATTTACCAGGTGCCAGGCACAAAGCCCTGCCTAATTGGTACAAGAGCGTCTCATTTCACCCTCCAAACAACTTGTAGGGTAAGTACTATTATCCCCATTTTACAGGTAGGGAAATTGAGGTACAGAGAAGTTAAGACATTTGCCCAAGATGACACAGCTAGTAAGTAGCAGGGCAAGAATGCAGCCCAGGCCTGACTTAACCCCCAAGGCCACCCTTGTAGCCACCACCTCCCTCAAGGAGAAGCAGAGGAGATGGCTGCTGAGTCATATCCAGGGCCCAGTACTCAGGAAATTTGCTGAAGTCTTACCGTTGAAAGAGAAGATAAGAGGACATGACTGCACCTCACTCTTTGTGCCTGTTAGAGCCCCAGGTATGACAATAACCCTCCCTGTCCATACTCAACAGCTGTGAGGAGCCAGGGTGGGTGTCTGGCTGCTGCCAGTGACAAATAGCTGAAACTCAGCAGCTGGATCCAAAGCCTTCGGCTTTTGGTTTTTTGCTTTTGCCTGAAATAATCAGATAATTACAGCTGAAGCAAGTCACTCAGCTTGACTTGCAGAAGCCAGTTGCCTCCTTCCTGGACTTGTTCTCCCCGAGGGAAGCCTTGGCTCTGCTGTCCCAGACTCTGGTGTGATCATCTTCAAAGCCAACACCCTAAATCCCAGCCTCAGCTCTTGTTCTGCTGCAACCAGAGAACCTGGGCCTGGGGGCTTCAAGGAGATGCTCAGATTGACCCTTCCTGGTCGCAGGGTGTGGGACGGGGTTGCAAATATTGCCAACTGAGTTCTCCCCAGCTCCGACCATCCTGTAAGCAACCCGGAGCGCTGGGGGCCAGGCTGGGCTGGGCCTGGTGCCTGGCCGCTCCCAGCAGATGTGCCATTTGAGACTCCAGCATGCTCACTCTTCTGCCTCCAGCAATCCCAGGCTGGGCCAACGCTAATATTTACATTCAAAGGCAAGGCTGCAGCTCAGGGCTGCTTCCGTCCCTGTGGCTTTCCTGGGCCCAGGGGATAGATTTGCAGAGCAGGGTGTTGGGAGACAGCTTGTGTGGGCTGAGCGAGATAGCAGGCAGGGAATTAGGCCCAAGGACTCAAATAGCAAAAATAACTGCAGTGATGATAATAGCAACTATTTATAAAGTACTTACGATATGCCAAATGCTGGGATAAGTCTTTCCCATGCATTTATTTATTTATTTATTTATTTGAGACAGGGTTTCACTTGATCACCCAGGCTGGAGTGCGGTGGCCCGATCACGGCTCACTATAGCTTCGACCTCCCAGGCTCAGGTGATCCTCCCATCTCAGCCTCCCGAGTAGCTGGGACTATAGGCACATGCTACCATACCTGGCTAATTTGTGTATTTATTTAGTAGAGACAGGGTTTCGCCCTGTTGCCCAGGCCGGTCTCAAACTCCTGAGCTCAAGCCATCTGCCCTCCTCAGCCTCCCAAAGTGCTGGAATTACAGGCATGAGCCACCGTCCGGCCATCCCATGCATTTTAACTTTAGTTCTCATCCCCAGTGCCCCAAGGCAGGAGTATCACAGTTTTACAGGGTAGAAAACAGAGGCAGAGAAAAGTAAGTAACTTGGCTAAAAATCATACAGCTCGGAGGAAGGGATCTGGGTGCACAGCTGAGCGAATGTATCTTGGGACTCCTAAAATCAAATGCCTACAGGGGCTGGGTGGTTTAATTCGATGAGTAAAATCTGGTAAGTTTAAGGGACTAGGGAGGGGTGGGGATTGGGGCCACGGGGATGGAACACACCATCTATTGCCCACCTCCAGCTAGTTGTTGCTGCAAAGAAATGTGTGCCCTGTGGGGCCAGCTTGTCTGATTTTCAAAAGAAAATCTTAGCATGTTTGTTTCTACAATCGGGGGGGAAACACATATTTATACATCTACAGGTTTTTATTTGAAGTCTTCTAATTTTTCAATGTTGGCAACACATTCCTTTTCTAAAAAAAAAAAACACAGCCGGAGCCAAGTCAAACATGTGTTCGGGTGACAGCACTGCTGTAACTGCTAAGCCCAGCTCGCTCACACTGTGCTCTACCTCCACCACGCAGGAGGCAGGACTGCGACTTCAGCTTGGAGAACCACAATCTGGATTGTCACCCCTGAACCTCTTTCGAGGTGGATGTTTGGGTGCACCCTTGGATCCAGACCACTAGGTCTTTGCTGGGCCCTGCACTTCAGAAGGCCTCACTCAGGTCCTCCTATAGCCATGCCTCCTTTCCACCAGGTGGAGGATCTGCTGGGCCTAGAGACCCCTGAATTTCCTGACCCAAAGGCCTCGAGTCCACTTTCAGGACCTGCGCGTCAGTTACCTGTTGCTGTGTAATAAGCCACCTAAACTTAGGGGTAGGAAGCACCAATCATTTCAATATTATTCTCAATCCTCTATGGGTTCTGGGGGCTGACTGGGTCAGTGGAGAGGCTCTTCCTTGCGCCTCTCCTGAGGTCCTGTCAGAGGGTGGCTGGGCTGGAATCACTCACATCTGCAGTTGATCTGGCTGGGGCTGACACTCTGGCTGAACTGTGGCCAGAGCACCTGCACGTGGCACCTCCATGCGGCTAGTGCTTCCTCACAGCCTGGCAACAGGGTTCAAAGAGGGAGGACCAGGAGGAAGCTGAGCCACCTTTTATGACCTAGCCTTGGAAGTCACACAGTGTCACTTCCCCGTGCTTTATGGCCTGAGGCAGTCACAAAAGTTCATCTGGATTCAAGAGGTGGAGTTAGAGACTCTACTCCTCTTGAGGTGGACGGGTAAGGTCACATTGTAAGAAGAATCTATGGGACGGGAGATACTTCTAGGGCTGTCTTTGGAAAATAGACTCCATCTGCAACAGCCTGCACGCTGCTCTCCCCGAGGTCTTCCTGAGGATGCACCCTGCGGGAGGCAAGGCCAAGGAGCTACTGCCGGGGCTGGGGTGGATGGAGCCAGCTGCAGGCTGGGCTGGCACCCGCTGGGCGTGCACACAACACACACAAGGCCCTCTGACCCTGCCAGTGTTAGGGGCAGCCTGCCTGGAGAGCAGCACAGGACCCTTGGACTTGCTTTGAGGAGTCCCTACTGAGAGCAGCATGTGAACAAGATAGAGGACCGCTCCTGGGGGATCTGAGTGATGGCCTCCACTGAGAAGAAAGGGGTGTGGGGAGGAGAAGAGAGATGGAGATAAATGAGCCTGCTGTGTGTCCACCAATGTCCTGACAAATAAGTCTTGATTGAGGTAGAAGGGAGGCTCAGGGCTTGCAGGATGCTGTGCGGGATTGTTCGTGGGACTCCAGTTTGCAATGACACACTAGCCAGTTATCACACAGTGAAAGTCACTGGGCAGATTTGGGCCAAACTGCAGGCCTCTGTAGAAGGCAGGTGTTAAAGCACCGGTTGTGCATATCTAAATCACCTGGGGGGACCTGAAGACCTACTGATGCCTGGGCCTGCCCATCTTCAGGATTCTGATGCAATTGGCTGGTTTGTGGCCCATGCCTGGGGGTTTTTAAAAGCTCCTAAACAATTCTAATATGCAGCCAAGTTTGGGGTCCACTGAGCCAGAGGAGCAATAGCTGGAGGTTCTTGGGCCTTAATGAGGGAATGGCTTGAATAAGCCCAGATGGCAACGGAAGGCATTGCAGGTGGGAACAGCTGCAGCAAGAAGGGGCCATGGGAATACACACTGCAGAATTTGGGGTAATATTGGGGAGCAGTAAAACATAAGGTCAGGTATTCTAAGGTGCTGGTATTAGTAATAGTAAAAAATGGTGGCATTCTGCCAATCATGTGCTTTACTGATACATTCTTACTAGGTTCTTACAACAACCCTGTGAGGTAGATATTTTAATTCCCATTTTACAAATGGGAAAACAAAGGCTCAGACAGACTGTATGACTTGCCATAGCTAACCCTGAGCTGGGATTTTAATCTGTGACTCTTGAATTCTGAAGGTCGTGCTTGGAGGGTTCCTGGTGCAAACGTGGCGCATTCCAGAATTGACGTAGAGGTAACATAAAGCCAATGTAGTGAATTGGGGTTCTAGTGAAGTGGTGTGTTGGAGTAGGTATCTATGAGGTGGTGAGCATGGCAGGGTAGTGTGGAGGGGAGAAGATAGGATGGTGTGTGTGTGTGTGTGTGTGTGTGTAAGAGAGAGAGTGAGCGATTAAGCGAGAGAGAATGGTGGCCCATATCCCCTAAAGGAGGGTTCAACTCTGGGGACCTGAACAGCTCCTTTCAAGCTGTGCTTCCCTTTTTGCTGGGGGCAGGTCACTTGAGGAGGCCTGGACAGTCTTCTCCAGCCTGTGTGGTCTCATGGAGCCTCAAGCCTCCCGGCCTCAGCATGTGCTATTCTATTGAAATCTTACACGTTTTCCACCTGTTTCAACGCTGCTTGTCTTCGCATGCCTTGCTGAGATGTCACTAGCTCCTGGGGTCAAACTGAGTTTCAAGTTTGAGCTCTGACACATACTAGTCCTGTCTTCCTGGGAAAGTTACTCAACCTCCCTGATTCTCAGTTTCTTCAGGTGTAGAAGGAAAATAGTAAAAATAGTCCTTGCCTCAGAAGGTGCTGGGAGGTTTCATGTTAACATCATGCATGCAAGCTTTTAGGATAGAGCCTCATTCAGAATGAGCGCTCCTCAAAGGCTGCACCCACCACTCTCTTGTAGCGCCCACAGCTGTATAATGGCTGCCCCTCTTCGAGACTGGAAGTCCCTTGAGGGCAGAAGCCATGACTGGTCACCACTGAAGCCCTATGCCCAGCATGGAGTAGGCATGGTAGGGGTTGTTGGATGCTCATTCAGTACCTCTTCCCTCCTTGCCAACAGAACCCCAATGTTGCTGGGAGCAGGGATGTAGCTACCAAATAGATCCCACTTTCCATACTCCTTTGCAGCCAGAGATGGCCACGTGATGCATTCTGTCCCACCAGGTCATCTTAGGTTGGGCTCCTAGAAACAGACTCCTTGAAGCCAAGAGTCAAGGGCAAGTAGCTTATTTGGAAGGTGATTCCTGGAAGGGGAAATGAGACAAGGAAGAGAAGCCAAGTGCAGAGAGTGTGAGTGAGCAGCACATTATTGCTGGGGGTAACTGGGGCCAGATCCTGCTGGGAACCTTTGAGAGCTAGTGTACAACAGGTCCCCAATTTTCCCACCTGAGGGCCAGAAAGCTGGGGTGTTTGCCCACCAACTGCTGTCTGTCATTGGTTGATGCTGCTTCTGGGCAGAATTAATTCTGGCCTCTCTGTGTGGCAACCTGAGCAAGCTACTGGGGCTGAAGAAAGGAGTCTGTAGAAGGAAGGTTCTGTAGAGCCCAGATGATGAATGTCAAGGGGATGTGGATAGGGCAGGCCCCAACAGTGTCTGTTATGGAAGCGTAAGTCTACATTGTTGCAAGAGATTTCCAGAAAAGCCCCCAAATGGAGACCGACTCATCAGATATGGCCCCTTTTTCTCAGGATCTCCCCACTTTCCTTTTGCATAGAATACAGGCTTAATGGCTAGAGCTGTGGCAGCCTTCTGTGTACATGAGGCAAAAGCCTAGAGAGCCACCAGGACTTCTCTCTGTTCTGACACCTTTTAGTTATTATTTACTTGTGGACATTATGTCTTATAAGAAAAATAAAACCCCTCTCTTTAGCGTTTTAGGTGGCCATTGATATGTGAGTCTCCTGTTACTTGCAGTGTAACTCAATAGAAGTTCAATAATTCAAAAATGTTGAAGAATGAGTGAGGAAGCGGTGGGGTGGAGTGGAGAGCATCACTTACTTATAGAGATGCCCAGAGGTTTGACTATATTCCTAGGCCGTAAGCTCCTGAGAGCTGGACAGGGATTATTTTTGCTCTTTATTTTATCCTCGGCATTTAGACCAGTGCTTTGTAGAAGAGACTTGTGATCATTATTTCCTGAATAAACAAATAGCCAATGATCCTGGGGAAGGAGAGGAAGCTGCAGACGCTCTAGATACAATTTATTTGAGTTTGCATTTATGGAAAGTCTTTTCATATACTAGATTGTACTTCCCTTTTGCTAGAGGGAGAAGGTTTGAGGAAGGGAGAGAAGTGAGAGCAAATGAACTAGGATAAAGTATTAAAAGTTGGGTAGGTTAGATTTCCTCTCCCTGAGCCTCAGTTTTCTCATCTGTAAAGTGGGGATAATAACCATACCAGAGTTTGTTGTGGGGATGAAATGAGAGAATGTATAATCAGTGATTTGCAGAGTTCCTGGCTCACAGTGGGTCCTCAAGAAAGGATACTTAATTATTATTATTGTTTTTGTTATTACTAATAGGTACCAGTACTGGACCCTGCAGAAAATAACTAAGACATGGGTCCTTATCCTCAGCCCATGATTCCGATAGGAGGAACTCACTGTATTATGAGGGAGGATAAATCGTATGATTTCCAGTTTATAACTGGAGACATAGACTCTGAAGTGTTATAAAATGTACCTGAGGGCCTGGTACAGATCTGTAATCCCAGCACTTTGGGAGGCTGAGGTGGGAGGATCGTTTGAGCTCAGGAGTTCAAGATCAGCCTGGGAAACATGGTGAAAACCTGTCTCTACAAAAAATAAAAAAAATTAGCTGGCTGTGATGGTGTACACCTGTAGTCCCAGCTACTCGGGAGGCTGAGGCAGGAGGATCACTGGAGCCCAGGAGGCTGCACTGAGTCATGATTGTGCCACTGCACTCCAGCCTGGGAAACAGAGAGACTCTGTCTCAAATAATAATAATAATAAAATAAAAGATAAAAGGTACCTGAGATCAGCTGACTGGTTTGTGGCAGGGATCTCCCAGCAGCACCATGCAGGAACTCTGGAGGAATACTTGAAGTGTTACTAATTTAGGGACACATTCAGCAAAAAAATTCTGTGACTTGGTCTTGTACCCAGGATCAACATTTGACAAGCATCCCAGGGGGCTCTCTGATGGCAGCTCTAAGCCCAATCTTGCCTCACCTACTTCCCTCCCATCCTCCAGGCCTCCAAAACCTCCCAAGGCCATTCCAGCTCTAAACTGGAAAATGCGTTTGTTGAAAGGGGTTGAATTGGCATGAAATGACTAAAGGAGGTGCAGTTTAGCAAAGCCACGAACTGGAGCTACCTTCTAAATTAGGATGAGGGACTTTCTTTTCCGGATTAGTCATTGAGCAAGCTCCTTCATTCTCAGAACTGCCTCCGTGCTGCTGGTTGGACAGTTATTCTCACCAACAAGAAGGTAGACGATGGTTAGTCTATCTGCAGCTGCTCCCGCTTACTGAGGGGAAAAGAGAAGACTTCCCCTTGTAACCTGGCTGGGAGCCTTCCCAAGGTGGGTGAGGACATTTCCAAAATATTTTTTATGCTAATTAACGGAGGTATTAAAACGTACTGGCTAAATAATGCTGCCATTGAAAGAAGCAAAGGATGGAAGCACGTCTAACTTCCCTGTAAGTAGGCTTTCTTGTTGAACATTAAAACTCCCACAAATTCCCCTGTGGCTTCATCATAGACTCTGTGGTGACCACTACCTATGGACCACTGTTATGAGACCACTGTCTCATAAAGTGACTTTCTAAAGGCCTCAGATGGTCATCTTCAGAGCGTGGAGGAACAGGGGCCTGGGGCTGAGAAAACTTGATTGGTTTCAGCCTCAAGAAATCAGTACCAGCCCAGGTAATGTTGGGCTTTGGGTCTCTCCCTGTGCCTCCTTTGATAGTTTGGTGTCTTGAGGCACAAGGCAAGGGGACCTCTCCTTCCTCCAGCATCTTGTCACCTAAGAGATTATTTTCCTTTGGTGACACATTCCCACAGTCATAGGTCAATTTTTTTTTGTGAAACAAATCAGCAAAAAAAATCATCATGGGTCTTGCCATAAATCCTCAAGAGCATGTAGTGGGGTGGCGGGTGACTCTGAAAGTATGAAGGCATGAGGTTTTTATTCCTGGTGTTTCTCTCTACCCTCGTCCCCTCCTCCATTCTGGCTGCTGTGTGCATTTTGTTCTCATTGCCTCGGGAGAGGCAGCAACTCGGAGAGAAGAGAATGTCAGCTCTTGGCCTTGGAGTTGCAAAATCTTAGGCCTGCGGGGAGGAGAAGGACTGATGGGCATCAGTGACGGAAGTGGGGAGGAGAGCTGGGAACAAGATGAATTTCTGGGCCTGGAGATGGCAAGGTTTCTTCTGGGTGGGGAAGGAAGAGAGATGGAGGGGACACAATAAAGGAGAGAGGTCCTGCGGCCATGTGGGCTGGAGGAAACTCAGTTTCCAGGTACTGCCCAGCCCCTCCTGGAGAGGGGACTTGGGTCACCCACCAACAATGCCCAAGGGCTCTCAGTCAGCACCTCCACACCCTCCAGCTTATTACTGCGTTACCATACAGCATCAACACATGGGAGTTGCAAAGGTGGTCCTTTCTGTGGACAGCTGGTGGGACCTCCTAGCTCAGAGGGGAACCTCCAGCCATGTCCCGAGTGCTTGTCTGGCACCTTCGACTTCTCCCTCATGGATGTTCCTGTTTCAGCATCGCAGGCCATCTGCAAACTGTGGAGATGGGGTGGGGGCCTGGACACCTGCTGGGGTAGCAGTGATAGAAAGGACAAGAGGACAGGGTCCCTCAGCACTTCTACCTCCTTGAACCTGCCAGAGTCCACCTGCGGAGGTGGGGCGATGGTGAGCCGCAGCCCCCAGGAGCCCTTTAACTACAGAAGCTCATGGCGTGCAGAGGGAGGCAAAAGATGGGCCATGGAGTCACGCGAATCTGAGGACTGGCTCCAACTCCACCTTTGTCTCCCTCTTCGGAAAGCTGAACAGGGTGCAACGTGAGAAGGCGATCTTCCTTCCTGCCTTGCAGGCACTCTGGGGACGCTGCTTGTTTGCTCTGCTCTGCCAACTCTCCCCTGGGGACTCTCCTCCCCAGCCAGGCTGCCCTGGAGGGTGGAGTCTCCCCGCTGTCCTCCTGCTCCACCCCTCAGTCCACAGACCTTTTCATTTAAAGAGTTCATTGCTACAGGAAACAGATGGTAGTCACAAAAATAATAAACAGAGAGAATTTCAAAGGTTCCGGAAGCTCAGAGTCATGGTCTCAGGCCCGTCGTTAAAGACTTCCTTCTGAGATGGGGCCTGAGAATGACTGCAAACACTGTTGTTTCAGCCACTGGGATGGCCGGGCAGGGAACTGCAGTGCTGAGAGCTGTCAGCCCCTGGACTAGTGTGTAACCCTCACAGTCGTCTTGCAATGGGAGGGTGTCATGACCCCCACTTTACAGATGTAAAAACTGAGTTCAGAGAGCAGGATTGGCTGCATGATTTAGGACATTCAGTGTAAAATAAAAATGTGGGGTCTTTGGTTTAAAAATTAAGAACTTCAAGACTGAAACCACAGCAGACTGTTAAACCAAGTGAGGTGTCCTTCTGATCACAGGCCCTGAGTGACTGCCTGGGACACAGGCTTGTGAAGTCAGCCCTGTCAGAGATTAGGTAACTAGCCCAAGGACACCAGCTAGTGAGAGGCAACCGCGGCTTCCATGCAACGTCTAGGACAGCCTTCAATTGAATTTTGCTATCTTCCTGGTCTTTACCTGTGGACACCCCCATCCCTCCCTCCCACCCGCCATGGCTTGGCTGTCGGCATTATTTTTATAACTTAAAAAGAATCGTTAAAAAGTAAAGCATGACTTTAAGACGCCAACACTACACAAATCCTGATGTTGCTCCCAGAAGCCCTTTGGCTTTTGCTAAAACGGAGGCGGAAGAGGTGATTGGGCATTGCCCCACCTCCTCCTCCATTCAATTAACTTGACAAGGAAACATTTTTGAGACAGATGATTCTCATTTTTAATGCAGTTTGAAAGTCCCTAGGGGCAGGAAGACACTCGGGCTTGCCTACTTCAGGAAGTGGTGTCTTCCCTCCAATTTATACGGACTTTATTTTAAGAGACCTCAGCTGGCTCAGTCCACATTGATAAGCTTCCCCAATGGGATATGCATAATATAGGGCTTACAGTACACATTCAACACAATATCTTAATACATGTTTATACGAATATATATTTGTATTTTATGCTATTATCACAGTGGTTCTTAGAGGAGAGAATGACTTTACCCCTTAGGGGAACATTTAGCAATGTCTGGAAGACATTTCTGCTGTCACAGCTAAGAAGCAGCTGCTATTGGCTTCTAGTGGGTGGGGTTTGGGGGTGCTGCTAGACATCCTACCATGCACAGGGCAGCCCCCCACAACAGAGAAGTATCCAGCCCAAAATGTCAGTGCTGAGGCTGAGAAGCCACAACAAGCAATCATAATTAATTGGTATTGTCAAGGAATGAAAGATTACTGGGACTGGAACCCCACTTTGTAAAAAATCTACCCTTAGGAAATAAATTTTTGAGTGCTGCCAACTGAATTTGTGACTATTATGTAATAACTAACTGGGTCTCAAGTTAGGAGTCAGTTGAACCTCAGATAATCTTCACAACTCCCCCCAAGAAGTTTGAATTCTTTTTTTTTTTTTTTTAGAGGCGAGGTCTTGTTATGTTGCCCAGGTGGGTATCGAACTCTGGAACTCAAGTGATGCAACCTGCCTCGGCCACCCAAAATGCTGGAAATATAGGCGTGAATCACCACATGCCTGATCAGAAGTTTGAATTCTTATACTCATTTTGCTGATGAGAACACTGAGCCTCAGAGAAGAGAGTTAGGGAAGGACTTCCTGCAGGTTGTTTTACCCAGAGATGCTGTCAAAGAGTCAGCCAGGACAACCTGGGGTTCTTTTTCTCAAAGATCTACTTTTATCTCTTGGTACCAGGCCAGCTGGGCTTACTCCGCTAGTTGGAGCTGGGGGACACCCACATCCCTGCCTCTGGTTTAAGAATCTCTCCTCCTTGCATCTGCTCACAGTAGATCCTGTTTTTCCTTCCTTTCATATACCGCATCTACAGTACTATCTACAGTACTTGCTTTTTCTTTAAGGGAAGCACCCTCTTCCCAGAAGCTAGAGGTAGACAGACTCTGAGTCTGGGGATGGAGTGTGTAAACCAGGTGATAGCAGCCGATGTATTAAGTTCTTCTGCCCACAGTGACTGGCTCAGGATAGTCACATAATCCAGTCTGAACCATGAGAGGTTTGCTGCCCTATTGCTACCCCAGAGGACCCAGCCTAAGGCCGAACTCCAGTGAGCTGCCAGATAAAACACAGGTGGCCCTGTTAATTAATTCAACAATGAATATGTTTTTAGTACAAGTATGTCCCAAATGGGCCGGGGACAGTGGCTCATGCCTGTAATCCCAGCACTTTGGGAGGCCGAGGTGGGCTGATCACTTGAGGCTAGGAGTTGGAGACCAGCCTAACCAATATGGTGAAACCCATTTCTACTTTTAATAAAAATGCAAAAAATTAGCCGGTTATGGTGGCCTGTGCCTGTAATCTCAGCTACTCAGGAGGCTGAGGCAGGAGAATAGCTTGAACTCAGGAGGCAGAGGTTGCAGTGAGCTGAGATTGTGCCACTGCACTCCAGCCTGGGTGACAGAGTGAGACTTTGTCTCAAAAAAAAAAAAAAAAAAAAAAGAAAGTATCTTCCAGATATTTAGTGGGACATACTTATACTAAGAAAAGTACTTCTTGTTTATCTGAAATTAAAGTTTAACTGACGTTTTATATTTTTATTTGCTTAAATCTGACAACCAGTCAGTGGAAGCTAAAGAGGAGCTGCCTCTTGGTGACATCATGTGAGCCCTGAATTGTACCTAAAGCCAAACTGTGCATGGACTTGTAGCTGAAAGATTGTTAAGGAATTTTCTGGACCTCATCAAGGCCTTGGCCTTAGGAAACGTAGAAAGTCTTGTGAGGTGACTACACTTCCTTGCCCGTCACAGTGCTCAGCGTCCAGCGACAATAAAGACTTAATGGGTAACAAGGCTCTGTGCATAGCTCGCTTCTAATAACTACCTTCATTTTTTGAGCATTTACCATGCCTGAGACACTGTGCTTTAACTTAAACTACTTCCCACCTTCAAATATGTGTGAGATAAGTAACATCACACCCATTTCACAGGCGAGAAAACTGGGGTCTGGAAAGGTGACTTACCCTTGACTTCAGGGCACAGGCTGAGAAAATGAGAAACAGAATTTGAACCAGGTCCTCCTGGCTGCAAAGCCTGTGCTGCTTTCTTGACAGCTTGCCACCTCTCAGGCCCCACACCTTGCCTGCTGGTCAGGCCCCTTGGAAGGAACCTAGTGTTATCCCTGACCCTGCTCTTCCTCTCTCAGCCCCTGAAGGCCCCCATTAGCTGCCCACCTCCTGCTTGAAACACGCCGCAGAACATCTGGAAGCCCTAGGAGGCCGTTTCTTTGACAACCTTCGATTTAAAAGCTCATGGAAATTCTTGCTCCAACTGCTGTGACGTGAGCAGCCCAGGTACACAGTCCTCTGGAGGCCAGAAGGGGCTGCCAACATCTGCTTCCCATTACCCGGGGGAGGGACTTCACCACCAGCCGCTGGTAACAGGAGACCCTGGCCTCTGATTTATGGCCCATTTGGAAGGAGGCCTCGGAGCAATTACTTGTTGGATTGAGCCAGGCGAGGGGCTAGAGCTTTGCAAAGCGGAAAGCAGCCCCTGGCTGGCAGCGCTTTCTCCCCAGGAAGACAGGGACTATCCAGTGAGTACTTTCTTATTGACTTAAGTTACCTAACTTTCATGGATCATTGCCTATGTACCAGGCACTCTTCCAAATGCTTCATGAATATTCACTCAGTTAAGCCTCCCTAGAAGGGAGATGCTATGATCATCCCATTTTATGGTTGAGAAACTGAGGCCCCCAAAGATTATACAGCTTGCTGCAGTCACATAGCTAGGCATGTAGACTCTGCTGGGATTTGAATCAAGGCCCCGGAATCCAGCAACCGTTATGCTGCTCTGCAAATGAATAATCTTTAAAACATGTAAATTGGACCACCAGATTCCCAGCTCAGAACCCCCAATGGCTTCTAATGACAGAGTGAAACCCAAAGTTCTCAAACTGTAAGAACCTCTGGTCTTCTCTTCTCTGTCTTCTCCTTGCCTATTCCCCTCCAGCCTTCCTTGCCTGTTCTTGCTTCTTTTTGTTCATTTCTTTTCTTTTCTTTTCTTTTCTTTTCTTTTTCTTTTTTTTAAAAAGAGAAAAACCAGCTCTATTGAGCTATAAATAACATCAGGCTGGGCATAGTGGCTCATGCCTTTATCCCAGCACTTTGGGAGGCTGAGGTGTGGGGGTCACTTGAGCCCAGGAGTTTGAGGCCAGCCTGGGCAACACAGCAAGACACCACCTCTACAAAAAATTAGCTGGGCATGATGGTGCACACCTGTAGTCCCAGCTACTCAGGAGGCTGAGGCAGGAGGATCTCTTGAGCCCAGGAGGTCAAGGATGCAGTAAGCTATGATTGTGCCCCTGTACTCCAGCCTGGGTGACACAACAAGACCCTGTCTCCAAAATAAAAAATAAAAAAAAAATTAACGTCTCATAAAACTCACCCATTTAAAATGTACAGCTCAATGGTTTTAGTATAATATATTCAGAGTTGTGCAATGATCATCACAATCAAAGTTTAGAATATTTTCATAATCCCCAAATTCCCCATCAGCGGTCATTCCCATTCTCCCTCCCCTCCAGCCCCTGGCAACCATGAATCTACTCTCTGTCTCTACAGATTTGCCTATTCCGGGCATTTCATACATATGGAACCATACAATATGTGTTTTCATTTTGTGACTGGCTGCTTTTACTTGGCCTAATGTTTCAAGATCCATCCACGTTGTCTCATGAATCAGTACTTTATCCCTTTTAGAGGCCAAATCATATTGTGTGGTATGGGTATGCACTTTATCCATCCATTCGTTGGTAGGCATTGGGGTCATTTCCACTTTTTGGCTCTTATAAACAATGCTGCTGTGAACAAATGTGTATTTTGCCTGGACCTCTGGTTCCTTGGACACGCTAAACATGCTCCCCTCGCAGTGCTGTTGCCCTTGCCATTTCCTCCTCCTGGCTGCCTTCCTCCAGGTCTTCCTGTGGCTGGCCCCTCACTTCATATCCCTGTCCTCACACCACCTCCTCACATGGGCCCTCCAGACCACCCCCTCTACTTGTCATTCTCTCCCCCATCTTCTGCTTTAGTTCTCTTTCTTGGCCTTGCCAGTACAGGAAATTACTCTATATCCTTATTTGAGTACTGGGATTCTCTCTGTTTCTCTACCTAGCGTGGAAGCTCCATGAGGATGGGGACCTCCTTGGTCTCAGTGCCTGGCGCATAGAAGGTGCTCAATCAGTAGACAATGTGTGAATCAAGCAATGCAGCGGAGCCTGGATGACTTGCTCCAAGGCAGCACAAGGCTTCTAAGTAGTGAGCAAGACACCCAGTGACTCCAAACGGTAACCAGGGTGCTCTCATGATTGCTACACCTGCAAGGTCTCGACTTAGTCTTTCGAATTTCCCTGCAAGCGTAGAGGAGAGAGAAGAGCAAACCAATAAACCAATAGGATGCTGCCACAGGAAGCAAGGACAATGTGGCTGCTAAGAGTAGGCACTTTGGCAGGAGACGTCTGGGTTGTTATTAGTTACTTCTGAGCTTGGTGACCATGAACCAATCCATTTTATTTTCTGTGCCTTGGTTTTCTCAACTGTCCAAGGGAAGTAATAATAGTACCTTCTTTACTAGATGTTTATGAGGGTAAATTGAAATAATGTGGGTAAAATGTTGGACATATGTTGGCTATTTTTGTGTGGATGGATGTAGGCATCAGGAAAGCAGAGACAGCAAGGAGGATGGGCAGGTAACTAGCCTGGAAGGGAAGGTGGGAGGAATCAGTGCTGGTTTCCTGGGGGAGGTGGCATCTAAGCTAGGACCAATAGGACTTGGTCCCGGGGAACATGACGTCTCTTCTCTTTCTCCTCCTCCAGCTCAGGATCCAACATATCAGAGGAGGACTCCAGGAAGTCATTCTACCACCTCTGCCTCCCTGCTGACGAATCCGATATTTGGTGAGAAGCCTCCTAGGACAAGAGGCAACTTGGCATAGTGCTTAATTTCAGAGTTCAGGTCTGATGGGGTAACCTGGTGTTCAAATATCTCTGGCTTCCTGACTGCCTAACTGTGTGCCCCTGAGCCATGTGCTAAACCTCTCTGGGCCATCATGTCCTTGCCTATAAGTGGGGGTGATGAGAACAGTGCCAACAGCACAGGGTGAGAATTCAGCGAGGTAATGCCCGGCGAGCACTTGGCACATGGGGAGTATCAAGTCAGTGTCAGCCCTCAGCCTTGGTGGAATCCCTCTCTCACCTCAAAGTCTCCTTGCCTCCAGTGTTTTCCCAGAGCAGTAGCAAAAGCAGGCAACTAATTTTGCTTAAAGAGCTGGAGCAAAGACTGGGAGAATGGAGCCCAGGTCAGCCCCGTACTTGCCATGTGGTTTGGGAAGAGTGAATCCACCCCGCAGAGCCTGTAGGAAAACCGTCACTGGTAAGGGGGAAATGAGATAAAGGCGGTGAAGCCCTTGCTGCTTCCTGTCTCCCTGGGAATCCCTAAGAACATTCCCCAGCCTCCTCCTTTGCCCTCATCCCTCTCCCAGGGCTTAATTGGGCAGCTGCCGTCAGTTTGCACTTAACCTTCTCCCCATCTGCCCTCGAGGGAAAGAATTAATGCTAATCCCTGAGCTGCTTCCCTGCCTGTCGAGGGAAGTGTCAGAGTGCAGGGACCTGGATCCAGCTCAGCTCAGGCTTCCCAAGTAGTGCAGCCCAGCTCCAGTGCTCAGGGGCTCCCCAAACATGCCCACCCCAGAGTCTCAGCTCCTCTGTGCTGGAGCAGTGGGGGACAGCCCTCCCAGCCAGTGAGCCACCTTCCTCCTCACCCAGTTCTTGTCCCTCTAAGCCCAACACTGTACTATAGAAATACAATGTGAGCCACGTAAGTTATTTACAATTTTCTGGTAGCCACATTAAAAAAAAACCAAAGGGTAATAGATGAAATTTTAATAACACACTTTATTTAAAGCAATATATCCCAAATATGATCTTTTTAACATTAACCAATGTGCACAGTTTTTAAGAAGATATTTTCTGTTCTTTCTTTGCATACCCAGACTCCCCAGTTTGGTGTGTGTCTTATACTTTTATGGCACATGTCAATTTGGATACTAAAATTTTCATGGGAATACTTGATCCGCATTTAGACTTCACAAAACTTATAGCTGAAAAAGATTCACCTACCCAAGTTGATCGAGACCCTCATAAAAGTTTTCCAATCACTGAATCAAGTATGAGTTTTTAAGTTTAAATGTAATAAAAAAATGTAATTAAATAACATGAACAGTTCAGCTCATCAATCACATTAGCCACATGTCAAGGCCATGGCTACCATATTGGGTGGTGCAACTCTGGCCTTCACCCAATTTCCCACGCTGCTCCTTGGCAGCCCTCTCCAGGAAAATGTGTGGTGCACTGGAGTTGGGAACTCTGCCTCCAATTTGCTGTGTGACTTTGGGTGAGTGTCTCTGCCTCTCTAGGCCTTTCTTTTCCCAGCTCTCAAATCCTTCCATTTAAAGAAAGTGAGTGCCTATGCTCACAACACCTTGTTCTAGGCTCTGGGAATGCACAGCAAAGAGCACACGGTGCCCCTTCTCACAGAGCTTCATTCCGGGCTGGGAAATGGTCATCAGAGCTGGGATTACATTTATGGAACCCTTTCTATATGCCAGGCACTGTTGGAAGCCTTTGACATTAGCCAACTCTTTTAACCATCACGGTAGCTTCATGGGGAAGGTGCTGGCATCATTGTTTCTCATGAGAAAATTGAGCCACACAGAGCATTAAGAAACTTGACCAAAGTCTCCCAGCTTACATGGGGCTGTGGTGGGATTTGAACCCAGTCTGCTTGGCTGTAGTGTGAGTGCTTTCATCACTTCCTTCTACTACAGGTTGAACATTCCTACTTCAAAATTCCAAAATCTGAAGCAGTCCAAAATCTGAAACTTTTGGGGCACTGACATGAAGCCACAAATAGAAAATTCCACATGTAAGTACTCAACACAAGCTTTGTTTCATATGCAAAATTATTGAAAATGTTTCATAAAATTACTCCTTCATCCTATGTGTATACGGTGTGTATGAAACACAAGTGAATTTCCTTTACTGTTTTTGTACTCACAAACCCTCCCTTCCACTCCAAGCCCTGTAAGCATCTGCAATCTTGGCTAGTTTGCTGCTTCCGAGGTGCCTGGGGGTTCATGCATTTTAGACTTTGTGTGCTCCGGGGACTAGACATGATTTCAAAGTGCTGCTGACTTGGGTCCCAATCCCCAAAATATCTCATTATGTATATGCGAATATTCCAAAATCTGAAACAGTCTGGTCCCAAATACTTCGGATATGGGATACTGATCTCTCTAATGAATGTAGAGTGGCAGTGATGGCTGCTGAGAAAAGCAGCAAGGCAGAAAAAAAGGGGGAGAGGCTGCCATTTTAGATGGAGGGGAAAGAGGCCCCCTCTCCTCCAGGCTACACAGACCATCCCTAACATCCCTTGCACCTCAATCAAGGGCCTACCATGTGCCAGACTTTTAAAGGGTCTTGGAGGCCCCAGGCAGCGTGTGATGGGCCACGGTCTGTGAAGGTGTGCCCCGCATTGAGGAGGAGCCGGGCATCTGAACCGCGAAGCACAGCCAGGCCTGCCAGGCAGGTGTGCCATGTGGACTGGGAGCCGTGGCCAACAGCTGCCAGGTGGAGCCAGGCTTGTGCCAGGGACTGCGGTCAACAGAAGCAGCTGCCCTCCAGTGTTTACTGAGCATTTATTTTCTCTCCTTCTTTCTTCTTTCCCCTTTTCAGCCCATCTTTCCTAGCCTTACCCCTTCTCCTTTCTTCCCTCTCTTCTCCCTCACTCCTTACCTCCCATCCACCCACCTATCCAGTGTTTATTGAAGGCCTACTATGTACCAGACACGGTGTCAAGCCCTAGGGACACTGTGGTGAATAAAATGCTCCTGTCCTCAAGGAATGTTATGGTCCATTTGGAAGGACCCATAAATAAATCTGTAATGTCTGCTGAGAAAGGATGTGTGTGCTCTTTGAGAATAACAGTGAGACGAATTGGGGAAATTAATTACTCTTTGTACATGGAAGGACACTATAGATAAAGTTCAAAGGCAAATGATAGGCTGGAGAAATATTCGCACCGTCAGGGATGCAGAAGGAGCCCACATCTATGTATAGAGCTCACCGTCAGGGCCTGGCATAGAGCGCCATTCCCTTCACAGCGGGGCTTGCTCTTATTTTTTTCACTCTCCTTTTTTTTTTCAAATGCACCCTCTGTTCTACATAAAATGGTTGTGTCCTGTTGGTAGATCAGGGGCCCAACTTCCTGACTCAATGATTATGACATGAGGTCAAACAAGAGAAAAGGTGTCATGGGAGCAATCCACCCAAGCTCCAGCCTTGAACTAGAGAGAGTCCCCGACCCAAGGATCTTGAGTCCAGTGTGGGTGACAGTGCGGACACTAAGCAAAGGCTTTTCAGGGTAGTTTGTGGGAAGGGGCGGCATAGGTGTGGGGAGCTTCGAAGAGGGTCCTGCTGTGCAGACTCTTGGGGGCAGGAAGGGATAGTGGGAAGAGTGACAGCTAAGGGGAGTCCTGAAGCATGGGGAGTAGTTAGCTAGGTGCCAAGGGGAGGGGAAAGTATTCCAGGCAAAAGGAACTGCTTGTGCAAAGGTCTAGAGACAGAAAAGTTTAGACCCCGACATACACACACACACACACACACACACTCACTGCAGACACAGAGTCTCCTCCATCTTGCAGGAGTCTGAGTCAGGGAATCATGAAAGATGGGGGTAGAGAGGTAAATGGGTCAGATTACAAAGGGTCTGGTAAGCTATGCAAGGAGGTTGGACATCATTTGAAGATCAATGGGAAGCATTTGAAGAATTACAAGCTAAGGAATGATTGTTTCAAATTTGCGTTTTAGAAAGATCATGTTGGCCACATTCTGAATAATGGAGTGGGGAAACTGGAGCCAGTTAAGAGGCTGTTGCCAAACATCCAGGGGAAAACTGATACTGGCTTGAAATAAGGAAATGGCCATGGGGATGGAGAGAAATGGATGGAGGTCAAGGTCAAGATCAATGTGAAAGGTTGAGGCTGCAGCTCTAGAAATGGGAGTCACAGGTGGACAGACAAGACCCGAATCAGGGGGCAGCGGCAGCCCCTCAGGGAGACTGCATCATGCCAAGAAAGAAGGGACCAAACGTCTGATGCTGGGTTCTGTGTTTGGATCAAAAGCTGGGAGACTCCTGGGTTCCTGCCTTTGCTCCTCCCTCGCCGGCTGTGTGAATTCGGGGTGTTCACGTCTCCCCTCTGGGTTCGCTCTCCCCATTTGTAAGATACTGTGACTTGAATAGGATCAGTGATCCTTACTGTCCCATGGAGCCCTAGGAGTCCTTGGGAAGTCAGTCCTTCAGCAGCAGGGGCTGAGGTGACATTTGGTGGCTGTGGCTTGGGACTGTCACCTCCTCTTTAAGCACAGTAATTCCGCTTCAATTTGTTTTGTAATTGGCCTTCTGACTCAGCTTTGATTTGAAGAAAGGGTTCCATGACTCAAAAGAGTTTGATGAGGGATGACCTCTCGTGTTCCATCTGGCAGAAGGTAGAGCCACACCCAGTTGGGAGTTTCCCTGATACTAGGAAGAGCGACATCTCCATAAGTCAGAGGGAATTAACAACTATAGACCTTACGGCACTGTTTGGTGCAGACTCTAGATCCAAGGAAAACTCATGACCCTGCACCCAGGGGTCTAAGTGGTCTTGTCTGAAGGGTTAGCATCTCCAACCCAAGTACTCCAAGAGTGACAAATAAGATTCAGCTCTGGCAGTGGATGGTAAAGTTGCCTGGGGCTGCACTGAGGAGCACTCGGTGAGGATAAATGCTGTGATTGATTAGAAATGTCTGCTCTGGACAGTAAATGGGTGGTAATGGTGTGTGTGCCATGAATCTGCTAGCTTTGATCTAATCTTTGCTGTTTAACAGGGACATGAACTCTCATTCCCATCACGGCCCCAGGCTGCTCTATTGTGCGATCTCTTCTTTCTCCTCCTTTTGTTGTTGAGTACTTCAAAGGTCTATCCTGGCCCTCTTCCCAGTGGACCAGTCACTTCAGGAAACGAATGGGCTGCTCTCTGGAGGAAGCCAGATCACTCAATGAGTTCCCATTTCTCTAGAATTAGATGGTTAGTCATGCCGACCAGGGGCAGTAGGTGGGCTCAAGGCCAGGGAAGCACAATGCTTCTTTACTGAGCCCCCAGGGCGTGGGCCTTGTTTCCCAAAGATGTCCAAGGCCATGTTCAGGAGCCTCTTGCCACCATTGTGATCCCACTTGCTGCATCTGTGAGGGACTGCCAGTGCTAATGGTTGGGGTGGAGGCAAGAGGAAAAAAGGGCACTCTGCTACTCAGGAAATTAAAAACCTGCCATTCTCTTTAATATTTTAAAAAAGTAATCTTCATGACATAAATAAATCATGTTTATTGTAGAAAAGCTGAAAAACATGGATAAGCAGAAAGAAGAAAATAAAAGACATCTATGTTCTGATACTTACAGAAAAGCATTATTTCAACAAGTTAGTGTGTATCTTTCCAGACTTCAGCAGCTCTAGACACCAGCCCCTCAGAATGGACGATGGCTGTAGCCCTGGGGTGAGTGGAGGCCTCCCAGCTGTGCCAGGCATTAACCCTGTAGTTGCTGACTGGTGGGAAGGTCTAGGGTTCCTGGGGGTGGAGCCAGGGCAAATGGGGTGGCCTGCATGGGGCTCAAGTGATGGCTCTTTCCAACCAGACAGGAACTAGTTTGTTAACAAGCTGAGCTGGCACTTTATGGATAATTCTCAGTGGTGTCTATCCCTGCTCCTCCGAGGCTATAATTAGACATATTGGCTGGATGCAGGCCTGGGCTTAGAAATACTACTGCTGGTTGGCGTTAGGAGGGGTCACTTCCTAGTCAACGTCCCTATTTGCATTTGAAGCATTGTTGCTCCTGGCGGGTGAGTTGAGCCGCACATATCCCTTTCTCTTTTTATAAATCCATATTTCCCTCATCACTCTCTCCCCACAACAGGGACTGAGAGGTTTCCTGGAAGAAAAAGAATCTGTGATCCCTGTTTTTACTTTAGGAGTCAAGGATAAAAACAACTTCACCTTCTGGGCTAGGCTGGCCTCAATCCAGAGCACACAGAAAGGATCACAGGATTCCAGAACAGACACTCACCATAAGAGAAAACACAGCCTGCACAGGTGCCAGGACTCAGCACCCAGGCCCTGGTGGCTGGAGATGAGGGTTCCTTCTGAGCACGGTTTGAGGCTGGCACTAGAACCTTCCTGATCCAGCCACCCTAGAGGAGTGGGTACCCCATGGGGAAGATCGTGCATAAAAATTTAATGATTCTAACACTTTGGGGCTTGGGCAACATTGCTATAGGGCCCTTCTCAACTGCAGGAGTACACAGTTCTGAAGGGACAAAGAGGTATCCCCAGTTTAGGAGTCCAGCCAGCAACTGTAGATCTTATACAACCTGATCAGATCTGGGAGGGGCAGAGAATGGCATAGAACAAGCTGCAGCTATATGGTCCAGTCTGAGAGATGTGACTGAACTTCTCTCTCTCTCTGCCAGGCGACAAAGGTGCTCAGGGCTTATTTGACAAGTGGTTAAACTTAGTGATTAAGAGTACAGATTCTGGAGCCAGACTGCTTGGGTTTGAATCCCATCTCTACCACTTATTTTCTTTGTGACTTTGGGCAAGTGACTTCACCTCTCTGTGCCTCAGGTTTCTCATTTGTAAAGTGGGGGGACACATAGAGTCTATCTTAGAGAGTTGTTATGAGGATTAAATTAATATATGTAAAATTATATCTAGCTGATTGCTATGTTTGCTGACACACACATACACCCTTAGGTGGTTTTGAAGTTGTAGCATTTAGGAATGGGAACACTGGAAAAGCTGGAAATTCTTGTTAATTTGGAAGGTGAGGCTTTGAAGTGGTTCTTTTTTTTTTTTTGAGACAGAGTCAGCTGGAGTGCAATCAATGGCAGGATCTTGGCTCACTGCAACCTCCACCTCCTGGGTTCAAGTGCTTCTCATGCCTCAGCCTCCTGAGTAGCTGGGATTACAGGCGTGCACCACCACACCCAGCTAATTTTTGGATTTTTAGTAGAGATGGGGTTTCACCATGTTGACCAGGCTGGTCTCGAACTCCTGGCCTGAAGTGGTCCACGCGCCTCGGCCTCCCAAAGTGCTAGGATTACAGGTGTGAATCACTGTGCCTGGCCCAGGAGTGGTTCTTAAATTTGAGGATGCATCAGCATCATCTGGAAGGCTGCTTGTTAAAGCACAGATTTCTTGGCCCCACCCCCAGTCAGTCTGGGGTGGGACTGAGCATCTACACTTCTCACAAGCTCCCAGATGATGCCCATGCGCTGTGGTCCACAGATCACACTTGGAGCAACACCAGTTTTGAATATTGTTATAAATCTATTTTATTTCTTCTTTTTACTGAGTATAATCTTCTCTGACATTTTGTAACCAGACTGTAAACTTGACAAGGGCAGGGGCCATGACCTTACTCACCATTGAATACACAGCGTCTGACATGCTGTAGATACCCGATAAATATCGGCTGAAAGGAGGATAGCAGCACGCTTTTTGCACTCAACAATGTTCTTGTGTACATTTTTCGTGTTAATAAATATTCTCCCACAACATTGTTTGGTTGGTTGCATAGTTTTCCCTTGTATGGTTGTAAGTGAGAGAACAACTTGAGCTTGCTGGAACAAAAAGGAAGAATTCAGTCTAAGTAGGCAGGGTGCCTCAGCGACTGGAACCAGGAAGCTGAGAACCAACAAAAGGATCTTTCCTATTGCCTCCCATCTGCATCCCCCTGTGATGGCTTCATTCCCTTTCCCGGGCTTTTGTGACTTTTCTGTCCACATGACATCCAAGATGGCTGCTTACATCTCCCAGATCTCTTGTTACAGCACCTGCCATGTGGTCAGTCTGTCTGTCTGCCCTTTAGTCTCTCTCCTAGTAACTCCATTAGGGACTCTGGCCCTGCTGGGGTCAGTGCTCACCCCTCATCCAATCAAGGAGGAGGGCCATATTCAAATATGGCTGCCAGGTGCCCCTGTGGTGGTAGTCGGGGGACTGAGTACAAGAAAAGTGGGGCCTGGTGATCGCCAAACGATCCACTCTAAATTGCCTTCCATTCATCTTCTCATCCCTCTCTTTAAACCTGATTTCAATTTCAATCTGGTGACCAGGATTTGGTTTCTGTGGACTTTTCTGGGCTCAGAGCAGGGATTTGACTGACTTAACCCCATCTCTCTTCCATTAGCGATAATGGCCCATGGCAGCGTCACAGGTTTGTCTGATGTCTTTGAACATTTAATCCACACAACGTGATTTTGAGGGAGGCAGGAGGTTTCACCCAATGAGGCCTGTTTAGTACCAGCAAGTCTGCTCATGATCCGAAATGCAGCTGAAAAAATAAATATAATTAAAAAGATAACTCAGGCCAGCGTTCCCAGAGACTGTTTTACATGGGCGCATAATGAATGCTAAACTCAGTGCAGCAGTGCCAAAAAGCAAAATAAATTCTTGGAGTTGGTCTGTTTCCTGCCTGCAATACATTTGCTTGTTCCAAACAAATATATTTGTCAATACAACACAATTAGGAAGGCTGAGCCAATCAGACCATCAAATATCCAGAGAAGCAGAACGTGGCTTCCATACACTTTGCCAGATGGAGCCAAGGTCTGGGCGTGTTATGACCAAATCAATTACAGCCCGGGCAGGCCTTACATTCCCTTCCAGGACAAGCTTCCTCATCTCTTCTAGTTACCGAGGGAGTTCTGACTTTTTCTCCCTTTCCTTCTCTCTAGTATTAATAACCTTGAGGCCCCTCCTTCCCAATCTTTTGGTTAATTTACCATTTTTTTTTTTTTTTTGGCTAATAGCTAGAAACAACTTTTGACATATATAGTTTGTAGAATGAGGGCCTACCAAAATAGGACTAATAATGAGTATTTATAATAATAGCTACCATTTATTGCACAGATGCCAGGCATTTCACACTCGCGGTTTCTCCTGACCCTCACAGCAATCCTGGGATAGGTATTACTAGTTTCATTTGATAGGTGAGGAAACAGGCTCAGAGAGGTCAAATGATTTGTACAAGGCCACACAGCTAGTGAGTGACTGAGCTGAGGTTAAAACTCTGCTCTTTCTAATGCTTGAGCTTGTGTTAGGACTATTGATGTTAAAAGACATAGAATCTAACCCAACCTGGCTTTAAACAATAAGGGGATTAAACGGCCTTTGAGCTGATAGCCCAGGTGTGAACTTCAGGCAAGGCTTAATCCAGCCACTCTAATGACGTCTTCAAGGACCTGGCTTCTCTCTGCTCTGCCTGCCTTCATCCTTAGGCTCCTCACCATTGGCTTCTATAGCCCACACCTCTGAGCTCTTCCTTCAGGAAAGGAAATAATGACAGCAGCTACATCCTTTAAATTCTTAAGCCTCATCAGTCTGGAGAAGAAAGAATGTCCCCTCTGGTAGTACCCACAGAAGAGAGAGGAGCTTCTACTTTCAAACTCTTGGCATTCCATTTGCTTGGGTTAAATTAGGTGCCCATCCTTGAGCCATAGCACCTGGCTTAGGGATATGACGTGTTGGTTAGTTTAGATTGATCAGGCCCCTCTCTGGAGCTGGGGTGGTCATCTGTCTTGCAAGAGCCTCAAGGCTGAGCAAGGGGAGGGACAGAGATCCTAGAGCAAACCTGGGTGCTGTCATCGGAATAGGGGCATGAATTGGCAGAGGGGATGGCTTAAATAGTTAACCAACTGGCCTGGCACAGGCACTGACCAATTAGAACAGATGCTGGCTATGAAGACTCATTAGCCATTTGCTATTCAAAGTGGGCTCCTTGGACAGCAGCATCAGATCATTTGGGAGCCTGTTGGAAATGCAGGATCTCTGGACCCACTCCCAACACACTGAATCAGAATCCGTACTTGAACAAGATCTCTAAATCTTTAACAAGATCTAGCAAAGTTTGAGCAGTGCCGATTTAGCAGAGTGATGGAGCATGATAAATACATAAATGCATGATAAAGTGCCTGGCATGTGGTGGGTGCTTAATAAACATAGTTCCCTTCTTCCCATCCCAAATGTTTGCAAATGGGGAAACTGACTATCTTAGTCTGTTTTCTGTTTCAATAACTGAATACCTGAGACTGGGTAATTTATGAAGAAAAGAAATTTGTTTCTTACAGTTCTGGAGGCTGAACGTCCAAGATCACATGTGGTAAGGGCCTTCTTGCTGATGGGATTCTACAGAGTCCTGAGGTGGCGCAGGGCATCAAATGGCTCATGAGAGATGAGGGGCTCAGGAAAGACGGCCAAACTGATTTTTATTACAGACCCATTCCCGGGATAACTAACCCATTCCCTCAATAACCCATTAATCCATTACTCCACGGATGGATTAATCTGTTCATGACAGCACAGCCCTCATGACCCAATCACCTCCCAGATGTTGCACTTCTCAATGCTGCTGCATTGGGGATCAAGTTTTCAACCTATCAACTTTTGGGGAACACAGTTAAATTGCAGCATTGACCCAGCAGGATTTCTACATGCCTAAAACATAGACATGGACTCTGATGCCCTGAGGGCTAGCCTGGGGCTTGGCTTTTCTCAGTACATCAGAGGTTCTAAACCCAGGCTGCACATTAGAATCCTCTAGTGAATTTTTAAAAATCTTGACGGCCAGGCATCACCCCAAATCAAGTCAGTCAGTATCTCCCAGGGGAGATCCAAGCATCAGTACTTTTAAAAGTTCCTCAGTCAATTTCTATGAGCAGCCAAGGTACAGAACCAGTGCCTCCCACTTTGCTGCCTTCTGAATTCATTAAACTGTAAGAAGGCTCTGCTTTCAACAAAAGGGTCTGCTTTGAACACTTCTGGGTGGCTGGCTACAAACCCAAGGGTGATGGTTCCTGTCTTCGAACACTGAGCATGTGCTCTGACATGGCTGTGCCTGGTAACACAGAGGAGTGCCTGGTAACACAGAAGAATCTGTGCTGACTGGCTCCAGCTTGCACTTCTCAGATATCTGGTAGAGGTTCAGTTTCTGAGCCAGGGAACCAACAGGCATGGACCCATAGCCTAGACTCCAGGGATTCGGCAGGGCAGGTGGGGAGCAATGATCACCTCTGCAATTCTGCACCGCCAGGTCCCCAGATGCATACTCAGAAGTCCTGGACCCCTGGGGCATCTGGCGAAACCTCTGGACTCTTCTCAGAAAAAAAAAATTTTTTGTTTTACATAATAAGACTAAGGAGACTAGGCATGGTGGCTCACACCTGTAATCCCATAACTTTGGAAGGCTGAGGCAGGAGGATGGCTTGATCCCAGTTCGAGACCAGCCTGGGCAAGAGCGAGACATCTTCTCTAGTTCGAGACCAGCCTGGGCAACAGTGAGACGTCTTCTCTATTAAAAATTAAAAATAAAATTAGCCAGGTGTGGTGGTGCACACCTGTAGTCCCAGCTACTTGGGAGGCTGAGGTGGGAGGATCACTTGAGCCCAGGAGGTCAAAGCTGCAGTGAGCCATGATCATGCCACTGCACTCCAGCCTGGATGACAGAGCAAGACTCTGTCTCAAAAAAAAAAAAAAAGTACTAAGGAAAGAAATAGTTTTGAAATACAATTATCATCTGGGCATGGTGGCTCACAACCTGTAATCCCAGCACTTTGGGAAGCTGAAGTGGGCAGATCACTTGAGGCCAGAAGCTCAAGACCAGCCTTGCCAACATGGTGAAACCCTGTCTCTACTAAAAATACAAAAATTAGCCAGCGTGGTGGCACGCGTCTGTAATCCCAGCTACTCGGGGGACTGAGGCACAAGAATCGCTTGAGCCTGGGAGGTGGGGGTTGCAGTAAGATGAGATTGCACCTTGCACTCCAGCCTGTGACAGGGGGAAACTCTGTCTCAAAAAAAATATGCAATTATCAAGATATTAAAAAGAAATGTACATATATGCTTCTTCTTCTTCTTTTTTTTTTTTTTTTTTACATATGTGCTTCTTTATGAATGCGTTAAATGAGAAGGTCTGGCAGTGTGTCTCACAGCTACCAGAAGCTTGAAGTGGTGCTGAACATGCATAATGTGCTGAGACGTCTGCAGCAACTGTCCTTCCATAGGTAACTATCTGTGATTTCTACTGGTGACAGTCACAGGCGCTGCTAATCTGACTGTAGTTTGTCACATTTACAATGGAGACAAATGCTGAACTTTGGTTAGAAGTTAGTGAAAATAATGATTCCACCCAAGTCCACTGACCCTCTGAATTCTATCCACAGACTCCTTGGATTTCGTGGTCCCAGGCTGAGAAAGCTTGGGGTAGAGAAATAGGGCTGAGGGCAAATCGCTGGCTGCAGCCGTGCTGTGGAAGGTGAGTGCCACTGGGCATAGCATGTCTCCATCAGAAGATGCAATCCGTTTTTCTCCTAGGTCCTGGATGCTGAGGTTTCAAGGGAGAAGAGGTGTGTGTCCTGGGGCTAGGGGTGTGTACGGAAGGGATTCAGAGCTTCTGAGACGAGCATGCCAAGGTTCTCATCCTAGCTCTTTTCGACACTGGTACTGTCACCCAAGCATGCTGCCTAACCTCTTCAGACTTCAGTTTCTTAATCTATAAAATGGCGCTCCTAAAGCCTGCTTCAAGGGTTTCCGTAATAATGAATGACAAATGCTTAGCACGGTAGCAGTGAACTTACTAGTTAGGTGTGCCAGCTGTGTAATCTTGCACAAGCCCTTGACTTCTCCAGGACTTGGTTTCCCTACCTGTAAAATAGGCTACAAGTGCCTGCCTTATTGTGAGGATGCAGAGCCTGGCACCAAAAGACAGCCCCATACACAGTGGCCGGACAGCTGAGGGCCCCAGGCAGCCCACAGGACTCCACACACAGCAGCTCTGGAGACTGCTTCCTTGGCCAGACTGTGCAGGGGACCAGTTGCAGGGGCTAGTCCTGGAGGATTCTCGGCAACCTTAACTCCTCAGGTGCACCAGTCAGTCCCTGCAGTGAGGGCCTTGGCCAGGTGTGTGGGGACGGGTGGGGAGGAAAACACCTGGGGAAGGGTGAGCTGTTGTAGCTGGCTCCCACTCCCCTGGACTGGGTGTCTCAGGACCCTGTGTCTAGAGCCCCAGCCTCTCCCACCGTGTTGGCTCTGACTCAGCCGTGCCTGTAGGGACACCTGGAGACCAGCCAAGCCAGACCCCAGCTAGCAAGCACTAGAGCCCTGGATTTTTTTTTAAAGAAAGAACTCAGCTGGGGTGTCACCTTCCCAGCCTCTGCCCCTTTCAGTCTGGAGTCTTTCATTTTCCCTCTGTTTCTTTCTCTTTCTGTGAATGAGGCTGTACCTTGCTTCTATTTCTCTCTCCCAGTCCCTCTACCTGTCTGCCTCTGCCTCTCTCTCTCTCTCTCTCTCTCTCTCTGCATTTATCTGTTTTTCTCTCCCACCCTCTCTTTCCCGGTCCTCTGTTTATTTAGTCAGTTTCTCTCCACTGTCTGACTGTCTTTCTATCTCTTTCCGTTCCTATCTTTGCTTCTCTCTGTCTCAATGTCTGCCTGTCTGTTTCTGTCTCTTCCTCTCTCCATGTCCCCGTCCCCTCTCCACCACGCATTTGACATAGGGCACTGAGTGACTGTGGAGGACAAATGCGTCCCGAAGTTTCCCTCCACTCCCACTTAGAAGGCAGAGCCTGCAGAGGAACAAATGGGACAGGGCACATAGGGCGCCTGGGACCTCTGAGTGTACGAACAACCTTAGCGATGACTTCTGTTTCTGTTAGACTGTGAACTCCTTGAAGACAAGAGCACATCTGAATTACCTTTGAATAATCAATAACTAGCACAGGGCCTGGTATGTTGCTGATGTTCAGTAAACATTTATTTACATGAGTAAGTGATAGAATGAAAAAAAACACATTTTTTTTTTCTATCAAGTAAAATTTACTCATGACCATTTTGGGCTATCAGGACCTCTTTTTTTTTTTTTTTTTTTTTTTTTTTTTTTTTTTTTTGAGATAGGGTCTTGCTCTGTCGCCCAGGCTAGAGTGCAGTGACATGATCACGGCTCACTGCAACCTTGACCTTCAGGGCTCAAGTGATCCTCCTACCTCAGCCTCCCAAGTAGCTGAGACCGCAGGGGCATGCCGCTATGCCCGCTAATTGTTAAAATTTTGTAGAAACGGGGTCTCACCATGTTGGCAAGGCTGATCTCAAACCCCTGGGCTCAAGCGATCTTCCCGCCTTGGCTTCTCAAAGTGTTGGAAATATAGGTGTAAGCCACTGAGCCTAGCCTGTCTTTATCATTTTAAGTGAGTGCCCCCTCAGATAGAGAAACCAAAGTCAGTTTTTAAACCCTTGCTTTTTTAACTCTAATCCTCCTGGCACCATCACCACCCCTTAAACCTCCCATTCCAGAATATTCCAGAATGTACCAGGCTGTTCTTAGCTGTAGGGTCTTTGCACTTTTGATTCTCCCTGCTAACTCCTGTTCATTCTTTCCATTTCCTCGTGGATGTACCATTCTCCTTCCCTGACTGCCAGGCTAGATTTGGCTTTCCCCTTCTGTTCTTCCACAGTAGGCCATGCACACACCTACTTAACTTGCCTCCTCCCTCTGAACTGTAGGCTGCTTGAGGGAAGGGAGTGGGGCTTTCCTCACCTTATCTAGGACCTCGCACGGGTCCTGTAGTTCCTACAAGTTTGCCAATACGTCCTGAGCATTGTAACTCCTGGGGAGTTGCTGGGAAGTGCCAGTGGCTAAGTGATAGCTCCTAGCTCTATCTCTAGTTTTTAGCAGTTAAAAGACAATCTTGTCCAAGAATGAGAAGACCACACAAAATGCAGGTGGAGGAGACCAGTCTGGGGAAGCCACTTCCGGGCACCCAGGAACGCCTTGCTGGCTGTACCTCGGCTGGGGCAGGAGCCCGCACGAGAGTTACTTGCCCTTCAGCTTCCATGTTAGACAGGTTGGTTCTCAGCCAGGCTGAGCCCCAGGCACAGAAATAACTACCTGCTCAGACTGGTGGTTCCACCCCCCATCTCCTGCAATATTTTTTCAACAGGAGGAAGTGAAATGAATTAATTATGAGCCGTGTGTGTTCACATGCATGCGTTCTGTTGCCGAGCTCCCGTTCTTGAAATGTGCAATCCCAATTGCAAATGAAACGCTCCCATCCTACCCCGTGCTCCAGAGGGTTTTCATAACAGCGCCTTTGTGGGCTCCCTTGAATGTCTGCCATGCCAAGGAGGCCGCACATTCCTCCGGCGGCTGCCTCGCTGGGCTTTGAGGAAATCTGCTGGCGGCAGCCCCAGTTTGCAGGAGGTGGGAGGGCATGTCGGAAACGTTGCTCTTAATCTGCCCATCTCCCCTTGAGCCCCCAGCAGCCCAGGGAGGAGGGGTTCAGATAAAGCCACATGCAGCAGGCAGATTAAGAGCTGCTGTTTTTATCGCTGCTTTCAGAGTCTCATGTCACATGGGCATTAGCAAGCAGGGGCGAGCAGGGGGGCACGCAGGGATGGGGGAGAAGGGCTGGCACCGCCCACCCCAGCAGCCGTCATGGCCCTGCCTGGAATCACTCGTGGGCAGCTGTAGCAAGGAGTGAAAGACAAAAATGATCCTGAATTGTGGCCTGGAAATATGAGCTTTGTATAGAGGCTCGTGGTGTTTAATGTTCAGAATATTAAATGTAACTGTGATGATAATGACAGCAACTGACATTCACTGTACGCTTACTAAATATTTTTCATATATTATTTAAATTGATCTTCATCATAAGTCTGTGGTGCAGGCACTGCTCTGATTCCCATTTTTCAGGGGGAGCCTTAAAGGAGGTCAGGAATGTGTGGGGGTCTCATGGTAGTCAGCAGTGGAGGTGGGACTTGAACTCGAGGAGCCTGGCTTAGGAGCCTGCGCATTGGCTTTCTCCTCCTTAAAGCCAGGGTGGGCTACAGCAGACAATACTGTTTAGAAGAGCACATGATGGACTTCAGCCTGTCACAGAGCTGTGTTCAGCTTCCAGCTCTGCAGCTTCCTACCTGGGGGCTCTCAAGAGGGTCGCTTCACCTCTCAGGGCCTCAATTTCCTCTGTGTGATACCTGGAGAAGCACACCTGTCTCACAGCTGCTGTCACGATTGAAGAATATAACACATATAAGGTGCCTGGTGGGCATCAAATTGCATCCCTCCAAAAAGATATGTTGAAGCCTTAACCCCCAGTTCCTGAGAATGGGACTTTATTTGGAAATAGGATTGTTGCAGATGTAATTAGTTGAGGTCACTGGGTGAGATGGGCCCTTTCCAATGTGGTTGGTGTTCTTAAAGGGGGAAATTGGGACACAGAGCCAGATACACACAGAGCTAAGACTCAGAGAAGATGGGCCTGTGAGGGCAGAGGTAAGTTATGTGGCCACAAGCCAAGGAACACCGATGATTGTTAAGAACTGCCTTGGCAAGGTGGATTCTTTCCCAGAGCCTTCAGAGGGAGCACAGCCCAGCTGAAGCCTTGATTTTGGACTAGCCTCCAGGACTGGGAGAGAATACACTGTCATTTAAAGCCACCCAGTTTTTGGTACAGTCATCACTTGGTATCCATGGGGGATTGGTTTCAGGACCCCCGTGCACCCAAAATCCAAGGATACTCAAGTCCTTGATATAAAATGGCATAGTATTTGCATATAAACTATGCACACCTTCCTATATACCTTAAACCATCTCCAGATTCCTGATAATATCTAATACAATATAAATGCCACGTAAGTACTTGTTATGTCATATTGTTTAGGGAATAATGACAGGAAAAAAAAGTCTGTGCATGTTCAGTACAGATGTAGTTTTTCCCCCTGAATATTCTTGATTCCATAGATGTGGAACCCACAGATGCAGAGGGCTGACCGTGCTTTGCTATGGCAGCCTGAGCAAATGAAAGCAGTGCTAATGATCATAGAGGCCGCCAGTGCCTGCACTTCTTCTCCAGGCCACCCTGGAGTCACCTGCAGCTTGGTGTGCACAGCATGGCTCTTACCTCAAGCACCAGTGTCTCCCTGCCCAAAGGTTCTCTCTGAATGCAGAGCAAGCCTAGCAGGGCACCGAGGAGGCTGCAAGTGCCAAGAATGAATGCCCTGTGAACAGCCCTCAGTCAGTGAGGACTGCGAGCTGCGGGGTGGATACCCAGCCTCCCTATCTCTGGACAGGATGATTTTGAGTTGTAATCTATGCAGCCTCTCAGAGAATGTCCAGGGGGATTGAGCTCCAGTTGCTCATAGTGGTAACTCATTTATTAATGTCACCTTCCATCCTTATTTCCCTTCCCTTCTCTCCTACTGGTGCTTCCTAATATCACCTCCTAATAAACTGTACTCCAAGCCTTGTCTTGGGGTCTGCTTTGGGGGAGAACCAAGAGAAAGACAGGCATGGGATGATACTCAGTCAAACAGCCCCTGCTTTATCTTCCTGATTACAATTTCAGCCAGAGGCTGGCATCCTTGAGCTAAATGGACCAGTAGCTAGTCTTTGACCAACTGGGAAACTTTGAAGACCCTAAAGGTCCCTGCCCCCAGCAAAAAGCTCTAGCATCTTAGGGAGATGAAGATGACATCAACGATGATGGAGACGGCAATTTACAGGAGTGGGGAAATGACATTAATCAGAATTCTTGGGCACAGCCCTTGGGAGGCTGCTGTCTGGTGGGACTACTCCCCACAGAATCTCAGGGAAGGCTAAGCTGTTGCTTCTCAGGGGCCATTTGAGGCAGAGGGTCATGGGTGGGGAGCCTGGGCTTTTAGAAGGGAGCAGAGGCCAGGGGAGAGATGGTGGGACTCCGAGGGAGAAGATGTGGGCAGGATAATCTCTCCTGGTGACTCCTCAAGCCTTCTGGAAAGTTACTAAGCTGTGCAATTCATGCAGGTGGCAGGATTCTTGTAAAGCAAGTGAAGGGGCCAGGGTCCATGTACAGTCCAAACTGAGCAGGCACAGCAGACACAAAGGTGGAGAAGTAAGGTGGGCAACCTGTTGCCATTGTGGGAAGGGCCCTGGCATCATGCAGGCTGGGTGCAGGGGTCTGAGCCGAGTTGACCCAAATCCCAAGGGACAGAGTAGCATGGAGCAGACATTGGTCATTTGTGGCTGCCCATCACTCAGAAACCCTCTTCCTCCATTTTAGGCAATTTTCCTTGTTTTGAGTCCAGCCTTAACAGGATGGAAGGAAGCAGACATGCATTGCTGGACTCCCTGGCATTTCACAACATGACCCTGCAAGGGCCTGCACATTCGAGGGCCCCACGGGAGCCCAGTGTTCAGAAGTGAGCACTCCGAGGACACGGCCACACAAAGGGAACCCCATCATCTGGCAAGCACAGTGGCCAAGGAATTCTGCCCTTCAGGGGCAGTCGAGAGGGGCCCTGGATAGTGGTTCTGTGTGTCTGAGGAGCTTTCCTCAATGACAGAAGAGCAGTGTTTTCTCAGAAGTCCCCACGGTGTGGCCGGACATGGCTCCTGGCTGTGAAGCTTCAGAGTGGCCTTCCGTACATAGTCCTCCTCGGGTTGCTGTGCTGTGAGCGAGCTTATCTCCTCTAATACATTATTTTTTTTTCTGGTTAAGCAAGCGTGAGTAGATTCTGTTATTTGTCCTTAACAATCCTGCCCAATATGGGTCTGAGTGACTTCTAGATCTCAAAAATAACAGTCAACATTTACTGAGGGTTTAGTAGGAGGCTGGCTGTATCTTACATAGCTTGCATGCATTATTTCAATAGATTATCCCAACAACCACATATGACAGAGGGGGGAGCCTGTGGGGAACTGGATGGCAGGCTCAGGGCTGTATAGATCCAAAACTTGTTTTTTTCACCATCTCTTGGAACCACTGGGCCTGCAACTTTCTTCACTTGCCATGACGGCTGACAGCCTTATTTTGTGTACTGGTGCCCAGATGAAAATTCTCCTCCTTCTTTTTTCTCCCTTTCCACTGCCCTAATGATGAACGCCCGTTGCTAAAAGAAAAGAAAGCTCATGTCTTAGGCTGAATGCATCAAATTATGGTAAAAAGGAGGGTTGGAAGTTGGGAAGATGATCTTTATCTTTCCCACATTTAGCTGAGTAGAAACGATATTGAGTCAAGTCCTGCTATCAAATAGGAATGTCTCCTACCCAATACTCCAAAAATAGGCCATAATCCATACTGGTGGTCACCAAAGATTGAGCTCCGTAGTCATTACTTTTGAGCTCTTTCTGAGGCTGAGAGTACTGCAGATGCACTGAAGAGGATTTTTAGACCCATTTAATAACAGCATGCAGAAGATAAACAAGAAGAAACAATAGCTAACATATGTTGGGATCTTACTACCTGCCAGACACTGCACTCAAGCCTCCTTTTATTTATTATCGATTAGGTGCTATTATTAATAGCCTCAATTTACAGAGAAGGTGCAGTTTGCCTGGGGCCACCCAGTTGGGAAATGGCAGAGCCAGGGTACAGCTGGGAGCAAGTCTCTTAGCTCTTGGGAGGTTTCGTGACACCTCCCAAGAAGTACTGCCTTAAATCCCCCCATTGATTTTAACTCATGTCTTGATTTCCGAAATGTTACAAAATGAAGGGGCATGCATCTTGGAGATGAGGAAATATGGAGGCGCTAAACTCATGGGGGAGCCCTGGGAAGGCTTCCATAATTCACTGCTGCCTCTCCCTCCTTATCAGGGAGGGAAGGGAGGTAAGGATGAGATGTCTTGGGGGCTGATGGCTCAGCAGAACCGAATTCATCTCCGTCTCTCTCTGAGGCTTCTATTAGCCTGGACTGTACCTGTCCTTGTGGTGAAGCCGGCCTTAGAGTAGAGACTGAACTGGACCCTGCTGGTCAATGCAGAACTTTTCCTTAGCTGATGCAATCCTGGGTCTGTGCTGATTCTAAAACCCTGGAAAGCCTCCTCAAGGGGCTGAATCACACTCCCCTTCTCTTTTAATTATTCAGGACCTGACACGCTGACTGGGAATACATCACTCAGAGTACATGGCTGGTAAGATTAAATATTAGAGGAAACTCTTTTAATTAATTTTTAATGCGTTCTTTAGAACAATTCTTCATACCTAACCACACACCGAAACAGAGTACTTAAAAGAAAAATTAACGTTTAGGATCTCAGGGGCTTGTAGGTCTAGACAGCCCCTATTTGGGTTGCCTCTAAGCTACATATCAGGGTGCACTAGTGACTACATCCATGGCATGGGATGAGCAGGTGTCCTGATTTTACTGGGACAGTCCCAGCTTATGCCTGTTTTCCCAGTGTACTTATTATTAGTGCCCCCTTTCCTCCTAAAAGTCTTCCAGTTTGGATGCTAAAGGATATAGTCACCCTACTTAAAGGCCATCACTCTCCCTTTCCTTGCCAGTGGCAGACATCACTAGTTCATCACAGCACCATTTCTGTGCTCAGTTCACGTGCATCTCCAAAACACATTCTCTGTACAACCCTCCAGGCAGCCACTCTGAGCAATCAAAGTTGGCTTTGAGATGAATCCTATTTTTCTTTCCTTAGAAAGCCGTTTACACCATTTTTTTTTAATTAAAAAAAAAATTAGAGTCAAGGTTTGTACTCTGTTGCCCAGGCTGGAGTGCAGTGGCACAATTATAGCTCACTGCACCCTCGAATTCCTGGACTCAAGGGATCCTCCTGTCTCAGCCTCCTGAGTAGCTAGGACTACAGCTGTGTGCCATCAGACCTGGACACTTTTTTAATGTTTAATTTTGTAGTAATGTGTCTTGCATATTGCCCAGGATGCTCTCGAACTCATGCCCTTAAGCAATTATCCCACCTTGGCCTCCCAAAGCACCGAGATTACAAGCATGAGACATTGCTCCTGGCCTGAATTATTATATTTTTTAATTTCATCTCTATCTTTATCTTTAAACCCTTTTTCCATTCAGGGCCTTACTTTTTTTCTATGGGACCACTATTGTCATTTTATGTGGGGCAATTCATTGTGGGTGACTATCTGAAGCATTGTAGAACATTCAATATCCCTGGTCCTGTTGGCACTAAATGCCAGTAGCACAATCTCTCCCACTCCCCAAACCTGGTCATTCTGACAAACAAAAAACAAAAATATGTCCACCCTGCCCTACTCTCATTTTCAAAACACCCCCAGGGGAACAGTACTGCCCTGGGTTGGAGATATAGGCAAGTAGTAAGAACTACACAAGTCCAAAGAATGTTGCTTTGGTTATCTACTGCTGCACAATAAATCCCATTTTCTCCCTCCTCTCCAAAGAATTTCGTGATTTAAAACAACAACAATTTTTTTTTAATCTATCTTCTCACAGTTTTGCAACTTTGGCAGGGTTTGATGGGCAGCTCAACTGGCACTAGAGGCTTTTCCAAGAAAGCTCACTCACATAGCAGGCAAACCGGTGCTGGCTGCCAGCTGTGAGCTCAGCTGGGGCTGCTTCAGTTTTCCTTCATGTAGGCTCCTCCACAAGGCTGCTTGGGCTTCCTCACAGCAAGGTGGCTAAGTTTCAAAGAGGAAGTGGAAGCTGCTGTTCTCTTAAAAGTGAGGCCTGGAGCTGGCATGTAGTCACTTCTTCCATATTCCATTTGTGAAAGCAGTCACAGGGGCAGCCCAGGTTCCGAGGATGAAGAAAATAGACCCCACTTCTCAGTGGGGCAATAGAAATAATTTTAATTTGTTTCATGTTTCTTTACATTATCTCATTTTGAGAATCACGATAATCTCAAAAAAAGTAGACTGGCAGATCCCTTGGATTCTCCCACTTTATAGGTGGTAAAACTGAGGCTCTGAGGCGTGACTTGCCCAGAGCAGATAGGTAGTTAATAAGCCATGACTTTGGAATGGAAGGGAGGGCCGTGGTAGGCTCTGAGGTATTCTTCTGATCTCCTTAGAACCAGTGTATCGTAGGCCAAGTCAGACGGAGACAGAGGGTGTGACTTGTATGAGGATCTGTTTCTTGGTAGCTCAGCCCTGGCATTGCTCTTGGCTGCCTTAGCCTCATCCACTGTGCCCAGGTGCCCCCACAGTCCCAGGGTCTCTGTTTTAGTCTGTCTTTTGTTGCTTTTAACAGACTATCTGAAACTGGGTAGTATATGAAGAAAAAAATATTTCTCATATATATGGAGGCTGAGAAGTCCAAGATCCTGGGGCCACGTCTGGTGAGGACCTTCTTGCTGATGGGGACTCTGTAGAGTCCTGGGATGGCTCAGGGCATCACAGGGCGAGGGGACCGAGTGTACTAGTCCAAATCTCTCTTCCTCTTCCTATAAACCCACCAGTCCCACTGCCATGATAATCCATTAACCCATTCATCCATTCCTGAGGGCAGAGCTCTCATGACCTCTTAAAGGCTCCACCTCCCAATCCTGCCACATTGGAGATTAAATTTCAACATGCATTTCGGAGGGGACAAACGTTCAAACCATAGCAGCCTCTTTCATTTACTCATTTGCCAAACATTTATCGAGCATCATCAGGTGCCAGACACTGTGCTAGACCTGGAAGATTGCGAGGTGAATGAGAAATAAATGGCTTTGGTGTCCCCACAGTCTTGAAGGGAGACAATAATGACTTGATGGCACAAACCAGGGAGAAGCAACATCTGCGAGGAGAGCCATAAGGGGAGAGAACATGGGGGCTGCAGGCATGCATATGGTGGGAGCTGGCCTGTCAGGGGTGGGGGGAGGTGTCCTCGAGGAAGTGACACTTAAGCTAAGATCTGAAGGCCAGGGAACAAACAAGGAGGCGAAGCGAGAGGGGATGGGGAGGATGTTCCAGGCTGAGAGGCACCATATGCCCTGGTGGGGGTTTCAGGGAGCTCGAGTGTGTTTGGTGGCTAATCACAGAGAGTGGTGCAAGAGATCCGTGGAGGAAGGAAGGGACCAGATGGGGCAGGACCTGGTGGGCCAGTGAGGGATGCTCTTCTGCTTGTTATTCTTGTGTGTTATTTTGAGAACAATGGAAAACATCTTGTTTTGGAAAGATTCTCCCAGCTGTAGCTTGGAGAATGGATTGGAGGGACAAAAATGCATTTGGGGAGCATGGGCCCCTCAGCCCCTGCTGAGGAAGCAGCTGGAGATAGTGCAAAACATGCTGACCAAAGTAGTCTCTTCTCCATGCTCCATAATGCTTCCTGCCCACCCACCCCACCTTCAGCCCCAGTGAGTTGTTAGTGGTTGAGATGGGGCTCTGCTCCACAATGCAGGGGCTCCCACATTCTAAGCATCTTGCCCTTTCCATATGCTCCAAAATACAAGGCCAGGAATAGGATGAAGTGAGTAAGGTACAGGGAACAACATTCACCCAGGCCTTTCTTCTTGGTCTGCATTTTGCAACCCAAAGAGTGAGCGCCTCTGTAAATTTTGTACTCTAGGTGCCTCCCTGACCTCCCTCTAGTCCTGGCCCTACCAAGATAGTTTATCACCAGACTCACATTGTGTGGGCAGGAAAGGGAGAGCAGGTAGAGGAAGCGTGCACCTTCCTTGTTGGGGCATGACCCATGGTTGTACATTTCACTTCCCTACACATCCCGTTGGCCAGAACAGTCAACAGCCATATGTAGCTGCCAGAGAGTTGCACACGTCATTTTGATTCTGGGCAGCCATGTGCCTGGCTAACGTTTGGGCTTCTGGAAGGGTAGAAGGAGAAACAGATAGGTCTGCCCACACTTCCGGATTAGAGAGGCTTTCCAGTGGTGGTTAGGGAGACAGGTGAGCTTTAAGGCTGCACAGGTTGGATTCAAACCTCAGTTCTGCCAGCTCCTGGACAAGTAGTCTTGGACAATTTAGCTCCAAGCCTCCTCTCTTCATCTGTAAAATGGGGATGGCCATAGAACTTGTTACATAGGGTACTAGGAAAAGTTGATTTTGGTTATTAAATGTCAAACAAATTCCAGAAGCACAAGCTGAGAGAAAGCTAGGAGCTCATCTAGCCCAGCCCCTATCCACCACTTTAAAAACGAGGCAATTGGGGATGGTGGTCCCAGCTACTGGGGAGGCTGGGGTGGGAGGATCACTGGAGCCCAGGCGTTCGAGGCTGCAATGAACTATGATTGTGCCACTGCACTGAAGCCTGGGCAACAGAGTAAGACTCCATTCCAAAAGGAAAGGAAAGGAAGGAAGGAAGGAAGGAAGGAAGGAAAGAAGGAAGGAAGGAAGGAAAGAAGGGAGGGAGGGAGGAAGGGAGGGAGGGAAGGAGGGAAGGAAGGAAAGAAGTGTGAGGAAATTGGGCATCAGAGTGGAGAAGAGCTTGCCAAGATTACTTGCAGTGGAGCAAGAGCTTGCCAGTGATTGGGGGAAACTGGAGTCCCAGCTCCATGGGAACCCTACTTTCCTGAATGCCTGTTCCACAGCAGCTCCTTCCTGAAGGAGAGGGTGTTCAGGATTCATATGGGAAATGAGTGGGTGGGTGGGGACAGAAGACAGAGGAGCTAGGAGGGAGACTTGGAAACTTCTGGGCTCCGGCTACATTCAGAGTTAGCTCTTCCTCCCCTCCCCTCCATGCCCTCTCCCTGTCGTACCTCGCCTCCTTCCTCCCTGCTCCTTTCTTCTTTCTCTCCCTCCTACTCCTTCCCTCCTCCTCCTTCCTCCCTGCTCTCCAACCTTCTCTCCTGCTGCCCTCTCCCTCCTCCTCTTCCTTCCCCACTACTGCCTCCTCCTTCCGGCTAGCTCCTCCTCCCTTTCCCCCTATGTGCCCTTCTGTCCCTCCCTCCATCTATGGCTCATGATGGAAAGCCCCCAGTGTAGCACCTTGAGTGAAAATATCCCCATAAATCCTATGCCCCAGCTCTCGGAGCATTTGGAATTTTGGCAAGTAGACAAACACTGGCGGCCTTTCCTACCCAGCATCCTGGAAGGAGGCCCTGCTGGCCACTGGCGGGGCTCAGGCCGCAGGTTTCTGATGGGCCCTTTCTCTGGGCACCTTCCCCTCCTATTCCTAAGCACCCTCCCAGCTCTCTCCCACTTTTTTTTTTTTAAACCCTTGCCCACCCTTCACCGCTCTCTCAGAAGCTCTCTGTGAGTAAGGGGGAGATAGAAGTGATGAAAGTCCTTTCTGTTACTAGAGGAGAGGAGAAGCTCCGTGCAGGGGAATCCGGGATGCTGGAAAGCTGGGGAATTTAATACAGAGCTGGCTCTGCTCCATCCTGGATCTTCTTTATGTTCTTTGAGTGAGTAAACATTGTAAACCCTGTTTGGATTTTGCTTTGCCTCTTTGGGCAAAGTTGAAGCTGTTGCAATGGAAAGATCCTTTCTCCCTCCCTCCCCTCACTTTCCCTCCTTCCCCACTCCTCCTGCCCTCCCTCTTCCTCCTCCCTTCCTTTCCTTTCCTTTCCTCCTTCCTTCCTTTCTTCCTTCCTTCTTTCCTTCCTTCCCTCCTCCTTCCTTTTCTCTCCTCCTTCCTTTTCTCTCTTTTCCACTCTCCTCCCATTCTCTTCCTACTGTATCCCAGCAGATCAGCTTGCTTACCTTTTAGCTTTCTTTCTTCCCCCTCTTTTAAAACATAATAAAATACTAGCAAACATTATGTAACATGCACTGCGCTAAGCACCTTGAATGTATTAACACACCTAATCCTCTTCAGAATCCTATCATGTGGATACTATCAATATGCCCATTATATGGATGAGAAAACTGAGGCACCAGAACTTAAGTCACTTTGTTCCCTGCCCTCATGGCTGCCTTCTCTCCATGATCCCAGGGCAGGGTATGCCCTCTAGCTTTTTCCTACTCCTTGTCCCCTTCCCTTTGGTGTCTCCCTGTGGCATCTGCATGTCAAAATGATTTCTGACCCCACCTCCTTTTTGCCCTGTCTTACTGGGTGCTCCTTATGGGCCAAGAGAGGCCACAACTGTCTTTGCATGAGCTCTGTGGGCTGAGCAAAGCACATGGCTCATCTGTGGAAATACAAAGAAGCCAGGGGAACTCAGGCCGCAGATGGAGAGTCCTTGCCATGGCTTTGAGTGACAGAGATTTCAGGTCAGTGTCTCAATCCTGAGACACTCCATGGAGGGATTAAAGAGAGGAGTAAAAGACAGGAGAAAGATGGTGTAGGGTGTCAGTTTGGGCTGGTAGCTAAGAACCACACGTGGCTATTAAGCTTTGAAATGTTGCCCATTGGAACTGAGATGTGCTGTGAGTATAAACTATGCACTGACTTCAAAGACTTGGTTGGAAAGAAAAGAATGTTGTAAAAAACTCTAACTCATTAATACCTTTTTGTATTGATTTTATGTTGAAATAATAACAATTGGATATACTGGGTTAAATAAAATACATTAAAATGAATTCTACCTTTTTCCTCTATGGCTGCCAGAAAATTGAACATTAGCCCATGCACAGTGGCTCATACCTGTAATCCCAGCACTTTGGGAGGCCGAGGTGGGTGGATCACTTGAGATCAGGAGTTCAAGATCAGCCTGGCCAACTTGGTGAAACCCCATCTCTACTAAAAATACAAAAATCAGCCAGGTATGGTGGCGCGTGCCTGTAGTTCCAGCTACTCAGGAGGCTGAAGCAGGAGGATTGCTTGAGCCAGGGAGGTGGAGGTAGCAGTGAGCCGAGAGCACACCACTGCATTCCAGCCTGGGTGATGGGAGAGAAACCTGAAGGAAGGAAGGAAAGAGAGAAAGAAAGAAAGGAAGGAAGGAAGGAAGGAAGGAAGGAAGGAAAGGAGGAAAGGAGGAAAGAAAGAAGGAAAGAAAGAAAGAAAGACAGAAAAAGAAAGAAAGAAAGGAGGGAGGGAGGGAGGAAGGAAATAAATTGAACATTATATGCATGGCTTGCGTTTGTGGTTTTGCTAGTTTTCTATGGGATGGCACTAGCTTAGAATGTTTTGAGCCACAAGAAACAAAAAGCCTGACTCTATCAAGTGCCATGAACAATAAGGAATTCATTATTTCACTGAAGTAGTAGTCTAGAGGTAGGGTGGGCTCCAGCATTGGTTAATTTAGCAGCTTACTACACAGCAAGACCCATGGTTTTGCCACCTTTCTGCTTCGCCAACCTCAGTGAGTTGACTACCTCCTCCTCACAGCCACAATGTGGCTGCCATAGCTCCAGAAAGCATATGTAGACATTGACAACAGCCAGTGGAAGAAGAGAGAGGGGCTCTTCCTGTGTATTTCTGCTGCCCATCAACAGACATCCCCTGTCACATGTCATCAGCCTGAATGGAGTCACAGGCCCATGCTTAGACTGATCCCCAGCAAGGGGATGAAACCACCATGAGTAGCTTAGACAAATCATGTTGCACTCTCTGGTGCTGGGGTTCCAGATGAATCTTGGGGAGCACCTACCTTCTGGAAGGAAGGTAGACACCGGAACATCAGGGCTCCGTGAACCAGCAAAAGGAAGGGCTTCTCCACTAGGGATGTTGTAGGTAATTGGGAGAAGCATCTTATTGCCTTTGCCAGGTTGAATGTCTCATTTTGAAGGTGGCACGGGGATGTTCTTATATTAAGTGATGTTGAGTCGATGAGCCAAGAGCACATCTGTTATTTCTGTTTGTCTGGCAGCTTTGCATTTCTCCCTTTTGGAAACTGTCCTTCTCCCTCTTGGCAGGGCTGTCAGTGACAGAGTCTCAGAGATGACCCAGAATTGCCAATCAGCGTACCCCATTAGCCAAAAGAGTGTGCTTATTTCCTTAAAGGGCCAGCAAAGTTCTCAGGGAAGGCTCTGACTGGCCCAGCTTGAGTCATGGGCCCTGACACTGACAGGGAAAGCCTGAGTCTAATGTTGCACATCTTCATTATGGGAAACTGTGATTTGTGAAGATGGCCTGGAAGCCTGGCCCAGACCCTACAACAACTTCTTTGTTGCTGGCGAGGAGTTGTGTTTCTTTGGAGAAGAGGCATTATGGTTTTTGGAATTTTTAGCCTTTCTGCTCCAGTTTCTCCCCATCTTTGTGGTTTTATCAACATTTGGTCTTTGATGTTGGTGACCTACGGATGAGTTTTTGGTGTGGATGTCCTTTTTGTTGATGTTGATGCTATTCTTTTCTGTTTGTTAGTTTTCCTTCTAACCGACAGGCCCCTCAGCTGCAGGTCTGTTGGAGTTTGCTGGAGGTCCACTCCAGACCCTGTTTGCCTGGGTATCACCAGTGGAGGCTCAGTTGGAAATACGGAAATCACCCGTCTTCTGCGTCAATCTCGCTGGGAGCTGTTCCTATTCGGCCATCTTGGAAGCCTCCTGACTCTTTCACAACTTCTCAATAAATAAGAGATGACTGAATGTCTTTTTAAGTCCATTTGTCAGGAGCCAGAGGCCTGGACTAGAAACTTCACCTGATCTCCTGCCCCTCCTTGTGCCATAGCAAGTCACAGATTTTTCTAAGAGCAAATCAACCAAAAGTAAAAATAGAACCTGTTGATTTTCCTAAGAGGAAATCAACCAAAAATAAAAATAAAACCTGTTTCTTGAGGTGTTTGACTTAGGAATTCTTTCCTGGGCCTCAGAAACATTGGAACTTTCATTTTTACTCTTCTCACCAGCACCTGTTAGTTTGGAGACAAAGTTAGACTTTAGCTCTTGGAAGCAGGTGAGTGTAACAGTCAAACACATGGTCCCTGGAGACTAATTGCTTGGATTCAAATCCTAGTCTCGTCGCTTGCTAGCTGTGGGCCCCTGGGCAGTTTGCTCAGCCTCCTTGTGTCTTCATTCCCTCTTCTGTAAAATGGGGATGGTGATCAAAGTGCCTGTCTCACAATGTGGCTGTGAGAATGAAGTTAGCTAATAGACATCAAGGTCTTAGAACTCCCTACGTTAGATTCTGGGACCTCACATATATGCTTCTGTGCCTGGGTTCTGAGCTCATAGATGGTGGCAAGGGTTGGATGAGGATCTGTGTGAAGCACGTCCTGCCCATAGCAGGGGCTGGGTAAAATGGAGCAACATGTTCTCCTCCTCACACCCTTATGTAAGCACCTTTTCAAAGCAGCCCCGTGTTTCTTTACCCACTCGTTTCTTTTTCCTCCCAAAGACAATGAATTGCTTGCTGAAAGAGCCTTGCCGAGTGCACACACACGTGACAGCATTCCATTAAAAATCTCTTTGCATAGCTCTAATGCAGTGAGAGACATTTGTGATAGGTTGGAAGGGGAAGCACTGATTTTGAAAGGAAAAGGGAACAAAGTGCTTTTATTCCCCGTTGAATTAAAAAATACTTCCAAGGCTCCAATGTCAAATCTTTTCCTCACTTTCTCCCGCAGCAATGTGCCAGAAACCCTGACAATGAACCGCTGTCTCTGACTAATTGTTCTAGTGGAGATGTCTCCTGTTTGACTTGATTTTAAACTGTGGAGCACGTCAAGAGAAAGCTCACTGATCTGCCGAGGGTTTGTGCTTTTCTGTCTTCATGCATCTGTTGTGGGTGAAGAGAGCAAAGATTCTTCATTCAATCAAAGGCCCCCTTTGGAGATGCTGAGAAGGAAATTTCCTTTGGAAATTCCCAAAGGTAGGTTCTTTGGGGAAGTGAGAACTCTGCTGCTTCAACCTTAGCCCAGCCTGCCCTCCTGGTGGGAAAGACCAGCCGTGTCTTGGCTTCCAAAGAACCAGGAGACAGAAGGAATTTATGGCTGGAAGCCCAGCATGGTCGTGTCCCCTGGGCCCAGTTGCTTCCCCTCTGTGGTTTCCATATCTATGTGTTAAGAGAAAGCATCTGAAACTTTGAAATAAGGAAGAAGATGACTGCGTGTCCTTTGAATGCCACATTAAAGCACTGTCAGACAGGCCCTGCCCAATGGCAATTTAATTCTTCAGGGCACGGGCCAAATCTGGCTGCTGCCTGTTTTTGTAAATAAAGTTCTATTGGAACACAGCCACACCCATTCGCGTACAGATTGTCTGTGCTGCTTTCATTTTGCAACCACGGCTGCATTTGAGTGGTTGCAACAGAGACCATATGGCCCACAAAGCTGAAGATTATTTACTGTCTGCCCCTTTATCGAGCACTTTTGCTGACCCTGCTCAAGGGAGGGGAATATACTTTTCTGTGATTTACTCTTTACTACCGGTTCAGGCCCAGACTCTGGAAAGTGTGATGCTAATTTCTGGAAGATTGATAACTTGCAAATGATTTCAGTCCAGTAGTCATGAAAATGATTTCTGTCCAGTGTAAAAGATACCCTCGAAGAATACGATTTTATTGACCCTCAGGACATTCATCATTTCTGAGTCTGACTTTGCTGTCTTAGTTCAGCAATCTTTCTGTCCTCCAATGCAGTTACTTTGGTCTTTCCCGTAAGGCTTTGAACTGGTTTTCTCGTCCTGCTGGTCGCCCCACTCATAGGTTAAAGAGATCCTTGACATGTGCTCATTTACTATTTGTGAAAGAGTCACATTCTTACTTTTTTGAGAATTATACATTGACATGAGGACATGGGACCAGATCAGGGGTTAGCAAACTGTGCCCTGGGGAACCCTGAGTGTCTTGGGGAAACCCGAAGTCCCTTAGGTGAACTATAAGAAGATAAGGAGGAGAGAAGTTAGAGTCCCTTACCTCTTCATCAACCAGAAAAGCTCCACTTACAAACCTCCCTTCTGTTTTGTGGTTTTAAACGTAAAATTCCTTGAAAAAAAGAAAAAGCGATTTTGCTGCAAAGAAAAATGTGTTGCACCACCAGACAAGGTGCTCGGGAAGTTCTGGAGTTCCTGAGAGCTGTGTGTGGAGCCAGCAGGGCAGTGCTCAGCTCTGTTGGCTGTTGGGGGCTGTGCATTCCTGGGCTGGGTCTGTAATAGGGCCCTGGTCTGTCTGTGGCTGGGTGGAATGCAGTGTATTTATGTTCCTTCAGAGGAGGAAGAGGCCTCCAGAGAGCCGGCTTGAATACCAACAATTCCCTCAGGTCTTACAAGGGAAAAAAAGTGTGCTTTTCCTTCCTAATTGTGTTTCTTAAACAAACCTGACTGCAGTTGCACGAAGCATGGTCTGTGGCATCCGAGTATTGACAATTTCTCATGAGAACATTCTGCAAACCAGCAGGTCTTCATGTATGCCAGAGAAATGCGGGGCTCACCAGGTGCTGGGAGGGTGCCTGGGACCCTGAGGGTCTGCTGCAGGTCAGGTGAGAGGAGGAAGAGAAGAAACTACTCAGAGCTCTGTGTGTGTGAGTGTCCCTCTTTAATTTTGGGCTTATGTATTTATTTATTTAAGATTTTATTTTATTGTAATGAGAACACTTACCATGAGATCTACCTGTTGCACTCTGGTTGGGGGCAGTCTTAGGGCTTAGTTTGGCCATTGCCTTGCTGGGAGCAAGCCTGTCTTCCCCCGGGGTCTCTGGGGTCTCCTGAGAGCAGGGCCTGGATGGATGGGAGACAGGGGAGCAGCTCTCAGATTCTGAGACACGCTTGCTGGTATTTACTTGGGTTAGGTGAGTCTGTGGTATAGGCCTCTCCATTCTTGACAGATTGATCTTTTTTTCTTTTTAATTGAGGTATGTTAGATTCACATAACAGAAAATTAACTGTTTTAAAGCATACAGGTCAGTGGCATTGACTGCATTCACCTTGTTGAGAAACCATCACCTCTGTCTATTTCCAGAACATTTCCAATTACCCCAAAAGTCAGTCTCTATGAAGCAGTCACCCCCTTCCTCCATCCCTCTACTCTTCGACCCTGGCAACTGCTAATCTGCTTTCCAGCAGAATGGATTTTCCTATTCTGGATATTTCATGTAAATTGAACCCTACAATATGTAACATTTTATGCCTCAGCATCATGTTTTTGAGGTCCATCCTTGTTGTAGCAGAATCAGTACCTCATTCCATTTCATGGCTGAATAATATTTCATTGTATGGACAGACTGCAACCTGTTCATTCATTCCCTTGTTGATGGGCATTTGGGTTGATTCCAGATGTCGGCTATTGTGAGGAGCGCTGCCAGCTTGTTCTTGTCCCACATAAGCCCTTGCTCTCTTGCCAGCCTTGTCACTGAGCACTCACACAGTGACACCCCCACCAAAGAGTCTCCTCTAACTATTTCTGGGCATCCGTGGGGATGTTTCGCACAATGGATGCTCTGTCCCAGGTGCCTGGAGGCAGCCTCTGCTGTTGATGCCCTCTGTGCGCAGACAGCTCTGCCACACCCAGCTGGCATTGCCAGGGGCCCTGTGCCCCGAACCACCAGGCTCATGCTGTGATCTGCTGAGTAGAAGGTCTGTGTGTGGGGCAGGACCTAGTTGTGGGTGGTTTTGTTATAGAATGAGGACCTTGTCATCTCATGAGGGCTTTTGCTTCTTGCCTCTTACTCTGCAGATCTTTTCACTTTGGCTGGTCATGTTCCCCAGAAAGACATCTTCTGGTCTCAGAGGGATAGAAGAAGGGTGACAATTCATTCTGATTTACCTAGGACGTCCCTGGACTTAGCACTGAAAATCCATCACCCTGAGAATGCATCAGTCTCAGGAAAACCAGGACAGTTGGTCATCCAAGATAAGAGCCGGCTTTTTTGGGAGGGGGATGATATCTCATCATTCAGTGTGTTGAGTTCATTTAATCCCCCTTCTTTGAATTAGGTGGCTGAGACTTATCCTATATTGTGCCCCTAAGCCACAAATCCAGAGCCTATTTTCCTGAAGCTGGCTAGAAGTTAAACTTCTTTTCTTCTGTGGGATTGGAGGAGGGGTAGTCACCTTGCTGCCTGGCGTTGAGGAAGGAACCTGGAGATCTAGATTTTATTTTTAAAGATTTTTAAAGCAATCCTCTTGCTTCCAGCCCACCCAGCACTTTTTATTCAGAGCTGATGAATTCTTGAGGTTTTCTGGGGTTCTGGGACCCAGTTCACTTTGCTTCCCATTGTTTCCCCTTTGTCTTGGTTCAGCTTTCAGCTTTGATACATTAGTTCATCCAACCTGTTTTCAGCCTCCAAATACATACATGCACACACACACACACACACACACACACGTATGTATTTGGACATCTCTTCTTGCATTTCTCCCTTTTCTTTTTTACCTTGCAGGCTTATTTATGACTTTTTAGAAATTTATTTGCTGGCATGTGAGTTATTCTCAGGAAGGAGCAGAGAACAGTACATGTTTTCTCTGCCATGCCTTGCAGGAAGTCTCATTTCCTCAACGCGTGAGATGGGCGTTGGGTCAGGCAGAAGCGGGTTCCCATCTTGGCTGGGCTCCTCTCAGCTAAGTGGCCTTGGACAAGCACATTGACCCCATCTGAGCCTGGTTTCCTTTCTAGCCTGGCCTCCCTTCAAAGTAAGAAGAGTAAAGTGGGATGATAATGAAAATAGACCACAGAACTCGTGGGCAGCGCCAAGCTTGGGCCCAACATAGGTGGCTGGGGTTAGGCTCTTTGAAGAAGCTCCTCAAGCCTGCATCTCCCAGGGTCTTCTACAACTTCCTCAGCTCCTTGTCTCCCTGCCTGCCTCTCTCACAGGACCTCAGAACCCATCCAGCAGTCTAAAGGGGACACATTTTATTCCATCCCTGCTTTTCAGCAATTCATTTTCTCTAGGGCTTCAGAGCAAAAACTGCCTCTTCTTTCTGCCAAAGGGCTTACCAGCCCACCCTTTCCTCCAATAGCTGGATTTTGTTTAATTTTTAATTTTTTTTTTGAGGCGGAGTCTCCCTCTGTTGCCCAGGCTGGAGGGCAGTGGCGTAATCTCGGCTCACTGCAACCTCTGTTCCAGTGGGTGTCATGTCTCATGCTCCCGAGTAGCTGGGATTACAGGCACCTGCCACCATGCCAGCTATGAATACCTGAATTTTAAATCCTAGATTGCACTCAGTTTTGATGCCTGTTGCTCCCCATCCCCAGCCTCACCTCTGCCCCGCACACCTACTCTTTTTTGACCCATTCTAGCCAAGCTCAGAGAAAGGCATCTTCCCCCAGGAAGCCTTTCCTAAGTCTGTCAGCCTTCACAGAGGTCCCCCTCACTCTGTGCTTCCTGTTTTTAGGCAAGAGCAGTGGTCCACGGTGCTTAGGTGTTTGGGTTCTTGAATTTGAGTTTGCATCTCGGCTCTGCTATCATACCTACAAGCTGTGCTACCTTGGGCAAATTACTGCACCACTCTGAGCCTCAGTGTCCTCATGAGTAAAACATGAGTTAATAATAGGACCTAACAGTCTCTCATGAGATTGTTCCAGAGATGAAATGATGTGACACACATAAAGAAAATGCAGTGGTTAGCATATACGCGTAAGCACTCAAGACAAGTTTATTACAATGTCTATGTCTGCTGTACTTTGATTTTGACTTGCTTTAACTGCCAGGCTGTATCTAGGGGTGGGAAACTTGTCTTCTTCCTTTTTTTTAATACTTTGCAGCCCCACCCCAGTGGCCCGGGATGTCGTCACGCCCCGGAGCAGGAATCCAAAGATATTCTTGCCTGCTAGTCTTGCATCATCCACGGAGTGACCTTGAGCAGGTCATGTCACTTCTCTGAGTCATTTTGCTTTTGGCAGCTGGGAGACAAATTCCTGCTGAAGTAAGCAGAAAAGAAAGTGAAAAAGAGACTGCAGCTTTTCACAAATGTTTCTTCCCTTCTCTCACAAGTTTATTCCCCACCAGCCCAGCCAGAGATTCTTGTTATCTTAGTTAGATGGTACCCTTGGGGTCTCTGGCTCTCTCTGGCTTTTAATCCTGGCTTTACATTAGAATAAACTGGGGAGATTTTAAGGGTCTTTATGCCAGGGCCTAACCTTGAATCAAGGTGGCTGGAATTTTAGGACATGAAGTTGATGTTAGAGGTCTTTAAAAGCTCCTAGTGAGGCTCATGCTGCTGGCCTGTGGTCCGCACTTTGAGTAGTGAGGCTCTAAACAACCCTCTTGTCCTTCCAGGAAGCATCTATCGGGCATCTGAGTCAAGTAAAAGGTACAATTTCCTTTGACAAAGCTCATCCTTTGATCATTGGGTTTCTCCAAGTATGGGGAACTCCCTTCCTCCCAAGGGCCACATTCTGTTGTTTCACAGTGGCTCTGATGGTCAGAAAGTACTGCTTTCCATGTGACTACAGCCAGCATCCTGGAATTTCCATTCCTTAGTCCTTGCTGAGGGTGGCTTAGGCTGGCCCAGGGAGGTCACCATATATCCACGCTAGCCTTCATCTGAATGGCTCTGTCAGGGGTCACACATCAGGGTCACTCAGAGAGCAGTGCTGCAGAGGCACTCTCATGGGTTTCAAAGAGCCCCACCATTCAAAGGCCCTGGTTCCAGAAAAGAGGCCATCCTGCTAAGCGGCATTAGTCTAATGTTTTCCGAATGCACCTCCACTGGAATTTTCTGGACAATGTGTTCAAAATAACCCACTGAATCAGAATCTCCAGGGGAGGATCCAGGGAGCCTGCTTATTTTAACACTGCTCAGGTGAGGGTTATGATCAGGCTTATGCAAAACGCCTTTAAACTGATTGGATTAGCTAACTCTGGCTGCCGAATGTTCCAGGGAGCAGTTATAAGATGGGAAAGAACCTGTGGCTTAGTGAGGGTGAGCAGGTGGGAGTAGGGGTGTCCAGGCCTGGGAAGAGCTCACATCTGGGCCTGGGCCATCAGCAGGTGGTCTCCCAGGATGATGCTGGTGTGTCGCTGTTGTAGCAGAATCCTTTACTCCCTCTCTCCCTGGATGAGTTCTTTTCTTTCAACCTTATCAGTTCTTGGGAAGAAGAGGAGGCAGAAAAGACTATTTGTATCTCACTCATGCCTAGAGAGTCCTGTTCTCTGGGAAAAGATTTACTCTTTCAGGGTCAGTTCTCTGATTGGTTGGTTTGTTTCTCAACTCCTGCAACAAGAAAATTCACCCTTAATTGAACAATACAGTCCTCTGTATTAGTGTGCTAGGGCTACTATCACAAAATGCCATAGACTGGGTGGCTGACACAACAGAAATGTATTTCTCATGATTCTGGAGGCCAGAAGTCCAAGTAAGGTGCCTGCAGGTTTGGTTTCATTTTGAGGCCTCTCATCTTGGCTTGCATTCGGCCACCTTCTCACTGTGTCCTCACATGATCTCCCCTCTGTGTGCATGCACCCCTGCCTTCTCATCCTGCATTCAATTTTCCTTTTCTTATAAGGACACTGGTCAGATTGGATTAGGTGGATTAGGGCCTGCCCTACTTTGAAGGCCCTATCTCCAAGTGCGGACAGTCACGTGCTTTAGGGCCCACTTATTTGACCTCATTTAATCTTACTACCTCTTTAAAGACCCTATGTCTAAATACAGAAACATTCTGAAGTACTGGGAGTTAAGACTTCACCGTGTGAATTTTTGGAGAAAAATTCGGCCCATAGCGTTCTCCTAGGGCTTTGTAAGTGGGTGACTGATGACAACATTGAGAGGGAGACTGGGAGGAGCAGTTGTTAAACAGGAGTGGGGAAGAAACAAAGAAACAGGGGCTGGAATGCACAACCCCATTGCTGTCTTGCTTTGGTTACCTACTTGTTTTTATTTTTGTTATTATTATTTTTTTGAGACGGAGTCTTGCTCTGTCACCCAGGCTGGAGTGCAGTGGCAAAATCTTGGCTCACTGCAACCTCCGCCTCCCAGGTTCAAGTGATTCTCTTGCCTCAGCCTCCCGAGTAGCTGGGATTATAGGATTGCACCACCAAGCCTGACTAATTTTTGTATTTTTAGTAGAGATGGGTTTCACCATGTTGGTCAGGCTGATCTTGAACTCCTGATCTCAGGTGATCCACCTGCCTTAGCCTCCCAAAGTGCTGGGATTACAGGCGTGAGCCACTGCACCCAGCAGCTACTTGTTTTTAATTTCCAGACTCTCCTGCTCAGTTCTATTAGTCTCTGAGAGTATCCTGTTCTTGTTTAAAGGATATGTTATCTTTTCTTTCTGAGGAATTTTTTTTTTTTTGAGACGGAGTCTCGCTCTGTCACCAGGTTGGAGTGCAGTGGTGCAATCTCGGCTCACTGCAACCTCCGCCTCCCGGGTTCAAGTGATTCTCCTGCCTCAGCCTCCCGAGTAGCTACAGGTGCACACCACTACACCCAACTTGTTTTTGTATTTTTAGTAGAGACGGGGTTTCACCATGTTGGCCAGGATGGTCTCGATGTCTTGACCTTGTGATCCACCCCCCTCGGCCTCCCAAAGTGCTGGGATTATAGGCGTGAGCCACCACACCCGCCCGGAGGATGTTTTTGAAAACCTTCTTCTGCTTCTCTGTTTCTCCCTTTTAGTCTGTTTTGGTTTCTGTGAAGGTGGAAATACTGTTCACATGTCTAGGGGGATGCAGTTGTCTGAAAAACCTGTGGGTGGGCATTTTTTCCAAAGAGTCCCTGATATGGTTTGGCTGTGTCCCCACCCAAGTCTCACCTTGAATTGTAGCTCCCATAATTCCCACGTGTTGTGGGAGGGACCTGGTGGGAGGTAATTGAATCATGGGGGTGGTTTCCCCCATAGTGTTCTCATGGTAGGAGTAAATCTCATGAGATCTGATGGTTTTATAAGGGGAAACCCCTTTTGCTTGATTCTCATTCCCTGTTTGTCTGCCACTATGTAAGATGTGGCTTTCACCTTCCGCCATGATTGTGAGGCCTCTCCAGCCATGTGGAACTGAGTCCATTAAATCTCTTCTTCTTTATAAATTACCCAGTCTCAGGTATGCCTTTATCAGCGGCATGAGAAAAGACTAATACAGTCCCCAAATATCAAATTCCTTGGGTCTTTGCTTTTGGCTCAGCCAGCCTCCCTGGGGAAGAAGCATCTAAGGGTCTGCTTGGGGTTGACAGTGTGTGTGTGTGTGTGTGTGTGTGTGTGTGTGTGTGTGTGTGTGTGTGTGTTGGGGGCCATAGTCACGGGATGCTGAGGAGCTAGAGGATGGCACTGTGGAGCTGAGTTGGAGATAAGGGTCTGAGCCTCACTCTTCAATGGACTGACGCTCATTTACTCCCCTGTTTTCAGTACAGTTCCTCATTCCTATCCTTAGTAGGGTCTGGTGTCCCCTAAACCAGCATCCTTGGCATAGCATCTGCTGAGAGTCAGCTACGCATTTGCAGCTGCAGAGCTGGGGCACTTGCCTGGTAATGTGGGCCTGGGGAGAAGATAGGGGAAGGGAGTGGTTAAGCTTGTAATGACTTTCAACCACCCTTCCCAGCCTGCCTCCAGAGGTACCTGGTACCTCCAGTTCCAGAAGCTTCCAAGATTCAGCACTGCATGATCTCTCCTTATTTGCTGCTGTCTCTGCAGGCACTTATTAGAGAGGAGAAAGCCAAGATCCAAATCGGCTGTCCTTTTCTGTCCATTCTCCATCCCCGTAAACTTCTTGACATTTCCTATTTGCTGTTGTTCCCTCTCCTGTTTATGTCTTATTTGTTTATAGCTTTTTTATTTTCTCCCCCTGACTCTAGTGAGTTTTGAGGACTGAGCAGAGATCACCATCTACGTGGTTAGCTGGAAGTTCGCTTCCTCTCTTAGACTTAGTCTCCTCCTCTAGAAAGTGGGGCTAGTAATAGTTTCTACTTCAAAGTCTGTGGGAGTTAAGTGAGAGAGTGCATGGAGCATGCTTAACATGTGATCTGGCAAAAATATCCAATAAATACTAGGAAAAACAGCCAAACAAAATTATTGGCCTTGTTCTTGGGTCCTTGTAAATTCCTAGAAACAGTGACATAGTTCAAACCACAGAGCAGAGCTTCTAGCTTAACGTTCTGCTTGCCCACGTCTGATGCTTGCCTTTCCCCTAATACTGAAAAAAGAAGCAAAACTTGGCATTTACCCACAAAGAAAGGTAGACCAAAGCAACACTCTTCAAGCTTTACTGCGTATTCCACTCACTCGGGCTCTTATTAAAATGCTGATTCTGACTCTGTTGCTTTGGGGTGGCTGAAGAATTTGCATTGGTGCTGATGCTTCTAGTCCTGCTGGTACAAAGACCACACTACGAATTGCAAGAGACTAACTGGTAGAAACTTATCCTGTGGGCCAAGACAGAGCAGGAAAAGGGGAGATGTCCTCCTGGGACTCCATTGGCTGGTGGTCTTTTAATGGGGGCTTTTGTCCTTCAGGATTGAAATCTAGTGGGAATACTGTGGGTTCCTCTAAGTGGCCACAAGATGTCATAATGTCATTACATGAATTCTCCCAGAAAGGTTCAAGTCTGGGTGTCAAGTTACATCCCTTAAAGCAGAAAATGGAAAGTGGCAGCTATCTAATCAGTGCTGCTTCTGGGATCATCCTCGGTCAAACCTTCCTCCCCAGGGTAGATGTCAGGCTGATGGCAGAATCTTTGTCTTACCATCTTTTCCCACTCCGACTTTGTTAATAGAGTCACGTGAGAATCACGTGGGCCCTAGAAACAGGGTCTGCCATGAGAGAAGACTGTTCTCTTTAGAAACATAAAGTTCAGAATTTCCTATGGTATAGCTCACAGAACCACAATCTGGAGGGATGCTTTTCATAAACAAAGGTCTTCTCGAACAAATCAGTTGGGGAAATACTTCATGTTCCATCTCCTTCTTTAGATGTCCTAGATTCTGAAGATGATCATGTCAAAGGCTTTGGTAAGACCTGCAAGAATCCATCCTGGTTGATATCAGTTACTCCTGTGCTTCTCAAACACCTTCAACCATGTCAATCCTCCTCCCTGCCATGAATACCATTAAAACCTACAAAGTATTTTAGGTTTTAATGCAACTTTAGCAGAACCAGTGGTTGTACTTTCACACTGGAAATGGAGGCCCATGTGGCGCACTTAGGGCAGGGTAGGGAAGAGAGATGAGTTTGAGGTCACCTGGCTAGAAACATGAGCTCGCTGCATTTCGGAAGCATCAGACAAACAACATCATCTCTACCATGATCATGGCCTCGTGTACTTTCTTCTTCATATTAGTTGTCTGACTTTATTTACTCTCCCTAACCATTAGGTGAAACCGTAAGAAATTGCTGTTTGTGGAGGTAGGGAACAATCAAATGCCAACAATTTCACATGGTTCCAGCTGGACTAGCGATTGGTACACTATGGTCTGTGGGCCAATCTGCCCCAGCCCTGTGTTTGTGAATTAAGTTTGATTGAAACATAGGCATCCTCTTTTGTTCACGTATTGTCTATGACAACTTTCACGCTTTGCTGGCAGAGTTGGGGAGTTGCCACAGAGACCGCCAGGCCAGTAAAGCCACATTATTTACTATCTGCCCTTTTACGGAAAGGTTGCTGCCCCCAGTGTAACTGCTAGGTAGCTCCTTGAGGAGAGAATCCACAGATGAGAATCATTTTTGTAGCTTTTCTGCTCCCCACAGCAACACTGCACCTGTAAATAGTAGGCGCTTATTAAGTATTACAGTCTATTTTCTGCTGCTGTAACAGAATACCACAGACTGGGTAATTTATAAAGAAAAGACATTTATTTAGCTCATGGGTCTAGAGGCTGGAAGTCAAAGGGCATGGTGGTGGCACCTGCTTGGCCATCTGATGAGGGCCTTCTTGTGGCATCATAATGTGGCAGAAAGCCTCACGTGGTGAGGAAGCGTGCACATGTGATGGAGAGGAAACTCATCCTTTTATTCGAGAACGCTCCTGTGATAACTAACCTGCCCCTGTGGAAACTGCATTAATCCATCCGTGAGGGCAGAGGCCTCATGACCTAATGATCTCTTAAATGTCCCAACTCTTAATACTGTTGGAATGGCAATTCAATTTTGACATGAGGTTTTGGAGGGGACATTTGAACCATAGCAATCAGTACTGGATACAGAAAAAAGCCACGAGCCTTATTCCTGGAGAAGGATGATACCTGATCTTTCATCTTCTTCTCCAGACCTTTGGCTTCTGTGTCTTGACTCACTCCCAGATGTTTGGCAGGCAAGCTCCTACTGCTGCCAGTGAAGTCAGCTTCCTCCTTTTTGAGGAAAAAATTCTCCAAAAAGTCTCTAAGAGCCCCTGGACATCAATCAGCTAGCTCTTAGAGCTGTGTGGATGAGGATGTATAAATGAAGCAAACATATGGATTATATTTCCATCAAAATACACACAGGCTCCGAAATTCAGTGGGAAAGAGCTTGGCAAGGTCATTCCATTACTTGGCCATTTCCAAAACTGTTTGAGGAAAGTCTGATATATTTGATAAACCTCAATCACAGTGTGGAATTAACCTTTCTCTCCCCAGACTGTGCAGGAAGCTCAGAAGGAGTGGGGAGAAGGCCACTAGATTGAACTACTCCTTCCAAAGCTTCTTGAATCTGACTCAGCGAATCATTGGCAGCTACTTGTGTCCTTTAGGGAGTATATTTCTTTAATCCCCCATGGACGGGCAAAATGGGGGCAATGGTATAATTTGCTAGGGTGGTATTCTCATTTTCCTTCTGATAGATGCCTAGTGTTGTTTAAAAAAAAACTAAATTAAAAAAATTGATTACACACCATACATGTTTATTGTCAAGAAAATGAGAAGAGACAGATGAGCAGAAAGAAGAAAATCACAACTGGTCTAGTGTCATTTGACAGTGATGAGGCAGCCAAACAGTCATTGTATGCTTACATATTTGAGCAGAGCTGGGGGAAAAATTGGGGAATAAGAATGATCTTGCTTAAAGTGCAAGGGACCTTTGGAGGCTGAGAAGACATGAACACATTCTTAGGGCAGAGATGAGGAGCTAGGGGGGTGGGAGGCATCATTCCCTGATTTGGATTCTGTTTTAAGCCTTTCAGTTTGGTAATTTGAAGGATTCTGCCCTTTGCCCTAAGCCACTGTGCCTTTTAACTCTGGGGCGAGTCAGGAATTTGGCTCTCTGCACCAGGAAAACATGAATTACTGTAACTTTTTGTGGGCCGATTAGACTGTGAAAATAATAATATTTTTGGCAGCACAATTGAAGGGACGGGGCTGCTGGCAGAATAGAATCATTTACTGCCTTGACTAGCAAAAGTCCCACTCGTGCCAGTAAACACCAGAAATGGGAGATGGGGAGGTTGACTTCACCCTCACTTGTGCCTCTTATTTTGTGCTCATTGCAAGGTGTACCTCTGTTATTTTTTGGTGCAATGCAAGACCCTGCTGAAGAGTTACCTTACCTTCAAACAGTTTCCAGACTCTCTTTCCCTTTATACCTCCCCCTCCAGAGGATTGAATGCTGTATAGTTCTCTTCCCGCTTTCCTTGCAGCCAGAGTGGCTGGGCTACCCAGATATAGCCTGTGAGTCTTCTTGGTGCAGCATTTGGGAAATCTTCCTTTTTCCTGCGCAGAAGTGATTGATGCTTTTAGGTTGGTGCAAAAGTAATTGCAGTTTTTGCCATTAAAAGTAATGGCAAAAATCGCAATTACTTTTGCACCAACCTAATATTTTCATAAGGCCAGCTTATTCCCAACTTAAGCATGGATGAGGTGCCTGGAGCTGAAGCAGCCATCTTGTGTCCACAAGAGAAAAGCCTAGAGAATCACAGAGGTTGGTCCTGAAATCATTGAAATCAGTGTCAGTGACTGCCTTCCTTCAGACCTTCTGTTAAGTGAGAAAATACCCCATTTTCTATTTAAAGCAGCATGAATCAGGGTTTCTGTTATTTGCAACCAAATGGCGTCTTGGCAGATGCACCACATGACCCGCTCAGCTTGGCACAGAGACAGATGCCCATCATCGTTTATAAACTTAGTTGTGGCAAAAATATACTTTATATTTTGTTCCAAGTTTGGTGACTGTGTCTAGGTCTCAGCAGGGAACTGATGATATACTCAAACAGCATAATTAAAGAAAGTTTAATGAAGGCACCAGTGGCAAGGGTATTGGAAGATTTAGGGTAACCACAAGAGATTGGTTAGTGCCCTGGGGCTTCCAGCTGGGAGCTGTTCTCACCCTTAGGCTAACAGGGCAAGGAAAGGAGCCAGAAAGAGGAGTGAGAGAAGGCTGCCTGACAGGAGTGTGCCCTGGGGTGGAGGGATGCTGCCAACTTGCAATGCAATAAGCACCCTGGCCTCTCTCTTTCCACCCACCAATCTCCTGCCAGTAGTCCCCTCTTCTCCATGGGGAGTATGTTCCCAGATCCCTAGTGCGTGCCTGAAACCATAGAATACTACTGAACCGTACACACACACACAGACACACACACATATATATATATAGCACGATTTCTTTTTCATTCTTCACAATTTCACAGATGCAAGATTCATTCTTACCACAGATCTTAGCAACCTCGCCATACAATCTTTTTCTTTCCTTATTAAGTCGTGAACTTTCATCTTTTCACTTGAAGGAAGCACTTTACAGTTTCTCTTTGGCATACCTGAATTGCCAGCATCAATACTCTTGCACTTTGGGGTCATCATTCACTAAAATAAGGGTTCCTTGAACACAGGCACTGGGATAGCACGAGAGTCGATCTGATCACCGAGAGGGCTACTAAGTGACTAGACGGTGGGGATTGTAGACGGCGTGGATCCAATGGACAAAGGAAGGATTCATGTCCCAGGTGCGCTGAAGTGGGAGAGTACAAGATTTCATCATTCTACTTGGAATGGTGCACAGTGGAAAATGTATGGATTTTTTATTTCTGTGATTTTTTTCCATTTAATATTTTGGGACCATGGTTGACTGTGGGTAACTAAAATCATGGATAAGAGGTGACCACTGTACTAAGAAGAAGCCAGAGGACTCCGTACGGGGCGGCCTTCCAGGACACAGAGCAGGGTAGAGGAAAATGGCAGGTGAATCTGGAGGGGCACACAGGAGTCTCCAGCGTGGTGGCCCACTCATGAAGGGTCTGAGGCATTCCAGGGAGCTGTGCTCCACCACTTCAGAACCACTGCTCCAGCTCCAAAAGCTTCGCCTTGAACTTGGAGTGCTCTTTGCTCTGTGTCTTCTCTCCAAGAAGTGGTCTCCACCCTCTGGCCAGTGCCCCGTGGCTGCACCTCCAGCTCTGCCTGGCCTGCGGCTAGGGAGGCTTTTGCTGAAGCTGTTCATGGCCAGAGCACCCACTGGGCTGGCTGCCTGGCACAATTCAGGATGCTAATTGGGCACCCGGCAGCTGCGTGGAGTGCTCTGGAATCAGATTGGTTTTTAAAATTCTGATTCTATTTAAATATCTCTGGGGACTTAGATCAAGCCTGTTAAACACAAATCCTTGATACAAAAAGACCAGAAAGGAAGAAGCAGTTCTGTCTCATGTATGAGAGTCTCACTTTCATGGTCTCATGTCATCAGTGACACAACACACACCTATTTCACCCAAATGGGGAAAAGGGGAAAGGGAAAGCAGCTCGCCCAAAACTAACTGAAGCTGGTTCCAAGGACACCTCCCTGGCTGGCCCTGTCCTGCCCGCAATACTTTCCTCTCTCTCACAGGCGCTCATGTCATTGGGAACTTACTCCTTGGAATTTCCACCTCACCAGGGAGCCTCTGTATCCTCACTTTACTGAGAAGGAAACTCAGATGCAGAGAGGTTAAGTGACTCACCCAAGGCCATAGACTCATAAGTGGCATCTTCAGAAGGAAAACCCAGGTCTTCTGATGTCAAAGCTTGTCTTCTTAACCAGTTGTGTCTAGCTCTGGTTTGCTCAGGAGAACCCAGAACAGCATGCGAGAAGCCCCTCTCAATGGGGGTGTGAGCTTTGGGCTTTTTCTGGCCTGAACGAAAGTTCACTTTGCACTCCAAAGACTCAACAAAAATCAAAGTAACCGTGGTAGAGAATAGTCATTAAGAGCACTTGGGGTCAGGCAGACCACACTGAGTTCTTAACACCCTTTGAGCCTGGACATTCTCACCTCTATAATGGAGCCGTACCTCTCTTAGGTTGTATTTTCCTCAGAAGCTGATCCTGGGACAAGGATTCCAGTACAAGTAGTTTATTTGGAAGGTGACCCCAGGAAACACTAGAAGGGGCATGGGGAAGTGAGATGGGGAGGAGAAGGTAGCCAATACTAGGCGTATTATCAAGCAAGTCACCACAATGGGTGACTGGAGCTTAACGCCCTTGGGTACACTGGGCGCCCCTGAAGTTCCCACAGTGAGTTATCCCACTCAAAGAGCAGAGGAGCTGGGATATTGATCTTGCATCACCCATTGGCTGAGGGCTGCTCTGGGGTGATATTAATTCCTGGGGGACTGCTGGCCTGCTAGGTGAGGCAGCAGAGCCAGTGAGAAGAAAGCCTTTGGCAAAACAGCGCAGGTGTTGGCAGGTGAAGTCGGGCCAGAGTGCACCGTGTTTAAGGAGCCAGGCGCTGCTAGCGTCTCAGATGCCTGCCCCATAGAGTTGCTGTGAGGGGGCCATAAAATAATGCCAGGCACCTCATAAGCGCTCGCTACACCAGGCCCTTAGATTACTCTTATTATTATTGCCATTACCATTCCTGTGACTGCTACCAACTCAGGGCACACTGAGCAGCCAATTTGGTGCTTGCCATGTGTCTCCCGCTGATGATTTTTGACATCAGAGTCTTTTGCTTTAGCCAAACGTTGTATTTCCCCTAGGGACCATCCACTGGGCAGAAAGCTCTGAGCTCCTGGCCCATGGGATGAGAATTCTAGCCAGGTGTGTTTCCCAAGCACAGGAAAGAATTTGCCTGGTGGGAGGAAATCGGGCCTGGCCGTGTTCATGGGCCGGGCTCGGTTTTCTCCAACTCTTTAGAGAGAAGAGAAAAGCACCACCCCCTCCCTTCAGAAGCCAGGGCAGCCTCCAGCTGGCAGCCGGTGCCCACGTGCACAGCCAGGACCTGCGTGCAGCTGCCCCCTCCTTGGGCTGCCTGCCCTCCTGTTGTTTCCCCAAGGGCCCCCATAGAGCAAGGCCCTCTCTGGGAGCTGCCAGAGGGTGGGTTGCTTCCTCCAAGCCCTCCTCCCTTCCTGTGTACCTTCTGCTACTTCCTCTTCCCACCCCACACCCCCCACCTTCCTATTTCTTTGTCATCCTTTCTTCTCTGGGCTCCTTGGGGAGGGGTGGGGTTTTGGTCAGGATTATTCCCACATCTCCCCTCAGAACGACTGGCTGGGTTTGCAGTGTGTTGAGGGGGGCTTTTCCCTCCTCCTTCCTTTGGGTCTGTTCCCTCTTGTGTTTGCTTTGATCTCCAACGGATGCCGACAAGTGGACGGGCCCACCCACTGATCTCTTTCAGTGTGGCTGAAAAGAAGTGTTTTCATGTTCTTAGGGCTCGTTGCTCTTGCTGCCTGTGGAAGGGAGCGATGCTGGCTGGCGATGGAGCTGCTGGAACCCTGCAGATGGAAAGAGCTGGCAGTGCTGGCTGGGTTGTTATGAGGGGGCTGATGGTGGGCGTGTGGGTTTGCTGCGGACCGAGGGTTGGAGACAGGCAGGGTGCTGGGGTGGGATGGCAGCTGGTGAAATTGGACAGATCCCTGAGAAAATGTAGCAGGCTCTCTCAGGAGGGATTTCCAGGAGCTGCTGTCTGGAAGCTTCCCAAATACCTGCCATTCAGGAGGAGATGCAAATGAGGAAACAGGCCAGTGGAGCACTTGGGTTCAAGTTCTGAGTATGTTACTACCTGACTATGAGGCCTTGAGTAAATAAATGAATAAATAAATAAAACACCCAGTCCTTCTGTGCCAGCACTTTCTGAGTCCTCAATTGGATAAGTGGACACCCCTTCCACTTAGTTTGGGAGTTCATGGTATCAGCTCTTGCTGCATAAAAAGAACCCCCCAAACTTAGTGGCTTGTAACAACCACCATTTATTTAGCTCATGATGCTGTGTGTAACTCAGCGTTTGAGCTGGGTTCTGCTGGGTGGTTCTTCAGCATTGACTAGGCTCACTCATCCATCTGTGGTTAACTGCCGGGGCTGCTAAGGGCTGGCTGGTCCAGGCTGACCCAGCTGAGACAGTGTCTGTGTTCCATGAGCTTTTCATCCTTTAACAGGCTACCCCAGGGAGTCTCTGGACTCCAGGACAGAAGGACACAAAACCTTTTCAGACCTAGACCTAGGCCTGTCATGGTGCCACTGCTGCATCATTCTGTAGGTCAAAGCAAGTTACAAGGCCAGCCCAGACTCAAGGAGTGGAGAAACAAATTTCACCTTTTGATGGGAAAAGCAACAAAGTCACATTGAAAAGTCTGACTGCAGATACAGAGGGTGGAATAGTTTTGGCCATTTTTGCAAACAATCTGCTACACTTGTGAAATAATAGGCTCAAAATCACTTGGAAGAGCAGAAAGTCTTTACTGCAAAGAAAGATGCGAAGGGCAGAAAATCAGCTTAATCCCACAATCCCAAGGAACGCATTGAGAATGTATTTGTCTGTGTAATCCAGTCATTTCTCAGGCTCATGTAATGGTGTTTTGGGTGGAGTAGGAACCAGAATTTGAACGACCAGATGAACAGAATTAGATGAGAATCCTTTTTCTGGTTGTCTATTTGCAGCCTCTAAGAAGTGAAGTCTCCTGACTCATCCACATTTGAGTTTGGACATATGCTACTGGGACTAATGAATTTAGATAGCTTGGATGGTGGTCCAGTTTCGGGGACCCCCATGATGGGGGATGGTGTCTTTCGTGGTAAACAAGATATCTGACAGCATAAACAGCACAGGGAGGAGCTCTGGGTACTGTATAATGAATACAAGAAACTACCCTACCTCACAGTGGCATATGTGTTTTCTGGAAAGTCACAGCTGTCAACTGAAGGGGAGACATCTCTAAACTCAAATGCTTCAGGGGCTTAAGCAGCTTTGCTGTGTGACCCCTCTAAGTGAGTGTGATGCGGAGAGCATGTCATTCATTTCTTCCAGTTGATGATAGGACTTGCTGGCCACCGGGAGCTGGTGCCAGGAGAGATTTGGGTTTCTGGAGGATGGTGGATTTTCATCTCCAGCAGCACCAGCAAGGAAACAGCAGTTTCAGTGCAAAGAGCTGCGAAATCCCAGCCTTCCTAGCCTCATGGCACCTGGGTCTCTTTCACAGATACACGCAAGCAGTGTTGGAGCCGGAACTGGCCTCTAGAAATGTCGACCAGTTGTCATCCTCACCAGCAGACTACCGGAGTGTTTATTTCTCTTCTGCTTTCGCCAGCTCTGGACATTCTCACTAAAAAATAAAACAACAAATCCTGCATGGCTTTAAGAAGTCTCTTTATACATATGCATACATAGAAGCCGAAGGGTCCCGAAGCCATTCTGATTGGGCAACAATTTGGAAGACAAATGATGACAGCCACATTATGGGGCATGGCCAACCGACTGCCATCCTGCTTGAGAGGGTCCAGCAAGCTGCACACATTTGAATGTTCACTCGGGAGAGCGCTCCTCTCTTCCTCTTCAATTACCCAGCATGGTTACATGGTGCTTTTCACTCACCAAGCCCTGGAGGTTAATTACTCCACACGGTGCCTTTTACCAGCAGGAGGTGTGCCTTGGCAGTCCTCAGCCCTGCACGTGGCCTGCCCAGATGGGTGGCACATCCCGCCCTCGCTGGCTGCTGGGTTTCAGTTTGTTTTTGTTTATGTTGGCTCTGTTTCAACAGAGCCTACAGATGTGGTCAAACTGGAAAGGGGGTGGGGGACTAGAAGCAAAGGGGGGAAATAAAGGCGCCAATCATTTCTGATATCATCTGATCTGAGCAGAACTTTTTGAAGGGGGCAGTGAGAAAAGCCAGGCTTGGTCTGGGCCTCTGCTGCTTTCTATTTTCGGTCTCGTCTCCATCCCACCCAGAGAGTGGGAAGCCCAGGCACTGGGGCTCACCTTAAAGAGCCCGCGCAGAGCTTGCTCGAAGCAGCTCTGATTTCCAGGCCACAGGCAGGAACGGCTTGGCTCATTGGCCTCTTCTCCTCTTGGGGCTCCATGGGACTGGCTTAGTCCTAATGAGAGCTGGCAGACAGAGAGGAAGCAGGGTTGACAGAGAGCTGACTGCCCCTCCCCAGGCAGACTTTTCACCTGGCAGGTAAAAACCATCCCAATTAGCTGCCACAGCAAGGCTGAGCCTGGAGCTCACAGCCCATCCTGTCACCTGCCTTCCCTGGTGGCGGAAGCAGAAGCAAGACTGGGGGGCATGGTGGGTGGGTGGGGGGCTGTAGGCTGTGGGTGTGTGGGAGGACCCAGTTCCCGGAAGAGGCTGCACTTTCTCTGGGGTTTCCACAAAGCCCAGGAGATCTCTTCTGGGACAAACCCTTGCCCCAGCAGGCTTGGGGAGGGGCAATGAAAGAGTTAAGGCCCTCACTTCTTCACCCACCTCCCTGCTCCCCTATGACTGTTCCAGTGGCCCCCCCTTCCTTGTGGGGCTCCTGCGGCTTCCACAGGGAGCCAGGCAGGGCCCTGCCCTTGGCTACATCTGCCAAATGCAAATAGTTGCTAAAGTTATTTAGTGTGTCCTCACGGCTCCTTTTTGTCACTGGTGTTCCCTAGGCAACTGCTGCTGGAATGCAGTCAACTTCTAGAGGTTCTTCACAGGCAGGAATAGAAAATGGCTCTTGCTCACTTCTTGTTTGGGGGCTTCTCTGAGTGGATCCTTACATTGGGAACTAGAGTCCTTGTTTTTCTTATTTGAAAAGAGGACAGCGAGAGAAAGCTGACCAAACTGCCCTCTAGAAGTGGAGGAGGTGGAAATTCAGGGTCCCTTTGCTACTTTCGCTGGATGGAGGTGACCAGGGCTACAGAGAATGGCCTTCAACATGTTTATTTCCTTCTGCCAAGACCTTCCCACAGGAGCGACCTTCCCATAGAGCAAGAGAGGTTTCTCTCTTCTTTCTAAAGATTATACAGATCAGTCAACTTTATCTTAAAGCTATATTTCTCATATAAGCAAAACATTTCTTATAAAAAGTTGGAAAATACAGATAAAGTATAAAAAAGGGAAAAATCTCTATACACATTTCCCATAATCCCATCATCCACAGATGATCACTATTAACATTTTGATTACATGCTTATATTTGTATAGACGTCTTATACAAATTACCCCCAAACCCAATGGTTTTACAGCGGTTCTCAAACATTTTTGGTCTCAGGACACTTTTACACTTGTAAAGTCATTAAGGACCTCAAAGAACTTTTGCTAGGTCAGCTATATCTATCAATATTTACTGTATAGGAAATTAAAGCTGAGATAATTTTAGAATGAAGAATGCACACACATGTATTCTATTAACTGTCACAGCAATAATGTTATTACACATCATATAACCTATGGGAAAGTCCACTGTACACTCTTGAGAGTGAACAAGGCAAATAACATGTTAGTAGTATTAGCAAAAGAGTTTGGACTTTGCAGATCCTCTACTAGGGCCTCAGGGACTCCCCAGGAGTTCCCAGATCCCAGACCATGCTTTGAGAACTGCTGATTTTAAAACATTTAGAATTTGCTATTGCTTATGAGACCTCTGGTCAGCTGGAGGGCTCTTCTGATCTTGACTGAGCTCATTGGTGTATCTATAATCAAGTGTGACAGGTGAGTGGCTCTGCTGAACTTGGTGACTCCCTTATGTATTTGAGGGTTAGCTGGTTAGAGTCAGATCGAAGATGGCCTCAGTTGAGACTGCTAAGCTCTCCTCCATGGGGTCTCTCATCCTCCAGTAGGCTAGGCTGGGTTTGTGCACATGTCAATGTCAAGATTTTGAGAGCTGGAACAAGAGCAAGAGTGAGAAGGCAAGGTGGGTGGGGAGGGGGAAGAGAGAGAGTCTGAGAGAGAGAGAGAGAGAGAGAGAGAGAGTGCAGGAGTGCTCATGGCTTCTTGAGGTCTAAAGACAGGAGCACTGACTGTCAATTTCTCTATATTCTATTGACCAAAGTGACTCGCATGGCCAGGAGGTGCAAAATAGACTCTACCTCTTTTTGGGAATTGTGGCAAAGTCACATTATAAGGGGCATGGATAAGGGGAAGGGAATAATTGTGGCTATTTTTGCAGTCTACCACATACCTTATGTTTGCTTAATGGCTGCATTATTTTCCACTGAATGGACATGCTATAATTTATTCAGTCCTGATTGCTGGACATCAAGGTTGATTTTAATTTTCTCCTAATATGAATGAGGCTAGAATGAGCATTCTTGTGCATGAATTCCTAGAAGGGAAATTGTAGCAATAAAAGGTATGAGCTCTGTTAAGGTTCTCCATCCATTCTGCCAAATCTCTCTCCAGAGAGCCCGCACCAGTTTATGTTCTCACCAGCAAAGGAGGAGGAGACTGCCTGTTGAGAGACTGATTTCTGCAAGTGTGTGTGTGTGAAATCAATCACTTGTTAAAAACTGTTCTTTATGCCAAGTGTAGACAAGGCCTGTGGTCCTCAGTAATTAATTCTGCGGAGTGAAGAGCTACTCTTCAGCCTCCTTCACAGAAATGGCCACAGCTTGAAGAGACTGCTGGGGAGGAGGCTTGTTGGTAGACTGCTGGTTCTGAGTCCATCTATGGGCATCACTTTCCTTTCTAGACCCTCACTGGTCTTAAATAGTTATTTGTTAGAGATTCAAGATGCATCTCTTCCCAAGAGAACAAGAACTATCTTTTTTTTCTTAAAAAATAAAAAAAGGTAATCAAGAGTGCTAGAAATAGGGGACTGAGCTCAGGAATGGAGTCCTTAGCCCTTGGTGAAACAGTTTGACCTTGGTTGTGTGATGGTGAGGCTCTGTGTATGGGCCAGTTGACTGAGGGCAGAATCCACAAATCTGAAGTTATCCCTGTGTGCCTTACCCACTGATATGGTTTGGCTGTGTTCCCACCCAAATCTCATCTTGAATTGTAGCTCCCACAATCCCCATGTGTCATGGGAGGGACCTGGTGAGAGGTAATTGAATCACAGCGGGGGTCTTTCCCGTGCTGTTCTTATGTTAGTGAATAAGTCACATGAGATCTGATGGCTTTATAAGGGGGAGTTTCCCTACACAAACTCTCCTACCCGCCGCCTTGTAAGACATGACTTTGCTCCTTGTTTGCCTTCTGCCATGACTGTGAAGCCTCCCCAGCCATATGGAACTGTGAGTCAATTAAATCTCTTTCTTTTATAAATTACCCAGTCTCTGGTATCATCATTAGCAATGTGAGAACAGACTAATACACCCATTCTTCCCACCTTTTCACCCCATGATTCCTAGTGTCCACAAGTCAACAAACTGCTTAGTCCACGTGGCCCTGTATGTTGTTTTGCTTTATTTCTTACCATGCCCTGTATATCTTCTTGGCCCTACGGTGCTTCAAGCCCCTGCTCACTAGTTTCCAGAATAAACCCTGTTGAATCATTTTCACCTGGCACCTCTGCTTCTGCTGTTCCCTCAGGCAGAATTCCTATTCCAACCCTCTCTTTTTTCCATTCTTCATCTAGCTAATTAATAAGCATCCTTCAAAACCCAGCCAAAGGAACTCCAAACGTTCACCTGTGAGGGTGTGTTGAGACTCCCAGTCCCTGAATTGACTCATCTAGTAACAGCAGCTCTGGAGGAGATGTGGGAGCCCTGGTTCTTGCTTTATCCTAGCTGTGTGACATTTAGCAAGGCAAGTGATCTCTCTGTGCTCCAGTTTTTCTCTTCTCTAACATGAAAATGACCTTAGACTCATGTTTCATTTCCAGTTATTGCATTAATAGAAGTATGTGACATTATAATTGCTACAAATGCAAAACAAGTGTTTTTTTGTTTTTTTTTTTTAAAGTCCTACCTTATGTTCCCTTGAAAAGCAGAGGATAAGACAAGGGCTTGCATGCAGATAATTTCTTTTGAAGAAGTGATTTTTGGGAAAAGGTGTTGGGGGCTAGGGGAGAGGGCAACAGGGATTGCAGTCCAATTTAGGTGCATTAATGAATCCGACACCAATGTGGGCATGGGTCCCTCTGAGGAGCAGTGGAGAATGCACCTCAGCATGCTCTACTCAAGACATAGAAGACGGAAATATTTTTCCCTACACAGGTTAAATTTGCTCCTGCGGTTTGTACCCAAAGTGTTGCTGGGGTGGGGCAGCAAATGGCCAAGCAGGTCTCTAGGGCACCTACGCTGCAGCAGAGAAGCCCTAAAGAAAGCAAGAAACACTTTGTGTGGATGAAGTGAAGCACTCTTGGGTTGCCACAGCTCTGGCAGAAGTGGGCTGTAAGAGTGTGAGATGGTGCATAAAAGACGTCGGGCCCAACGCTGAAGTCTACATTTGTCATCCCTGAATCCTGACCTCTAAGCACCGTGCCTGGCTTGGAGCAGGCATTAATCCACATGGTAAATGTGGAATGGAGGGAAAAGTTCCTGTTGTATTTGTTCATGGCTCTCAGCCACTGGTTACAGTGGGGAGATGTTTATCTTCTACCTTTTCTTATTCTATGGTGCTCATGTCTCTTTGGGGACTGGAAGGAGAAAGTGCTCTGCTTATGGAATGAGGTTGGTCAGGCTGACCTCAGTGAGGAGGTTGGGTTAGGTGAGGGCTTTTTCAGTTGTATACTCCAGGCACCTTGTGGAAAAAGCTGCAGTGTTGGGTAGGGTGACCTGGGTGGATCAGGAAACATTTCTTCTTCCTTTCCCATCTCCCATCCTTCCTTTGTTCCTTGTGCTCCATTTACTCTGAACCTAATACCTGAGAATCATCTGAAATAGCAGCAACCAGCCTTTGCAAAGCATGGCATTTGGCAAAATGTATTCTATGGAATTCCAGTTCTGTTCTCCTTCTCATCAACCAGAGCGGTTCCACTTTTGCCTCTTTTATATCCTGAGATTGCATGTATTTATCAGTTGGGAATTGGGTGCAAGCAACAGAAACCAACTTCTTTAACTAAAAAGAAAAGAAATCTATTGAAAGTGTTATGCAAACCAGAGGTCTATGGCCAAAGAAGTTTGGGAAACAGGGAGTTGAGCAAAGTCCATAGGTCTATCTGTTGGGGGACTTCTCAGGATCTTTAGTCTGCTAATAAAAATCTCCAAGAGAGAAATATCTTTTGCAAAGTTTTCCAAATTCATTACCTCAATCCCAAGACGTGCTGATTGTAAGATGCAGCCACACTTTAATAATAGCCTTCCAGGGTTCAAACCAAAAAGGAACACTATCACATCAGGTGTGCAAATTGATTTTAAGAAGCAACCTGATTTCATAACTTTGTTTATTTGTTTTAAGGCAACATATGCAGAATACTTACCATGTGCCAGACACTATTTTAAGAGCTTTTATATAAAATGACTGACTTAATCCTGTCTTTTGAGGTGGATGTGGGGCCAAGAGGGGCCTGAGAATGCACTTCTCAGATCTCTTACTGCAAGAGCATAATTGACCAAGGGCCCTGGTTGCTGCATTCTAAATCCACCTCCACACTGGGCAGGGGCCTTGCTTTCACAGGCTGCTCTCAGTCAATAACTGAGCACATCAGGAATACTGATGTAGGTCCCTTCCAGGGAGACGCAGGGCTCCTTTGATGGTTGACTTTGACTCAAAAATTCCTCAAAACTTTGCCAAAAGTTTCTTAGAACTGCACTGCAATATAAGGCTATTTCTACCCAATCTTTCTTCCTTCCCTTTCCTTTTTTGTAGGAATTAGGTCTACATAGAGGTTTCACAACTTTTCCAGCCTCCTCCTGCTTCTCCCCATACTCTTTCACAGGTGTTTCCCCAAACAAATTTCTTGCACATCTAATCTCATCTTGAACTAACACAGTTGGATCTTTTATTTCATTTCCAGTTTACAGATGGAAAGTTGAGGACCAGAATGGTTAAGTACCTTGCCCAAGATCAGATGGCTAGTAAGTGGCAGAGCTGTTAATCAAACCAAGGTAGTCAGATTTCAGAGGACTTGTTTTTATTCACTTCATGACACAACCTTGCATTTACTATTAATACGTGAAAAAGGAAGAAAGTGCATCTTCGGATCTAGAAAATTAGAGATTTTATTAAGGGACTCGTTGTTTTTAAAACTTTTATCTTAGGCTCAGGTATACATGTGCAGGTTTGTAATATAGGTAAACTCGTGTCACAGAGGTTTGATGTACAGATTATTTCATCACCCAGGTACTAAGCCAATAGTTATTTTTTCTGATTCTCCCCTTCCTCCCACCCTCCACCCTCAAGTAGGCTCCAGTGTCTGTTGTTCCCCTCTTTGTGCTCATTGATTCTCATCATTTTGCTCCCACTTATAAGTGAGAACATGCAGTATTTGGTTTTCTGTTCCTGCGTTAGTATTGCTAAGGATAATGGCCTCCAGCTCCATCCATGTCACGATCTAATTCCTTTTTATGGTTGCATTGTATTCCATAGTGTATATATACCACATTTTCTTTATCCAATCTGTCATTGATGGGCATTTAGGTTGATTCCATGTCTTTTCTATTGGGAATAGTACTGCCATGAACATATGCGTGCACATATCTTTATGATGGAGTGATTTATATTCCTTTGGGTATATATCCAGCAAAGGGATTACTGGGTTGAATGGTAGTCCTGTTTTTAGGTCTTTGTGGAATTGCCACACTACTTTCTACAATGGTTGAAGTAATTGACACTCCCACCAACAGTGTATAAGCATTCCCTTTTCTCCATAAGCTCACCAATCTGTTATTTTTGACTTTTTAAAAGTAGCCATTCTTACCGGTGTGAGGTGGTACCTCATTATGGTTTTGATTTGCATTTCTCTAATGATCAGTGATATTGAGCTTTTTCTCATATGCTTGTTGGTCTCATTGATAAGAACAGATGTCACACTTGATCTTAGCCAAAAAGCTGCGAAGCAATGGGACTCATTTTTTTTTACAGAGCATCTTGTCGGTGCAGGATGCTGGGAGCTATGCCTTGGGAAATGCTGGCAGAGTACTTTGAGATGTGTATCTGTCATTATGACCTGAGGGGGTCATGGTACCAGTATGCCTACATAGGCCAGAGGACTGGAAGAGCAGAGATGGGGAATGGGTCTGATGCCATGAAGGAGCCCTCCAAGGCTGTCTGTCCTGCTGTTGCTGTTTATAGTGACCTGGGAGAAGTAAAGGAGAGACCACTTTATTCCCTTGATCTCTGCATGGCCCCTGAGCTTCACTGTGGTATCTCCTTGTCTCCCATATTCTGGCAAGGCAGCTACCATGGTGTGGTAGAAAGGCCGTGGCTCTGGGAATAGAACACCATCAGTAAGCAGTGCTGAGATCTTGGCAAATCAGCAGACTTCTCTTGCTTCTCTTTCCTCACCTCTACAAAGAGGATGGGATGAGACCAAGGGTTTCACATTAAGCTCTTTGAGGCCTTGGTGGCACTCTGGAGATAACAGGGAGGCTATTGTTAGGGGTATGATTCAAGGGAGGAGCTCTTGCTCACTCTTCCCCATTTCAATAGAGTATCTCTATTTTTATCCATTTTAAATATTAGGGTTCTGTGAGTATCAGTAAGCATTACTGGTTGCTAGCTGTAGAAACAGACTTCCCTACCCAGAGAAGGAAACTAATTAAAAGGACGGTAGAGGTAGAGAGAGTTATTCAAAGATTAAATAAGATGCTGGAGGGCCAGGCTTGGGGTTGGAGGAAACAATGCCAAGAGAGTTCTGAAAAGCTGGATTGGGAACCCCAGCAGGTGGGCATGCTGCCATCATGCAGGCTGCCTTCCAGCCAGACCATTAGCCTTGGCTTTCTTGTTAAGACTGAATCTAGGGAGAAGGCTTTCAGTGGGCTGAGCCTGCCTCTGGGGCAGGAAGAGAAGCCATGACCTCTTGGACTTCCAAAGTGGGCAGTGGTCACCCAAAAATCTTTCCAACCAAGACCTCACAAAGAGTCATGAGGTGTTTTTCTAAGAAGTAAGCCAGGTTCTCTAGGAAAAAGGAATAAATGATCAACAGTCCCAAATAACAAATATTCACTCTATCCATATGATTCTATTGGCAGAAGAGTTCTATTGTACATTCATTTGGAAGGCATCAGGCTAAGGGCCCTTCCCACATGACAACTAGAGAAGTTCATCCCATCCAGCTGTTCAGTCTCCAGCCAGGAGAGGAGGGGGCAGGAACTCTCTGGCTTCTTGACCACAGAACTGCCCCACATGCCACTGTAAGCCCCAGTTCTCCTGACAGCTGGTGGGGAGACAGCAGGAAGACCACTGCCTTGGCTTGGGTTACCCCAAGAAAGCAGAGCTACAGAACAAAGGCTTGCATGCAGGTAGTTTATGTTGTCCTCACAGACTGGAGACAGGGCAGGAAAGAAAGCAATGCAGAATATGTTATTGAGCCGATCATCACTGTGGACCATGGGGCTCAGGGCTGCCAGGACCCTCTGAGAAGCCACGTAGAAGAGTCCTAAGAATTGTCTAGCTGAAGAACAGAGAGGGAAGTAATTGTATACTGGCTCCTGCCCTCCATGGGTCAAAGATTGCCCATGATGTGTTGGGTTTGGTGTGTTGGGTTTGGGCAGGCAGCAGAATAGCAGAGTGCGTTCCTGCATGAAATGGCAGCCGGGAATCCCCAGTGTGAAAAGTGAGAGATGTGGGCACACGTGATGGCTGCAGCATCGGCTGGAGGCAAAGCGTGGGTGGGGAGGGTGGAAGGCAGGGCACCAGGGGCGTTCAATGCAGCAACCCCTTGGCTACTTTCCTCTGCCTCATCCCTCTTTGAGGGACACAGGCACATGATGTGCCTGATATTCAGGTCGCAGGAGGCTTCTGCATGGTTTGCTTGTTGGCTGGTGGGCATTCCAGCCAGTGAGGAAGGGGTCACCTTTGACTCCACACAGCATGGCATCTCTCAGAGTTTGGGGACCGACATTTCATAAGGGACCTCACCCTGCTTCCCAGCATCTCTCCCTTCGAGTCTGTATATTCATCCAAAGGCAGTCTGTATTCCAAGAGGGAAATCTGCCTCCTGCTCACCCTACAAGCTGGCTCTGCCCCAAGGGTGAGGTTCAGTGTGCGGCAGCCAAGGGCCTGCAGTCAATGGGGACAGAAAGGGAGCCTGTGCCATGCTCGGGCCAGGGCAATGGAGGCTTGAGCAGGCAAGGTCCCGGCTTTTGCGCAGGCTGCCTGTAGAAAGGGGGAGAAAGCATGCCTGCAAAGCTGGCTGGGCCTTGGCCAACCTGTCCAAACCTCTCAGGAGGTTTGTTGCTTGAACTGCAGTATCTGAGGCCTGCAAATGGGCCTCACCAGAGGCTTGAGATATTTTTATGAGTTTTTATTTCTAACATCCATTCGCCTCTGGCTCCCTTGCCAGTTGACACGGGTCAGACTCTCTTGTGACATGACTCTTCACGGCACCAAAGGCCCAAGCCTTGCACTGTAACCCCTTGGTGGAAGAGATTGCTATGGTTATGATTTTATTTTCAGTAAGTGTTCATGAATAATCTATTCCACTTACCAACACTTATCAGATCCCAGGCACTGTGCTAAGGACTTAACATACCTTCTCTCATTTTTCCCTACATAATTCCCTACTCATCCTTTGGATCTTAATTGTCCCTTCCTTGGGGAACATCTTCCTTGACTTGGTCACCCCTGCTCCCCCCATGCCCTTATTATGTGCTCTGATTGCACCACAAACCTTCTGCTTGAAGTACCTATCTATCTCTGTTGACATTTTACTTTTATTCGTGTCATTTTTTTAATTCACGTCTGTCTCCCATGCTGGAAGAAAAGTTGGTGGCCCATGCTCACCACCACATCCCACACCTAACACAGGGCCTGCCTGGCACATGGGAGACACTCACTAAAATGCATATGCAAAGAAACAATGATGGACTATCTTTCTCAGAACCCTACAGAGTATATTTTACACTAAGACTCGGAGAGGTTAAACAGCCGGCCCAGGGTCACATAGCTGGTAAAGGTAGAGGTAAGATTTAAATGTGTGTTCATCTGGCCTCAAAGCCAGGACTTCACTAGTGTGCTCTGCAGCCTTCTAGCGTTCAAGGGTATTTTCTCTCTTCCCCTGCCTGGTCCCACCTGTGAAGGGCAGAGGGGTCCTGCCCCAATCTCTGGCCCTCTCGTTTCACCTCCTGCCCCTCTCACTAGGGTCCTGACTTCCGCCCTCTGACCCTTCCAGCTGTGAATCCTGTCCCTTGCAAATGCGTCTGTTGCCATTCAGCAGTCTCTTGGCTGGCAGTGCAGGTCTCCATCTGCTGTAATGGCATGGTGCCTGCTCACAAGATGGCATGCTATTTTTACCCAGCTTAGGTGCCAAGCCGGCCAGATGTTTTTCAGCAGCAAAGGGAGGTTGAGCATTGCTGGGGTGTGGAGGGATGCTTCCAAATGTCAGCTCCTCAGTGGGGCTGGGGCAAGGGATGGCTCTGGGACAGGCAAAAGAAGCGCTCTGCCTGGAAGTGGGCACCTCCAAGAAGTGTCATTCCTGGCATCTGTCTGGGGCTCTGGCAGTGTGCCAGGAACTGGCTGCTGGTTCTGAACTCTTGCCGGGCTGGGATGAGTCTACTGCAGGAAGGAAATGCTCTGGGTCAGCGTTCCCAGTGAGTGCACGTGCTTCTTCCTCCCACTGGGGCCCTGGAGTCGCTGGACCCAGATGGTGACACCTGGAGGGCTTCCATGGCTGAACTGGCTGCTTGGAAAATTCCAAGTTTGGCTGGCGGCTCTGGTCTGGAGGAAATGGAGGAGCTGGCTGGATCAGGCTGAGTCCAGGCATTTGCTGTGATCATTTTTCCCTCAGAGCAGATGGAGCCAGAGGTCTGGCGATCTTAATCCCTGCTCTCTCCTTCCTGTGGGGGGTGACCCTCAGTTGAGAAATACCCCCCCAAATGACAGCTAGATGCAGGGGTGTGCGGCATAGCCCCGCTGGCCCAGCTCCCTGTTTTCCTAACTTCTCCACTCCTGTGTGACCTTGAGCAAGTCACATCCTCTCTGAACCTCAGTTTCCTCATCTGTAAAACATCCAGAGCCCCTCCCTGCCAGATCTGGGAGCCTGTATTGCAGTGAGTTGCAGGGAATCAGTTGTTGCCAAGCTTTGCTGACCTTTCCCCAAAACCAGCCATCCTCAGACCTGCCATGGGAGACGAGCAAACTCTGCTCTTCTGCCCTGATGTGTTCAAGTTCCATATCTAGATGCAAATCCCATTTCCTCCCCCAAGGAAACATTTCAGAAACCTCAGACCCCCTACAAGAGGCTGCCTCCAAGTCCAGGCTTCCGGACAAAAGACCCCCTTCTCCATGAAGGATGGGAGTGCATGTGGAGAGAGAGGAAATGTTTGCAGCTGTGGCAACCCGGCTGAGATAATCAGACTTCAGGGAGGGGTTCTTGAGGCCTAATTGAACACAGCAGTCTGGCAGTGCTGGGTACAGCCCAGGAGACGTCAGCCCTGGATGGGCAAGGAGGCCAGGGCTTCTCAAACTTGAATGTGCATCTGAGCCACCTGTGCATCTCATTCCAAGGCAGATGATTCAGTCGGTGCAGGTGGGGCCTTTGCATCTATGCGGTGGGCAGAATAACAGCCCCTCAAAGATTTCGCTTCCTAATCCCCAGGACCTGTGAATATGTTGGTTTACATGGTTAAGGGACGTTAAGTTTGCAGATGGAATTAAGGTAGCTGAGTGGCTGACTTTGAGATGGGGAGATTATCCTGGATTATGCAGGTGGGCCTGGTGGAATCACTGGGTGCTTATGTGGAGGAGAGGGAGGCAGGAAGAGAGGTCAGCATGAAAAGGACTCAACCTGCTCTTGCTGGCCTTGAAAGTGGAGGAAGGAAGTCACGAGCCAAGGGATGCAGGCAGCCTCTAGGTGCTGGGGAGAGCAAGGAGGTGGATTCTCCCCCCAGAGCCTCTAGGATTGCAGATTTGAGATCCTGCTGACACCTTGATTTTTGCCCAGTGAGACCCATTTCAGACTTCTGAACTACAGAACTTTAAAAGAACACATTCATGTTGTTTGGAGCTACTAAGTTGGTGGTAATTTGTGACAGGAACAATGAGAAACTCCTACAGTCCACATTTCTGCCAAGCTTCCTGGTGGTGCTTCCAGGCCACACTGTGAGTAACAAAGCTTCAGGCTGCCTGAGGGTGGGGCTTCTTCCTAGGCCAGGTGAGGACCTGGAGGTGGGAGAAGGCTGTTCAATGGCTTCCATGAAAGCTGGCTTTTGACACTGTTTTGTCTCTGTCCCTTCGTTCCTCCCCACACGATTGTTGGAGGTCTCTTGGTTGTTTCTTACTATGTTCCAAGTCAGGAGTTCCTGGTTTGTGGGCTGGGAGTGCTGGGGGAGTTACTGTAAAGGCCCCTGTTCTCCTGAAGATGAGCACTGTCTGTTACCCAAACAAATGAGACCTCAAGTAAATTGCATTTCTTTTGTTCAAATGAATGCAGGTGCCACGAATAGGACCCCACTGGTGGGGGGTGGTTTAGAAAAGAGGCTCTGTCCTTTGGCTAAAATCTAAGCTCTATAAGCACCCAGGTGTCCCTGTGTAGTCTGGACCCTCCCTCCTCCTCCCAGCCCACCTGGCTCTTTTCCCCTCATCACACATAAAGCTCCAGTACCAGTGGTTTCTTCCATCCTTGAACATGGGTCCTTTCTGCCTTGACAGACTCAGGGGCCTCCTCTTCATTCTCTGGACTTGGGTTAAGAGCTGCCTTATCAGAGGGGCCTTCTCTGACCACCCTGAGAGAGAATGGCTCACCTGATACTCTTTCTTAGTGTTCTGGGTTAGTGTCCTTTATTACAGTTTGTGGCTGTGTATTTATTTGAGGGCTTTGCCCACCGCCTGTCTATCCCTTTGGATTAAGCTCAGTGAGGGCAGGGCCTGAGCATTTTGTGTCCACCCATGCCCGGCACATTCAGCATGTGTCATGTGCTTAATACAAATTTGTTGACCAGGGAATGAATGAATGAATGAATGTACATCTAAGCCCTCATGCGGAGAATTCCAGAGTTTGTCTTCTTTCCTTGATGCTCTGAGCCTCCCTTCTGGACCGCTTCTGAGCAGTCTCCTAGACTGCTTATCCCTCTCAGAAAATAGGAGCCCTGTCGTTGACAAAATCGGTCCCTGCTTTCCTTAACATTTCCCCCTACCTTTTTTGTCTCTCCTTCCCATCTCCATTGTTTATCTCTGCCACAAGGAGCATGGTCTTTGCTGCTCTCTTCTCAGTTTGATTGGTTGCCTCCTAAAAGGAAAAAAAAAAAGTTGCATTCTTGGTGCCTGGACATCCTTTCTCCCATTTTAATCGCGAGTCAGTAGGGCTTTTGTATGGGATGAAGCTGAATACTTGTATTTACTTTTGTTTTATTCCCAGAGTTTTTCTTGTTCATGTGAGTGCTGGCAGCTGCCAGAAGAAATATTCTGTTTCTGGCCTCCCATCTTGGTGGGGGATGTGCAGGCTGAGAACACAGGAGCTGACTTCTATTGTATCAGCTGAGACTGCAGGGTAGACTGCAAGAAGTGCCTCCTTGCTGATGGACTGGTGAGACAGCAAGATGCTTCCTCAGGCTGCCAGGGAGCAGTTGTCCCTGGAGAGGTCTGGGAGAGACATGACCCTGCTGTGTGGGGCTGGAGGCAGGGGGTGGGCAAGATCCAGACATGAAGAGCCTGGGTAATGGCTGACTTGAGTTTACTCTTTTTTTTTTTTTTTTTTTTTTTGAGATGGAGTCTTGCTCTGTCACCTAGGCTGGAGTTGGAGTGCAGTGGTGCGATCTGACTCACTGCAACCTCTGCCTCCCGGGTTCAAGCGATTCTCCTGCCTCAGTTCCTGAGTAGCTGGGACTACAGGTGTGCACCACCACTCCTGGCATATTTTGTATTTTTGATAGAGACACTGTTTCACCGTGTTGGCCAGGCTGGTCTCAAACTCCTGACCTTAGGTGATCCACCCGCCTCGGCCTCCCAAAGTGCTGGGATTACAGGCATGAGCCACCATGCCTGGCCAAGTTTACTCTTTATACTTTTCTTTATTGGTGACATTTTCTACCACGAGTAGGAATTATCAAAAGTCTCATATCTGTATAGATGAGAAAATGGAAACTGAGAGAGGTTTAACTTGTTCATGGTCATACATTCAGAAGAGTGAACTCAAGTCTGTCAGACTCCAAATCTTAAATATTTCTTGCTGCCCACCACTTCCTCTTGTGCACCTGAAAACTTTCCACTATGCTCTACAGGTATTTGTGTATATACGTTAATTCCTAAAAAGAGATGTTTAGATGTGGCTTGGTGGATCTAGGACTGCTTCCTGGAGGAGGTGCAGTGTTTGCATGTGTGTAAAGGCTGTGTAGTGCCCATTTGAAGTTTGTCTTCTCAGCATCCATCCCTCCTGCTTCCAGCAATAAGGACTAATTTTGGTTGGTGGCAGGGTAGATGCACCCTTCACACATTTTCAGTCCTTCTTGTCTGGGTAGGGCCCTAAGCCCAGCTCCAGGGGTGGCATATAGGGCCTGAGCCTAAGTCAGTCGGTGCATCCCATCCCTCTGGCCATAGTGATTGGTTCAAGGATGGGGATAGATCCTAAGCGGGTTCAATCAGAGCAAAACTCAAAACTTTTGAGGGAGCTGCCAGAAAATGTTTTATTTCTATCCAGCTGGAATTAAACTTGGGAAGACGTGAGGTTGACAGTTTGGTAGCCATACTGTCAACATAAGAGAAGACTCTGGAGTGGAAGGCCGAGCAGGAAGATGGATAAAAATTGAGTCCTAATGTCACAGTTTTATCCTTGATCCAGCCATGCCTGAAGCTGGACTTACCTTTAAACTTTTCAGCTATATGAACCCATAAATTCCCTTTTTGTTTGCTTAAGTCTGCTTGAGTTGGTTTTTCTGTCACTTTTAATGGTAAGACCTCTGGTTGATACAGGCAAGGAAGAAATGGCAGCACATTGTAGGTTGGGGACAGCAGTACAAAGAGAAGCACATGGCTACCTGGGAAGTGTGATCATGAGGAAGTCTCATATCTCAGCAAGTCCATCATGTGTATCCAGCTGGAGAAAAAAACGAATAGAATACACTGTCTTGGGATATAGTAAGACAGGAAAAGCCTTGCCGCACAAAAGGATGAAGAGTATGATGCTGTTTGGCCTGAGGCTTAGTGTCCTGGAGAGTTAGTTGGTGTTTTCCTGGAGAAAGGGTTGTGTGGTCCAATAAATTTGAGGAACTTGGGAACAAGTTTATAGCAAAAGCTATAAAGCATTTGCTACCAGACCTTTTGAAGCCTTTACAATGCTAAGATGTATTGTGAGCTCCGAGAAGGACAAAGAGAATGTGTACGTTTCTAGAGCTTATTTTTCTTGGAGCATCTCCTGGGACCAGCATTGCAAAGAATATACTTTGGGAAACTTTGGCTTGAAGAGTAGTTACTGTTCAGGCTGCAAAGGAGCCTCTTTCTTGGCTGAAAAACTCCCCTGAGGCATGAGCAGTGATCTAGAACCATGGGCAAGATTGAAGTGACATTCAGGAAAGGAAGGTGGCTCTTGATTCAAGGGCCTCAGAAATACTTCCTGTCCTTCAGTCTCCCTCTGGCCAGCTGGCAACAGGGGCTGAAATTCCTCTGAGTAGAGTCTAGATCTGGGCTTGGAGCAACAGCTTCCAGAAATTTCTGTTGAAGTACAAACACAGAGCTGCTTGGTGGTAATATCTAGTCTGCATTCATTCATTTATTCATTCAATACCTACTGAGTTGAATTATTGAGTACCTGCTGTATGCCAGGTACTGGTCTAGGTGGTAATGATCCATCAGTCAATCAGACAGAAGTTCCTGCCCCTGTGGAGCTTCAACTCTAGCAGATGGAGGCAGACAGGAAAGTACGTATTCATGTAGATAGTATGCTCTGTGATTAAGTGCCAAGATCAATAGCCCTGGCCAGGAAGTTTGGGAGTGCCAGAGAAGGGATATTAAGTAGGGCTCCCAGGGTGGGCTTCATGGAGAAAGAGATGTTGGAACAAATCCTTGGAGGAGGGAGCCATGAGGCCATCCAAGAACGGATGTTCTAGGCACCATGAGGCCATCTGAGGAGAAATGTTCTAGGCAGTGGGAATGCCAGAGTGAGCGCCCTACCGAGGGTGGGGGATGGGAGCAGAGGAGTGCCTGCCTGGTGGAGGAACAGCAAGAATTTCAGTGCATCTGGACCAAGTGATCAAGGGAGAGAGGAGGTGATGTTCAGCGAAGTAACTGTGAGACTAGGTCCCAGACAGCCTCACAGGATTTTGGTTTTCATGCTGAGCAGGGTGTGTAGCCATTGCAGGGTTTGAGCAGAGGCAGAACAGGACCTGACTTAGATTTTTAAAGGATGGCTCTGGCTGCTTTGAGATGCAAGTGTAATGGCGAAGGGTGAGGGCTGGAAGATCAGGCAGCAAGCTTTGCAATTTTCCAAGAAAGAGATGATGGCTTGACCCAGGGCCTTGGATGAGTGGAGGCGGGGAGCAGTAGATGGATGCTGGATGTATTTTGAAGGTGAAACCAACAGGATGTTCCAACAGATAGGATGTGAGGAGTGAGAGTAAGTTTGAATCAAGAATAACTCTTGGCCCATAGAACTGGTTGGATGGAATTGTCATTCATGGAGATGGCTAGGCCTGCACTGTGTCTAAAAAAAAAAAAAACAGCAAGGCAATGTTTAAAAATTGGAAGATTCTACTTTTTTTTTTAATCCACATTTTAATCCACTCTTGAACAATGGAAAGATCTGGTAAAACTGGGCTCATCTTTTGCCTGACTCCCGTGGCTTGGAGAGGGCTGGAGCTCCTCCCTAGATGGACAGGAACTCTCGAGTTTCTTCCTTTAGCTCTCCAGCCTGGCCCCTTAGGGGTTTGGGTGGGAGAACCTAAGGACCAGTAATAAATAGCACAGTGGTTCTTAAGCTTAAGTGTGCATCAGCATCACCAGAAGGCTGCTTAAAACAGCTGCTGGGCCCACCCATAGAGCTTGTGATTCAAGAGGTCTGAAGTTGTGCCTGAGAAACTTTGATCCTTACAAGTTCCCAGATGACACTGATGCTGCTGTCTAGGACCCACACTTTGAGAAGCTGTGAAAAGGCATGTTCTCCCATTGGCATACCTAATCACATGCTTGCAGACAAGGTTCTCCCATCAGCTGGGAATGGCCGACAAGACGGATGCATTTTGATGGTAATGGGAGAGGAGAGTGACAGCTCAGATGTGGGGACATCTAATCAGTCATGAGGTATTTGAGCACGGGGGGTGCTTCAAGGTTTGTCAGGGCTGCTGAAGGCAAACTTGGCTTGCTTTCTTGTTTTTGGCAGAAGCTGGCTCTTCTGGGTCAGGGTCACTAGCAACTGGGGCAGGGAGCCAAGGCCCCACCAGGATCCAGCAAGACCCTAGCGGGAGACAGTCTGTTCCGGAGAATCCAAGGAAAGGATGAACAGTTCTCTGCAGCTTGCGCAAACTGCTTGCATAAGCTTTATTTATTTCAATTAAGCTGCAGGCTCATTATGCAGCCACAGTGCTCACCCTTCCTCGGGGAGAAGCAGAAATCACATTTCCATCTGCTTCTCCAGCTTGGAGAGCCCCAAGCACGGGGACAGTGGCCACTCCAGGGCTGGCCTCCTGGTTACCCCAAATATGGGAGGTTGGAGAAGAGTTCTGGAGCCTCTTTAAGCTGTTCAAAGTAAAGGTTGCAGATCTGGCCTATGTTGAGGGCAGCAGTGTGAGAGCAGGATAAGCCACTTTTTCTTTTCTTCTTGACAAAGAAAATATTTCTCTGTACATCTGGTTTGTGTTTTTCTTTAGGGTTCTGCCAGAAACAATTGTGAAAACAGAATGCAGCCCAAGAGATCGAAAGAATCTATCCATTCCTCTGGAATTCTCCATCTGTCCTGTTGGACCCATGTTAAGATTTGAGGAATTCCTCAATGTGAAGTCACTGGGCTTTAAAAATATCGCAGGCAGTCTTTGTTTGGTTTGCCAGTGCAGTTTCTCACCTTCAAATGTTGGCTTCTGGCCCTTCGTCCACCTAGAATGCTCTCCCCATTCCTACCTTCTATGATTCAGTCCACTCATTCGCATATCAAGTATTTATTACACTTCTCTGTGTCAGACTCAGGGAGATGTCCTGGGGACAGATCAGTGGTGAGTAGAACAGTTGCCACCATGGTGAAACTCACCCTGTGGGAGGGGTGGGTAATAGACACACATCCTCTAACCAATTAAAAGAATTACTGGTGATGTTTCTTAGGAAGCAGTGCTTCTCTAATATCTGTGGACCTGTTGTTTTCCATTTCTCATCGATCACAGATAGATACGTGGTCCTATTGTGCATGATTTGTGTGTACAGTTTACCCATGAACAACACGAGTTTGAACAGTGCGGGTCCACTTACGCCCAGATTTTTTATTGTAACTGCAATTGACCCTCTGTATGGGCAGGTTCCACATTTGCAACCAAACATGGATTGAAAATACAGAATTTGCAGGATGTGAAACCCACATACATGGAGGGCAAAGTTTTCATATCCTTGGATTCCTTAGGGCTGACCGCAGGACTTAAGTATGCATGGATTTTGGCATACATGGGGGTCCTGGATCCAATCTTCCACAGATACCAAGGGACAATTGTAGTTTGTACCATGTGAGTTGGGCAATATTTGAGCTGGTCTAAATCCTGTATCAGGAGAGGAGTTCCCTGATCACTTGCTTAGATGTCACAGTGATGTCAAGCTGCAATAAAAGTTTCTAAGTACTCAAATTCCGCATCTTGACATGGACACATAATAATCTGTTGGTGGCCCAGCAACAGGTCCACACTTTGAGTGGCACTTTATCAAGGACAGGAGAATGTGTTAGGAGAGAGAATACCGGGGGCTGGGTGATCAACAAAGGCTGCTTGAGGAATTGACACCTGGAAGATAAGTAGAGGCAGTCAAGTTGGGATGTAGAGGGATCGGCGTTCCTGGGAAAGGAACAGCATATGCCAGAGCCCAAAACTGGAAAGAGCTTGGCCTGTTGAGGAATGAAAAGATCATCAGAGGTGAGGGAACGTGTATTAAAAGCTGAGAGTTGGTTAGAAATGAAATGCAGAGCGATGGAAGGGCAGGGCGGCGGGGGAGAGTGATCTGCTCCCATTTTCATTTTGAGAAGGTTCCTCTGGTTGTGATTGGAGCACCCTTGTGGGTCAGAGTTTCAGGGTAAGGGTTGGCACTAGTGGAAGAGGGAAGAGGTGTTGGGAGCTATTACAGAGACTTGAGTGCGTAGTAGTCTGCTAGGACTGTCATACCATGAATAAAGTACCATACACTGGGTGGCTCGGAGTCGCACAAATTTACTGTCTTACAGTTCTGGAGGCTAGAAGTCTGAAATCAAGGTGACTGAAGGATCGATTCCTTCCTAGGGCCATGGGGGAGAATCGGTTCCACGCCTCTCTCCCAGCTCCGGGTGGTTTGCTGGCAATCTTTGGTGTTCTTTGGCTTCTGCTGCATTGCTCTGATCTCTGCCATCGTCTTCATGTGGCATTTCTTCCTGTGTGTGTCTCTCTCAGGGTCCAAATTTTCCCTTTATATAAGAACACAGTTGTACTGAATTAAGGCCCACTCTAATGACCTCATTTTAACTTGATCACCTGTAAAGAAAGATCATATCTCCAGAGAAGAGCACATTCACAGTTCCTGGGGGTTGGAACTTCAACATCTTTTTAGAGGATGCACTTTGACCTATAACAGGGTGAGAAAGTAGTTGCTTACATCAAGTTGGTGGCAGAGGCAAGGCAACAAATGAGATGTATCCAAAAGATATTTTAAAGTTGAACTTAACAGGACTGGGTGACTGACTGGCTGGTTGTGTGGAGAGGAGGGAAAAGTCTTAGAGCTATGCTTCCCAAATTTTAGCATGAGCTCATTTGGGGATTGCTATGATCTGAATGCTAGTGTCCCCCTAATATTCACATGTTGGAACCTAATACCAATGTGATAGTGTTAAGATGGTGGGCCCTTGGGAAGTGACTGGGTCATGAGGGCTCCACTCTCATGAATGAGATTAGTGCCTTTATAAAAAAAAAGTCTTAAGTGCTGGGTGTGGTGGCTCAAGCCTGTAATCCCAGCACTTTGGGAGGCCAAGATGGGCGGATCACTTGAGGTCAGGAGTTCGAGACCAGCCTGGCCAACGTGATGAAACCCCGTCTCTATTAAAAATACGAAAATTAGCCGGACACGGTGGTAGGTGCCTGCAATCCCAGCTATTCAGGAGGCTGAGGCACAGGGATTGCTTAAACCCAGGAGGTGGAGGTTGCAGTTAGCTGAGATTGCACCACTGCACTCCAGCCTGTGTGACAGAGCAAGACTCTGTCTCAAAAAAAAAAAAAAAAAAACAAAGGCTCAAGTGTGCTCTGTGCCCTTCCACCATGTGAGGGTGCAGCAACAAAGTATCATCTATGAAGCAGAGACCAGGTCCTCATCAGACACTGAATCGCTGGTGCCTTGATGTTGGACATCTCAGCTTCTAGAACTGTGAGCAACAAATTTCTGTTGTTAATACATTACCCAGTGTAAGGTACTTTGTTCCAGCAGCTCGAACAGATTGACAGGGATTTTTTGTTAAAGTGCAGATTGTGATTCAGGAGGTCTGGGCCAGGGCTTGAAGTTCTGCATTTCTAATAAACTGAGACTCCCTATCCATGAGCACACTTTCACTAACAAGAACATAGAGTTTCACTGAGCAGTATGGTAGTCAGTAACCACACGTGACTATTAAGCATTTGAAATATGGCTGGTCTAAACTAAGATGTGCTATAAGTGTAAAATACACACCGGATTTCAAAGACTTAGCATAAAAAACATCATAAAATATCAAATTAATTCTTTTTTAAAATTATTGCATTAATACTATTTTGAATTATGCAGGGGTCAGGTAAAATGTAGGATTAAAACTAATTTCACCTGTTTCTTTTTACCCTTTTTGGTGTGGCTAGTAAAAAATTTGAAGTTACATATGTGGCTTACATTATAGTTCACATAATGTGTCCATTGGACAGCGCTGGCTTAGAGGGCTGATATTTGATTGGCTCAAATACCTCCTCCTTCTGAAAGCTTCTTGACTACTTCAGCTGAAGATGTTTCCCATAGGCATTTCTTTTTCAAAAACTATTTACGTGTCACTTTTCATCTGTTGCTTTGCTCTGTAGTTTTTTGGGTCCATGTCAGTTTGCAGCTAGGTTCTAGAGCCCCTCAAGGGCAGACACCCTCTAGTTCTGTCTCTCCCACAGCTACCCCGCTAAGCCTGGCATTCTCTTCATAACGCAACGATTGTTGAGAAAGCAAATTCCAGTGAGTCAGGTTCCTCTGTTGGCCATGCAGTTGCTTCTGGAGGGAATTTGGCTGAGTGTTGCACTGCAGAGGCCAGAGTGGAATTTCATTCCCTGGACCCGGTTAATGAGGTTTGGCAGAACTGCTGCTTACAGGCTGAAGGAGCACCATTCCCTGGACAAAGGGAGGAAGGCAGAGGAACTGGGGACCTGTGAGGGAAGAATTTCCATGGGCCACCATTCCTCAGGTAGCAGGGTCATTGCATTCAAAAGCCCAGGCAAATCGATGGTTTTCTCTCTCCTGCTTCTCTCTTTCCTGTGGTCAGAGAGTTATGGTCCCAGAATGTTGTTCTGTGGGAAGAGGCCCAGTCATCTCTTTCTCTCTCCTCAATCCCATTTCTTCCCTTCTTTTTACCTAGGAATTGGGCTGTCTCTCTCTCTTTCTCTGGTTGCATTTCACCAGCTAAGGAGTTGCATTGGCTTCTGCTCTCCTCTCTTGCTCACCTACATTGTGAGGTAAGATCTGAGTTGCAGGTTTGCTTTGGGGAATCTTGTGGGCAGGGTTCCCCAAATGCAGACTCTGAGATGGAGTTTGGGGTGCAAGATGTTTATTAGGGATCAAGTCTTCTGAAGGGAAGGGGAAGGAAAGAGGATCAGGAAAAGGGAGAAGTCAGACTGTAGCACAGGCCTGACAAAGCCCCAGGCTCAGCCAACCAGCAGGGGCAGGGAGCAGGGAGTGGGCATCGCCTGTCACTGTCCCCTTGCTGGGCTGAAATGGCCTGGCCTTTACACCCTGCCTTACACAGTGACTAGGTGTGAGCTGCCTGGGTGAAGCAGGACCTCAGGTCAGGACCTCTGCAGCTGAGGCTGCCTCTGAAGGAGCTGACAGTTGAGGCTGCAGCTGTCCATATCCCCACAAGGCCCTTCTCTAAAGAGTGGCCTCTGCATGAACCACAGACCCTGCAGCAAGGGCTTGGGTACAAGTAGTTCACGTGGGAGGTGATCCTAATGATACAGGAGGGGGCAGGAAAGTGCTGGGTAGAGAAGGGTAGGGTGCTGGTGAAGGCTCCACCCAAAGGCCTGTGCCCATGGACATAATGAGGACAAGCACTCCTGTTGTGGTGCCCAAATGTTGCATTTTCCAAGACCACTATGGCCTGCCACGCCCCCCATCCTGTGCCCATATAAACCCAAGAGACCTTAAGTGGACACACACACAAGTGACTGGATGTCGAGAGGAACAGAGGAGCGGAAGAGCATACTAACAGACACCAGCAGATGCTGGCAGGCCATTGATGGCGGGAGGACATGGAATTCAGCAGGGGGTGGTCGGAGGAAAGTCTAACTGCTGGGAGGTCCAACTCCAGGAGAAGACCACCTTCCCACTCCATCCCCTTTCTGGCTCCCCATCCATCTGCTGAGAGCTACTTCCACCACTCAATAAAACCTTGCACCCATCCCCAAGCCCACATGTGATCTGATTTTTCTGGTACACTAGAGCAAGACCTGGGATACAGAAAGCCCTCTGTCCTTGTGATAAGGCAGAGGGTCTAATTGAGCTGATTAACACGAGCCACCTGCAGAGGGCAAAGCTGAAAGAGCGCACTTTAACACCCACCCATTGGGGCTTTGGGAGCTGTAAACAACCCTAGACGCTGCTGTTGGGTTAAAGCCCAAAAACGCTCCCCACGACCTGCCCATCTGCATGCTCCCCCTAGGGGTTTGAGCAGTGGGGCACTGAAGAAGAGAGCCACAGCCCTGTCGCACATGTCCTGCCAGGGTGATAAGGGAACTTCTCCCATTTCACTAACAGGCACAGTGAGGGAGTGAGGAAGTGAAGAGGGAAGGGAGGGAATCAATACAGAGTGAGTTAATGAGCAGGTGACTGCTGGGGGCAATGGGCTCAATCCCATGGGGGACCTCTGGGACACCGCACAGGACACAGCACGGAGCAGTGAGGAAGCTGAGGCACAGATCCACCAACTCCACCTCGATCCCTGCTCCAGATATGGCCTTAGGCAGAGATGGGGAAGCCTCTTAGGGCTTCTGCCTCTGGGGGCCTCTGGGGTGGGGCCCTGCTGCAGACCTGACAATAATTAGGCCCAGCCGCTTAGGAAGAAGCAGTTCTCTATGGGCAATGACCTAGTTTACCAGCATTCTTTGCTTTGAGGGGTGGAGCCCCTGCCTGCTTTAGCCAACATTTTCCTGCTGTTCTTGAGAAGGCATCTTTCTCAGAGCCTCATGAAGTGGAGGGTCAGCAGCATGGGCAGGATTTAGGGATGCATCATGTCCAGCTAGATCTTTGCATATGATAGACTCCCGATCCCAGCCAGCATTTCAGCAGGCAGGTGAAAGACCGGGAGAGCCTGGAGGACAGGCATCGAGTCTGCCTCAGCTCCTCACATATGCACGTGTTCAATCAGTGTCTGTGGCTGTTAAATTCTAAAGTAGAGGCAAAGAGGAGGGAAGACAGTGGCATATAGTAGGGAGGAACCTGAGTACATCCTTCAAGCACCACTCGTTACCAAGACTTCATCCTGTCCCTTAGGCTAAGCTCCTGGTAAGTGTCCCAGCCCAGAGGTGAGGCAACACTGAAGCCCTGTCATCCTGCCATCGTGAAACAGCCCGTGTTTATCAAATGCTTGCTGTGAGTGTCTCTCAGTCCTGTTGCTTTATGTCTTCAGCGTTATCAGCAGCCGCATTGCCATTTTAAAGATGAGGAAATGACGCCCAGGGAGGAGGATGAGCTTGTCCATGGTTGGACAGCAGAGGTGGGATTTGAACCCATATCTACCTGATATCAAAGCCAGGGATCCACCCACCCAGGCTATATTTTGGAGAGGAGGCAGATAGGAGATGAGGAAGCAGTTTGGGGCCAAGGGGTGAAGAGAGGAGAAGAGGGCTGGGCAGCAACAAGGTGCTTCTCTCAAGAGCCTTGTGTTGCCAGAACTTAGTCCAGTGTTTCTGGCCAAGCCGTGAGCTCATCTCATGTGAGGATTAGAAGCCAAGGCCGGTGAGGGTCATGTTCATCACTGGCTGAGACGAATCCACTGTGGGTCAAAGGACCTATTGTTGGTGAGGGGCACATGAGTCATGAGCCTGACAGACTGGCCAACGCTTCTAGCTATTCTCTTGAAAGAACTCCTACTCTGCAGAGGAGATAAAGGGTCCTTGGTCAAGGATGAAGTCCTCCCAGAGACCCCAACCCTCTGTCCCCTGGTGCTCCTCAGCTCCTGCCCCTTGCCCTGCAATCCCCCTGATGGGGAACACAACTTCTTTCTCACTCCTCACAACCAGAGTCTGGAACTGGAAACTGTGTTGTCTGTCTGCCTCCCAAGGCTTCCCACGGTTCAGCCAGCCTCATTAAAAGAGGGGAACTGAGGTAAAGTGAAATAAAGCCCTCTCCATAAATGTTTCATTTTTATGAGGCCATTAGCACACTAATCTTCTATGGGGTTCTGCCAGCACCTCATATGCACAAGATTCTCAGCCAGATCCCAGGAAAGGGGCCAAGATGCAGGAATGAGTTCTTCCCTTCCCCTGATTTTGTAAGTGTGTGACTTGGGGAACTGAGATGTGATTGAGAGAGTGAAAGAAGGAGACAAGGCTACTGAAGGAAGTGGTGCTGTTGTGCAGGGAGTGAGGCAATGAGAAACTCCTGGGGGAGACAAGGCCCAGGGAGTTGGCACCAGGGTTGTGTTCTGAGTGGGAGAGCCTGCCAGATTGCACTCTTCATGCAAAGCTGCCAGGGCTGGCTGGCACACAAGACCCTGCTGTGGACAGAGGGGCAGTGACCCAAGAAAATGGGTAGAGGAGAAGGGAGCAAAAGTGGCATTTATTGAGCATTTACTAGGGCCAGACCATTTATATTCATATCTCATTTAATCTTCAAATAATGCTGGGAAGGATTAGCAGAGGTAGTAATAATAGTAGTAATAGAAGTAATGGTAGTAATAGAAATAGCTATCGTACTTCCTTAGTAAGCTAGGATGTGATAAGTATTTACCATGTACCTAGCACTGTGGTGTTCCTTTGATATGCATTTAATTGATCAGTTTTTCCCAGGACCCCATGAGAGGATTCTCTGGGTTTTTCAGATAAACCCAGAACAACCAATCAACCTGAGTGCACTCTACTTTCCTATGACAACTCCAATAGTGCAGCATTTTAGAGAGGAGAAAACTGAGGTGCTACAAGGTTAAATGCCTTGTCCAGTGCTCCACAGGACAACCAGGGTTTGAAGTGAGGACACCTGACTGGGTGCAGAGTCCCATCATATCCACGCTGCCTACTCATTTAGAGGAGGCGCTGCCTCATTAAAAGCTGGCACTATCACACCACTGTTATAAACATCACTGACCCTGTGGTGCTGGGGTTAGCAAATATTTCCTGTAAAGGGCCAGATATTAAAGAGTTGAGACTTGAGGGCTGCATGGTCTACTGCACTGTGCCTTGTGTAGCAAGAACAGCCGTGGGCAACACAGAAGTAAACAGATATAGGAATATCCAATAAAACTTCATTTATGAAGGCAGGTGGCCAACATGTAGGGTTGCCAAATCCAATATTTTATTTGGTAAATCTGGCAACCTTAGGTGAGCCTGATCTGACTGTGGGCCATGGTTTTCCAACTTTTCATCTAGCGAGTGTCTCTTTGTGTGTGTGTGTGTGTGCGCGCATGTGTGTGTGTGTGTGTGTGTGTGTGTTTTGCAATTTACAACTATTCCCCTAGTACCCAGAAAACATCAATAAGGAAAGAGTTATCCCCACTTAACAGATATGAACTCAGGCTCACAGGGATTAAAGAACTTGCCCATTGACATTCAAGTGCAGAACTAGGTTTTGAATAGGTGACAGGTGCATTTGACTCTGCAGCCTCAAACAGTGGATTGTACCTAAACGACTTGAGACTCTTACACAAACAGCCCAAACTCCCAGCCACCTCATGGAATTTAGACAGAAAGGAAAGACCGTCCCTGCTTCAGCCCTCATTCTTCTACCTCTGAATCCAGGCTTCTATGTGATTTCACCTAGATTAATGGAGAAAGAGAGGCAGAGGATGAGGAGCATGCAGGGGGACTCGTTGGGGCTCCATACTTTCTGGTGACAGCTCTGAGCACTTGGCCTAGTTGCGACTTCTTTGTAGAGCATGTGGTAATAATTATTTATTTCTCTTCTAAGCTGACTTTGTGGACTCCAACAAGGCTAATGCAGCAGAAGAATTACTAGGGGCTCAAGAACCCTGAAGCTGAATGGGTCTAGGGCAGTGGTTTTCAACCGGGGGGAGAGAGGGTGACCTGCTCCCCAGGGGACATTTGGCAATGTCTAGAGACATTTTTGGTTGTCACGGTTCAGGGTGGTATGCTACTAGCATCTCATGAGTAGAGTCCAGGGATGCTGCTCAACATCCTACAATGCACAGGGCAGCTCTGCATAACAAGGAATTATTTGGCAAAGATGTTAATAATGCTGAGGTTGAGAAACCCTGATCTACAGTGAATCCATTGATGTAATGGTTCTGCTTTGGATGTACTTGCTCCCTGTCTTAGTCCATTTGTGATGCTATAACAAAGTAATATAGGCTAGGTAATTTAATGATAGAAATTTATTGTTAACACTTCTGGAGGCTTGGAAGTAGAAATTAAGGCACCAACAGGCTTGGTGTCTGGTGATAGCTCTCTGCTTCCAAGATGGCACCCTGAGTACTGCTTCCTCCAGAAGGAAGAATGCTGTGTCTTCACATGGTGGGAGAGATGCAAGAAACAGACTTGCTCTCTCCAGCTATTTTACAAGACACTAAACTTATCCATCATGACCTAATCACCTCCTAAAGGCGGTGATACTGTTAAATCAGTATCACCTTGATGATTTAGTTTCAACATGTAAGATTTGGGGAGTGCATGCCCACCATAGCACCCCTCTCCTTTGATTCTAGCTCCTCTGCATCATATTCCTGCCCTGTTTTTTGGAGGTGGGGGGTATAGGGGGTTGACCAGTGAAGGTTCTTCAGGGCAAGGACCTCTAGTTGTTCCTTCCTTCTTCCCTGTTCTCTACAAAGGGTACATTTCCCTCCTCACCAGAAACCTCACCTGTATTTGGCAAACTTGCTGTCTCAATCAGAGTCTAGGTAGAAATACCCCTTCAAGTATTTACAACACAGGGAATTGAACATGGAGAATTGGGGGAGTTAAGAAAGCAGGGGATAGACCATGCCACTCTTAGGCTGTAGAGACTAGGGGAGGAAGTGGGGTTATGTCACCAGATTCCAGTGGCCAGGGTCACCTAGAACTCAGGGTTCACAGCGGGCTGTGCAGTAGCAGTTGGAGCATGAAGTGTTGCTGCAGAATGGATGGATGTGCAGGGAGAAATCCTCCGACTTCTCTCTTCGTCCTGCCACCAGTTTCCCACCAACACCTCCAGTTGAACAAAGGCAGCTAGAAGACAGCTCACCCAGGAACCTGGGAGATGCAGCCCCCAGAGTTAGCTTCCTTGATATACAAAGCAGAGCTGGGGGAGGGTGGGAAATGGATGTGAGGACAACAGGACTGGCCTACTTACTTCTCTTGCTAGAAGGACCCTGGGATGCCTTTAGACTTTCTGGAGAGAGGGAGCTTGAATTAAGAACTGAAGTGATCGAAGAGTCCCTAAAGTCTTCTCAGCGAGGACCCAGAGTATGACCCTTTTATATGTCTTTGTTCAGAAAGAACCTGGAAGGCATTACAGATGCTTGAGTCAGCTTCCAATGGAGAGTTCTCAAAGTAGCAAGATCACTTGCATCAGAATCCCCTGGGGGCTGTTCATCATGCCAATTCCAGGGCCCCAGTTTAGAATCAGAGTCTCTGAGGGAGGAAGAAGCGGAGATCAGGAATCAGCCTTTCAACAAAATTCCCCAGAAGTAATTCTACACTCTGCAATTGGAAAACCACTGCTGAAAGGTCCTGCTCATGTTAGCACTGTTTTTGGGGACCTCTTTCCTCCAAATTTCCCGTTTTGTTGATGAGCTATGTCATTGCCATTCTCTGTTTTGTAACAGTTTTCTTCAAGTGTGGGAGGATTTCCTGTGGTACGTTAAACTGATAAACTAGATTCTTTAAAAAGAGGAAAATCAGCTGTTGTTTTTCTTTTCCCCCTTGAATGAATTGTACTCTGTGTGTGTGTGTGTGTGTGTGTGTGTGTGTGTGTGTGTATGTGTGGAGGTGGGTGCATAGAGGAAGGGAGAATACCCTAATATCTTGAAAGGGTCAATTTCATGATCAAAGAGAAATTGAGTTGGATCCACTATTGGGTGTTCCTGAGCCTGAGTTCCATTTTTTCTAGAGCCAATTTCCTCTCTGAGCTCTCCTGAATGATAATAAATGATAATAAAAACCACTTCATTTTCCTGAAAACCTAATATGTGTCAAGTGCTTTGATATGTAATTTCAATTCCTTACAATGGCTCTGCAATGTAGGAATTACTATTCCCATTCTATAGATGAGGAATCAAAGACAAGGAGAGGTGAAATAATTTGCCTTAAGTCATAGAATTAGCAATGCAGTGGAAGCAGGATATGCAATATACTTTCAAATGAAGCCTCAAAATAAATCCCCTTTTCTTGCCACTCTTCCAGTGGGATTATGAATCAAATTCATATTTAAATACTCAGCTGGCTTCCACTTCTGGCATAATGGTGTGAAGACATCTGCTGACCTGTCCTCAGTGAAACTGATGAGAACTGTTTTTTTTTTTTCTTTTAATCTCTGGAAATGGTCCTAATGGCACATAGCAAATGAAGAAACCCTTATTGAAGAAAATCTACTGATATTCAGTAAGAACAGCAAGAGTCTATGATATCTGCATCAAGATCTTTCCCCTCCTTTCCTTCTCTCAGCCTGGCAAAACAGAAACTCCATTCCAGAGTGATACAAGAAAACAGGGTTTCTTTTTCTCCTAGCTCCCAGTCAGAAAGTGATCTGCCCAAGAAGGGCAGGATGTCAGTGTTTCCCATCCTGTCCTAGCTCCTTGTCTTTGAGGCTAAGTGGTGGCAAGTGAGGCTGAGAGGTGGAGGCTCTCTTCCTCTGCCTAGCCCCCACTCATGGGACAGAGGCTCTACCTCAAGCACAGTCCCACTGAAAACACCAGGGCCTTAATCACTCTTGATCCAGCTCATGAGTGGGGGTTCCATGCTGCTGAGAGAAATAAGACAAGGTGACTTGGGGGTGCTGCCCCTCCCTCCACCAAATCTTCAGCTCCTAAAGTGGGATTATTACTCAGATAAAAATGTGCCATTGGTCCTGCCCTCAGTACTAGAACCTTGGCATAGAGATTTTGCCTGGGGTGAGAAGGCCATAGAACAGAGAGCTCCAAATATCTCCACAAAGGAGCTGACTTGATTAGCCACAAAGTGTGAAGAAGTTCAAGCCTAAGAGTCCTCTCAAAAACAGTGGAGGTTGTGTTGAAAGACAATTTGGAGACTAACAGATTCATTGTTGATATGGGCTAGACTATAGGCCAATTTATTTGCCAGAGAGAAACAGGGAAAAGAGGTAAATAAGAAGAACCTTCCTGGAGTCAGAAAAAATATCAAACATTGACCTAAATAACTATTTCTTGAAAATGGACTTTGATTGGATCAGCCTGTGAAGCAGTTTATACCCTAGGGCATGTTGAAAACACTAGAGCCAGTAGTGTAGCTTAACAGTTGTGAGTAGTCAAGGAAAGAGAAAGTCAAAGAGTCTGCCAACACTATTGTCATCCCAGGGTGACTGTAGGCATACCCCAGACTGCAATCCCTGAGGAGCGATATCAGAAGTTTTACTTACAGAGCAAAGTATAATTCACTAAAATAATCTAGCCAGTCACTAAACAAATACACAAGCAAATAACAATTACAACTTCCAAGGGAGGGTGGACAATACACAGAGTTGCTACAGTACCTGATCTAAAATGCCCAGTTTCCAACAAAAAATTTATAAGACACGCAAAGAAACAAAGTATGATTCTTCTCTCTCTCTCTCCCTGTGTGTGTGTGTGTGTGTTTGTGTGTGTGTAGGAGGGCAGGGATGGGGATGGCAACAAAAACTGCCTTTAAGAGTAACCAGATGTTACATTTAACAAGAACTTTAAATCAGGCATTACATATGTGTTCAGAGAATTAAAGGAAACCATGATTAAAGAAGTAAAGGAAGGTATGAGGACAATGTAACATCAAATAGAGACTATCAATAAAGAGATAGAAATTATTAAAAAGAACAAAATAGAAATTCTGGTTTTGAAAAGTACAACAACTGAAGTAAAAATTTTACTAGAGAGATTCACCAGTAGATTTAAACCAACAGAAGAAAGAATTAGTGAACTTGAAGATAGATTAATAGAAATTAGGCCATCCAAAAACAAAGGAGAAAGAATAGAAAAATGAATGGAGAGAAATGTGCAACACTACTAAGTACACCAATATATGGTATGCATAATGACAGTACCAAAAGTAGACGAGGCAAAGCATCAGGAAAAAAATGTTCGAAGAGATAATGGCCAAAACTTCCCAAATGTAAAGAAAACTTAATTGCACATTCAGCAAGCTCAGCTAACTCCAAATAGGATAAATGCAAAGAGATCCAAAACCAGACACATTATGGTAAAAATGATGAAAACCAAAGACAAGGAGAAAATCTTGAAAGCAGGAAGAGAAAAATGATTCATCACTTACAAAAGAACACCAATAAGATTAACAGCTGACTTTCCACCAGAAGCAATGGGGGATCAGAGGCAGTGGGATAACAAATTCAAAGGGCTCAAAGAAAAATAATCTGTCAATCAAGAATTTTTTATCCAGCAATGCTATCTTTTAAAAATGAAGACAAAATAAGGATATTTCCAGATAGACAAAAATTGAGAGAATTTGTTGCTAGCAAACCCACTTTATAAGATATACTAAAGGAAATTCCTCAGCTGAAAGCATGTAACTCCAGATAATACTTTGAATCCAAACAAAAAACAAAGAGCGCCAGCAAATATAATCATGTAATTATAAAAGACAATATAAATGCATCTTTCTTTTCCTTTCTTCTCTTAACTGATTTAAAAAGCAACTGCATAAGATGATATGTATATGATGTACTGTTGAGTCCATAACCTACAAAAATGTAAAACATTTGCCAATAACAGCACTAAAGGTGCTTGGGTTAGAACAAAACTACATTGGACTAATGAAAGGATCACAGATGATAACTCAAATCCACAGGGACAAATGAAGGGAATCAGAAATGATAAGAAAGAAGGCTAATGTAATAAAAGCTATAAATATATACTTCATCCCCTTTCTCACCTTTTAAAAAAGCCATAATGTAATAAAAGGTAATAACTATAACAATACATTGTTGGGCTTGTAACATTTATGGCTATAATGTGTACAAAAATAATAACCGAGAAAGGGGAAAAAGTAAATAGAGGTACATATAAATAGCTTTCCTGTATCTCACTGGAATTAAGTTAATATGAATCTAAAGCCAATTATGGTAAGTTAAGATGTATATAGTAAGTCCTAGAGAACCCACTAAGAAAATAGCTAAAAAAATAGAGAAAAAGAAATTTCATTAAAGAAATGAAAATGCTCCATATATGTGTGTGTGTGTGTGTGTGTGTGTGTGTGTGTGTGTGTGTGTGTGTATGATTTATTGAAAGGAATTGGCTTATGCAATTACAGAGGCTGTCTAGGTGGGTCCAAAAATCTGTAAGTCAGGCCATCAGACAGGGCAGGCAGGAAACAACTCTTGGGCAGAAGCTGGAACTGTAGTCTACAAGTGGAATTTCTTCTTCCTCAGGGAAACCCAAAACTCTTCTTTTATTGCCTTTCAACTGATTAGATCAGGCCCACCGAGCTTATGGACGCTAATTTCCTTACTTTAAGTCAACTGATGGTAGATGGTAATCACATCTGCAAAATACCTTTCCAGCAACACCTAGATTAGTTCTTAATTTACCAACTGGGGACCATAGCCTAGCCAAGGTGACACATAAAACTGACCATGACACCTCCCAAGTAAACTACTTGTGCCTGGATTTTTGCTTTAGGGTCAGCTTCTGGAGGAACCCTAACTAAGATAGCCCTCTTACATCACTCTCCTCCTTAACTCAGCACAGCATGTGGTGCTGTCCCCAGTGGGGGCAAAACTCATTTTGAACACAAGCAATTCCCATGACAGCCCATGCTCTCCAAACCCTGTGGCTTTGGTTTTCTCATCCAGAATGTTATACATTTGGAGACTGTGTCAGCTCTCTCTTGGATGGGGTTTGCTTGTGCAAGGCCAAGTTTGACACATTATTTTGGCTGCCACAGCCCCCTGCATCCATAAGCCAGTGTTTTCTGTCATCACCTTTGCTAAGCGTCCCAGGATCCAAATAAATACAGCATCCCCTGGGTAGTATTACAGCTGTCTTAAGAAGGTATTCACAGGAAGGTTCCTGATTTAACATTTTTTTCTCATTCCCCTGAGCCCGGCATCAAATGTTTTTACTACAAAGCCTGACTCAGGACAGAAAAAAAGCAGATAAACATTGCCATATGTTTTTAAACCTTGTAGAATATTTTCTTTGAGTGAACTGATACTACTCTCAAAACTTCATATGAGGATCTCTTATCATTTATAGTTATTAAAAACAGAAGAAAGAAATTGCACTGGGGAGGCCCCATTCTTTCCATTCAAGACGTTTATAATTTCTCCTGGAAAAATGCAACGGGGGCCTAGAGACTCTGAGGAGTGCATGCAGGGAAGGGGTCAGGAGCCAGCAAAATCTTGGTTATCTCCATTTACACTAACAAGAGCTATTAATTATTCTTAGCTACTCCATGCTAGGCATGTGCTGAATGCTTTGTACACTGAATCTCATTTGATTTTCAAAACCACGCATTGAGGTAGGTGCTTTTTATCCCCAGCTTCAAGATGAGGAAATGGAGGTCCAGACAGGCTAAACCAGGGGTCCCCAGCCTCCACCCAATGGACTGGAATAGAACCAGACCACAAAGCAGGAGGTGAGTGGTGGGCGAGTGAGTAAAGCTTCCTCTGTATTTGCAGCTGCTCCCCATCACTCGCATACTGCCTGAGCTCCGCCTTCTGTCAGATCAGCAGCAGTATTAGATTCTAATGGGAACGCAAACCCTATTGTGAACTGTGCATGCGAGGGGATCTAGGTGCGTTTTCCTTATGACAATCTAATGTCTGATGATCTGTCACTGTCTCCCATCACCCCCAGATCGGACCGCCTAGTTGCAGGAAAACAAGCTCAGGGCTCCCACTGATTCTACATTATAGCAAGTTGTAGAATTATTTCATTATACAATTTAATAATAACAGAAATAAAGTGCACAATAAATGTAATGCACTGGAGTCATCCCCAAACCATCTCCAACCCTCTGCGGTTCCTGGAAAAATTGTCTTCCACAAAACTGGTCCCTGGTGCCAAAAAGATTGGGGACCGCTAGGCTAGACAACTTGCCCACAGTCTCACAGGTAAAGGGACAAAGCTGATATCTGACCCTGTTCCTGTCAGATTCCAGGGTCTGCTCTCTTAATTGCTGTGCCACGATGCTGCTTCTCACTACTATTTCCTAATGCCACCGTCTCACTGGTGTGGATTCCTTGTACCTCCTTACTATCCCTGGAGGTGATCTCATTTGGATGTGTGTGTCACAGTGCTGGCGTTTTAAGTCATCTTTGCCTGCACCAAGGCTTAAGTAAAAGAGAATAAGACTTGAAGAGAATGGTGAAAATGGGAATCTATATTCACGGGGGGAAAAATTTATTTTCCTATTACTTGCAACATGTTGTCACGGGGAAGTTACTTTTGTGACATGGAAATAATGTCACTTAAGACATGGACTTGTCCTCCTACATTTACTCAAATGATTAATTTTCTTTGTATTAACTTAAAATGAGCCCATTTAAAGGAGTACTTTTTTCCTTGAAAGCATTGCTCATTATGCTATCATTTTAAGTAATTAAATCAGAATAAATGGCTCTGCGAAGCTATTTTAATGTAACATCTAATTATATCTGACCTAGACTGTGAACTATAATCATTAAGTACATGAACTGTGTAATGTTCTGCACATTCTTTAATAATTTATATTGCAGAATTCAGCTGCACAGAACTGTAAGCAGGAACAGCATCTTCCAAGACACCTGTTATCTGCCCAGGATTGCAGAGATGCCCTGCGTGTCAGTCGCCGTCTGCAGTTCAGGCGCTTTCCTCTCTGGGAATGTTCAACTCCCAGTGGAGGAAAAACTGTGTGTGTTTTTATTTTTGATGCACATTAATTATTTTGACAAGGGACTGAGAACTATTCAATAAAATGGGTAGAATTTACACACAATTGAAATGTTTTCTGAGTCTGACAGACACTGGCCTCGCCAGGGAGGGGGCCTCACTCAGTGGGCTAATGACGTAGCTCAGAAGGTGTCTAGACCACCGGAGTCACGCTCAGGCTGTTATTGGAAGGGCCTCTCTGTGTTTGCATTTGCATTTTTATGTCTCTAACTTGGCCATGAGAATGTGTTCTTGGCTGGTGCTCAAGAGAAGACCTCTCCAAAACCAGGAGAGATGTTTCAACCAAATTTGGGAAGACACGTCAGTGTGACAGTTTTTGTTTTTGAATTTGTGAGCAAAGAATTTTGAAAAAACTCCATCGCTGTTGCTGAAATTAGTTTCAAGTTTGGATTTTTTTCCCCCTTCTTTTGCATATATCATTCTTATTGGAACATTGTAATCATTTTTTTTTTCTCTTTGCAAATATATAAACGTGTCATGCTTGGGGAAATAAAGATGTTTGTTTCCCTTGCCTCTTAGGGGAGAGTAGAAAACAAAATATTTTGGCCTCTAAAATGGAAGTACAAATCTACCATTCCTTCTATGCAAGTCTGAAAAGTTCTGAAAACTGAAAAAGTTTATAAAATTACTTGTTTGGTGTTAAAACCTGTTCTGACTTCCAATCATTGCCTGCTAACCCTGACGTGTGCTGATGCAATGCTGCTTGTCAGTCCACATGGTTCACTTCTGTGGCCATTCATATGTCTCACAGCAAAAGTATCAATGTATTTGATTACTGACTGCTGCCCTCATCCCACTGGGGGAGTCACATAGTATATGTATATGCCCCTTTCTAAAATCTGGAAAGTTCTGATTTCCTAAATGCTTCTGGGCCTCAGGGTTTTAGAGAAGAAGCTATAGACTTGGAATAAAGATGGTATTCATAACTATCATTTATTGAGCCCTACAGTGTCCTGAGCATGTATTGTCTCCTCCAATCCTCATGGTCACTCATTTTATCAATTACTCTCACTTAACAGGTAAGAAACATAGCTAACATCTTTACCAGCTGAATATATATATATATATATATATATATATTTTTTTTTTTTTTTTTTTTTTTTTTTTGGAAAGATAAGGTACTATTATAAGGTTTCACTTTCCTGAGCAGAGACACAGAATTCAGTGATCATTTGGAATGTCTAGCAGAGAGGAGACCAATTCATTCAAGTCATTTGTTGCATGTACTTTATTTTGTGACATATCCTGGGCATTATGAACATGACCTCATTCAGAGCTCACAGCTAATGGTTGAGGAGCACTTAGTATGTGTCAAGGGTGAACTATGTGTTTTTGCTCTTTTGATCCTCAAAACTGTTCTATGAGTTAGGCTTCTCCTCACGCCCTGCCCCATTTTACAGATGAGGAAACTGAGGCTGAGAGAGGTTACTTGCTTTGAGGTCACACCACTCCGAAGTGAGCAAGCTGAGATGGAAGGCTATACTTTCTGGTATCAAGCTGAACACCCACTACCTCTTCAACTCACTCTAAAGCTTACAAGTGTTAACATTTAAGACACAAGAAAAGAATTATGACACAGTCGATGTAACACACATCAAAAGAAATCTTTCCAACCACAGATCCATACATTTTATTTTCTTTCTTTTTTTTTTTTTTTTTTGAGACAGGGTCAGGCTCTGTCACCCAGGCTGAAGTGCAGTGGCACAATCTCAGTCACTGCAACCTCCACCTTCTGAGCTCAAACGATTCTCCTGCCTCAGCCTCTCGAGTAGCTGGGATTACAGGTGTAAGCCACCATGCTTAGCTAATCTTTGTATTTTTAGTAGAGATGTGGTTTCGCCATGTTGGCCAGGCTGGTCTCAAACTCCTGACCTCAAGTGATCTGCCCTCCTCTGCCTCCCAAAGTGCTGGGATTACAGGCGTGAGCCACCGCACCTGGCCCTAGTCCCATACATTTTAAATTAGCCCAGTTTATGGAGCCAGCACCCTCAAAAGGTGCCCCATTCCATTCTAGGCTGGAGCCTGAATACCAGCCCCTGAGCATCCGGCTGCATTGTTAGGACAAGATTCATTTGAGGTGAAATGAACCAGTTACCTGCGATTCCTGGTCTTTTCCCTTGTCTCAAAATTTAGAGTCAGTTTCAGGGAGGTGGCTTCTGGTTCATATGTTAAATCAAGAGATACTTATTTGAGTTACTGCCATATACCTGGCCCTTTTTTAGGGAGTGGAGACAGAACAGTGAGCAAGTCAGGCAAAGTCTTGGCACTTAAGAAGAATGTTCTGGTGGCAAGGGTCATAGTCGCTAAGCAAATAAAGTAAAATATAATATGTTAGTGACTGGGCATGGGTGCAGCCTTCCTCTTTGGGGTGATCAAAGGGCCCTGGAATTAGATAGCAGTGATGGTTGTCTAACTTTGTGAATATACTACTAAATGGCACACTTTAAATGGGTGAATTTTATGGTATGCAAATTTGATCTCAATAAAAATATCATCATAGAATATATCAAGTGGTCATAAGAGAAAAGGAGAAAAATAAAGCAAGGTGAAGAACCAGAGAGTAACAGAGAGGTGCTCTGTTAGACAGAGTGGTCAGGGAAACATGGACGACATTGCGGACTCACTTCTCATTTCCCCTCTGCCCACTCTTGACTCCTTATGGGGGTCATTCTGGCCCTGCTGGCAGCTCCCCCATCCCTGGCTCCGGCATCACTCTAATCTGATGTACAAGGGCTTTCTTCCTTGTCATGAAACTTGCCCTGCATGAGCAGGTATAATAGCGACAACCAAGCAATGACGGAGTGTTATGGGTGGAACTGTGTCCTCCCCAATTTCGTATGTTGAAGCCCTAACCCCCAGTACCTCAGAATGTCACTGTATTTGGAGACAGGAGCTTTTGAGAGGTGATTAAGTTAAAATGAGGCTAGGAGGGTGGGGCCCTAATTAGTACAACTGGTGTCTTCATAAGAGAAGGAAGAGACACCAGGATGCCTGTGCACAGAGCAAAGGGCACATGAGGACACAGAGAGAAGACAGTGAGAAGACAGCCATCCGCAAGCCAGGGAGGGAGGCCTCAGAAGAAACCAACCCCACTTACACCTTAATCTTTGACTTCCAGCCTCCAGAACTGTGAGGAAATACATTTCTGTTGTTTAAACCACCCAGTCTGTGGTATTTTTTTAAATGGCAGCCCTAGCAAACAAATACAGGGAGCGACTCAGTGAATGAATGGCCCAGCTTCTCAGCTTCTCAGCTTCTCCCATTCTCTGTGGAGTTGATTTTGAAGTATGTTCTAAATGGTCTCTCAGAGGGTTCCCAGTGGGATTAGGCCCAGTGGCCCCCATTTTTCCATAAACATTATGAGTTTTTATCCCTCCCCCATCTCACTTCCGGCACCTCCTGATTTTGCAGCCTGGGCCACCTCCCAGATAAGCTAACAGACAGGCCCTTGTCTGTAGGTCCGCTTTTGGGAGAACCCAAACCAAATCCAGAGGCTCCTCCAGTCAGGTGACATTTGAGTAACGACTCTGACAGAGTTGAGGGAGTGAGCCAGGCAAATGCTGGGGAGGAGGCTGTTACAGGGACAGGGAGTAGCGAATGCAAAGGCCATGGGCTGGGAATGAGCTCCAGGAACAGCAAGGAGGCCGGAGGGACCTCGCTTGAGCCCAGGAGGTGGAGGTTGCAGTGAGCCGAGATCATGCCACTGCACTACAGTCTGGGTGACAGAGCCAGACCCTGTCTCAAAATAAACAATTTTTTAAAAAGTATGGGTCTGCGGTTGGAAGTGAGTGAGGAGTGAGTGAGAAGGAATGGAAGGAAAATAAGATCAGAGAGTGGGAGGGCTGGGGAAGTGTGGTCATAAGCCTGGAAGGGAAGGACTTTGGCTTTATCCTCAGTGAGATGGCAGCCACTGGAGGTATTGAGCAGAGGAGGGACAGGCTTCGACTTGGAGTGTAAGAGGATTGCTCTGATGGCTGTATTGAGGGAAGACTGAAGGCTTGTGAGAGAGAAGCAGCAATCATTGCCGTTGGCCAATCATCTAGGAGAAAGCTGATGGAGGCATGAAGTAGAGTGGAATGGATGGTGGTGAGGAGGCAGCAGAATTTGCTGCTGGGGTGGGAAACAGAAAGCAGCCAAGATTGAATTGGGAAGTTTTGGCCCAGGCAATGGGAAGACTGAATATGTTAGGAGACAGTTCTCCCGGGACTCTCAGGTTTCCACACATCTGGTAAGCAGAGGCACGGAAGGCCTTTGTTTCAGACAATCTTTTAAATGATGTTTGTATAGGGAACAGCTTTGGAAGATAAAGAATGTCTCTCTCTCTTATGGTTTGAATGTGTCTCCAACACTTTATGTGTTGAGACTTCATCCCCAGTGTAACAGTATTGGGAAGTGGAGCCTTTAAGAGCTAATTAGGTCATGAGGACAGCTCGCTCATGAGTTGACTAAAGCTGATAATGTGGGAACGTGTTGGTTATCACAGGAGTGAGTTCCTGATAAAAAGAATGAGTTTGGCCAGATTGTCTCTGTCTGTCTCATCTGCCTGCTTCCACCTTCTGTACTTCCACCTGGAATGACCCTCACCGGATGCTGGTGCCATGCTCTTGGACTTCCCAGCATCCAGAACTTCTGTTTTTATAAATTACCCAGTCTATGGCATTCTGTTATAGCAGCAGAAAATGGACAGAGACACCCTCAAATTAAAGGACAGTCTTGCTGACTATGAATTAGAAAATATTTGGGTTCTCGAAGGCAGGGCCTCTGTCCTGTAATGCTACCCACTGAATCTGCAAGTAACACTTGGCCTCCTTCACATTACCCTATGGGAATTGGGGATTGTGGAAATGGTATAATAATAAGATGAAGCCCTGGAAACCACTATGTCTGTGAATAATAAGGTCCTTTGTCTCTGGCCCAGGAATTTTGTGTTTTACTAGCATCTATGAAACTGTGGGAGGCTAACTGGTTAGTATGCAAGTAAGGTAAAAATCTCAGACCCTTCACAATGCTTGACAGAATGGAGGTGACATTTGCTTAAAGGGGAAAGATTATGAGAGGAACAAGCTGGAGTGGTGATAGAATTGGCTGCTCATTTTTGTACATGTTAATTCTGAAATGCCTATTATATACCAAGCTCTAAATAATGACACAACATCTCCACTTGGATATCTAAGTTTAGAGTTTAGAAGAAAGGCCAGGGTTAGAAATAGAAATTTGGGGATTATCAGAATATAGTTGGAATTTAAAGCAATGAGGTCATCTATCTCCAAGAGCATGAGTGAGGATAAAAATGAGATGTGTGAGGACTGGCACTGCAGTCAGGAGGCCAAAGAGGGTCCCATAAAGGAAGCTGAGGAGGAGTGGCCAGGGAGGTAGGAGAGAGAGAGACACCCGCATGTACTCCAGAGGCCATGTGAAGAAATTGTTTCAAGAATGAGTGAACATGTATGAGACTACCATGGTAAACAGCTGTCATTACACAGATGCCCAAACCCATAGAATACACAACAATAAAAATAAAGCCTAATGTGAACTATAGACTTTGGGGGATAATGATGTGTCAACATAGTTTCATTGGCTGTAGTCAATGTACTGCTCTGGTGTGTGATGTTGGTCGTGGGGAAAGCTGTGCATATTGAGGGAGGATGAGGGCTGTATAGGAAGGAGTTTTCTGCATTACTTTCCACTCAATTTACTGCAAGGCTAAAACTGCCCTAAAAAATAAAGCCTATTGATTTAATAAGGTGAGCATTCCACTGGGATGAGAGCTGCTGATAGCTTGAGTAAGATGAGAACTGAGTATTGATACTGGATTTAGCCGTATGACAATCACTGCCCCTTGTTAAGAGCAGTTTTGGTGAGTGGAGGCAACAAAGCCTTTCTGGAAAGAAATGGGAGGAGGAAAGGCGGGGAGATGGTAGATGTAGATGACGCCTTATAAGAGCTTTGCTCTCTTAGAAGCCATCAGTGAGATGGAGTGATCACTGGAAAGGGTGCAGAGGGTCAAGAAAGTTTACTTTAAAGATAAAGATATTGAGGCTACACTTGTGTTCTGACGCGGTGCTACATTTAGAAGGAAAACTTGAAGACATACGAGAGAGAACAACTACGAGAGTCCTTGGGGCCATCACCAAGGGTGAGGTTAGGTTAGGAACACAGTCTTGGGGACAGATTCAGGTAGGTTGGTTAGAGCTGGGCAGTAGGGTTCCAGATTTAGTAAATAAAAATACAAGACGCTCAGCAAAATTTGAATTTCAGACAAATAACAAATAATTTGTAGAGCATTACATGGGATGTACTTATGCTAAACAATAATTCACTATTTATCTGAAGTGAAAATTTAACTTGCTACCCTGGATTTTATCTGGCAACCATTGGACAATGGGAGCTTCTGAATGCATTTTTTGGTTGCTTCTGTTTTCAAAGTAAAAATAAAGGCAAGAATTATGACAGGGTTGTGGGGGTGGGAGGTTTTTGAGGAGGAAGAGAAAGTGGATGGAAAATGGTTCCGCAGTCCTGGAGGCACACTGAGGCTTGTGGTTTTGAGGCTGTACAAGGTTGTTTTTTTTTTTTTTTCCAGGTTGCTTCAGTGGCTCCAGCAAATAGGGAGTGGAGAATTGGATTTCATGAGGTTTGGACATTCACCAGCAAAGATAATGGCGAAAGACGGGAAGAGGGCGTGGAGAGTGCAGGGGAGGGATTATAGTTGAGCTGGGTAAGGAGGGAAGTGGGGACATGGGGAAGGGCACAGGGAAAAGGTGCTACAGGGATGGCAGATCCCAGAGGAGCTGAAAGATTATGGCTGTTGCATATTAGAGGAGTGAGTTGGGAAAACAGGAAGTGATTGTGGGAGAAGGAGACGTTTGAAAGTTAGATGACGTACAGATGCACTGAGTGATATTGACGAGGTCCGGGGCCTAATGCCCTGGGAATGGGTGGTTGAGGGGAGTAGAGGCGTGGGTGGTTGAGGGGAGTGGAGGCTGTGATCATTAGAGATGAGATAGCCTGGGAAAGGAGAGGCCAGAATATTGAAAGAACCATCTACATAGATACTGAAGTCATCAAGAACTATAGCAGGACATCTGGTAGAGAGGGAGTGGTGAGAAGAGACATGAGCCAAGAATGAAGTCCTCACTGACCAAGAGGCTGTAGATTACCATGCCGAGAGCAGAGCAGCTGGTGGCTAGAATTTAGCTAATTGCAGCTACTGGTTAGGGACAGCGTAGAGCAGAGGTCTGCAAACTTTTTCTGGAAAAGACCAAAAAGCAAATATTGTAGGTTTTGCTGGTGATATATGTGATAGGCAGAATAATGCCTCCTCCAAAGAGGTCCACGTCCTAATCCCCAAAACCTGTGAATATGTCCGTTACACGATAAAAGGGAATGAAGGTAGCAGAGGAAACTAAGCTTGTTAATCAACCGGCCTTAAAATAGGAAGTTTTATTTTCCATGGTTGGAGTGGCTCCAAGTTAGTCATGAGGGTCCTTAAACATGAAAGAGTGAAGCAGGAAATTCCAGGGCAGAGCGATGTGATGTGGGGAAGGCCTGACTAGCCATCACTGGCTTGAAAGACAGAAGGAGGCCACAAGCCTTGGAACACGGGCAGCCAAGACAGATTCTCCCCAAAAGCCTCCAAAAAGGCTTGCAGCCTCTAATACCTTCCTTTAAACCCAGCGAGACCCATTTTGGCTCTGACCCCCGGAAATAAGATAATTATGCATTGTTTTTAGCCACTAAGTTTGTGACAATGTGTTACGGCAGCCATTAGAAATGAAGGCATACAGTTTCTGTTGCAGCCCAACTCTGCTGCAGTAGCAAGAAGGCAGCAATAGGCCATATGTAAATGAATGGGCATGGCCATGTTCCAATAAAACTTTATTTACAAAAACAGGCTGCAGGCCAAATTCGGCATGTTGCTCATAATTTGCCAACCCCAGTGATATGGTTTGGATGTGTGTCCCCACCCAAATCTATCTCATGTTGAATTGTAATCCCCAGTGTTGGAGGAGGGGCCTAGTTGGGGGTGGTAGGGTCATGGGAATGGACTTGCCCCTTGCTGTTCTTATGATAGTAAGAAATCCGGTTGTTTAAAAGTATGTAGCACCTCCCTCCCTCTCTTCCTCCTGCTACAGCCATGTAAGACGTGCCTGCTTCCCCTTCCCCTTCCACCATGATTGAAAGATTCCTGAGGCCTCCCCAGCGTATAGCCTGTGGAACTGTGAGCCAATTAAACCTCTTTTCTTTATAAATTACCCAGTCTCAGGTAGTTCTTTATAGCAGTGCAAGAATAGACTAACACACCCTGGAATATACGATCTCTACAACAAAACACTGTATGATATTTACAAAAAGAGGTGAGTCTTTATGTATTTATTAATCCATACACATTTAATAGATAATATTAATACATATTTACTAATACATAAAGACTCACCTCTTTTTATAAATCTCATATAGTGAGATTAATAATATGGACCTATCTTCAAGATATTTTTAAGGGGGAAAGAAAGGTGTAGTGAAGAGTGCTTATTCTTATTTGTATAAAAAACATATGTAGCTTAATACAGATTCACACACGTAACTATACATGCATATACAATTTCTGGAAGGATACACAAGAAATATTTCAGTTGCTCTTCTGAAGAAGGGGACTGTAGGTCTGGGGTGGAGGAAGGGCTTATGTTTCATTGTACACTTTTTGTGCTGTTGAAATCTTTGTGTCTGAACCATGTACATGCACTTTTTTTCTGTTAAGTAATAAAAACGTTAACAAAGCACCTATTCAAAAGCGACAGAAGCATTGTGCCAAATGTCAATCTTCATTTAACTTGGATACTAGTTAAGAAAGCTTTTTATTGAAGTCTAATAGATATGCAGAAACTCACATATATTCGAAGTATACAAACTGGGGGATTTTCATAAAATGACCACATCTGTGTACTCAGCACTCCAAGGGACACACAGGACACCCTAGCCTCTGAGAAGCCCTTTTACCTCCACATCAACCCAGTAGTACCCAAGAGTAACCACGGTCTCCAAACACAATAGCACAGACTTGTTGTGCTTGATTTATACTTCACATAAATAGGTTCATACAATATTTCCTCTTTTGTTTTGTTTTGAGATGGAGTCTCAATCACTCTGTTGCCAGGGCTGGAGTGCAGTGGCATGATCTCGTCTCACTGCAACCTCCATCCCCTGAGTTCAAGCGATGCTCCTGCCTCAGCCTCCCGAGTAGCTGGAATTATAGGTGCTTGCCACTATGCTCAGCTAATTTTTGTGCTTTCGTAGAGATGGGATTTCGCCATGTTGGCCTGGTCTTGAACTCCTGACCTCAAGTGATTCATCCGCCTTGGCCTCCCAAAGTGCTGGGTTACAGGCATGAGCCACCGTGCCTGGCTGGTATTCCCTCTTGTGTTTTGCTTCTTTCACATAACTTGATATTTATGAGATTACCTGTTGTTTGTGTGTGTGTGCAATTATAATCATTCTCACCTCTGTATCAAATTCCGTTGTGTGAACATACCACAATTATTTACTTTTCTGCCATTGATGGGCATTTGGGTAGTTTCAATGTTGGGACTATTATGAATAGCATTACTTGTCATTTTTATTGTTAGTCCCTATCTGTATACTGCTTAAGAAGTCTTTGCCTACCCAAGATCCCAAAGATGCTCTCCTACTTTCTCTTCTAAGAGCTTTATTGTTTTACCTTTTGTATTTAGTACTATCATCCATCTGGAATTAAGGAAGGGTAAGACACATTTTTTTTCCCTTAGAAATAGCCAAACAGACCTACTAGCATTCATTGAAAAGACAATTCCTCCCGACTGCATGGCAGTGTCCTCAACTGGACTTTTTGCATGCATCAGAATTAAAGTGTTTTATACCTAAAAATGACCAAAATAGCTATGAGATTTGCCTGATACATTTTCTAGGGGTGGGGATACAAACATCATCTCTTTCTCTTGAATATAAAGTGTATATATGTGTGTATATATGTATTAGGGGTGTGTGTGTATTAGGTGTGTGTGCACTGTGTGTGTGTGTGTGTGTGTGTGTGTGTAGCCAAGGGCTCCATGTACAGGGTCTACTCAGGTTTCCCTGAGAGGATTTCAGGCACAGGGGACCAGGAGGAGAGACTGGTGTCCAAAGACATGGAAATTGGGACAAAAGGAGGGGACCGCAGAGATGTGTTTTATTAAAAAGAGGGTGCATGTGCCCAGCCAGGCTGGCTGCACGAGGGAGGCGACATTGAGGAGTTGAAGTCAGGGCCGGGGTTCTCTTTATGTGCCTTTCACCTCGTCAGACTGTTTCTCAAAATGGATGGTTCCCTCAGATGAAGCTGAGGTTCCTGCACCCGGGGGAGCTGGAATTCCAGCGTATGGGGACAAGCAGGGCTGGTGAATTCTGTGGTCCTAGGGAACCACTCCATCAGGAAGGCAAGCCAGACCATGGGTTCTCTCCCTGTTCAGTGAGCTAGGAAGTGAGATACCGGCTCAAACTGCCCTCTCCTCCCTCAACTAGGAATCTGTTTTAACTCCAAAAGTGTATATTTTTTCAGTTTCGATGGGTGAATTTTCTCCACATCTACTTAAATAATACAAATTCTGCCACCAAATTTTTCTAAATGTCTGTCTTCTGTGTAATTTTTATGTCATGCTATCAAGACTGCTGCTTGAGATACTTCAGTGGATAAATTATTCTCTACTCCACTTCTGCAAAAAATTACACTCTTTGATGTGAAAATTATATGCACTTAGAGATATGCTAATACGAAAATGATTTGAGAAGTGCAGAAGAAGGGTAGCAGCTGACTCAGAGGCCGCTTTAGTCATCTGCACCTGCACCAGGCCATTCCTGAAGGGGAGTGGGATCTTGCCAACTCTTCTCACCCCAAAGTGGTTTTCAGTTTCAAAAGCCATTGATTTTTGTTTGAAATCTGATGGGAGTGATTCTAATGCAAAACATGACCATTTTTAAATATTAAGCGGCCGGGAGGTACTAGTGGAGATTAGCATGGTACTAGGAGCCTTTCACTCACTCATTCACGCACGCGTTCAACAACTATTTATGGAGCACCGAGTGCTGGTTATTCAGCAGAGAATAAAACAGATGCTGTGTCTGCCCCCTTGAAGTTTTCAGAACTTGAGATGGTGAAGGTCTGTTGGCAAAGAACACTTGGAATCTGCTCTCGATGACACTGTTGCTGTTAAAAGGTTTGGACTGCACATCATCCACGCAGAGAGATGATCAGAGATGCAGAATCTCAGGTTCCCACTTCCCTAGACCTAGTGAATCAGAATTTGTTTTTTAACAAGATACTCAGATGATTCCTGTGAATGTTCACCCTTGGCTACCCACTACAATCACCTGGGGAACTAACATTCTGAGGCGCAGAGTGCACTATGAGCCAATGTAATCAGAACCCCTGGGTGTCCAGATTCAGGCATCTGTAGAAAACCACTGGCTCTAGATGCCCCAAGCCAGAGTTTCTGGGGGTGGCGTCTGGGAATCCACTTGTAATAAGCCACTGAGACCAAGGCTGGTGGGTAATTGCTCAGAACCCCCTTGAGAGAGGAAGGAGATTTGGAAGACTTTTGGTGTGGTGGGAGGAAAAGGGGGAATGAAGCAGAAAGGATAATTCGTGGGGGGGAAGGGATCCTGGATAAGAGAGCTTTTTCTTTTTAGTCCTTTAATATTGACATCATTTCAGACTTAAAGGAAAATTGCAAGAAAAGTACAAAGAGCCCCCTTATACTTTTCACCAGACTTTGCAACTTTGTAAGTGGTAACATTTTTATCACAGCTGCTTTCTCCAGGACACTCCCATCCCCTCTCTCATTCTCTCTCCCCCTAAATATATTAATTATATGTAATAATACACATGCACACACACACATGCATGTATATTTTCCCTCTCTCCCAAACCTTTGAGAGTAATAGCAAACATATACCTTTACTTTAGTAGGTGTTTTCTAAAAACAAAGACATTCTCTTAACATAATCACAGTCGTACAATGATCATCATCAGGCAATTAACACTGATGCAATACTACTATTTAATCCACGGACCTCATTCAGATTTTTTCACTTATCTCAATACTGTCCTTTTATAATAACAGAAACTCCCAATCATGTGTTGCCTTTGGTTCTCATGTCTCCTTGATCTTCTTTCATCTGGAACAGTTTCTCTGACTTTCCTTGTGTTTTGTGACACTGATATTTTTGAAGTGTATAAGCCAGCTATTTCATAAAGTATTCCTCAATTTGGATATTTTTGAAGTGTATAAGCCAGCTATTTCATACAGTATTCCTCAGTTTGGGTTTGTCTGATGTCTCCTCATGAATGGACTCAGTTTCTGCACTTCTGGAAGGAACACCACGGTGCAGAGTGTGGCCTTCCTAGTCTGTCCTATCAAGCCGCCCTTGATGTTGGTCTGTCCTGTGACTGAGAGGTTAGGTTTGTGCACTGTAAAGTTCCTTCTTACCCTGGTCAATCAATTATATTATGAGAAGATAGTTTGGGGCCATGTAAATATCCTGTTACTCCTCAAACTTTTACCCACTGGTTTTAGTATTTGCTCATGATTCTTGACAGAATTATTTATTATTATGATGGGTCAAATGGTGATTTTCTAATGTCATCGTACCTTTAACTGTACTGTTGGCTTTTTACTGTAAGGAAGAGCTTTCACTTTTCCTCTCTCTCTCCCTTCCTCCCCTTCTCCCCAACTTCCTTCTTCTCTCCCTCCCTCCCTTTCTTTATTTCCATAAATTCATGAAGCGTTAGTTTGTTCAATGCGTTATACTCGCTTGCTATCTATATTAATGTTCAAGGTATCCCATATTTGGGCAGTAGGAGCCCCATCAGCCTGGCTGTTGGTTCTTTGGACATGTGTCCATCAGTCTTTGAGCACTTCCTTACTTTCTGGGGCAATAAGATATTCCAGGCTCAGATTTTTCTGAGGTCCACTGAAATACTCTGGGGGTGGCACCTCCTAGAAGGGTTTTTGCAGTTTAACACTTACCTGACTGGACCAGGAGAATTTTAGTGAATGACATTGGTAGGATGATGCCTACTGTATTTTTAAGAGCATCAAAAAATGCCACGTTTGACTTTCAACAATAGATGTTTTCCTGAAACACTGTAAAAAGTGGAATTTGGTGGGGGTGGAGGGGGGTATTAAATTTTGTTTAAATTTTGTTTAAAGAACACAGTACCTTGTCTATACCTAACTCCACAGCATTTCTTTGTTTGTTTTTTGTTTTTTGTTTTATTTTTTTGTTTTCTTTTTGAGACAGAGTCTTACTCTGTCACCCAGGCTGGAGTGCAGTGGCGTGATCTCGTCTCACTGCAAACTCTACCTCCCCAGTTCAAGTGATTCTTGTGCCTCAGCCTCCCAAGTAGCTGGGATTACAGGCACCCACCACCATACCTGGATGATTTTTGTATTTTTAGTAGGGGTGAGATTTCACCATGTTGGCCAGGCTGGTCTCAAACTCCTGACCTCAGGTGATCTGCCCACCTTGGCCTCCCAAAATGCTGGGATTACAGGCGTGAGCCACCGCATCCGGACTCCACATTTTTAAAGCAAGTTTAATTTACGCACTTGTTCCATAAATTTCCATAAGTTTTTGACTTAGTTATCATAGAAACAGCAACTTTTATTTTCATTTCCATTTTTGAAATGAATCTTCACCAGTAATACTGTCTCTTTTAAAAAATAACAATCTTATTGCCAAGGACTCTAACAGTCAGCTGAATATTCATACCTGAGAGAGTGGTCTCTCCTATCATTGCAATGTATTTTCTTGATTCTAGAAATTTCCCTAGAGTAAAGGTTCTCATCTGAGGGCCATTTTGCCAGCAGGGAACATTTGGCAATACCTGGGGACACTTTTGGTTGTCACAACAGGGTGGGGGAGGAATTGCTATTGGCATCTGGTGAGCAGAGGCCAGGGATGCTGGTAAATACCCTCCAATGCACAGGACAGCCGCCCACAACTAAGAATTATCCTGCCCCAAATGCCAACAACGTACAGGTTGAGAAACCCTGCTTCAGGGAAAAGCTCTCTGTGGCTTCCCAAGGTATGCTTTGCAGAACGCTGATTCCCAAAAGTGCCCATTCAAAAAGGGCCTGAGGTCATTAGGAAAATGCTGCATCTTGTGGCTCAGTCTTGGAGATTCACAACACGCCCAAACATTTAAGGCCTGAGAAGACCTGCAGTCAAAACATGAAAAATACCAAGAAACTGTGTTATCTGAACTAAGTGTATTCCAAATGAACTTGCCTCTGGAATCCTGTCTTGGTGGAGTATTTTGTGAAATGCAAAACTATTCTCTGCTCTAGAAGGATGCACAGGTCTGCTTTCTATTGGCTTTAATAAATCTGACTTGTGTCCTCACAGAAGCAGCAAGAAAAGATTAGGGGGGCCCATTCCCGAATTCCTTATGAAAGATTCCCAGTGCTTCTGGTTGTCACTGACTCAATAGCTTTATATCTGCAGGAAAAGATTAGGGGGTCCCATTCCTGAATTCTTTGTGAAAGATTCCCAGTACTTCTGGTTGTCACTGACTCAATGGCTTTATATCTATTTCATGCAAACTGTCTAGGGACAGGTGTGGCACCAATGAGATGATTTTAACAGAAATGGTGTTCTTGTCTTCCATTGCCCTCCAGTAAATAAATATCAATAAATAGGGGTGTAATTAGAGCATTATTTCAAAAGTTGAGGAAGTCTATTATAAGGTAAAGTCCACAAAGGCATGTATTTCTCTAGATGTGTAATTGTTTTCAAATTTGCATTGAAACTCTTGAATATGTCTAATCAGTTTACAAATAGAGGCAAAGAAATGTGATTAATTTTGTCCTCCAAATGATAGCCAATCTCTGTTCTAGACCTTATCCCATACACAAATGACTTGGTCAAGTTTACTTTTAGTTTTTCATGTCACGGCAGAGGCCACGAGCTTCCTGAGTAACAGAATCTTAATTTTATTTGAGATAGAAAGGCATCCAATAAAAAGAGAACATTCAAGTTTTACTTACGGTTAGGGGCATATATGTGACTATGGAAATGCACAGGACCTCAGGAAGATGATACAAAAAAGCTGATATCCCCGGAAGGTATACTCCTTTGTTTTCCCCTCCCTCTACTTCTGGCCTGGAATCCACATGTAGTAGCTGAGGCTCCAGCAGCCATCTTGGGCCAGAGGGTTACTCTAAAGAAGGAAGACACTCACTTTGAGTTTAACAAAGCATAAAGACATGAGCCTGCATATCTGATGACACCATGGAGCCACCATACTATCACTAAACTATCTGTCTCTGGATTTCTCTTATTTATGTGTGAGCAAAACTTTCGAACTTATTAAAACTGTTATTTTGAATATATATGTCTTTTCAATTTTAAATAAATATGATTAATGGTTTTCCAACCATTAATTGTTGCATGTAATACATATATTAATTGTTGTTGCATGTAATACATATATGTGTGCATGCACCTACACAGACACCCCTTGAACTTGAGAATCTGTAGGGAGCTACGTTCTCCTTTAGAACAGCACGTGCTTTCCTCTGAAGATAATTTACTTTCAAAGAATACCTTGCCAAGAGCGGTCTTTTGCCCCCAGCAGAGGAAATGAGTTCTCTTGAAAACAGTACATGCCTTATTCTGCTCACTTCATATACGTTCCAAAATAAACGAGTATTCTAATGATTTAGTGCATGCCAAATGATTTGTACCATATGCCCATGTCAGGAATAAAGGGGTTCTGTGCATTTTCATATCTGAGTGTTGAATTGGACTCCTGAACTTTCTGGCCGGCTTGCACCATCAGGTGACCATCTGACTGGGACAGGGGGTGTCTAGGGCTAAGCTAGCGGTGCAGCTTCATCACAGCAGAAGGCAGGAAAGAATGTCATGAGCATGTGCACCCTTCTCTAGGAGATTTAAGTTAAGAGGGCTCTGAAGTGCTATAATTAGAGGGTTATGGAGAAGGAAGGCAACTTGTCTGCTAAGCGAGATCTCTTTTAGGATGCTCTTCTATTATTTCAGGGTTATGATGTGAATTAGCCAGCTTTTAATAGCTTCCTTCCTTCCTCCCCTTTTTCCTCCCTCCTTCCTTCCCTCTTTCTCTTTTTTCTCATACGTAGTAACAACAGTCGACACATAGCTTGTGCATTTATTAGATGATCATACATGCTCTTTATCCTCTGCTCATTTTGTCTGTGGGTATCATTATTAATATCCTCAGTGTGTAGTGGAACAAACAGACTTTAAAATGGTATGGAAAATGACATCTACAGAGACTCTATTTCCAAATAAGGTCACATTCTGTGGTCCTGGGTGGACAGAAATTTTTTTGGGAGAGGAACACTATTTAACTCACTACGGTGCCCAAGCCTTTAACTACTGGGGTACACTGTCATGTAAAGCTATCCTCATGCAATGTTTTGATTGTGTGTGCATATGTGTGTGTGTGTGTGTGTGTGTGTGTGTGTGTGTGTGTGTGTGTGTATGTATCTTCCCCTGTGGAGAAATTGTATGTCGAATGCCTAATGTGTCTCCAAACACAAGTTCTATCTTAAGAGACCAAGATGTATCCTCTTCAACAGGCATGAGGACAAGCCCAGGCCATCTGGCTTTTCCTGAGTGTCACTGCCCCATCTATCAGGCTTGCTTGTGGCCAGAAGGCTGTTTTCATACATTTTTATGGCTGCCGGAGACTCCATTAAAGGCACGTTCAATCAGCGAGCCCGACAGTGACAGAGCCCAGTTGCTCACCAATTCTCTCTCTTGAAATTTTTAGAGATCATAAAAGACTCGTAGGAAATCCTCTGGCCTCGATATTTGGGTTGCAAAGTGTCTCCTTTAGAAGGTAATGTGCTATTGAAGACCAGTGAGTCATTTGCTTTTTGCATTTCCCGGGGCCTGGATGTTAAGCCACTCTTCCCACCTGGGCCCTGGGCCTCATGCTGCAAACTCCAGGCTTGGGAATCAGGGCGCCTCATTGGAAGGGGCAGAAATAGTGCTGCTTCATCGTTTTCTTCCCCTTCTTGCTTTCCCAGGGACCAGAAATGTATCAGTAAGGTCTTGACCTTGGCCATGGTTTGGCATCACAGCAAACTTGAAGTTCTCCTCTGTGGAAACAGCCTGAGCTGGGCCATTTGCAATTGTGTGGCCTCTAGCACGTGTCCAACTGGAGCAGCATGTGGTGGACACCGGTGTTTGTCAGCCCCACATCCATGTCAGGGAAGAGCACTTTGACTTTGCTTTGGGTCTCTCCGGCTCTGCTTGGTGTCTGTGTTGCTGGTTCCCCATCCTCTGCCAGCCTCCTACCTCTGGAGGGGGCCTGATAACCACACCTGTACACATCAGACTCTGTTCCCAGACTTCTGTTGGAACCATTCACAAGCTCACTTTCCAAGGGGATTGTGCTGGGGTGGGTCTCCTGCCCTCAGACTGTGTCTCCCACTTCCTTCCTCTTCCTCTGTCTTGTTGGTATCCCTGGGGCTAACCCCTGCAGCCTGCATTTCCTGGGCATTCTTGCCATCTGGCTTCCAGCTGGGTTGGGCCAAGAAAGGCACTGGGGGAGGCTGAGGGTGAAAGTAGAGAGAAGCGGGGCTATTCCTCCCTCTCCCTGCTGGCCTTGGGAGGCATCTCCGGCAGCAGCTGCAGTTCCTCTGCGGCTCCAGTGCCCCACCAGGCTGCCCTACTCTGGCTCCAGCTTCTCTCAGGTATCCCCAAACCCCTGGGTTCCAGTTACACCATCCTTCCCTCTTTGTCTCTCTGATATAAAGGAGGCAGTGCCTTCCTCCTATCACTAATCCCTGGGTTATTCAACATGGCCATGCTGTCTTCTCAGCAGCTCCATCATCTCTGTAACCAATTCCCTGCATTCAATTTCCCCCAAGGTAAACATCCAAAGTGGCTTCTGCCACAGTCCACCACATGGAGAAAATGAAGCTAACAGGGAGGAAAGCAGCCTCTAGAGAGAGGGAAAAAGAGGAAGAGAGACGGAGTCCTGATGATGTTTTAGCTCCTGGATACAGCTATGCCTGAAGCCCTCACGCTTTCATCTATGTTAGTCAATAAATCCTGCCCGTCTCCCTGCTTTTTTCTTCTTGAGCCAGTTTGGGTTACGTTCATGTCACTGCAGTTCAGAGTCCTTTCATAGAAATATCAAATGTAGTGAGATGCACTATAAGCATTGCTTTTTGTTTTAGGTTTTTTGTTTGTTTGTTTTGCAGCAGAGAGACTAAAATGTTCTTCCTCAGAGGTAGCAAGTCTCCTTAGAGCAGATGTGTTTTGGAGGAAAATAATCAATGATTCTTTGGTTTGCCAAATGCAAGGCAAATACTAACCCAGAGTTCTGGAAAGGACTTGAATAAAAGAGTTATTCAACCTAATATTTCAATGATCTAAGCTGCACTGTTTTGTTATAGTTCTGATTCATAAAAGTCTGTGTGCACATCATGGATATACGCATATGTTAAAACTGGTTAGATTGTACACATTTTATATGCAATTTAGTATATGTTAATTATTCTTTAATAAAGTTGGAAAATGCAAAAGAAAAGCAACATATCAAAACAAAGAGACAGGAATACTATTCAGCAATGAAAAGGAATGAACTATGGTCATGCTTGATACCTTCTATTTGACCCTGCAGATGAATCTCAAACCTTATGCTGAGCGAAAGAATCTAGACACAAAAGCAGACATATTATGGCATTCCATATAGAAAACTCTAGAAAACACAAATTCAATCTAAATGACAGAAAGCAGATCAGGAGTTTCCCAGGGACAGGGGTGGAGGGAATTATCTGGAATGAGACACAAGGGAACTTTCTGGGGTAACAGAAATGTTCCATGTCTTAATTGTGGTCATGGCTATACAGGGGTATAAACTAACCAAACTAATTGAAATGTACAGTTAGAATGGGTGCATTTTATAGTTTATAAACTATATATAAACTACATATAAACACCTCAATAAATTTGATATCATAAAAAATCAACATATATATTCAATATGATAGATTTTTTTCCTCCACAAAATTCTACTACTAAATTTGCAGTATGCATTCCCACAATTGGTGCATTAGAACAGAGGAAATGAGGCTATGCAAATAAAGCCACTACAGCCCACAGAACGAGTGTTGTTGTCAATGAGAAGAAGACTTGTCTGGGCTGAAGGCAGGGGATCTTTGGGAGGTCTCTTAGCAGGCACTTCTACTTCAATTAAAAAAACCCATTGGAAGCTGGGCTCTGGCAGCGGCTTTAGGGTCCATGGGCTTAAAGTGGAGCTGTGTAAGTAGCTGGGCATGGATGGAGGGTGGGTGGGTGCAAATCCACTTTCCCCGCAGGTAGATGGTGTAGGGTCCTGAGAGACTGAGTGAGGATGGTGCTGAGGCAACTGACCATGTTCATGTGATTTTGTGGACCAACTGTCCCCACTGCTGAGTTTTAGAAATTACTGGGAATCCAGTGAACGATAACAAAATCAGTTTTGTGCACGTCACAGGATGGATTTGGATTCATTACCTGAGTATTAAAAGAACACTAACCAGGCACTGTGGTTCATGCCTATAATCCCACAGCTCAAGTGGGAGGATTGCTTGAGGCCAGGAGTTCTAGACCAGCCTGAGCAACATAGCAAGAACCCCCTCTACGAAAGATTTTTTAAAAGTTAGCAAGGCATGGTGGTGCAGACTTGTAGTCCTAGCTATGTAGGAGGCTGAGGAAGGAGGACTGCTTGAGCCCAGGAGTTCGAAGGTGCAGCTGAGCTACGATAACACCACTGTACTCCAGCCTGGTCTCACAGAGTGAGGATCCAGCTCTAAAATAAAAATAAAAATGTTTTGGCCAGGTGTGGTGGCTCATGTCTATAATTCCAGCACTTTGGAAGGCAGGAGAAGCACTTGAGGCCAGGAGTTTGAAACCAGCCTGGGCAACATAGTGAGATTCTGTCTCTAAAAAAAAAAAAAAAAAAAAAAAAAATTGGTTTAAAAAGAAAACTAATCAATTTTGGCCTCTGTCCTGATGAAGCAAGGTATATTGGTTACAATAAAATTTTGGATTGAGTCACTGAGCATGGTATGGCCCGTGGCGGGAAATTCACTCAACCTTAGAGACCTAAGTCATGTGCTGCCACAGACAAGGTTGTGCTACAGTTACTAGTGTTAAGGGGAACCAGGGAGAAACTAGAGTATGGGGTTATGGTGTTAAGAAGTATGAAATGACCCCCAGATTATGGCCACAGGGGAGGTCACAGCAGAGAGCTCTTTTGCACTTTCTCTCTCTCTCACCTTTTCTCCCCTTTCTCCTTTCTTCTGGTAAGCAAGATATTGGTTATCTAATCTTGTATGCCAAGCTATCCCCAAATTTGTCAGCTTAAAAACAACACACATTTACTACGTTACAGTTGCTGTGGGCTAGGAATCTGGTCATGGTTTGGTTGGGTCCTCCAGCCCAGGGTGTCTTATACATTGTAATCAAGATGCTGGCTTAGGGACTGTGGTCTCATCTGATGGCACAGCTGGGGTAGGATCCACCTCCAAGTCACTCAGTGATTTTTGGTAGAACCCCTCCTGAGTTATTAGACTAAGCACCTTAGTTCCTCACTGGCTGTTGGTCAGAGGCTTCCCTTGGTTCATTGCCAGGGAGCCCTCTCCATCAGGGCAAAAAGACAAGAAAAGTCAGAAAGAGAATGTCAGAGAGAAGTCCCAGCTTTTGCAATCTGATTTCGGAAATGGCATCTCATCATGTTTGCTTCATTCTATTTGCTAGAAGCAAGTCCCTTGGTCCACACTCAAGGGTCAAAGATTACTCCTGACATGAATAACACTGCCAAGGATATGAATAACAGGAGGTAGGGTCATTAGGGTGTGAAAGGAAAATAAATCTTGGGGCCCCAAAGTCACAAAGCTAAAGGGAAAAGTCAAGCTGGGATCTGCTTAGGGCAAACATGCCTCCCATGCTATTCAAAGTCATCCCTCTGCTCAGTAGATCATATCTGATTGTCTCCTTTGGAAAGGCTAGGCAGAAACTCAAAAGAATGCAACCATTTGTCTCTTATCTACCTATGACCTGGAAGCCCTTCCCCACTTTGAGTTGTCCCACCTTTGCTTTGAGTTGTCCCACCTTTCTGGACCAAACCAATGTTCATCTTACATATATTGATTGATGTCTCCTGTCTCCCTAAAATTGATAAACCCAGGCTGTGCTTGGACCACCTTGGACACATGTCATCAGGACCTCCTGAGGCTGTGTCACAGGAGCCCGTTCTTAACTTTGGCAAAATAAACTTCCTAACTTGACTGAGACCTGCCTCAGACATTCAGGGCTCACGAGGGACCATTGCAGAAGGCTGGCTACCACAGGCAACAAACATTTATCAACCTCTACTCTGTGCCAGGCTCTTGCTGAAATACTAATTTAGAGATGAATGAGAGGGAGTTTCTGGCCTCAGAAGTAATCCAATCTAGACGAGAAGTTGATCAAGTGAGCAAGCAATTAAGACACAGGGTGGTAGTGTTGTGAATTAACATGTGCATCTGAGTAAAGCAGAGCAGACTTTGACTCTGGAGCCAGGTTATTCCCCTTGTTGCTGTGGGGCGTTCGCCAAGTGATCTATTGCTGAAAAAGCCACAGGCACTGCTAACAGTACTGTGGTTTATTGCCTAGATTCAAAATGGAAGGCAGTGCTAAATGTCAGGTAAATGTTAAGGAAAAGGAAGATATAATTTGTATTTCCACCAAAGTTCACAGACCTCCTGAATTCTGTGCATGGACCATGTACAACAGGTGAAGACCTTGTTTTCAGCACCAGTCACAGTAGTAAGAACTGCACCCCACTCACCACCAGACACAGGGGCAGCTTTTCCCACTGGACCACTATTTGGGCTATCCCCAAAGACCTTTACAGAAGAGAGAAGAGCAGGCCAAAGAGTCAAACAGGTGGGGATTGACTCCTGGTCCAATTATTTTGTGGTCGTCTGATCTTGTTCAAGTCACTTCACCTCTCTGAGCTTCAATTTCTTCATAGCTGTTAAATACAGTCTATAAACATATGGAGTTATAAGCAATAGAGTGCCATCTGTCAAGTGTCTAGTAGGTAGGAAATGATAGCTATACATTTTTAAAATTATTACTCATTATCTAAATTCGAGGTGCCCAACTTTCAAGAACTGTCAAACCATGTTTCCTCTGTGAAAGCATCCCAGACCATTCCAATTCACATCTCAACTCCCTCCTTTGGAATTTGCCTCTTATTAATCTAGATTGGCACTTGGATGCCAACTTGTGAGTGTAATTATATGTCCCATAGTGTTTGCTGCATTGTATTTGTTAGAAGCAAGTCCCTAGGTTCACACTCAAGGGACACGAACAAATAGCTGCCCTCATTTTTTGAGAGCTTAAAAATATCCAGGGAAGGTGCCAGGTGTTTTACATACCTTAACCCATTTAAACAAGCCCTGGTATATTTCTTTTTATCCTCAGAGTAACCTTTTAAAGCAGGTAACACTAGGCACAGTGGCTCACACCTATAATCACAGCACTTTAGGAGGCCGAGTTAGGAAGATCACTAGAGCTTAGGAGTTCAAGATCAGCTTGGGCAACATAGCAAGACCTCATCTCTACTAAAACTCAACAATAAAAATTAGCTGGGCATGGTGGCATGCAACTGTAGTCCCAGCTACTTGGGAGGCTGAGGCCGGAGGATAACTTGAGCCTTGGAGGTTGAGTGACCAAGCCACTGCACTCCAGCCTGGGTGACAGAGCGAGACCCTGTCTCCAAAAAAAAAAAAAAAAAAAAAAAAAAGCCATATAGTAATATTATCCCATTTTGCAGTTGAGGAAACTGAGGCTCAGATAGATGCAGTAAGTTGCCCAAGTTTACAAAGCTAATGGCGTGGATGACAGGAATCTAACACAGGGAAGTCTGACATTGGATTCCCTCAGAACAGGAACCATGACTTATTTCCAATTTTTGTTTTATTGTTGTTTCCCATCAGCATATCGCACAGTTCCTGGTATATAGTGGCCAACCGTCCATGCCTGTTTGCTGGGGAACAACTGGGGAGGAAGAATGGAAGCAGTATGGCAGTGCAGAAAGTTCTAGGGTGAAGAGAGAGCCCTGGTTCTTGTTGCAGCTTTGGGACCACCAGTTGAGTTTGTCCTGGGTGTGTTCCTTTGTCCCTTTGGTGAAGGGTCTCTCAGCCTCTCACAATGGCTAAGTGCCTAGTCCCTAGAGTTAGCAGCCTGGATTCCAGTCCCCAGCTCATACACATTGTGTGACTTTGGACAGATCCAAGTGAAACCTCAGTGTCCCAGCATGTAAAATGGGCAGAGTATTTCCCCCACCTTCCAGGGATGTTGGGAGAATAAAATGAAAGCAGGCACATCTATGATGTGGCACTCAGGGCCTGGCTGGCAGGCAGTAGGTGCACCATAAAGCAAGCTATTGCTGCGGCTGCTGGAGTGGTTTGTGATGCTTATGATAATTACTGTGATGGCGGGAGTGATGCTCTCCTGACGGTTTGGTAGACAGCCAGACAGAAGACATCATGGCAGGAGATTAGAGCACTTGGCAAAAAGGAGGGAAGAAGTGAGGCTCTGTACCCTGGCTCCTCTGAGTGGACAACACAGCCCCTGGGCCCCTTCAAACCAGTGGGTCACCAGCTCCAGGGCTCAGATTACTTTTCCCTAAAACCACAAGGATAGGCTAGAAAATAAGAGTTTCAGTTAATTAGCTTTTTGTTATGTCTACATTATATTTGGCAGCCAATTGGATTTTTTTTTTCATGGATTTGACCACATAACATAATTTGGGAGGGGGATCTTGAAAGCCTGAATCGCAACGACAGCAGAGTAGAGCTGGAGACAGATACATCTTTGCGTTAGACAAATTTGCCCGTGAGTCCTGCCTCTATGATGTACCCGCTGGGGGAATCGGGGCATGCTACTTACCAATATTGAGCCTCAGTTTCCTCACCCAGAAAACAGGGAACACTGGTTCTCACTTCCCTGGGTTGCAATGAGATTATGCATACAGTCGGGGCATAATAATAAACTTTCAATAAATGGGAGCTATGCATATTGTAGTTAACAACAATAATAAATAGTGTAGCTTTGTCTTGGGTATATAGTGCCTATTCTAGAAACAATTAAACAAATTTACCTCTTGGCTTGCCAGCAAGCACATAAGCACAGTCCAAGAGTAGGAACAGAAGATATTTTCATGATGTAACATATTCTGCTGTAAAAGATATATTTTGGCCCTTCATCTGACCAGCCTTGTTATTAAAATTATAAGGTTAGTGATGCAAACCACATAATTAATCTCTTCCTATGAAAAGGTTCAAATAATATAATCCGAGCATGAAGATGTTTGAAATGGTATCATTTTATCATCCAAATTAGCTTTGCATGAGTTCCTTGCAGAAACCCAAAGAAAAAAGCTCCCTTTATTCATGCCAGAGAAACCAGTAAAAAACATTTAAAATGTCTCTAAATGTCAAACAAAGCTCCATTGTGAATGGAAAACAGTATGGGCAATAAATAAATGTTATCCAAATCTCATAAAAACCATAAAGGTAACTGGCAGAAATACCGAAATGGTCATTCACTCATAAATAAATATATGGCCATCTTAAACATCCTGGCATATCCTGTTTAGTTGATTCATGGCCATTCGCTGAAGACAAGGATTCCTGCCTTAGAAGATTTAACACCCTGCACTGTATGTCATTGTCTTGTTAACAGTTCTAGGGGTGGGATGAGCTCTGGTTAACGGGTCTTGCTGACACCAGTGTTTAGTTAGAGGATTGGCTGACGATGCTCAGAACTGTGTGAAGATGACCGCCCTCTCTGTGTGTTTTGCTCATGCTCCTGAGGAAACCTCATTGCCATAGGGAAGAAAATGCCCAGCAAAGCAATACCTAGAAAGTGCAGAAATCATGATTCGGGGACTAGCCCTCCAAACTTGGATTCCATGGCTAACTGCATCACCACATCCAGATTTTGTTAGCACTCATACAATGAGTTCTTGTGAGTACTTGAAAGCTCAACGATCCATCTTGGTTTCCTCCTTACTGGATCTCTCTGGCTGCCTGTTCACCCTCTGGGGTTAGGCCACTCCAGAGGGCAAATGTCTATGGCTTCATAAATGGGTTTGCACCTACACAACATCTCTGATCGATTGGTGGTCTCTGCCTGGAGTGCTATGTGGGAAAGACTTCTGCTGCCTTGTCTGGGCTCAGTGGGGAAGAGGGCTGTGATTGATTAATGCTGTCTGCCACAGATACAGGACTGGAGAGTAGTGAGATGCATGCCATGTATTTGTAATCCCTGGCTACTGGATGATCTGATGATGTGTTTCAGGTATGGCAGGAGAGTGTGGTGTGGTCTGCCAGCCAGCCTCCAATTTTTTCCTGTTCCGTAGTGCAGGGTAGAGATTGACATAGGTGGTTGGGAGACTTGGGGTCATACAGGAGCCCATTTAAGTGTTAGATAGAGGTGCTATTCCCTATTCTTCTCTAAGGTTCTGTGAAGATTCAGCTACCAGGTCCACTATGGCTACTGCTCTGAAATCTCAAGCTTATTTTTCTAGCTTGTTTTCCCTGCAAATTTCACATTAATGGCCACCGAGGAGCAGTAAGATGATGTGATGGTTAATATTGAGTGTCAACTTGATTAGACTGAAGGATGCAAAGTCTTAATCCTGGGTATGTCTGTGAGGGTGTTGCCAAAGGAGATTAACATTTGAGTCAATGGGCTGGGGAAGGCAGACCCACCCTTAATCTGGATGGGCACCATCTAATCAGCTGCCAGCGAATATAATGCAGGCAGAAAAACGTGAAAAGGTTAGACTGGCCTAGCCTCTCAGCCCACATCTTTCTCCCTGCTGGATGCTTCCTGTCCCTGAACATCAGACTCCAAGTTCTTCAGTCTGGGGACTCGGACTGGCTCTCCTTACTCCTCAGCCTGCAGATGACCTATTGTGGACCTTGTGATCATGTGAGTTAACATTTAATAAACTCATATATATATATATATTCCATTAGTTCTGCCCCTCTAGAGAATGCTAATACAGATGGCAAGGTCAATTTCAAGAATTTGGACTTGAATTTAGTGACTTTGAAGATTCCAGAAGGTGAGTGAGGGAGAGTTACAATGAAGTCAGGCATTTCACTAATTGTTTCATTGATTGATTGATTGATTGAGACAAGGTCTTACTCTGTCACCCAGGCTAGAGTGCAGTGGTGCCATCACAGCTCACTGCAGCTTCAACCTCTCAACCTTCTGGGCTTAAGCGATCCTCCCACTTCAGCCTCCCGAGTAGCTGGGGACTACAGGTGCATGCCACCATGCCTGGCTAATTTTTGTATTTTTTGTAGAGGTGGGGTTTTGCCATGTTGGCAAGGCTGGTCTTGAACTCCTGACCTCAAGTGATCCACCCGTCTTGGCCACCCAAACTGCTGGGATTATAGGCGTGAGCCACCGTGCTCAGCCCTTATTTACCCATTTTTAAGAACTCTACGAGTTAGATTTTATCCACCTCCATATTCTAGAAACAGGAGCTCAGAAAGGTTGAGTTACATCCCTAGATCACACAGCTGGTAGCAGGTGCTAGCTGTGGGAGTCAAACCTAAGTCTGCCTAGGTCTGTGTGACCTCCAGATCTGGGCTGTCTCCTTTCTGAGTCACCCACCACTACATTAAACTGGTCTTGGGGAATAGGGGCCAAGGACATCCAAGTCCTGAGGCTGAAGAAGTTTGTAATAGATGCTGATTTCTTTGCCTCCCAGTCTGGCCTGGCCCCGGGAACTGGCTTATCCTGCCTCGCTCAAGGCAGATGCATCTTCCCCTTCCTACATTCTCGACAGAGTGATTTCCAGGGGATGGCGTGAAGGCCGTGTTACGCAAAAGGCACCATTTTAGAACTCTAATAAATAGCTATTCAATTCAGTCAGCCAAATTAGGGAAGAATCACTCTAAGAATATCTGCTCCCTGCTGAGCTGATTTGAGTGTGACTGACTATCTTGCTTCATGGAAACCAGGCTGAGCAAAGGGAGGAGTTGCCGAGAAAGTTGAGGATTCTCCTTCTAAAGAGGCCTCAGGGATTAAATTAGTCACTTCTGAGGTCTCCTGTCGGACGAGTGATAGAATTTCATCGACTTGTCACTGGAGCCAGCAGAACATGATGTGCTAGATATCTTCCCACTGTTCCCCTGCAGAGAGAAAGAGCGAAGAAAAGATTCATGCTTTATACCCTTAGGAGACTGGGGAGGGTAGGGGCAGCCCTCTCAGCCACTGTTTCCTTTCTTCTGGGAGTTGTGACAGGCAGTGTAACTATTGTCAGTAAACTCTCCAACAGAGGCACTGCGGCTCCTCGGCTTGCGCATGTTGGAGAGAGGGGAAAGCCACAATGTGTTCCCCGCCCCGTATCTTTGTATTCCTTAAGACAGCCTCACTGCTAGAACAAAACAACCCCTCATCTCAGGGGCTTACTGTAATCATGGCTTATTTCTCACTAAGGTCACAGCCCAATGCTGGTCAGCATGGTAGGGATCAAAATGGAGATCTGCTCCACTCAGTTACTCAGGGACCCAGGCTTCTTCTCTGTTAGGGTTCTACCATCTTTTAGGGCCACAGAGTCCTTCCTGGGACTGTGTTCCAGATGAGGGAAGAAAAAGTGAAGTGTCACACAGGAGTTTTTTCAGGGACCAGGCCCTGAAGGGCTGTCCATCTCTGCTGCTCACATTCCACTGGCCACACCTCAGTCACATGGTCCCATCTAACTGCAGGAAATATGGTCTAGCTGTGTCCCCAGGTGGAAAAAGAGTGAAATTTGGGGAACTTATAGCATTTATCTGTTTCAACCTCCACCTAAAATGGCCAAGTCCCTATGCTGAGAAAATAAACAAGACAATGACAATAATAACAACAACAAAAGAGACAGCACCAGCCCAGACATCCATGCTCATCTATTCTTGAATGTGGCAACTTTCCAACTCTAGAATCTGGGTCCTTGCTTCTTAAAATGAGTACAAAGCTGAGGGATACACAGAACCATCAGGTAAAACATAAGACACCATGTAGTTGTGTCAATTTTATCTGAAATTTTAAGGAATTTTAAAATATTGAATTTTAGCTTTCTTGAAAGATTTAGGCATATGTGTATCCAATGAACCCAAGGGAAGTCAGGGGATTCCTGAAAGTCCTAGGCTCATTGTCTTACGTGTTTATGGCTTCCCTTATGGACATTTAGGAAAATGTCAAGGAGACTGAAATATTTGACTAAAGTTGTGTCTTTACCATCCTTTCCTCAGATTTAAGTCACGGGCATTCCAAACTAAATGGGGGAAGGTAAGTTGTGAGTCTACCCAAGACCTAATGATATTAGCAATTAATTTCCCAACCAACTATGAGTCAGGTATTTTGCTAAGGGCTTGCATGTGTTCTGGTTATCTATTGCTAAATAGCAAACTCTCCTAAAAGTTAGTGGCTAAAACAACCATTTTATTCTATCTTATGATTTTGTGAGCCAGGAATTCAGGCAGGGCTCAGCAGGGTGATTCTTGTGCTCTACAAGGGATCAACCGAGGTTGTTTGGTGGTGTTAAACTGACAGGCTAGTTTGATGGATTCACGATGGCTCTACTCAAATATCTGGCACTTTGGCACAGAAGGCCAGAAGACTGGAGTCAGCTGGATCCCTCTCTCGCTTATGTGGCAGCTCATGGCTCCAAGAACAAGTGTTCTAAGGTTCTAAGAGGTTCTAAGAGGGCTAGACTAAAGCTGCAAGGCTTCTATGACCGAGCCTCAGAAGCCCCAGTGCATTACTTCTGCCACATTCTGTTGGTCAAGTGGGTCACTAAAGCCAGCTCAGATTCCAGGGGAGGAGAATTAGACTCACTTTCAATGGGAAAAGTGACAAAGAATTTGCAGGCATCTCATTTAATCTTCACATGGCAGACATTACTTTTATTCCCATTTTACAGTCAAATAAACCTTATTTACTTGGTTACTGATTCACAGAACCTCAAAATCAACATGCTACCTACAGTTAGTACTTTCAAAAGCTTAATCTAAATGACTACTGAATAGAAGAACCTATTTATAAAAACTTTCTTATCCCAGTTAGTAACTTAGAACTTAAAATGATGGTACTAATATTCATAATAGCTAACTTTTTGAAAACTTACTGTCTTCCCCTTACCTTCAATTCTCAGAACAATCCTGTATGCTTGTGTGGTAGAATGTATTATTGTTCAAAACACTGGCATCTTCTCCATGTGAGAGAATTATACTTTCTATCCCATGGCTTTAGTCTTGCTGTGTGACAAGTTTTGGGCTATAAAGCATGGGTAGAGTTGATGTGTGCCACTTCCAAGCAGAAGCTTTAACAATCATTGTGTGGTTCTGCCAGGATCTCTTTTTCTCTGCCATGAGATTGACAGTATCCCAAATACAGACTTCTATGTCAATCTGCATTACAGGATGAAGATCACATGGAATTGAGCCACAGCCAACAGTGGACATGTGTCTCTAATAAGCAATGAACTTTTGTTGTTGCCAAGCCACTGAGATTTTAACGTTGTTTGTTACTGCAGCATAACTTAGTCCAAGCTGACTGGTACTATTAGTTTTTCCATTATATAGATGATGTTGAAACAAGTACAGAATAGTTAAATAATTTGTCCACAGTCTAGCACTTAACTCTAGGCTGTTTGATTCCAGAGCCCTTGATCTTAACTTCCAATCTTCTATATAACTGATGAAAATAAAGACTCAGGCCAAAATGGCCACATGCTTGAATTGTGTATTTAGGTACCTAATACACAGATTGTATAATCTTTAGCTCACTGACAACAGCTTGTGTGCCAAAGGCACGCCTGACTTTTGAGACAGGGCTACTGAGATGTCGCAAGGCCTGGAAATGCAGCTCAATAACTTACTTCATCACAAGAGGGGGAAAAACTGTATAAATATTTTTTGAGCATCCTACAGTATTTCATAATTTTATGAGGTTGACATCGCTTGGGATGATTTAGCCTTTCCTGGCCTGACATGTTTCTCTGCTATTTTCTTTCTAAGTAACAAGAAAAGAAGGAGAAAGTGAAATAGAGGCATGGCTATTCCATGAATTACAAGGTGTCAAAATATTATCTAGGGATTTCTTCTTTCTCAGAGTTGTGCAAAGAATTGCACACTTCTTAGCCTCTGGCTTTGCTGGACAACAGTGGTATAAAAAGGAGAGGGAATGTCACAGTGATTAGGATGAGAGGACTGCATCTGGACAAGTGTCACAGTGGTTAGGATGAGGGGACTGTAGCCGGGCATGGTGGCGGGCACCTGTAATCCCAGCTACTCGGGAGGCTGAGGCAGGAGAATGGCGTGAACCCAGGAGGTGGAGCTAGCAGTGAGCCGAGATTGCACCACTGCACTCCAGCCGGGGCAACAGAGTGAGACTCCGTCTCAAAAAAAAAAACACAAAAAAAAAAGGATGAGGGGAGGGGACTGCATCTGGACTTGGAGTACTCTGGCAAGTCACCTAAGTGCTGGATTTTGGAATCCATGCTGTTCTGGGTGCCTCCTTGGCTTGAAGTATTTCCCTTTGCCTCCTACTGATATGTAGTATATAATATAAAATGATTTGGGCTGCAAACAACATAAGATTCAACTTGAAGAGGTTTTAAGACAAAGAACTTCTATTAGTTGGCATAACCAGAATCCTAGAAGTAGGGCAGTTCTAGAGTTGGTTAATTTAGTGGCTCAATGACATCATTGAAGACCCAGGTTCTTTCTATCTTTTTGTTCTGTTGTCCTCAGAGCATGGACTTATCTTCTTAGGCTGGTTCCCCTCATGGTCCCAAGATGGCCACTGTAGTTGCATGTGTGGAAAGCAACATCTGCTTGTGAACAAGGGAACTTGCTCCTCATATGTTGTCTTAACACCAGTTCCTTGAAATGGAAATTTGTGTGCAGGGAGGTTGTTGGAGAATGTTCTTAGGAACAACAGCTGTTAGGGAGTGAGAGAGGCAAGGCTGGCCAAAATGAGGAGTTGAGCTACGATGCGGCTGCAACAGAGGCCTCAGCTGAACTCATAGGGCCCTCTGGAGCTGGAATGGAGCTTCAGAGTTTCCAAAACCGTGGCAAGAGGCTGGACCTTTGTACCTCTGCATTGACTAGTCACTGGATGTGTGCTGACGCTGAGTAGGTGGTGGTGGGGTGACCTCAGATAAAGCACTCATGGCAGGTACGGGGAAAGTGCTTGTCTTGAAAGAGGATCTGGGTTGTACAGCTAGCATCCACTACTCGTGCCTCTTAGGAGCTCAAGGGTCACAATAAAGAAGGCTCTTTTTAGGTGTTTCCCATATGGCCTCTCATGTCCCCCGGGCCAGCAGTGCATCTCATATCCATTTCTAAATCACATATTGGCAGAGGCAATGGCATTATCATGGTTGATTTGCACTGAAAAAGAGTCACTCTCTGTGGATAGCTCAGCTTCTCCTGAAGAATGCAGCTGCTCTGAAGGAGGTGAACAAAATCAAGGTATGTTAAGAAAGAAGATGGTGGGTGGGATGGGTATTCAGTTGGCAGCAGGATCTGGTCCATGCAGGGACTATGTCATCCTGAGTATTTGTCTGATCTATTGGTGCTGAATGCAGTAGAGGAAATCCCAGATAAGAAGTGCCTAGAAATGTCTATGTCTTTCAATGCTTACCGGAAGAGCATATAATGAGAAGATAAAGAACTACCGCCCACAGTAAGCCTCCAGCTGTAGTAGTAGTGGCAATATGAGAAGAAAGCCTTCTCTCTTTCATATATGCTGAATTCGAAATGGTTCTTGTAGAGTTTGGCTGGTGGCCCCATTGTCCTGGCTCCAGTGGGGTCCAGATGGCCCTTAAGCATCAGTAAATCTCTTTGTGTGCAGACATGTTTGGCTCCTTATGTCACCCTACATCTTAGTTTGAGCTCCTCCTAGCACAGACTTTGAGACAAGGATTCAAATATAAGCAGTGTAGTTGGAGATGGAGGTAGGGAAGTGAGGCTATGACCTAGGAAAGGACTGGCTGTAGGGTTACCCGGTAAAATACAGGAAGCCTGTTAAATTAGAAAGTCACACAATGAATAATTTTTTAACATAAGCATGTCCTATGCAATATTTTTCAGACAAATAAAGAATACATTTTTTAGTATGTGACCCAAATATTGCCTGGAGCATACTTACACTACCAAAAATATCAGTTTTATGTGAAATTCAAAGTTAACTGGGGATCCTGTAATTTTTATTTGTGAAATCTGACAATCCAAGATAACAGCCAATAATGAGTATGTGATTGAGTCAGCTGCTACTGAAGGTGACATAGTTACTGTGGCCTCTGGGAACCAGTGTAGAGTACATGCAGAGTTATTGGGCCCAGGAGGCAAGGGAGCCGGGATGTTTCACACCTACTCTGCCAATCTTTGGTTGAAAGTTTGGGTAGGGGCAGGGTGCTGGTTCTCTGGTGGTGATCTCTCAGCTCTTCTGAATTTCCCTGAGCACAGACAGAGATGACTTCCTTGTGTGACTTCTGAGAAAGCCCTCAAGCAAAGAGACAGAAGTCCTAACAGTTGACAGTCAGCTGATGCCCTCTGAAGTAGTAAGACTCAAGGATATGGGCAAGGCACCTACATGCCCTAGGGCCTCACTTACAGAACAGATGTCCCAGTGCTAGAAACTGTTAGAAGCACAGTCTTCGGTGTCAATAGATCTGGGTTGGAATCTTGATTCTACCATTGAATATCTGAGCTTGGACACACATTAATTAACTTCTTGGCCCCTTTTCCTCATCAGTAAAATGGGTCTAATGATACATACCCCATCAGATTATTGTGAAGATTAAAAGTAAAAAAGTAAAGGCCAGGTGCAGTGGCTCACATCTGTAATCCTAGCACTTTGGGAGGCCGAGGCAGGCGGATCATTTGAGGTCACGAGTTTGAGACCAGCCTGGCCAACATGACAAAACCTCATCTCTACTAATAATACAAAAAATTAGCAGGGCGTAGTGGTTCATGCCTGTAATCTCAGCTACTTGGGAGGTTGAGGCACGAGAATTGCTTGAACCTGGGAGGTCGAGGTTGCGGTCAGCCGAGATGGCGTCACTGCACTCCAGCCTGGGTGACAGAGTGAAACTGTATCTCAAAAAAAAAAAAAAAATGATGATGTTAAAATGTACAGGCTTTGAGGTCAGACAGACCTGAACTTGAATCCTAACTCTACCATCTACCAGCTGGTGGCCTTGGACAAGCTACATCATCGCTCGGTCTCGGGTTTTCTTATTTGTAAAAGGCAGATGACATTCACCTCCTAGAACTGTTGTGAGATTGGAAAGAAATGAAATATATTAAGTGCTCAGTGCCTGGCACAGTACAGACAATCGCATCAATGTATACTTGCACTGTTATTCCTTACAGAGGCATGAGGAAGAGATGCATTTACCACTAAGTGGTTCATGCCTAATCTGAGATGCAACTCTGCTCAAGTCTATCCAGACAGTTAATGGAATTCATAGATGGGATGAATTAAGCCTATGGTAGGGCTGGGATTTCTGAGGAGAGGAGATCCAGGTAGTCATTAGGCATTGCCATCCTTCTGGGAATATGTCCCCACCTTCTTGAATTTAGGCACAGCCACATGACTTGCTTTGGCCAATAAAATGTGAGAGAGGTGGGTGGTATTTCCAGGTGGAAGCTCCAGGAGCAAACGCATGCTTGGTCTGTGCACCGCATGTGCCGTGCCTGCTATGTATTTTCCCTCCCTGATGATCAGTGAAGGTTGTGATGGTGGAAGCTGGGACCCTGGGTTCCTGCCCAGGGCTGGCATGGTGCAGGGCCCTCAGACAACTTATGATGGACATGCAGTGTGCATGAGAAATAATCTTCACTATTTGGGGGATCATTTGTTTCCACAGATGGACTTTGTCCAGGGGTCAGCAAAGTGATGCTGGCCAAATGATTGGAGCACAGCCATGTGCATTTGTTTACTTACCATGTAGGGCTGCTGCCACACTACAAAGGCATAGTTGAGTAGTTGCAACAGAGATCATCTGGCCCTCAAAGCCTGAAGTACCTACTATCGCCCTCTACAGGAAGGGTTTACTGACTAGCCCATCCTGATCGACATGGGGGTTATTCATCTTCTGCTCTATCTCAACTTGGGGTTTGTGTGGGGCCTGGGATTCTGCATTTCCAACTAGCTCCCAGGAAATGCCGATGCTGCCGGTCCATGGACTCTTTTTTGAGTAGTGAGGCTCTAGGGCAAGGTTTCTCAATCTCAGCACTATTGACATTTTGGACCAGATAATTCTGTGTTGTGGGGGCTTCCCCGTGCATTGGAGGTTGCTTATAGCAGCATCCCTGGTTTCCACCCACAAGATACCAAGAGTTCCTCCTAAGATGTGACAACCAAAAGTGTCTCCAGACATTGCCAAGTGTCCCCTGGGGTGCAAATTCCCCTTAGATGGGAACCACTGCTCTAGGGACTCTCCAGTAAGCTCACAATTCTTTGGGGTGTTGATAAGAAACCCTTGGGCAACAGGCTTGGTATATCTCCTGTCTGATTCCAAGAAAGATGGAAACAGTGCCAATGATGCAGAACTCCTGAGTCAGGCAGGAAGAGCCAGGGTCGAGGGACATGCAGAGGATGCCAGGAAGGAAAACAATGAAGTCAGTTATATTCTTCTGCTCTGCTTGGAGTAATGTGTACATTTTAAACATTTCACTGAAAAACTTGGATAAGATAGGTGGATAAATATCACTGCTTAGAAAGTTTAGAGTCTGGAAAAACAATTCTAATTTGTAGGCTTCTTCATGGATGGCTGAGAGCCTTCCCAGGCCAGCCAGACATTTGCAGTGGGGCAGTCCCAGCCTCTTCTGCCTCACTCTTTCCCATCACAGTGCTGCCCCGCGGGAAGGGGCAGCTGATTGTTGCCTTCACCCTCACTTTAGAGGAGAGAAAGGGAAACGTTATCACACTCCACCCTTGCTGTGTCATCCCAAGGGCATGCTAACTTCCATCTGCTGCATGAACAGACCTCAAACTAGATGAATCAGAGGTGGCGGCTGCCATGCGGACTGAGGGTGCTTTGAAATCAGTGGAAAAAGAATCGTCAACATGTCTCAGTTTTCACAATTTGCATCTGACCACAGAAAAAATCCTAACAGTCTGTGTATATATTTTTTGTAGACCCTTCTACATGTAATATGGTTTACTATTCTATTTATTTTCTGGCTTGTCTAAAATTATAAGAGCCATATATAATTGTTATTTTGTAATTTAAAACAGTACAGAAGTGGGTACAGTTAAGAGGGAAGCCCTTCTCTCTTCCCTCCAATGCCACATCTCAGAATGAAACCCTATCAACACGTTGGGTGTGATCCCTTCAGAGATTTCTATATATTTAATACACATGTGTAGTGTTTACATACGAGATCATACTACACATGTGTAAGATGGTTCTGCTTTACTGTTTTCTTTTCATATCAGGGCCAGGCCAAGGGTGCAGAATTTAAGGAGGCACCCACTCTCAGGCTCATGTTAGCACAGGGACATGGTTTGCACAACCCTGACAACGAGCACACCCTTAAATTTTGTGTCCCAGGTGGCTTACTCTTAAGGAAGTAATACTTTTCTGTATGCCCTGGTCCTCCCTGCTTAATATATCTTAGATATCTATGTCAGTTCAAACAGCCCTACTTCATTTTTTTTACATAATACAGTTTAAGTTTAAAGGTAACTACTGCCAGGGGTGGTGGCTCATGCCTATAATCCCAGCAGTTTGGGAGGCCAAGACAGGAGGGTCACTTGAGCCCAAGAGTTTGAGACCAGCCTGGGCAACATGATGAAACCCCGTTTCTACTAAAAAATACAAAAAAAAAAAATATCTGGGCGTGGTGGCGGGCGCCTGTAGTCCCAGCTACTCAGGAGGCTGAGGCAGGAGAATGGCGTGAACCTGGGAGGCAGAGCTTGCAGTGAGCGGAGATCGCGCCACTGCACTCCAGCCTGGGTGACAGAGTGAAACTCCATCTAAAAAAAAAAAAATTTAGCTGGGCATGGTGGTGTGTGCCTGTGGTCCCAGCTACTTGGGAGGCTGAGGTGGGAGGATTGCTTGAGCCTGGGAGGTTGAGGCTGCCATAACCTGTGATCACATCACTGCACTCCAGCCTGGGTGACAGAGTGAGACCCTATCTCAAAAAAAATAAAAATAAAATAAAGGGTAACTTTTGCCTTGGTTTCATTTTTGTCTACCCAATGTGATACCAACAAAGCAATTTGGACGTAGCTTTTGGAGCTGTTGCGCCTCCGCTACCTTCTGGACTTCTATGCCTGTGTTGCTTGGCTCCATAGCTCCTTCCTTGAGCTGCCCAGGTTAATGAGTGGAGGGGACAGTGGTAAGAAGCTGAGAGAGGCAAAGTAGACTTGAGTTAGGAAAGGCTCAAGCTACCTGGAAAAAAAGAGGTGCATGAGGTGAGAGGAAGGGGCAAGAGGGGGACTTTAGGAAGAGGCAGAGAAAGGAGATTTGGGGGAAGTAGCTGCTTCCATGAGTGAGAATTTGAGAAAAGAAATGTGTGAAGAGGAAATGTAGCCTACGTTCCGGGGTGTGATTCAAATGTTCTTGGAGGAGGAGATTTGCATCACTCCTCAAGGTCTTCTGGAGTTAGGTTTATTTAATGGGGTGCATCATGGTCTAGGGCCCAGCCCCAAGGCTAATTGGCCATAATTGGGTTACCTGTGTCTATTTGGTAAAGTTGAAGTGGGATCACAGGAGCCTAGGAGGGTTACTCAGTTTTCAAATAATCAGCTCTCTTACCAATAGGGAGTTATTTTTTTTTTAACTTTTATTTTAGGTTCAGGGGTACATGTGCAGGTTTTGTTATATAGGTAAACTGTGCGTCGTAGAGGTTTTGTGTACAGATTATTTCATCACCCAGGTACTAAGCATAGTACCCGATAGATATTTTTTCTGATCCTCTCCTTTTCCTATCCTCCACCTTCTGATAGGCCCCAGTGTGTGTTATTCCCCCCATGTGACCATGAGTTCTCATGATTTAGCTCCCACTTATAAGTAAGAACATGTGGTATTTGGTTTTTTGTTCCTGCGTTAGTTTACTGAGGATAATGGCTTCCAGCTTCATCCATGTGGCTGCAAAGGACATGATCCTGTTCTTTTTTTATAGCTGCATAGTATTCCATGGTGTGTATGTACCACATTTTCTTTAACCAGTCCACTGGATCTACACTGATGGGCATTTAGGTTGATTCCATGTCTTTGCTATTGTGCTGCAATGAACATACGTATGCATGTGTCTTTATGGTAGAAGGGTTTATATTTCTTTGGGTATATACCCAATAATGGGATTGCTGAGTCACCTGGTTATTCTGTTTTACTGCTTTCCACAATGTCTGAATTAATTTACATTCCCATCAGCTGTGTATAAGGTTCTCCACAACCTCACCAGCATCTATTATTTTTTGACTTTTTAATAATAACCATTCTGACTGATGTGAGGTGGTATCTCATTGTGGTTTTGGTTTGTATTTCTCTAATGATTAGTGTTATTGAGCATTTTTTCATATGCTTGTTGGCGGCACGCATGTCTTCTTTTGAAAAGTGTCTGTTCATGTCCTTTGCCCACTTCTTAATTTTTTTTTTTTTTTTTGCTTGTGAATTTGTGTGAGTTCCTTACGGATTCTAGACATTGGACATTTGTCGGATGCATAGTTTGCAAATAATATAGGGTCCTAGGCCACTTTGAGGAGTTGTGGAAATCTACAAAACTATTCCTCAGAACAACGCAGGTGAGCAAATACACACATTTTGCCAACAGCTTTTAGAGGATTTTGAACCCAGAGGCCCAACCTCAGCCCCCTGTGTCAAGGATTCTGGGGAGGGCTCTGCCTGATGCTGCAGTCCCAGCCACCTGCAAATCAACTTATACTGAAAATGTGCCCAATCAGTGAGCACATTACAGTCTCCAAGAGTGCCTTGTGGAGGCAGACATGAACTTGAAAACTGCATATTCTAGAATCTTGGCCTTTCCTGCTTGACAGCAAGAGGAATACGCAGGAGTTTGGTGGAAGTTTCTGACACAGAAATCTTACAATGGGAGTTTGCCTCTGAAATCCCAGTGGAGTCCATTAGTGGAGCGATTTGCAGCTCCTTGCTTTGCTAGGTGTGCCAAGAGCGGTTCTGTTTTTAGAAGGCAGTCATCCAGGACTGGGAAGGGGCACGCTGGAAGAATCTAAGCCCCAGTGAAGGGTCCCAAGTGGAAGATGAAGAATGATGAGGATGTAAATTCTTGGTGTCTGGGGGAAGCCTGAAAGACTGGAGGCTAAGACCAGCCTTGAAAATGTATAACAGGAGACTAAGTGGCATTTTCTCCCATTGTCTCAGACTGGCTGACAGTGGCACAGAGCTAGGGAGATTTCTGCACCACCGCTGGGGTTGGGGAGAACAAGGAGGCAGCACACTGTCCTCAGGCCCGATGAGGTTGGCAGAATGGGCCCGATTCCAACTAATCATCATTAGCTTTCCATAAGCTATCAGATTAAAAGAACAAAATGAGAGGGGAGAGTCCTATAGCCGTGGAGGGAGTATAATTCTCCTTCTCCTTCATCTCTTTCATCTTCCTTCAGCTCTTTCTTTTCCTTCTCCTTCTTCCTTTCCTTCTCCTTTTATTCCTCTTTCTCTTCCTCCTCACCCTGCTTCTGCCTCTTTTTTTTTTTTTTAAAGCTATTCTAACCCCACTGGGGAAAGGAAGGGGACTGTGCTTTCTGAGGTCAAGCAAAAGGAATTGGAAGACAATCATGGGTTGTCTTAGTTACAGTTCCCTTAGATGCAGGCTCTGAGACAAGGCATTTACTGCAATTAGTGTGTTTAGGAGGGGATTCCAGGAAACATTGATAGGAGAAATGGGGAAGTGAGTCAGGGAAGGGAGGAAGACACACTCTTCAGAGTGTGTCACAGAGCAAAGTATCACTGCAGACAATAGGAGCTTAGTCCTACTGGGGACATCTGACAGTCAATAGAGACCATGCCTTCTGAGATATTCCTCATAGGGGCTGGGATACTGATTCAACAACTCTGGAGAGCCATTGATTGCCTCCTGGTCTTGAAAGGTGGTAATTCCCTGGTTAATTTCAGCCTGCTGCTAGCTGTGGCAGAGTGGGCTCCAATCCTCAGAGGAAGCCCCTAGGCAAAGAGGCAAAGAGACAAAGGTGCTGGCCAATGAAGTTAGGTTGACACATTATTTGATTTCATTCATACCAAGTTCAGAGAGAAGCAAAACAAATCTATGGTGTTAGAAGTCAAGACAGCAGGTAGCTTGTGAGGGGATGATTAGAGGAAGGTTTCTAAGATTGTGATCATGTTTAATTTATCGATCTGAGTTTGCACAGATGTGTTCATTTCATGCAAATTCATTGACCTGTATAATTGTAATCTGTGTACTTTTCTACATGTCTTTTATACTTAAACACGTTTACAAAAGCACTAAGTCTCATTTCTTGGAATGGGCTTTTTCTAGTAACTCAAAGTGTCTGAAAAGTTCCAGAATTGAACCAAGATGTCACCAAGGGAGACATTACCCAAAGGAAAGTGGGAATTCAGCTGAGCAGAGATGAAGGCAGCAACATCCAGACGTGACAAATGACCTGTCGCTCCAACAGAAACCGCTAGAATCAAACACAAAGAAAGGAAATGGATGGGAAGAAGTCAATTTTGAGATTACTTCCCAGCCCCAATAAACTGCAATTTCTTGAAAAACCAGTTGCATATGTTTGGCAGCAGCTTTGCCAAGAAGGTCCTCTGAGAAAGGATTCCAGATGGATAGTATGTTTCCCCAATAAGTCTCTTGTCTCCAGGCTCCAGGAAGACCTGGCAGGGGCCGGCGTTGCAGCCCAACACACATGAGGGACCCATTGGCTTCTTCAAACTTCCCACTAAATGTTGTGATTAACCACGCTGTGGCTCCAATTAGATCAAATCAAAGCAACATGTTAAAAGAATAGCAGCAGGAGGTAATGTGCATATCATTAAAGAACAAGTTACAAATATGAGTCCTTTGGTGAGCCTAATAGACACATGTCGCGTGGAGCTGAGACAAATGTTGAGTCTGCTGGTTTGAGGTTGCACCCTGAGTTTGCCATGGGTTGGGAGCTGAGTAGATATTAGTAAGAATGTTATTAAGGAATAATAGCTATTTTTTAGGGCTTCCTATGTGCCAGACACTGTGTGAAGTGCTTTGCATGCAATACTAATGAAGTAGGTTGTATTTATTCCATTTTATGCTGAAGAAACTGAGGACCTAAGCAGATGGGAGAACTGATAAAGGTTAAACAGTTAACTAGTGGCTGGGTCTGCCTGAATCCAAAGTCCACCTGATTTTAATTTTTTATTGAAATTCAGGTATAACTTACATATAGGAAGATACGGACATCTTAAGTGTAAGGAACTATTACCTATGTGTACACCTATGCAACCACCACCCAGCTCAAGCTATGGAGCATCCCTTGCCTTCCAGAAGGTTCTCTTATGCCCCTTTTCCAGTCACTATCACTCCCAAAGAAAGTGCTGCTCAGAGTAGTTTTGCCTGTCCTTGAACTTCATAGGTGGCAGCCTACAGTGTGTGCTGTTTTGTATCCAGCCTCTTTCACTCAACTTGTTTTTGAGATTTACCCATGTGTATAGTGCTTGAATTAGTAGCTCATTCATTTTTCATTGCTGAGTAGTATTCCACTGTAGAAATATACTGCACTTGATTGATTTGTTCTGCTGATAGAAATTCAGGTTGTTTCCAGTTTTTAAGGCCAAGGGCTTTTAACCACACATATTTCACTGTAGATTGATGAAGGCAGCTGGGTTACTTGTTGTCGTTGTTGTTTGTTTGTTTGTTTGTTTGTTTGAGACAGAGTCTCAGTCTGTCACCCAGGCTGGAGTGCATTGGCGTGATCTTGGCTCACTGCAACCTCCGCCTCCTGGGTTCAAGCGATTCTCCTGCCTCAGCCTCCCAAGTAGCTGGGATTACAGCTGCATGCCACCATGCCTGGCTAATTTTTTTTTTTTTAATTAGAGACAGGGTTTCGCCATGTTGGTCTGATCTCGAACTCCTGCCTGCCTCGGTCTCCCAAAGTGCTGGGATTACAGGCGTGAGCCACCACACCCGGCCAGCTGAGTTACTTGTAATAGTCGGGAAGGGGAACTTACATGAAAAAAGAAGGAGGTTTCAGAGGTCACAACTATGAGCAGTAAAGCTAAGAAAAAATGAAAGCTGAACGGGACCCTCTTACTCTCAGATTTCTGCATGGCTCCCGCCCTTGTCTTTCATTCCAGCCTCTGTTCAGATGTCACATTCTGCATACAATGGCACCTCCTAACAGAAGAAATGATGGCATGGGCATGCAATCTGCAAAATCCATACCACAGGATATTCTAGGGGACAAATGACCTGGCCATTTCAACAAAAACCTGCAAGAAACAAAAACGAAGAAAGGAAATGGGTAAGAACCTAAAGACTGAAAGAGATTTGTTAGAACCTGAATTTAAGTAAGGTTCATAGCATGCAAAAATATTCGTGACAATGGGGAGGTGTGAACACTGATGGGACATGATTGCATATTAAGGAGTCCTGGTTATTTTTTAAGTGTGATAATGGCATTGAGGTTATGTTTTGTAAAAGTCCCTATCTTTTAGAGTTAAAATAAATGACACCTCTCCACCTTCACACTCTATCTTACTTACCTTGTGCAGGGGAGGAAAGATTTCTTTTCACAAGAGAAAAGCATAGAAATTTATTTAATATAGTTTTATATGACATGGGTCCCTTTAGAAGTGAAAGACCGCAAAAAACAACAACGGGGAAACCTGTGTATTTTTACGCTAAGTTTCATGAAGAGGTGGATAGTCCTGGAGCAGTGCGATTGGACAAAGGGGGTGTGATCTACTGATAATAACCTGGGGGCCTGTTTGTTCAGATTCTTTGCTGAGTTCCTGCTTCATATACTCTCCTTTCCTCTGCTTATGACGTAGGCACTGCCCACATGAGTAGTATTCCACTGTATTCCACATGAGGCTCTTATGACCGACTTCAGCAGAAGGTCAGAGGATTCTATGATGTTTGATGGTGTGCTTCAGGGGAGAAGGGTTGGGGTCAAAGAGACCTTCCCGCTTCTGCTGGTTTTCTCAGATGCCAAGATGCTCTATTTTGGGGTAACATGTCCTAAACCCTATCACCTGCCTAATGTTACTTATTAGCTCTCATTTCCCCTGACACTTTCCCTTTTTGTTTTCTTGAGTAGAAGCTTCATAAAGGCAAGACCTTCATCTTACTCACAGCAGTTGATTCTATCACCTTGTATGGCCCCTGACACATAGAAGGTGCTCAATAAATTTTGTTGAATGGATGCATGAAGTGTTTGAGAAAGTTCCCCTGTGAGTAAAATGTCAAAGAGTTGAAAAACAGAAAGAAACAATGAAGCCTGGGGACATGGTTTCTGAAATCAGGTTTTTATTTTATTATTATTATTTTTTACAGTGCAAAGAGCTGGCTGTGAAAGGCAGCTTTGTTAGAACTATTTATGAAATTCTCACTTGTGCCTGACTGCGGGGAGATAAAAATCAACCTCCACAAAGGCCTCCCAGCTTGAGTTGTGGCTGCTGCACTATGGGTTTGTTTATGTTTAGCAGGTGGGGTCCACAGGGAGCCTGTGACCAGGGCAGGGGCTGCAGCAGTTGAAGATATGCCTGTCATTATTTAATTAAATCATCTCGGGCATGTCCCCTAACTTCTCCGAGCCTCAGTTTCATCTATGGTAAAAGGAGGTTGATTATCCATCTACTCACAGGGGTTCTGAGAGAAGCAAAGAACGGGCTGGTCCCAAGGAACTGCATTTGATAAGCCCCCTCCTCCCCCCACCCTACCCCTTCCCCAGGTGATTCTCAAGCTGGTGTCCCTGGGATCACCCCTGGAGAAACCACACCGATGGAAGTCACTTGAAACACAGGAGAAAAGATTCTAAAGTTGTGTCTAAACCAAAAATTGCTAACAGTCAAACTGCCTTTCAAAATTCTCTGGGAAGGGACCTCCCTGGAGAGGACAGCCATCTCTCCATGAGGTCAACACAGACATTGTTTCCTCCAGTGCTGAAACAGACCACCGTGCTTTCCCTGGGCCCCAGATGAACGGGGTGACGTGAGGCTCACCCCCGTTATGGGAAGACACTCTCACTGAGCGGGGCTCGGAGAAACTGGGACCCAGTGGTTGGCACAGCCAGGTTCTGAACGCAGACCATCTGGCCCCAGAGGCAAGGTCCTAACCCCTGTGCAGTGAGGGTGTCCATGGGGACCTCCACGGACCGGCAGTGCTTGGGTTAAAGCAGCCTTAGGGCCGTCGGTCTGGACGCGGCGCACACGCAGAAGTGAAGAGGGGAGGAGGGGAGGTGTTCAGTGCAGCGGAGTTAACCACAGAAACCACGGCGAGGGGAGGCGTGGGCCCTCGCCCGGCTTCGGTGGTCACTGGTCTCACGGGCGGTACTAGGCAGGTGAGCTGTGATTAAAAATTGGCTCAGCCACCGGTCCTTTACCCAAGCTGCTCACAAGTCAGAGAGGCTGGCTGCTTTGAGTTTCCTCTGTTTCTTTCCTTTTTCTTCTTGGTTATAGGCACTGCACAGTGTTAGCATAGCTCAGAAGGAGACCCCGGGATAACAAAAAGGCCTGCACGATCCCCAGCCTGACCATCAACAGGGACCTGCCATGGGTCAGAAGGGACCTGCCCACACATGTCCGCATGTCCTCTGCGGCTGGGGAGGAGGAGGCAGGATTCCTGGCTTCCCTCCAGGCTCTGCAACCACTTCCCCTCCTCCCTCTCTCCTGCTATTAAATTTAGGTCTCTTTCCGGAATGTTCTAAGCCTTTTTAAAGGGAGCAACACACTGTTCCTGCGTTGGCTGTTACCTCTGAGAAACCGGGAATAAATTGCCAAGTAACTGCCGATGGCTTTGAGCCTGGACTCTGGGCTCGGGATCCTCCTAGGCCCACCCCTGGGATGAGTCATCGTCAGTCGGAAGGACCTCTCCCTCCTAAGACCCCTGAGCTGCTCCAGGCGCGGCTGTAAAAGCTGGCCTCGGCATGGCCCCTGTCTCTCCCCACGCCTGACCGCCCTGCTCCTCACCCCACTGTCCTCTCCCTGATGTCAGCTCATTCATTCCACCGGTCTCTGTCACAGATCCCAACAGGCTCTGCCTGTGGCAGCTGCCCCTCACTCCTGGGCAGGCTGATCCCACCCTAACGGTTTCCAACAACTGCTGGCTTTGCCTGAGGGTCCTCTCTGGCTGCCCCAGCCAGCCCAGCCCCTGGTACAAGCCAGGCCAGAAGTTCCAGGGTGTTACCCCTCCAGTCCCCAGCTGCCCTCAGCCATGCCTGGTGGACACACACCCCAGGTCCAGTGCCCCTCCATGGGGATAGCTAAGGTGTGTTTTACTCCCCATGCTGCGGACCCCAGTTCCCCACAGACACACCCTGTAGGGCTTTTTCTCCCTTCCTTGTCTCACTTCCCCTCTCTTACTGGGTCACCTAACCACTTGCACAGACATCTGCGCCAGTGGGAACTCAACCTTGAGAGCGCCTTTCAGAGGCTTAACACATATTCATGGTGAGCCAGGTAACTAACCACTTGGGCCTGTCTTACGAAAAGAGGTGTGACCGCAAACGGACGGATCTGACCCCAGACATTGCAGAGGTCAGCCTCACAGACACAAGGGCTGCTGAAGCACTACTACCAAATTTGCAATTCGCTTTTAAAAGATTTGAGTTCCTACCATGGGCCAAGCAGTGTGCCAGGCTCTGGTGATACAGGGTTGGGCAAATTAGACAAGAACTTTCTTTACTGGGGTATACCTGCTGGTGGAACTATCCAATGACTAAGACAAAAAAAGTCAATTGTTTAAGTGTTATGCAGAGTGTAATGTGTTACTTTAGGTGCTCAGGGAAAGTCATGTTTAGGCTGAGCTATGAATTATACAAAGGAGCCAAATGGATAAAGGTAAGACAGATGGGCCGGGCGCGGTGGCTCATGCCTGTAATCCCAGCACTTTGGGAGGCTGAGGTGGGTGAATTGCTTGAGCCCAGAAATTCAAGAGCAGCCTGGACAATGTGGTGAGACACCGTCTCTATAAAAAATGCAAAAATGAGCCAGGAATGATGATATGCACCTGTAGTCACAGATACCCAGGAGGCTGAGGTGGGAGGATCATAAGCCCAGGAAGTTGAGGCTATGGTAAGCCATGACTGTGCCACTGCACTCCAGCCTGGGCAACAGAACAAGATACTGTCTCAACAGCAACAGCAACAACAACAACAACAACAACAAGACAGGAGATCACAGATAGAGGGAGCAAAAGCATGAAAATGGGAAGCTTTCTCAGAGTGCTATGAATGGAGCGGCTTCCTGGAAGCTGGGCAGTGACTAAGGGCAGTGCCTGGTACAGAGTGTAGGCTCAACCTGGTCTTGGGATTAGGGCAGAATTCTCTGCGGAAGTAAGGAGACATAAATCTGAAGAATCAGAAGGAGTAATTGAGGACTAGGAAGAGAAAGAGACTTCCAGGCAGAGAGAACAGCATATGCAAAGGTCCTGAGGCTAGAGACTGCCCAGTACATTTTGACTGGCTAAACAGGAATTAAGGGGTAGAGGGCTCAAGATGAGGCTAGAGGGGTAGTGTGATTGATAATCTTATTGTTCAGCAAACGTTCACTCTTCTCCCTGCCCATTTAGGGAAGAGGATACTTCCTCTGCCCCACCAACTTGAGGCTTGTCCTTGTGACTTGCTTGAGTCAATGAACAGAAGCAACTACAACATAAGCAGAGGCTTGAAGTGTGCAATTCAACTTGGTCTCTGGCATCCCCACTATTCGCCATGAAAAGAGTATACTCTGGTTAGCAAGTGAAGCAGATTGAGGTCGATCCTCAGCCTGGAGCTAGCTGAACCGTACAGTCAGTGGAGAGAATCGATAGTTATTTTAAGCCACCAAATGTTGAGGATGATTGTTACATAGCATTATTTTGGTAATAGCTGACTAATACAAGTGGGTAGGGAACCAATCCTGAAGGGAGGCCACTAAGAAGTTATGCAGGGAGCGCTTGCTACCTGCGCAGATTGGTCAGCTGGGTTGGGAGGTTACTTCTATGCAGTTGTCCTGCAAAGATGATGTAATGCAGATAAATGAATGATTTATGGGAAGCTAAAAAGTTGCCTTTGGGCGAGATCAAGGAGCCAGGCTGCTGAGAATAAGCCTTCATATGACACAAATCCTAAGCTTGGCTTTCCTTATCAGTCCCAGGTAAAAGGACCGTCTGTGTGCATGGTCTAGGATGTTTAGTGTGAAGTCAGGTCACGCTGTCATTTCCAAGGTGAACTCCTTATGGGCAAAGATTTAACTGTGGACAGAAGTACAGATAAATATGCTGACAGAAATGAAGAGAAGATGAGTCAAAATGGAGGCATACAAACTCAGGGAATAAAATGTTATACCTTTCAAAGTGACAGTGGAAGGCTGACCACCATTTCGGCTCCTCCCAAAGGGGCTGCTGTCCCTTGAAATACAAACTCCCAGCAGTATCGGTGGTTCTGGAATGGGAGCATCTGTTCTCCAAGGGAATTACAGGACAGAGCAGGAATCTTCAGTGTGGGGAGGAGACAGGGGAAAAGAGGTGGGGTAGCTCAGACATGATCAGATGGGTCACTGTCTGGGACAAGCCATTTACAAAGACTATGTGAACAAAGTCAACCTTGATCTGGGTTGGCAGCTGGGTGGTGGTGGGGGAGAGAGTGTTATGTACTCAAAAGCCAGGGCTTCTATGAGGACATTTCCGGAAAAGTTACAGCCTTCCCTTGTCGGCTCTTGGAATAACTAGATTTCCTTCCTCATCTTAGAAAAATGCTTCTAGAGTCAACTGATAGCAATTGAAACAGTAGAAGTATCCAGTTTTTATTAAAATCCTGCTTTCATTACAGCTGCAAGGGATGGATCTAGAACTGATTTATGGAGCTTAGGGATTCTGTGAAGTCATACTTGGCCTTCACAGCAGGAGAGAGAGAAAGACAGAGAGAGGGGGAAGCAGTCAGAGGATGTAACCTCTCTACTCACTTGGGATGAAAAAGCTCCTTCTCTCTCCAACATACACAGGCACAGACGTCCTCCCAGGGGAGGTATTGTGGCCTGACTCTCACTTTGGGAAGATTCTTCTCCTGCTGCCATTTAGGACCAGAGCATGCTTTATCTCCAAAGGCTGGGCCCCTGTTTTATGCCTCCAGGGCAACACTCCTGGACTCACCTTGTTAACCTGAGTATCACACCATTCTCTGTCTTGATGGTAGAACTAGAGAGTCCTGAGGCACAGATGCTCAATTGCTCAGGTAAATCAAAAGGTCTCATATACTCAGCTTGGCAGAGGCTCAGAGCATGAACCAATTACTCCTCCCTTTATTCATGCAACACATATTTATCCATTATCTACTATGTGTCACTCATTGGAGCTACAGAGGTGAAGGCACAGCCTGACCAGTGAGAACAATGCTTCTCAACACTTTTGATGCCACAGCACATACTGAAAAGGCTCATTTTATAGGACATAACTCTGAGATGCATGGTAGCATTTCAGAGTTTCTGTCTCTTTTCTCTACTTTACCTTCTTCTGTTACCCTTGCTTTGTATGGACCACATCCCCAAAGGAGGGGGTGGCAGCTATTAATATGCCAAAATCCATATGGGTGGTGAACATGTTAACACTGAAAAATTCAAAATAATCGGAATGTCCATCTTAACGGAAGCAGATCCTGAGACAAAGATTCAAGTGCAGTTGTTACTGGGTTGGGGTTGTAGACAGCCCCAGGAGGGAAAGGAAAAGTGATATGGAGAAGGACAGGCAGCCAATCAAGGCAGGTAATTAAGCCAAGCACTACTGTGGGCAACTGGAGCTTGTACCCATGGAGAGAGCTCTGGGATATAGTGTACAGCACACACCTGAGTTGTCCCACCCAATGGGCAAGGGAGCTGGGGTATTTACACACCAGTCCCCCCTTAGTCATTGGTCAAGAGCTATTCCTGGCAGATGTTAATTCTATGGCAGTTTCCCCTGCTGAAATGATAGGCAGCATGGCATTCTGCAGATCTGAAACGAGACTTTCCACTCAGAAATGCAGAGCTGGCAGTGGAGTTTGGCTGGAGCACATAGAAATGTTAGAGATATGGGCAGGGCATGGACAGATCCTGCTAGATGCATCAGTGGGGGGTTAGTAAAATATTTGATAACACATCCTTCAAGCCCAGGATAATGTGGAACTATATTCATTGACACAGAAAAGTGCTCAGCTACACATTATTGAGTGAATGAAAGCAGCATAGAGAATATCCAATAGAGTTGGACCATTTGGATTGCCTATTTTTCTCTGTGCGTAAATGTGTCCGACACACTGGAAGGCAAGGCCAGGACCAGGGTGAAACAAGCAAGGCTCTTGCTTTGGGATAAAGTCTAAGGAAATGTCAAAAAGCTCAGTAATCAAGATAAATATTTCAACACAATATTTAAAAAATATCAACATTAATGCAAAAATTCCATGATGAACAAGGTCAGGATCTGACCTCGTATTTGCACAGCTCAGCCTCACTCACTTCATCCTAATCCCAGCCCTGTTGGATTCTGTCTCCTTAAAATTTTGACCATCTGAGGCAGAGAAAGAGAGAGAGGAGTTGGAGAGAAACTCTGGTTTCTTTCCTCTTCCGGCCCTCCAACCTCTTGCTAGTGCCTCCCTTGGTCAATTCCAACCACAGCTAACATTAGAGCCTTAAAATATCCACCTACAAGGTACAGCCTCCCCTCTCCTCCTTCTCCCTATTCTGTCTCCTCTCTCACCCCACAAGCCCAGCACAGAGCAGAGCAGCTAAAGGGCAAGGACTGGCACGGTTCCCTCAGGAACCTACAATAATTTGCAGGCAAAAAGAATCGCTTCCTGAGCAGGCCAACAAAAGCCTTAACAACTGAGACGTTGTCTTCTAGGCGCAGATCAGCAGTGGCCAGTTAACTGCACTTGTTATTTCACAGTCCTCTGGGGTGACAACCGTGGGTCAGGCTGACCTGGCCAGAGAGCACAGAGCCAAACGCCAAGTAATCAAAGCCAGTTTGTTGAAACCAAGCCATCTTGACTCCCGTCTCCCAGACAATCAGGCCACGGCCAAGAGCTTTCCTACCCCTGCCTCCTCTGGGAGTCTGCGTTCTGTGGGCTTGCGCAGCCATCCCCTTCCCAAGCTGGCTGATTCTCAATTAATCAGGGATCAGGACCTGGTTTATGCTTCCTCCGTCTGGTAGCTTCCACTTTCCTCCCTCTGGTAGCTCTTACACCTGTGGAAAGATGGAGAAAAGTGAGTTCTGTCTGGTCTTTGCAGGGCAGCAATCAGAGAGACCGAAGTAGCTTGGTTAGGAGCAGTGGAAACTGAAAGGCCTGGCCTTCGAAGATTCCACTGATTCCAAGCAGCATTTTTTTTTTTTTTTTTTTTGAGATGTTGGCTCACACCAGCGCGAACAAAATCATGTTTCTGTCTCGACTGAGTCATTTGGCCAAAGCATTAATTTCACAGCCAGCATTCACACTGACACACACGACCTTTAGTTTTCTTCCATGAAGAATTAACACACAATGACTTGTTTTCAGGTCCCAGGCCACTGGCAATGCTGGGCTTTCTTTGTCTTGTTTGTCACAGTGGCTTTCATTCCCTTCCACCTGATGTGCCTATGATGAACACATGAGGCTGTTGCAGAGACAGAAAGGTCAAGAAAGGAGGGGGTATTTTGCAGTGTTCCACAATGAGCATCAGCACCTTGTTAAAAACAGAACCAATCAGAGAAATGCGCCATTCCCTGGATCTGGTAGTCCAGTGGGATAGAGGAAGAGGGAGGCTTTGATCTATACATCTTAATCACACTCCGGGCCTGGCACACCGGTGACCATGGGATTCCTGGCTGCACCATCTACCTGTCTGGACATCTTTGGACAAATGACTTAATCTCTCTGAGACTCAGTTTTTTCAACCACAAAATGAAACATAGTAGGACCTGCCACATAGCATTGTTTTGGCAACTGAATAAGATCATGCCCTTGGTCACAGTATCTGACAAAAAGTAAGAGCCTCATAAATGCTGTCTTTTATTATTATTCATGGAAAAGGCCAGTCCAGAAACTTCATTTTAAAGGTCTGCTCCATTTTCTCTGGGCTTCTTCAGCAAACCCATAATTCTGGGTCTTGTAAAACACTTGCAGTAAATGTTTATAAGGTTGACATATGCATTGCATGTCAAAACCCAAGAAGGATGGAAGGCCAGCTGAAGATGAACAATCCTTCATCTGAAATCCTAGCCCACACCTGTAATCCCAGCACTTTGAGAGGCCGAGGCAGGCGGATCACTTGAGGTCAGGAGTTTGAGACCAGCCTGGCCAACATGGTGAAACCCCGTCTCTACTAAAAATACAAAAATTAGCTGGGCATGGTGATGCATGCCCGTAGTTCCAGCTACTCAGGATGCTGAGGCATGCGAATTGCTTGAACCCGGGAGGTGGAGGTTGCAGTGAGCCGAAGATCATGCCACTGCACTCCAGCCTGGGCAACAGAGTAAGACTCTGTCTCAGAAGAAATCCCAGCCCCCTTTGTCACTCTTAGCTTGGCTCATTCTTTCTCTGAACTGACCCTGACCCACCCCCTTTATGACCTTTCCACAGAGGAAAGCACATGGTAGGTGTTGAATAATTGGCATCTATTGTCTTTGGATGCAGACTCTGAAACCAAGCTGTGAGGGCCTGTACTTTATTTGGGAAGTGAACCAGGAGGTACTAGTAGGGGAGTGGGGAGGTGAGGAAGGGAAGGGAAGGCAGTCCATCAGGGTGTGTCATGAGCAGGTCACTCTTGTGGACAGTTGGACTCATCCCACTACTAGTAACTAGTCTACTAGTACTGAGAGACATTGTAGAGTGCACCCTTGCGTTGTCTTACCTAAGTTGTGAGGAAGCTGGGGATTTAGCCACCAACTCCCATCAATCTTGGGCTGCCAGCTACTCCTAGGGACAAGTATCCTGTGCAGAGTTGACGGTGGCCAGAGTGGAAGGCAGCAGTGGCAGAAAGGAAGCCAGCAGGTGTGAGCTGGTCCCCAGGAGACATGGGCAGGGCACTGGCAGCTTTGTCTACACCATTCTCAGGTTGCTCAAGTTTAGCTAATCAATTGCATTTGATTCAGGAAATGTATTGCTTCATTGGTGCCACCTCTGATGGGATTGTGTCACTGTAGTGCCCCAGGACCGTGGGTCTTGGTCTTAGAGGCAATGTGATTTCCAGCCATCTGGGCACAGCTCCTGCTAACAAATCTGCCTCCAGTGGATTGTCTTTTCTAGAAGGCAGCCACAGAGACAGAGTCCCAGTGCTCATTCTTTCTTCGAGAGATCTGTAGAATGAGCCAACATCTGGTGCCTTGTGTTTCTACGTGATAAGCATTCAGCTGAGACCAGCAATTCATCCTCTTAAGAGGTCACCAGACCACAGCTTTTGGCCAAGGTGACCTGACAGGGCTGGGCTGACAATTAAAAAATAAAGCAGTGAGGTGAAGTCTGCTGACCTGGGGGCACCATGACAGTAGTCTCCAAGACCATATTCCAGGCCTTGCTATATGTCTCTTGGTTCTAACATAATAATAGCCAGCATTCATGGAGCTGCTTCTACACATGAGGCATTAGGACCATATGTATTATGTCAAGAGATGAATGGTGTTAGCCCTGCTTTATAGATGAAGAAAATATAGGAACAGAGAAATCAAGTATCTTGCCAAAGTCATAGAATCAATAAATGACAATACAGTTGAACCCAGGTCTCTCTGGCTACAGAACCCATAGTTTTAGCCAATATGCTATATTTTATTTATCATACAGGTTTTCCCTGTTAACCCTGAAGGGTTATGTCCAGTGGTGTGGAGTAAACTGGCTCCCTGAAGGTAGAGGAGGGATGGGAATAGCTGTGATTTGGAGCATCTGCCAATTTCTGTGGTGTAAATACTCCTACCATGGCCAATTTCAAGCTCCTTAGCATCTAACAAGTGGCCTATGAAATTCCAGAATGTGGAACAATTGGCTCCCACAAGCCAGAAGGAACCAGCTCCAGCCTTCCACTGGTGATACCACTCTCCCAGAGGTCTTCATTATCAAGGTTTCTAGAGAATATTGTTGGAACAGTGTCTTTCTTAGCCATTCCACTCCTTAAATCTTGCCCGAGTGCTCTAGGATTACAAATGAGATCCTGGTATCATTCATTCAACAAACATGAAGTGTCTATAAGGCATGAGGGGTGACGCCTCATAGGGAGACACAGTTCCAAACTGTCTTAGGTCTAGTTTCCCAGGAGCAGACCCAGAGGCAAAGATATGCCTGCTGTATGAGGAAGTGTTGCAGGGAAAAACACAGGGTGGTGGGGAAGTCAGATGGGAAGGGGAAGGGAGCAAGCAGGGGTATAGTGGCAAGCCAAGTCCCATGAAGCAACGGTCCCCAACCTTTTTCGCACCAAGGACCAGTTTCATGGAAGGCAATTTTTCCGTGGACCAGGAGGGTGAGGAGATGGTTTTGGGACAATTCAAGCACATTACATTTATTGTGCACTTTATTTCTATTATTATTACATTGCAATATATAAAGAAATAATTATACAACTCACCATAATATAGAATCAGCGGGAGTCCTGAGCTTGTTTTCTTGCAATTAGACAGTCCCATCTTGGGGTGATGAGAGATAGTGACAGATCATCCAGCATTAGATTGTCATAAGGAGCGGGCAACCTAGATTCCTTGCATGTGCAGTTCACAATAGGGTTTGCGCTCCTGTGAGGATCTAATGCTGCTGCTGATCTGACAGGAGGTGGAGCTCAGGTGGTAATGCAAGTGTTGGGGAGTGGCCGTAAATACAGGTGAAAATTAACTCTCTCACCAGCCTCACCTCCGGCTGTGCGGCCTGGTTCCTAACAAGCCATGGACAGGTACTGGTCCATGGCCTGGGGGTTGGAGACCCCTGCCAGGAAGGGTACTTTAGATTCAATCTTGCAGGGAACCTTCGGAAACGGGGTGCATCTTGGGTGTCCTGATGAGGGGTGATATGACGAAGTATTTCTACTTGCAATTCTCACCACCTGTCACTGGTTAAGGGCTGTCCCCAGAGGGGCATACATTTTCAGGCATCGCCAGCACTTGACTGGTGCAGCAAGGCTCTAGCTGCCTGAGAGCAGCCCCTAATGAAGAAGTGCAGGGACAGACTGGTAGGAAACAGAGTCCCTCAGGAGCTGGTGTGCACAGAAACAGTGAAGGGGTTAGGTGCAGAGCTCTGAGAGTATCTACTTCACAGTCATTCACTCAACCAGCATTTACGAGAGCTACAGTGTACTGGGCACTGTCCTAGGTTCAGAGGACACAAGGATGAATGCAAACAGCCAGGTTCCCTGTTCTCAAGGAGCAACTAGACCTGACGTGATCTAGTCGGGGAGCAGGGATCTGAGCAATCCAGTTGACAAACAGATCATTACCAATTGGGATACATGGCTACAGGAAAACTATGGGGTTATGAAACAGCAGATAAGAAGACAGAAGGTGGATTGAAGTGGGTTAGAGAAGGCATTCTTCACAGTTTGGCAGGGAAACCCTTGGTATTCACCGAGAGTCTCAAAAGAGTGTGCAGGTGAACAGCTAATCTTCTCTGGTCTTTCAGTTTTTTGGGGGGTGCTAGAAGGCCTGTGCAAAAACACAACAGGTACACCAAGACCACAGATTACTTATGGTGAGAAAGATTCATGGCTACATAAATCACCTACCCAAATTTATGTTGCAATTTTTCCTAAGCAAAGCCCTATATACCACTTTAGTCCTTAAAACCTACTCAAGGTATATTTATTCACAGACATCTTGGGACTTCCATACTTTTGGTTACTACGAAACATGCGGGCTCTAGAGTCAGAGTGTCTGAGTTCAAAACTGGCTGGATCACCTAAGTAGCTGTGTATCCTTGGGCAAGCAGTTTAACCTCTCTGTGCCTTCATCTGCAGATTGGGGTACATGTACCTACCTCACACAGGTTCTTTTGTAAAGAGTAAATGGAAATGAGTTGATGCTTGCAAACTGCTTAGCACAATTTCTGGGCATACTCTAAGTACTAAAAAGGTAGCATTATTTATATTATTAGATATTATATTTGAACAGATATCCTTGATACCGTTTTAAGTGAAAAAGTGAGATTTTTCCAAGAAATAGTTTGAATGGATGTTCTCACACTTTGGCCTCAGAACCCTATACCTTTAAAACTACATGAGCCCAAAGAATGTTTTTAAAAATATGTATTTAAAATATTTATTAACTCATTAGAATAACAATAATAAACCCCTTATATGTTAACATGTGTATCATATTTTTATGAAAAATAACTATATTTTCTTAAAAGTTAGTAAAATAAAGTTGTATTGTTTTTACATTTTTGCCAATCTAATCTTTTCTTTTTTCTTCTTTTTGAGGCAAGGTCTTGCTCTGTCACCCAGGCTGGAGTACACTGGCACGATCACGGCTTACTGCAGCCTCGATCTCCTGGGCTCAAGCGATCATCCTCCTGCCTCAGCCTCCCAAGTATTTGGGACTACAGGTGCACACCACACAATTTTTTTTTTTTTTTTTTTTTTTTTTTAGCAGAGACAAGGACTCACTATGTTGCCCAGGCTGTTCTTGAACTCCTGGGCTCAAGTAATCCTCCCACCTCAGCCTCCCAAGGTGGTGTTGGGATTACAGGCTTGAGTCACCATGCCTGGCCTCAGCTTCTGTCTTAATTGAAGACAGCCAGATTCCCATATATGTTCTTCATTCAATCTATTGGGATGCGTTGTTTTGGTTAAAATGTATTTAAAAATTCAGCTTCACACAGTTGGAAACGAAAGGACGATTTTAATACCCTCTTCAGATAACTGTGGCTATTCCTTTGTGATACTATACCAAAACTCAACAAGTGGTAGTTTTTGTACTGGTTAGATGCAACATGAAATCTGAAAACCTATCAGTGAGCTTTTATATTTTATCATATTAAAATCAATCTGTCTATGTTGTGTTTTAAATGGACCTTTTACCCATGTGTGATTCTATAACATTATATCAACTATTTGGAAAATATTGGTTCACAGAGTTCTGCAGATCTACCAAATGTTGACACATTTTGTTACATAATATCAAAAGGTCGCATGTGTTCATATCCACACTGATCTTATCAGAAGAGTCTTCAAACATGGGGAAGCTGTCAAGCACATAGTGGAGGATATAAGTTTTCCAGAAATTCTGTTTTTTGATGGCAAGCTAAAATTTTTTCATTGGCAGCAATGAGAAGGCATGAGATTGCTACCTAGCCTTAGTCTCACATAAACTCAAAGCTTCCCTCCCCAACTTCTCTCTTCTTCAGTCTTTGCCATGCACCAGAGGTCCTGTCTTTCAGCAATGCTCTTCTGCAAGTGAGGTAATATTGTATTAGCTTTTGTGTGTCACTGATTTTTTTTTCTTTTACCTTTTTCTGTATAGTCTGGATAAGCCTATTGTTTCTGCATCTAACCCTGCTAGCTTCAAATTACTTTCTCCTCCTCCCTGTGGAATGGTGGATTGGTTCCCATGAGCAGTCAAAGACAAGACAGGGAACAGTATGAGGCCACCTACTGAATAGTTCTTGAATCAGTCACCTTCCCCCACTCCTAGCCACCACAACTTAGCCAGAAGCCACCATTTTCTTTGGCTGGGATTTTGGCAACAGGCTCATAACAGGTCTGCAGGCCTTGAGTCTGGAGGCCTCGCCTAGTCCATTCCCTTCTGGCAAGCCAGAGAGCAAATCTGCAGCAGTCCTGCCCCGATACCTACTGCAACCTGGGAGAAGAGCACAAAGGAGGGTGCAAGGCCCATCTCCAGCCCCACGCATGTGGACCCCACAGACTGCAAGTCCAAGAGTTGCCCACCCCTCCTGTACACACACGGTTGCCTCTCAGATTGGCCTGCTGGACAAAAGCTGTAGCAGCCTCCCTGGAGAAGGAAGAGGGACAAGAGAAAGAGGTGTGCACAGACCCTAAAGGTAGGCTCAGGATGTTTGGAGCAGGAGTTCCAAGTATGTAAAGCATGATGCATAAAGAAGTGGATGTAGGTTCCAGGTGGCGAATCCTTAGGTATCACCACTCCTCAACCAGGTTGTCGGGGAGGCAGTGGGCTCCAGGGTAGAGCCCTATAAATCACACCCTAAGCAAGAACCTCAGGTGCCCGTGTCTAAAGGTGTAACAGTGTGCAAATGTAACCTACATGACCCTTCATCATTCACAGGATCAAGTGCCCACGCCTTGGTCTACCAGGCCTCTCCCAGTCTGGCTCCTGCCTACCTGTCTTTCTTGCCCTTGACTGTGTCTGGCTCTCGTCCCTAGGTGCCCCATGCTGTCTCACTGCAGGGACTTTACAGCACGTGACCTCCTCTGGGCCTTGCCCTGGATGACATCTCATCTTTGCTGTGCTCTGCTCAGAGATCATTCTTCCCTGGCACCCCAGTCCGCCAGCTCTAGACTTAAGTCTGGGTTGGCTTCTAGTCTTTGGCCTTCACAGCTTTCATATCCTCTCTGTCCTCCACCACAACAAAGCATGACAGCTATCATTAGGCAGTGCTCACTATTTACAGCTAAGGGCACTGAGTGCTTCCAGTAACTCTATGACATGCATGCTGTGTTTATGCCCATTTTACAGGTGAGGGAACTGAGATGAAGCATCGTAACTAATTTGGCCACAGGGCCAGCTAATAAGAGAGTCAGGCTCCAAGTTTAGACACCAAGCTTTTAACCACTGTGCCAGTGATTTTCGGTCCTTAAACTTTTGAGTACAACAGAATCACTGGTGTGCACACGATTGATGTGCAGCAGAGGGGAGAGAGTAAGTTTATTAAAGTACAGACTCCTGGGCCCCACCAATCCAGAGATTCTGATTCTATAGGTCAAAGGTGGGGCCCAGAAAGCTGCATTTTTATAAGCTCCCCAGGGGATTCAGATGCAGGTATTAGGGGGAACCACACTTGGAGAATCACACACTTTCCTGCCTAACCGCAAGTCCTAAACTGCAACCCGCTAAATATAATTAGGTCTTCTGGGCTCAGCAGGGCCCCTGAGAAGGAGGAAGAAGATACTGCGTGCATCTAGCAAGTTCTCCACACCACCTGTGGTGGTGGTTGGAGTGGGGAGGGCCTTTCCCTGGGGGGAAGATACACACCCTGGTTGCATCATATAGACACAACACCAGAGCCATAATCTGGGGTGTCCAGAAGCCAGCACACCCTCCACATTCTGTGTTCAGCTCCGGCTTGGCCACAATTACCTGGAACCTGGTCTGTCTGCCCCTGCCCCACCCCTCTGGCTGCTGCTAGTTAACTGGAAGCTGTGGCCACAGGGCGTATGGGCTGAGAACATAATTAGGGAGCCCATTCCCAGCCGAACAGCCGGAGGACTTTTGTACCTTGTCCATCTCTTCTCTGAGACTTGTCAAGACACTCAGTGGTTGGTCAGCAGCCCTGACTTGGGTACCATAAAGCAGGGAGGATGGGGGGCAGCAAAGAGGACTGTGTGGTGACCTCACTGGGTGGTCTCCTTCAAGCCTTTCCAGCTCTGCCAGCAAGAACAAAGTGACAAGGCCTCTTCTTAGAAGGAGGAAAGAGATGTGTCCTCAACTCAGGGGACAGCCAGGGCGATCTGAGACACTGGGCCTTTCTTTCACCTCATTGTTTCCTCTGTCATAATTTTCAATTTTCCCCTGCCTTTCTTTCTTTCTTCTTTTTTTTTTTTTTTTTTTTTTTAGATGGAGTCTCGCTCTGTTGCCCAGGCTGGAGTGCAGTAGCGTGATCTTGGCTCACTGCAACCTCTGCCTCCCGGGTTCAAACTATTCTCCTGAGTCAGTCTCCCCACTAGCTGGGATTACAGGCATGTACCACCACACCCAGCTAATTTTTGTATTTTTAGTAGAGATGGGGGTTTCACCACGCTGGCCAGGCTGGTCTCGAACTCCTGACCTCAAGTGATCTGCCCATCTCGCCTCCCAAAGTGCTGGGATTACAGGTGTGAGCTACCGCGCCTGGCCTCCCCTGGATTTCTATTCCTTTCTTAATCATCTTCTCTGTCCCTGTCCACTTTACCTTTTGAGAGAGATTATTCCCAGAGTCCCCAGTGAGTCATCTGTAGCCAGGTTGTGACCCCCTGACCAAGCAGGGCCAATGGGATTTCCCTCCCAGTGACCTGGCCTTAGGGCTCAGACTTACAAATCAAGTCGCTTCGTGGACTAAACCTTTAAGGTGCATAGACTTGGGCTGGAGCTGCCTGTGCTGGGGTGGTTGGGGTGGCCGTGCTGGGGAGGCATTTGGGAGTCACATGTTCTGGTGTGCAAACAGAGAGCTGGGGGCTGGTCTACAGCAAAAAGCAGGCAAATGAAGCAGAGAAGGAGAAAAGTGCTCCTTAAGAACCCAAAGAGAGAGGAGGAAGAGCCCATTTGCTTCCTGCCAGCTTTCCAATTCCCAGCACCAGTCTGTTGTGAGGAATTTCTAGTCTTAAACTAGAGGATACCCAGATGAATTCTTGTCCTTGTGACCTGCAAGATAACCTAACTCCTCAGGATTGCTTTCCCTGTGTTTAAGTTAGCGCAAGTGAGTTTGTTTTGGTCAAGCAAATCATCCCTTATGAAGACAGCCCTGCCAGGAGAGGTGAGTCCTGGGCTGACACACCCGGTGAGTTACAAACACTGGCTGAGCTTGGGGCTGTGCCAGGCATAGGATTTGATGAGCAACGAAAGAGACGCTGTCTCCACTGTCCGGGAACAGTGAGGGTGAGAGGAGTCAGCGGTGCAGAGAAGCAGGGTGGGGCTTCATCCTCAGGGAACGGCATTGATAGAAGCTCGAGCAACGATCGTTCCTATTATGTATGTTAAGCAAAGGGGCTGGGGGCAAGGTCAGAATGCCAGGATTCAAACTGGAGATCTGCCAGGGGCTAACCATGTGGCCCTGCGCACATTTCTTAAACTCTAGAGACTTCAATTTTCTCAGCTATGACATACAGATGGTGACCCTTGGAGTGCACTTATACTTAGAACAATGCCTCGCACTTAGGAAGTACTCAGTATTTGTCAGCTATTATTTTTTTCTCTGGGCGTTGGGGAGGGTGCTGGCTAGAGACAAGTGTCTTGAATTATATTAGCAGGGCCATATCATTGAAGGTTTTATAGATCCAGCAAAGGAGTTTTGCTTTTATCCAGAAAAACTATGGGAAACTTGAAGAATTGTAAGCCAGCAAGGGGCCTGGTCAGATGAATGCAGGGGTTTTCAACCAGCCTCCAATCTGAAGACATTGCTAGTTGTTACAACCTGGCCAGGGGCCAGGGAGGTGCAACTGGCCTCTGGTGGGTAGAGGTCAGGGTTGCCACTAGCCATCTTACAGGGTGTAGGACAGTCTTCTAAAACAAAGAATTATTTGGCCCAAAATGTCAATAGTGCCAAGGTGGAGAAAGCCTGGATTAATGTATTATAAAGAAGAGAAATTCTCAAAGAACTTAACACAGAGCTACCATTCAACCCAGCAATCCCATTACTGGGTATATATCCAAAAGAAATTATTCTACCAAAAAGATACATGCACTTGAATGTTCATTGCAGCACTATTCACAATAGCAAAGACATGGAATCAAGTTAAATGCCCATCAATGGTGGACTGGATAAAGAAAATGTGGTACGTATACATTGTGGAATACTACACAGCCATAAAAAATGAACAAAATTATGTCCTTTGCAGCAACATGGATGCAGCTGAAGGCCATTATCCTAAGCAAATTAATGCAGGAACAGAAAACCAAATACCGCATGTTCTCACTTATAAGTAGAAGCTAAACATCGGGCACTCATGGACATAAAGATGGCAGCAATAGACACTGGAGAGTACTAGAGCAGAGAGGGAGGAGGACAAGGTTTGAAAAACTAACTGTGGGTACTATGCTCAGTATGGGGGTGATGGGATGAATTGTACCCCAAACCTCAGCATCATGCAATATACCCAGGTAACAAACCTGCACGTGTACCCCCTCCATCTAAAGTTGAAATTATTAAAAAAAAAAAAAAGAGAGAGAGAGAAGAGTAATTAATTAGAAATGAACCTTTCCCACCCCAGGGGGCTCAGTTTCCCCGTCTATCAAAAGACGCACATAGGAGGATTTAGAAGGCTGAGTGCTGTGTGGCTTCCATGCCTGACCTTCCACGATCTGCTTATTCTCCTGTTGCGATGGACCCCCTGTCCTGGACCCTTCTGACACCAGCTATGTGGTCCTGACCCTGGGCCTCCTGAGCCTCTCATTACAGATAATCCTGATGGGGCCAGAGAGTATATGAAGTAGATAGGGCTCAGGATCTACTAATCCAACCGTGGGATTAGATCCTGGCACCATCCCTTGTCAGTTATGAGACCCAGAACAATTTTCTTTGCCTCTCTGCATGTCAGTTTCTCCATCTATAGAGTAGGACTGATAACACCTCCCCAAAAGCACAGGTTCGAGGGTTTGCAAAGCTCTCATTCCAGCCCCTGGTTCATCACAGATGCTCCAACAACATCTCCAAAAATGTGAGATTGCTAAACACAAGGGGAAGGCGTGAGAAATGCAGCCAAGTCGACGTCCATTATCCACGGAGAAGTCATTGCAGACAAGCTCTCTCCAGAAGCCTGTGACAACACCCATCAGTCAGAAGGAGCTCAGGGAATGTGTGCTCCTTTGAATATGTGCTTGAACTAATCAGGGAAGGAGAGCAGGAAAACAAAAGGAACCTTCAGAGTAAGGCAGGACTTGCAAACTCAGTGCCACAAAGACCAGGGAGGCGGCCGACTGCAGGGTTAGTTATGAAATTTAATTAGTAATTACTTGAGTGAATGGCACCAGAGACATGGAGATCAGAAGTGCTTCCCTCAGAGGGGCAGGATGGCAGACCCGAGAGGCCGGGTGCTAGGTTCAAATTCCAGCTTGGTCACCCACCAGCTGTGCAAATTTAGGAAAAGTGCTTTGCCTCTCTGTGCCTCAGTTTCTCTATCTGTAGAAATAGAGATATGCAGATAAAAATAATACCTACCTCAAAGGGTTGCTTTGAAAATACACTATCTATAATATATATAAGCACAAACATCAGTGTCTGGCACAGGTCAGAACTAGGGATGTCATTGCGTATGGCTTCTGTTTCCTTCTTATGACAACAGCACACAATCTGAATTAGCCTCAGTGTCAAGCAGTGTGGTCTGCAGACAACAGCCATCAGCATCACTTGGGAGCTTGTTAGAAATGCAAATATGCAGGCTTCACCTCAGACCTACCCAATCAGAAACTCTGCATTAATTGGCTAGGTAACCTCAGTTAGAAAAATTAACCTCTCTAAGCTGTGGATTTCTTATCTGTAAAATGCAGATTTCTAATATCAGCCACCCTCTCTTCTGTGCTAGGGGCTCTAGGATGGCTCCAGCCTGCTGTCAATTGCTGGGCTGTTTTCTGCCTCAGGGCCTTTGCACTTACGGTTCCATCTGCCTGGAATGCCCTTGGCTCTCCCCACAGCTGAGCTGCTATCTTTTAGGCTTCAGCTTAAATGGCACCTTCTCAGAGAGGCCTTCTTCACCAACCCTGCCCCATCTCCCGTTAATCCTTGTCACTACATTCACTTATTTCCTTCAGCTGCTAATGACAATCTACAACTCCCTTATTTTTGAGTCTACTTACTTGCTTCTTGTCTGTCTTCAGCTCATGTCATATAAACTCCAAGAGGGCAGGAACTGGGTCTCTCTGTGCACAATGCCTGGCACAGCGTGTGCGTTCCATAAACGAGTCTAGAAGGAATGGATAAGTCTATCATAGAAGAACAGAGAGTGCTCATCACAGCACCAGGCACAGGGTGAAGGCCCCATAAGAACTACAGGACTGTGAAGTTATTATCATAAAATAGGCCACCATGTAGCCCTGGGCTTCACAAACAGCTACGGGGAGCAGCGCTGAGGCTAGCGGTGGCCTTTCTATCCCTGGCACTCGCGCTTAGTCTGCACTGTGTGACCCTCTCACCCAATCACGTAACAGCGCTGCTCTGAAGAAGCTGCCTCATTAAAATATGGAAATAGTTGTCACGTTGCTATCACCCAGCCCAAGCCATCAAGCGCTCCAAATTGGTTTTTGCCATTTCATACGGCACAACATACATTTGTTAACTTTTCAAACAGTAAACACCACCTGCAAAGTGCCTTTAATATTTAATGTAACTATAAATTGTTTTGAAAATAAATCCAGCCATGTGGAAAAGCAGCAGAAGGAATGGGAAGTGAATCCAGGAACCTGCTCTGCATGGGGGCAGAGCGGGCTACGGGGCTGAGTCTCCAATTACGGGTCAGGCACTTGGCTGCCCCACTTCAGTGCTTTATGGAGCCGATGGGTAATGAATGCTTCCCCTCAATGCTCTGAGGACTCTGACCTCATGGTAGTGCCTATTTGGTTCTCCAGAGGAGGTAGGGTAAATCTACAGAGGGGGTGCGGGGGTGCACCTCTACCAAAAGCATCTTGGTGGGGAGTGCTGGTTAATGCCAACATTACCCATGGCTTTGGTGGGGAAAAGCGTGTCAGCCATGAGCTCTTCTGGCCAAACCAACTGGTGACACTGCCCAGTGTCATGGGGTGTGTGCTTGGGGCTAGTGACTGGTCTGTGAATAATTTGTCACTGTTCATCACATGCTGTATTTGCTCCTTCCTGTCTCTCTCTCTCCATCTCATCTCATGCACTATATAGAACTTCAGAAAAGTACCTGTTTTTGTCTTACTTCCCTCATAGGTCAAATTGGAATGCTAATGATACCTACCTCATTGCATTACTGTAGGTTTAAACGGGTGACTGCCTGTAAAGCGGTTAGGACAATGCCCAGCATATGGGTCCATTTTTAAATGTTTGCTGCACTGTCACCATTACTGCTTCTGCCGCTGTGAACAGACGTCATGCCACCTGCTCCCTGTGGCCCTCTTCATTCCCACTGCAGCTGTGCTGGCCTCCTCTTCATGCCTGGTGTGCTCCATGCTCCCTTTTGCCACCAGGCCTTTGCACGAGCTGTGTCCTCTGCCTGGGGCACTTTTCCTTTCTTTTTTTGCCTGGTTAATCTCTTAGCTATTGGCTCAATCAGCTATTAGGTTGGTGTAAAAGTAATTGTGGTTTTTGCCTTTGAAGGTGATAGCAAAACCACAATAACTTTTGCACCAACCTACAGAAATGTTGAACTTCAGGGGGAAAGGGCAAGCTCTCTACTCCTGGCATGTCAGTAACTGACTAAATCTCTGGAGCTGGAATGGTGGCATTCTCTGATTAGCCCACACCAGTCATCTGCCCACTTGTGGCCGGGGCCAGAGGCCCAGGATCAGCAGCCCCATCAAAAGCCACATGCCATGCAGAGAGGGGCTGATAGAAGACAGTTGCCCTTCTTGGCAGACAAAACCATCATTGTCCATTACAATGAGATGTGTGTCCTGGCAGTCACTGTGGAAACCAGGTGAGGACCAACTGCCATCAATCAGGTGACCAGTTAGGCAGCTATTACGTTGATCCAGGCTAGAAGAGTGAAGCCTGATGATATGCGAGACATTTAGAAGATACAACCGAGAGAGAGAAAGAAGATAATTCTGAGGCTTCTAACTTGATATGCAGAAGAATGAATGACACCACTTGTGTCTTATTACTGGCCTCATATGATGCAACTGAAAAAACTGGGTGATTATGAAGGGATCTGAGATAAAGGTATCCAGCTCAGATAGGAAAACAATTTTGGGGGTGAGAAGGGAACCTAAAGTCTCTCAATTCATACCCTTTAAGTAGACACATATATATAATGCTGCCACTAATTCAACTCATTAGTAAAGGGGTGTTAATGCCACGCTAGCCACTGGTTGGCCCTTCTGGCCAAATTCAAAGCTAGTGCATATCATGTCCCCTGGCTCTCTTGATTCTTCTGAGCTTCACAAGGGCTCTGCTGTGGGTCCATCTTAGTGTCTGTCCCCTTGATTCCTGACTCTCCCGGGGATCATGTTCCCCCATGTGAGAAGGCTGGCTCCCTTGTGGAGTAACTTCTGAATAGCCACTGAGTCCTCTGAATGGCATGAGAACCCAGATGGACCCATGTACAGAGAGATGCTCTGTGCTCTGCCTGTCCCTATGCTATCAGGCATCTCCAAATAGCATGTCCAAAAGACTTCTCGGTTTTCCTTCTCAAACATGATCTTCTCATCTCAGTAAATGACACTGTCATTCACCAAGATCCTCAAGCCAAAAGCCTAAAATTTGAATTCCATCATTCCCTTTCCCCCGCACCCAAACTACCAATATATCTGGTTGGCCCAGTGTCTCCCCAACCAACATATATCCCCATCAACTGTGTTCCCTTCCAGTCCAGAGGCTGGCAAATATTTCTGATAAACAGCCAGATACTGCCATGCACTATCCACATGGCAGCTAGAGTGATCTTTAAAAAGTAAGCAGCGGTTGTCTCTCCCTGGCTTAAATTTGCCCAGTAGCTCTCCATTGCCCTTAAATGAAAATTCAGTCTTTCCATACTGTCTCCACCCCTCCATGACCCAGTCCCTGCCTCCTCTCTGACCCCACGTTCTGCCCACTCTTTGTCCACACTGCCCCACAACCCCCCAGTTTCCTTTCTACTCCCCAAACACTCCAACCTCTTTCCCTTCACTCCTCCCTGGGAACATTCTTCCCCCGCCACCTCCCCCACCAGTTCTCTCCACATCTGGGTTCTTTTTCATCAATTAACTCTTGCTGACCGGGCCCAGTGGCTCACACCTGTAATCCCAGCACTTTGAGAGGCTTAGGCAGTTGGATCACTTGAGGCCAGGAGTTCAAGATCAGCCTGGCCAATATGGCAAAACCCCGTCTCTACTAAAAATACAGAAATTAGCCGGGTGTGGTGGCAGGCACCTGTAATCCCAGCTACTCAAGAGGCTGAGGCAGGAGAATCGCTTGAACCCAGAAGGTGGAGGTCGCAGTGAGCCGAGACTGTGCCATCGCACTCCAGCCTGGGCAACAGAGCAGACTGTCTCAAAAACAAACAAAACAACAACAACAACAAAACCTCTTGCTTCCCTGAGAACCATCTGACTCTTATCTAATGTGGCCCCGTCTTTTCCCCATTGCCCCATCTGAAATTATCTTATTTGTTCAACTGTTTGTTGTTCATCCCTCTGGAACATAAGCTCTGTGAGAGCACGGACCTCATCTGTCCTCTCAGCACACACATCAGCACGCTGTAAATCCTCAAATAGTTGCTCACTGAACAAAGACAGGCTCCTGGTCTGTATTTCCGGGCAATGCCAGATGTCTGTGCACCTCGGATTTCTCCAGCTTTCCCAAGCCCTTCCTATGCTGGCTCAGAAGAGGGCTGCCAAAGAGTTCATTCCCTGTGTGTGACAAAGCCTGAAAAAACACGCTGCTTGTCTGAGTCACTGTGCTTGTCCAGGGACCTCTGAGCAAACTGATTTGTGATTGCAAGGCCAAGCCGATAGAAGGGCTGCTCTTCCAACAGCTGGACTCTACACTGGGGCCTCTTTAACAACAGATGTGATGTGGTGGAGAGGCGGTGGGGAGGCCGGGTCCCATGGAAACTCCCACGCAGAAATCCTGCCGTCTGTTCCTGGCACTCCCTAACATGTGGTAGAGCTTACCAGAGCTTAATTTCCTTGTTTCCAAAGTGCCCTCTCCTAGGCGCTCTCATAGCTCTCATTTGCTCACTCTCATCTCCCAAACCCCTGCACCCCATCTCCCTTTTTCATCAAGGCATTGAAACCAGAGACTGCTGGTTGCCACCTAAATGCTTTTTGTCCCTTCTTCCTTGGTCATAGAAGCCTGATTTTATTAAAGATGGTGATGAACCCAGCAAAGAGACAACATTCACCCACCCCTTTTTCAGGTAGTGGTGGCCAGGTGATGTCTGGCTAATGACGTATAAACAGCAGTGCCACTGGAACTTCTGGGAAGAATGATGAAAGGAGGCTGACTTCAGCCACTAAGACTTCAGCCGCTGTCTTAGTCCGCTAGGGCTGCCATAAAAGAATGCCACAGACTGGGAAGCTTACACAACAGAAATTTAGTTTCTCATGGTTCTGGAGGCTGGAAGTGTAAGATCAGGGTACCAGCATGGTCAGGTGCTGGTCAGGGCTTGCTTCTTGCTTCCTGGTTTGCTTTTCTCCATGTCTTCACACAGGGGAAGGGAACAGAGAGAGGGAGAAAGTGGGGGCATGGAGAGAAGCAGGAGAGGGAGAGGGAGAGAGAGAGAGGGAGGGGGAGAGAGGGAGAGAGAGAGAGAGAGAGGAGGAGAAAGATCCTTTTGCTCTTTTTCTGAGGCCACCAATCCTATCAGATTAGGATCCCACCATTAATGACCTCATTTAGCCTTAATTACCTCTTAAAATCCCTATCTCCAATATAGGGTCCTTGGGGGTTAGGTCTTCAATATATGAATTTAGGAGGGACACAATTTAGGCCATCACGGCTAGGCATTACATCATTTAGTTCTTCCCTTCCTTCTGTCTTCCTCCCACCTGGAATCTGGATGTGATGGCTGGAGCTTCAGCAGCTCTACTGGACCATGTGATAAACTTGATAATGAATGCCAGGTGCTGAGGGTGAGGGTGGAAGTGCAGAAAGATGGAAAGAACCTGGGTTGACTTTGTGGCACCATTATCATGGAATTGTTAGGAGCTGCTTTATGTCAGAGTTCTGGTTCTCAGCCACACTGTATATTGGAATAACCTGGGGATCTTTGAAAAATGCTCATGCCTGGATGTCACTCCCAGAGATCCAGATATAACTGGTCTTTTGGGGCGCAGCCTAGGCATCATGATTTCTTTTAAATTTATCTGGTGATTCTAAAGTGTTAAGCTCGAGAACACTGCTAAAGAAAAAATCCTGGTGTAAGGGAATTGACTGTGTTTTAAACAATGGTATTTTAGTTTTGTTATGCAGACTAACTCAACTTCAATAAGAAATCTAATTCTAGAAGATGAATCACTTCTGTCTTCTAAGATTTTCAGAACAAGCACCGCCCAAAGCCATCAGGAGACCTGGTTGCATCCTACCACTTTCAAGAGTAGATATGGGTAGATATCAATTCAAGCTGAATGGTGACAGATCTGTGCAGTATTAAGTACAATTTTCTGTCCTTTCACTCACATGAATAAAACAGTGTGTGTAACTTAAACTTCAGGATTAAAATAAGCACTCAAATTCAAAATAGTCAGATGTGGCACTTTTGTCAACAAACCTCTTTTCCGAAAGTGAAATCCATTGGTAATGATCATTAGAGGCCAATGAACTCTTTCCTGTGACCCAAATGTCCCTCCTTGTCCCCAGCCCAAGTGGGAAGAGCTCAAGGGGAGGAGCTCGGCCAGCTGGTGAGAGAGTTGACTTAAAATAAACAGGTACCAGGGTTCAACTCTCAGCTTCACCACTTACAGCTGAGTGCTCTTGGGTAAGTCATTTAACCCCTCTGTGCTTCAGCTGCTCCCTGTGCAAAATGCACTTCATGATTTTGTCCAGGACTCGGGACTGTGGCAAGGACTGAAAAGCAATGTCCGAAAAAGCACTTAGCATTGTGCCTGGCCCAGAGTCACTGCTCAGTAAATGTCAGCCATCATTCTTAGGCTATGGCCAGCCACTCTTCCCAAATGATGTGTCCTTCCCTTTCATTTCTGGAAAACAGTGCCAAAACAGGGCTGCTTTTATGAATAGGGTACTAAATGAGCAAACACATGTCTGGAAATAAAGGTAATTCATCCCTGGGGAGATAGCATCTCCCAGGTTCAGGGGTTAATGGGCTTGGAGGATTCATAACAAACGGTGCCTGAGACAAATTGGCTGATGGAACTGAGCAGCTATTGTTTCTCAGACAGCTCTTCAGCCGTGGCCCATTTATTAGCATGGCTGCCGGAGAAACAAATTAAAAGGCAAGCCCCTCAAAGATAACAGAAATTGAGTGCGAGGGGCAAAACGCCCTGAAAGTTTGAGCCGGCGACAGAGAGGCCATGCTTCTTCATCTGCTGCCAACCTCCAAACACTGAACTCTGGAGGAGGCTGGACGGGAGCCAGCCTCTGACGGCGTGTGCTCTCCTCGGTAAATATGGGAACTGCCAAGAGCCAAGCCCGTGGAAAAGCACTTACAGATTAGAAGCAAACACATGGCAAGCAGGACCCTCTGCAATCGTAAAATGCATCGTGGAGGAAGACGAAAGGAAACAAACCATTCTCTTTGGGACTGTCCATCTGGAAGCGTGGAGCCAGGAGCATTATTAGAAATAAATATATCCAGCCCAGCAACATCTGGGAGTCACTGGATGTTTTCATCCTCCTGGAACCTTCGGAAGAGCTCTGTCCACAAATACAGGCTTCTGAAGCTGCAACAGAACCCTGGTGCTGGGACACCGGTTCTGCCCTTCACCCCCTGTGGATTGGTTTAGCCCATTTTCCAGGGAAGGCTGGGGAGTGGAAAGGGCTTAATACTCCAGAAGCTTTGTGAGTGGGGGTGTGAGCCTGGGAGGGAAGACTGGAGGCCTCGCAGGCTGTGGGATGCGTGGCCAGATGGAGCATTGTCCTTTGCGGGCAAATGGCTTCTACTAGACTTTTCTAGGTGTGACCCTGGAACCATTTTTATCCTGGGGTGCTGACTAATAGAACAGATTCCTGGGTCCTACTTCAGACCTCCAGGATCAGCCTCTCTGCAGGGAAGTGCAGGAATCTTACATTTAATATCGCTTCTTAGGTGATTCCTCTGCACACTACGGGAGTGCTTCTCAAACTAGAGCATGCATGCACCAACATAACCCTGAGAGCTTACTAAACACAGATTGCTGGGCCCCACACCGACAAGCACCCCTGATTCAGTAGGTCCAAAGTGGCGCCCGAAGATCTGCATTTCTAACAAGTTTCCCTGATGCTGGTGCCGCTAGTCCAGGGACCACACTTTGAGTAGCACTGCAAGTCTGCAAACCCACTGAACTACGGGGTTTGCTCTCAGGCTGAGCAAAGTTCCATTTGTCAACAAACATGTACATAGCCCCCAGTTGAGTGCGAGAGCCCTCTATTCCTGGGCATCGTGGCGTCTGGGAGCCAAACCTTCTCTCTTAGGCCCCCAAGGGAACCTGAAGATGTTTGAGTTAATAATGACTCCAGGACGAGTTTGTGCTAGGACTTTCCTTGTAGAAGAGAAGGGCCTAAATAGCAGCTCTCAACTTTGAGCAAGATTTTAGAAACACTCCATTGCTGGGGAAAAAATGTTAAACTAACTAATGTAGTCTCTTTGGGTGTGGGAACTGGGCATCATCTGGATTTTTAAAGCTGCTCTGGGGAGTCCAATGTGCAGCCAGGCTAGAAAACCTAGCACAAATGTTAACTCTGACTACCATCAGTAGCACCCAGGGAGTGGCTAGAAAGCATTACATTGGGCCCCACTCCTCCCTCGCAATTCTGACTTCCATGATTCAGGGTGGAGCTTGGGCACTGGCATTATAACAGAAGCTCTCCAAATGTTCCACAGTGCACCTAGCGGCAGGGATCCAGGCCTGCTGGCCTAGTGGAAAGGGACTCAGGAGCACTAAATCCTGGGAAGGCTTAAGGGGCGGAATGAAACCAGAGACTGGGGCTGATTCATTTGGATCACCACAGTAAATGACAATGGTAAAGCAAGTCACAATTGTGTAAAGCAGTTTTGTGAAGTGCAATCAGAACAGATTTCTTGTTCTTACCCCATAAACAACTCAAACTCTCTTCCTTGCTGGCCTGAGCAGGAATTCGTTGGAAGGGAAGATAGAAGCTTCCTCTGCAGACTTCAGACGTGCCTCCTCTGGGATGCACACAGCAAGGGGTGCCCTTGCCAGGCATAAAGCCCTGTGCAACTGGGTTTCTACAGCTCTGCAGCGGCCTAGGAGGAAGGTTTGCTAGAATTACTGCCCCATGTGACTTTCTTTTAAAAATTAACTTGCAGATCCCTGGGTGCTATATCAGCTTTCTCAACCTGGACATTGGACCCTGGAGCCTGCATTTTGAACAGACGTTCTGGGCAATTCCAATGTGCATTATAAGCAGGGAACCATTTACATGAAGGTTCCACCTACCTGAGCAAAGGTGGAAGTTGGGAGAGATAGGGCCAGAGAACAGAGTGGATAGTTCTTTGCCATCTTTGGTTTCCCCGAGGTCTCTGCTGGGCAAAGGGTCTCTCAGAAAACCCTCCCTGAAAGATAAGAGCCTATTTACCAAAATTTACATCTAGGTCCAATAAATGGAGCTGACTTTACCCATGCAGGGCTGGGTGTCAGACTCAGCTGTCTCTGTTACGATGCACTTTTAAGGCTTTTCTAACAGGATGAGCTAGATTACTGGCAAAGAAATGAATTTCTCCTATCTCCACATAATTCTAAATCTCCTCACTAGAGAATTAGACTATCTGTCCCATTTCCAACAATGACACATGTTGAATGGCCCAACATTGGCCAATGGTCCTGGCCTGCCATGTCTTCTCACAACAAATGTTCCCTTGTAACTTGCTCACTCTGGGGTTAGTAGGAATTTCAAATTGGGAGAGAAAGAGAGAGAACTGTTTTAAGTGGGCTGACCTTGGCCTTCCCAAATTACCTCTGAAGTTCCAGGATTTGTGAATGACCCAGAGGTCCATGATCCACAGTCATGCGCCATTTGAATGAAGCATGAATTTGGATGGTGTGCATCTGGAACTATGGAGGGGAACTGGGTCTCGTAGCTGGGGAGCACCAGTACCTTAGCTTTGTGGAACTTGCGACACGGTGGAAGTTCTGTTTCTTGGCAAAAAATGGTCATGTGGTTGAAGAGAAACTTTCAGCGGATATAGAAATAACCATCAACTTGTGGTAGGAGAATGGCACTGGGTGCTCATGGAGCTTTACAAGACATGTGAAGTGGGAGGAAACCGGGAATCTGTGTTAGCATTTCCAGTGCTCCAAATTCGGGATCCCTGGAGGTTTCAGAATCAGTCCTCCCAAATATTTATGGAAATAATAACAAATGCTTGTATTTATTGAGTGATAATTACATGCCAGGCAAGGGGCCAAGAACTTAGCACACATCATCTCCTGTGACCCTCACAGCAATACTCCAAGTGCGTACTTTTATGATCACCATTTTCTAGAGAAGGGAACTGAGCACAGAGTGGTTGTCCAGTTTCAACAAGAACCCACAGCCAGACAGCGGCAGAGCTGGGATTCAAACTGACAAACACTCTCTCCTCGCCCAAACTTAGTTCGTCTCCTCTGAGCCCTCTATTCGACTAGGCCTCAAATATGGCCCCAGTCCTGCACAGCAAAAATCATGTCAAGTCAGTTTAGCAAAATGTCTTCACCTTTGATCTCTGATCACCCTTGAAATCTGATCAATTTCCTCATCCCCCACCTTTAATGTATAAGTCCTTGACCTGCCTTTAGCAAGAATCCTGTTAGGTCAGTTTAGCAAGAATTCCCCAACCCTGGGTGTCTCCTCTTCGCAATTTTTCATCCACTGACTCTCCTTACTCTGCTCACTGACTATAATCCCCCACCTGTCCTTTCTGTATTCAGAGTTGATCCCCATCTCCCTCCCCTATTGCAGTACCCCTACTGTGATAGTCTTAAATAAACCCTGCCTTACCTTTTAAATAAGTCTCAGAATCATTCTTTCATGAACAGAACACAGGCAGTTGGACTCTGGTACCTGCCTTCTTAATCCATACAGTATCCTGCCAGACCAGCGCTGTCCAATACAACTATAATGGAAGCCACATGTGTAACTTTAAATTATCTAATAGCCACATTAAAAAGGGAAAAAGAAATAGGTGAAATATTTTTTTTTAAGTTTTTTACCTAGTATATCTGAAATGCCATTTCAACATATCATTGATAGTACAAAATTATTAACGAATATTTTACATTCTCTTTTCCTTACTAAATATTTGAAATCTGGAGTGTATTTTACGCTTTAAGCATATCTTAATTCAGATGAGCCACCAGTGGTAAATGGCTGCAGTAATAGGCAGCATGGGGCTGGATTATCCCCTGGCAGGCAGGATGCTTGATGTAGTTTGGATGTGTGTCCCTGACCAAATCTCATGTTGAAATCTAATCCCCAATGTTGGAGGTGGGGCCTGCTGGGAAGTGATTAAATCATGGGGGCGGATTTCTTATGAGTGGTTTAGAACCATCCCTTAGGTACTGTCCTCGCGATCCTGAGTTCTCACGAGATCTGGTCATTTAAAAGTGTGTGGCACGTCCCCCCCCCCGCTCCCTTTCTCTTGCTTCTGCTCTGGCCATGTGACATGCCTGCTCCCCCTTCGCCTTCTGGCCACAGTTGTAAGTTTCCTGTGGCTTCCCCAGAAACCAAGCAGATGCCAGCATCATGCTTCCTGCACAGCCTGCAGAACCGTGAGCCACTTAAACCTCTTTTGTTCATAAATTGCCCAGTCTTAGGCATTTCTTTATAGCAATGCAAGAAGGAACTAATACAATGCTTGAGTTGGAAAATTTTTTCATGGGGGTGCCTAGGGTAGAGGAAGCACAGAGAAAGGAGGAGAGGAGAATGAAGAGACAAGGAACCTGGCTGGGACACCTGGGGGCATGGCTGCCTGTGCAGCTGGAATGGAGAGATCATTTCAGGAGCAGGGTGTGGGGTGATTAGAACTGAGCAGAGGCTCTGAGGACATCTGTGTGGGTGGAATCCAGGGGACTACATGTGAGAATTACGCTGAATAAAGATAGGGCTTTGGGCCTCCAGTTGTGAAGTGTGCCAGGGATGGAGGTGAAAAGCGACTTAGAGTGGATGGAGAGAAGAGTGGGGTAATGAGCAATCCCAGAGAAACTGGCTCCAAGTGTGGGCCAGGCAATGTGCTCTCTGATTGGGAAGGGCAGGCAGGTGATGAAAGAGGACAGTGTCTCTCCAGCTGTCATGTGCACAGATATCACCTGGGGATCTTGTTCAAATGCAGGTTCTGATGCAGTTGATTTGAGATGAGGCCTAAGATTCTGCATTTCTGAAAAACTCACAGGTCTGGTGAGGCTGCTGGTACATGGACCGCCATGCTCTGAGTAGCAAGGACTAGGACACAGATTCATGCTTTGAATGGTTAAGTGGCATAGAAGGGGAAGAAGTAGAAACTTAGCTAAGCTCTGGAGAGCCTTCGGCTTGTGCGCTTTCCAAGCTGTGGCAATAATAACTGTGGCTTGCTTCCACTGAGTACCTACTATGTGCCAGGTACTGCGTGTTGGGCTTTATACCAGAGATTAGCAAACTAGGGCTCATGGGCCAAATCTGGCTGCTTCCTGTTTTGGTGAGTAAAGTTTTATTAGAACCCAGCTACACCCATTCATTTATTTACATATAGTCATGGCTGCCTTCATGGTACAGTGGCAGAGTTGAATAGTTGCAACAAAGATCATTCACAAAGCTTAAAATAGTTACCATCTGGCCCTTTATGGAAATATTCTGCTCATCCCACATTTGCACATTATCTTATTTAATTCTCATCACAGCCCTGTGAGGTAAGTACTGTTATTGTTCCCTGTTACAGATGAACAAACAGAGGTGTAGAGGCATCAAGGCACTTGCCCAGGGGCTCACAGCTAATACAAAGGACAGACAAGGTCCTCATAATCAAGGCTGATGGAGGCCAATGCCGTATTTGGTTTTCTGTTCCTGCGTTAATTCATTTAGGATAATGGCCTCCAGCTACATCCATCTTGTTGCAAAAGACATGATTTCCTTCTTTTTTTACGGCCATGTAGTATTCCATGGTGTGTATGGACCACATTTTCTTTATCCAGTCTAGTTTTGATGGGCATTCAGGTTGACTCCATGTCTTTGCGATTGTAAATCATGCTACGATGAACATATGTGTGCATGTGTCTTTGTGTTAGAATGATTTGTATTCCTTTGGATATATACCGAATCATAGGATTTCTGGGTCAAATGGTAATCGACCATTCAATTACCTGTTTCCTGTTCTAAGTTCTTTGAGAAACTGCCAAACTGCCTTCTACAGAGGCTGAATTAATTTACATATCGCATGTTCTCACTTATAAGTGGGAGCTAAACATTGAATACACATGGACACAAAGAAGGGAACAACAGACACCAGCGCCTACTTGAGGGTGGAGGAGGGGAGGAGGGTGAGGATAGAAAATCTACCTATTGAGTACCATGCACATTACCTGGGTGATTAAATAATCTGTACTCCAAACCCCTGTGACACACAATTTACCTATATAGCAAACCTGCACATGTACCTTGAACCTAAAGTTTAAAAAGATAAATAAGTTAAATTAATGCACTAGTCTCATGGAAACAGGAGTGGCCTCTAGAAAGCAAGCACGTATGTGTGTGAGCAGCAGGAGGCTGAGGGAGACCAAGATGCTGTTTTATGGAAAGGACCCAGTGTTTCCTTCTATAATGGCTTCTCTCGCACCCCACACCGTCTTCCGTTGCCCACCTCTGAACTTACCTGCGACAGTGCCTGTCTCTTACCCCAAGCATTGGCCTCTCTTCCTACTATGGGATGGCAGTTGTTAAATCCCCCAATGTCCCCACCCCTTGTGGGACAATCCAGAGGCACGTTCTACACAATTCGCCCGGGGTCCACAGTGAGCTTGAGCCCCAGGTGCCCACAGTGGTCACCTGCTCATTATTGGCTTCCCGTATCCGTGGCCCCCACATCACTCTCCCATTCTCCCACTTGTGGGAATCACCTCCCAAGTAAACTACCTGCACCCAAACCCCATTTCCAGTTCTGTTTTCAGGGAAACACAAACCAAGACACATACTCAGCTGTGTAGGTACCATGGCAGTCATGTAAAATGCCTGTGGGGTTCACCTTTTACAGATAAAGAACTGGGGCCCAGAGAGGAGAGCTGCTTGTCTCAGTTACACAGGTTCCTAGCCAGGTCCATCTGACTCATTCATTGAAGAGTCCTACAGCTCATTCTTTGAATAATAACAATCGTGGCGTCATCATCATCACATGCTTACTGTGAACAGATGAGGGGTCCACGGCTCAGAGGAGTTAAGAACTTGGCCAAGTTTTGCCCATGTGTTAGAATGGGGATTTGCACCCCCAGAAGCCTGGAGTAAGAGGTGAAAACCTCCACAAGCAAGGCTGCAGTGGACACGGAGCTGTCTCCTTGGGGCTGGGTGCCCTGGTGTGGCCTGCCCATCCCTCAGCCCTGCCCACTGGGTGGGATAAACATCTTCCTCAACGACTGCTCCCACGGCCGGTTGCCATGGTTACCTCTGGGTACCATCTGAATATTGAAGGACAGTGATGGTAACCGCAGCCACTGTCACCGCCTCTGTTTGACATTCCTACCCACCTCCCACACCAATTCCTAGTACAACTGGGGCTGGAGAGTGGGAAGGGGGTAGGCCTGGTTGCCGTGAGAACAAAAGAGAGCAGCTTCTCATGACCTCATCTCTAGAAATCCTGGGAGCTTGGCAGCTGCGGCTGGGAGTTATTACTGCTCTGATGTCTTCCCTCCCCTTCCAAGTTTCCCCAGCCTCAGCATAAGCAGGAGCCTGCCTGCCAGTCTGCATGTGCTGTTCATGCCTGCGCCTCTTGTGTACAATGATTATTCTAGATCCCTGTCTTGCCTATCTCTCTCCCTTCCTCCTTCTCTTCCTTCTGCCCCCCACAGAAATGCACTGTCTTATAAAGGATGCAGCCCTTTGCTGGTGTGTTATTATGCTTCAGAGAGAGGCCTGTAGAGTTCTGACTGGCCCCTCCTGGAGCTCTGAGAGTTTCAGTGATGATCCCCATCTCCTCATCTGTAAAATGGGGACAAGGGCTGTTGGAAAGATTAAGTAAGGGCAATAGCCGAAACATTAAGAGCTTGATCCCTGAATTGGACAGACTTGCATTTAAATCCTGATGTCTCACTGCGCCACCTGAGGCAAGTTAATTTTCTGAGCCTCCATTTCTTCTTCCATGAGGATAATAGGTGTATCTACCACGCAGGGATTTAATTTACTAATGATTAAAGCATGGAGCCTTTCTTTGTCCCAGTGCCCTTGCCTGCTTCATGACCCTCTAAGCCTTTGAGTCTGCAAAGGGCAATGACCTTTGTTCTCCCTTGTTCCCAACCAAGGGCAGTGACATGAGACTCTGCCCTTCACTGAGAAAGAACAGCTCGGCTTCCAGCCGGATACGAGCAAGGCAGATAAGACACCTCCGCTTCCTCTTTTGAATCCTGTGGCTGTCACCAGCCTCTGATAAGATAGCACCAGCTGGGTGGCCCCACAGCTCCAGTGGGAGATTAAGAGCTTGGGTTTGACAGGGGTAGGGTGCTTTTTAAGCTTGTAGTAGTGGCACCCTTGATCGGTTTGCGGCACAGGGCAAAGGTGGCGGAGCTTGAGGAGGAGGAAAAGGGAAGGATCTGCAAAATTCCTTTTCCCCCAAAATATTGATCCTTCCATCATCCTTCCCACAAACCCTCAAGACACTGTCACAGCGCAGGAGGGAATCAGGGAGACAGGAGGTCCTCCAAATCCATCATGAGCTTTGGGCTATTTTTAAAGTCTCCAAGAATTTGAGTGAAAATGTGCAAGTATGTGCATTTCACTACGGTGAGAGAGAACAGAGTGTTCATTCAATTATCAAGGGCAGGGTTCTTCAAGCAGCAGCCTTGTTATGGTGTGCTGGCATCTGCCTGTACCAACTTTCAAGAGCCAATTGTTAAGTATTTAGGAATTGTGTGAGCCAGTTGTGAAACGCAACATTAAATACTAAATTACAGAAAATTACAATTAAATAAATTATACTAAAAATACTTATCATTTCCTAATTATTCTATTTCTCATTCCTTTTACCTATGCTTTTGTATCTAATACTACATAATGGTGTGTTACGGAACATCTCTTCCCAACTCAACATTCAGTGACATCACATGGATAGCTTGAAATTGGCCATGGTGGGAGTATTTACACCCCCGGAAACTGGCAAATGCTACAAACCAGCCAGCCCTCTCCCAGGGCCCAAGTCCTTGTTAAACATTTACCAGCACATTCTAGTCCCTGCACCACCCACAACAGAGGTATCTAGGTGGTCTATTACAAATACAGACCCAGAGCCGCTCTCTAGACACACTGAATCAAAATGTCTGGGTTTGGGGCCCAATAATCTACATTTAGAGAGCTCCCCCTGAGATTCATAAGCACACCGAGAACTTTGGGAGATTGGAAGGGAATAAGGGAGGAAAGAATGTGGAAGGGAATGAGAGGGGGAAGGAGGAATGTGGAAGAAAACAGGAGGCAGAAGAAAGGGTTCCCAAAATAACTTTTCCCTGGACTAGCCATAGGACAATTTTAAAGTGATTGAAGGCTGAATTGTACTATCTACTCTTTATTATTATTATTGTATTGTATTGTATTATTGTATTGAGAGAGACATCTATTAAGCACTTACTACGGTTCAGGCACAATGCTAAGTGCCTTAAGTGTATGTTTCATTCATATATCACCTTGATGTAAAAGTTATTTATTGTTCCCATTTTACAGGTGAGGAAACTGAAGCTTAGGCTAAAGTGCATTGACCAAGGTCCACACTCAGCAAGAGTTAGAGGCAAAATTCAAACCACAGGAGTGGTGGGCTGAGTCAGCTCTAGTGACTGGACTCCAGAAGTGGTGATCTGAGTCAGCGCTAGTGGCCGGCACATGGAAGGGCCTTGGTAAACATTGGTGGGTGGACTTATCCCAAGGGCGCTACCATGTCAGAGCCGTGTTTTCTCTAGAATGAGTTTTAAACTCGTGATGATTTCTTGAGTGCCATTAACCGTCTCACATAAGCAAGGATAAATGCAGCTCATCTCAAGATGTGTACAATTCAGACAGAACATGCAGGGGCCGGGCATCTGAGAGATGGCCCATGCTGTGGTTCACAGAGCAAAGGGCTCTTCTCACACGGTTCCTCACTGGCTCATCCTTCAGTTCCTTGGCTGGGCCAAATGCCTGCACTCAACCCATGTTGGTCAGAAAGAAAATGTAGATGTCAGTGATCAGAAGCTCCCAACCTGGTCTGGCAGATTAAGACAAAAATCAACCTGAAAAATTAGAAACGCTACAGGAGTCAACCAAGAAAACCAAGCCACCATCTCTTATAAGAAATTTAGCTCACAAACATATTTAGTTAGGTTCAAGTTGAATGATGAAGAATCATTAAAAAAAAAAGAAAAACAAAAATATATTAAAAAACATATTTAGTTTGGGAGAGAGTAGGCAACTCTGGTGGGGGTGCAGGAGGCTCAGAGTGGAGTTGTGAGAGATGAAAATGGGGAGTTAAGTTGGATCATGTTGGAAAGGTTGGCCAGGATGGCTGACTCTAGAAGTCAGAGAAGGATATTGAGTGCTGTAAGAGTGAAAATAAGTTCATAAGGGCCATGCTTGGGAAGCTCTTGGGGGGCCCTGGAAGTGCCCAACTCTGTTGGTATGAGGCTGTTTGTCAGTTCTGTTGGTAGCCTACACTGATCACCTGGGGGCAGGAGTCAAGAGGTGGTGGTGAGCTGGGAATGCCCCTGTAAGGCCTGGAGCCCAGTCTGGCTGGGTTCCTCTTGGCTTCCAAAGGACTCCAGGGCAGTGTTCAGCTGAGGCCACGAGAAAGCTTTTTCTGCTCTCCATTCTCCATCATATGGGCCGCTAAGAGCAGGGGTTCCCCAAACTGAGATCTGTAGGCATTCTGGAAAAAAGACAGCCTCATAGTTAGTTGAGTTGGGGAGTTGCTACATGTGCTATCCTTTCCTTAGAGATTGCAATGATCACATTAAAAGCTCTGAAAAGTTCTGCAGACAAAAAAAAACACTTTCAAATTTGTAATTCATTTAGAATTGCTGGAGGTAGCAGACAATGGCAGGGCTCCACTCAGATAGACACAGATCTCTAGTTTCTGTTTCTGCCCCACCCCTGGTTTCTGCGTGCTTTCATAAAAGTGCTCCAAAATTTACTTCCCCTAGGGACAACCATCCACTAGTGAACAATATGTTGTCCTAGGTGGGGCAGCTCTGAGACATTTTTCAGAGTTGATAGTTCCCCTGTGGGACCAGCCTAACACTATCCTCTATGGGACATTGCCCAGGATCAGTTCTTCCTTTGCACATGAGTCCTCAGCTCAGGGTCAGCTACTTGGGAACCAGACCTAAAACACCTGCTTTCTCCAACATTCAGGCTGTTTGTGTCTGAAACATCTTTCAGTATCATTTAGATCTAGTATTATTTGGCACATACTTTGAAAAACTCCTCCTTGGAGAAAAATTCATCCCCTGAAATGATTTTCTGGAGAAGAAGAGCCTGAGGGGAAAAAACAAAACAAAAGCCTCCTTTGGAGCCTATCGCTAGCTCAGCCCTCTTTCTCTGGAGCCCTTCTGTGCTGTCCTCAAACACTGTCAGAGTTTCTGCAAGAGGCCTGCTATGGTCTGAGTATGGCTTGTCCCCAACAAAACTCACATTGAGGCTTTGTCCCCAACATGACGGTGTTGTGAGGTGGTGGGATCTTTAAGAGGTGTTGGGTCATGAGAAGTACATTCACATGAAGGGATTAATGCAGTCTCTCTGGAGGGATTGAATTAGTTACTGCCAGAGTGGCAGTAAGGCAAGTCAGCAGCAAGGCTGAGTCTTGTATTTGCTCTCTTTTGCACACCACTTCCCCTTCAGCTTCCCTGCTGTGTTACAACATAGCACAAGGCCCTCACCAAAAGCCAACCAGATGCTGGCACCATTCTTCTTGGACTTCCCAGTCTCCAGAACCATGAGCTAAATGAAACTCTTTTCTTTATAAATCATCCAGTCTCAGGTATTCTGTTATAGCAACACAACAAGACTATGACAGGGCTGAAAAGAGATGTCCTTTGTCAGTGTCCAGCTTGCATTTCAGGAGCATGCCTTGGGGAATTGTCTATTTGGTGACTGGATTTTTCAGGAAAGCATAATTCACCTTTACGACAGTGCACATTTGTTTTTGGAGAATGTGGTCAGATCTCCCTTTCCTACTGTCTTGAATCCATTTCTGTGCATTATGAGATTTGCCTGGATCAGAAAGTCACAAATTCAAATGTCTGCATTGGCCAGACAAGTAATGCAAATGAGTGAATCAGACCCGATATAAAGCAATTGGGAGCGATGGGGACTGGGACAAAAGGGGGAGCACATGCCCCATCTAAGGGGGCAGCCGCCAGCAGCCCCAAGCCAATTGCCACTTGGCAGGGATTAGACCTAGGTGCTGGGATTTTTTTTATAAGAGAAGCCAGAGATACAGATTTTATTTGAGATATCTTGACTTTCTAATATTGGCAAATAGTTCAAAAGTTTTTAAACTATGCGACCAAGCAGTACAGATTCACCAGCTTGATGAGAGATGCCAGGTTATGATCTTGATCTTGGTGATCTACAAAAGGTCAAAAGTAGAGTGAGGAGAGACTTAGCCATGGAATACGAGGTCGCAAGCTCACCCTCTGTCACAGTGCTGTGCTCTCCCTTTACACATCCTGGCCCGTCTGCCTGCAACACACATCCCTCCACTGTTTGCCTGGTTACCTCCTTTTCATCCTTTAGACTGGGGTCCACAAACTCTGACCTGTTAGGTCTGTGGTCTGTTAGGAACTGGGCTGTACAGCAGGAGATGAACCGCGGGCAAGTGAGCGAAGCTTCGTCTGTATTTACAGCCAATCTCCATCACTCACATTGCAACCTGAGCTCTGCCTCCTGTCAGATCAGTGGTGGCATTAGATTCTCATAGGAGTGTGAACCCTATGGTGAACTATGCTTACAAGGGATCTAGGTTGCATGTTCCTTATAAGAATCTAATGCCTGATGATCTGTCACTGTTTCCCATCACCCTATCACCCCAAGATGGGACCATGTAGTTGCAGGAAAACAAACTCCAAGCTCCCACTGATTCTACATTATGGTGAGCTGTATCATTATTTCATTATATATTGCAGTGTAATAATAATATAAATAAAGTACACAATAAATGCAATCGGCTTGAATCATCCCAAACCATCCCTCTCACCTTGGTCTGTGGAAAAATTGTCTTCCACATACTGGTCCCTGGTGCCAAAATTGTTGGGGACTACACTTTAGACCACAGCTATCTCCTGACTCCTCAGATGGGCTTAGCTTCCCCACAAGAGCTCCCATAGCCCCTGAGCCTCCCCTTTTGTAAGATTTATTCCATTTGTAATTATTTGTTCAAAGTCTCTCTTCTCCACAATTCTGCGGGTTCCATAAAGACCAGAACTGTGCCTGTCTTGTTCTCCGTTATATTCCCAGCACTGGGCCCAATGCTTGACACAGAGCACCTGCTCAAAATGACTCTTTTCATGAATGAAAGAGTAGAATGCCCAAAAGATTTCCCGAAGGTGAAAGGAATATTCTAGACTCATCCCAGAGGATTCTACTGCCTCCTTGAAAACACTCCTCCAGGATGGTGTCAGGCACTCATCTGGATTGTTCCTGTTTTCCCAGAATCGAGGCCCAAAGAGCACACAGTGCTAAGCAGAGCCACAGCTTAAGACTGTGTGCATTGTGCTTTGTGAATGGAATCCCCTAGAATGAAGGATGGCACACTATAATCCTGGGGCCAAATCTCCTCATTGTCTGTTTTAGTGAATAAAGTTTTATTGAAACACAATTATACTCATCCATTTATGTATTGTATATAGCTGCTTTCTTGCTAAAACAACACAGTATAATTGAGGCAGATCTTACATGGTCTGAGAAGCCCAAAATATTTACTGTCTGACCCAGTACGGTAAAAAGTTGCAGACCCCTGCCCTGGGAGTTGGGCAGTGCCCAAACTGCACAAGACATGTTGCAGCCATACTGTTAAGTATTCCTCAATCCAAATTCTGAGAACCACCAACTGCCTGGACCAACCACTTCCCTGCAGGGTTTGTGGGTGGTGACATTTTGGCTGAGTCCCCAATGCCATCAGCCCCCTCTATTCCCACCCATGGATGGAAGAGAAGCTGGGTAGAGAGAGAAGGGCAGTAACCTCGTGGGCCCACTGCAGCGTGTGGGGCAGCAACCTCCTCTCCCCTTTGCATATCCCACCTCTTAAAAGATGGTGCACGTGGAGCATGTCAGGGAATGGTGATAGTCTCTTTGGCCCAAAGTTGTCAAACTCTAGTCCAGGAGCTCCTGGGTTTGGAGAGAGGGGCAGGAAGGAGATGAAGGAGATGAGACTGTGACTCTAGGAGGGGTGGGGTTGCCTAAAGGCCCACCTAGGGGCCTAGCAAGGGTACGCCAGTCTTCCATGGGTCAGCGGATACCAGTGAAGGTAGCTGGGCTGTTCCCACCAGGAGCGCCACCCTCTGGGCACAGGGACCTTGATACTAAGGCCTGCCATGAAGCTGATGGCTCAGAGCAGAACCCAGGGGTGGGGCAAGAGGAAATTGAGCCTGAACCAGATCACCTGTGTCTAGGCTCTGTGCAGTAGGGAGATCCCCAGTGGGTTTTCCAAAGAACCAACCATTTTTGTTGTGGTTATTTAATGCTGGGTACCAAACCATCCCAATACTTGGTAGCTTAACAAAACAACTCATCATTCTGCTCATGAATATGCAGATTGGGCCGTTCTCAGCAAGACAGCTCCTCCCTGATCACTCATTATCAGCTTGAGTGGCTCCAAGGCCAAGAGCTGGGGCCTCTCACTCACGTGTCTGGTGGTGAATGCCGGCCCTTGGGGGAACCTTGGCTGGAGCTGTTGCCTAAAATACCTACACATGGCCTTTCCATGCTTGGCTTCTGCACAGCATGGTGGCTGGTCCCAAAGGCAAATACTCCAGGAGACCGAGCCAGGTGGAATTTGGATCACATTTTCTAACCTAAGTCAGAAGCCACACTGCATAACTTCTGCCACATTCTGTTTGTTAGAAATGAATCACTAAGCCTGGCTTATGTTCACGGAGAGGGAAACTAAAGAGTCTATGGGCCTATTTTAAAAGCTCCACAAATACGCTTCACCAAGAATAAGCCTTTGGGAATTGCCCTACAGAGAGCCTGGAAATGATGATAAAGAAAAAGGAGACATCCACGCCAGCCCTGGGCTGCAGAAGAGAAGAGGAAGTCAGTTTTCTGTCTCTCTCCCCATCAGCCGAGGGCTGGGGCTTTGTGGGGAGAACCACCTCTGGGGCCATCTCCCTGGCAAAAAGTAGGCAAACTTTCAATCAAATATGAGATTGAAGCTTTAAAATGAATAGAGCTGAGCCTTAAGATCCAAAGTGAGACCATGTTAATGATCACTAGAGGTGGGAAGTTACAGAATAGGATTAAAAGTCAGTTAAGGAATCCTTTACCATTTGGAGATGCAGGGATGGGATGAGGGTGAATGTCCACGCTGCACTGTTCATAGCAGCAATTGCAAAGATAGAAATGGCTCAGATTTTTATGCCCCAATATGGACAGGTTGAGACACCTCTCCAAATGGCTTCATTTAGAAGGCCTTCATCGGTAGTCTAATCCTTCTGCAGTTTGCTTTTCAAGTCCTAAATTTGGGGGAAATTGGAAGAATTGGATAAGTGATCTCTAGGGGCCCCTCCAGGACTCACAGTCCCTGATTATCTTGGTAACGAGGACTGGGTGCTGACAGCTACGAAGGAAATGGTCTTTAAGAATGTGTTTATTTAATTAAAGAATCTTTCAGTACAGAAATCATAGTAGTATCTGGAGAAATTAGCTCTGTTCTCTGATTTCACTGAAGTAGAAGTAATCACATATGGTCTTTCCCAGCCTCTCTTCTTTCCCTCTCCCTCCCCCTCTCTCTTCCTTCTTCCCTCAGATCCTCTCTCAGCCTTTCTCAATCTCTGCCCCACACATACCCAGAGTGGTGATTTGAGGAGAAACTTTAACAAGCTTGCAGCGGGGCACAAAACTTCTGCTCCGATGTCTTTGCTATTCAAGTCCGTTTTACAGCCCCTGTCTTTTAAGCTTTGCTCCTCAAAGTGTGGTCTGTGAACCAAGAACATCACCTGGGAACTTATGGGAAATGCTGAATCTCAGGCCCAATGCTGGGCCTACTGAATCAGAATCAACATCTTAACAAGAGCCCCAGGGGATTCAAATAAACATGAAAGTTTGAGAAGTGCTGTTTAAGGATCCCAATTCCTCACCTCTATTATTCTTCCTTACCTCTATTATTCTTCCTTGTCTTTTTCAAGACATCTAGAAGTAGATGATCCCCTGTGGTTAACTCCCTGTGTTTCAGACCCTTCTGGGTCCTTGGCAACCCCTTTAGAGCTGGATCTCCATCCATAGCCTTAGAGAACCTAGGCATAGCTCGCCTTCAACCAATACCTAACAGGAGTCGAGCCACACTTCCAGCCCTTGGATCTCAAATACTCTTGATCCATATCTGGAGAAATGTTGGGCGGAAATCCTTATGGGAAACGGCTTATATTCAGATGGCATGTTGTGGAACACCATCGTCATTTCTTTTGAATCCAGACCCTGCTGTCATTTTCATCTCCCTGTGTACTTCGGGCTTTAATGTCAAAAGACTTGTCTCATTGCAAATCTCAGAAACATTTCTGTGACAAGGTCGCTTGCCTAAAGCTATTTGTTTACAAGCTAAGTGAGCATTGGGAAGGTACCCTAACCACCCTTTAGTGCCCTGGAAAAATCACACGATTGTGTTTGGCTATCGTACAGACTTTTTGTTGTTCCTTTATCTCATTGCTTTGAGGACATAAAAACCAATGGTGGGGAGAATGGTTATAATTTTAGGCACCCACAATTTTATACAGTTGGGAGGGTGAAACGCTTTCATCCAACTTGAAGAAATACCCCAAACTCTTCCAGGCATTTTCCATTTTGAACAAATTTCAGCTTAGCCAAGTGACATCTATCTACAGGTGGACTCGATCCACTTTCTTAGGGCTGTTACTAAAGTATATTGGCAGCCTCTGGGTCCCTGAGATGGCCCACCTTAAAAGCAGGGTTTCCCAGCACCCGTGAACTCTAAACCCCAGACAAATAACCACAATGGGCATTTTTGAAATGGCTGCTTGACATTTGCTAAACCTGGTTGTGACTTTTAATTATCCGAAGTTTGGTTTCCCCTGAAGCCTGAGCCTGCAACAAGGGCTTGGATACAGGGGATTTACTTGAGAGGTCACTCTAGGAAGCAGGAGTGTGGAGTGGATGACTGTCAGGCTCATATAAGGGGGCTTCTCAAAATTGCTGCTCCAGACCCCAAAGCCAGCTGCAGTGGGGCCTTGAGAAGCATAGAGAATGCCTCCAACAGATGTTCCCGAACGTCAGGGAGGTCTAAGCACTGATTCACTGCTTCTAAGCCTAATTGGTAGAAGGTTACCCTCGGGGGCATTAGCTCCTCTGCTGTCCTGGCCTGTGCTTTCTGCACTGGCCAAGCAAGCTGCCTCAGCACAGAAAGCCCTAAAGCAAAATACAGAAAGATGCTTCCAGGCAAAGCAGGTGAGTCTGAGTTCAGCCCGAACTGCTCACCTCAGGAACATCCAGGGGCTACTGCCACGCCTCTCAACACCTTTACAGGGTAAGGTATTATTCTTATTATCCCCATCTTCAAGCTAAGGAAACTGAGGCTCAGACAGGTGAATCTTCTGCCCAGCGAGGAGGCAGGGACTGGGGTCCCAGCACAGGCTGTCCGCTCCACAGCCTCTCCTTGGAACCTGCCACCCTGTGGGGCAAAGGACTGGAGGGACACCAGCCATCTGGTGTGCCTAGGACTATCCAATTTTCAGCACTGAAAGTTCCAGATCCCAGGAATCCCTTAGTCCCAGGCAGAACGAGATGGTTGGCAACGCTCGTGGGTCTCTCTGCCTGTTCAGCTCCTGGCTCTCCCAACGGTCTCCCTTGTGAGCAGCAACAGACATGTGGCTTAAAGACGGTCTTTCTCCTCTTCTCTCGCTCCACTTCTGCATTCTGGTAAGGCTGTTTCTAAGTAAGACCCAGATAAAACTGGCTTTCAAATGGTGATTTCCCCTGAGTAAACCTTTTATGTAGAAGGTGAGAGACAAGAAAGTTTTTTGTTCTTACTTCCTTTAATGAAGCCCTTTTATTCTAGTTGTGGAGAGAAGGGGTGGGTGGTGATGACTATAAATGAAATTTAGTTGATTTCTTTGCTAAGCATTCATGATCATTTTATTTTTTAGGGGCTTTTTTAAAAAAATGGAATAATATGTGTGTGTGCATGTGCACCTGTGTATGTGTGTGTGTGCACATGCAATGCACATAGGCAAATACATAGTATATCTATGTATATTAGTTTTCTAGGGCTTCCCTAACAAAGTACCACAAACTGGGTAGCTTAAACAACTGAAAGTTCTTCTCTCACAGTTCTGGAGGTTGGGAGTCTAAGGTCAAAGCATCCACAAAGTTGGTTCCTTCTGAGGACTGTGAGGGAAGGATCTACTCTAGGCCTCTCTCCTTGACTTGTAGATGGACATCTTCACCTTTTCTTCCTTTATGCATGTCTCTGTGTCCAAATTTCCCCTTTTGATAGGAACACCAGTCATACTGGATTAGGGCGTACCTTAAGGACCTCATGTTGACTTGATTACCTCTGTAAAGATTCTATTTTCAAATACAGTCACATTCTGAGATACTGGAGGCTAGGATTTTGACATATGAATTTGGGGGTACACCATTCAACCCATAACACTATGTCATCCCTGTGTGGGGGTAATGAAAATGCCCAGCCCACAGTGTTGCCGTGAGGAGTAAGACACAGCCTAATTTCGTGCCCCTCAGTCTAGCACACAGTAGGCATTTGGTCAGTATTTGTCAAATGAATGAAACGTATGAATTCAAGTTACAGAATTGAAGTGATGATAACTAGTAGCTAATGGTTTAAAGAGATGAAGGAAAATACAAAGTGGTAAGTGCTACCCCAGCTGTGTAGGACAAAGACACTGTGATTTTGGTCTGTTTAGCATGGCCCTTTGGGGATCCCCTCTCCAACACCGTGAGTCCCACTGGAGCTGACCCGAAGTGCCCTGTCTTCTCCATGCAAGGTTGGAAATATGACCCAGAGTGGCCAATGACAGATAATTTTATCCTCTCTGGACAAAGTGATGTGTTTAGTGATGGGCAGGGGAACAACAGGGCAAACGATTCCTCCTTAGGACTGGCATTTGTGTGAGGGAGAGAGGGCCTTGTTTTCCACTGGGTTTGTAAAACTGGAATTAGGTGAGGATAGCAGTCACTGTCTCAAGCTGCATGGGTGGGCATATGGAAAAGGACAGAGCTAAGATGTAGGGAGATGTAGAGAGAAGGACAGAGGAAACTCAGGAAGCTGACGAAATTGGCTGAGACCCTGGATCCAGCTATACCTGAAGCAAGATCCACTCCTGAACGTCAGCTACATAAGTCAGTAAGTTCCTGTTGGGCGTGGGCACTTGCAGCTGCAGGGTTTCTGTCTAAAAATGGGTATGAGCAAAGTGACTGGGAGCCCAGAGGGCAGTCCTATTAACTCTGACCAGGGGAATCAGTTTAGGTTTTCTGAAGGATGTGATATGTGGGCCATCTTCAAAGATAAGTCAATTCTCAGCCAGCAAAGGAGTCCAGGGCACTTAGTGGGAGGTCAGTGTGCATATGCAGTGATAAGTGAAAGGGCAGGGTCCGTTCAGGGCTGGTGAGGAGCTGGCTGTGGTTGGAGCTGGGCCATGTTATTGGGAATGTGGGCTGTGGCTGGAAAAGTCAGAGACAACAAAGGGCTGAATGCCACCACTGAAAGCTGCCGTTCACCCGTCAGACTCCTCTCAGCTTTCTTCTTCCGCTCAGGGCTTATGACCTTGGGAAAAAGGCATGGGGATGGGAGGAGCTGTTTGAAAATAGAAGCAACCCCATCTCCAGCCTGTAGAATGGGGGGTGCCCATTTCCCCCACATTCCCCGTGTCCAACCTAAAGAAGATAAATGAATGGCAGAGACCAGTTCACTGGGAGGCAGGGGACCCCACACTGCCCAGGGCCCATGTTTCCCAGGCCAGAACACTATCTGACAGATACAGGTGGGCAAAGGCCCCAAAAGGGGACTCACCACTGCGTGGAGTCCTCAAATGCTCTATCACAATTTCCTCGTTAAAGAGAAAGATGGGAACATGCAAGAGAAGTCAGGTAAGTGCGGTAGACAGAATGATACTCCCCCAAAGATGTTCACATCCTATACCCAGGACTTGTGAATATATTTCCTTCCATGGCAAAAGGGACTTTGCAGATGTGGCTAAGTTAAGGATGTTGAGATGGGGAGAGGAGCCTGGATTATCCCAGCGGACTCAATGTAGTCACAGCTATCCTTATCCAATGGAGGCAGGACGGCCAGAGTCAGAGGGGGAGATGTGATGAGGCCAGAGTGACATAATTGTTGGAAGGAATGTGGGCACGCCCTCAAAGCTGAAAAAGACAAGGAATGGATTCCCTCCCGAGCCTCCAGAAGGGATGCACCTGGTTGATACCTTCATTTTAGCCCATAACAACCATGTTTGGACTTCTGAACTACAGCATTGTAAGATAACAAATTGGTATTAAGTCACTAAGTTTGTAATAACGTGTTACAGCAGAAAAAGGAAACTGATATGATACAGAAGCAACAGAGATCATAACTATGAGACAGTAGAATGAAAGTTCAGTGCATGCATTTCAGGGCCAACTTAACCTGGATTTATAAACCGGCTCTGATACTTTCTAGCTTGAAAAGTTACTCAAGATCTCTGGGCCTCAGTTTTTCCTACTGTAACCTGCATATAGTAATACCCACCTCTTACCATAGCCGGAAAAAAAAATCAAATAAGATGATGTACATAATAATAATTACCATGTCCCATATATGGTAGGTGTTTAAGAAATGTTAGCCATTTTCCTTTTTATTATTTTTATCATGATATACCTGAACAAATTTAATATGGTGGCCAGCAATGTAAAAAACAAAACAGAACATTTTTTTCTACTTTTAGATGTTTATCTTCCAAATCCTTTTCCCAAGGGTGTTTTGGGATGTTATTTGTTACATAAAACAAGAGAACTATGAAGGAGGTTTTATGTACACTTTTAATAACAAATTTTACATTTATATGGTGGTTCATGGGCTATGTCTAAACACATAAACTGATACTGAAAACCAAAGCAAAGACAAGCAGAGTTATGTTAAACACAACGAAACCACAACTTATTTTTTATGACAGCTGGCTATAAAACATTCCAGTTGACTGGATAAAGGTAATCAGTTGTTTCAAAGTATACTGCTTATATTTTGATGCAGAAGCAAGGACTATCTTTCATTTGCAAAGAATTATATGAAGGCCCATGCACTTTTCCAGACACATTCCCATTTTATAGTTCAGGAAACTGAGTTTTTGAGTGATCCATGTCCTATGTCCCAGAGTTGTACGTATTAGAATACATCAAGGTTTTTGTCCTTAGCCTCTCTTCTTTCCTTTCCTCCCCTCCTCTTCTTGCATTGATATTCTCCATAGGTGATCTCACCCAGTTCTATGGCTTTCGATATCATCCATGTGCTCAGGAATCCAAAAATATATATACCTCCAGCCCTGGCCCTGCCCTTGCACACCAGACTCCTCTACCAACTGTCTACCTGATGTCTTCACTTAGATACCTGCTAGGCACTGCTAACTCCTCCAAAAAAGAACTTCTGATTTTTCCCTTCTTCGGTGTGCTCCTCTCCTAGCCAGTTCATCCTCAATGAATGGTATGGCATCCCTGTCTAAAATCCAGGGACCATCCTGACCACACTTCATTTGATCATACCCACATTCCAAATTATCAACAAGTTTTGTTGGCTCTATAACCACAGTATGGCTCAAGCTCAACCACTTCTCAGCACTGCTATTGCTACCACTTTTATCACCTCTCCCTTGGAGCACTATACTGGCCTCCTGGATGGTCTTCCTGCCTTATGTGTGCCTGACTACACCTGGTGCTCCAGAGTAGCCAAGGTGAACTTTTAAAGACGCACATCAGGTCACATCATTTGCATGCTTAAAACTCCACAGTGGCTTCCCATCGTCCAATAAAACTAAACTATTTACCATGGCCTATGGGACCTCTATGAGCTTGTCCTCATAGGGCATATAAAGAACATGTTCTGACTGAGGGGATATGGAAGAGGTGAAGCAGAAACTACTTGTAGCACCCTAATATCTGCTCTATCCTTTTCTTTAGTAATAGCAGCCCTGATTTTTACTGGGCTCATGACTGGAATAAAGACTAAATTCCTTAACCTCCCTTGCCACCAGGTGTGGTCATGCAACTAAGTTATAGCCAACGCAATGTAAAGGTTTGTGTGTATGATTCTGGGAAGTGTCCTTTTAAAAAGGAGGCATGATTTTCTTCAACCCTTTTCCTCATTCCTGCTAGCTGCAACTCAAATGTAATGGCCGGAGCTCTAGCAGCCATTTTGATACATGAGGTGACCTTGGCACAGAAGCCACACAGTAGAACACAAGAATGAAGAAGGCTGGGTCTCTGGTGATGTGAAAGAATGCCATGCCAGCCCTGGATTTCTAACCTCCACACTTCTTACACTTTTATTTTGAGTGTGTCAGTCAGAGAAGAAACTAATGATAACTTCTGCGGAGGAGGGGTGTGGCAAGAATAGAAGCAGGAATAAGAATGTGGGGGTGTCTGCAGCTCTCCAGCAAGAGGCCTGAGTGGGGTGGTGGAGACAGAGAGATGTGGACAAAATTGAGAAAGATATGGCATATAAAAACCTTGATAATAAATTAGAAACGGAGTGTGAGTGTGTGAGTGAGAAATGTCAAGGTGCCTCCCAGTTTTTTGGACCAAGCAGCCACACGGTTGCAAGTCCAGTGATTGCGTTAGGGAATCAGAGAGCACATGCAATTAACATTTCTGCAAAAGAGCTGTCTAGCGCTGTTTAAGTCTGGCATTTTGTCATCTGAATCAGTGTACTTATGTCCCAAATTTGCAGTGAAATGCCCCACTCTTTAAATCAATGCATAGGATACTGCTATTGTATAAATTTCCATGCTTTTCAAAATATCCCTGTAATTTCCATTTCTCATGAAGAGAAATGCTCTTGTTACAGTCTATTTTTAGGGGCTGATTTCTCAGGTAACAATGTTATTCTCCCTTTGAGCTCCGGGTCAGTACAATCTAAGACTCACGCACATGAAGCCCTGGTGAATAAAAAGAATGCCATGAAAGATAATCTTCCAGGCCCTTCTCCACAGGCCCTACTAACATTGGATTTATGATTTGGAGGGGGCAGGGTAGTTCTAAAATGTGCTTGGCACTTTAACTCATTTGGCCTTCCCTCTTATTTGGGTTGGCAGAGTCACTCATCTTCTTTATAAAAGCTTGGCACATTGAGGACGGTATTTTATATTTTTTATGTTAAGCTGGAATTTCCGGATTGGGTTCTGCAGCATATGGCTCTGTTTTTATTAGGTTCTGGTGGGCTTACAAAGGAATTTTCTCTCTTTTGTTTACTTCACGCTAGAGTTTAGGATCTGTTCACTGTGGAGGAGGAGGTAGAAAATTGGCAGGGGAGAGACTGTCTGTCCAGACACAAGTCTATCCAGCACAAGTCACATTTTGGTTCCAACTCTGGCAACTTGGTTATTCTCAGACTCAAGGCCAGAATCACATGCACAAGTTAAATACACTGCACTGATGTCCTTACTTTCACAACAGAGAACATGTTGGCTACGTAGTAAACTGTTACCCTAAGCATCTAGTTGTGGACCTAGTAGATGTGGGTTGGGGGTCCCTGACTCAACTCCACAGTAGAATTGTTCATTAGTCAGTTTCATAAAGACATCAAAAATAGCTGACTGATGTAGAAGAAGATGAGTACTGTGCCAGCCTCTAAATGGTCCCCAGTACTCACCACCTCCTGATATTTACACTCATATGGAGTCCTCTTCTACTTGGAATAGGGCTGACTTGTGTAAACAATTGGATTCTGCAGAAATGAATAATGTGACTTCAGAAGCTAGATCTCAAAAGACAGCTTCCATCCTCCTGCTCTTCCTGGATCACTCACTCGGGGCCACCATCTGCCGTGTCAGGAGGACACTCAAGCATTCCTTTAGGGAGGCCCATGTGGTGAGAAACTGAGGCCTCCTGCCAACAGCCATGTGAGAACACCAGCTTGGAAGCAGATCTTCCAGACTTCAGGTGACCTCAGCCCCAGCTGACATCTTTTCTCTAATCTCACAAGAGCCCCCATGCTAGACCCTCCTGACAAAGCTGTCCCCAAATAACTGACCCACAAAAACTGTGAGATAATAGATGTTTATGGTTTTAAATCACCATGTTTTGGAACAGTATTTTATACAGTGACAGATAACTAATACAAGTACTTCTAAAAGACATGATCATACAACTGGAAGATCTTATTCTATTTATCTTAAAACAAGGTAGCAAAATAAAAGTTTTAAGTAGGTTTTCCCCCTTTTAAAAATCTTTTTAAAATTTTTTGTTGCTATCATTTTAATGGATGCGTGATTATTTGACATTTGTGGTTGTTCATCATCAATTCCCTTTACCTCATAACAGCCCAGTTGCTTATTGGGGACTTGACTCTACCCTTTTGCATAGAGCCTGGTTAAGACATTTTAGTACGGGTTCCCCTAAAGCAGATCTTGGGACAGAGATTTAGGTGCAAATGGTTTATTTGGGAGGAGAGCTCAGGAAGCACTAAGAAGTGCAACGTGGAATGGAGGAAGCCAATGTCCCTTATTGACATTAATGCACAGATTACTGCTGTGGGCAACTTGGCTCAGTCGCACTGAGAGACTGTGTGGAACACACTTCAGAACTTCTTCCTGAGGGTGAAGGATGCTGGGCTATTGATCTTCCAAATCCTGGCCCTCGTGGGTTGAGGGTAGCCCACTGGCCACAGAGATGACCAATGTGTGTAGAGGCAAACCTAGAGGCAACTTCCGGGGGAGGCCAAGAGGATACACACGGGTATTGACAGCATCTTCTGCAGAGGGCAATTCTTGGTTACCACTTTGAATTGGGAAAGCCAGATCCCCTGTTCTCCACTCTGGTTGGTGAAAGGAGTTGGGAAGAGGTGGGAGAGAGCGAATAAGGCCTCAGCTGAGTCACCCAGGCACTTTCTCTGTACACTTTTTGAGTCATGCCCAGTACAAAAGGAGGAACTGGCTAGAAGCCTTTCATGGTGGAGTCAGAGGCATTTGGATCAGACTTTCAGGTTCCAGAGAGGAGCCCTCTTCTCTGCTTCCTTGATACTGTGAAGCTTCCTTAGTTCCTATCCATGTCAAACCTAGTCCCTAAAAATTGTGCAAGTCTCCCCAGAATTTCACAAGCCCTTAATGTATTTTCAATAAGTTTCTCTTTGCTTAGATTAGCCAGAGTTGGATTCTGTTGCCTGCAACAGAGAAGCCTCATGGAGACAATGAGTTGCACTGAAATTAATGGGAAAGTTCACACTATTCCAACCCAGATCCCAGTGGGATGAGGGTAGATTTAAGAACTTGCTAAATGGAGTCTAAAGGTCATCTGTATGTGCAAGATATTCAAGAAGGCTTTGAAAAGGAAATGTGAGGCCACAAAGATCTATGACTGCACTAAGTGGGGACTATGGTTGATAGAACCACCAGTTTAAAGATAAAGGGTCTCTGGCTGGTCTAATTTGGCAGACAAAAATTTCATTCCCTAGTGCACGTAGCCTCTCACTCTGCTGGACTGAGCTGAGATCCTGTCTATAAAAGCTGGCTCTCGATTTCAAAGGTCAGCACTCACAATGTGTACATCCGCCACCCTCTTATTGAAGACCAAAGCGTGGCTGGGAGTGATTTGATATTTAAGCATGACCTGCCTGTCTAGACCTTTTTCATTCTCTCTCTCTCTCTTGCTCCCACCCTCCCACTCACACTCCACCACTTATAGATCTCACAGATTCAAAACTTTTTTTTAGCCTCTCAGAAAAAGATGAAGAAAGGCTGCTTGGAGTGAGTGCATCTGAAAATTGTCAGCAATAACACTGATCATTTTTTATCCGGTGTAGACCAGATACTAATCTGTTTGTATCATTATTTGGTGCTGGGGGGAAAAACAGTTTCTAAAAATATTTCAGTGATCTGCCGAGTTTTGCGGAAATGGAGGTTTGATGATCCATCACAGTGGCATGGCATAGTGCTTAAGATCAGAGTTTGCACTCAAACAGCTGGAGTAGGGATTCAGTAGGGATTCAGTTCCTCGTTTGTTATTTTCTAACTCTGTGATTGTAATTTCTTTAAGCTTTAGATTCATCTTCCATAAGTTGGACTAGTAACACTCATTTCACGGAATTCTCACGAGGAGTAAATGACACTGCGCTTGCAGGACTTACAGCAAATGTTTAATAAAGTTCATTGTTACTGACATTAGTGGGGTTGCAGCAGGAAGCAAATGACAGACTTAAATTGGGGAACTTGGGGAGATTTTAATAAAGAGACTATTTACTAAGTGTGAGAAGGGTATAGGGACACCAAGAGGGACAACTCCACCCAAATACTGGAAGACTGGGCATTTCCTACGACTTTAGCAAACTATTTTGAAATACCCACCAAGCTTCCCCAATTTTTAAAGTTTAGACTGAAGTGTTTGCTGATAACTGGAAATTCTGACTCTTGGTTCTCAGCATTTTGGAAATGGCAGGCCCTATATACTCAACTCTGAGCTGACATAGATATGATTCCCCTCAGGGTGTTCTACAGCTGAGATAACCCCTACTGGGCTGATACCAAAGGCAGACTCCCTACCAAGAGCGCCTACTGCAGTTTGCGCACATCTTTCTTGAAGGGGAATCTGGAAGGAACATCACCATCCTCTCCTCAATGACTTTATAAGGGAAGATAAGATTGTATACCCACTGTATTGATGGGGAAACTGAGATTTAAGGAGCTGAATGATCTTGCTCAAGATCATGCCACTACAAATCCACAAGCCAGTATCTGACCCAAAGCTTTCAGCTCACAAGTTTTCATATTCATAAATCTTAGGTTTTAGAAAGGAAATTTAGTGCATGTACCATATATGTCACTATACCTCTGTGTTAGTTTCTATTATTACTGTTAAAATTACCACAAACTTAATGACTTAATACAGATTTATTGTCTTACAGTTCTGAAGGTCAGAAGGTCTAAACTCAAGGAGAGCAGGGCTGTGTTCCTCCTGAAGGCCCTAGGGGAGGATCTGTTTCCTCGCCTTCTCCAGGTTCTAGAGGCTGCGTGTTTTCCCTGGCTCACACCTCTCCCTCCATCTTCAAAGCCAGGAGCGCAGCATCTTCAAACTTCCATTTCTCTAACCTCTGCCACTGTCATAGCGTCTCCTGTGCATCTGAACTTTGTGTGTTTCTGACTCTGCATCCCCTCCTAGAAGGACCTATGTGATTACACTGGGGAAGGTGTGATCACCCAGAGAAAGTAGGATCACCTCTGCATCTTCAAGGTCCTCCATTTAATCACATCTGCAAAGTTCCCATTGCCATGTAAGGTAACACATCCACAGGTTTTAGGGATTAGGACCCAAACATCTTTGGGGACCATTAGTCTGTCTACCATAACCCCAGAGGTATCTGGGACAGCACCCAATAATCAGAATCATTAATATTTCTATAGCAAAATGTCTGAATTGTTTGTGCTAAATAGTATACTTCAGAAGTCAGCAAACTACACCCTGTGGGCCAAATCCCACCTGTTTATGTAGATCAGGTTTTATGGGAACACAGCCATGCCCACTTCTTATGGCTGCTTCCCTGCTGCAAGGGTAGAGCTGAGTGCCAAAAATACTATCTGGCCCTTTACGGGAAAAAAAAATTGTCAACCTCTGGTATAAATGATCTTTCTAAATAATTCAGGTCAGTTTTGCCACCAAATGACTGTAAACCTACAGAAAATCTTTTGGTTTTCAAAGTTGTTGAATTTTGGAAGCACAAACAGTGGAACATGGGCCCCTAGTTAGTGACAGAGCAGAAGACTCAACCCCACATTACTGCAGAGCCCATGCTCTTCATCCAAACAAGCTACAGCCCCATGTCCTTAGTATTTAAGAGTGAAATGGACCCATTTTAGGATCACAGATACCCAAAAGCTTAGGGCCATATGTGGCCCTGGGCATCATTCGGTTCCCATGGATGAATAAGATAACAGTCTGCAGGCCAAGTCAGAACAGAGGCACATTCATCATGCAGCACTTTAGCAATAATGCACCTGAAAGATTTTAGCCAGGAGTGGACACTCTTTTTTACATTTTTACTTTTTCCTGGAGACAGGGTCTTGCTCTGTCACCCTGGCTGGAATGCAGTGGCACAATCATAGCTCACTGCAGCCTCAAACTCCTGGGCTCAAGCGATCCCCCAGACTTCAGCCTCCCAAGTAGCTGGGACTCGAGGCACATGAGACCACATCCTGCTAATATATATATATTTTTTTTACTTTTTTAAAGACAAGGTCTTGCTATGTTGTCCAGGCTGGTCTTGAACTGCTGGCCTCAAGCAAGCCTCCCACCTCAGTCTCCCAAGTAACTGGGACTACAGGTGCGACCTACCATACCCAGCAGTGGATACTCTTTTGGTTAGCCGCAATCACCCACATTCCCTGCCTCTTTATTGTCTCACCCAATCTCCTTCATGATAGATGTTTCCAGCCTGGTCCCTGAAGGCTTTTGAGATTTGAATGTTGAGACCTAATCTTCCTCTTCTATGCTATAGAGGGAGACAAAAAAAGTTCAACAGCAAAGCCTCTCATATAAGGTCACAGAAAATAAGTGGCCAAGTTGGGACCAGAACACAGGTCTCCTGTCCCCTCCACCAATCTCTTCTACTTCACTCTTAGGTACTTATTTTGGCTCGGGGCCACTGATGATTCATACCACCAGCTTTCACTGGCTGCTTCTGCCTGCCACGTCAGTCCCCTTCTCTGCTTGACTTTGTTTTCCCTGCAGGTCACCAGTAAATCACTTGCCTAAACAATCATCACCTTCAAATGTTCAGTGCTGGTCCCAGATGTCGTAATCTCTCTTGGCTTCGTTTGATGCTCTGGAAAGAAGTTTCCTTGGAGATCTTCCAAATCCAGGACTGGAAACTTGTTATCACATGAATTTAAGGCCACGTCAGATCTCGGCTTTCAAAATCATCACAGCTTACCTCTCCTCTAACACAACTGAACTGTGGCCTGCAGGCGAAGGTGCCCAAGTCTTGGCTGATCCCTTCTAGATGGAGTTCTGGGGTCTTGTTTTTGGAAGGAACAACTCTTGGCCTGGAGATGATGATCTACTGACATCATTCTCCCCGTGGTCATTCCTGCAGGAATTCCAGAAGAAAAGCAAAGCATCTACCTTAATTAGAATAGGTACAAAATATCTTCCAGCTGTTGGCCTTTCGTGAGGGTGATAAAGTTTCTTTTACTGAGTACTTTTCCTCTGGTTTAGGCTCAGTTAAACGTCATCCATAAGGTATCCACCATAGGGATGCAAATCACTTTTGAATTAGAATCCCTCACCATAGGTTCAGGGATAAGGGCCAAGAGTACTCAACTATGTTCCATGGCGTTTTCTTTTTGAGAGACATTGCGAAGAGTTAGATGTTTCTAGAAGTGAATGTCTGTTTTCTCTGCATTGGAATGTGGCTATTATCTTCATCACTGCTTAGTCCCTTCAACTAGTATATGGTCATTGATGTAGACTGAGAGTTGTACCTGGAAGAGGTCTTGTACAAGGAAGAAAAAGTTGATTCTCCCATAATTTCCATCAACGAACCTCCTCTAGCCATTCCAATGAACATACAACCTCAGTGGAAATAATGAACGTCTCTGCAGGAGCACTTCACTTCCACGCTATGACCACACCATCCCCTTTCTTCTGCCGTATTGTCCCCAAACACCTCTGGTTAGAAGTTTTGGAGGACCTTGACTGGAATTCAGACAATCTTATTGGAACTTTGAGAATTGTGTACTTGGATAATTAGCGTACAATCTCCACCATTCAACCTGATGTTTTGTTTTGTTGTTTTCCCTTGGATACATATATAGATATCTTTTCACAGGCTAAAGTTTTTTTTTTAAACAGGGTCTCACTTTGTCACCCAGGCTGGAGTGCAGTGGTGCAACCACAGCTCACTGCAGCCTCAACCTCCTGCGCTCGAGTAGTTCTCTCTCCTCAGCCTCCTGAGTAGCTGGGACTACAGGTTCACCACCGCACCCAGCTAATTTTATTTATTTATTTATTTTTGTAGAGAAGGGCTTTTGCCATGTTGCCCAGGCTGGTCTCAAACTCCTAAGCTCAAGCAATCCACCCACCTCCACCTCCCAAAATGCTGGGGTTACAGGCATGAGCCACCGCTCCCAGCCTGTGATAGGTTAAAGTTGAAACAGCCGAATCATGTCCTCTTGACCCTCAACTGATTGATCCAGGATAGCCACATTGATGAGCATTCCATTATATCAGGCTGCCATCTGGGTTAGCCCAGTTTCTGTGAGGACTTTGTAAATGATATGTAATTTGTTCATTCATTTAGTAAATGTGTTTGTATACCTACTATGTATGCTAGGTTCTGTGAGGAATATTCTATCATCTCTACTGCAACTAGTAGATGAAGCTGACATTGGATGGCTAGCTACCTACCAGGCACTGTTTTAAGCACCTTATATGTATTAGCTCATTTAATCATCACAAGAATACTATCAAGTAGGCACTACAATGTTGTTATCCTCATTTTACAGAAGAGAAAGCCGGATCAAGGAAAGGATAAGTACCTTGCCGAGGCCCACACGCTAGTGAGCATCAGCACTAAATAGGACCCTAAATAGTTTGGGCCCAATATCTGTGCTTTTAATCATCACACCAAACCAAGATTAGTAAGGAATGCTTTCTGCCCTCAAAGTTGTTACAGCAGGGCTGCAAACTCCACTGCTGACAGGGATCCGGCAGGAGTGAAACAGGCCATGCGGGAATTGTGGAGAAACGAAGAGCTGGCTTCCCTTCTGGGAGCTGGGCGTGGGGCACCCGCTTCGCAGACCTAGCCCACTGTAACTACCAGAGCAGACAGGCCCAGTGGGGCCAGGCTTGCCAGTGCTTCAGAAGAAGCCAGAAAGACAGAGTTTTGAAATCCGAAGTCTGAAATTTATCATTAAAAAATATATACTTTCAGGTTTCACCAGTCACTGCAAGCTGAGTTGAGCCTGTGAGTTGTCAGTTTGTAGATCTAAGTTATCATCCTAGAAGCAAATACAACATGTATGCTAATAGCTCTAATGTAATGTAAAAGTTCTGTGTCCTAAGAGAGGTACATTAGGGACACGCTATGGGAATTCACAATAACAGAGAAAGGTGACTTCTCTATGGCATTGTGTGAGAAAAGTGGCAATTAAGATGGTCTATGAAGAAAGGGCCAGGTTTAAAAGCACAGAGAGGAGTGTAAAGGGCATGGTAAGAAAGTATCCAATATTTCTGTTTGTCCACAGGGAGGTCTGATATTCATCAGGGGTTGAAATGTGCTGTTATAGTTGGTAGAGAGCGTTGTTCCCCCAGGAATCCTCCATCAGACCTTCTCCTGAACCAGGAACTGAAAGGGTACTGCCTGGCACCGCTGACTTCCTATCTGTTGGTCAGTGCCTGTGGCTGGTTCTCAGATACAATCAAGCACTACATAGAGACATTTAGGTCAACGACAGATCACATATACAGCAGTGGTCCCATAAGATTATAATGGAGCTGAAAATTCCTGTTATCTAGTGAGATCACAGCTGTCATAGTATCAGTGCAATTATTTTATTTTTTATAAACTTAGTGTCACCCAGGTGTACAGTGTTTATAAGGTCTACTGTAGTGTACAGTAATGTTCTAGACTTTCACATTCACTCACTGACCCACAGCAACTTCCAGTTCTGCAAGCTCTATTTATGGTCAGGGCCCTATGCAGGTGGACTCTTTGTCATCTTCTATACCATACTTTTACTGTACCTTTTCCAAGTTTAGGTACACAAGTACATACCATTGCGTTACAACTGACTGCAGTGTCAAAATTGCCTAAGAACACATTTCTCAGAACATATCCCTACAGCAATGCATGACTGTATTTAAACACCACCCTTGACCATAGTATGGGCAATGGAGTTAAGGCCAGCCAGGGAAGCTGGGGCCACAGTGCAGGAACCCTGGGTACCAGGTTGAGGTATTTGGACTTTTGCCCTGGGGAAACATGGACGATTTCTGCACAGGAAGTGACTTGGCCAGAATTGGATCTGACAGGTCTGGGTCAGGTTAATTGGAAAAAGGAGGAAACTAGAGATTACTAGTTAGAAAATGGAGAATGACAGTTCATACAAGAAAATGGCAGGAATTTGGGGCACAGAAAGAGAAGAGAGGCAGGGCTTTGGAAGGGGCTGAACCTGGTGAATGAGTGAGGGCATGGTCAAGGGCCACTTCCCCAGTCCAAGCCCAGGTGAGTGGTGATATCACTGGGCACCTAGGGGTGGGGTGGAGAGAGCAGGTTACGGGGAAAGAGTAGGAATTCTCCTTGGGACATTTTGGGTGTGAAGAACTGGTGAACTTTCAGGCCCATGTACATTATTAAATGTCTTCCCTGGGAGAATAATATGTCTTTAGAAATAATGACTATACATTCATCTCCCTCCCCACATCCCCTGGGATAGCTTGTGGAAAACAGATTGAAGCTTTGGGAGAACAGAACATAGAATTTTTAAGTTTTGCTTCAGAAGCTAAAACACTAAATGTGAGAATGTTATGATAAAAAGCAAGTCCTGGTGGACATTACCTGGGACAGCTCGGGACTGAAGGTGATAACACTTATTGAGCTCCCGCTATGTCCCGGCCCACAGCAAGACTCTATGTAGATGATCTCATTTAATCCTCAAAACAACCCTATGAGCAAGGTACTCTAATTATTCCCATTTAACAGATGAGAAAACTGAGACCTAGGAATATTGAGTAATTTGTGAGACCTTCCAAAAGGAGAGATGAGGACCTTTGAGGCAAAGTTTATTCATTTAATGATTTTTTTTTTTAGAGATGGCCCTAGTTACAGGTGATGTAGTCTTTATGAATCACAGTTCCAACTCCTTCGTAAGTGATCTACAGTGTTGACTTTATTAGATCACAGCAATGATGGGCTTATTTTCGAGCATTGTTTATACAGCAAGCAGACAGCTTTTCTTAGAGTTAAAAGTGCTATCATTCAAATTTTACATAATATTGAGAAAATGTCCATATTAAAGAATATTTTTATTTGACTAGTATATTAGTCTGGGTTCTCTAGAGAAATAGAACTAATAGGTGATATATAGAGAGAGATTTATTATAAGGTATTGGCTCATGCAGTTATGGAGGCTGGGAAGTCCCACCATCTGCCGTCTGCAAGCTGGAGACCTAGGAGAGCCGGTGGTGAAGTTGGAAGGCCCGAGAACCAGAGAGTTGATGGTGTAAGTCTCCATCTGAGTCCTGAAGGCCTGAAAGTCTCAAAGACCCCCAAACCAGGAGCACTGATGATGATGAGTGTAGAAGAAGATGGATGTCCTAGCTCAAGTAGAGAGAACAAATTCACCCTTCTTCTGCCTCAACTGACTGCAAGATAGCGCCGACATTGGTTAAAGTGATCTCCTTTACTCAGTTCGACCAATTCAAATGCTCATCTCATCCAGAAACACCTTCGCAGACACATGCAGAAATATTTAAACAGCTATCTGGGCATCCCATGCCTCAGTTAAGTTGGCACAAAGTTAACCATCACAACTGGGGTAAGAAATCATGTTGGGGCCACTCCTTGTTGACACAGTGACTTCTACAAACAGACTAAGTTGAAAATCCTGAGCTTTGGAGTCAAAGAGAAATGGGTTCAAATCCTAGCTCCATTATCTGCTGACTGTATGACCTTGAGCCAGCCATTTATCTGCCTTTGCTTCAATTTCCTCCTATTTCATGTCAGCCTTATTACATTGCTATGAGGGTTAAGAAATGTTTTAACTGTATATTCTTTTTTTTCTTCTATCCTGTCCTATATTCTCTTTCTTTCCCTCCTATTTATTGCCTTTTGGAAATTATCTAGACCAGGGTTCAGTAAACTTTTTCTTAAAGGACTAGGTAGTAAACATTTTAGACTTTGTAGATCATGTGGTCTATATTGCAGCTACTCAACTCTGCTGTAGTACAAGCCATAGACATATGTATAAACATATACAAACATATACATAAAGCTATGGACAATATATAAGCAAATGAGTGTAGCTGCCTTCCAATAAAACTTTTTTTTATAAACAGAGGCAGCAGGCCAGATTTGGCCCACAGGCCATAGTTTTCCAACCCCTGATCTAGACTATCTGAGCAGTTATGAGGACCTCTCTAGCAGGCTTGGGAATGAGAAGTGCTCTGCAGGCAGGAAGCACAACTTCCTGATAGGGGAGGGAATTCCAAATGTACTCCACTTACCCTTAGCAAACAATGGCAACTCTGTCTCTAAAGAAATGCACAAAAAGATATTGGAGATTTTTGAAACAGCTTCTATAAGATCAGATTTTAAGCAGTTTTAATGGTTCTGAGATTAATCTGATCAGATTTACTTTCAAATGTACATAGCGCTGGTAAAAAAAAAAAAAAATGCATGGGAAATTTTTGCCACACTTAGAATGTGTTGCCTTTTATGGCTTGCAGAAGGCAGGAGAGACACTGAATCCAAACAGGGCTTTGCTCACTGCCTTTTTGCCCACAGACCAGAATTCTCTGTTACAGGAGCATTAATGCCACAAGCTTCTGTTGTCCCTGGGGCCTGAATCCCACTGGCTCTCATTACATATTCATATATATATATGTATATATACACACACACACATATATATACAAACACATACATATACATGTATGTATTTTAAGACAGGATTTTGCTCTGTCACCCAGGCTGGAGTGCAGTGATGCCATCATAGCTCACTGCAGCCTCAAACTCCTGGGCTCAACTGATCCTCCTACCTCATCCTCCTGAGTAGCTGGGACTATAGGCACATGCCACCACACCCTGCTAATTTTTTTTTATTTTTGTAGAGCGAGGGTCTTGCTATGTCACCAGGCTGATCTCATACCCTGGCCTTGAGTGATCTTCCTGCCTTGGCCTCTCAAGGCTCTAGGATCACAAGAGTGAGCCACCATGCCCAGCCACATATTCTATTTTTTTAAATACTGGCTTTCACAGATATGGTCTTATTTGAGCCCCACAACAAGCTTTCTGAGGCTCAGAAAGGTGAGGCAAACACCTTAGTCTGAGAATGTGTGGGAATTCTTATAATATGTGTGGCCCCCATGAGAATGTGCCCTGCAGACTACAGGGAGCCTAACTGGCCAAGTGCCCTGGCTGCTGTGCTCTTGGATCCATCCCTGCATTTGCACCAAAGCCACACTCCCCACAGGCTGCTCCCAGCCAACGACCAAGTGGGAAAACTGAGGCAGGCCCATTTCTGGGAGATGTGAGCTCCTTTGATGGCTGAATTTAGCGAGTCATCTTGGTGAACTTTGGACTACACACATTCTAGAGCACATCTGCTCGACCTTCCTTCCCTCTCTCCTTTACACAGAGTTAGACCTGCACTGTAGTCTGACAGCTCTCCCAACCTCTTCCAGCCCCTTCTCGATTTTCTCTCATGAGTGTTTTTTATAATAAAATCTGTATACATTTAATCCCATCTTGGCATATGCTTCTCAGATATATACTTTTAAAAATAACATGGACCCCAGCCCTAAGGTAAGAAGTGCTCTCTATGATGGCAGGGCCCACCTGCAGACAGTTTGGTGGACATAAACTTCTTGAGAACCCAGCATCCCTGACTTAGTTGGGATTCCTTCAGAAGATACAGACGACAAGGATTTGACTACAAGTAGTTTATTTGGAAGACAATTGCAGGATGCACAGCAGAGGAGTGGGAGAGTGAAACAGGGAAGAGACAGAAGCCAATCAGAGGGTGTATTGGGGAGCAGGTTGCCACTGTGGGCAACTAGAGCTCAGTTGTGCTGGGGACCTCTGGAAGGCAGGGTAGAGCATATATTTGAGTTGTTCCACCTGGGAGGTGGTTTTGAGGAAGCTGGAGTCTTTTTCCATCAATTCCTACATGTCATTGATTGACAGCTGTTTCCTGACCCTCTGCCCTGCCCTGTGCATGAGTGCCACCTACTCCTCTGTCCAGAGGAAGCCCCTGGGTCAAGTCATGGGTACTTCCACTAGGAAGCCAGGCATGCGGGAATAGTGAGTGTCAGGGCTAATGGGTGGGGCCTAACAGCATCTTCCCCAAGCCTCATTTCAGGTTGTAAGGGTTAGGTAGAAAAGACCTAGGAGTTTACACCTGATTCAAGCACTGTCACCTCCAACACAGTGATCAGTTCAGGGCTCCAATGCAACCTGGATCAACCACAGTTTTCCCTGGAACGTTTGTTAGCACTATCTAGGAGGATGCACTTGCTCCTGAGATCACAAAAACTAAGCACCGCGCCAAGCTGGACACCTGGCAGTCCTCCTGCCCTGAGAATGAAACCAGTGTCGATGAAATTAAAGCTGAGGGATGGAAAGAAGCAGAGAGGCACTAGTACCCACTGATAGCTCTGCTGAAATGTCTGGATTCAGGTGTACCCGAAGCCAAAGTACCTCTGGATTTTCTGTGACATGCCAATTCGTTATATTTCCTGCTGACGAAAATGTGAATGGAGGCTCTGTCATTTGAAAACAAAAGAATTCTGACAGATGTGGGCAGACACCCAAGTTAATGTAAGATCACGGGGCATGGGTTTCAAAAAGAGAAAAGAGCCACTTCTCTTGGTGCAGAATCTTGTGTTTCATTGACAAGACTCATCTGCAGGATACGACGGCCAACTAGGGAGACAGAAACAGTCCCTGCCCTCAGTTTTGAGAACGTAGCAGCAGTCTTCAAAAGACATCACTAGCCATAGATTTTGGAAATCTCTACCCAAACCCCATTCTTCTCAAATAAAAACTTCATGAAATCCCATAATAAAAGCTCTTAAATTCATCATTTGAAGCTTTTTAATAATTAGAAAGCAAATGAGCAGCACTGCAGGGCTAGATCTTCAGGTGGTCCTGCTAACACTGCATGATGAAAAGCCATCAGAATTTATGCCAGTGACATCTCATTTTAGTTGTTTCTGAATAATTCTCTGAGCCTGACTTTTTGCTGTCAATACCTCTCTCCTAAAAGGTCTCGATTTGCTTCTGTGGCTGAGGCCTACGGTTAAATGCGCTTTAGCCTGAGCTCTTGACTTTGCACGAAGCAAGTATAGAGTAATTTGCCCTTTCTCCAGGATTCAAATAGCCATTATGCAGACTTCCCAGTGAGGCGTCTATGGATTTAAATGTATCCCCCATCATTGATGGCATTTGGAGGTGGGGCCTCTGGGAGGCAACTGGGGTTAGATGAGGTCATGAGGACAGGAGCTTCATTTAAGGATTAGTGTCCTTAAAAGAAGATACACCAGAGAGTGACACACCTCTCTCCCTCTCTTCCTGTCCTACTCTGCATGCACAAAGAGGTTTTGTGAGCACGCAGAGAGATAATGGCCGCCTACAAGCCAGGAAGAGAGCCAGAGGGCCCTTACTGGGAACCAACCTTGAGCTTGAACTTCCCTGCCTCCAGAACTGTGAGAAAATCAATGTTCCTTGTGTAATCCACCCAGCCTGTGGTACTTTGTTGTTGTAGCCCTGGTGGACTTATACGGAGGCTAAGAGGTTGATCTCGCTCTAGGTGGAAAGTGAGTCCAGGAGTGGTAAAAACGTAGCTCTGTGTCTCCATCCCTATAGTCAGAGTGGGTCTGCTGCTGATCAACACAGTCACAAGGCCAGGTAGCGACTATGGGGAGAGTTTGGAATGTGAAAAAGTCTCAGTGGGGTTACTAAGTTTATTTGGAGCTGGACTTTCATGGAAATTATGGGATATTCTTCAACCTTGGCCCCTGCCCGCTAAATGCCAATGGAAACTCCCAGTCACTGGGACAACCAGAACCACCTTCACACATTTCCAATCACCCCGGTGGGAAAGGGGGTACTGTCCCTTCTTGCAACCAACCGGAACCCCCAGGATCTAAGCTTTTAAGCACCTCACTTCATTACCATTCCAATGGCTGGCATTTTAAAGCTTGCCCAATGGCCAGAGCTGTCCAGTGAGTTGTAGGGAGAACATTCCATTCCTTTAGTATTTGGCAAGAAGGTGTCCTTGCACTGTAAGATTTCCAGGGCCGGTCAAACATAGCAAGGAACATGTCTTAACTCCAGGCCCTGCAGAAGCAGAATGGCATGTGTCCAACGGGTTTTCAGTCAGTATTGTATATGGAGAAATTATTGAATTGAATTCTTGCCTCCAGACAAAATATATTAAACTTATGGAGGATGTCACGGTTTTCCGTGGCTGACCCTCTCTCTCCCATTTGTCTTGGTCCCTGCTCTCAAAAATACCTTCCTTAATTAGTCTTGCTGCAATTTACATCAGCTTCTACTTGCCTTGCACCCACATTTATTACCCTAAGAGACAATATGACATACCGTGGGTTAGAGATTGAGCATCAGAGTTGGATAATAGGTTCAAATCCTACCTCTGCCTCTTATTAGTTGTGTAACTATTGGTTGTGTAACTAAAAGCAATGTATTATTTTTTGGTCTATAAAACAGGAGCAGCAATAATAGTTCCTATCTCATTGGGTTGATGGGAGGATAAAGTGAAATTCCTTGGACTTGGGGCAAAAAAGCAACAATTGCCTGTCTAAAAGTCTTCTCTCACAATACATTCCTTGGCTTTACCAAAATGCAAGAAATTCTCAAGTTTCTCCTTCATTTTTGTGTTAAATTATTTAAGGCTCCAGTTTAAAATGAAAATATTGGGGAGTTCCTAGAGAATAAATATTACGCATGGTTTATCTTTGTATCCCTGGCATCTAACCTATAGAAGATGGGCACTTAATGGTTGTTGAACGAACAGTGTCCAATGGCTACATGAAGTCACTGTGATAGTAATAACAGCAGCTAATCCTGAACAACTGTTTACTAAGTACCAGATTATGTTCTAAGTGTTTCACATATATATTGAGTTATTTAATTCTTATGACAACCTACAAGGTAGGTAGTTTCATCACTGTCATTCTATAATAAGGAAACTGAGGCTATAGAGAGATTAATTTCCCCAAGTTCACGCAGTTTTTAGATGTGATCTTGGAAAAAAAACCAAGGTAACTTTAGAGGGAAACTAAGCTCTGTCCCAAGAACTCTTGTCTGATATCACCTCCCCAAACCTTGTTGGGTGGGAGGTGGAGGTAGGCTGTGGCTTTTCTCCAAAGAGCAATTGCACTTCACGTCATCCATTCTCAATTTCCACTCTGGTTGTCCTCCATGGCAGTCCTCCAGCCCAACACATGTGCTCAGGCTGTTGGCCAGGAGCTAAATTTATTTGAGAGCCCAGGATTCAAACAGGTACATAAATTACACATATACAGCCTCATTCCTCAGTTCAGCCTGATACAGTGGTATACCCATCAGAGTTTACAGGCAATTTACTCCCACTCCTAAGCTATCTGGTCCTGTGGTGCTGTCAGCTGCTACCCCCACCCCATGCAGCAGGCACCTTATAAAAGATGACCCTGGTGGATTCTCCCCCTGTCCGTAGCCTTAGTTTTGAACTCCGCCCAACTTAGTCCTTGCATCCTACTCTGTCACTGTGTCACATCTCTGACCTTGTGGCTTCTCATACCTTTAGTGCTGTCCATTGACCTTAGGATAAAGTGTAACCCCCTCACAGTGACTCACGGAGCCCACCTCTCCAGGCTACCTCCCAACCAGCCTCACACCTTCCTGACCTTCCTTACTGTCTTACAAATAGCAGGATGTTTTGTTGCCTCTATCATCCACACTGCCATAAAGACCAGAGAGTAATTTTTTTCTTAAATATTAAAGATCAGTCCTTTGGTGATGGAAAAGGTTGTGTCCACCAAGATAATTCTCATTTTGCTAGGACTGGATAAATACCAGTCAACTGCTCACAATTCAAATCACTTTAAGTCTCCTCAGCCACGGAATTGATTTCTGCTTTTATGTTTACTCTAGTGGTATTGTATGGAGGCCTTTCAGAGGAAATTTCAGGAAGGTCCACATAACAGAAGCTTCATAGACTCCTTAAACAGCTTTTAGAAAAGACATTTCCTCCTCCAACTATGATATTTGGGCAGGGTTGGGGGGTGGGCAGGGAGTTAAAAGTCCAGGAGACTGAAGGCCTCTGGAAATAGGACCTTATTTGGGGTGTCTTCTGTAGAACCTAGCATTTGCTGAACTGAACAAAAAGAAAAGGAGTCTGGGTAGGGAGTTTTAAGGAATGAGAAAAGAAGGAAGAAGTGAAGCTAATATTTATTGCAGATCTGCAGCGAACCCTCAGTTTGCCAAGTGTTTTACATTCTGTCATTGCCTTCAATCCTTACTACAATTCTATGAAGAAAGAGTATCCCCATTTTACAAGGAAGGAAACAGGCCCAGAGAGGTTAAGTAAGTTGCCTAGGGTCACACAGCTAGTGACGAGCAGCAGCAGTATCTGAACTCCAGTCTCATTTTCCTTCTACAATACTGACTTCCCGATTAAAGTCAGGTAAACCATTGCTCACCCTCAGCCCAAATAGGTCTATATGTTTTTCCCTGTTCCCACAAGACCCTTTTTTTAAACCTCTGCTGAGCACCTCTTGATGTCTCAAGAACCTACTATTCAATCAAATTTCAAGTGTTGTCAGAATTCAGAAGTTTTAGAAAGCTGGCAGATATATAGGTTTTAAAAATAGAATGGCAGCATTAGTCAGTGTTTGGGATCTACTCTCTGGACACTCAGGAGAGTGTCAGAAATCTGATTGGATAATTACTGAAGTTTCACTCAAATGTGCCTGCATTATGAAAATACAGTCTTCTTTGCATTTTAATTATGGAAAATATTTGGGTTGTTAAACTATTTCTAACAAGGAACATTTATTTTTTAAAGGAACTTAAATTTTTGTTAAATACTGAAATATATTTGGGGGATGTAATTACTGTAAATATATGGAAATAGGACCACTTGGGTAATATGTTACCAGTTGCCAATTTCTCATGCACTTAAACAATCTGTCTCCTTTCAAAGTATGACAGTTGGCAGAAATTCTTGGGCATATGAGAGATTGTGATTGTTTTCAGACATTAAAAATCAGCCTTCAGACCATCAATGCTGCACAGATCTAACTTCATCCTCCTTCTGCCTCTATCCTACAGGCATCACCTCGCACAGAGTAGACTCACTTGGTGTGTGCATGGGGGGAACTGGATTTGATACTTTCTACCTTCACTCTGGGTGGCTAAGGGCTGTTCTCCCCTCATGTAGAGAATCCATCAGCTGCCGGGAGAAGCCAATGAAGCATGCGAGACCCAGGAACTAACTCTATTTCCTAGCAACCAAGGAAAACCATTTCTCCTCTGTCAGCAGGAATGCTCAGATTTATGTAAGCTACAAATGCCCGTTATCACCATATTAAACCATATAGTTGCAGGCGGTATTTACAGCCAGCTAATCGTGGCACTCTATCCTGGCAGCCCCCAAGCTGGCAAGTTTCCCATTTGGAGCCCCCCAAAACTATGATTAGGTGGATGCTGAGTACTAATTTAGTTAACAGCAGTGCCTGACAAAGCTACTAACCATCTAATTATGAAGGAAGATTACTGATACCATTAATTGAGTGGTTGTAAACCTCTGGTAAAGTCAGATGGTAGTAAAGTCCATTTTCAATTTACTAGGCTATTAAAAGTATTTCTGACTATAAAATAAACAGACACAAAGCATACTAAACAGGCTAATATGGAAACATAAAAAGAAAAGGGAGAAGCTTGTCATGCAATTAGTGGTCGTGATTAGCTGTGCCACAGACCCAGCGGTGGAAATTAAAGATTAATTTATGACAGTGCTCTGGCAAAGGAGGTTTTCTGGCGACTGCTCTGCCTACAGGTGGGCGAGGCGCTTGTCATTTCAATTGCCAAAAAACCACCTCCAGCTTAGGCGAGGCTTCGGGCTTCCTTGGGACTGTTGTTTCTATTACCTGTAACTGAAGATGCTTTACTGATACATGTCCTCACTTAGAGCCTCTGTTTCCCTGCACGAATAGGTTGGTTAGGGGCCTTGCAGTTCTAAAAGATCCTAGAATTATCCATTCCCATGTCCCGTCCTACCGACCTGGGTCCCTGCTGTCCCCTAAATAGAGTTCACATGTTCATGTGCCTGTCCCTTCACCTGGGTGCTCTGCCTTCCACCTACTCAATGCATGGGCTGTCTTGGTTTCCACAATCTGGAGAGTTCTCGTAAGGAACCCGTCTCTGCACCCCTCACTTGCCATCCATCCTTGCCACCTCTTCCCTGTTTACACTTTTCATTCATCCAGCTTATAAAAGTTTCTGGAGTGGAGGCCAGGCCCAGTGTCTCATGCCTGTAATCTGCATTTTGGGAGGCTGAGGCAGGTGGATCACCTGAGGCCAGGAGTTTGAGACCAACCTGACCAACATGGCAAAACCCCGTCTCTATAAAAATACAAAAATTAGCCAGGCGTGGTGGCACACACCAGTAATCCCAGCTACTCAGGAGGCTGAGGCATGAGAATAGCTTGAACCCAGGAGGCAGAGGTTGCAATGAGCCGAGATCATGCCACTGCACTCCAGCCTGGGTGACAGAGCCAGAATCCATCTCAAAAAACAAACAAAAAAAAAAGTTTTGGAGTGCTTATAGAGGTGTGCGGATTGACTGAGAGTAAGCATTCCAGGGGCATGACGCATGTCACCTGGAAGTGAAGGAAAATTGGGAAGAGGGGAAGAAGGAACCTGCCAATATCTAGAAATAACAAGAACAATATTTAGTGTGGAGTCTTGTTATCCAAAGGACCTTCACAGTGAGACGTCCAGAAGCAGCTGTGAAGTAGACCAATAGACATCCTGCCAATCTCACCAGTACACAGATGGAGGCTCAGAGAGGAGAAGTGGCCTTGTCTGGAGTTTCACCATCAGCCAGTGTGAGGACCGGGAACAGAAACCACGGCTCTGGTCCATGTTCTGATGGGCCAAGCAAAAGGACTACTCTAGGGCCGGGTGCAGTGCCTCACGCTTGTGATCCCAGCACTTTGGGAATCCACCCAAGGCGGGTGGATCGCTTGAGCCCAGGTGTTCAAGAGCAGCCTTGGCAACATAGTGAAAACCCTATGTCTGCCAAAAATACAGAAATTAGCCAGTCTCATAACCCAGTCTCAGAATATAAATAAATAGATTTTAAAATTAGAAAAAAAAAAAAAACTCTTCTGCGGGATAAGTGTCGGCCACGTGCCAAGTTCCTTATCCATAGCATGACTGGAACTTCTCAGACTCCACTTTGAGAATGAGCCCTAATATCTGGCTTCCTCAAGGTGAAATGAACACTTCACACACAAACAGAAGCTGGGGCACACGGCCTTTTTTACCAGCTTCTTTTCTCACAGGACAACCAGCGATTGCTTCACCAAAATTTTAGTCACCCTATCACCTTCTTGTTTCTCAAACTGTGGTCGCTGCACCAGTGGCATTTCTGGGAGCAGGTGAGAAATCTAAATTCTTAGACTCCACTCCAGGCCTCCTGAACCAGAATCTGCTGCCTAACAAGATCCCAGGTGTTTCCTGTGTGCGTGGAAGATTGAGAAGTACAGGCGCCAGTTGCTAGCTCTGTTCTCTGTCCAACTCCTGGGTTCAAGCGATCCTCCTGCCTTGGCCTCCGAAAGTGCTGGGATTACAGGTGTGAGCCACCACACTCAGCCTGACTTCACTTTTTTCCCTCTTCCCCAGTGAAATTTACAGTCCTTTAGTCTCTTTTTCTATCCCACTGGGGACCTTAGTCTCCTTGCTGGTCTTTCGCCCCTCTTCTCCCTCTCAAAACTACAAAAGGGGAAAAATGATGTGTCTTGCAAATGAGCGTTTAGGACTTGTGGTAGGCCGGATGGTGGGAGGCACCAGTTTTTCCTGAATCGTGGCAGGACAAGGATCATCTGAGGTGCTTGTTGAACATACAGCCTCCTTGTCCCATCTCTGGAGATTCCCCAAAGCACTGGTTCTAGGACAGGGTGGGGTGTTTGTGTGGGTAAGTAATGCCCACAGGGGACTCTTTTCCTGAGGGAAGTTCAAGGATTCTCTGCTCGCACCCTGTGGTTTGCAGCCCCCGCTGTGCATTAGAACCACCTGGTGAGCTTTTAAACCAACTGAAGCCAAGAATGCACTCACAGCAATTCCATTTGATTGGGTGAAGGTAGATCCCAGGCATTTTGCCTTTTTTTTAGGTTCTCCAGGTAATTGTAATGTATAAGCAGTGTTCACAACAACAGTCTCAATACAGGTTCTCAAAATGTGGCCCATGGACCAGCAGTGCCAGCACAACCTGTGAACTTGTCAGAAATGCACATCTGAGGGGCCCACCTTCCAGAACTACCACATCAGAAATCTGGAGGTGGGCCAGTTATCTATGCTGTAATAAGTTCTCCAGACAACACTGGTTACATAATTTTTAGGGGCTACTGCAAAATGAAAATACACAATCCCTTATTCAGAAATTCAGACTTTCAAGACAGTGACTGCATGGCACTAAGCCAAGCAGAGAGCCCTCTGCGCATGGAGCCCTGTGTGACTACACTGAACATGCACCCATGAAGGTGACTCTGTATCCAAGTGACTCCGACGCATGCTAAAATCTGAGAAACGTCCGGGAGCGGTGGCTCACTCCTGCAATCCCAGCACTTTGGGAGGCCGAGGCGGGTGGATCACTAGGTCAGGAGATCAAGACCATCCTGGCTAACACGGTGAAACCTTGTCTCTACTAAAAATACAAAAAATTAGCCGGACGTGGTGGTGGGTGCCTGTAGTCCCAGCTACTCAGGAGGCTGAGGCAGGAGAATGGCGTGAACCCGGGAGGTGGAGCTTGCAGTGAGCCGAGATTGCGCCACTGCACTCCAACCTGGATGACAGAGCAAGACTCCATCTCAAAAAAAAATCTGAGGACCTAGAGTCTAGATTCTCCTGCTGGCCTATAGCTCATGTTTCTGTTTCTTGGCATGATCCGAGGGCGACACTCAGGACTTGTAAGGCACTAGCTCTGGGATGATGATAATAATAGAACCATTCATTGATCATGTGTGACGTACCGGGCCCTGGCCTTGGCACTTCCCAGGCATTATCTCACTCAAGTCTCATCACACCCTCAGGAGGCAGATCTGTTAGCTTCATTCGCATTGTACAGATGGGAAAACTGAGCCAAGGCCAATGGTGATTAGTTGGTTGAATATTTCGAATGTCACCTTCCTGCCTGCTCCTTCACCCTTCCCACTGCTGCAGTCATTATCAACCCTGAGACCATCCTTACTCCTAACTCCATGAGTGAGGACTTATTGGAACAGAATTGCCTGAAAGGTCTCTAACTAGGAGCCTAGCCTTTTCTCCAGCAGGATAGAAAGGTTTATAATCACAGGTTTTCTGCTTATTGTGCCAATGAAGAATTGGAGGTTCAGACAGGGGACAGAGCTAGCAAGCAGTGAGTCAAGATTTGAATCCAAGACATGTTGATCTCAAGGGCTACCGCAAGTCCTAAACACTCGTTTACAAGACACATCATTTCCCCTCTTTTGTAGTTGTGACAGGGAGCAGAGGGGTGAAAGGCCAGCAAGGAGACTAAAGTCTTTAGTGGGTTAGAAAAAAAGACTAAGGACTGTAAATTACAGTGGAGAAGAGGAGGAACTCTAAAGTGAAGTCAGGCTCGGTGGGTGTGGCGGCTCACGCCTATAATCCCAGCACTTTGGGAGGCCAAGGCAGGAGGATCGCTGGCGCCCAGAAGTTAAGACCAGCCTGAACAACATAGTGAGACCCCGTCTCTATAAAAAAATATAAAAAAATTAGCTAAGCATGGTGGCGTGCTCCTGTAGTCCCAGCTACTTGGGAGACTGAAGTAGGAGGATTGCTTGAACCTGGAGGTTGAGGCTGCATTGAGCTATGATTGTGCCACTGCACTCCAGCCTGGGTAACAGAGGGAGACCTTGTCTCAAAAAATAAGATAAAGTGAAATTGACCTCATGTTCAATCTGGCCACCAGTTTGTTGGATATGTTACCTCTCTGAGTCTGATTCATCTTCTATAAAATGGGTATAATATCTATTTGTATTGGATAATTGTAAAAATTCAATGAGATTACGGTTTAAACAAGCCAAAGAGTGTAATCTGACTCCTGCCACAGAGCAAATGCTCACTAAAAGGTGTTATTACTGTTGAAAGGGCCTTTGCCCAGGCTGGTGGGATTTTGAGTATCCTTGCCCCACCACTCCCATGTGATGGAGCTGAATAAATCAGAAAATTCAAGACAAAGCTGGGAGGTCTGGGGCTGTGTCCCAGCTCCACCACAAAGTCATTTAGACCTTGGATTTGTCCATACTCCATTCCAGGCCTTGGTGTCCTCATCTGACAGTATCAGGTCTGAACCAGTGAGCTGTAAGGCTCTCCAAAGCCCGGCTTTACTCTGAGCATGGAAGAATCCATTTGCATTGGAAGCCTCGTTCCTGAGCACTTGGTTTATTGGAAGATATTTGAAAGAAGACTGAGAAGGGACAGGTTCCAGGGGCAAGTTGTCTTGAGGTTTGAATCTGGCATCTGCTAGCTATTAACTGGAAAAAGCTTGGAAACATAAAATCCTCTATGTGCTGACCCTTGGGGACCTGGCTTCAAAGGTGGTCCTCACACTGCTATTAAGACAATCACAATCCTTGGCCCTCCATGAGCCCCAGATCTGAATTCTGAATAACATACATTGTGCTGAAGCTTCAGGAGCTTCAGAACACGCTACTCCAACATATGGCACCTTGGCATATTGAATATTTAAAGCTGAAGGAATTTGAGAAAGAGCAGGTGCAGCAAGGACTCTCTGACCTTCCCGGAAGCAGGTCATAAGCCCCTCATGTGAGAGGTCCCCTCCCTGTACCGGGAGCAAGGAGCATCCTTCTCTCTGAAGACAGAGGAACCCTGAGAGGAATCCACATGAACAGGCCTTGCTAAGTGTCCCCAGCTCACTATTCGTAGCCCACATCCTTTTTTCCTATCATGGTTTTCCATTTTCCACTCTTACCCAAACTGGTAACTGTTTAACTGTTTTTTTGGGGAATCTTCATTTTCCTATAAAGGCTGCTGTGTCACATAAAACTTGTATGAAATAAATTACATGCTCTTCTTCTGTTAACCTTTGTCAATTTAATTTTCAGATGAAGCCAGGGATCCGACTAGGGTCGAGAAAAACATGTTCCTCCCCTACAAGCTCAACTTTTCCCTTCCCTCCTTTTTGCAGGGTAGATTCCCCAGAAAGCACACTCTAAGATGGAGATTAGTGAGCAGGAGGTTTATTAGGGAGTTCTCATGGAATCAACATCTGGAGAATTGGGAAGGGAAGGAAGTCAAATTGGGCAGAGGGAGAAACTGAGCTACAATGTAGTCATGAGGAAGGTCTCAGCCCACTCGACACGGAATTCTTTGCTGGGAATATCTTTCTGAGTCATCCAAGTTGAGGCTGAGAGGCTCGGGACTCCACACCCTTTTGTCAATCAGTCATTAGATGCAGGCTTCCATGGAAGGAGGCGTGACAGTGGCAATGAGGCAGCTCTCTTCCACCAAGGCAATCCTCTAGGGTGCTGACAACTGAGGGCTGTCAGCAGGCAGCTCTCCCAGAAGCTGGGGGCCTAGGTGCCTCTCTCCTTAAGGATGATTTCGGTAGCTCATCACAGCCTCCGCCCCCCACTCCTCCTTTTTCCTAATCATGCTGCATAGGAAATACAAACCTTCTTTATTTCAGCCTCAGCAAGTGCTAATTGAGTGAAGATTGTACAGTTGCTTGCTTTTTCACCAATTTAGCCTGTGCCTCATAAAAGTAGATCCAGTTTGGAGAGTCAGGGTCAAGTAGAGGTGGTGATATGGTATGGCCCTGTCCCGACAGTAAGAGCTATCAGTTACTGAATGCTAATTGTCTTCTGGGCTTAGGATGTTTCTGCTTTCCTTTAAAGTCCTTCAGCATAGGTAGTGTGATATTGATTTTGCTTAATCTATAACCCGGTAATGATGAGCAGCCCAGTCAAGAATGAATTGTCCAGTCGAGCCACACTCATGCCTGTAATCCCACTACTTTGGGAGGCTGAGGTGGGCAGATCTCTTGAGGTCAGGAGTTCAAGACCAGCCTGCCTAACATGGTGAAACCCCATCTCTACAAATATACAAAAAAAAAAAAAAATTAGCTGGGCTTGGTGGTGCCCGCCTGTAGTCCCAGCTACTTGGGAGGCTGAGGCAGGAGAATCATTTGAACCCGGGAGGCGGAGGTTGCAGTGAGCTGAGGTTGTGCCACTGCACTCCAGCCTGGGTGACAGAGTGAGACTCTATCTCAAAAAAAAAAGAATGAAAGAATGAATGGTTCAAGGAAGACCAGACAGCTTATTCTAGAGCTGACTGCTGCAAGTCCTTGTTTCCCACCTCTTGAGTAACAATGAAAGCTTTGTTAACTAGCACCCAGAATGTCAGATATGAGAGTGTGCATGTCTCTGTGTAAGTATTGGCCTGTTGACCAGCTCAATGCACATTAGAAATGGGCTCTCATTGGTGAAATTAAGGCATTCACAATATATGGATTGGCTTAAATCCTGGAGAGACATGCCACATGTTTTCATGAACATGATAGAAGAATGCAGGGGAGTCTGTAGACTTTACCCTAAGAAAATCAGCAAAATAGGCCATGTGAACTGTTTTTGTGCCTGCTTGCTAAAACAGTAATAATTGATAAGCCCTCCTGTGTGTGGTAGAGAGTCCCTTTCTTTAAAGCTCAGAAACAAAGCCATGTAGAGAGTGGCAAACCCTTGGCACCTCAAACCTCTTCACTGGCTGCTCTGCACGTACTGCAAAAGAACCTGGGGTTGTCCTCTACCAAATTGTCTCTGGTCAGTCTCCAGCTGGGCTCAGTACCTGGTGTTATGTGCATGTACTTTATTTAATGCCCACAACAAACCTATCAGGTAGATAGTGTTGTTTATACCCATTTTATTAGTGAGAAGCCCAAACCTCAGAGTGATTTCATAACTCACCCAAGGTCTTCATAGCAGATCCAACCAGGATTTGGACCCAGGTCTGTTTGTTCTCCAAGTTCTTCACTTCTGGCCTATACTGCCTGCAGGAGGGCTGTCTGCAAAGTCAGGAGGGGAAATGAAGTGGGCATGGGGCTTCGTGGTGGGCTATTCTCTATTCTTCCATGACCCATGTGCCAGAATAGTATTAGGGGCTGGGCGCAGTGGCTCACGCCTTTAATCCTAGCATTTTGGGAGGCCGAGGCGGGCAGATCACCTGAGGTCAGGAGCTCAAGACCAGCCTGGCCAACATGGTGAAACCCCATCTCTACTAAAAATACAAAAATTAGCTGGTGTGGTGGTGCACCTGTAATTCCAGCTACTCGGGAAGCAGAGGCATGAGAATCGCTTGAACCCGGGAGGCAGAGGTTCAGTGAGCGGAGATTGTGCCACTGCACTCCAGCCTGGGTGACAGAACAAGACTCCGTCTAAAAAAACAGAACAGTATTAGGGAAGCAGCCTACCTACCTGCATGTCTATGTGGCACAGCTCCAAAAGGTTTAAGCCCATCCATGTGTCTTGAGAATTTTTTAAATTTCACCAATAAGAGCTCATTTCTAATATTCATCAGGCTGTTCAACAGGACAATATTTTTACCCCCCAAATAAACAAATACATAAAAATAAAACAAAACTCATGTCTGACTCTCTGGATGCTAAGGCCTGGCCACTGCGCTGCCATGAGCCATCCAGGTGGTTCTCATCAAGGTGCTTCAACCTTCCAGGCTTTGCTTACTTCCTCCAGAAGGGAGGTCTTGCCCCGTAGAAGTTTATGTTTGTGATATATATGTGTGTGTTAAGGAGTACAAAATAGGACACCAAGGCTATGGAAACAATAATGAGACTAAAAATAGGCTAAAGTGCGCCTAGAGGAGGCATCTGCTGCCCAGACAAGAACATCAGAAAGTGTGGGCTTTCTGGGCCAGGCATGGTGGCTCATGCCTGTAATCCCAGCACTTTGTGAGGCCGAGATGGGTGGATTGCTTGAGCTCAGGAGGTCGAGACCAGCCTGGACAACATGGCAAAACCTTGTCTCTACTAAAAATACACAAATTAGCTGGGCATGGTGGCGGGGCACCTGCAATCCCAGCTACTCGGGAGGCTGAGGCACAAGAATTGCTTGAACCCGGGAGGCAGACAAAATCGCACTACTGCCCTCCAGCCTGGGTGACAGAGTGAAACTCTGTGAAAGAAGGAAAGAAAGAGAGAGAGAGAGAGAGAGAGGGAGGGAGGGAGGGAGGGAGGGAAGGAAGGAATCTGTTTGTGAGCAGAGCTGGACTGCGGGCTGGTGGAAAGAGGAATGCCTCTGGAACCAGCCCCCTGATGTAGAAGATGGTGTTGGCCCCCTATCTCCTGCCTTTGGCATTCACCATTGCTGTACGCAACACCAGCTTCTTACTGAAGAAACCTGTCACTCTGTCTGGGGCTGTCTCTGGCCACAGGAGCATGCTCAGTCCATGCACTGGCCAGGCTGGAAGTGCCTGGGGTTGTCCCCAAGAGCAGCCCCAACCAAAGATGAAGGGAATTGGGTAAATGCCCATGCTCCCTAGCCTCTGGGATGATGGCTCTGAGGCAGGTTCTATTCTGCAGTCTCCCCGTAGTCCCCAGTGGGAATGAGCTTCATTGCACACAGAGATGACCTGCTTGTGAACAAACTCTCACTCTACTTCCTTCCCTCCGTTTCACTTCCTCATCCCCCTACCAGTGCTCCCTAGGGCCACTTCCCTAATTAAGTGTATGCGCTCAAATATTTGCTTCCATGGGAACCAAATTACCTGGTTCAAATCCGTACTCTGCCACTGGCCAGCTGTGTCTTAGGAACATTACTCCACTCCCCTAAACTGCAGCATCCTTGGCTGGGATTGTGAGATGACAAAAGTAGAACAAACCTCACCAGACAGGTGTGAAAATTCCAGAAAATAGTCCGTGTCAATAGTTTAGAGCAGCATCTGGCAGTCAGCAGACACACAATAAATGCTAGTATTTTCTTATTTATTATAATTATTGCTTATTATTGATAGCCCCTGAGATTTCCTTGGCCAAGTTCAAGTCCATTCTGAGAGTTCTAAGCTCTCAAACTTCAGACTTCCTCCAGGTGAATCTCCCTGGTTGTTTCAGGGAATCTAATTCATTTATTCACTTAACATATCTTTAGCAAATATTGACTTAACACCTATTATGTCGAAGACACAGTGCGACGGGGGATATAAAAAATAAGATGAGGTCACGGTCTCCAGTGAGATAAATCGTATCCACACATAGCTACTGTCTAAGGCAAATGGTGATAAGTGCTCTTGTGTGTGTGCCAATAGAGCATAAAATGAGTTCAGAGGAGGGTGAAGAACATTGTGTGTGGTATGAAGGAGTATCGTTGGAGTTGGGTTTGGAAAGGGGTAGAACTTTCCACAGTTCCAAAGAGTTGATGGAGGGGAGAGGATACAATACATGGAGAGGGGGGAAGTGATAAACTCTAGGAGTTTGGCATCCCAGAGACAGCTCAACTATGTCTTAATGTGAGATCCCATAGATTGATGAGCCTCTATCTCTCAGAGCTAAGAGGACAGCGGATGCTCCCCCAAATTATTATTACCATTCCTGACACTTACATAGCACTTACCCTGCCCTAGGAACTACAGGGGATGTGCTACGTATGTTAACTGATTTAATCTTCACCTTCAGGGTCAGCACAACTATGATCTCCACTTGACAGATAAGAAAACTGAGGCTGGAGGGGTTAAATGTCTTGCTCCAGCTCCCGCGGAAGCTAAGTGCCTTTCACCTAATCCTGTGTGGTCTGGCTCCAGGGTTCACACTCTACACTGCCTCTCAAGTGTGGCACCTTTTCAGGAATTTAAGGGAATATGTTGCTGTGATGTTGACAGGGCTTGAGGAGAGACTGAAAGAAAGCCCTTCAGCCCCATAGAGGAAGTCCCCAGAGGATGGATGGTTCTGGAAGTTACGGGTTACCAGGACAACGCATCCCCTCAGCCTGGCCACGCCCCCCGGGCTCCCGCTCACTGGTTGCAAAACTCAGCTTTGCCCCTGCACGGAGTTTCCCTTCGCGGGGCCCGCTGGGGAAGCATCCGCGGCTTGTGGTGGCTGTGGTTTTGTGCCCAGGACTCACACGTAAAAGGAGCTCATTCGGAGGCAGGGGCACGCGCTTGTCCCCAGAACTCAAACCCCAGAGTCCCTCCGGTAGGTGGTACAGAGGCGAGTTTGATCCTAAACAAAACAGGGCAGGGTCTTCCTGTTTGTTTTCTTCCTCCAGCGGGGAGCAACAGCTGCTAATTGGATAGTGAAGTGACCGATTTATTATTCTCTTACCCGTGCTGAGCAGAGCTGTAGGAAATCTCCGGGACTGGGAGCAGCACAGGGGGGTATCTCGGGGTCTCTCTGAGAAGGAGTTGACAGTGGGGACCAAAGCTGCCGGCTGCCATGTTTTATTTGGCCTGCCCAGTGTTTAAAAAAAATGTTTTTAAATAGATGCTGACATTTTTAAAAGGGGAAGATTATACATACACTTCTACATCTCCGACTTGTGTCAAGAAATGGGAAGTTCTGGGCCCAGATCCCCATAAGTCAGCGATGAGGGGGGCCGAGCAGGGGCTGCCCGTTAGACGGCCGCAGAGTCCCAGCCCCCAGCCCTGCTCACCTTTCTTACCTCTCTGGCCCCGTCGGCATTTGAGCCTGGGACCCCAGACGAAAGGATACGCTTCCTTTTAGAACCCCTGCCAATCTGAGGACGGGGCCACCCCACAGACGCCGTGGCTCAGCAAGCAGACCAATGGCCGAGGAGTCTGGCAAGGGGCGCTTGGTGAGTGGGTTTAATGACAGATTAAGTTGCCCATTAGGAAGCCATTAGAACACAGCGTGATGCATCACTGGGTAAACGAGAGAGGCTGAAGTCAGAGACAGGATCTTGGAGCGCTTGATCCAATTTAATTCTTCTATTTTTTTTTTTTTAAACCCTAGGCAGATGAGAGTGGAGGTTGTAAATCACCCTCCATGCAATGGTTCATCATAAAGGATATGGAGCAAAATTAGAGGAGGCACGAGAAGGAAAGCCGGTGATGAACAAGGTAGGGGCTGCTGCGGCGTGATTGAAGACAGGCTGGGAACGCGGGAGAAGCCGCTGAAAACTGGCTTGGGCTGGAGGTCTGATTAAGGCATCCCAAGCCAGAAAAACCCAGAGCCCAGCCTTCTGCTTTGCCTTGGGGAGTAGGATGGGGGAATACGTGTGCAGAAAACTTTCTGAGACAGTGCCTCATAGTGCCATCTACATGGAATATGAAGTCAATCAGAATGTCTCTAAATCCTGGCTCTGTTGGGTTTTGGCTGTGTGACTTTGGGTAAGTTACTTAACCTCTCTGAGTCACATTTTCCACCTGTGTTAAAGGAGGTAATCACAGCAAATGCAAAGGGTGGTGCTGGATATCAGGGTGGGCACCTGCTAAGTGATGCTTTCTTCTGTTTAACGTTGTAAAAGATGTAAATGAGACGGTCCCCAAATGAGGGTAGATTTTACTCCCCTCTAGCTCAGGTGGCGCTTGTCGGGGAGATCAAGCAGTTTCTGTTCCTCCCTAGTAAAAGCAGGAAGGCTTTCCTGGGCGGGGTCCTCTGAGTGCTGGAAGAGGGGGAGGGTGTCCACTCAGTGAGGAGGCAGGAGGGCAGTCTTGCACACACTGGGCACCTCTGGGCCTCCAGCACTGGATGTCAGCTGTGCTTGTTGAATGGATGTGCTGCCCTCAAGCCCCAAATCTGTTCTCTGCCCTTCTCTATCCTCTCTGTGCCCTGGGACGCTGACCCTGGCAGTACCTCACCCAGTGTCTTTATCTGGGCTCTCCCAAAAGCAGAGCCCCAGAAAGGATGTGAGGGCAGCCTGTTTCTTGGGGAGCTTATGGTGAATGTGGAGCTCCCCATGCAGGCCCCCCTTCCAGGAGGGACTGATTGCCCCCCTGTTGGCTCCTTCAGGATTTGCCTCAACTACAGAGACAGCATGGAACACGCCCTCCTAGGCTGCCCACATCCTCATCTGCATGGGGGCACAGAAGCCTGGCCATTCATCCCATGGGAGACTCAGGACATGCTCCCAGCAACCTGATGGGCTGCCCAAGGCTTGGCTGATCCTGCATCCCTGCATCACATCTCAGCTTCTCCCTCTGCCCAAATCTACTTCCTCCCCATTCCTTTCACAGGCATTGATTCCCTGATAAACACCTTGCACCCCATATTCCATCTCAGAGTCTCCTTGCAGAGAACCCAACCTGTGGCAGAGCTGGTCTCAGGACTCGGAGCGAGGGAGCAGGGAAAGAGGACAGGAAAGCAGGGAGAGTCAATTTAAGGGTATGTTGTCTGAGACAAAGATTCTGCTAGGACCTCTGAGATGGGTACAAGATGCCTGGAGCCATTCACTGGGCAGTATCTGTCCATCAGCTCCCAGGCCCCACAGAACCGGAGCTGCCTGTGAGGGCTTTCACTGCCCTGCATTTCTGGGCTTCACATATGCACTGGCTGAGAGGGCTCCCTGTCTTCAAGGACGATCCTGAGCAGAAAGTGGGTGCACTTGAGGTGGCATGCTGTTGCGAGAGTCTGAGCTTTATGAGAAGCAGACCCAGGGGGCATGGTGTGGGGCATCCCAAAGGACCTGCCATACATTAGGTGCCTTGGTCTTGGGGAGGAGCCCTCGGGAGTTCTGAGGGTGGGAGAAGAGGTAGGTGGGGTTAATCCTTTCCCATTCCCTCCCTGCCTCAGCACCATGGCTCAGGCAGTAGCGCTGCCAGCTCCTCCTGGGATCAGAGTTATGGCCCTGCTCCCCTTGTCCCTTCAGGCTGAGGAACATAAGGGCTTCCCATGGTTGCTGGTGTCTGAGTGCCTCAACCTCCCTTGCTGGTTCCTTTCCCCTGCCCACACCTTTGTCAATAGTTCCCCCCACTGAAGTCTCTTTGGTTGAGCAGTTGGTGGGGATGCTGACTGATAAAGTGGTCTAGGCCACTGCTCACTGCTTAAAGCCTTGCTTCAGAGAGACCTTCCAGGGCCCTGCAGCTCCCCCTTCTCCAACCCCTCCAACCCCTCCAACCTTTCTCTCTCCCAGCTGGTCTGGGTTCCCTACGGCATCTACTTGCTTTTGAATCTATTTCTTATAGATACATGTGTGTCCTCCTCTTTCACAGCCTTACCTTTTCATATGGAGGAAGAAAAAACCCATTTCTATAAAGCTATTAAATGTTTTCCTTTCACAAACACCAGTTTTGTACATCAGAAGCACTGCCTTTCATGCCTATTGAATTCTCGGAAATGGGCTTCGAGTGCCTATTTCAGGAGTTGAAATCTGAACATCAGCTCTTTCTTCCTCTCTGCATTCCTGCCACACAGTCCTAATCCTCTCCAGTGTGATGGATCCCTCTGGCTGGGTAGAAGGGAGATCATTTAAAGGAAATTTGAAAAAGAAAAGAATAGTATTCCATTTCAAGAGATTTTTCTCCTGACACAGTTATTTTCAACAGGTGACAGGTATTGATACTGATGAAAGATTCTTGAGTGAATACAAACCACTCCCCACCCCCATCCCCAGCATACATTCTCTAGAAATTCCAGAATGCCCAGTGAGTGGATTCATTCCACATATATTTAGTGCCTAACTACATGCCAAGGAGCTGGGTGCTAAGAACAAAAAAGTATGATTCCTGCCCTCTGCCATAGAGTTTGTGATCTGTGTTGATGCATTAAAGATTAATCCAATGATTACACAAAATGTGATGTTGCAATTTTGCCTTTGCACTTGCTGTTCCCTCTGCCTGGAATGCTTGTCCCTGCAAGGTGTCTGCCTGGCTTCCTCCATACTTCCTCTAGGCCTTTTCACAATCATCCCTCTTCACTTGTGGCCTTCTTGGCCACTCACTCTGTCAACATTCCTGCTCTTTTTTTCTCTCTAGCATACTTCTCTGTTTATGGACCATCCCTCCCAGAATGTAAGCTTCATAAGAATACAGATTTTTCTTTTCATAAAATCTTTTATTGTTCTCTGCAGAGAACAAAATTCCCAGAGTAGAAAACAATGCATGGGATATAGTAGGTGCTCAAACAATGTGTATTGAATGATTAAACATTGACCACACTAAGTGGTAATAAGCGTGGGCTGAGAAGGATTAGAGAAAAGAGAGTTTCCAAGGGAAGTGATAGTTGGGCTGATCTAAGGAAAGTTGGGAGGCATCAAGTAAGCCTAAAGGAGAGGGAAATCGTGCAGGAAACACCAGCATATGCCAGGGTGCTGGGTGAACAGGAGCATGGTGGGCTTAATTAAGAAACTAAAAGGAGGCCGGGTGTGGTGGCTCACACCTGTAATCCCAGCACTTTGGGAGGCTGAGGCAGGCAGATCACGAGGTCAAGAGATCAAGACCATCCTGGCTAATAGAGTGAAACCCTGTCTCTACTAAAAATACAAAAAAAATTAGCCAGGAGTGATGGCAGGCACCTGTAGTTCCAGCTACTTGGGAGGCTGAGGCAGGAGAATAGCCTGAACCCAGGAGGTGGAGCTTGCAGTGAGCTGAGATCACGCCACTGCACTCCAGCCTGGGCAACAGAGCGAGACTCCATCTCAAAAAAAAAGAAAAAAAAAAAACAACAACTAGAAGTTCAGTGGGATTCGAGCACAGAGGATGGAAAAGATATGTGGGGAGGGATTAATGACAAAGATGACACTTAGAACTGTCACACAGTGCTGGGAACTAGGCCAACCTTCACACAAGTCTGGGAGAAAGGTACTATACGTATTCCCATTTTACAGATGAGAGAATCAAGGCCCAGATAGTATAGGTAACTTGTACAAGTTACAAACCTAATGAGCAGCAGAATTAGAGTTCAAATGCAGGAACTTTGATCCAGAAGCCTAAGGTCTGAAATCCGTGTGGCTTTTAGTCTCTGGTAGAAGGACTAGGAGGGGTTGGCACAGGTACGGCTTTGTAGTGACATAGAATCCCAGGTTGGGGATAGGATAGAGCTGGCAGATATAGGCTGGATATCTCCTGGGATGATTCTTACAGACCTCCCAACTCCCCACCCCACCCCATCTCCAGAGCTGCACATGCTCTGATTGGATCGACCTTAAAAAGCTTGCTTCCATTCTAGTCAGGATGGGCAAAATCAGTCTAAACTCCCTGAAGGTTTGGCCATGAACCAATAAGATCCCTTCAGAGATTAGTATAAAGCTAGTGCTCTGTTCTCTGCAATGACGGGTTATTTTAAAAAGCATTAACTAGGTCATTTGCAATGCAGTGTGAGTGGCCAAGGCTGCTGACTAGAATCCTCTTGGGACTTTTAAAAAAATCCAGATGCCCAGGCTGCACCCTCACCAATTACATCAGAGTCACTCAGGCGGGACCCAAGCATCAGTATTTTTTAAAGCTCCCCGGGGAAGCCCAGTGTGCAATCAAGTTTGAGAACCAACAGTCCAGTCCCCAGCTACTCAAAGGCTGGAGCAGGGATTGGTAGCATCAACATCCTTGAGAAGCTTGTTAAAAATGCAGAATCTCAGGCCCTTTCCCAGATCTACTGTTTCAGAATCTGCGTTTTATTTTTTTTGTTTGTTTTGTTTTTTATTTTATTTCTTCTAAAAAAAAAAGGGGGGGGGGGGATACATGTGCAGAACATGCAGGTTGTTTCACAGGTATATGTGTGCCATGGTGGTTTGCTGCACCTGTTGACCTGTCCTCTAAGTTCCCTCCCCTCACCCTCCACCCCTCAACAGGCCCTAGTGTGTGCTATTTCCCTCTCTGTGTCCATGTGTTCTCAATGTTCAACTCCCACTTATGAGTGAGAATATGCAGTGTTTGGTTTTCTCTTCCTGTGTTAGTCTGCTGAGGATGATGGCTTCTAGCTTCATCCATGTCCCTGCAAAGGACATGATCTCATTCCTTTTTATATAACCTCATGTGGTTAGTGGCTATGGTATTCGACCGTGAAGTTCTGGAGCAGGGCTTTTCAAACTTGTGTGGATTCCGAGGTGGACGGATCACCTGAGGTTGGGAGCTCAAGACCAGCCTGACCAACATGGAGAAACTCCGTCTCTACTAAAAACAGAAAATAAATCGGGCGTGGTGGTGCATGCCTGTAATCCCAGCTCCTCGGGAGGCTGAGGCAGGAGAATCGCTTGAACCCGGGAGGCAGAGGTTGCAGTGAGCCGAGATTGTGCCATTGCACTCCAGCCTGGGCAACAAGGATGAAACTCTGTCTCAAAAAAAGAAAAAAAAAAGAAGAATCTGCATTTTAACACCAAGATTCCTATTCACACAGGTTTGAAAAGCCCTGCTCCAGGACTGCATAGTTCAATACCATAGCCATTAACCATAGGAGGTTATTTAGATTTAAATTAAATTAAAAATTCAGCTCCTCAGTTGCACTAGCGACATACATTTCAACTGCTCAATTGCCACGTGTCACTGGCTGGTGGCTACCATATTGGACAGTACAGATAGAGAATAGCCTGATCACTGCTGAAAGTTTATTGGACAGTACTGCTCCAGAACATTCTGGAGTGGTGTAATCCACCAGTCTTTTTTCCTGTGGATGCTGCAGGCATACAGACAGACAGTGCTACCCTCCCTGGATGGGACAAAATTAAGATACATTCAAGCAGGCACACAGGGGATGTATCTAGATTATTGATTTTCCGCTCATTTGAAATAAATCAAGGACATGGCCATGTCTTCCCAAGCCCTAAATAAGTGCAGTTTGTGGGGTCGGAAACAGATGAGTGGGGAAGAAAGGAGAGGAGAAATGCAAGAAGCAAGATCAATTTCAGGTGCTAGAACAGGATGCAAGAGGGTTAGCCCAGGCCCCCACACCTCTCTGTCAGTCTCAGCACTGCCTGCTAATCACAAGGCAGGAGAGCGCTTGGCAAGAAGATGAGATTGATTTGTTACTTCAGGTGCAAATATGAAAAGGGGGCATTTAGTCAGCTAAATAATAGCCAAGCTGTAGTGTGACAGGCTGGGGGCTTAGGTTGTTTTTCTTCTGCTTTGGGGTGGAGATGGCAGCAGAGAGTTCCACCCTTCTGCAAAACCTTGCCTGTTTTCTGGGAAGGCCAGGCGAGGTTTCCGCCTTGTGGACCGTTTAGTTGCAGTCAGAGGGATGTATAATGGGGCTAGAGCTGAACAATATGATAATGACAAGCCAGACCAGCAGTAGAGAGTGATGTATATTTTTCTTGGAAAGCTGCTGTCCATGTAGACAGCAGCTGACAGTAGGTGAGGGGCAGCAGTTAGTGGCAGATCATTTGCCTACTTGCACGCTACCCCTTGGGTGTGCTCCTTCCGAAATACTGTGGGTCAGGGCAGGGTGAAAAGGGTGAAAACTCAAAACAAGAGAATGCACCAACAAAATGTACCCTACTACACAGCAACATGCACCATTCAGTGCTGTTTACATCTTTTCAAACTTTCAGCTTTTAAGGCTCACTAATACTTCTACATAGTAAAGCTTTTTGCATTTTGAGGTGTTTTGTGGTTGCCTTATGGGGCTGGTCCTCATGACCGCCTCTGGAGGAAGTCAGAGCAAATTTTGCCATCCCTTTAGACGTGAATAAAGCCCAGAATGGTTAAGTGAGTTCCAGAGTCACACTGATCGTGAGTTGAAGACGTAAAACAATCATTCCGTTATTTGTTTATTCATAACTATTTACTGAGAGCCCTACTAAGTGCCCAGCCCTGGGGATGCTTCTGTAATGTCTCTGTTTTCATGGAACTTGGAGCTTGGATTCTAAAGAGGCTGATAGAAAAAAAAAGTAAACAAATGAAAGAACCACCAGTTACAGTAAATGCTACAAAGGGAAGACAAACTAAGAGAATGCTGAGAGAAAAACAGGGAGAGGAATGGGGCAACTTGGAGAGGTTGGTTTGCAAAGGCTTCTCTGAAAAGGACATGTTTATGCTGAAACTTGAAGAATGAGATGTAACAAGAGCGGGAGGACATTTCCGGCAGAGGGAGCTGTATAAGTAAAGGCAGATGATTGGAAGAGCACACAGCCTACGTGGGCCACGCAAGGAGATGGGTGTAGCTGGTGCCCATGAGAGGCAGAGAGCATGGTTTGAGATAAGAGCACGGTAAGGGCCTCCCACCTCCCTCGCCCCCAATGTATCCCTATGTCCAAGGGGAATTTTGTCTTCACCTTTCAGTTCCTCCTCCTCGTGGCCCTCTAATGAGGGTCAGTTCAGCCAGCCCATTCCAAGACTTCGTGCTGTGGCATCAGGAGGTCTGGGAAGGGGGATGAAGAAGAGAGACAGGTCTGGGAAGGGGGAAGGAAGACAAATAGGTTTCAAAGACAGGGACCCTGAAGCCTGAATGTCTGCAAAAGCTGGAGTAGAAAGTTGAAAATGAAGAATTGAGAAAGAGCAAGGGGTCAGAGTTTCCAGGGCCGCTGCCAGCCACAGAAAGAAGGCCGGTCGGGTGGACGGGAGCCTCTTCAGTCTCCTTCAGAGATAACTTAAGGCTTTGTCTCTGTGCTTCTTCTGACAGGCTATTGCTTAAAGACTGAATGACATGGACCCCAGAGTTTATGTGAGTTACTGTAAAAATCAGGGCTTCACTCCCAACTGAGAGCCTTGCAGAGTGAGGAGTTTCTCTAGAGACCATCTGATAAATGCGGGCTCCCACACGCAGAGATGTGAGCTAGAGCCGTGCAGCAAATAATATATATTATTTTCTTCTCCGCTTAAGGTCCAAATTGTCTGGTGTAACATCTTTGGTGACCATTCCATTTGGGAATCCTAGCTTACTGGATGGAGCTGTGTGCGTTGTGAGGTTGGCCCTTGTTGTGCCTGAGCTTAGAAGAAGGAATAGCAGGGGTAGTAATCATTATGATAAGCACTTCTTGAGCACTCACTACATGTCAGGCACCATTCTGAGCATATCACATGCACGGGTTCTTTTAATGTGCATAACAACCCCACAGGATTAGTAGGTGCCATTTACATCCCCATTTTACAGATAAGAAAACCAGGGCACAGGGTCTCAGAGTTAGCAGGTGGCATTGCTGAGATTGGAAATCAGATAGTTTGGCTCCAGAGCTCCTGCTCTTTAGCACTGTGGAGGTGACTTGAGAGATGCCCTAAGTTCCAGCCCAACCACAGATACCACCCCCATTGGCCATAGTACATGACTAAATGTGACAATTACTTATTCAGCATTTATTAAAAGCACAGTATTGTCCTAAGCACTTTACATGTAGTATCCCAGTGCATCTCCTTATCAACTCTTTTAGATAGGTACTGTTATTCTTCATCTTTTACAGAGGAACAAATTGAGGCTCAAATCAATAAGTAACTTGGTAAGAGTCTCCCACTTAAAACATTGGTAAAGTTGAAATCCAAATCTAAGCATCCAACCCCAGAGCCCAAGCTCTCAACTAACCCTGGTCACTTTTTTGAGTAAGGACTTTGTATCTCTCAAATGCCCCCTATTAAAATGAACCTCAGCCATGTGGGAGCAGTGTGATATTTTTTTTCCTGCCCCTAAAGCATGTTGAAGATTTGGGGACAAGTTTTATTGAAACTCCCCAAGGCACTAGCTTTCACCCTTGGTGGTAATTTTCTAGTGACTGCAGATGCCTCATTAAACGAGTTCAGGCACACTGATCTCCTTAATTCAGTTTCTTCCAACTCCCATCTTCATTCTGCCCTTGTCTTTGAACTCCTCATGCTTTGTCTCAGTGATCTCCTCCACTACCAGCTGTTAACATCTTCTGTATTGGGATGAATCCCTGACACACAACTTCAGCCCAGACCTGGCTCCAAATCTCTATGTCCTTCATTCCACCTGCTCCAAGACCTAGGCACCTGGATTTTCCCTAGTGTAGCTGAGGCTGGCGTGCCCCACCCAGATCCCACGGGGTCTTTTTTCTACCCCCATTTCCAAGCCACTGCCTGCATTGCTGCAGGTAAAGGCTCACATCTGCAGCCTTCTCCTGAGGCTTGCCCTTGAGGAATGGGAGCAGCCTCACCCAGACTCGTACTCCCCACCTTCACCTGACCTCAGATACTGATAGTGTCTGTTCCAAGAATCTAGTGCAACTTCCTTAGACTAGCAATCAATACCTCCTGCACCTGGCAATAACCTCGCTGTCAAATCTTCACTCCTGCTCAGCTGCAGAGCAGCTCCTCGGCCCTTAAGAGTTCCTCTGCCTTCTGGCCTTCTTGCCTTTGCTCACTCTGCTTCTGTTTGGAATGTCATCCGCCCTGCTTCCAACTGTCAAAATTCTACACATCCTCTGAAGGCTAGTGACACTGCGCTTCTGCCCATGAGGCATTCCCAAATTGTGCTTGCCCTTGCAATGTGGGTTATTGCTAGTTATGCATGGGTCTCTAGTCAGCATGGTTTGTATTATAAAAGGTCAAGAATGAATCTGATTCTCTCACCTATCTCTAGTTAAGGGTTCAAATGTGTACCCACCAAAGGGTACTGAAGTCTTAACCTTCAGTACCTGTATGACTTTATTCAGAAATAGGGTCATTGCAGATGTAATCAAGTTAAAATGAGGTCATTAGGGTGAGCCCTAATCCAAGAGAAGAGAGACAGACACAGACTGGCACAGAAGGAAGATGATGTGAAGACACACAGGGAGAACACAGAAGCAGAGATTGCAGTGACGATGCTCGCATGAGCCAAGGAACTCCAGATCTGCTGGCAAAACCAGAAGCTCAGAAAAAGGCATGGAGCAGATCTCCCCTAGAGCCTTCAGAAAGAGCACAGCCCTGCTGACTCCCTGGTTCCAGACTTCCAGCCTCCAGGAAGGAACTGCGAGAGAATAAATGTCTGTTGTTCTAAGCCACCCAGTTTGTGGTCCTTTGTCACAGCAGCCCTAGGACACTAATATATTAAGTATCTCACACAGTGCCTTCCACAGAGTACGTAATGGCAAAGGTTTGTTGAATTCACGTGGGGGTGGAGTATTTCTCTCACTAGCTTTTTTTTTAAACAAGCTATTTACTGTTTATTGTAACATGCCTTGCACTATGTTGATAGAATCTCTCAGATTTCCTAAACCTTTTGTTGTTATGCCATACCTATACAATACCCAGCCCCCACTTGTACATTCCATATGTACTCTTTTCTCTTTTTTCTTCCTTCCTTTCTTTCTTTCTTCTTTCTTTTAATTTGTTTTTTTTTTTTCTTTTTTGGTCTCCCTATGCTGCCCAGGCTGGTCTTGAACTCCTGGGCTCAAGCAATCCTCCTTCCCTGGCCTCCCAAAGTGCTGGGATTACAGGCATGAGTGGCAGTGCCCAGCCATTCCATATATATATGATGCAGAAGAGCGCTTACACCAACCTAATAGTTACTTAATGTTGTATAACAAATCATGGCAAAGCTTAGTGGCTTAAAACAAGAGTCATTTATTACATTTCACAGTTCCTGTGCAGCAGCCTGGCTGGGAGGTCCAGACTCTGGACTTCCCATGAGGTTACAGTCATCTATCTGAAGGCTTGACTGGGGCTGGAGGATCCACTTCCAAGATGGCCCACTCACACGGCTGGCAGCTTAGTGCTGGCTATTGGCAGGAGGCCTCAGTTTCCCTGCAGAGGCTGCTTAAGTGTCCTGATGACATACATGCTAGTTGGCTTCCCCCAGGCTGAACCATACAAGCAGAGAGCAAGACAGGAGCTAGAAAGCCTTCATGACTTAGCTTTGAAAGTCACAAATCATCATTTCCACCATGGTATACCATCTACACAGGCTAGCCCTGATTAAATGTGGGAAGGCATGAATGCCAGGAGGTGAAGATCATTGAGGGTCATCTTCATTAGTCAAGGCCATGCAATCTCAGCAGGGCCAATACCATCCCAACCAGGCAAAACATTCATTCTTGGAAGGAATGAAAAGAAAATTACTCTTTTCATGTATAAGCAAAGATATACATACTGTACATAAACAGATACAGAGTATATCTGCGGTGCTAAAATTTCATGGTGAGGGGAACAGACAATAAAGAAAAAAATTGTCTAAAAATTCTTGGGGGTGATTTTTTTTTTTAATTTAAAAGTAAACTTTAATGTCGAAAACACAAACTTGGGGAGGGCAGAAAGATCACACATAAGGCTGCCACTTCACACCTGGAGGGTTGCACAGCGGCCGGGCAGAAGCGCTCCTCACTTGCCAGGCGGTGCGGAAGCTGGGCAGAGGCGCTCCTCACTTCCCAGACTGTGGGGCGGCCGGGCAGAAGCCTCCTCACTTCCCAAATGGTGCTGGGCAGGCGGACTCCATTGCTAGATCTGACTTGGGTTCAAGCCTCTCCCTTCTGCCCTCATCTGGACATGCTGACAGCCTGCGCTCTCCCTCCTTTGGCACGGGATGAAGACTGAAGCCTGGCAAGGCCCTGCCCTCAGCAGGAACTCCCCCTGGGCCCCACTCTGTGACCCTGAGCCCAGGCCAGGATCCTTCCTTTACTTTCTCAAGCCACTTTGGGCCTGCCCAGCTCTCTCAGAGCCCTGTCATGTAGGTGACAACACTGTTTTTTGTTTGTTTGTTCCTTGTATCTTTAGTAGAGGCAGGGTTTCACCATATTGGCCAGGCTGGTCTGGAATTCCTGACCTCAGGTGATGCACTCGCCTCAGCCTTCCAAAGTGCTGGGATTACAGGCGTGAGCCACCGCGCCCGGCCCCCGTTCCCACATTCTTGGTGTATGTGCTGTCATCACATTCAACCCCAACCAAACCTTGAGTGGGTAGCCTCTGCAGGGGACCACTCGCAACTGGCCTGTAGTTACGGTCCCCTGCAGAGCCCTCGCAGGTGGTCCAGATGTGCCCACTGGCCCTGCCCCAGGTGCGTCTTCCCTGCCCCTAGCCTGCTCTGCCTGATGTGCACTGCACTCAGCTCTGCTGACTCCCAGGGGGCCTCCGTCACACACCGAGCCAGCCTCATGAGCGGTCTTGGTAGGTGGTGTTCAGGGACAGGGTAATGGGATCCAGCCCTTCCTAAGGTGTACCTGGGCTGCGACTCAGAATGGATGTTCAGAACAAAGAGATGCAACTGTGAGTGACCCCACAGGCCGACCGTCAACCAGGCCTTGGCCCTAGTCCATCGGGCACTCAACCCTTGCAAGACGTGGACCCGCTGATGCCCAACGTGTGAACGAGTACCTGGAAGCCTCACCCCACAATGCTAGCATGGCCAGAGAAAAGGATCTGCCTGCCTCTCCCCCACCCAGGTGTGGCAGCTCCTGGTGCCAGTTTCCCAGGAGCGTGGCCAGGCCCCGAGTCTCTCCATCACAGCTGTGGCTCTGGCTCCTTCTTGGAAGTGGGGAGGGGCTCACTCCCCATGCAGCCGCCACTGCTGCTTCAACATCTGTAGGCCTGCATGGCCCACTCTCTCTCCTCCCCCACAATCCGCTGGTAGGCCAGGGAGGCAGTCAGAGGCTGGAATACACCTCGGGGGCTCAGAAGCATCCTCAGCATCTGCGATCTCCTGCCAGGCTGGTCCTTGCTTACGCTCCTCCGGGGCCTGGTAGTCAGCTCTGGGTGCTGCAGGACAACCTCACCAAACTTCACTGCGTCTCGGAGCAACTCCTGCTCCAGCCTGTCTGCCATCTTTTCCTCCTTTTTCTGCCAGACTTTATCTAGTCGTCGCTTCTGGAACACTTTTTTTGCTTTTTTCAGCTCAGACTTCTCCTTGGGAGCTGCCTGGACCTCTGGCTGCTGGGTGGCCTGGTTCTTGCTGAGGAATAGCATGTGCTGGATAAGGCCTAGTCGGACTCCCCCTTCCTCTGCTTGAACTTGGGGACGGCAATGTCGGGCTCCACTCCCTTTGCTTCCTTTTCCAGTGTCTTTCTGAAGCCCACCTGGGCCGCTTTCTTCCTCTTCTTGTTACCGGTCGGATTTTTCATCTCCCAGCGGCTCCTCATAATCTCCCGGAGCTGGAAGGGGATCTCCTGTTTGTCCTGGGTTTTGGGCTTGCAATTCACTTTCTCCTCTTTGCTGTGAATCCTGGACCACGGGGCTGGGCACTGCTTCCCCAGCAGCTGCACTTGCTGCCGGCTGCTGCTCCCGCCGGGGACTCCCAGGACCCGCCGGCGCCCTGGGCACCGCTGCCCCACCTCCAGCTTGTGCCATCCCCACGCTGGAAGCTTCCCTAGCGAAGCCACTTCCACATTCCTCCATTTTTTAAAGTGATTAAGAAACACTGGCTAAAACTTTTTCAGTTGTAAGCAATAAAACCCAATTCAAACTGACTTACGCAAAAATGAAGTTCAGGAGTCTGGACTTCAGGTATTGCCAGATCCAGAGGTTCAGATACTATCAGCAGTGCTTTTTCTATCCATATTACACACAGACTGTCTCCAAGTAGCTGTCCGTGAGGGCTCCTATGAGTGTCATTTACATCTTACTGCCAGCTATCTGGGAGGATTGTGAAACACTGCCCAGCTCTAACAAGCCTAGATTAGACAGCAGTGTAGGCGCTAAGACTCCCACGTATATGGACAGAGAAGATAAAAGACCTTCAGCCATTTCACAGTGCTGCCTGGGGAGGGCTCATTTTCTCCTCATATTCTAGGAGAACAAGAAAAACAGGGCTTCGTAATCTGGTAGGTATAAATTCAAATCTAAGATCTACCAGTTACTAGCTCTGTGATCCTTAAAGTTCTTGAAGCTTTGGTTTTTCATCTGTAAAATGGAGGTAGTGGTAGTCACCCGTAAGATTGTTGCTAGGATTAGTTGAGACCATGCATGTAAAGTTTCCCACAGAGCACCTGCACATGCTATATCTAAAAGAGGAGAGGAGGAGGAGGAGGATTGTAAGTGGGGGATGCTTATTTCCTGTTTCCAGAGAGGGGAGGACACCTGCCCTCTCCAAATGTTTTCTGCTCTTGTGTTGTTTTGCTCAAGGTTGAAATCCCCAGGATAGAAACTCAGATTGGCCAAGCTTGGGTGATGGGAAAGGACAGGTGAAGTCAGTGCACCTTGCTTGACCCACCAAGACCACCCAAATCGGGGTGGAGTGGTTCCCCAGAGGAAAATTGGGTGCTGTTAGGAGAAAGGAGGGGGCAGACACTGGGTAGGAAAAGTTGCAGATGTCCACCGCAGGCATCCTTCGATGCAGTATGCCAGGAAGCCCTGATCCATACTTTCTTCCCCTCACCCCCTTGTGTCTATTTTCTCCTCTAGTGGGATCTGCAGAGAAGGAGGAGTAGGTGATTGTGGCTGACACAGTCAATTGCCTCCCCCAAGGACCTTTCCCACCTTCTTTTAGCTGGCTAAGTTCAAGAGTTGACCATCTCTGGCCTGCTCTGCCTGATGTGTGCTATGTGCTCGGCTCTGCTGACTCCCAGGGGCCTCCATCACAAGGCGAGCCAGGGTCATCAGCTGTCTTAATAAGTGGTGTTCAGGGACAGGGTAATGGGACCCAGCCCTTCCTAAGGTGTACCTGGGCTGCGACTCAGAATGGATGTTCAGAACAAAGAGACACAACTGTGAGTGACCCCAGGCCCCACAGGCTGACCGTCAACCAGGCCCTGGCCCTAGTCCATCGGGCACTCAACCCTTGCAAGACGTGGACCCGCTGATGCCCAACGTGTGAACGAGTACCTGGAGGCCTCACCCCCACGCTGCTAGCATGGCCAGAGAAAAGGATCTGCCTGCCTCTCCCCCACCCAGGTGTGGCAGCTCCTGGTGCCAGTTTTCCAGGAGTGTGGCCAGGCCCCAGGTCTCTGCATCACAGCTGTGGCTCTGGCTTCTTCCAGGAAGTGAGGTGGGGTCGCTCCCCATGCAGCTGCAGCTGCTGCTGCTTCAATGCTCTGTAAGCCTGCACTGCCAGTTCTCTCTCCTCCCCTACAATCCGCTGGTGGGCCAGGGAGACAGGGGCAAAGGGCTCCTCCCCAGCCCCAGGAAGGGGATATCACTTGGACTCACCAGATCATGGTAATTCCATTGCCAGCAACTGTGGGTACATGACTATTATAGCGAGTGGGATTTAATGGAATACCCTCTGGGCACCTCTGGGAGAGTTGTTCCTCCTGAATAAAAAGATACATGGGCCAGGCACGGTGGCTCCTGCCTGTAATTCCAGCACTTTGGGAGGCCAAGGCAGGTGGAATACTTGAGGTCACGAGTTCAAGACCGGCCTGGTCAATGGTGAAATCCCGTCTCTACTAAAAATACAAAAATTAACTGGGCATGGTGGCACAAGCCTGTAATCCCAGCTACTTGGGAGACTGAGGCAGGAGAATTGCTTGAACCTGGGAGGTGGAGGTTGCAGTGAGTCGAGATCATGCCATTGCACTCTAGCCTGGGAGACACAGCAAGACTCTGTCTCAAAAAAAAAAAAAACCGCAAGGAAGAAAACCCCATCTCTTCTTCAGGCTGATGTTTCTGGGTTCACATGTGATACGTGGAACAGTGGCAGCCTTCAGCCTTTCTGGAATAATGAAGAGACAAGCCCAAGAACAAAGCCAACATGATGAGGATGGCAGGACAGAAAGACGGGGAGAGGCTAATCCTTATTGAAGTCAGTCATTGGCTGAGCTATCCATGGATACTACCTCCAGACTTCCTTTGATGCCTTACTGCCTAAACTACATTCAGGTGGGTTTACTCATACCCTAGCCAAAGCATCTCAGTGATACATATATATGCTCATCTATTTCTAAATCTCCAACAAGGGTAAGGAAGCCTTTTAGGTCAGTGGTTCTCAAAGTGTGGCCCCTGGACCAGCAGTATTGACATCACCTGGAAACTTACTAGAAATGCATATTCTTGGGCCCCATCCAGTTCTTGTCAATCTGAAAGGGAATGGGTGCAGCAGCAATCGTGCTTTCACAAGCACTCCAGGTCATTGTGATGCATGCTACAGTTTGCCAACCTCTGCTTTATATACTACTCTGTTGTCATACTGATATCAGAACTGACCACTGGGAGTGAGAGCACCACTCATTATTCCATCCAACTTACCTTTTTCTATCATTGCTTCATTTGATTCTGCTATCCCTAAAACAAACAAACAGAAAAACAAGAAAAAGGACAAGGAAAAAAAAAAGGGAGAGAAAGAGAGAGACAGAAAGGATTTGAAAACCGTTGGCCAAATAAACCTTTTGCTTTGAGTTTCAATCTGCTGACTCTGGGTCATCAGCTCCTTCCAAAAAAGACTTTGGGTGTCTGCAGAAACCTGTAGTTACTAGAATGTGGTGGACATTTCCAAAATATTTAGAAACACTAATAATCACTGTTATCAATAATGCTCCATAGGGATCTCCCTTGAGCTACTGGAAGTGAAGTTAGCAAGGAACTTAGAGAGGCGTGTACTGCCTGGGGTGAGCAAAGAGAATTTGGAGGGACAGAGGAGCCCTGAGAATAATGTTAGAAAAAAAAGGAATGAAAAACTTGCTGCAAAAAGGAGAAAAGAAGGAAAGAAAGAAAAGAAAAAGAAAATGATTCTCATCAGGGAAGCCAGTGAAGATGGATTTGTTTTCCAGGACTCAATACATTTAGACAAAGGAGCGCAGAGAGGAGATCCAGGTTTAGGGGTGGTTTGAGCAAGGTGTCCAGGAGGGAAGGCAGGGGCACGTCTGGACACCTGGGCAGCCATGGATAACGGAGAGAACAGGTCGTGGGAGTGATGCTGTGTGGGAGGAAGAATGCCTCCACAGGATTAGACTCTGGCACCACCCCCTACTAACTTTGGTCTTAGGCAGCTTCCCGAGCTTCTCTAAGCTTCAGTTTCCTCAACAGCCAATGGGCTCAGTGATTCTTATCTCACAGCTTGTTGGAAGGTTTACATAAATCAACGTACTATGATCTGAACTGCATATCCCCCAAATTTATATGTTGACGCACTAACCACCAATGTGTCGAATTTGGAGATAAGACTCTCGGGAGGTAATTGAGGCTAGATGAGGTCAAGGGAAAGGAGCCTCCATGATAGCATTGGTGGCTTTATAAGAAGATGAAAAAACAGAGAGAGAGAGAGAGAGAGAGAGTTCTCTCTCTTTACCATACAAGGACACCACAAGAAGGCAGCTGTCTACAAGCCAGGAAGAGGGCCTTCACCGGAACCAGAATCAGCCAGCACCTTAATATTAGACTTCCAGCCTCCAGAACTGTGAGAAAATAAATGCCGGTTGTTTAAACCACCCAGGCTATGGTATTTTGTTATGGCAACCTGGACTGACTAATACACAAGGTATATTAAGGACCTTGCATAGTGTTTGGCTCATTCTAAATGCTCAATAAATAAATAAGATTCATAACAATGAATATATTAATTAGCAATAAGTTAGGAAAATGAGATTGCCAAGGTCTTTGAATGACTAAACTGAGTATGTAATTTATTATCTGGACCATGGGGAGTTTCTGAGCAGGAAACAAAAAGAGGAAGCATATGTGTGCATAGCTCTGAGGTCAGTGTGACAATAGGGCATTACATAAGGCGGGATTCAGCAAACGTGAGGGTGCGTCAGGATCACTTCGAGGGCTTGTGAAAATATAGGTTGCTGCCACCTCTACTTTCTCTTTCAGATTCAGCAGGTCTGGGAAGGGGTTCAAGAATTTGCATTTCAAGTAAGTTCCCGGGAGATGCTGATGCTGCTTGTCTAGGGACCAGACTTTAAAAGAGGGAAGAAGAAAGATAAAGAGAGAAAAAACAGACAGAGACATTAGCATGACCTTTGGTCTGGAATGGCAGCAGAATGCTTGCTCTGCAGACATTCAGTCCACACTGTGATGGATGACGGAGAACGGAGGTGGTGCCTGGAGCTGCCAAAAGTAATTGCTTCAAGCATTGCACGCAATTATGGCATTGGTTTTTTTGGTTTTGTTTGGCTTTAAGGGTAAACCACTATAATTAGAAAACTTGCAAAATCCTGACTTACAAAGTGAGCAGATTTTCAAATCAGAGAAACTTCGTTTTCATGCCTTCTCCAAGTTGTGGATCACTGCTCAGAGATGACTATTTGGGGCCGGTTGCTAAGACTGTTACTAGTTGCAAGGTAATATCATACACAGTGCTGGTAAGGTCAGCTTGAGCTGCAGGCCCATTAGGATGTTTGGTTGAATGTGTGATGGTAGGAGTGAGATGGTCTGGTTTTTTTGTTGTTGTTTTTTTTTGTTTTTTTGTTTTTTTTTTTTCTGATTTTTCTTAGGACCCTGAGGTGAACATATGTGGTTTATTCCACATAGTGCTTATTTCTTCTTTACATTTGTACCTGCACTCTCCCTTTATCTTTCTTTGGGAAAATCCTTGTCACTGCATACTTCTTCTTCTTCTTTTTTTTTTTGTTGACAGAGTTTCACTCTGTTGCCCAGGCTGGAGTGCAGTGGTGTGATCTCAGCTCAGGCCAACCCCTGCCTCTGGGGTTCAAGTGACGCTCCTGCTTCAGCCTCCTGAGTAGCTGAAATTACAGACACGCATCACCACACCCAGCTATTTTTTCTATTTTTAGTAGAGACGGGGTCTCGCCTTGTTGGCCCTCAAACTCCTGACTCCAGGAGATCTGCCCACCTTGGCCTCCCAAAGTTTTGGGATTATAGGCATGAGCCACCACGCCTGGCACACTGCATACTGCTATATGGTGTCTGTCAGGCTGCTAAACTCCTCAGTCTTCCCGTAAGCCACAAGGTTGGCCATGGGATCGAGGTCTGCCCAATCCTAGTGTCTTCTCCCTTCAGACCCTGTGACTGGGCTAAGGAAGCTTGTGACCAGACCAGCCTATCAGAATCCTTCTCTGGGATTCATCCATAAACCAAAAGTAAAATTCTAAGTCCTCAGCCATTTTGATGGACCCCATCTCTTGGCCAAGGCATTCCAAAGTTAACCAGAAAAACTAGTTCAGGCCATGATGGGAAGAGGGAGTCAGACATGCTTCACCAAACCGTCCTCCCCTTTTGGAATTCAGGCTCACCTGACCAGCATTAACATCAACTCAACCTTAAGACTGATAGAACAGACGTTTTAAGTGTGATAAGAAACATTTACAATCTATTCTGTCTGCAGCCTGCCACCTGAGGCTTCATCTACATGATAAACCTTGGTGTCTACAATGCCTTATCACAACCCAGACATTCCTTCTGTTGATCCCAGGTCTTTAGATAATAACTCTTTCAACCAAATGCCAATCAAAAAGTCTCTGAATCTGCCTATGACCTGTGAGCGCCCCCGCTTCCAGTTGTCCTGCCATTCCAGACCGAACCAATACACATCTTACATGTATTGATTGATCTTCTTATGTCTCCCTAAAATGTAGAAAACCAAGTTGTAGCTCAACCACCTTGGGCACATGTTCTCAGGATCTCCTGAGGGTTGTGTCACAGGCCATTGGTCACTCATGTTTGGCTAGAATAAATCTCTTCAAATATTTTACAGAGTTTGACTCTTTTTGTTGACACACCTTTGGGCACCAGAAGAGAGAAATCACTGTTTCCTTGGACGGCCCTAAGATGTGATGATGTGAGTGAAGGATGCAGTTCACCCAACCCCATAAATGAATGGAGTCCTCTTGTAAGAGGGAATCAGCCCCAACCTACAGAGAAAAGAGAAGCTAAGTCTATGCAGGGGAGGGAGAAAGGGGGAAAGGAAGGAAGAAGAGATGGGGAGGGAGGAAGGGACAGTGGAAAAGAGGAAGGCAAGGGGAGGGAAAAGAGATCCTTGTCATTCGATTCACTAGCATCCCAAGGCTAATACCACATTCAAATTTTCACTCGCATGAGTCAAAAAAACTTCCCCATTTTACTTAAGCTTTGAGTTGGTTTCTGGCACTTTTAACTGAAAAGGTCTGAATAATAAAGTTCATCAATCCACTTGTAACCTAACTTCTAGAATTCAGGTTGTGCTGGGAAATTGCTAATTCAAAACTCAAGTGCCTACATCAGCGTGGGAAGGAGTCCTTTGGAGCTGTCTGAAATTTCAGGGCATTGTCCCCATTGGAAGCTTTGAACATTACACTTAGAAATGCTAATGAGAAAGAGAGAAAAGAGGGAGAGAGAGAAGGTTTAACCAATTTTCAAAAGCCAAAGTCAGTCTTTTTAGGAGAGAAAGGGGAAGAAAAAGGGATGGAAGACACTGGGAGTGTTTTTAGTGGCTGAGACAATGGAGGGTCTTCCTTACCAGGTAGTGAGGAATTTTTCCTACAAAAAAGACACGAGTGGCTTTTGTATTTGTAGACAGGACTAACCCTCCTGGGGGTGAGCTGATCAAGGTGAAATTATATAACCTATACAGTTAACTAAAGTGAATTCATCTCCATGCCCTCAGCAAGAAGAGTGAAAAAGAGGGCTGACATGGTGTTGGTTCTGCCCATCCTCACCTGCAAGGGGCATGTGAGAGCTGAAGTAATCAGATTTACTTCCTACCTCTCACGGTGCAAGCACCTCACTGTGCTAGTGGGCATTTGAAGGGATTTTCCAAATGCACCTTTAACTGTACACAATTTTCATCTTTGTAGAAATTTAGAACCCGACTCCCTAAATAACATGAGACATCACCATCACAGGCCTCATATTACAAGCCTGTACAGAGGGTGTGTGTGTGTGTATGTGTGTGTATGTGTATGTGTGTGCATATGTGTGTGTCTCAGAATATATCTGATGGTTATTTGAAGCTCAGTATTAATAAGCTATATAATAACTGGGTTCTATAGTATTTGAAATCAAAATCACTTTTAGATTCCTCTAGGCTCTTGTAAATGATAAGTACATCAAAATGCCTTGTGATGGCCTTCTGGGAAAAAATCCTCTCAGCCCAATTTACCAGGCAACTTTTATCCCATTGAATAAACTCGAGGCTCTAAGGCAGTGACTCTGCCATCAACAACATATATGAAAGCCTGCACTTTGTGGTTGGTCTGTTTTGTGTGAGGTGGGCACTTGCTGTTCTACTTGCCCAGTGGCACTTTTTAATTGGAATGATTTTTATTTGGTCTGATTTCCTGAAATAGAATACATCGCCTGCTTTAGAAACCCCAGATAGTCTATCAGCACAGACAGCAAATTGTCCTGGGGTTCTTGGCTTAGCTGTTTGTGGGGAGAAAGACTGCTGGGCAGGGTTTTGGCAGGGGGCAGTTGTAGCATATTCAAATCAGATATTGAAACAGTTTGTGTGTGTTTAGGAAGTAACCACAAATTTGACATGCCACCTCCACCCCAAACCCCAAACTGGTTCCATTCCAACAGGCAGTAGTCTCAAAGACTCTCTTAAATGGTTCATTTCTTCCTATTTACAACTCCCACAGTGAGCTGTTTTTTTAAGGGGAAATCAGTTTCTATGAACATCTAGGGCCCTGAGTGGGTCTTTGCTCTTTATTTGTCCTGCTTTGTTTAAACCAAAGAATACCTCAAGCCAGTAACCAGGCGAGCAGGGGCCTGTGACAGGCATGGTCACCTGAAATCCATTTATGCACAGGGATTGAAGGAGCAATCATATTCTAAATAAGGCTAATGAAGCTTTTTGTGAAAGCGCCAAAACCCACACACAAACGTCACCCTTGGCGTGTTCTCATTTCCACGGAGCAAAAGCAAAGGGGAGAAGGCTTACTGGGAAGCTGCCGCTGGCACATAGAATTAAGCAAAGGCTGTCCCATAGGTGTGCACAGCGGGCTTCTTTTCAGAGGGAGGATGAGGAGGAGGCAATGTGGTTCTTGCATACTAAGGGACTCAGTGTACTGCTCTAGGTGTGATTTTTCTTTTCTGTCACAATTGAGCCCAGTTTGAATTTCTCCCCTTACTTTCTTTTGGTTCACTCTTTTCCTTCATGGTAATCTTGCTGCTTAATGACCCTGGCCCCAGGCTTCCAAGGTAACTTGCCAAGAAGTTCAAGTTTACTTCTGAAGTCCATGGCTCTCACTTCCTCTTCCTTCGTCCCTCACCGCTTCTCACTTTTCTCCTCACACCTCCCGCACAACATCTGAAATATTCACTACCTCCAAGCGGCCCCGCTTTTGCAACCCACCCAAGCCTGTCATTTGTTTAAACGCTACTACTTATTTGGGTTTTGGCTCTGGGCCAGTCATCAGCAAACATTTTCTGAAAAGGGTTAGATAGTAAATAGTCTCAGCTTTTGAGCCACACTGTCTCTGTTGCAACCCTTCACTCTGTTATATCATGTAAATAGCCATCAACAATATGTAAATGAACAGGTAGGTGTGTCTGTGTTGCAATAAAACTTCATTTACAAAAAGAGGCAATAGGTTTGATTTGGCCTGATGGTCAAATGGAGTGAGTCCATGTGACATATGCAGGAAACTCACAAGGCTTTTAAGAATGGTATGTGCCCCAAAACACTGCCAGCTTGACCTGAAAGGGACAGAGAGAACAAAATGAAAGAAGGTTGTCAGATCACCAAAATTCTACAGACAGGAAACAGGTGGGTGAAACTACAGCTGCAAACAAGTATTACCCTTTATGAAGAAGGAAAGATGACTGTGAGAGCAGACCTTATAGGCTCTGAAGGCAGAGCTGAGAGCCATGCCTTGAAACCTAATGGAGTTTTTCTGGTTGGATTTAGAAAACATTTGGGACCAGGGACTCTTTTTTTTCTTTCCTTCTTCTCTCGTTTTGAATGGGAGTGCTGTTACCCTGGTGGAGTGTGTTTCATTTTGTATTTTGGGAGCAGATAATTTCTTTGCTAGCTTCATAGGTCCACAGATAGAGAGAAATTGTGCCACACACTGGACTATACCCAGAGCTTCACCCATGCCTATATTCGATGATTTATGTGATGAGAAATGAAACTTTTGACCTGATAAGACTTAGATGAGATTTTGGATTCAGGTTGATTGCTGTAATGGGTTGGGAGTTTTTAAGAATGGGTCAATGCAGTTGAGATAGACATAAAACTTTGGGAACAGACAGCATATTTTTGCAGGTTGAACAATGGCCTCCAGGCCAGCACGGTGGCTCACACCTGTAATCCCAACACTTTGGTAGGCTGAGGAAAGAGGATCACTCGAGCCCAGGAGTTCAAGACCAGCCTGGGCAATATAGTGAGATACTGTCTCTTTTTAAATTAAATAATAATAATAATAATGGCCCTCCAAAGATGTCCATATCCTAATCCCTGGAACCTGTGAATATATTACTTTCCACTGTAAAAGGAATTCTGCAGATGTGATTATGTTGAGGGTCTTGAGATGGGGAGGTTATCCTGGTGGGCCCAATGTAATCAGAAGAGTCCTTGTGAGAGATCAGCAGAAGCATCAGAATCAGAGAGAGAAGATGTAAGGATGGAAGCTGAGGTCAGAGAAAAGAGAAGATGCCACACTTCTGGCCTTGAAGCTGGAAGAAGGGACCACAAGCCAAGGAATGCCGGCAGTCTCTAGAAGTTGGACAAAGCAAGGAAGCAGATTTTCCCCTAGAGCCTCCAAAAGGAAGATAGGCTGACACCTTGATTTTAGCCCAGTATTTTTATTCCAGAACTATAGGATAATAAATTCACATTGTTTTAAGCCCACTGTGTTTGTCGTCTGCTGTGGGAAGTCAGGGACCCCAAATGGAGGGACCGGCTGAAGCTGTGGCAGAAGAACATAAATTGTGAAGATTTCACAGACATTTATCACTTCCCCAATCAATACTCTTATAATTTCCTATGCCTGTCTTTACTTTAATCTCTTAATCCCATCATCTTCGTAAACTGAAGATATATGTCACCTCAGGACCCTGTGATAATTGCATTAACTGCACAAATTGTTTGTAAAACATGTGTGTTTGAACAATATGAAATCTGGGCATCCTAAAAAAGAACAGGATAACAGTGATTTTCAGGGAACAAGGGAGATAACCATAAGATCTGACTGCCTGTGGGGCCAGGCAGAACAGAGTCATATTTCTCTTCTTGCAGAAGGCGAATAGGAGAAATATCGCGGAATTCTTTTCCCAGCAAGGAATAAACCTGGGAAAGGAATGTATTCCCAGGGGAAGGTCTGTAAAATGGCCGCTCTGGGAGTGTCTGTCTTATGCGGTTGAAGATAAGGGATGAAATACGCCCTGGTCTCCTGCAGTGCCCTCAGGCTTGCTAGGATTAGGAAATTCCAGCCTGGCAAATTCTAGTCAGACAAGTTGTCTGCTCTCTAACCTTGTTTCCTGTTAACATGTTTATCAATGACAATGTGTGCCCAGCAGGACATGGAACCTCATCAGTAATTCTGATTTCGCCCTGGCCTTGTGATCTTGCTCTGCCACTTGTCTTGTGATCTTTTATTGCCCTAGGAAGCATGTGATCTCTGTGACCCACTCCCTATTCGTACCCCCTCCCCTTTTGAAGTCCTTAATAAAAACTTGCAGTTTTGTGGCTCAAGGGGCATCATGGAACCTGCCGACATGTGATGTCACCCCCGGAGGCCCAGCTATAAAATTTCTCTCTTTTGTACTCTTTCTCTTTATTTCGCAGACTGGCCAACACTTAGGGGAAATAGAAAAGAACCTACATTGAAATATTGGGGCTGGTTCTTCCGATAGTGGTCATTTGTTATAGCAGCAAAAGAGACTAATACAGATTTTGCCATCCACTGATCTAAACATAAACTATGTGAGGGACTTTCATGCATTACCTTCTCCAGTCCTCACAACACCACTTTGAGGCAGGTATCAACAATATTCCCACTTGCAAGAGAGAAAATGCTGCTTGCAGAGATTGATTCAACAGTGTAGTTTATTGAACTTCAAAGCCCATGTTTCTGTCATATTGCTTGACTCAGGCAGACTTCCATTTTCCTTATTTCAGAGTGCCTCCACAACCCCCCTTAATGTTTACCAGTCCTGGGTCCCAATCTCTTGGAACTTTTTCCTCTGTTCCTATGCATGTGTTTTTCATTCACTCAGCCTACAGTTTCTGAGACCTACCAAGTACCAAGCCTTGGCTTAGGTTCCAAGATAGGTATATAAAAAAGATGCTTATTCCAGGCTGGATGGGGTGGCTCACACCTGTAATCCTAGCACTTTCAGAGGCTAAGGCAAGTAGATCACTTGAGCTCAAAAGTTCAAGACCAGCCTGGGCAACATGGCAAAATCTCATCTCTACACAAAATATAAAAACTAGCCAGGCATGGTGGTGCGTATCTGTAGTCCCAGCTACTCAGGAGGCTGAATTGGGAAGGATTGCCTGAGCCAGGGAGGTTGAGGTTGCAGTGAGCAGTGATCATGCCACTGCACTCCAATGTGGGTGACAGAGCAAGACCCTGTCTCATATATATATATATATATCCTCTCTCTCTCTCTCTCTCTATATATATATATATATATCCTCTCTCTCTATATATATATATCCTATATATATATATCCTATATATATATATATCCTATATATATATATCCTATATATATATATCCTATATATATATATCCTATATATATATATCCTATATATATATCCTATATATATATATCCTATATATATATATCCTATATATATATATCCTATATATATATCCTATATATATATCCTATATATATATCCTATATATATATCCTATATATATATCCTATATATATATCCTATATATATATATCCTATATATATATCCTAAATATATATATCCTATATATATATATATCCTATATATATATATCCTATATATATATATCCTAAATATATATATATCCTATATATATATATATCCTAAATATATATATATCCTATATATATATATATATCCTCTCTCTCTATATATATATATATATATATCCTATATATATATATAGCCTATCCTAGAAGAATCAACATCCCTCTCTCTGGTATTTGGGGATGGGACCTTTGGGAGATAATTAGATTTAGATGAGGTCATGAGCATAGAACCCTCATCACAAGATTCATGGCGTTACAAGGGGAGGAAGGGTGAGCTCTCTCTCTCTCTCTCTCTCTCTCTCTCTCTCTCTCTGCTGTCTGAAGACACAGCAAGAAGGTGTCTGTCTGCAAGCCAGAAAGAGAGCCCTCATCAGAAAAATGAATCAGTAGGCACCTTGATCCTGAATCTCCCAGCCTCCAGAAATGTGAGAAAGAATTGTCTGTTGTTTAAGCTATTTACTCTATGGTATTTTGTTATTGCAGCCTGCGAAGATGCAGACAATCTACAAAGCAAAAACAAAACCCTAAAAACAGCACTTGGGCTAGTAGCTGAAAGAGGCTTACACATTTGTAATAAGTGGGCTAAGCAGGAAGCAGGACAGCATGGATTGGTAGGCTGACTCTTAGATGGCCTCAAGGATCCTCACCTCCTGGTATGTCTGCCCCTGTGATCCCACTGTGTGATGGTGGGTTGGCCAAGCAACTTGCTTTTAACCAATAGAATATAGCAAAGGTGATAACGTGTCACTTCCATGATTATGTTACATAAAATTGCAATGTCCGTATTGCTAACAGTCTCTCTCCTTTGCTAGACTTGTTGAAGCAAGTTGCCATGTTGTGAGCTATCCTACAGTGAGGCTCAACTGGCAAGGAACTGAGGGTGACCTCCAGCTGACAGCAAGTAGGGACCTGAGGCTCTGTCTTACAACCTAAAAACAACTGGATTCTGCCAACAGCCATGTGAACTGGAAAGTAGCTCAGTTGAGCATTCAAATGAGACCTCAGTCCTGGCCAAAACCTTGGTTGTAGTTATTCAGAGGACCTCCTAAGTTGTGCCCAGATTCCTTACCTACAGATACAGTGAGAAAACAAATGTATGCTGTTTTAAGCTGCTAAGTTGTGATAATTTGTTATACAGCAATAAATAACTAATGCAAGTTGAGAGCATGGGTTTAGACTCATTGAACAAACATTGTGGGTTCAAATTTTGCCTTGACTGCTTACTCTTGTAATCTTGGGCATGCCACTCAGAGGCTTAGTTTTCTTATGTGCGAAATAAGACAATACCAGAGCCTACCACATAACAAGTATTCAATTATTGCTAGCTGTTATTATTTTTTAAGTGCTAAGGAATCACAGAAGAGGGAAATTTAATTTTCTCTGAAATCAGAGCAAAATAATTAAAACTAACACTTGTATTGGGCTCTCAGATTTACAAAGGCTCACATAGGAATTACTGATTTTAATCCTTACTGTGGTGTTTCCTGACTATGGGCAATTTTGTTTCCCAGGAAATATTTGGAGATGTTTTTGGTTGTCACAACCGGTAGAAGGTGCTACTGGCATCTAGTAGCTGGAGAATAGAGATGCTGATAAACATCTTGTAATGCACAGGGTAGTCTCCCTACACACATACACACACACACACACACACACACACACACACACACACACACACAGAATTATCTAACCAGAATGTTGATAGTGCTGAGGTTGAGAAACTGTGCCTTAGTAATCTTGTGAGAGAGGGTGTGCTTATCATGCATGACTCCTAGATGAGAAAACTGAAGCTAAGAAAGGTTGAATTACAGAATGTTGAGGTTGGGGGTCAAGTAGGTGGTATGTGGCAGGGCTGTAGAAGGCTTTGCCGCCAGGCCCCAAATGCATTGCTTTTTCTTCACCCCAACTTGACCTACTAAGCCTGTCTGGAGGCCCACTGATTTCAGCCCAGAGACAATGAACAGAATGTATCAGCCTACAGGAGTAATGGTGAAGGCTTAAGGCATTGGGCCAGGTCGGGACAGAATTTGTTCAGGAGCAGATAGATTCAATCCTACTTGGTAGAAGGGTGAGATTAGAGTGGAGGGGCCTATTCCATCAGAATCCAGAGACATTCTTGCCTATGTAAAAACTCTGTATTCTTATATAGAGATATCTTGATATTCTTTTTCAACTCTTGAGATTTCGAGCTAACAAAGACATTCATTCAACCAACATGTTTGATCATTGTTTCTGCTTAGACATCATTAAGACCTTCCACGGAGCTGGCATTTTACAGTTCCAATTGTTCCCCAATAGTAACCCATATAAACCTCTCAGTAGACAGTTGTGTTCCCATTTGACAGGTGAGGAAACTGAGCCTTGGAGAGGAATGCAATTGTATATCAAAGGGCACAAAGTTTTCAAAGGGCAGAGCTGGGTTCTAAACCCGGGCTTTTAACATCAAGTCCACATTAACTTCCACGCTAGCACTGAGCTCCCTATAACGGAGTTTGGGATATTTGCAGGAAGGGAGTGTAAAGCATTTCCTATTTTCAAGGAATTTGCTATTTAAAGGAGGAAACAATTGTAGTAGGTGAGTAAAATTAAAAGGAGAGTGAAAACACATACTTAAAATGGTTTCAAACAACACACTCCTGGGAGCACAGGGGAAAAAACAAAAAAATAGTTCTCAGGGGTGGGGCTGGGGGAAAAGGAGCTGGAAAGTCTTCAGGGAAGAGGTGACACTTGAGCTGTGCCTTAAATTGCAGGCAGAACAAAAAGCCAATGCCCCAAATCAAACAATAGATTCACTTGTTAAAAGTGATTACTGCCTCCAGATGCTGAAAGAAAAAAATTTCTAATTCCACTGTAACCAGTCCTCAGCGACAGAGCCTTAGGATTTCACGCATGTTCTTATTATTGCTCCTTTTTCTCCTTGCATGATTCGACAGCCAGGCAGCCTGCGTTCTATGCGCTTCTGATCAGGGCTGAAGATCTGCTGCATTTGGCTTGTCTTGTGATTTATTTTGCGGTGTGATTATACTAAGTTTATGAGACAAGAATCTTATCACCACTATCAGCACTTTTGCTTTTCCATTTTCGTTCATTTTTACAAAATAATAAGAGCAATGAGCTCCTAAAATAGTCAAATAATCACACAAACCAACACTCTACTGGGCAGACAACAACAGCAATGTGAAAAATGGAACCCTTAGCCAACAGACCACACACTCGGATGCCATCGTTTGAAGCACTGATTCAACTGTTGAAAAACAGAAACCCAATTTCTGCATGTGAAGGGTGATTCGGGCCTCTCAAGGCAGAAAGCATAACTGTACAGGTGACATAATATATTCATTTATTAATTCACTTAATAAATATCTACTAAAGACCTTTTCATTTCCAGACATTGTTTCAGGAAATGGGATATAGCCATGAAATTGACATATAAGGTCCCCATCCTCATGGAACCTCCAGACTAGATGGGGAGATGGACAAGAAGTAAGGTAAATTCAGGCTGGGTGCGGTGGCTTACGCCTATAATCCCAGCACTTTGGGAGGCCGAGACGGGTGGATCACTTGAAGCCAGGAGTTCGAGACCTGCATGGCCAACATGGTAAAACCCCTTCCTCTACCAAAAATACAAAATATTAGCCAAATCTCAGCTACTTGGTAGGCTGAGGCATGAGAATTGCTTGAACCCAGGAGGCAGAGGTTGCAGTGAGCCAAGATCATGCCACTGCACTCCACCCTGAGTGGCAGAGTGAGACTTTGTCTCAATAATAATAATAATAATAAGGTAAATTAAAATTGTGATAAATACTACGTAGGGTCACCAGATCAAATACAGCTGCAGTCCCCAAAGTTTTTGGCACCAGGGAGCAGTTTGGTGGAAGACAATTTTTCCACAGACCAAGGGTGAGGGCCCAGGGGGATGGTTTTGGGATCATTCAAGTGCATTACATTTACTGTGCACTTTATTTCTATTATGATTATATTGTACATTCTACAACTCACCATAATGCAGAATCAGTGGGAGCCCTAAGCTTGTTTTCCTGCAACTAGACAGTCCCAACTGAGGTGATGGGAGACAGTGACAGATCATCAGGCGTTAGATTCTCATAAGGAGCCAGCAACCTAGATCCCTCACATACGCAGTTCTCAATAGGGTTCGTGCTTCTATGAGAATCTAATGCCACTGCTGATCTGACAGGAGGTGGAGCTCAGGCGGTAAAGCAAGCGATGGGGAGTGGCTGTAAACACAGATGGAGCTTTGCTCACTCACCCGCTGTTCACCTCCTGCTGTGAGGCCCAGTTCCTTACTGGGAGTTGGGAACCCCTGAAATACAGGATGTCCAGTTAAATCTGAATTTCAGATAAACATCAAAATTTTTTTAGTGTATGTACATCCCAAGTATTGCATCCTAGCTGCAATATTGTATTTTTACTAGCTAACTCAGGCAACCTGAGCACTAAGAAAATAAATGGTGTAACTGGAGAGTTATATCACACAGGGCTCCACCACAGAAAAAGAACCAGTAGAATATATTAAGAGATTTATTGCAGAGAATTGTCTTGAGCAGGTATAGGAGCTGGCTAGGCCAGTCTGAAATCTGTAGAACTGGCTATCAGGAAGGATGGCTGGAAGTCTTGAGCACAACTGAATCTGCTGTTGAAAGACAGAATTTCATCTTCCTCAGAGAAACCTCAACTCTAGTTTTAAGACCTTTCAACTGATTAGGTCAGGTCCACCCAGACTATGGAGAATAATTTTCCTTACTGAAAGATTATGGACTTTAATCACACCCACAAAATACCTTCCCAGAAACACCTAGACTAGTGCTCCATTGAATAACTGGGAGCTATAGCCTAGCCATGCTGACACATACAACTGACTGTCACAGATGGGAAAGGGAGGGGTGCCCACACAGGGAAGGCTTCTCTAAGAGGTGGGGTCATTTGAATTGATACGTGAACATTGAAACACTGAGCATTAAACTGCCATTCTAAGAGCCATGAGATGAGAATATTCCAGATGGAAAGAAAAGCAGATGGAAAGGATCTCAGATGGGAAAGAATCTGTCTTATTTTAGGAACAAAAGGAAGGTCAATGTGTCTGGAGTGGAGTGATCAAGGGGCACAGTGGTACCTGAGTGAGTGGGAGAGGAGGACAGAAGCTGGGTTGTGCACAGTGATGTATAAAAGTCAAGTTTATAGAACTCCAGATTACTACTTATTACTACTTATAAAAAGATGGTGATGGTTAGAGAAATTAGAGCAGGTCTCTGAAGAAGCTTCTACCTGAGTATTTCTGGGTATCAAATTGGTATAAAGGTGTCTATTTGCTGGCTCAAAAAAAGTGCTTAAGGCATGGAACTTAAGAAAGCCTGAACATCACCAAATTGAAATGATCTAGGACTCCATAAAGTCAGACCATCCCTTATTATTAGGTTGGTGTAAAAGTAATTGTAGTTTTTGCCATTGAAAGTGATGGCAAAAAAATTATTGTTTCAGAAAAGCAATCTTCTCAAGAGCTGAAGAACAAGCTTAATAGCTGGGGAACCTCCATGGGACATCTCCAGTCTAGAGGTTTTCCTTAACCAGTCTTTGCATTCCAGGGCCTTTTGAAGGCTAGAGTTGTCAGATGGCAAACCAATTGTTTACATGAAGCCGCTCAATATGAGTCAACACTTTCTGTGTCTTGGGGACTTACAACTTGCTTAAGGAAAGATTGCAACAATTTTCCTTAAACAAACAACAAATCAGTTTTACATATTGATACTGAATTGTAATTCCACAGACAGCTTTGTCTCCTGGCTATTGTAAATATGTTTGTGAACCCTCAGTATTGGTGATGTGCAGAAAACATTATTACCTAGGCCAGCTGGAAATTCCTGATATCAATAACTTTTCCGAATTTGCCTGTTGCCTACAACTTAAACCAGGATTCCTCCAAACTGGATAAAAGAACTTCGGGAAAATCACTTATTTTCTCTGAATCTAGGTTTCCCTATCTATTATGGGAAAAAATGAAGATTTTTCAACTCTCTGAGTTATCTTTTGACCCAGAAATTCTGGTTCCATGAGAATTCTGTAGATAATATGTAGATTATCTCCAGTATTTTGTTTCAATTCAGTAGACAGAAGAGGCAAGAAATGTTGATACCTGTTATATGTCATGTGCTAGAGCAATTTTGCTTCCTAAAATCTTCATGATGGATTCTTCCTGTTCTATCTCCCCACCCCCACTAATAATCAAATAATGATCTATTGTAGCACAAAAAATTACCCCTAAAATCTAGTGGCTTAACACAAAAAAAATATTTACTATCTCCACAATTTCTGTGAATTAGGAATTTGAGACATAGCTGGGCTCTGGCTTAGGGTCTCTCATGTAGTTGCAGTCAAGATGCCAGCTGGGTCTATGGTCAACTGAAGGTTTAACTGGGGCAGGAGGAGCACATGGCTGTTGGTGGAAGCCCTCAATTTCTCACCATATGGCCTCTCCATATACTGTTTGGTATATCCTCATGACATGGCAGCTGGCTTTTCCCAGAATGAGTGACCTAAGAAAGAAGGAAGCTTAAGTGTGTCTTATGATCTAGTCTTGGAAGTCATACATGATCAGTCTCATTATATCTACTGGTTAGAAGTAAATCAGTAAGTCCAGCCCCACACTCAAGTCGGGGATGGAAATTAGGAGGACTGCCAAGCACTTTTGGACATATTTTAAACCACCAAAGTTCTGTCTTGTGTGTGTGCCAGAGAAACTTCACTCCCTAAGACCCTGATGATATTGTTCTTCCAACTCTATCTTCCCAACCTCACCCCTACTAGATAAATAGTATTTAGCCTATAACTTTTCTCTCCTTCTGTCTTGTATAATTTATTCTGAGCACAATGTGGCCTTGCTTAAGAAAACCTGAACATCAAAAATACTCCTCTTTTGCTGCTTTCAAGTTTTTAACTCCCTTGGTAGTAATTGGCAAATCTTCCCTTCCCCACCTCTTAGGTAGTCCATTGCATGAGGATAGGGTAAGGGGAAAGTAGAGGTTAAAATAAGGGATATTTTTTTCTTTAGCCCTTTGATATGGTTTGGCTGTGTCCCCACCCCAATCTCATCTTGAATTCCGACATGTTATGGGAGGTGCCCAGTGGGAGGTAATTGAATCATCGGGGCAGGTCTTTCCTCTACTGTTTTTGTGACAGTGAATAAGTCTCATGAGATCTGATGGTTTTTAAAACGGAGAGTTTCCCTCCACAAGCTCTCTTTACCTGCTGCCATCCACATAAGATGTGACTTGCTCTTCCTTGCCTTCTGCGATGATTGTAAGGCCTCCCCAGCCACGTGGAACTGTGGGTCCAATTAAACCTCTTTCTTTTGTAAATTGCCCAGTCTCAGGTATATCTTTATGAGCAACATGAAAACTGACTAATACACCCCTTTAGACAGATGAACCACTTTATGCACCATTGCATCCAGTGGTAGATTGTGCAGAAATATTCCAGGACCAGGCTGGCCAGAGGATGGCCTTCTCAAATAGCAGCCAGCATATGTGATCAGAGGGATTTTGACACACAGAAAGACATCCAGGGATGCATGCACACAGAGAAAATGTGTGCACACAGAGAGGACACAGTGAGAATGTGGCCATCTGCAAGCCAAGGAGAGAAGCCCCAAGAAATCATATTTGCCGACACCTTGATTTTGGACTTCCAGCTTCCAGACTATGAGAAAATAAATTTCTGTTGTTTAAGTCACCCAGTCTGTAGTATTATTTTACGGAAGCCCTAGCAAGCTAATATAGCTGTCAATGTAAACTCTCAAAAGTAAATCAGATCATGTCACTCCTGTTTAAAAATCCTTGAAGGGCTTCTCACCGCACTTAGAATAAAATCTGCACTCCTTAATGTGGGCTATGTCAGCCAGTCACTGCTTATCTTTTCAACTCATCTACCACTAAGCTTCTCCAGCCCACAGTGCTGCAGTCACAGTGGCCTTTCAACAAACTGTCCTGCAGTCATGCCACGTTCTTTTCTTCCTCATGGCCTTGGCATTTGTTGTTCTTTCTGCCTAGAAGCCCTACCTAGTGCTTTTTACCTAGTTGGTACTAAAATCATTCTTCAAGATACATTAATAGTTTCAAAATCATCTCCTCAGAGAGATCCTCCAGACCACCTGTGGAGTCTGTTCCCCTCTCCATGCATCTAGGCTGGCCTCAGTGACTCATTTGAACAGTCACATGCAGCAAAAGTAAACTATGGAGACGTTCAAGTCTAGATTATATCAAGATTTGCAGCTTCCACCTTGCCTCTTGGAATACTAACTCTGAGAACCCAACAATCACACTGTAAAGAAGCTCAAGCAGCCACATGGGAAGTACTAAAACCCATGGGTGTCAGGCAGTCGAGGCTGAGTCTCAGCTCACAACCAGCACCAACTTGCCAGCCTCGTGAATGAGCCAGCCCTAGCTGAGCCTCCCCAGCTGACACTCCATGGAGCAGAGATGTTTGTTTTGACCATTAAGTTTTGAAGTGATCTGTTACACAGTAATAGATCATAAGAACACCACTTTATGTAACATACCACCCTGACTGATTAACATCTACTGCACCATTGTTTTATTCCCTTCATAGCACCTGCCACAATCTGAAATTGCCACATTTATTTAACTTCTTTATTTCCTATTTCCCACCACCACTAGAATATAAACTCTACGAAGGCAGGCAACCTGGCTTTGTTATTCATCACTAAATCCATAATAGAGTAGATGCTCAATAAAGACTGACTGAATGAATAAATGAAGGAGTGAAAAAGTGAATTAATGAACTCACTTCAAGCCCTTGATTCAGAATGATAAGGGAAGGGGCCTCTTCTGCCTAGTTAAATCAATACAGTTGACAAAATATTGAATCAATGATGTCCTCAGCCTCCTTGGTTTGCACTGGGCTCTTCATTCTTCTGCAGTGAACACTCTTTCCCCTATAGTCACATTCACTTGGCTTGGAATTTGAGATCCATCCAGTGAGGAACAGTTCACTCGAATAAAAGAATCTTGTTTCTGAAGAGCTGTGAATGAACAAAGGCCTGGAGCTCTGTGGCACTGTGGAAAACCAATGAACCTGCTGCCTCATTCTCTTTTAAAGGGAAGTGCCATGTTTGCATTTTCATCAGAACTTCAATTTTACCCTCTGTATCTCTTACCTTTTCTTTCCCTCTTTTCTCCCTCTCTCTTTTCCTTTGAATGCATAGAATACTAAAAAGATTAAAAGGCCTTGGAGTGTATGGAATGTACCTACAGGGTGATATTAATATCAACATCCTAGAAAGAAAACGGACCCAAATGCAGACCCATCTAAGTTGATTTTGGCAAAATGAGGTGCCAACCTTTGAAACTATCAAATCCTCCCCTCCTGTAGAATTTCTCCACCACTGACAGGACACATATTTCTCCTATCCTTGCCCTGCAATATCCCTTCTAAAACTAGATAGATAGATAGATAGATTATAGATAGATAGAGAGATAGATAGATAGATTATAGATAGATAGATAGATTATAGATAGATAGATAGATAGATAGATAGATAGATAGATAGATAGATAGATATGGTTTGGCTTTGTCCCCACCCAAATCTCATCTTGAATTCTCACGTGTTGTGGGAGGGACTTGGTGGGAGGGAATTGAATCGTGGGGGCAAGTCTTCCCCATGCTGTTCTCATGATAGTGAAAAGTCTCACAAGATCTGATGGTTTTAAAAAGAGGCGTTCCCCTACACAAGCTCTCTCATTTTTTGCCAGCTGCCATCCACATAAGTTGTGACTTGTTCCTCCTTGCCTTCCACCATGATTGTGAGGCTTCCCCAGCCACATGGAACTGTAATTCCAATTAAATCTCTTTCTCTTGTAAGTTGCTCAGCCTTGGGTATGTCTTTATCAGCAGCATGAAAACATACTAATACAGTAAATTGGTACCAGTAGAGTGGGACACTGCTGAAAAGATACCTGAAAATGTGGAAGCGACTTTGGAACTGGGTAACAGGCAGAGGTTGGAACAGTTTGGAGGGCTCAGTAGAAGATAGGAAAATGTGGGAAAGTTTGGAACTTGCTAGAGACTTGTTGAATGGCTTTGACCAGAATGCTGATATGATATGGCCAATGAAATCCAGGCTGAGGTGGTCTCAGATGGAGATGAGGAATTTGTTGGGAACTGGAGCAAAGGTGACTCTTATTATGTTTTAGCAAAGAGACTGGCAGCATTTTGTCCCTGCCTTAGAGATTTGTGAAACTTTGAGCTTGAAAGAGATGATTTAGGGTATCTGGCAAAAGAAATTTCTAAGCAGAAAAGCATTCAAGAGGTGACTTGGGTGCTGTTAAAGGCATTCAGTTTTATAAGGGAAGCAGAGCATAAAAGTTCAAAAAATTTGCAGCCTGACAATGGGATAAAAAAGAAAATCCCATTTTCTGAGAAGAAATTCAAGCTGGCTGCCGAAATTTGCATAAGTAACAAGAAGCCGAATGTTAATCACCAAGCAGTGGGGAAAATGTCTCCAGGGCATGTCAGAGGTCTTCACAGCAGCCCCTCCCATCACAGGCCCTGAGGCCTAGGAGGAACAAGTGGTTTCATGGGCATGCTGTGTGCAGCCTAAGGACTTGGTACCCTGAATCCCAGCCATTCCAGCTGTGGCCGAAAGGGGCCAACGTAGAGCTCAGGCCATGGCTTCAGAGGGTCCAAGCCCCAAGCCTTGGCAGCTTCCACATGGTGTTGAGGCTGTGAGTACACAGCAGTCAAGAGTTGAGATTTGGGAATCTCTGCTTAGATTTCAGAAGATGTATGGAAATGCCTGGATGCCCAGGCAGAAGTTTGTTTCAGGGGTGGGGTCCTCATGGAGAACCTCTGCTAGGGCAGTGTGGAAGGGAAATGTGGGTTCAGAGCCCCCACACAGAGTCCCCACTGGGGCACTGCCTAGTGGAGTTATGAGAAGAGGACCACTGTCCTCCAGACCCCAGAATGGTAGATCCACTGACAGCTTGCACCGTGTGCCTGGAAAAGCCACAGAAATTCAACACCAGCCCATGAAGGCAGCTGGGAGGGAGGCTGTACCCTGCAAAGCCACAGGAGTGGAGCTGCCCAAGACCATGGGAACCCACCTCTTGCATCAGCATGACTTGGATGTGAGACATGGAGTCAAAGGAGATCATTTTGAAGCTTTAATATTTGACTGCCCTGCTGGATTCTGGACTTGCATGGGACCTGTAGCCCCTTTGTTTTGGCCAATTTCTCCCATTTGGAATGGCTGTATTTACCCAATGCCTGTACCCCCATTGTATCTAGGAAGTAACAAATTTGCTTGTGATTTACAGGCTCATCGGTGGAAGGGACTTGTCTTGTCTCAGATGACACTTTGGACTGTGGACTTTTGAGTTAATGCTGAAATGAGTTAAGACTTTGAGGGACTGTTGGGAAGGCATGATTGGTTTTGAAATGTGAGGACATGAGATTTGGGAGGGGTCAGGGGCAGAATGATATGGTTTGGCTGTGCCCCCACCCAAATCTCATCTTGAATTCCCATGTGTTATGGGAGGGACCTGGTGGGAGGGAATTGAATCATGGAGTCAAGTCTTTCCTGTGCTGTTATTGTGATAGTGAATAAGTCTCACAAGATCTGATGGTTTTAAAAAGAGGCATTCCCCTGCACAAGCTCTCTCATTTTTTGCCAGCCACCATCCACGTAAGATGTGACTTGCTCCTCCTTGCTTCCATCATGATTGTGAGGCTTCCGCAGCCATGTGGAACTTTAATTCCAATTAAAACTCTTTCTTTTATAGGTTGCTTAGCCTTGGGTATGTCTTTATCAGCAGCGTGATGATATACATACATACATATATATATATATATAGAGAGAGAGAGAGAGAGAGATAGATAGATAGAGTACATAAATAGATACATAGATAGGTGTAGACAGATAATAGAAATTTCTTCCACTCTCTTTCCCCCAGGATAGATTCCTTTCCCCAAAAGTCATTTCTGCACCCAAAACAGAGACACCAAGAAACTGCTTGATGTTGGTGGTTTTGAGTTGGATTGTGTGTCTGCCCAGCCAGTCTTGACTGGTCAAGTTGGAACACATGGGACAGGAGAGGGATAGGATCCCAACATTCACATAGAGCCTGACTTCACTGCTATGCCTACCAGCCAGCCAACAGAAACCAAGAGAGAGGGATTTGGAGCCATGCCTTTCCAGGGATCTATCCAAAGGCATTTGTAGGTCAGGGTCTGGAACAAGTTGCCATCTAGGCCAACCACCTGTGACTCAGCTCATTCCAACATTTTAATACGAGTAATACCTGGTTAAAAATGAACACCAGAAATGACTGAAAGGAATTCAAGAGCCAGGTGTCAAAGGGCAAGAATTAGCTTATTCCCTCTTGACATGGTTATGGCAAGAGGTTTATTAACCTAGTCTGCCATGGCAGACATTGTCAGGACCCTCCTGTACCCCGCATTCTTACCACTTTTATGCATACTGGCCTGACTTCCAACTGCTGGCATCTCTGTTTTTTTGCCTGGGAGTTTCTCTTCCTGACGGAACCCCCCCGAGAGCAGCCCTCAACCAATTACTAATGGGATTGGGTATATAAATACCCTAGCCCCCTCACCCTTGGAGCAGGATACCTCAGAGGCACATTTCTACACTGAATCCTAGAGTTTCCTCAGTGGGACTAAGCTCTAGTCACCCACAGGAGTAGCTAGCTTGAAAACATACCCTTTATTAACTTTTATCCCTTCCTTCTCTTCACCTTGACCTGCCTCCTAATGTCCCCTTCCTTCCCAAATCTCAAACTGTCTCCACTCTAATCCTTGTCTTACAGATGATTTCTGGAGGAACCCAAACTAACACAGCTAGGTATTCATTCACAAGCATCCCTCCAATTCGTCCTATATAGCAAAGGCTGTGGCCCATACCTTAGGGGCTTTAAAACCTAGCTGGCAATACCAGTTTATCCAGTCAAGACAATACAAGACTCTATGTGTTAGGAGCTCTGTCAGGGAGCCCCTGTGTCATATACAGAGAGAAAGAGCAATGACAGCAAAGTTGTCCAGCCAACTGCTCAGCTGGAGCCCCATGGCAGAGTCTTCACCTGGGTCTTTATCTATGTGCATCCAAAATCTCTCCGGGAGAGATGCAACTCTGTAAGCTGACCAGCATGGAGATATGGTTTTAAAAAGCCACATTAAAGACTCACATTGACCATGCCCCCAAGAGTCTGGGATATAAATCAGAATGCGAATTGTGAACTTACAGTAAGTGAATTTATGCCAGCTGCCAGGCAGGCTCAGGAACACTAATATAGCCTTAGCAGCATTTCTCCTCCCCCACAGGAAAGTGCCTGGTTGAAGCTAGCTTGCAATCCCAAAGTCAGAAGGTTGCCTGGGAAGCCATGAAACAAAGCCAAATCAAGGCAAAGCAGACACATGGAGATTTTGAGACTGAGAAGAGGAAAACTGAGGACATTCATGTGAGATGGTTTCAAGTTTCCCTTAGAAGGAGAAGTTATCTTCAGAAGGTCAGGTTGGTGAGGTGGGAGTTCAAAAACAACAAAGTATGTAGCTACCATTGTGAGGAAGACCATGGAAAATGGACGAATCAGAATGAAAGGCTTTCTGAACAAGAGTAAGTACCCCCACTGATGTGGCTTGGTGGTATCACCACCCAAATCTCATCTTGAATTGTAGCTCCCACAATTCCCACGTGGTGTGGGAGGGATCTGGTGGGAGGTAATTGAATCATGGCGGGGGGGGGTCTTTCCCATGCTGTTCTCATGATAGTAAATAAGTTTCACAAGATCTGATGGTTTTATAAAGGGGAGTTTCCCTGCACAAGCTCCCTCCTGCCTGCTGCCATGTGAGACCTGCGTTTTGCCTTCCACCATGACTGTGAGGCCTCTTCCCCGGCCATGTGGAACTGTGAGTCCATGAAACCTCTTTTTCTTTATAAATTACCCAGTGTCAGGTATATCTTTATCAGCAGCGTGAAAACAGACTAATACACCCGCCTTTGCCACCACCCACATTAAAACAACTTTAACTTCAACCTAGTCAAAGTATATGGGCTTCCCAATCAGGCAGATTCACGGTTTCATTCTACTCCACCAGATATTAGCTGTGTGTGGATGTTAGTCTCTGGGCTTTGTTTCTAAAATGTATGTAATAATGCACCAGGTTCTAAAATCCGGTGAGAATTCTGTGAGATTATGCATGCAAAGTGCTGAGCATGGGGCCTGGCTCATAGAAAGTATCAAATAAGTGGTAGACAAGTTGTCATTTTCACTTGTGGTTGATAATTTCCACTTTTGCCTTTCTGCAGCCCAGAGACAGAAGCAGATAATGCAAGTGTCATCTACATCTGGCAAAAGCCAAAGGTTTGGAAGATGGAAAAAGGAATCCAGGCAAAAAGGAGCCCAAGATTGAAGTGAATGACCAGGTGCACCAGTTCAAATGCAATCAGGAGGGACAGGGGTAGAGGGAGAAGCCTAGAGCAGCGCTTCTCAAACTGACTATTCAAGTCACCTGGAGATCTTGGTGAAATGCAGACTCTGGTGCAGTAGGTCCTGGCGGGAACTTGAAATTCTGCATTTTGACCAAGGTCCAAGGTGAATGTCCAGTGCTGTTGTCCTTGGCCTGCAGCAGGAGGAGCAGGGATCTAAGACTTGGAGAGCAAATGTCAAGCTCAGAAGAAAGACTGGAAGTTTGGGGACAAAACCCAAATATGGCTAAAGAAAGCCTGTAGGTAAGCTTTGAGTTGTATTTTCCATCGCATCTGAAGCTGTGCTGGCCAACATGGTAGTCACTGGCCCTGTGTGGCTATGGGCTAGTCCTAATGGACATGTGCTCTAACATGTAAAATACACACTGGATTTTCAATACTTGGTACCAAGAAAATAATGTAAAATATCTCAATACTTTAAAAACATTATTGCATGTTGAAATAATATTTTAGATATATTGGGCTAAATAAAATATACCCATATTACTGAAATTAACATCACCTGTTTCTTTTTACCTTTTCTTTTTTATTTTATTTTTATTTTTATTTTTTTGAGGCGAAGTTTTTGCTCTTGTTGCCCAGGCTGGAGCGCAATGACATGATCTCAGCTCACTGCAACCTCCGCCTCCCGGGTTCAAGCAATTCTCCTGCCTCAGCCTCCCGAGTAGCTGGGATTACAGGCGACTGCCACCACGCCCAGCTAATTTTTTGTATATTTAGTAAAGATGCAGTTTCACCATGTGGACCAGGCTGGTCTTGAACTTCTGACCTCAGATGATCCACCCGCCTCAGCCTCCCAAAGTGCTGGGATTACAGGCATGAGCCACCACGCCCAGCCTACCTTTTCTTTTTAATATAGCTACTAAAAAAATTAAAATTACATTTGTGGCTTATGTTAAATTGAGCAGCACTAGTCTAGAAAGGGTTTCTCTCTCTCGCCTTCTCTGAGCTTCTGCCCAAAACCCCACTCTCAGCAATTCCTGTAGTGTCCCAGGGAAAACTCTAGAGAGGTTTATTGCTCTGAAGGGGAGACAGGCAGGACTGTGCGAGGGAGCTGTTTGGGAGGAACAAGGTAGAAACATGCCAAGTCATTCTCTGCAACAGAAGAGCCATAGCCATGGGGCCGGCTGGGAGGCCTGGATCCTGGAGATGCCAGCCTGCCATGCTCCAGTGCCTTCTGTCTGGGCCTCGTCAGTCCTTTCTCATGTTCTCCTTCCTATCCTGGGCGACAGGTAATTAGCAGGGCCAGCTGGCAGCCTCCACCGGGCACTGCCGCCAGAGAGCCGGCAGCCGGCCTGCAATTACTGTAATCCTGGCTTGGCCTCCAAAGAGAGCTCTATTCAGCAATCCCTCTGCAAATTGGCTTGAGGTGATGGGGCTTGTAATCTGTACATTCTCTGGGTGCCTCCTGGCAATGAAAGGCCTACAGAAGAAAGTCTCCAGTGTGCCTACCTGCAGCAGACTTCCTTTGGTAAATAACTGGGCAGCTGGGACTAAGTCTTTGCCTGTTGGTGGCATGGAGGGGTGATATTTGAAATGTCTCACCCAAGCCATATATTCCCAACGGTTTTTTTTTTTATGTGTTCCCAGTATCTCCTCTTTCCAGAAAGCGTTTCCCAGGACGAGCAGCCAGTCCTTCTAACTCCAGGAAGCTTGTACAGGGCAGATCCCAGGCACCTCTGAAATGTGTTAAGAATAACTCTAGAAAATCCATGAACTTTAGTTCCATGAAGGTAGTCTGGCCCTAGAAGGGAATGAGAAGAAAGGCTACTTTATGAAATGGAAACTGTCGGCAAAGACAGGTGGTAGCAAGTGCAAGGCATGCTGGGCTGAACAGACAAAGGATGTGCAAAGAGACTGCAGAAAGGTCCTTATTTTCACTGGGCTAACCCTTTAGCCTCTCAAGCTTCAGTTTTCCCATATGCAACACGGGCATAATAGTAGCATGTATTTCACAGGGCTGCTGTGAGAATTAAATGAGACTTTCTGTGTAAAGGGTTTAACATGGCAAGCACCCAACAAATATGAGCATTAAAAGCTAAGTAAAGTAACATATAAGGGAATGAACCTGAAGAAGCTAGACAGATGGAATGCATGTAGACCTAGCCTGAGAGAAACTTCCAAATTGGAGCACTGAGATTTAGATGGGGCGGGGGTAGGGAGGGGTCTTTTTAAAGGAACAGTCTCTCCTTTTTAGGAGAGGAGTGAGAAAAGGTTCTCTTGGAGGCTTAGTGGGTGAAGAACCCTCACTGCCGGCACAGCAGTCTGTGGTGTGGTTTGGGGCCCAGTGACATCATTTGTAAGGTCCAGTGCAAAATAAAAACACAGGACCCCTTGTTCATAAATCAGGATAAAGGTGCAATCAAAGGAACTGAAATAGAAAACTTTGTCCACTCTTCTACTGTCTGTCTCTTTGTCTCTTGTTCCTTTTCTCTCCCCAACTCCTGTGTTTTTATTTATTATTTAATGTGCCATCTCCTCAGGCAAAGGAATACTCACGCAGACAGTGTGACTGTCACAGGTACTGGGAATCCTGTGACGCAGTACATGCCAGCCCTCAGCCCCACCTGCTAGGCTCCCGCTCCCAGCAGCCACCAGACTGACGCCCGCACCCCAGCCAAGGGCAGAGAAGCCATTCTCTCCTTCCTACTGGCCAGCTACCCCAACCCACAGTGGACAGGCAACCCTCAAGGATTGCAACCTCCATGCTGGGCACACTGGTATGGGTCAGGTGGGCAGAGGCTTGCGCCTGCCAAGCTGTGTACCAGGCATGCCGAGGTGCAGCCATATCTTGCTCCTGATGCTACTAAGTGCATGCACCCAAGTTCACTCTTCCCATGCCAGCGCCTAGGCCTCTCTTGGGGCTGGAAGGCAGCATCAATCATTGGACGATGCTTAGGGACACCTGGTGGTGTCGGTGGCTGTAGTCACTGGGGGAGTGGCAGAGAGAGAGAGAGAGAAAGAGAGGCCAAGCAGTATCAGGGTGTTATGGGGCACAGGAGCGAGTGACGGAGAACTCATCCTGGGGAGATGACGAGGTGGAAAGGCAGCAGCAGGACAGCTCCACAGTCCCATCAAAATCGGCTTACAAAACCCAAAAATCAAAGGTATAATTATTAGGAGTTTCAAGGTGACAACTCTGGAGCATTAATCCCCAAATGTGGGCCTCTGAGCCAGGTTCTGTACCACTTCACTACTTGTGTGCATATGAAGCAGGCTCTCTGGAGGGTCATGGCTGTCTTGCAGTATTTCAACACCATGTTTCCTATCCCAAGTAAAGCCTGGGATTCAGACCCCAGCTCTACCACTTACTAGTTTCAATCATGTTGGGCAAGTCTTTTAACCTTCCAAGACTCAGTGTCTGCATCTGTAAAATGGGATTAATGATAGAACCAACTCTTAAAAGTTGTTGTGAGGATTGAAAAATTATGTAATAGGGCTTAGTGTGATGCTTTAATGCATTCTCTTCATATAGCATAAAGCAAGACCTTAAAAACTGTTAGCTATTGCTAGCAAAGTGACTTTTTAAAGGGAGGCATGCTTCTCCCAGTTTATCTCTTGGAAAACTAATCTGTCACACTTTTCTGAGCTCAGAGATCCTCTGTTTCCCTTCTTCCAGTAGGTGGTAAGTGGCTGAATGAGACAAAGCAATAATGGGCCAGGGGTTCCAGGGTAGGATCTATATCTGCTTTTGCCAAGCAATAGATCCCCCAGTGCCTAGCCTGATTCCTGACTAGTAGGAGATACTCAATAAACGCTTGTCCAATTAATGAAAGTCTGGATGGATGGATGGATGGATGGATGCATGGATGGATGGAAAGATGGAAGGAAGAGATAGAAGAAAGGATGGACAGATGGAAGAAAGAGATCTTTTTTTATGGTTTGAATGACTCTAAGGTCATTCCCAGCTGTGACAAGCCATTATGCTATTAAGTCACCTTCATTATTTCCATTTTTTCCCATGAAGGATGAAGTTGGAAGTTCCAGAGCCTTCTCTTCACATAATGGGACATGCAAGGGGGAAACCAAATCAAAAGTGTAGAATGCGTCGCTGGATGTCTTTGACATGGTGAGGTCTTGTTCCTAACGGAGCTTTTCCTCTTGGTCACATTACCTCTGAAGGTATCTAGGGCCCCATACTCTATTCCGGGGGTGCTGTGGCCCACATGGGTCTGCATGGTCAGACAGTGGCTAAAGCAAATTCTCTGGCTGCAGAAGAGCCTCAGTCCTTCTGTCTGATTGGCTGGCAACATGACCATGAGTGTGCCCTAGCAGATGGCCATGAGGAGGACAACTGGGCACAAACTGGGCAGCCATGTGGCACTGGGATGAATGGCATCACTCCCAAGACCTGGAGCCTCTTGATCTCACTTAGCTCCTGTCTCCATGGTCCCTCTTCTTCCTCTCTCCTTCAGGGGTGGAGTCTTAATTTATCTGACAGCAGAGAAAAAATGTGTTCTGCAGGTATATGCACTATGATTTCTGCCTTAAATTTAAGCAAGTGGATTTTTAAAAACTCGGTAGTCAGGAATTTGCATCCCTCTTCCTGCTTTGTTTTCTTCTTTCCCCCAAAGCAGTGGGTGACTCTGTCCATCTGGGCCAGGGAGGAAGAGCTCCAGCCTAGGGATCGCTTCTCAAATTTTAATGCTCACATCAATCCCCTAGGGATAATACAATTAAACATGGCTCAGTGAGGGAATGAACTCTGAGAAATGTGTCATCAGGTAGTTTTGTCATTGCACAAATATCACAGAGCAGAGTCCAAACTCTTACATAAACCTAGATGGCAGAGCCTACTACATACCTAGGCTGTATGGTATGGCCTATTGCTCCTGGGCTACAAACCTCTATGGCATGTGACTGTACTGAATATTGTAGGATATTGTAACACAATGGTAAGTATTTGTGCATCTAAACATATCTGAGCATAGAAAAGGAACAGTAAAAACACAATTTAAAAGATTTTATAATGGGACACCCGTATAGGGCCCTTACCATGAATGGAGTTTGCAGGACTGGAAGTTGCTCTGAGTGAGTCAGTGAGTGAATGTGAAGACCTAGGACATTATTGTACGCTACTGTAGACCTTGTACACATTGGACGCTTAGGCGACATTAAATCTACAAAAGAATATTTTTCTTTCCCTTGGCTTACTATATCTTTTTTATTACTATTTTATAAACTTTTTGACTCTTATGTATTAACACTTAGCTTACAACACAAACACATTGTACAGCTATACAAAAATATTTTCTTTCTTGGCAAGGCATGGTGGCTCACACCTGTAATCCCAGCACTTTGAGAGGCAGAGGCAGGAAGATCATTTGAGGTCAGGAGTTCAAGACCAGCCTGACCAACATGGTGAAATCCCATGTCCACTAAAAATAAAAAAAAAAAACTTCTTTTAATCTTTCTTCATATATTCTTATTCTATACAGCTTTTTTCTATTTTTTAATTTTTAAAATGATTTTTTAAAAACTAAGGCACAGGCCAGGCACAGAGGCTCATGCCTATAATCTCAGCATTTTGGGAGGCCAAGGTGGGCGGATTACCTGAGGTCAGGAGTTCAAGACCAGCCTGGCCAAAACGGTGAAATGCTGTCTCTACTAAAAATACAAAAATTAGCTAAGTGTGGTAGTGTGCAGCTGTAAACCCAGCTACTTGGGAGGCTGAGGCACGAGAATCTCTTGAACCTGGGAAGCGGAGGCTACAGTGAGCTGAGATTGTGCACTGCACTCCGGCCTGGGCAACAGAGCAAGATTTCATCTCAAAAAAAATAAAACAAAACAAAAACAAAAACAAAACAGGGCCAGGCGCAGTGGCTCACACCTGTAATCCCAGCACTTTGGGAGGCCGAGGCAGGCAGATCACGAGGTCAAGAGATCAAGATCATCCTGGCCAACATGGTGAAACCCCATCTCTACTAAAAATACAAAAATTAGCTGGGCATGGTGGCATGCGCCTGTAGTCCTGCTACTCGGGAGGCTGAGGCAGAAGAATTGCCTGAACCCGGGAGGTGGAGGTTGCAGTGAGCCGAGATCACACCGCTGCACTACAGCCTGGCAACAGAATGAGACTCCTTCTTAAAAAATAAAAATAAAAACAACAGCAACAACAACAAAAACTAAGGCACAAACACACATTAGCCTAGGCCTACACAGGGTCAGGATTATCAATATCACTGTCTTCTCTTTCCACACCTTGTCCCACTCAAGGTCTTCAGGGGCAATAATACACATGGAGCTGTCATCTCCAATGATGACAATGTCTTCTTCTGGAATACCTCCTGAATGGCCTGCCTGAGGCTGTTTTACATTTAATTTTTTTTAATAAGTAGAAGGAGTATAATCTAAATAACAATAAAAATATAGTATAGTAAATTCATGAATCAGTAATATAGTCATCTGTTATCAAGTATTCTATACCGAGCATAGTCATATACACTATCCTTTTATACGACTGGCAGTGTAGATTTGTTTATTAGTCCATTTTCATGCTACTGATAAAGACATATCTAAGACTGGGCAATTTACAAAAGAAAGAGGTTTATTGGACTTACAGTTGCACATGTCTGGGGAGGCCTCACAATCATGGTGGAAGGCAGCAAATCATGCCTTACATGGATGGCAGCAGGCAAAAGGAAAGCTTGTGCAGGGAGACTCCTGTTTTTCAAAACCATCAGATCTCTCAAGACTTATTCACTATCACGAGAACAGCATGGGAAAGACCTGCCCCCACGATTACTTATCTCCCACCGAGCCCCTCCCACAACACGTGGGAATTCAAGATGACATTTGGGTGGGGACATAGCCAAACCATATCAGTTTGTTTACACCAGCATCACCAAAAATATATGAGTAATGCTACGACGTTAAGGTGCCTACATCACTAGATGAAGGAAGTTTTCAGCTCCATTATAATCTTATGAGCTCACCGTCATAAAATTTGACGTCATAAGATTTGAAGATAAGATGTTTGGCCTGTGGCCAAAACATCATTATTCAGCACATGACTATACTCAACTGCAGTTTCTGACTCAAGAGGTGTGGAGCAAGTCTAAGATTCCAGATTTCTAACAAACTCCCAGGCAATGCCAATGCTGGTGGCCCAGGAAGCTCTCAAGCCCACTTTGGGTTTTTTTTGTTTTGTTTTGTTTTGTTTTGTTTTGTTTTGAGACAAGAGTCTTACTCTGTCACCCAGGCTGGAGTGCAGTGGCATGATTTCACCTCACTGCAATCTCCACTTCTCCGGTTCAAGAATTCTCCTGCCTCAGCCTCCCAAGTAGCTGGGATTACAGATGTGTGCCACCATGCCCAGGTAATTTTTTGTATTTTTAATAGAGATGGGGTTTCGCCATTTTGGCCAGGCTGGTCTCGAACTCCAGACTCAAGTGATCCATCCGCCTCAGCCTCCCAAAGTGCTAGGATTACAGGCCTGAGCCACCACGCCTGGCCTCACAGTCTCACTTTGAATAGCAAGACTTTGTGGAAGACAGAGAGAGAGAGAGAATCCTAAAAGGGGAGAGCAAGGAAGAATAAGCACATCATCAAATATTTCAAAACATTCTTGTACTACACACAAGCTTGAGTTCTAGGAACAAGTCTGAGAGAAAAAGGGAAAAGGGTGGGAGGGTGTTGGGGAGATGTGCAGCCAACTGGTCTACTCCTCTGCTTTTGCTCCAAATTGAGGCTGAAAACCAGATGGTGGTTGGTTTGTTTTCAGCAGTTCATCTTCACAGCCTGGGGAGGTCATAGTCTAAGAAGGGAGGGAAACTGAGGTATTGTAGCCATGGAGCATTTTCTCATCCTCCCAGATTACCCTTGAGAGGCAGGATGGGAGCTGCCTGTGGTCCCCACCCTGGGCTCTCCTTTAGACTGAAAACAAATGCTGGCCTCCTCCTGGTCCACCTGCCTGTGGGCTGGAAAGCACTCTCTGCCCTGGCTGCTCACACATACAGCATCCCCAGTGCTCTGGGCTAATTGGACCTGAGATAGGGAGATGACTTCAGGCTTGGAGAGGCATTTTTCTCTTCCTTCTTGGCAAGGATCCAGGACCAGGGGATCATCGAGGACCACAGAAGAGAGAGGCGAGAGGGCCCTTGAGCAGCCAGCATTCACAATTCAGAATGTCTAGTGGGCTTGGGCTTTGGAGCCACCAGAGGGATGATGGCATCTTTCATAGGGTTCTTGTTATCCTTTATTTTACAAAGCACAGAGGCAATGACAGCCCCAAATGGATTAGATGCTCAAGAGCCCTCCTGGGCCACTTTTCCTTCGTCCATCGGGATCTTCAGTTCAAAGGCCCACAAGTGTCTTTGCTCAAATCCTTTCAAGCCAAACTCTAGCCAGCCCTCTAAATCCTTCCAAAGAAAAACGGAGGAGGGCTTAGGAGAAGACTATACCCACTCAGCTAATGAATGATGTCTTGGCTTGCCTGCCTAGGCAACAATCTAGGGTCAAGGATTGCAAGCCCAAATGCCTACAAGGGCTAGGCCGGAAATGCAATGAGCCAGGAGGGGTGCATATGAAGAAACCAGGAATGGTGGTGTCAAAGGGGCAGCTTTGGCTGATTGTTGCCCTGTGGGTTTATGGACACAGCCTTCCCAGATCCTAGGTGTTGGGGGACATTCTAAGAAAGCAATGTCTTAAAATAATAATAACAGGTTTTATAAAGCATGTACTGTGTGCTAGACACTGTTCTAAGCACTTTACTTGTTTTACCTTACTTGCTTCTCACCATGACCTGGTGATGAAGTACTGTAATTTTCCCCATTTCACAGATGGGGAAACCAAGGCACAGGGAGATGAAATAACTTACCCGAGGTCTTTCGGCTGGCAAAATGACAGAGCTGGGATTTGAATCTAGGCAGTGTGGCTCCAATTCCACGTTCCTAACCACCATGCTCTATCTACTGCTGGCCAGAAAAGATCCTCCCACATGATCCAGTCTTCAAAGGCAGCAAAGGCACGTGCAAGCTTTCTTGTGCTTTGAATCTCTCTGACTTTCCTTCCGCTATCAGACAGGAAAAACTCTACTTTTAAAGGTTTCACCTAATTGGGTCAGGCCTACCTGAATAATTTTTGTAATTTAAGGTTGACTGACTTGCCACTTTAATCCCATCAGCAAAGTCCCTTCCCAGCAGTGTGTAGACTCATGTCTCATTAAATATCCAGGGGATGGGAATTTGTGGGTTGGGGGGTGGGGGGTTCAGATTTAGAATTCTGCATACCACAGCACTTAAAAACTTTTTAAAAACCTCATTTATGATAAACAAACACACCTGCAGGGCAGGGGTTTCTAACCTGTGGGCCAATTCTTTTGTTTATTTGATAAATCTTTACGTAGCACCCACTGGGTGACAGCATTGTGCTAGGTGCTGGGAACACAGCATTTTACATGGCAGACAAGTCCTCCACCCTGATCTTCCAGATAGCTTATGGCTAAGGCAATCATGATCCCTGGGCTCCATTCCTGATTCTCTGGTTGAGTATTTATTTGTCTTCAGTTACATGCCCCACAAACCCTGTTTGTTTTTTCCTCCACCTTGAATATTCATAACCACGAATTGCTCCGATTTCCTAATCAGTCTCCCATGTGAGGTACATTTAAACAGGGACCACATCTAACACCTCTGTTCTGATGTCTTGGCCAAAGCAAATAAAATTACGAATGAACAGGAGGCTGCTAAATTCCCAGTGCCAGGAGACAGCTGCTATCGACAGGGCAACCTGAAGTCCCTGATCCAGGACACCAGATGTGGACTGGCACTGGGAGGGCAGGAAGAGCTTTGGTGATTTCCCGAATGCCAATTTTTGTGAGTCCTGTGGTTTGAGATTTCAGGCATCCTCCTCTCACTCACAGTAGCTTTCTAAAAGGAGGGCATTTCCACCTCCATTTGGGGCTTAAAATTCCGGAGAGCTTGAGATGTTACCTGCTGCTAAAATATGATTATGCACAACCAAATGGCCTGATCCAATATGCACAGCCTTATGGTCTAATATTCTCATTAATTCAATTTCATTAGTATTTCCTGAGCCCCTTGCATTAGATGCTTTAGGAATTTAAGTGGTTTCCTCACCTCTTACCAGCCCTCTTCTCAGCACACAGTTCACCTACACATAGCATCCTATATGGCCCAGAAATGGATCTGTATATTTTAAAAATATATCTATTTGCCAATACCCAGCAAAGTGTGACATCCCAGGAGAAATAGAATAATGCAGATGTGGTTTAAGTAGTGACCCCCTTGGCTGGAATTAATCTCTCCCTTCTCCATGCTCCTCTTAACACTGACTCCCAAATGCTGGGATTAGCATGGGGATAAAACCTGACCCTGAGGTGTAGTTGCACTTGACTGAGAATTACCTCCCTTCTCTTGATACCTGGGAAAATGTTGCCAGGCTTCTGTAGAGTTCTCTCCTGCAACTCCAGCAGGTCCAGAGATCACGGGCAGGCCACCAGGGTTTTATCTGCATAAATGTTTAATGGACCTATTGGGATAGTCAGTGACAAATGTTGAGTGGGACCCACAGAACTAAAACTATTTTTTAAAAAAGGAGTTGGGGGTTATAGCCCACCCCTCCACCCTCAAGATGGGGCCCTGGATATTAATAATAATGAGAGCTAATATTTACTGGGAACTCACTCTGTGCATGCACGTGCTTGGCATGGGCTTATATCATCTCGTTTAATCCTCATCAGAACCCTAAGAGGTAGATTCTATTATTACCAGCACCTTAAAGATGAAGAAACCAGGGCACCTAGGACTTGCACATCTGTCCAGGGTAATGCAGGCAGCAAGGTGGGAGAGAACCCAGTTGCACGCCAGCCAGTCAGAGGGCATCAGTTCATACCAGCTGGCAGAGATCATCCAGGGAGAACAGGATGAAGCGACGTCCAGCACCTTTCCCAGACCAGCCTGCCAGTGTAACAAGAGAGGGAGGAAGATCTTTGAGACTGAAAAAAACAAGCATATTTTATTTTTTTAATTTCAATGTTAGCATTGAGGGGCTGGCTGGGAACAGGCAGAGAAATGAGTTCTGGGCCTCTCCCAAGAGAGAGTGCTTACGGTTTTACTTAGTTTTAATTTTCTCTCCTGATGAAAAATTTGCCATGGTTAGAGAGGCACCAAATAAACAGAACTGTGACCGATGTTTTGCAATTTCCTTAGCGGATTCCACATATTTTTTAGAGTTCCATCAATATTTCAACAGTTGCAACCTGGTTCCCCCTCTGGGAAGCTGTGGTGGAGTCACGGTCCCCTGACATCCTGCTTCCCTCACACAGCAGAGGCTGGGCTTGTGTCTAGGGTCCTGAGATTTGAGAAATGTTGTTGGGAAGAGGGGCAGGCAGTATTGGGGCCCTGCCATAAGCTCTCAGCTCTCAGCTGCACCCACGAAAGCAGGTACTGCACACTGCTGGGTCTCTCTGCTTCTGGGCATTTTCCTTGGCCTCTGAGCCCCCAAAAAATACAGATGGGTGGCCCAACACCCCGTCCATGCCCCCAGGTAGGATAACTTGAAGGCACCTTCCACACTATGTCCCAGAGCTCTTCAGAATGAGCTCAACTGACCATAAGAACTTGCCTGACAGTGCCCCTCCTGGCCTGTTTCCCTTCCCCATCTCAACATCCTCACTCCCCCATTTGCCCTTCTTCCCAAATAAACCACTTGCACTCAAATCTTCACCTCGGGGTCTGATTGTGGGGAGACTGAACCTAGGAGCAGTCAGAGGGGTTCCAAGCCAGAGAGGGCTGCCAGGGAAATTCAGATTAACAGCAAGGATCAGGCTGGGCATGGTGGCTCATGCCTGTAATCCCAGCACTTTGGGAGTCCAAGGAGGGTGGATCACTTGAAGTCAGGAGTTCAAGACCAGCCTGGCCAACATGGTGAAACGCCATCTCTACTGAAAATACAGAAATTAGCCAGATGTGGTGGCACATGCCTGTAATCCCAGCTACTCAGGAGGCTGAGGCAGGAGAATCGCTTGAACCCGGGAGGCAGAGGTTGCAGTGAGCCGAGATCGTGCTACTACACTCTAGCCTAGGAGACAGAGCGAGACTCCATCTCAAAAAAACAAAACAACAACAACAAAAAACCCAGAAAGGATCGGAAACCTGGCAAACGGTCGTGTCAATAACGCCAGAAAAAGAAGATTCAGAAAGACTCACCCAAAAACACCAACCTGGAGGAGCCCTGATTCAGAGGGCCAGGTGTTTGCTACGACTAACACATCTCTGCTCTTGCGTCATCATAAGCTTGAGGGCGCCTTCCAGAGACATGAGTGGTCAACACTTCCAGGAAGCAGGGGCTGGCTGGGGTTGAGGTATCCCGCCTTCCTTGGGTCATTGCTGGTGTGTGTGTGTATGTGCAGTGGCGGAGACTGACCTAGAACACAAGAAGAACTCCAAGGACAAGGCTAAGCCTCTTCCAGACTGGGCACACATGGAGAAATGGAAAAAGGCAGGCGATTAGCACATCCTGGCAGCAGAGACAGACGTGGGCTTTGAGAAGAGTTGCTGGCAGGATTCTCCCACTCAATCGCACTTGGCACAGCAGACGCAAGGACCCCGTCTTACTATTCCTTTCCTTCTGAGCCAGAATCAACGCCATGAGTAGGGGCTTTTTTCCCTTCATTCCACAGGTTCAGGTTCAGCACCCCCATTTCTGCAACTCGATTCACTCTCAATTCACTCTTTTTCTGCTTTTCTAGTTAAATTCACTCAATTCACTCTTTTTCTGCTTTTCTAGTTAAAGATCCAGCTGGGGAAGGCCCTTGGTACCCAAGCCTTCAAGCACAAATATTGGTGGAGGCTCACTAAGTGGCAGACTGTGCTGAGTGCTTTAAATGCATGATCACATTAAATTCTATGTATTTGTTTGTTTATTCATTCATTCATTTAAGAGATATGGTCTCTCTCTGTTGCCCAGGCTGGAGTGCAGTGGCACAATCATGTCTCACTGTAGCCTCGACTTCCTGGGCTCAAGAGATCCTCCCACCTCAGGCTCTGGAGTAGCTAGGACTACAGGCATGTCCCACCACCCCCAGCTAATTACGTATTTATTATTATTTTTATTTTGTAAAGACATGGTCTCACTAAAGTGCCCAGGCTGGTTTCAAACTCCTGGCCTCAAGCGATCCTCCCACCTTGGCCCCCCAGTGCCCTGGAATTACAGGCATAAGCCACCACGCCTGACCTAAATTCTCTTCAAAATCCTACTTTGCTCTACTTCACAGTGAGAAAACTGAAGCACAGGAAGGTTGAATTATAGGCCTGAAGTCACACAGTCAGTGTAGCCCATCTGGAATTGGACTTTCAGATTAGTTGCCTCTGAACCTTGAGCTCTTAACCACTCTGTTAATTTGTTTCCTGGGTGTGTTTTGTGTTTGTGTGTGTGTGTGTTTTTGTTTTTGTTTTGTTGTTGCTGTTGTTGTTGTAGATATTACTATCTGAGGTAGGTAATGATCCTAAATAGACCTTGGATTTTTAAACCGCTTTACGGTTTACAAAGCCCTTACATCTCCATTATTATATAATATAACCCTCACCATAACTCATTGAGCCCTATAGGGCAAGAATTATTAAAACATAGTGCTTAGCACAGTACGTAAACAGTACCCACGAGTAACAGTAGCATCTTTCACCTTTTACAAATGAGGAAACTGAGTCTCTGTTTAAGTGACTTGCCAGAGACCCCCAGCAAGTGAAGAGCCGTATCTTGTGAACATGTTCTCTCCTGCTTTGGCAACCGCATCCTCTCTAGTTGTCCACACTCTCTTGGGTAATGCTGGATGGCACAATAGCTAGGACCACCTTCACTCTGATACTCAGAATCTCTACTGTGACTTCAGGGTAGTGGGCATCTGCTAATCTCACCTTTGTAGCCGGCATTTATGTTAAGAGGCTCTTGCTGAAGGCTTCTGTCCTACCTTGGCTAGACTACATTTCTCATTCCCCTATACTTGACTAGGGATGTGCTATCGTTTTTCTGGTTGATAATCTACTAACATTTCTTAGAGTCGATGTTCTAAGAGACACAGTTTAAAAAACACACCTAGTACAATCCTACTTTTAAAAACATATATATATTTAAAAATATATATTATATTTATATTTTAAAATATATATTATATTTATATTTAAATATAAAATAAGTTATGTTGTTATATATAATTATTATATAATATAGCTTATATATAATAATAATATATATTATATGTAACTATATATTATAGTTATATATAATATAACTATATATTATAGTTATATTATATATAACTATATTATAGTTATATTATATATAACTATATTATAGTTATATTATAATATAACTATATAGTTATATTAAATATAACTATATATTATAGTTATATTATATTATAGTTATATATAACTATATATTATAGTTATATTATATTATAGTTATATTATATATAACTATATATTATAGTTATATTATATATAACTATATATTATAGTTATATTATATATAACTATATATTATAGTTATATTATATATAACTATATATTATAGTTATATTATATATAACTATTATATATAGTTATATATTATATATAACTATTATATTTAGTTATATTATATATAACTATTATATTTAGTTATATTATATATAACTATTATATTTAGTTATATTATATATAACTATTATATTTAGTTATATTATATATAACTATTATATTTAGTTATATTATATATAACTATTATATTTAGTTATATTATATATAACTATTATATTTGGTTATATTATATATAACTATTATATTTGGTTATATTATATATAACTATTATATTTGGTTATATTATATATAACTATTATATTTGGTTATATTATATATAACTATAATATATAGTTATATTATATATAACTATAATATATAGTTATATAATATATAACTATATATAGCTATATTATATAATAATTATTATATAATATAAATTATTATATGTAATTATATATTACTGTTATATATAATAATGTTCTCTTCCCATTGGCTAGGCACATGTCTCTGCATGTGCCTAGCCAATGGGAAGAGAGCAGGTGGTCTGCCCCCTGGACCCTCCCCTCTAGTTTGTCCACATTCTCTTCCCCCAACTCCCTGCATGTAGCTCACCCTGGGGCTCTTTCTCTTTCTACACCCAGTGGCAAGCACGGAACGTTCCACCAGCATGTCCCTGCATCCTCTCTCTTCTTTAGAGCCTGCTGGGTGATTTTCTCTGGAATGCACAGAGCTTTCAAAAAAGTGTTTATTCCCTACTTTAAGCCCAGCACGGAAATCAGAAACAGGATGTCAAAAAGTACAAAGAGCTTAGGTTGCAATTCTGCTGGAATGCAAACCCAGGAAACTTCCTTTCTTTCTGGAGAAGTCATAATGGGATGGCTGGAAATTAACTTGGACTTTTCTGGGGCATGGGAAAGAGGAGACAGAAGCACACATATGGCTCATTGGGACCGCTCTGCCAGGAAAGCTGCTGCTGTGCTGAATGATGACATGTGGACTTGGGCCATTCCTGTGGTATTGGGCCACAAATTCTGGGAGGCCACAGATATGAGGAGGAAAGAGAGGAGGTTTGGCGATTTTATGGTCCACATTTCCCATGTTTAAGATGAATAGGTCCAATCACACTGGGACAGTGGTTCTCACCTACGGGTAATTTTGTCCCCCACTCGTGATGTTTTTAGTTGTCATAACTAGGGGGCAAGGAGAAGGCTACTGGCACCTAACGGGTAGAGGCCAGGATGCTGCGCCACATCCTACAATCCCTGAGACATACTACCCAGGCAAATGCCAGTCATGCCAAGGTTGAGATCACCTACTCTCAGACATCTTGAACTTTCCTACTGAATTAACCCTATCAGCAGAGAGCAGTGGGAAGAGAAAACATACACTTTCAGTGTTTTGAGGTTGTAAAGATGATATTACTTCAAGGTGTTTTATCTGAAAACCTCAAAATATCACATTATACCCCAATCCACAACTCATTCATTTGTTCATTCATTCATTTAACTAATAGTTACTGAGCATCTATTATGTGCAATGCCTGTACTGGGCTCTTCTTTTGCTTTGCTATAGTAAGTCCCCCTTATTATTCAGGTGTTGGTGGAAACATCACACCCTCAGAGAACCTTCTCTGGGACCATCCCATCCACAGCAGCCACTACTGACTTGTCACTATCAGTCTCTTGAGCAATTTCAGCTTAGTACTTGCACAATTCATGATTTTTTTAGTTAACTATCTGTCTCCTTTATGGTCTGCAGTTTCTATGAAGAGAGAGGCCAGGCTTGTCTATTTTTAGACACAGTCCCCAGCTCTGGGCTAAGTCCTTTTAAATGCATGATCTTTCCATGATCCCCATTTTATAGGTAAGAAAACTGAGGCACAGTTTATTCATTTATTTGCCAAATGAATGGATAAATAGCACCCCCCGCCCCCGCCTCAGAAGATGTGCTGTATTCATGCTGTACCTTATCTGTAGCTTATATACTGGCCAGTTTCATGTTCCTGGGGGTCATGACCTAATTTGAGAGGTTTGGGGAAATGAGCAGTCTACTTGGGACCTAACGCAGGCCTGCAACTTCCTCCTGAGGCAAGCTGTTTGATCTTGGGTAAGTCAAATCCTCATTCTGAGCCTCATGCACTTGTGTGCCAAAAATACACATATTTTCTAAAAGGTAGGATTGTACTAGGTCTGTTTTTTAAACTATGTCCCTTAGAACATTGATTCTAAGAACTGTTACTAGATTTTCAAGCAGAAAAATAATGACACGTCCCTGGTCAAGTACTTGTGGGAAATGTTTTAAATAATGATAGATTTTCTTTAATGCAGGACTTGTCAGAGCCTTCATATGCTACCACACAATGTGAATGCCCAGGAGGAAACATGTCTTTTTCATTGTTTTCCAAACATATCTGCTCAAGGAAATTCATTTATGTGAAGCACATTGAAGGATCTGAATTGCACGCATACCTTGGGCAATGCTACGTGGCACAATAGCTAGTACCGCCTTCACTCTGATACTCAGAATCTCTACTGTGACTTCAGGGTAGTGGGTATCTGCTATTCTCAGCTCTGCATCTGCCATTTGTGTTAAGAGACTCTTGCTGAAGTCTCCTCTTCTGCCTGGGCTCAACCACATTTCTCATCCCCCTATCCCTGGGAGAGAGACATGTGCCTAGCCAATGGGAGAAGAGCAGGTGGCCTGCCCCCTGGAACCTCCCCTCTAGGTTGTCCACATTCTCCTCTCCCAACTCTCAGCAAGATGCTAGGATCCAGTGAGGCATTCCAAAGCCCTGGGAACAGTGAGTCACAGATGGAAAGAATCTAGACCTCTGAAAGCTGCCCTACCCCCTGATTGGACTGAGACGGGAGCGAGAAGTAAGCCCGCTCTTGCATGAAGCTGCTGAGATCCAGGACTCATTCATGATGGCAGTTAGCCCAGGCTGACCACTGGGGCTTATTCAAGGAAAACAGAGTCCCACTCAGCCCCTACCACAACCCTGTTAAACATGAATGGGAGGATGAATAGGTGACTTCTTTTTTTTTTCCTCACCTCATGTCTCAGACCACAAGGCCACTGCTCACATGAACAGGTGCCTTCCATTTCCCAGTGTCGGTAACCAGAGGCAATGAAAGACACCTGAGGAAGACATAACACTGTCCCCAAGGCAGCAGAGCCTTTAATAATGATAACTGATGCTCACAGAGCCACTCTCCTACCTTTCTTCAAAAAGAAAAGGTATCAAAAGAGAAGGAAGAAAAAAATCCCAGTAATCTGTGCCCTGTGGTCAAGCACTGTCCAAGCTTTGGATGGCCATTGTCAGTTTCCCTGGGATGGAGTCTCTCTTGATACTTGTCAAGACACTGGCACATCCCACCTGCCAGTAGTTAAGATGCTGACAGCTCTTGCTGACCAGGTGTGGGAGCAGTGAACTGTGCAGGACCAGGTCTCTACTAGCCACCTGGTATTGGGTTGCTGTGTACCTGGGGCTGCTGGGCACTGCTGAGATCATGGAGCATCCCTGCTTGGGGCCAGCAACCTCTGTGCCCAGCCACAGGGAGAGGCAAGTCCTTGCTGCCTCTCCCAGCAGCCTGCATGTCTTGGATTTGGCACTGAGGACACTTCGGGAGGAGGAGGCAGACCAGGACAGGCTGAGTTCAGCTCCATCTGTCTCCGGCTTCTGTTTGGCATCTTGGCTGTGCTGTAGGAGCCCTCTGCAGTTCCGTGCCTCTCTCAGCAGCTGCTCAATAGGAGACAGGAAAATTGCTCTCCCTTCAGTGTACTAGTCTAGTTAGGAGGCATCCCCAGGAATCCATAGGAGGGAAGGAGTCCAGGATGGCCAAGACCAAAAGACAAAAACACACCTAAGCCCAGCCAAACCTGGCAGGCATTTGAATTTCCAAACTGAGTCTTGTCTTTCTTTCTTTTCCACTCAGCATGGCTGCTCCAAGCTGAGATATTAGCCCAGATAAACTCAACATGAAAATCATAATCCGGCAAGTCATGGCCATTCTTGTCAATTCTCTTAAAGGTTAATCTGCTTTTCTCCTTATTAATGAAGGGCCTCGGAAATGCAGCCGGGCCTCTCCCGTGTTTTGGTAGATTTGGGCTAATAGGTTATTTTATTTCCATGGTAACAGCTTCCAGTGTTACAGGAAGATAATTTTCCAGACAAAAGATTTGTGGGTCTTATTATTCTGCAGGGATCTGACTGTGAAGGCTGGGAAAGTGGGTTCACAGGCTACCCAGGATTGCAAGTTCCACCCATTCTGGGGCACCTGTTTGCCTCTGGCTTCTGGGTCTTGAAGCTTGTTAGGTGCCATGTATTGTAGGAAATTGGCAGGAACTGAATAGGAAACTGGCAGGGACTGAATAAAGACATCCTTTGAAAGACAATACCCTAAATTCATTCTCATATCAGGCAATGAGGTTGGAATGAGAAGTGGCTTGTATTATAGAAATCGCTGGCACAACAGGGGTCTCTGCCCTATGGGGTGAGCTGGGAGCTGTCCTTATAGTGAGGGGCACCCTACAAGGTGCCTCTAAGCAGAGCCATCACCCCCTACACCTCTCAGTCTCAGGGTAGACTGGCAGCATTCTCGCCTCCCAGGCATTCAGCACCCAGTTCAGCAACTGCCAGGTACCAGGCTAGTCAGAGGAAGACAAAAGATGAACAAATTGGCATGCCCCCTCCTCTAAAGGAGCTTAGAGTTTACTGGTGTGTTAGGGGATGGGTGGGTTAAAATAAAATAGGGGAAAGAAAACAGGCAATGGCCATACTTTGTGATATGTGTTACAATTGGAACATCCTGGGTCCAGGGAGCATAGGGAGGTCAGGAAAGACACACAGAGAAAGAGCTCTTTGAGGGAGACTTTGAGAGCAGTGTAGAAGCAAAAGCTTTTCAAGCATTGACTAAATGATTTGTATGAACAAAGCACTACTCTAGGTCCTGGGGATCCAAACATAGATAAAGCCAGACAGAGTCTCTATATACACCATGGGAGGGTAAAGAGACAATAATCAATACTGCAATTTAAGGTTGCAACTGAGAGTAGTGCCCCCCACAAGGGGGAAGTTCTTAATGCAAAGAGATGCAATGAGATGGAAACTGACCAAGACAGGACTCTCCCATATGGTTGGGCAGGCTGTACACTGCACAACTCTAGGGGGAGCCAGTCACATCATAGACATTATAAATTTGAATATTTATTATGACAGTTTTCTGGAATGTGGCATCCCAAATGTCTTAAGAAAGGGGTGCCATTCCTTAAATTGAACAAAATTAATTCTATGGCCTAGTGGAGCTCCTGCCAGGAAGAAAAGGAAAGTCTTCCCCCCGTAAGGGACAAGCTCTAGGATCTGAAGAGTGGGTAGGAGCTCAGAGGGTAAAGAGACAGAAAAAAGGATGTCCTGGATGCAGGGAACAGCAGGTGCTTGTTGAGGTCATTGTATCCCAGAGACTGAAAAGCAGCCAGGGAGGTTGCAGCAAGTAGAATGGGGAGCACGGTGCTGGGGAGTTGCAGCAAGTAGAATGGGGAGCACAGTGAGGCTGGAGAAGGCAGCAGGAGGTAAATCGCACAGGGCTAGGTCAGCATTTCACCTCCCTACTTAGAGTTTCCAGTGGCACAGGACACCTGGGGGCCCTGGACCTCCGGACAGGAATAAGTGGGTAAATTAGATGCAGCCGTGAGAAGGAGCCTTTGGTTAGTTATGGAAACGAGGCAAAATTGGTGGCCCATAGACTAATGATTATGAGAGTCTGGTCTGTGGATCACCCACATCAGAAGCCCCTGGGATGCCTGTTGCAAATGCAGCCTCCTGAGTCCCCCACAAGACCTACCACAGTTGACTCTCTGGGGCAAGGGCAGGAATCTGCTTTTACCATATGAAGCCATGTAATGTTTTTGCAACCCAAGTTTCAGAATGCCTGGGTTATGCTAGTGTCTGTTCAGCTACATTCTGATCCTTATTCTGCCCTTCCTAGCTATGAAATTTTAGGCAAGTTCAAGGCTTTCCTTGGATTTATTTCTTTATTGATCTGATGAGTTCCATAACATCTGCGCCCCCCCACCCATTTTTTTTTTTTTTTTGAGACTAGGTCTTGCACTGTTGCCCAGGCTGGAGTGGATCTCAGCTCACTGCAGCTTCATCTTCCTGGGCTCTAGTGATCCTCCCACTTCAGCCTCTGGAGTAGCTGGGACTACAGGCGTGTGCCACCATGCCCCGCTAATTTTTGTTTTTGTTTGTAGAGATGGGCTTTTGCCATATCGCCCAGCCTGTGACATTTCTTACAAGAGGATGATTTGTGGTGTTTGTTTTGAGAAGGAGTCTTGTTCTGTCATCCAGGCTGGAGTGCAGTGGGGCAATCTCGGCTCACTGCAACCTCCACCTCCTGGGTTCAAGTGATTCTCCTGCCTCAGCCTCCTGAGTAGCTGGGATTATAGTCATGTGTCACAATGCCAGGCTAATTATTTTGTATTTTTAGTAGAGACAGGATTTTGCATGTTGGCAAGGCTGGCCTCGAACTCCTGACCTCAAGTGATCTGCCCGCCTCAGCCTCCCAAAGTGCTGGGATTACAGGCCAGAGCCACCGCACCCAGCCTAATGATTTGTTCATTATTGCCCAATGTTCCTTGAGGAATGATTCTGTCAAGGAGGCAAAGAAGTTTCATCTTATGTGTCACATCTACTTCCTTACGAGTGGCTGCTAAAAGTATATACAGCAGTCCCCTGCTTATCCTCTGTTTCACTTACCTGCAGTCAACTAGTCTGAAAATATTCAATGGAAAATTCCAGAAATAAACAATTCATGAGTTTTCAATTGTACGCCGTTCTGAGTAATGTGATGAAATATCATGCTGCTCCTCCCCACCCTGTCCCACCTGGGACCTGAATCCTCCCTTTGTCCAGAGTATCCACACTGTATACACTACTCGCCCACTAGTCATTTAGGAGCATCTCAGTTATCAGGCCAACTGTCATGGCATCACAGTGCTTATGTTCAAGGAGCCCTTACTTTACTCAATAATGGCCCCAAAGGGCAGGAGTAGTGATGCTGGTGATTCAGATTGCCAAAGAGAAGCCATAAAGTGCTTCCTTTAAGTGAAATGGTGAAAGTTCTCAATTTGTGGAAAGAAAAAAAAAATCCTATGCTGAGGTTGCTAAGATCTATGGTAAGAATGGATTTTCTATCCATAAAATTGTGAAGAAGGGAAAGGAAAGTAGTGCAAACTGTATACAGGCTTCCATACATTCCACAGTTCCAGGCATCCACTGGGGGTCTGGGAACATATTTCTAGTGCATATGGGGTACTACCGCATTGATTGACTAAAGATGGCTGTCACAAGCATTGAAAGGGAGGTGGTGAAACATCAAGTCTCCAGCTACACATATCTTATATGAGAAGTCAGCCATCAGAGCAGCCTTCCAGACCACCTGAAGTAGCACAGTGCACCTCCCTCCCTAACGCATCTCCATGTCATTTCCATCACAGCCTTTATTACAATCTGTAGCCCTCTTGTTTATTTAGTTGCTCACTTGTTTCTTTCTCTAGTCTTTTTCCCCTTGCTGACTATAAGCTCCATGAAGACAGGGCTGTGTCTCTTTGATTCACCACTGTCTCCCTCACGCTATGCACAAAGTAGGTGTGCATTAAGCAAGTATTCAATGTATGAATAAAGGCATCAGGGCTTGCCATCCCTGAACTCAACGCCTGGCACCATGCAAAGCACAGAAGACACAGGGCCACTTGACAAAGACCAACATCCAATTAGGGAGATAAGACCTATCCAGAAGGAGGAATCAAACTCAAGCCAAATGAAAGAAGCAAAAACACAGAAACAGAAAAGGAAGGAAGGAAGGAAGGAAGGAGGGAGGGAGGGAGGGAGGGAAAGAGAATCAATCCCTTCAACCAGAATTCTGTAAAGATACAATGAAGTGATCAATGTCAACTTGCTATGATTGATTGAAATGTTATCATTCAACCAACTGTGTTACCAATTAACACAAATTTTGCCATCTTGTGTTACCACTGGGGGAAATTGGGGAAACATGGATCTCTCTGTATTGCTTCTTACAATTTGAGGTGAAACTAAGTATCTCAAAATTTAAAAGCTTTTTAGAAAAGAAAAAATTCCACAATTTCCAATGTACTTGAAAGTTGGAAGCTGAACCAAAGGGCACTTCAGCCCCACAGATTCCACTCCTTGTCTCAACCCTTCCCCCACCACAATGTGACCAAATTGTTTACAGTCCATTCTCCCAGAGGCTCCTGGCATCTCTTGTAAACCACAATCTGTTAGACTGTAGCTTCAGCAAAGATTTCTGGAAGACATCACTGAAATTCTGAGTGTCCAATGTGGGCATGAAGCCAGTTTTCTAGCTTCCAGCCTGTCCAAATCTGAGGCTATTACAGTATTCAAATGGCAGCCTGTGAACTCACATTTCAAGGAGACTGTTCCTCTTGCATCCTGGACTTCCACCATGGAAGGTTCACGTCCTTGAGTCTAATGACTTGGTCCTCACCAGGCTTCCTTGCTGGAACATAAGCACCACGAGGACAGAAATACTGGTGGGTTCCCTGCTGTTGCCCCTCGCCCACAGTGCCTATCACATCAGTGTCCCCATAGTGGCCATTTGCAGTTCCTACCTGTTCAACATCCATTTGTTGTTCTGCTGATAAAAGCATTCTTGTTTTTCCTTTGGGGAGCCACCCCTCCCGCGTTGCAGACAGTCTGAGGGGCAGGGGGAGTTTAATTCAAAGTGCCCTCGTTTCTGCCCTGGCCAAGGGGAAGCAGGAGACCCGAGGCAATCAGAATTGGTAAATGCCAAGCACTAGATTTTTGCTAAAAATATATTAAAAGACACGTTCTCTCTTTCCCCTACAGTTATTGTTCTGATAGAATATCAGCGGGGAGCTACTGAGGACCTCCTCACTACCCTCCCTTGGAAGAGTTTGTCTGCAATGGAGCCAACACAGTGGAAAGCAGAGCTGAGAAATGGACAAACAACTCCTGATGCCTCATTTGAGCACCTGGATTTAGCCATGTCTGAAGCTATTATATCCTTGAACTTTTGAATCATGTAGGTTACCATAATTCCTTTTTTGTTAAAGCTAATTTGAGTTGGGTTTCTATCACTTGCAATCAACAATTGACCAGGTGCTTAGTACATAATGAATGAGTGAATGAACAAATTCAATTCTGTAAGTATTTATCATCTCCTTACACGGCAGGCACTGTTTTAAGTCCCAAAGAAAGAGGCAGAGGAGCGACAGAGATGACTTCCTCCCTTGAAAACGAAGCATGTGGCCTGACAACCTAAAATTGGGGTCAATCCATCCAATTATGGTGACTGCTTAGAAATATCCCTTTTCCTCCCAACGTTTTCCTTTCCTTCTCCCATAAACATAATAATGTCTCCTGCCAGTACTAAGGCATGGCCCATGGACCCACTAACACCTATGCTCACGTTAGCTCTTGAGGCCGAGTGGCTTGGTTCTATCTGGTTATCAGATGCAAACTTCATCACAGCAGGGATTTGGGCTAGACATTAGAGGAATAGTGTGGTACCAGATGGTGTTTCTGAAGAAGGTTGTCCTATTTTTGCAGTTTAAGGATTTGATAATAAATCTGCCTGGCAGCCCTCAGATGTGATTTGGCCTTGAAATCGTCTCTGTTAATCCTTGATGCTGTGTGTATCTGTCAAGGTCCAACCAGAAAAAACAGAACCTGCTCTAAGTATCTGAACAAAGGGAAATTTAATGTAAGGAGCTGATTGCACAGATGAAGGAAGGGGCTGGGAGGCAAACAAGAGGGAACTGTGAGGTAACCCAGGGATTTGCCACAGTAGGAAGACATGACCACTACTAGGATAGAGAGGTAAAAAATAAAAAAATAAAAAAAGAGATGGTGTTACTTGTATTCAGGAGGTGGAGTCATCCAGAGGAGGCTGAAGCCATGGCAGGTCTGTGTGGCAGAAGCTGCTGCCAGGGAAGACATACCATGGCTCCAAGAAAAGCTGCCAGAGACAGAAAGTGTGGGGGAGAAAGATTCTTCCTTTTCCCTGCCTCCCACCTCTCAAACTCACCGCAGAGCTTCCCCTTGGCCACATCCAACTCAGCACCTCCCATTGGCCACACCCAACCCAGCACTTCCCATTGGCCACACCCAACCCAGCACCTCCCATTGGTCACACCCAACTCAGCACCTCCCAGTGGACACATCCAACTCAGTATCTTCCACTGGTCACACACAATTCTGTACCTGCCATTGGTCATACCCAACCCAGCACTTCCCATTGGCCACACCCAACCCAGCACCTCCCATTGGTCACACCCAACTCAGCACCTCCCAATGGACACACCCAACTCAGCATCTCCCATTGACCACACCCAATCCAGCACCTCCCATTGGTCACCCCAACCAGGAGCCACAAACCAGGGATCCTCAGAAGCACAGCCTGCAGGGGTCAGCCTCCTGCGATACAGAGCAGAGCAGGGGTGGGTGGGCATGGATCAGAGGTGGGAACAGATCAAAGATAATAGGACTGTACACTGCTGTTCCCCAGAAGCTGCCATCTCTGGGTTCCCACATGCAGTACCTCACTTCTCACCTGAGAAGAAATGGCCCTTTGAGATCCAAAGATGCCATCATTGAGTCTCTATCAGAAATTAGGATCAAGTTCCAAGACATTCATACCCTGCTGGTGGGATTGTAAAATGGCACAACCACTTTAGAGAACTATTTAGCAATTTCTGATCAATTAAACATCCATCCATCCTAAGACCCAGCGAGTCCACTCTTGGGTATTTTCTCAAGAGCAATAAAAACATCGCACAAAAAGAATTATACAAGAATGTGTACAGCATTTTTTCCATAACAGCCAAAATTGGGAACAATTTAAATGTCCATTCTCTGAGGAGTGGATAAACAAAATTATGGCAGAGTCATACAATGGAACACTACTCAGCAATTAAAAGGAGCACACTACTTCTACACACAGCAATGTAGTGAATCTCAAAAAGATTACAAGAAGCCAGACATAAAAGAGTGCATACTACCTCATTCATTTAAGTAGAATCCAAGAAGACATAAAAATCTAATCTACATTGAGAGAAATCATAGTGGTTCTTAGTACGGGGGTTGGGGATTGACTCAGAAGGCACATCAAGGAACTTTCAGCTATGAAGCAAATGTTCTGTATCTTATTTTGGCTAGTGGTTACCCAGGTGTATACAATTATCAATACTCGTTCAACTGAAAACCTAAACTTTGTGCATGTTAGTGTGTGTTATTTATTTGTTGTAGGGGACTGGAATATGCCACCCAAAAATATGCCTCCTTGGCATAAGAATTATTTTGAACTGATTATTTTGAGAAACACAGCAACAAAAGAGAAGCTCTGGAAATGAAGTAGAAGTTACCCTTTTGTAAGGGAAATTTGCATCTATAAAGGAAGTCTCTATTTGTAATGGTGTCTCCCACTCTGTACCAGAAAAAGGATGACTAAATCTCAAGAAAAAAAAATTTTTTTTGAGACAGCGTTTCACTCTGTTGCCCAGGCTGGAGTGCAGTGGCACAATCACGGCTTACTGTAGCCTCAACCTCCTGAGCTCAAGCAATCCTCCCACCTCGACCTCCTGAGTAGCTAGAACTACAGGCGCACACCACAATGTTTAGCTAATTTTGTTTATTTTTTGTAGAGATGGGGGTCTCAGTATGTTGCCCAGGCTGGTTGGTCTCAAACTCCTGGGCTCAAGCAATCCATCTGCCTCAGCCTTCCAAAGTGCTGGGATTACAGGCGTGAGCCACTGCACCTGGCCAAGAAACTCTTATCAGTGGAGAAGGAACCAAATTAAATTCTGCAAAACAAAACTTCTTTTTTTACCATTCATTTCCTGGTCACCTTCCCCATAACTTGCCTCCCCAACGCCCTTTTTACTTTGTTCTAGTTGAAGATGCTATGTAAGGCAGAGTTCTAGGCCACTTCTTTGAGAGTGACTTATTTTTCTCGGGGTATTTCCCATGTGTTTGTGAGGTATAAATGTTAAAACACTCTGTTGTTTTACCCTTGTTAATCTGTCTTTTGTTACAGGGGGTCTCAGCTGAGAGCTTAGAAGATTAGAGGGAAAATTATTTTTTTCCTACCCTACAATGTCAAATTAGTTGTAATGATACAAAACCAACAAAAAAGAACCAAATTTCAAGGTAAAGGAAAAATTTCCTACTTCTCTACTTGGCCTGCGCTATCAAGAAAGACAACATTATTACAACCTGGCAGATTTCTTACTCCACAGTTCTGTATGGTGGGATATTACCCACAAGCAGGTAGATGGCACTCAGTTTTTTAGGCTAATTCATATGACATAGACCGGGAGTGACACGCAGCCCCAATGCCCCCACCACCCCCATGATTCATGGACATGGGACAAACTCAGCAGAAATGGTTGATGGGTGTTTTACATTAAACTAAGTGGCCATAAATATTTAATCACGTGACCATTACTTTTAAATACATCACCTACCACTGTGTATTCCTTTTGGAAACGGTGCCCTTCTGGCTTTATCCAAATACCGACTAAGAGCACTGGGAAAAGATACTAGGGCAAGAAATGTAACACTCCCTCTGCAAATGTTGCTTCCCCAGCATTCACTTCCAGTTTTCCACCTCCACCCCCACCCCCACCCCCAGTTTCTATTTAGGGCTCTGTGTAATTCTAGGGAAGCGAACTCTCCCCGCCCCTTCCTCCCATCCTGCCAGCTCTAGGTTTGTAGCACCTGACTCAGACTAGGCCAATCACTGCCTTTCATCCCACCACACCACCTCCCACCAGAGAGATTGGGTGAAGGTGGATGTGTGAACTAAACAGGCCCCATCATATTGAATCACAGTTCTTTGGCTTACAAAGACTCTTCCTCAGGATAGCTGTAGCTTGGAAGTGTAAGGCCTGGAACTACTGAAGCCATTTTTGCTTCTATGAGTTGAGGCAGGGCTAGGATACAGCAGAAAGGAGGGTTGAGAGAACTCTAGGGAAATGAAGCTTAGCCCTGCAGACATTATGATAACAAGTCTGAAATCTGTCTTGTCTCTCAACATTTTGGTTACATGAGCCAATAAGCCTTCCATATTGTTTAGTTTGACTTAGGTTTTGTATTTGCAGCCCACAGCATCATAACGATCGGGTGATAACCAGAATGCCAGGCTCATTTGTGCAGCAGGGTATAGTCTGTGAAAAAGGGTGAGACTGGCAATCAGAAGGCCTGAGTCCTGATGCTGGCTGGGTCACAATTGAGCTGCATGACCCTGGGCAAGTCATTTCACCTGGCAGAATCTCAGTTTACTCCTCTGCAGAATGAGGCAATCAGACAAGCAGGGTCTCTAAGTCCTGTGGCATTAATAGCAATGAAAGCAATGATAATGATAACAAAATAACTAATAATTTATGTGCCTGATGCTGTCCTAATTGCTTTAGATCCATGATTTCATTTGATTCTTGTATCACTCAGGGTTGAATCCAGAATATTATGCAATAGGGCTGTGGTTTAAGAAGACCTTATACAATTGTGGGAGAAGCTGAGAACCATGGGACGAAAGGGAAAGTAGGAGGATCTGAGTAAAGCCACCAACCAGTCCTCCTGAGTCACTTGTGTGAGCGAGGAAGTAGGAGTTTGCCAGGGAGTACAGGAGAGGGCAGGCACATCCTGCTGCTGTGGTGAGACAGCAAAGAGGAACCCAGTGAGGCAGTCTGTAGAAGACTGGTGTCTCAGAGACGTGGGGGGCCTGGGGCACTGTTGGTAACAAGCCTGACAGTTGGAAAGAAGTGGCATGGGAAAAAGTGAAGACAAACTAGATCTGCTGATACCTCTGCATCCGTCCCTTACTATATCCAAGCATAATGATCTTCAGAGAGTAATGGCTGTTGATTCACTTTTACCTTCCAAACTTCATGCCGCCAGTTTTTTTTTCTTTTGGTCAACTCAACGTAGACATATTAATAATACATAGGGAAGAGGATTTGGGGAAGTATAGTTCAAGTTTGAACAAGTTGACAATGCAGACCAACAAAGCTCTGAGAGAAATAGAATAAATAGCCCCCAATGTTTAGAGAAGCTAAATAACTTGCTCAAAATTATCCATCTGGCGAGTACTAGAATCAGGACTAAGAATCAATCAGCGCTTCTTACTTCTACTTAGTCCTTTTTCTGTATACTTGGCAACTTGTTCCCCAAATTTAGCTTTGTTTTTAATATAAAATGTGGTTGATTTTATTCATAGCTCTTTCATCTTGTTCACCGTCCTTCTCACTGATCACTGGTATCAACGACCCTGTCTCTTACTCCTTCTACTTCACCATCCTTAACTACTTGGTTTTGTGGCCTCATGGCCACAAGATGGCTGCTGCAGAGCCAGGCAACACATGGGACATGACAGCAGCCAGCTGAAGGACAGTCTTCATCTCTTGAGACTCTTTTTATTGGCTAGGAGTCCCTTTCCCAGAAGCTCCCATTCCTGGGCCGCATGCTTCATAAGCTGCACAGGAGGCTGGAAATCATGTCTGTATCTAGTGTGTTCAGCCTCCATCTTGCAAAGTAACTTTGCCAGCAAATTAAAAAAAAAAAGGGAGGGGGCAGGTGCTGTGGCTCACTCCTCTAATCTCAGCACTTTAGGAGGCCAAGGTGGGCAGATCACTTGAGCCCAGGAGTTCGAGACCAGCCTGGGCAACGTGGCAAAACTGTTGGGAACTGGCCCTCCAAAATCTGGCCATAAACTGGCCCCAAAACTGGCCATAAACGAAATCTCTGCAGCACTGTAACATGTTTATAATGGCCCTAATGCCCACGCTGGAAGGTTGTGGGTTTACGGGAATGAGGGCAAGGAACACCTGGCCCGCTGGGGGTGGAAAACCGCTTAAAGGCATTCTTAAGCCACAAACAATAGCATGAGCAATCTGTGCCTTAAGGACATGCTGCAGTTAACTAGCCCAACCTATTGCTTTAATTTGGCCCATCCCTTCACCCATAAGGGATACTTTTACTTAATTTAATATCTATAGAAACAATGCTAATGACTGGTTTGCTGTTAATAAACATGTGGGTAAATCTCTGTTCGGGGCTGTCAGCTCTGAAGGCTGTGAGGCCCCTCATTTCCCACTTCACACCTCTATATTTCTGTGTGTGTGTCTTTAATTCCTCTAGCACCGCTGGGTTAGGGTCTCCCCGACCGAGCTAGTCTCGGCACAAAACCATGTCTCTACAAAAAATACAAAAATTAGCCAGGCATGGTGGCATGCATCTGTGGTCCCCGCTACTGGGAGAGGGAAGGTTAGGGGCTGAGGTGGGAGGATCCTTTGAGCCCAGGAGGTTGAGACTGCAGTGAACCATGATTGTGCCACTGCACTCCAGCCTGGATGACAGAGTGAGACCCTGTCCCCTTCCCACCAAAAAAAGAAAAAGAAAGGCAGAGGGAATGCTATGGTGTGGGCATCCATTGGCCCTACCCTCGTAAGTTCCTTCTTTTTTAACTTTGCCCTTCAGTCATCAAGACTAGATGGCTTTGTCGGCTTGATTACACTTTGTGTAGAAGGATAGCTTTTATCTTTTCTGGTTTTTTTTTTTTTTTTTTTTTCTGAGACAGGGTCTCACCCTGTTGCCCAGGCTGGAGTGCAGTGGTGTGATCTCAGCTCACTGAGCCACCACCTCCCGGGTTCAAGCAGTTCTCCAGCCTCAGCCTCCTGAGTAGCTGAGACTACAGGTGCACACCACCACACCCAGCTAATTTTTGTTTTTTTAGTAGAAACAGGGTTTCACCATGTTGACCAGGCTGGTCTTGAACTCCTGACCTCAAGTGATCCACCTGCCTTGGCCTCCCAAAGTGCTGGGATTACAGGAGTGAGCCACTGTGCCTGGCCAAAGGATAATTTTCTACTTGACAATTTGTAAAATTGTCCACATTAGCATCACTATGTAAAGGCCCTGAAAGCAATGTCTTTCAAAAAGGAGTAGTAGCGCTACACCAAACATACAGTTCAGTGTTTCTCAACCATTTTTAAAATGTTTCAGCCCCCTACAGAGCCTTTCTAGGCATTTTTTTTCTTGATCTGCCACCCATGAAACTAAAACCACAGCTATTCCATATATTGATTTGTGTGCTTTATGTCTATCTGTGCTTTACGCATTTAAAAACTTAAGGGATTTTTACCTCCCTCAAAACTCATTTTTTTCTTCTTGACCGCCTTATGGTCCCCATTAAGAAGGTAATGTAACGTTGAGCTCTTTCAGACAGGTATTTCCTATTTTGCAACGAGGTAAAGATTGATACTTATCCAATCACAATATCCAGACGTATCAATAAGCCCTGCAAGGCTGCACAGCTGTCAGAGGCATTCCAACCAAAGCAACCCCATTTGAATAGGGGCGGAGTAAAGTGAGGCTGAGACCTACTGGGCTGCATTCTTAGGAGGTTAGGCATTCTAAGTCACAGGATGAGATAGGAGGTCGGTTTCACTGGCGTCCGTGTGAAGAGACCACCAAACAGGCTTTGTGTGAGCAATAAAGCTGTTTATTTCACCCGGGTGCAGGCGGGCTGAGTCCAAAAAGAGAGTCAGCAAAGGGAGATAGGGGTGGGGCCATTTTATAGGATTTGGGTAGGTAAAGGAAAATTACAGTCAAAGGGGGGTTGTTCTCTGGCGGACAGGAGTGGGGGTCACAAGGCGCTCAGTAGGGAAGCTTTTGAGCCAGGATGAGCCAGGAGAAGGAATTTCACAAGTTAATGTCATCAGTTAAGGCAGGAACAGGCCATTTTCATTTCTTTTGTGGTGGAATGTCATCAGTTAAGGCAGGAACTGGCCATCTGGATGTGTACGTGCAGGTCACAGGGGATATGATGGCTTAGCTTGGGCTCAGAGGCCTGACATTCCTGTCTTCTTATATTAATAAGAAAAATAAAATGAAATAGTGGTAAAGTGTTGGGACGGCGAAAATTTTGAGGGGATGGTATGGAGAGATAATGGGCGATGTTTGTCAGGGCTGCTTTGAGCCGGATTAGGGGCGGCGTGGGAACCTAGAGTGGGAGAGGTTAAGCTGAAGGAAGATTTTGTGGTAAGGGGTGATATTGTGGGACTGTTAGAAGAAATATTTGTCATTTAGAATTATTGGTCATGGCCTGGGTACGGTTTTGTATGAATTGAAAAACTAAATGGAATAAGAGAAGGAGAAAAACAGGTATTAAAGGACTAATAATTGGGAGGACCCAGGACATCTAATTAGAGAGTGCCTAAGGAGATTCAGCATAGTCCTGCCAGCAAAGATTATTTATTTAAGAGTTAACAGTGGCAGTTTGGGGATAGCACAAGGAGATATCAGCTGTGATGGCTTGGAGAAACAGTGTAAACCGGCAGTGTAAACAAGAGCAGGGCATGTATGAGTAGTTGAGAACGGTGAATAGGAGTATGACTAGACAGAAGATAGTAGGGATGACAAGTTTTTTGGGGCACAGTCCAAGTTGGTCTGGTGTCTGGAATGAGACTGAGGCCTGATAAAAAGGAGCATCCACACAGGAGCTTAAATGGGCTGCACCCTGTAGCACTCCAAGGACAGGCCTGAATTGTGAGAAGGGAAAGTGGTAAAAGTATTGTCTAGTCCTTTTTAAGTTGGTGGCTGAGCTTGGTGAGGTGTGTTTTTAAAAGACCATTAGTCTGTTCTACCTTTCTTGAAGACTGAGGACTGTAAGGGATATAAAGGTTTCACTGAATACCAAGAGCCTGAAAAAATGCTTGGCTGATTTGACTAATAAAGGCCGGTCTGCTGTTGGACTGTATAGAGGTGGGAAGGCCAAACCGAGGAATTATGTCTGACAGAAGGGAAGAAATGACCGTGGTGGCCTTCTTAGACCCTGTGGGAAAGGCCTCTACCTATCCAGTGAAAGTGTCTACCTAGACCAAGAGGTATTTTAGTTTCCTGACTCGGGGCATGTTGAGTAAAGCTAATTTGCCAGTCCTGGGAGGGGGCAAATCCCTGAGCTTGATGTGTAGGGAAGCGAGGGGGCCTGAAGAATCCCTGAGGAGTAGTAGAATAGCAGATGGAACACTGAGAAGTTATTTCCTTGAGGACAGATTTCCACGATGGAAAGGAAATGAGAGGTTCTAAGAGGCGGGTTAGTGGCTTATACTATAGCATAGCCTGCCTTTGCTGGTGTGTGGCGATTAGGCCTGATGGAACTGCCATCAATAAACCAAGTGTGATCAGGGTGAGAAACAGGGAAGAAGGAAATGTGGGGAAATGGGGTGAAGGTCAGGTGGATCAGAGATGCAGTCATGGGGGTCAGGTGTGGTATCAGGAATAATGTGGGAGGCCGGATTGAAGTCCGGGCCAGGAACAATGGTAATTGTGGGAGACTTAACAAAGAGTGAGTACAGCTGAAGGAGCCGGGGAGCAGAAAGTATATGTGTCAGGTGTGAGGAAGAAAATAGATTTTGGAAATTATGAGAGCTCTAGAGAGTGAGTTGAGCATAGTTTGAGATTTTAAGGGCCTCTAAAAGTATTAGGGCGGCAGCAGCCACTGCACGGAGACATGATGGCCAGCCTAAAACAGTAAGGTCAAGTTGTTTGGACAAAAAGGCTACAGGACGCGATTCCGGTCCTTGTGTAAGAATTCCAACTGCACAGCCCTGCACTTCGGCTGTGTGTAATAAAAAGGGTTGGGATGAGTCAGGGAGAGATAGGATGGGGGCAGTCTCTAAAGCTGTCTTGAAGGAACAGAAAGAGGAGTGGGGAAAGGATTTAGGATCTATGGGGTCAGCTAGGTTTCCTTTTGTGAGTTTATATAATGGTTTTGTTAGGATGGCAAAACCAGGTATCCAAAGGCAAAAGTATTCAACCATGCCCAGGAAGGAAAGGAGTTGTTTTGTAGAAGGGGTTGGGGTTTGAGAGATTAGTTGGACATGATCAGCAGGGAGAGCACGTGTGTTTTTATGAGAATTATGCTGAGATAGGTAACAGATAAGGAAGACATTTGGGCTTGACTGAAGTAATGGGGGCTGTCTGTGAAGCTTTGCAGCAGTACAGCCCAGGTAATTTGCTGAGCCTGATGGGTGTCAGGGTCAGTCCAAGTGAAAGCAAAGAGAGGCTGGGATGAAGGGTGCAAAGGAATAGTAAAGAAAGCATGTTTGAGATCCAGAACAGAATAATGGGTTGTGGAGGGTGGTATTGAGGATAGGAGAGTATATGGTTTTGGCACCATGGGGTGGATAGGCAAAACGATTTGGTTGGCAAGGCATAGATCCTGAACTAACTTGTAAGCCTTGTCTGGTTTTAGGACAGGTAAAATGGAGGAATTGTAAGGAGAGTTTATAGGCTTTAAAAGGCCATGCTGTAGCAGGCAGGTGATAACAGGCTTTAATCCTTTCAAAGCATGCTGTGGGATGGGATATTGCCATTGAGCGGGGTAAGGGTGATTAGGTTTTAATGAGATGGTAAGGGGTGCATGATCGGTCGCAAAGGAGGGAGTAGAGGTATCTTATACTTGTGGGTTAAGGTGGGGGCATACAAGAGGAGAACACAAAGGAGGCTTTGGATTGGGAAGAAGGGCGGCAACGAGATGTAGCTGTAATCCAGGAATAGTCAGGGAAGCAGATAATTTAGTTAAAGTGTCTCGGCCTAATAAGGGAACTGGGCAGGTGGGGATAATTAAAAAGGAGTGCTTAAAAGAGTATTGTCTAAGTTGGCACCAGAGTTGGGGAGTTTTAAGAGGTTTAGAAGCCTGGCTTTCAATACCCACAACAGTTATGAAGGCAAGGGAACAGGCCCTTGAAAAGAAGGTAATGTGGAGTGGGTAGCCTCCATATTGATTAAGAAGGGGATGGACTTACCCTTCACTGTGAGAGTTACCTAAAGCTCAGTGTCTGAGATGGTCTACAGGGCTTCCAAGGCAATCGGGCAGTGTCCGTCTTCAGCCACTAAGCCAAGAAGATCTGAGAAGGAGCCAGTCAGAGAGCCTTGGGCCAGAGTTCCAGGGTCTCTGGGAGTGGCTGCCAGGTAAGTTGAACAGACCAGTTTCCAGTGGGGTCCCACACAGATGGGACATGGCTTAGGAGGTATCCTGGGCTGCAGGCATTCCTTGGCCTTGTGGCCAGATTTCTGGCACTTGTAGCAAGCTCCTGGGGGAGGCGGTTCTGGAGGAATGCCTGGCCACTGTGCTTTAGGCGTTTGGAAGTTCTTGTGTGCTGGAGATGTGGCTGGGGTTTGTCTCACAGTGGAGGCAAGGAATTGCAACTCAGAAATATGTTGCTACTTGGCTGCCTCTACTCTATTATTGTACACCTTGAAGGCGAGGTTAATTAAGTCGTGTTGTGGGGTTTGAGGGCCAGAATTTAATTTTTGGAGTTTTATTTAATGTCGGGAGCAGATTGGGTAATACAATGTATATTGAGAATAAGACATCCTTTTGACCTTTTAGGGTCTAGGGCTGTAAAGCATCTCAGGGTTGCTGCCAAATGAGCCATGAACTAGGCTGGATTTTTATATTTGATGAAAAGGAGCCTAAACGCTATCTGATTTGGGATAAAGAAAAAGGAGCATTAACCTTGACTATGCCTTTAGCTCCAGGCACCTTTTTAAGAGTAAATTGCTGGGCAGGTGGGGGAGGGCTAGTCACGGAACAAAACTGTAAGCTGGACCGGGTGTGAGGAGGGGAGGTGATAAAAGGATTATAGGGTGGAGGAGCGGAGGCTGAGGAAGAATTGGGACCTAGCTCAGCCTGGCAAGGAGGGGAGAGGTCAGATGGGTCTGTAGAAAAGGAAGATTAGAAAGACTCAGGGACACTTGGGGTTGGGACTGAGGGGACAGGTAGGAGGGAAAGAAGGAAGATTTGGGACAAGTTGCATTGGGAACAGAGACTAGGGAGGGACTGATGTGTAAAAGAATGCCTGGACGTCAGGCACCTCAGACCGTTTGCCTATTTTACGACAGAATTATTTAGACCTTGTAGGATGGAAAAATTGAAAGTGCCATTTTCCAGCTATTTGGAACTACTGTTGAGTGTGTATTGGGGTCAAGCAGCATTGCAGAAGAAAATAAGACACTTAGATTTTAGGTCAGGTGAGGGTTGAAGAGGTTTTAAGTTCTTAAGAACACAGGCTAAGGGAGAAGAAGGAGGAATGGAAGGTGGAAGCTTGCCCATAGTGAAGGAGGCAAGCCTAGAGAAAAGAGTAGAGACACGGAGAAGGGGTGGGGGGTTCTTGCCCTCCATAAAAGCGGAGAAGGGGTGGGGAGTTCTTGCCCTCCATAAAAGCAGAGAAGGGGTTGGGGCATGGAAATAAGGGGTTGGGGCGCAGATATAAGAGGTTGGGGTGCAGAAATAAGGACTGGGGCACAGAGATAGGGGATTAGGTTTCCTGCCCCTCCCCCAGAAAAGTGGGACTTGCCGCTAAGGGTGAAGTACCAAGGCAGGCGTCCCTGCGTGGTCTGACACCTCTGAAACCTGGGTGAATAATCATACAGGCATCCCTGCAATGATTAAACACGAAGGGAAGGCTGCCTTCCCTAGTCCATGACCAGCACCGGAGTTTTGGGTCCATGGATAAAATGTGTCTCCTTTGTCTCTACCAGAAAATGAAAGGAATTGAAATTAAGAGAAGGGAGAGATTGAAGTGTGGTGCCAAGATTGAAAGGAGAAAGAGGTTGAGGGATAGTGAGGGAGGTTGGAGAAGAGAGTAAAAAGAGGCCGCTTACCGGACTTGAAATTGGTGAGATGTTTCTTGGGCTGGTCGGTCTGAGGACCTGAGGTTGTAGGTGGATCTTTCTCACAGAGCAAAGAGCAGGAGGACAGGGGATTGATCTCCCAAGGGAGGTCCCCCGATCCTAGTCATGGCACCAAATTTCACTCACGTCCGTGTGAAGAGACCACCAAACAGGCTTTCTGTGAGCAATAAAGCTGTTTATTTCACCTGGGTGCAGGTGGGCTGAGTCCGAAAAGAGTCAGCGAAGGGAGATGGGGGTGGGGCCATTTTGTAGGATTTGGGTAGGTAAAGGAAAATTACAGTCAAAGGGGGGTTCTCTGGCGGGCAGGAGTGGGGGTCACAAGGTGCTCAGTAGGGGAGCTCTTGAGCCAGGATGAGCCAGGAGAAGGAATTTCACAAGATAATGTCATCAGTTAAGGCAGGAACAGGCCATTTTCATTTCTTTTGTGGTGGAATGTCATCAGTTAAGGCAGGAACTGGCCATCTGGATGTGTACGTGCAGGTCACAGGGGATATGATGGCTTAGCTTGGGCTCAGAGGCCTGACAGTTGGCACAAGATACAGGTCATAAAGACCTTGCTGATAAAATAGGTTGCAGTAAAGAAGCCAGCCAAATCCCACCAACACCAAGATGGCAATCAGAGTGACCTCTGATGGTCCTCACTGCTACACTCCCACCAGTGCCAGGACAATTTACAAATGTCATGGCAATGCCAGGAAGTTACCCTATATGGTCTAAAAAGGAAAGGCATGAATAATCCACCCTTTGTTTAGGATATCATCAAGAAAAAAACATAAAAATGGGAAACCAGCAGCCCTGGGGGCTGCTCTGCATTAGGTGTAGCCATTCTTTTATTCCTCTACTTTCTTAGTAAGCTTGTTTTCACTTTATTGTGTGGACTTGCCCAGAATTCTTTCTTGCGTGAGATCCAAGAACCCTCTCTTGGGATCTGAATCAGGACCCCTTTCTGGTAACACAGCTAGTCGAGCAGAGGCATAGAGAAAGGGATAGTATTTGCCTCCATTTCTGACACAGCTTCTCCACTTAAACCAAAGACCTTGACTCAGACACTTGAGTTTACAAAACTTCACATGTGGGGCTTATAAGAAAATGTAATTAAAAGCTAGAGCAAGGAAACTGGGAAAAATGAAGGAAACGTTATATGACTGCAGGAGAAAGCACGATTCTTAGTTGGGGTTCTGGTTGCAAGTACCGGAAAGAAACTTGAGCTAGTTTAAATAATGAGGGGGGCGGGGAGAAGGAATGTTTCTGATGGGATACTGTATTCGCTTTCCAGGGCTGCCTTAACAAGCACCACAAACTGGGTGGCTTAAACACCAGAAATCTGTTGTCTCACAGTTTTGGAGGCTGGAAGCCTGAGATCAAGATGTCGGCAGGGCTGGTTTTTGTCTAAGACCTCTCTCCCTAGTTTGTAGATAGCCACCTTCTCTCTGTGTCATCACGTGGCCTTTCCTCTGGACCTGTGTCTCCCTGCTATCTCTTTCTCTTCTCATAAGGACACCAGTCATATTGGATTAAGGTTGTTGATGAAAAGAGTCAAACTCTGTGAAATACTTGAAGAGATTTGTTCTGAGCCAAATATGAGTGACCATGGCCCAGGACACTGCCTCCGGAGGTCCAGAGAACATGTGCCCAAGGTGGTTGGAATGCAGCTTGGTTTTATACATTTTAGGGAGGCATGAGACATCAATCAAATACGTTTGAGAAATACATTGGTTTGGTCCAGAAGGGCGGGACAATTCAAAGGACAGGGGGATGCTTCCAGGTTATAGCTAAATTTAAACATTTTCTGGTTGACAATTGGTCAAGTTTGTCTAAAGACCTGGGATTAACAGAAAGAAAATATTCAGGTTAAGAGAAAAGATTGTGGAGACAGGTTCATTTGAACTCTCAAAGTGGCTGCCCTTAGAGACAATACATGACACATGTTTCCTATTTGGACCTTTAAAGAGGTGCTAGACTCTCAGTTAATCTCTTCAGGATTGGGAAGGCCTGGAAGAAAAAGATCTAGTTATGTTAATAGAGATTCTTTACAGATGCAAATTTTCCCCCCACAAAGGATGGCTTTGCAAGGCCATTTCAAAACATGGCAAAGAAAAATGTTTTGGGGTAAAATATTTTTATTTTCTTCTTTGTTACATAATGTTATACCAGAGTCAGATTGGAAAGTAAGTCATGATATATAGTGTTAAATAAAACCCAACGAATGAGAATTTATGGTTTATAGGGCATGATTCCCCAGACCCCATAGATAGGAATTTGGGCAAGAGAAAAAAAGCAGAGATTAGTCCTCAATAGTATAAATCAGAGAAAATGACCTTGGCAAGTTCAATCATTTTAGGAAGTTTATTTGCCAAAGTTAAGGACACATGCCCAGGAGACAGGTCTAGGCCTTTCTCCAAAGATGGTTTTGAGGTCTTCCATGTTTGAAGGGCAGGATATTGAGAAGTACACAATTTTCAGATGAAGGGGAGAGGGGAAAATAGTCATTCATGTCTTTGTCAGGCTCAGTGAGTCTGCATTTTGTATGTAAGGTAATGCAGCGAGGCGCAGTGGCTCATGCCTGTAATCCCAGCACTTTGGGAGGCCAAGGCAGGCAGATCACAAGGTCAGGAGATTGAGACCATCCTGGCTAACACGATGAAACCCCATCTCTACTAAAAATACAAAAAATCAGCCAGGCATGGTGGCGTGCACCTGTAGTCCCAGCTACTCAGGAGGCTGAGGCAGGAGAATCACTTGAACCTGGGAGGCGGAGGTTGCAGTGAGCTGAGATCGCGCCACTGTGCTCCAGCCTGGGTGACAGAGTGAGACTCTGTCTCAAAAAAAAAAAAAAAAAAAAAAAAAAAAACAAAGAAAAAAAAATCCAAAAAATTAACTGGACGTGGTGGCGGGCACCTGTAATCCCAGCTACTCGGGAGGCTGAGGCAGGAGAATTGCTTGAACCCAGGAGGCTGAGGTTGCAGTGAGCTGAGATTGCACCACTTGACTCCAGCCTGGGTGACAAGAGAGAAACTCCATCTCAAAAAAAAAAAAACAAAAAAGAGGGAATGCAGACAGTAGGGCGGAGGAAACAATCAGATATGCAGAGGGATGACTGAGTTCTGTCCTGTGTCCCTATGCAGCTGCAGAAGATAAGCCATCAATTTACATTATCATGGTGAACTTCAGCAGAACTGCTTTAGGGTGAAGATCTTGGGGACCACAAGGAATTTTCTTGTGGGCAAAATGTGAGGAAGTTACGTAGCTTTTCATCTTTGTAGCTGTCTTATTTGGGAACCAAAATGGGAGTTAGGTATGTGTAATCCAGTTTCCAGTTTGGCTTTTACCTTTGGCTTAGTGAATTTGGGGTCCCAAGATTTCTTTTCCTTATATTTTTGTAACAAGAGTTACAGAGGTATCTCATGGACTTCATTAAAAGGTTGAACAAACAGACCTTAAAAGAGCAGATACCAGGCTGGGTGTGGTGGCTCACGCCTGTAATTCCAGCACTTTGGAAGGCAGGCAGATCACTTGAGGCCAGGAGTTCGAGAGCAACCTGGCCAATATGGTGAAACACCATCTCTACTAAAAATAGAAAAATTAGCTGGGCATGATGGCACATGCCTGTGGTCCCAGCTACTTGGGTGGCTGAGGCAGGAGAATCACTTGAACCTGGAAGGAAGAGGTTGCAGTGAGCCGAGATGGTGCCACTGTACTCCATCCTGGCAACAGAGCGAGACTCTGTCTAAACAATACAGAAACAGAGAGAGAGAGCAAACACCAGGGCTGCTCCAACAGGTATTTAAGATTTTTTCTTCTTTTTATTTTATTTTTTTGAGATGGAGTTTCACTCTGTCACCCAGGCTGGAGTGCAGTGGCACATTCTTGGCTCACTGCAACCTCTGCCTTCTGGGTTCAAGCAATTCTGTCTCAGCCTCCTGAGTAGGTGAGATTACAGGCACCTACCACCACATCTAGCTAATTTTTGAATTTTAGTAGAGACTAGGTTTCATCTTGTTGGCCAGGCTGATCTCGAACTCCTGACCTCAAGTGATCCACCTGCCTCGGCCTCCCAAAGTGCTGGGATTACAGGCGTGAGTCACCGAGGCCCGCTGAGATTTTTCCTTCTAGAGCAAGAATCCCAAACAGTAATGCTCCCAAGCACTAGAAGGTAGGATTAACGAGGGCAGGGTAAACAAAATGGATTGGCAGGGACTGTGGGGAACTGGAGAGTGTGGGACCCAACTAAAGAGGGTGCTACTTAGCTCCAGACAATTGCTGCCTTTCAGAATCCCAGGCCTGGTACAGTTAGATGGTCCAGTTTTCTAACAGAATCCAAAAGTCTGGGTTTTTAGTAAAGTTTACAATATTTTAAAAACCATGCAGGCCAAATAAAGCATATCTGCCAGCTAGATCTCTGTCCAGTTTGTGGTTTCTTCTTGAGAGCTGTAGGGGAGGAAAGATTTTTCTCTTTACCTTCCTAGGTTTGATAGCTGGATCTATGAAATTAACTGACAACAGGGAGATTAACAGGAAAAAAAGTATATAAATTTATGAATTCTTAATGTAACATGCATGAATGCATCACAGAAAAAAAAGTGAATACCTCAGAAAAGCAGTGAGATTTGAGAGCTTCCATTCCATCTTAATAAGGAAAGTGGGGTGGGATGCAGGTCACTTAGGAGAGTAGAAGATTTTTAGGAAAGATGAATGAGCCCATAGAAAATAAGATGGGAAATATGCTAGGTTGTGACAAAGTTTGTTTGAGAGTGGTGTCAACTTCTAGTCTCTCTGTGATGAGTTCATCTTCCCTGGTTGATGAAACTCCCAGGGATGGGACTGATGACAATTTAGTTTCTTTTGCAGGATCTGTCCTTAGGCAGGTAAGGGAAGTTCAGAGAGGGCCTCTCTCTGCACTGCTGTTTTTTTAAGTGCCTTCAACTCAAAATAATCAGTGTATCAAACTGGCAAATTTTGGGGGTAGCAAGAACCGAACCCCTTCAGAGCTTTGCTGTGATGTGACTCAGCTTCCTTCTCTGTGGCTCAGTTCTGAGGCGAGAGGTCCTGATTGGCCCAGCTAGGGCCGGTGGGGTCAGCTAGGGCCAGCTAGGGCTAGCTAGGGCCAGGGAGGGATGACTCAGCGAAAATGTGGCTACTGAGTGGGCAGAGTGACAGAGTGGTTCCTAAAGAAGAGGGTCTGAAACTGCAGGATCCTGTGGAGGGAGTGAGGGGTCAAGGTAAAGCTGTTTATCACTTTTCCGTGTCAATGGGAATCATATCACCCAGTGGGAAGCAACTTGCAGCTTATGGAAAAGAAAGAATGAAATGAAATAGGCCTAAACTGAAACACAAGGAATTTAAATCAGACATTTGGTCTTCCAAAGGGAGCTGTAAAGCTCTGAGAATTTACCACAGGGTCTCAGGTCCTATCAGATTGAGTCAAAACATATCTGTCTTGCCTGATCTCTGGGAAGACCTTGTCAAGCATCATCTGTCATTGTCTCCACTCCCTCTCTCAAGCCCCTAAATCCCAGTTCACATGCAACACATTCACTGCCTTCCCCGAGAGGAGCATGGGCCATTTCTTATCTCACCAGCTTGCAGAGCAAAGTGTGATTTGAGCACTGGGGCCCAGTCACACCTCCCCTCCCCTTACCTTCCCATTGAGCCACTGAAAGTACCAGCAAATCCTTTGATGTTGCTGATTCTGTATTTAAGGTGATGTCTTCATTTGGGAAAAATAATTTCACTCTGATGGGCTGATACCGATGGGAAACTGGCATTGTCGATTGTTATTAAGTTAGAGGATACATGGAGGGTGATGATAAATTCCATGCATTGAGTTATTAAGAACAGGTTTGTACCCCTACTCATTTGCTTTAACATGCCTCCTTCACCCCCATCTATTAACTTGTGCCTATTTGAAGGCTACATATGCAAATAGAGGCAGAGCTATCAGTGGAGGTGGGGGCGGTGGATGGGGGGACACAGCTGCTTTGGGGGAATAAACTAAATCACATCCACTGAACTATTTTGCTGTTTAAATCCATTCTAAAGATATCCTAGGAGCAATGAGTGCTCTCAAACAACCCAGCTAGGGCTCCAGAACATTCATTCTGATGGTAGTTCTGTCCAAAACTTGAAGGACAACAGCTGCAGAAGGAAATTATAGCATCAGAAATTTCCCAGCTGCTCAACTCCCTGTGGACCTGCTTCTGATAACTTTTCTTTCTTTTATTATTTTTATAATTAATTCATATAATGCTTTAAAGTCAACACAGTTGACAGGGTGTCTTCTGACCTTTCATTCATTGGAATAAGTTTATGGAATGCCTGTCATGTGCCATGAACCATTCTAAAAGTGGAGACTTTCATGGCCAACAAAACAGACAAGGGTCCTGCTTTTGTGGCTCTCACACTGTGATGGCAAGAAGGAAAGGAAGAAAAACAAGTCAAGAAATAAATGAGCAAGATAATCAACTGTAGCCGCAAAAGACATGATGCCCTTCCTCACCCATCGTAAGGGTCATGGCCTACACTCCTATAGCAAAGGACAGGTTAACAAGAGAAAAACATAACGCATTTGTTTAATCAAAGTTTTATGTGATATAGGAGCCTTCAGAAATTTAGACCCAGAGACCCAAGGAAAACTATCAATTTTTATGCTTAGGTTGCATGAAGAATGGATAGCCGTGTAGAAGTGTGATTGGACAGAAGGGTATAATCTAATGGTAATAGACTGAGGGGGAGAATCCAGTGAGTAGAAAAAAACAAGCTCAGTTTCTCCTACCACACTGTCACTCAACAATCAATGCAAAAGCCTTCAATGTTCCCTGGTCACCAAGAAGCATGGGGGGATTCCTTCTCACCATCAACCAACCAGTCAGTTAATTCTGCAGCAGATTCTCCTGCAGAAACCACCTGCCTTTAACGCAATTCATTTCTGACACTATCTACCTGGAGATAGCATGACAACCCACATATTGAGGGCTCAGTTCCACAAGACCGCCCCTGACTTCCAATGCCAGTTGCAAGCCCCAGGTTGTCTTACCTATGCTTCTGACCAACGAGCTACAAATTGGAATTCCCACAGCTTCTTCTTTGGGTTCGATTAATTTGCTGGAGTAACTCACAGAACTCAAAGAAACACTTACTTACGTCTATTAGCTTATTTTAAAGGATATTACAAAGGCTACAGATGTACAGCTACATGAAGAGAAACATAGGGCAGGGTCTAGAAGGGTCCCGAATGCAGGAGTTGGGAATGTGTAAGTCCCCATGTGCTCAGCTCTCCCCAAGCTCTCTGAACTCTGTCCATTTTGGGTTTTTATAGAAGGTTTATTATCAAGCTCTCTGAACTCTGTCCATTTTGGGTTTTTATAGAAGGTTTATTACGAAGGGATGATTGATTAAACCATTAGCCTCTAGCTATCAAGTTAACCTTCATCCCCTCTCTCCTCCCTGGAGGTTAAGGAGTGGGTCCGAAAGTTCCAGTTTCAACCCTCTGATCACAAGGCTGCTTCTCCTGGCAACCAGACCTTTATCCTGTAGTATCTAGGGGCTTTCCAAAAACTGTCTAATTAACATAAGCCCAGGTGTGTTTGAAAGGGCTTGGTGTAATTAACAAAAGACTGTCTTTCACCTTTATCGTTTAGGTGCTACTTCAGGAACCAAAGAGAAAAGAGCAAATATTTTAACAGATGATATTCTTATTGCTCCAGTCACTTAGGAAATAACAAGGCTTACAGTAACTGAGAGCCAGGAATCGGGATGGACCAAAAAATACATGGTAGTATCACACCCATCAAGGCCTGCCGCCTGATTCTTGGCTCTCTGTGTAGCATTCCTCCCCGCTTCCACCCCACCCTGGTACGAGGCAGGACCCTTCTGAGATGAAGGTCTTTAAGTGGGAAGGGAGAGAGGCCTACATAGGTTTTATGGCTTGCTTTGCGGGAGAGAAGTTCTAGTTTCTGTGACCCACCTTGAGGAAGAAGAACTCTGGCTTCTATGACTCATTTCAGGGCAGAAAGAGGGGCGGAGGCTGGGGGGAGGGCAGGAGAAGGTCAGAGAGACCTTGCTTGCTTCAGAGGTCCATCCAGTCTCCTTTAGTTCAAAGTACTCAGCATGCTAAAGCGCTGTACTTTGGAGTATTGTGTTCTGAGCCCCAACAAGATGATCAGGTATGGACTTGCTGAAGAAGTGCATCAGAGGTGAGACCTAAATGACAAGAAGGAGCCAGCTTTGTGAAGATCTGGGATGTTCTAGTCCAGTGATTCTCAACTGGAGATAATTCTGCCTTCCAGGGGGCATTTGACAATGTCTAGTGGCATGGTGGGTTGTCACAACCAGAAGGTGTGCTATAGCATCTAGTGAACAGAGGCCAGGAATGTGCTAAACATCCTACAATGTACAGGACACTCCCCACAACTGCCCCGCATACATACACAACACAGAATTATCAAGGCCCAAATGTCAATAGTGCCGAGGCTGAGAAACTCTGTTCCAAAGAGAATAGCTTCAAACAGAGGGAACAGCATGAAAGTTTCAGGAAAGGAGACAAAACTGGTGGTCCGAGTGTATTAAACATTACCATTAAACTGGGGGTTTTCTGGGATGGCTCTTCTTCTGGCTGCAGCTCGGCGAGGCTTGGTTCCAGACTATGGGTTATGTTAAAATCTGCTGCAAATCTTCTCTCACTCTCCTTGGACAAGCAGCTGCGTAGAGCACACCCTTCTCCTGGTGGTGTTTCCAGAAGAACAGGGGAGAGATAAAGTGCACCATCCACACATTTCAGGGTTCTTTCCATGTCATGACCACTAATATGCCACTGGCCAAAAGAAGTCTTATGGCCAAGCCCCAAGTCCAGGTATGAGGAAGTCTCCTCTACCATGTAAAGCCATGGCAGGGTTATTCTAGAAGGTTAAGAATCACACGGAATGATCCACTTTTTCTCACAGGGTGTGGCAGAGAGGGAGACAGGAATGGAGACACAGGCACATGCAACATTAGAGAGGCGTGGACTAAGGATTTTATTGTAAATACACCGAAAAGCCAGTGGATGGGCTTAATCTAAGGAGTTACACATAGTCAAATTACATTTAACAAGTATAAACAGCTGCTTTGTGAAAAAATAGGTTGTAGCACACAAAAAGAAGGCGGGGAGACCAGTTAGGACACCATTGCAGTAGCCCAGGTAAGATACAATAGTGTCATGGACGAGGATGTGGGCAATGGAGGTAAACCACAGCACACAAATTTAGGATATGTTTCAGAAATAGAATCATTGGAGTAGATTGATAGATTTGGGATTCAAGAAAAGGAAAAACATCAAGAATGACTCTAATAGCTTTGTCTTGAGCCTCTGCACTAGATGGGAGGTGGTACCATTTACTGAGATGGATGACTAGGGAATGAACATGTCTGGGGAAAAATCAATCTTTATCTCATTTAATTTAACTGTGTCAATAACCCTATCTAGAGGTATTTTTATTTTCTCTTTTCCTCAAAAGAGGAAACAGGGACTTGGAAAAGTAGTGTAACTTGTCCCAGATCCTAGTGCTGGCCAGTGGCAGAGGCAGGATTTGAATATAATTAGTCTACATTCTATACGGGCTACCCAACTGCATATGATTGTTTTTTTACTACTTCTCTGCCCCTGTAGGAGACCCTCATGACTTGGGGCTGCTGAAAATCTTACCTGCTTCTGAATGTATGTTTTTTCTAGACCGTACACTGTAAAATTAGTACTTTATTTGTTCGGGCAGTAGGAAGCAGGCATTAGACTGAAAGCAGGGAGAACTAGACTCATGTCCCAGCTCATCTGCTAACAAGCTTGTATATAAAAAATGAAGCTTGGCTGGGCGCAGTGGCTCACGCCTATAATCCCAGCACTTTGGGAGGCTGAGGCGGGTGGATCACCCAAGGTCAGGAGTTCAAGACCAGCCTGACAAACATGGTGAAACCCCGTCTCTACTAAAAATACAAAAATTAGCTGGGCATGGTGGCGAGTGCTTGCAATTCCAGCTACTCGGGAGGCTGAGACAGGAGAATTGCTTGAACCCAGGAGACAGAGGTTGCAGTGAGCAGAGATCTCGCCACTGCACTCCAGCCTGGGTGACAGAGCGAGACTTCGTCACAAAAAAAAAAAAAAAAAAAAAAAAAAAGAGAATGAAGTTTGTTTCTGAGGGCCTTGATAACAATGAGCAATAAAAATAAAGGATGAAGCTTGTTAGAGGAAAAGTAAAGACCAGACTCCCATGAACCTGGGTGATCTGGCCCCTGCTTCCTCTCCAACCTTCCCTCCCTCACCATGTTCCAGCCACCAGGGACTCCTCTCAGTTCCTGGGACAGACTGAGCTCTCGCTCACTCAGTCCTCTGTGCTGCCTCCTCCCATGGGTTCCTCATTCATTCCTGTTTCAGTGTTCGCTTTTTATTGCCTCCGTAGCACTTAGCACTTCAAGTTCTTAAAAATGGCTTCTTTTTCCGTTTCCCTGCCAGAGGCATGAGGGATTTTTTTCTCTGATCTTCACTGCGAGAAGCTGGTAGGGCTCCTGAAGGTAAACCCACAAAAGTGTGAGCAGCCCCTAAGACGAGCCCCCTCAGAATTTTTACATCTCAATCCGGTCCACACTGAGCTTCCAGTAATTTGTCAATTACAGTTGAACACATTCATCCCAATCCTGGCTCGGCCGAGACGTCTGCTCTCAGGAAACTGGGATTCTCTGTAGCCACCCATCTGTCTCTCCAGTTTTTTGGGGGCAGCAGCTTGCCCTGTAAGCAAAATTCTCTGATGGATCTAAGAGCTGCTGATTTCCAGTGTGTTCAGCATTTTTCTTGTTGTGAGGATGATTCCAAGCTCCTTACATTGTAGACCGAAACCAACTATGGTTTTTATTGTTAAGTTTTGTCTGCCTCCTCTGCTAGGCAGACTGTCTCCAATTTCTTCACTCTGTTTCCCCACGATGCCTGGCACATAGAAGGGGCCCGAGACGCAGGGCTTGTGAATTAATGTGAGAACCTGGGTTCATCCAGTCATGTCAATTTCCTTAGTTAGGCATGAAATGTGTAATCTCTCAAAGATCCTTTCTAGCACATAAACGCTGTGATGATGAAGCCAGGGGATTTCTTTGGGAGATGTGACCTGAAGGGTAATTCACCAGGCCATAAAGACTATTAATAGAAATGAAAATTGCCCAATTTGCTAGCCAATCTCCTGATAAGAGTTTTGTGTATAACCAGAGGACCTCAACTATCAAATGACGGGATCCCCCAGCTCCTAGGGGCTCAGAAGAACAGAAGAGACTGGAAGGCCTTTTTCATATTTCCAATAACCACTTGGAAATGGTATGTTTCTCTATTATTAGGAACATGGACTCAATAATGCCATTTATTAGTTTTAAAAATATGAGAATGAATTAATTACTGCTGACTACATGCTGTTTTGCTTGGATGACATGGTATTTCAAAACATGCCATTATTGAGAGGAAGAATATTGGCCATCTTCTTGATGACTGACTTATTTATTTATCTTAATGGAGATGGGGGTCTCGTTATGTTGCCCAGGCTAGTTCTGAACTCTGACCTGCAGCAATCCTTTTGCCTCAGCCTCCCAAAGTGCTGGGATTACAGGAATGAGCCACCAAGCCTAGTCTCAGTGGCTTTAAAAAGGGGGGGTTGGTAGGTAATTCAGAAGGTGATATCTCAGGTTCCTTGATCCTTAACCTCCTACAATCTTCCCCACCAAGTTAGAACCTGTGTCATGTTCCTCTGAACTGTGTTTGTCCCCTTCGGGGGACCCCACATGCTACGGACACCTGATGATTCGACCTGTTCACCATCCCTTCAGCCCTGAACTGGCAACAGTATCCTCATTATTCATGAGAAAACGATTCCTCCTCCCTTCCCAGACCATGAGGATTGAGTGGAATTCACTCCATCCTTCTCAGCTCCCTGGTGAGTAGGTGGCTGGAACTAGTCAATGAGTATATTTCAACCCAGGGATGGGAATGTAGCCAACTCTGAACAATGAGAGTCAGCCTCAGGATTCTAATGGAAGTGTCTGTAAGAAAACTCTGTCTCCACCAGACCAGAAACTGGCAGGGTACAAGCCTACAACTGTTGGCAGCCACCTTACCACCACCCAGGGAGTCTGTGGCTGGGCTCCCTAAGAAGAAGACTCTGAGGCAAGGATTTCTGTGCAAGAGGTTTATTTTGGAGACTCCCAGGAAGCATGGGAAGGAGAATAGGAAAGTGAGACAGGAAAGAGAAGGGGGCTAAATCAGAGTGCATTGGAGAGCAGGCTGCCACAGCGGGCAACTGAGGCTTAGCACTGTTGGAAACATCTGGAGAAAATATAGAACATGTCCAGGAGTCCTCCCAACCAAAGACCGTAGTAATTCATTGTTGAATCTACTAAATCGATCTGTCTTTGGCTGAAGGCTGCTACCAGGGCTGTTAACTCCCTGGTTCTTCTGCCTGCCCACAACAGACTGAACCAGCCCCTGTGGGAAGAGAAAGCCCCCAGGCTGAGAATCAACTGAGCTGCATTGAGGAGCCCCAGGTGTGTGTCCAGGAATGCCAAGTGCAGAAGGGCTATGCACGGGGCACCATCATGACCTGCTGCAGAGACCGTCCCTGAGAACAGAGGAGCAGAGAGAGAGAAGAGCAAGAGATGGGCAAGGACAGAGTCACAATCCCAGTGTCTGGCCCCTGCCTCCGGCCTTGTCTCAGCTAGCTCTGTCACTGGACTTTCATTTGTCTGGGACCAATATCTCTCTTCCTTCCTAAAGATGACTGCAGACTGGTTTCTGCCCTGTGTAATGAAAAGATCATGATGTGCACAGCTTTTTACCCCATCTTAAGAATATTTGAGCACTTATCTCCATAGAGGGCAGAATCTGTAATGAATTTACTTTTCAGTCCTCCATAACACCTGTCGCAAGGTTTGTACAGTTTTCAAGAAATACTGGGTAGATGAATGAATGGATACTGAAAAGACCCACTAAAATTTAATGCAAATCTGTAACAACAGATGCCCATTTAAGGCACATGGCAGAGGGCAAGGTGGCATAGGGAGAAAGCAGTTGGAGCAGATTCATCCTGGCAGTGGCACCCTGTGAGGAGGGGTACTGGCAGGTCCCACTGGGGCTCCCAAGTGAAAAAGTGCCAGTGTTAGTTCCTGCTACCAAGAAACCTAGAGCTTCTCTGGTTCTAGTTTTTTCCAAAGGCTCATTTTCCAGCTTTTCCTTCCATTCTGAGAGCTATACCATAGCTTCCATTAATTCTTTATTGTTTGTTAATTTGGCCTAATACTGTGACTCAGTCTCTGTCACTTGCCACCCTAGAACCCTAGCCAGCACAGAAATGACGGAGTGAAACCACCTCCACACAAACCAGTGCTGCTTCCTCTCTTCACAGTTGCAGATTCTGTCTCTAGTGGCAGCATTAAGGGAGATTGTGTCATCAAGCCTGCTTTGCTCTAAGATGCTGACTTTAACAGATTAGAAATGTTCCCGGCACAGCCCACGCTTCTGCTAATAAATGATTCCATATCTATCATGAATGAATTTCAAGTCTTCCATTACTGGGCTGTGTACCTACTCACGAAGTACATTTCCAGGCGATTTTGTCTGAATTACATGGTTAATTGCCTCATATTTTCAGCTCATGTTACAGGCCTTCTGAGTTAGAATGAGAGAGAGAAATACCATGTATCACTTCCTACACAGGGGACAAATTCACGGATAGAGCCAGGCACGTGGAAAACGGCTTCATTACATATATTAATGATGAATGCTAATTTGTTCCTAGCTTCCAAGTATAAGTAAGTTAAAAAGAGCCAGAAAAGGAGGGTGAGGGGTAGGAAAGTCAGCCAGTTAGCCAGATGTTTTTACTTCCAAATTTTATACTAATTCATTCAGTAATTTGTTCCTCAAAACCTGCACATGTGCAAGGTTCTCTGCTAGGAATGTTGGAAGGTAAATTCAGAGAGGTGACCTCAAATATCATTCTAACTGAAGTTGTGGTATGTGTAACCCATTTAAAAAATAAGAAAATATAAGAGTCATTTAAGTAAGCTACAATATAAAGCAGAGAAAGATAAATACCTACTGGGAGTTAAGGCAATAAATCCTGTGGGAGTCCATCGGGAGGTAAGTTCAGAGTCATAGAAGGTGAGAGCCGTGGTGAGACCTGTTCCCAAAGGCAGGCTCTTGACGGACCTTAAAGGAGGGGCGGATATTAGTTGGGTGAGGCAGAGGGTGACGTGATTCCAGGATTGGGAAATGGTTCAAGGAAAGCGGGAACCATGCACATTGCCAGTCTTACTTGCAAGTGGAGCCCCCAGTATAAAAGTCTAATTAACAGTTGGAACTGGACATTGACTCAAGATCAGTTAGAAATTTGGATTTAGGAGCAAAGTGCCTGTAAAGGCATATTCCTAAGTAGTCACGTGGAAAACAAACAACCACTAACATTTATGGAGTGATTACTTAGCAACTGTTAGCCTTGTATTCCTTACCTATGATTGTGCTAAAAAAAAAAAATCCTTAAACCTAGCAGCTTAAAACAAGAGATATTTATTATTTTGCATAGTTTCAGCAGGTCAGGAAATCAGGAGCAGCTTAGTTGAGTGATTCTAGTTCAAGGTCCTTCATGAGGTTTCAGTTAAGATGTCATTGAGGGCTGCAGTCATCTGAAGGCTAGATGGGAGCTGGAGGAGCCACTTCCAGATAGCTCACTCACATGGCTGCCTAGCTGTGGGCAGGAGGCTTCAGCTCTCCACAGGGCTGCTTGAGTCCTCATGACCCTCACGACATGGCAGCCAGTGTTATCCAGTGCGGTGATTCAAGAGAGCTAGGCAGAAATTGCAATATCATTTATGACTCAGCCTTGGAAGTGACATTCTTGTACTTCTGCAATATGCTTTTGGTCACACAGATCATCCCCATTCAGTGTGGGAACAGACTACACAAAGGAGTGACAAGCAGAAGGCAGGAACAATTGGGAGCCATCTTGGAGGCTGACTGGCACAAGCCTTTACAGACATTGTATCTTCAGAAGTTGAAAACAATGGTGCTATTAATATTATTTCTCCATTTTATAGAAGAGGAAATGGAAACGCAGGGCAATTAAGTAAATTTCCTTCAAATTTCACAACCAATAGGTGGCTAAACCAAGATTTGAACTTGTGTCTGTCTGACTCAGCCTGGATTCCATCTGTATGAGTTTGCTAGAGCTACCATAACAAAGTACCACATACTGGGTGGCTCAAAACAACAGAAATTTGTTGTCTCACAAGTCTGAAGACTAAACGTCCCAAACCAAGGTCTCGGCAGGGCCATGTTCCCTCTGAAACTCTGGGTAGAATCCTTCCTTGCATCCTTCACCTTCTGGTGGTGGCCAGGAGTTCTTGGCATTCCCTGGCTTGCAGCTGCATGAGTCTCATCTCTGCATGCCTCTTCATACAGTGTTCTCCTGGTGTGTCCTCACATAGTCCTCTGTGTCCGTGTTCAAATTTCCCTTTTTTGTTTGGTGTTAAAGAAAAAATTATTCAATGACACTTGTTAAAACACAGCAAGGAAGACTTTATCCAGGACCATTGCGATAGGTATGAGGAGCACTGCAAAAGGGTCTTGCAGCGGGGGAGAGAGATTGGAATCAACTCCGAATACAACATGAGCCAATTTATAGCTACTGAGCAGGGTGGGGGTCAGTGGGTGGAAAATTACCAAGAGGAAAACATCAGTGGTAAGGGGCATCCTGGTTAAACCAACCCACTAGGATTCTTGCTGAAGACAGGCTGGAGTGATCAGACATCACCTGGGGGATGGTGGAGGATGAGGAACCTGATCAGCTATCAAGGATGATCAGGTCTCGAGGATGAGGAGCTTCCTCCTAAGCTGCTTCAGCAGGGTTTTTTGTTTGTGTGTGTGAACCCAGAAAATTTGAGACAGGTCTCAGTTAATTTAGGAAGTTTATTTTGCCAAGGTTGAGGACGCACACACGCCCATGACAGCCTCAGGAGGTCCTGATGACATGTGCCCAAGGTGGTCAGAGCACAGTTTGATTTTGATTTTATACATTTTAGGGAGACATGAGACATCAATCAACATACGTAAGATGAACACTGAACATTGGTTCAGTCTGGAAAGGCGGGGTGGGGGCTTCCAGGTCATAGGTAGATAAGAGAAAATTGGATGCACTCTTTTGAGTTTCTGATTAGCCTCTCCAAAGGAGGCAATCAGATATGCATTTATCTCAGTGAGCAGAGGGATGACTTTGAATAGAATGGGAGTCAGGTTTGCCCTAAGCAGTTTCCCAGCTTGACTTTTCCCTGTAGCCTAGTGATTTGGGGGGCCCAAGATATTTCCCTTTCACATTTGTTCATTTGTTTGTTTGTTTTTGCTAAAACTGGATTTTACAAGGAAGTACACAGATGGGGCCAGGAAAAGTTTTATAAGAATTACTGACGTGAGTGAAGCAAACTTCAAGGCCAAGCAAAGATTCTTTGTCAAAGGACACTAGTCATATTGAATCAGGGCCCACCCTAATGACCTCATCGTAACTGAGGGTGTTATCGCACTCAACACCTGTGGAAGGAAGTTAAATCTACAAAGCCCCTATTTCCAAATAAGGTTCTCACCAGTGGAGGGTGTCCAGGTTCTTGGTGTCAACTTGTTCTTAGTACATTCCAGAACTAATGTCAGATTTGGGTCATCAGAGTCCACAAACCACATCAGTGAAGAAGATGGATAGGATTCCGTGATGTTGCAGTGGAGTGTGAGCAGCGGCAGCAAGTGCAGGCTGCCTGGCAGCAGAACCGGGAACTGGCAGTGCAGCTCATCCAGCTTCCAGCTGATTATGCGGAATTGCTTGTGGTTCTTGCTGAAGATGTGTTTCTGGACCAAACTGAGGGTTGGGCTGCTATTTCTCGTGGCCCAATAACGAGATGCAGATGAACTGGGAAGGAAGAGAGTCTTTATTTCCATAACTGGTTACAGGGAGAAGGCCTGGAAATTATCGCCAGACCAACTCAAAATTATAAAGTTTTCCAGAGCTTATATACCTTCTAAGCTGTACATCTATGTGTAAGTGTGTATTTATTCAAAGACGTAAGTGATTAACTTCTTATAATCTATAACTAAGGTCTGAGTCCTGAAGACCTTCCTCTGAAGCCTCAGTAAGTTTACTTAGTCTAAATGGGTCTAGGTGCTGGGGTGATTACCCTAATCTTGTCTCCTGCTAAATCATAAAGATTTGGGGAGTTCCTTTAGATGCCAATAAACTTGTTTGTGGAGGCCTGGGGAGTTATTTCAGACCCCCAACAAAACGTGTTTAATCCTAAAAAGGTCCTGTTAAGAATTCCTTTGTTATATTGTCATGCTTCAAGGCCCAGGAAAAGCCTAGGCAAAACTCTTGCTGGGCTCTTTGCTATATTTCAGACTCTTTATAAGAGCACTGGCTCAATCAGCTTTTACTGTTTAACCTAGCTACTCAGTCAGTGCTGGGACAGTTGTACTGGAGGCCCGCATTAGTGAGACCTGGCCTGCCACAAGGTCACATTCTGACGTAATGGGAATTAGGACTTCAACATATCTTTTTAGGGGGACATAGTTTAGCCCATAATACCATCTGACCCCGGAGCCCACACTCTAGTCATCACAACCCCTGCTCCTGTTGAAAGTGTAGGGGAAATGAAAATAGCTTCCGTCTACCCTCCTCAGTGAACTAGTCTACAAATTAAATTGGCATAAGACAGGTTAACAGGAGGAAACCATTTTAATTATGTACATATGCACACACAGGAGCCCCATGAAAACATAAGACTCAAAGAAGGGCCAATGTGGGCCCTTCTATAATTACAGTGGCTCATGCCTGTAATTCCAGCTACTTGGGAGGCTGAGGCAGGAGGATTGCTTAAGCCCAGGAGTTTGAGACCAACCTGGGCAACATAGCAAGACCCCATCTCTCTCTTAAAAAAAAAAAAAAGATAGGCCAGATGATTGACACTTAATCTGAACTACAGAAAGGCATAAGGGTTTGGGGCTTCTAGGGAACAGTAGAGACAGATCGTAGGAGGGTGAGGGGAGGAAATGTATGGTGGAAATAAAGGTTACCTTGTTATGCAGATAAGAGTGTCTCAGGTAATAAAAGCTGGCTCAAAGCAGCTTTCTTCCTGGTATAGATATCTTTACTAACGAAAATTTCCTTTATACATTTCTCTCTACAAAAGGGGAGTTTGTAACTGCCCAAGGGGTTCACCTTGCCCGCTGCCTAGACAGAGCCGATTCATCAAGACAGAGGAATTGCAACAGAGAAAGAGTAATTTACGCAGAGCCGCTGTGCAGGAGACCAGAGTTTTATTATTACTCATATCAGTCTCCCCAAGCATTAAAGTTTTTAAGGATAACTTGGTGGATGGGGGAAATCCAGTGAGCCAGGAGTGCTGATTGGTCAGGAATGAAGTCATAGGGAGTAGGAGCTGTCTTCTCTTGCTGAGTCAATTCCTGGGTGGGGGCCACAAGATCAGATGAGCCAGTTTATTCATCTGGGTGGTGTCAGCTGATCCATCAAGTGCAAGGTCTACAAAATATCTCAAGCAAATTATCTGAGGAGCAGTTTAGGGAGGGTCAGAATCTTGCAGCCTCCAGCTGCATGACTCCTAAACCATAATTTCCAATCTTGTGGCCAACGTTAGTCCTACAAAGGCAATCTAGTCCCCAGGCAAGAAGGACGTCTGCTTTGGGAAAGGGCTGGTACAGAACTATAAACTAAGTTTCTCCTAAAGTTAGTTCAGCTTACGCCCAGGAATGAACAAGGACAGCTTGGAGGTTAGAAGCAAAATGGGGTCGGTTAAGTTAGATCTCTCACTGTCTCAGTCATTTTGCAAAGGCGGTTTCAAGTTCTGTTTTACACAGTGGAGGGGAAGATGAAGAGCTTTTACTGTGTTGGCTGGTTCTTGATTTCTTTTAGTTCAAAATAATCAATATGCCTAGGCAGCTTATTCTGGTCTTCTACAGTCATATTTTGGAGTCGCGTGTCCTGAACCCAAAACAGATATTTTGAGAAATGGCTGAACAGGTGAGAGAGAGAGAGGTATGGGAGCAGGGGAGCCCTCTCTTTGCTTCTGAAATTGCTGAACAAGAGGCCAACAGCTGTCCCTGCTGTAGGTGGCTGGAGGAGCCAGTGCCCAAGGGACCTGAGCAGGGACCCTTAGCTCCTTGGCCTTTTCCTTGCTGCGCCCGTTTTCCCTGGTATCACAGCTGGAGTGTGGCCTTGGCTTCTGTAAGGCAAATAGCATTTTTTTCTCCCTGTTGAAAATAAGGAAAGAGCCTTCTCTCCCTGTCTTCCTTTTCTTTCAGAATTACTTTTTCTGTCCTTCTCAAATGTATGTAAATCTTTGGAACGGCTAAATAGCCTCTGATCAGTCTCACAACTCAAGAATATTTCCTCAAGGACCTGGGAGCCACCTCTTTCTCTTTGAAATGTAATCATCAAGGAAGATAAATCCCAGCTCCCGGTTTCCTGGGAGGGCACAGGCTTAACTTGTCACTTGACTCCAAATTGCAAAACCTACCTGATGTATTGAATGGGTTGCATCCACTTAGTTACATAAAAGAGTGAGATTTCTTTCTGTCTTTACAATCCTTTCAGCAGCATTGCCTGTGATGTGCATCACATCTGGTTTAATGCTCATTCAATAATCAAATTGTTTTCTTTCTCTTTTAGCTTTGTGGAGATATTTTCTGGGTTGGGTTGGGAAAAAAAGAGATTTTGTTTCTGGTTTTTGGTTTTTGGTTTTCTCGAGACAGGGTCTCGCTCTGTCACCCAGCCTGGAATGCAGTGGCAACCACTGCAACCTCAGCCTCCTGGGTTCAAATGATTCTCCTGCCTCAGCCTCCTGAGTAGCTGAGATTACAGGCACACCTCACCATGTCCAGCTAATTTTTGCATTTTTAGTAGAAACGGGGTTTCACCGTGTTGGCCAGGAGATTTTGCTTTTTATTATATTTCCAACACTGCCCCATCAACAGTGGCCTTCCTGATGGTTTTGTTCAGTACCATTGGTCAGAACCTAGGGAAAGGGAATAAAATCAAGATTTGTCCTCCTAATTGGCTGTGTGATATTCTCCACACTCTGCTGAGGTGAACCTAAAGTTATGTCTAGGAGGAAAAACTTTTCCTCTACGCTCTTTGGTTCAGTAAATGGGGGCCTGTGAATTAACCTGACAAATGATAGATTAACAGGTGAAAAGGTACACAATTTTTATTAATATTTACATACATGAGGGTTCATAGAAAAGAAGTAGAAATAAAGAGTGGTTAGACTTGGGGGCTTATATACCATTTTAAAGAATGAAAGGGGCTTTGGGCTTTGAGGGACAGTGCTGGGTAAGGAAGTGACTAGGAAATTCGTAGGGGAACGAGTGGAAGCTAATGTGGAAGGCAAGAATATGCCACCCCAGAACACACTTCCTTGATATATTTCAAACTGGCTATTCAGAGAACTGCAGGCAGGAATAGACCTGAAAAGCTGTCCTTTCTTAAAGGAAACTTACGTGGATCTACCTTAGTATGGTAAACTGCAGATGGAAGCAGAGATTTTTCTCTGAGGCCGTTTTATCTGCCTAAAGATGGATAAAGGTCTGAAACCTCCTCAAGACAGAGATTACCACAGGCAATCACCTTTTTTTCTGATGGCTGTTACCTGGGAGACCTTATGTGCATAAAAACAGCCTTCCTCCCCCCACCTCACATATGTTGTCACAACTACCCTCCAGGAATCTTCCATTCCCCATTTTTTTCCACAACATAAAGTGGCATTTGAGCTTCTAGACCTCATTGGGTTATTGGGTATTCACTTGCCTGTGATGACACCATCGACTGAAATGAATTTGGATGCTTTTTCTCCTGTTACTCTGTCTGTTGCCAGTTTATTTCAGCAGACTTAAAGAATTGAATCTTCAGAAAGTAAAGGGAAAAATTCCCCTCACTTCTGCAGTAAGCATTATTTTTACAAGGTCTGTTTATGCAAACTCGTCTCTGTGTCAACTCCCTATACTCTGTTGATGAGAGTTACTACTCTTCCCTTCCTGGTGCTAGTGGGGAGTCACCTTCACAAAGGAAGGGCAACTTATGCCCAGCTCTCAGGCAGATCAAGGGAGGGCAGAGAGCTCTTCCTGTATCTGCTGCAGATTCTTGATTGCCTTTACCTGAAAATACTCAATATGCCACAGTGGCATCTTTTGAGGTGGAGTACTCTGGACCTGTTTGGTCACATCAGTCAGGGTCCCATCAGGAAGCAGAGAGCACACTCAATATGATGGGCATGTAACATAAAAAGGAAGCCTAGCACAACTAACTCCCTCCACACACACCCCTTCTGTCCAGCCTCCCATGATGATATTGAAGCGACATCATTCATCTGGGGTAATACCCAAGGTTCATTGTCTCATGCCAAGGAAATCAAGGACATGGACACACAAGGAATGAGGTTAAGAGTGGAGGTTAAATAGGCAAAAAAGAAGAGCTCTCTCCTGCAGAGAGAGGGGTCCTGAGCGGGTTTCTGGCCCACAACAAAAGGCAGGGGTTTTTATAGATGAGTTTGAGGAGGTGGCGTCTGATTAACATAGGGCACAAAAGATTGGTCGGACCAGGTGTGCCATTTGCATAAGGCTTGAAAACTGGTTTAGGACTAGGCATGCCATTTGGCCATCCCCACCCTAATCTTTTATTATGCAGATGTGTTCTCTACCTGCCAGTGCCATGTTGCCTATTCCTTTACCATATATGTAGTGACAAAGAAAAGGCAAGATGAAGCCTCCATGTTGAACATCCCTGGCCCTCAGGTAGCCCTTTTCTATTGGCACAGCTGCCAGCATTCACCCATGCAAGCTTCCAGCTTGCTTATTTATCTACGTCTGCAGCTCAACTTTTTAAAGCCGCTTTTTGTTGGAAAAGAAATAATTCTGGGGCTGCTTTTTGTTAAAAGGGTAATTCCACCAAGGACCCTTTTGCCCTCGCTGTTTGCCTAAATAATTTCTTTCTGTCTCCTGTATCAATATCTTTTAGGTTAACTGTTTTTGCTTATCTCTGCACATAGGCCAATCTAACTATGGGAGAAATTTAGCTTATAGTTTAACTTTCAAGCAAGGATGAGAATAGCCCTTCCCCGAAACTAACACCCCAGGAGAAAACAAGGGAGTACACAGAAGTAACAATGTTATATTAAAATTTTATAAGATTATTGTGACGGGACCAAGGAAAAAGAAGTTGACCCTCACTGCCACTCAGATGTCTGTGGTCATCTGTCACTTTTTGGCCTCAGCCCCCTGCATCTTCTCCATTTCCCTAAAATAAAGGGAGCCCTAAATTCATATTAGCTTAACATGTTTCTTTAGGACACTAGTCTGCCATCTCAGTTTGCTGGCCCTCCAAAATAAAATCTCTTCCCTTGCCCCAACATCTTGTCTTTCGACCAATAGCTGTCATGCAGTGAGCAGTACAAGCTTTGGACTTGACAACAGTTGGAGGAGACTTTAATAAAGGAACCATTTGCAAAGTCGTAAGTAGGAAAGAGGAATCCCACAAGGCATCGTGCAGTGCCAGAGGGCTGGTAACTGAGGGGTTGTCAACCCATTAGGCTTGAAGGAGTGATGAAAGGAAGCAGGTTCCTGCAGGCAGAGGGACCAACTTACATGGAGGATGCTCGGATGCCTGTCCCCAGATACGCTTCAGTGAAGGATTCACTGCCCAGCTGCTGACAGTGGTGTCTGCAGAGAGCTTCCGGCTTCAGCCCCTCAGAGATTGCCTCAGCTGCATGCCACTGTCATGCCAAGGTTGTGCCCCTTCCTGGTGCAGCCTAATATCCAGTGACTGACAGATGTGAGAATATAAGGGCCTGGCCCTCTTGTCCCAACACCAGGTGACTCTGAAGGGCCATTCTAGCTCCAGGTCCTCCAGTGGGGTTGGCCAAGATAGTCAGTGGTCCTGCCTCAACAGCTGAATTCCCCCTGTGCCTGGTCCTACTTCCTCATCTTCCTTTCACATGTGTCAACATGAACACTCCCTGATAACCATCCTGCATACCAAACCCCATCTCACAATGTTTCCCACGTGTATGGGTTGAACTGTGTGTCCCTCAAAGAGAAGATCACAGCCCAAGCCTTGGAGAATGCTCATGGTTAAGTTCATCGTAGGATATTCAAGGAGAAGAAACCATTTTAAGAAGCACAGACTAGGCCAGGTGCTGTGGCTCATCCCTGTAATCCCAGCACTTTGGGAGGCTGAGGCAAGAGGATCACTTGAGCCCAGGAGGCCAGTCTGGGCAACATGGCGAAATGCTGTCTCTACAAAAAATACAAAAATTAACCAGATGTGGTGGTGTGCACCTGTAGTCTCAGCTACTTGAGAAGCTGAGGTGGGAGGATGGCTTAAGCCTGGGAGGTCAAAGATTCACTGAGCTGAGACTGCACCTCTGTACTCCAGCCTGCACAACAGAGAAAGACACTGTCTCAAAAAAAAAAAAAAAATGACTGCATACCAATGTCAAATAAAGGAGAAGCTCAATGACTGACATGGCTGTAATTAACCAGGATCTTTGATTGCAAGTAATATAAATCCAAGTAAAATTGGCTTAAGCAAAAACGTTGGCTCACTAATGGAAAATTTAAGTGACATTCCTTCAGGTATGGTGGACCCAGGCACTTAATATACGACGTGAAAATTCAAGCTCTCTCTAAACCTCTTGGTTCTGCTTCCTTATGTACAAAATCAGGGTTTTGCTAACAAGACAAAGGAGAGAATGGCTTCTGTACTGGGAGTTAATAGGTTACTGAGACAAGTAAATCCTTCCATTTTTAGGTGGCCTCTCTTCACATCATGGCACCCAGCATCTCTAGATTTGCATTTTCCTAATCCCAAGTCGAGCTGAACATGGAGCCTCTGTCTTTGCTACAGTTTTGATAAAAAGCCAGGTAATGGGATATATTGAGTGATTGGGATCATTTTTCCAATTATGAACAAATTGCTGTGGACAAGGGAACTCAATACTTCTATAACAGCATGAGTAACATGTCAACTCCAAAAGACAAAGGTGGTGTTAATCTCAGCTTGAACTGAGACTTTTGCAGGGCCGGTTCCCAAGGGAAATATGGATTCTGTCAATAAAGTCAAGGAATTGGATGTTGGACAGAGAGAAGCAACAAATGTCTCCTGTAAAGATGGAACAGCCAGATGTTTAAACATGGAGCCTTCTTCGTGAAACCCCATGATAAACCATACTTAAATATATCTAGATAGCTGAGCTGATCATGTGCCTCTCCTCCATGTGTCATCTTGTAAGTCACATCCTTTATTCCCAGTAACCCTGTTCATTCTGAATTCTGGAAATAACGTCATCAGATCCACAACTGTTGAGCTTTTGGGAGGGAAAGAATCTCCCTCCACATGTGTGGTGATATTCTTGGAAGAGTGATTTGTGGGCACTAAAAATGAATCATTTTGCAAAGAAGGGTGAATTTATACCATAGAAATGACTTTCAGGGTAATAGCACCTCCTCCCCCAAGTGGATCTGATGGGGATGGAATGTTCTGTGCTCTGGGTCTCACAAGTGATTCAGGCACTTACTGAGCACAAGAGTTGTGTGACTAGCACATGAATAATGCAACTGCGTGCTTTATAGATTTTATTCTAGAGGAGCAAGAGGAGAGAATGTAGGAGGAAGATGTGGTACATTGAAAAGACCAAAAGGAAAACTTGCTCATTTCTACTAATTGGTAACCTGGTAAGCAGTGATGGGAGTTTGCTAGTCTCTGTAACCTGTGATTGCCTATCCAACAACCCTTCCCAACCTTGCCACAAGGTTAGCTGAACCTGATTTTGTGCAGGTATGAGGCAGCCATGGCCTCAGGTAGGCCAGGTCACGCCCAGTGCTGATGGAATCGTGTGTGGCATAGACTGCTGGTTATCACCCAGTAAGCTGTACCTTCTCCCCTTTAAATAGCAATAGAAATTCCAATTTTTATTTGTGCCCATGGCTGTGCAGGATAGACATTTCTCAGCCTTCGTTACAGCCAGGTAAGACCATGTGATTGAGATTTGTCCAGGTGGAGTCAGCATATGTAGAATGTACAATTCTAAAAGTGTCCATTATAGAAAGGAACTTTGCTTTTTTTTTTTTTTAAGATGGAGTCTTGCTCTGTCACCCAGGCTGGAGTGCAGTGGTGCTATCTCGGCTCACTGCAACCTCTGCCTCCCGGGTTCAAGTGATCCTCCTGCCTCAGCCTCCTGAGTAGCTGGGACTAGAGGTGCGCGCCACCACGCCCGGCTAATTTTTGTATTTTTAGTAGAGACGGGGTTTCACCATGTTGGGGAGGATGGTCTCGATCTCTTGACCTTGTGATCCACCCGGCTTGGCCTCCCAAAGTTCTGGGATTCAGGCGTGAGCCCCACCGCACCCGGCCTGGAACTTTGCTTTTCCTCTCTTTTTCTTTCCTCTGGTGCTGGAATGAGTGCAAGAGGACTGGAGCTGGAGCAGCCATTTGGGGCTATGAAGCAACTTGGAGTGGAACCATGCACAGAGGAGCATGAGATTAGAAAGAGCCTGGGTTCCTGAAGTAGAGGTGCCCAACTGCATAGCCAGGCTTCCAAAATGTGAAAGAAAGCAACTTCTGTCTTGTTTAGACACTGTTATACGAGGTTTTTCTGTTCCCTTCCGGCCAGTGTAATTCTTACCTATACACAAGCTCATCCCATGTCCTCATAAAAGTTTGGTTGAGCATGGGGCATGTGAAGTTATTTTGAAAAAGGAGATATAAAGGGACATTAATGAGACTCTAGGAATTTTTCCTCGATCTTAAAGATTGAGACAAAACAGAGATCTTTCACTTGTCTGTCTCCGGGGGTTGGTTTTTTTGTTCGTTTGTTTGTTTTGTTTTGTTTTTGCCTATGATGCTAAAACTTCAACAGCAAATGTGGGATGTTGGAAGGATCCATCCCGAAGTTGAGCAGAGGCTGGCAGGACAGTTAGTGGGGAAGAACCTGTATCCTTGGTGACAGCAATGAACCACCTGACGAATCCCTTGGGGAGCCATTTCATATCCAGACTTGTTGTTACAGGAGATAACATATTTACTTTCTAAAAAATACTTTCCCTTGTGTTCTTGTGTTATCGTTCTTTCCCTCCTCCTCCTCTTCCTCCTCCTCCTTTCTTCTTCTTCTTCATCCTCTTCCTCTTCCTCCTCTCCTTCTTCTTCTTCTTCTTCTTTTCTTTTCTCTCTCTCTCCTCTCTCTCTCTCTCTCTCTGTCTCTGTCTCTCTCAACTGGAAACATTCTTACAGATACATTAATCAGTTCCTTTCTTAGTAAATCCAGGGTAGTGAGTCAGGGTATAAATAACAGTGATAACAACAACAGTAGTAGTACACACTGACATTGATCAGTCATGGATGGAGCATGATCTGTGCTAAGTGCTGCGCATGAACTTTATCTCACTCCCTTCCCCAAGAGGTGCTCTTATCCTTTCATTTTCCAGATGAGGAAATTGGGGACTAGAAAGCATACGCAGTGTAGTGCAGGAAAAATATCTTTTCCTTCTACTCCTCTAAGACTCATCTGGGGCCCCTGTAACAGAAGGCAGATTAACAAGAGAAACACATACTAATTTATTTAATATATGTATTTTACATGACACAGGAGAGTATGAGAAAGTGAAGACCCAAAGAAGTTGTTAAACCTGAATGTATTTATGCTAGGTTTGATGAAGAATGGAGATTCTTGGGAAAATGTGACAGGACAAAAGAAAGGTAGGAAGTAAGAGTGGTCAGCTGGGGAAGACAGCAAGCCTGCATCTAGGTTCCTCTACATGTCCTTGTGACTTGGAGATAAGGATCCTCCTCTTCTCCAGGCATAGAAAGGGCACCTCTCATGGAGGGGCTTATGACCTGCCTCAGGGAAAGGTCAGAGAGATCTTCCTGCACCTGCTGTTTTACAGATTCCTTCAGCTTGAAACAGTCAATGTGCCAAGGTATCATATTTGGGGGTAGCAGGTCCTGGAGCCTGTCAGTAGCTTGCTCAAGTTCTCTTAGTTACCAAATGGCAGATCTGGGATTCAGAAGCAGGGAGGCAGTATGGCAAGGGGCTTACACGCATTTGCACTGGGCTCATGGGACCTGTGTGCCTGTACCTCTCTGGTGTCTCAGCCTTCAGAGGTGAAATGAGAGGGTTAGACTTCAGGCTTTTCAAAGCCCCTTTCTGATCTGAACATGGACATTTAGGGGGCGCTCGGGGCTCCTCCCCTCCCTGATCTCATGTTCCTCAAATATTTTAGAGGGTGTGGGTTGGGGTGGTAATTTTTTATATTGAAATAACTTGAGATGTGTAGAAAACTTACAGGAATAGTGCAAAAAACAACTCACCAGTACCTTTTACCCAGATCCCCCACTGATGAATATTTCACCACACTTGCTTGGGGGTGGGAGAGGGAAGGAGGAAGAGAAGGGGTGGGGGAAGAAATGGGATGGAGAAAGAATGCTCCTTCATCCCTAAATATTTCAGCATTTATTTCCTAAGAACAAGCGTCCTTACATAAAGATAATACAATCACCCAAATCAGGAAATTAACATGGAGAGAAATGCAACCATCCAATCGAGGGGCCCTTTCAGATGCAGCTGCCTGCCTCAAAGATGGCCGTCATAAACACCCTTTCCTCTCTGGTCTAGGATCAAATCCACGTTGCTTTTGGGTGTCCCTTCTATTCAGTCTTTTTCCACTGGAAATGGCTCCTTAGCCTTCCCTTTGATTTTCGTGACCTTGATGTTTTTCGGGAATACAGACCAGTTACTGTTGTAGACTGTCCCTCAGTTTGGGTTTGTCTGATGTTTCCTTGTGATTAGATTCAGGTTAGACATTTTGGCCAGAAATGTCACAAAAGCGATGTGTTTTTCTCAGTGCATCCTATCAGAAGGCACACAATGTCAATTTGTCCCATAACTGGTGACGTTAAATTTGGTGGCTTTGAAAGAGACTTTGAGACTTTGAATATCATATGTGGAGATGCTATGAATGCCTGTTCCTCAGCAAACTTAGGCCCACTTGTTTTAGCACCCATCGATGATTTTTGACAGGATCAATTATTAAATGCTGGGTGCCTTGAAAGCTGCTCCACCCACTGTGACCCTGAGCAGGCCACCTTCCCCAGAGTGGGGCCCCTCTGCCACATTGGAGGGGTGAGAATCCTTGGCTGTGACCCTGTTGTTCAAGGGCCCAGGCCATGCTGGGCATCCTCAGATGTGGGCTCCTTTCTTTCCTCCATGCTGCAAGGTGGGCTTGAGAGCAGCTTCCTCTCATGATGAGTGATGAGGTCCCCCCCATGGGACTTTGAGGAGAGACAGGGGAGACATACAGGACTCTGATATTTCAGCAGCAGCATCACACTGCTCTTAACTACATTGCCAATACTGACCTGATCCATCTCTGGCTCTGATGCTGTTCAGCTCTTCTCCTAGTGTCTCCTCCCCCTTTTCTCAATGTGGTAAGGTATTGCAAGATACACACTGATGCTTTGGCCCGGTAGTACTTCCTATGGCTGCCAACCCTTTCCCCACTCTGGGAACCTGGGCCAACGGCTTTTATTATCTCAGAAAAAGGATGTTATCACAGGATGGGGAGAAGAAGGGAAATAATTCTGACAGTTTTGTGTTTCAAAAGTCATAGATGTTTTGAAATTTAGAGTCATATATAACAAAAGAGAGACGTTATCTTGTTCCTTGTACCTTTTGCCACCTATAAAGTTTCTACAAGTTGGGGAGGAAGTGTAAGGACCAGAAAGGAAGGAAAGAAGGCTTAGATGCTGGTCATTCCAGACACTGCTACAGAACTGAGCCCGTTGCGGAGTGGCAAAACCCTCATGTTGATTGGGGAATCCGAAAACCGGGGCTTGTACTCTCATTCTGGGGAGAATCCAGGGAAGTTGCGAGAGCCCAAAACTTAGCATAGACCTGAGTAATTCAGGGAAGAGGCACAGCCGTAGCACAGAGAGCTGGCATCCTGAAAGGCACGGTGGCTAGACGTGAGGAAGGACATACAGCTGCTGGCAGGACGAGGAGAAAATGAGGCATGTCAGCAGATCCAGGGCGGAGTGGGAGAGAGAACCACACTGCAATCTGCACACGCCATCCTCAGCGCCAACTTCCATCCCAGGGTAACTCATCACCCAAGACAGTTACTGGAGCTCCAACTGTCACACCAAGCTCCAGGCTGCAATAAGGAAAAAGAGGGGGAGGGCAAAACGGCCTGTTGGTTAGACGAGTCAGTATCCTTTACAGGGCCTTCCTGGAAGCCCCACACACAACTTCCACTTTTTATCTCATTGACTAGAATAAGAGTCACACCCAGCTACAAGGGAAATAGGGTCATGTGGTCTTTTGGCTGAGCACTGAATTAAAAATTGGGGTCGTTACTAAGTAGGAAGGGGAAAATGGATATGGGGTGGCACCTAACGGTCTCTTTCTCTTTTCTCATTTATTTATTTATTTAGAGACACGGTCTTACTCTGTCACCAAGGCTGGAATGCAGTGGTGAGATCTTGGCTCACTGCAGCCTCAGCCTCTCAGGCTCAAGGGATCCTCCCACCTCAGCCTCCCAAGTAGCTGGGACCACAGGCATGCGCCACCACACCTGGCTAATTTTTTTGTATTTTGGGTAAAGATGGGGTTTCACCATGTTGCCCAGGCTGATCTCGAACTCCTGGGCTCAAGTGATCTTCCTGCCTCAGCCTCCCAAAGTGCTGGGATTACAGGGGTGAGCCACTTCTTCCGACCTGGCAGTCTCTTTCAAGTCGTGCCTTTTCTGTCTCCTCCTTCCCACTTTTCTGGGCCTCACCTCTTCTTCTCTAGCTCTGAGTTCCAACCTCACTTTACAGCACCCTGAAGGAGCTACCAGCCTCATTTCTGTCACCTCTGCACAAAGGGGCACTGTTTGCATCCCATTGGTGGGAGTTGGTAGAACATGCTGGTGCTGTCATGGTTGCCTTGCCCACATGTTTTCAGTTTCATGTGGTTGCAATGGATATGCTTCCTTCCTGACGCCAATTCAAGTTTCAGCCCATGTCCTGTTGCCCATTGTGCGTGGTGGTCTGTGTGTGGACACAGGCCAAATAAGTCATTCTGTAGCCTCCAGTAAGGTGACCAGGTGGCCCAGGGGGCCCGAGCTGACTTTGGTACCAAAAGCCTGTAGGGCAGGTATCTTGGAAAATGCTGTGGAGTCTCCCTTTTCCTAAGGGAAAGAGATGAAAGAAGAAGGAACTGACATTTAAGTGACTGTCACGTACTAAGTCTTGTGCTAATGATTCTCAGATGTGATCTTGTGTGATTTTGGTGCAGGAACATCAAAACTATGAGGCAGGTAGGTACTTCTCCTAGTATGAGTTCTACCCAAAGCAGACCCTGAGACAAGGACTTGGGTACACATAGTTTATTTGGGCCAGAAAGGACAAGTAAGGAAATGGTATGTTGGTAAATGTCTAACATCTGGCTGTCCAACAACAATAACAACAGGCCGGGCAAGGTGGCTTATGCCTGTAATCCCAGCGCTTTGGGAGGCAGAGGCAGGTGGATCATCTGAGGTCAGGAGTTTGAGACCAGCCTGGCCAACATGGTAGTCTCTACTAAAAATACAAAATTTAGCTGGGCGTGGTGGCAGGTGCCTGTAATTCCAGCTACTGGGGAGGTTGAGGCAAGAGAATTGCTTAAATCCAGGAGGCAGAGGTTGCAATGAGCCAAGGTCGTGCCACTGCTCTCCAGCCTGGGCAACAGAGGGAGACTCTGTCTCAAAAAAAAAAAAAAAAAAATCAATAACAACAACAACAACCTGATTTATAGCATCTAGGGATTTCCCTGGTATAAATATGACACCATAGTCAATTTTAGGTCACCATCATGACATCACTGAACACAGAGGGAAGAGATGCACACATTGATTCTCAAAAACCTATGTAAGCTGGTACCAGCACATCAAAAGGAAGAGCTAGCCAAGATAAAGCCAATGAAGCGTGCCTTAATAAGCAGGTCACTAACGTGGACACATGGAACTCACTCTCATGGGTGCACTCTGTGAAACAGCATGGAGCACACCTCAGAATCCACTCACAGGGACACTGGCACACTTACCCATCTGACTCTATTCCCTACTGATTGAAGTTAACTTTCCCCCCAGCTCCAATTAGGTCTCCAGATCTTTGAGAAAGCTCACCTAGTGCCAAAAATAAAGCCTTCCAGCAGAGAAGAGAGAGGCACAGGTATTTGAGATGGGAATTATTAGCATGCTGGAAAATGCCTTTGCCTGCAGCCGCAGGTGAATTCAGGCGGCCCAAGGGTATAGGGGATAAAGCAGCAGTAGAACTGGAATCTGCAACAGGAGGCAACACACTTTTTCTGTAAAGGACCAGACAGTAAATATTTCAGGCTTTGCATGCCACATATGGTCACTGTCACATATTTTTCAAATTTTTTATTTGCTTGTGGTTTACAAGATTTTAAACATATAAAAAACATAAAAAAACCTTCTTAGCTTGTGGGGCTGAACAAAATGAGTCTGAGGGCCACAGATTGCCAAGGCCTGTCCTACAGACCAGCAATAGCAGCACCCAGGAGCTTGCAAAAATGCAGATTCCCAGGCACCACCCCCGGTACTGAATACAATCTGCATTTTAGCAAGGTGTACACAGTAATGTTTGAGGAACACTATGCTGCTGTACTATCATTTCCATCATACAGATAAGGACACTCAGTCCTTAGAGAGGCTGAGTCACCTGATAGAAGCCGCAAAGAGCCAGGACTCAAATCCAGGCCTGACTGATCCCAAGGCCATTCTCTTCACAGGTCTGGTTATAATTGTAAATAATCTATAAAAAATTTCAATTCCCATATGATATGGTTTGGATGTTTGTCCCTTGCAAATCTCATGTTGAAATGTGATCCCCAAAATTGGAGGTGAGGCCTAGTGGGAGGTGTTTGGCTCTTAGGGGTGGAGCCCTCAAGAGTGGCTTGGTGCCAACCCCATGGTAACGAGTTCATGCACGATCTGCTTGCATGAACCAGAGTCTGGGACCTCCCTCCCCTCTCTCTTCCTCCCTCTCCCACCATGTGACACACCTGCTCCCCCTTCTCCTTCCACCATGAGTGGAAGCTTCCTGAGGCCTCACCAGAAGCAGATGCTGGTGCCACACTTCTTGTACCGCCTGCAGAACCATGAGCCAAAATAAACCTCTTTTCTTTATAAATTACCCAGCCTCAGGTACTCTTTTATAGCTATGCTAAATGGGCTAATATACCATATTTAAAGTAAGATGGCTACTTTAAAATAATATCTAAGCAATTTTGTAGTGACATCATTGGAGGAGCCCTGTACATGGGGAAATGAGTCATTTTAGCAATCCATTTACAGAAAGACAGGCGATGTGGAGCTCCAGAAAGGAGTTCCTGTGTCTGTGATGACCATCTTCCTTACACATGATCTTAGGTATCTTAGAAGCAGACCGAGTCCCTCAGTAGATTGGAACCTCCTTGAGAGCAGGAACAGGGTATTCTCTTCCCCTGATGACCTCTCAAAGGATTAGTAAATTGATTCTCTAAAGGAATGCAAACAGGAAGTGCACAGAATCCCACCACTGGTTAGACCCTAATTATACTCTTTTTTGTGTGTTGTGGGTTAGAGGTTAGCTTAAGAGATTCAACCTTGCAACTAATTCTTCCCAATGCACCAGGCTGACTGGGACTCCTACCCTGCTGTGTAGGACAGTGTCATGGTGTGGAAGTGAGGGCTTAAGTCAAGCCCAAACATGACTTCCAGACAGTCAGATCTGCTTTTTCTTTCTAGGGATTCTATTATATGCATGTTGGGTCTCATGGACATCATTTTTTTTTCTTCTTTGATTCTCACCTCTTTAATCTTTTCCACAGAGCTCTTGAAGAAGCTCTTAAGCCTATCTCTCTCTTCTGTGATCTTGGTTTTCTTCAGTGACTCAGGAAAGGCACTGCTTCTATTGTGTTTTTAATATGACACCTATAATTTTCATCTGCAGTCTTTATAGACTGGATTATGGATCTTGGATTATGTTTATTCTTCATGACAACCTGCTGTCATTTAATAGATATGATGGGTCTTTAAGTTATCTTGAAAATACTAATGATGACTTACCTAGTTTCACATGTTTTTCTTTCAAGATAAATTTGCTGTTTTCACATTGGCCCCTTTCCATTGCCACAAACAGTAAATTCTTTTTTGTTTTCTTATTTATTCAGAGAATAGCCTATATTTGCAAATTACTGAGATGGGCTAAGTTTCTTTCAGAGACTGTATTCATCCATGTCTGAATCACTGATACTCAGATGAAGGAGAAAGACCATGCAAGATAGTAATGTTAATGGGCAGGGCCCTGAAACTAGACTGCCTGGGTTCAAGTCCCAGTTCCACCACTTTCTAGCTATGTGATTTGGGGTAAGTTACTTGACTGGGCTGAACCTCAGTTTCTTCCTCCATAAAATGGAGATATTAATAATGCTGACCTCCTGGGTTTATGTCGTGAGGATTCTATGAGCCTAGATATAGGGTGCATAGAAGAGTGCCCAGCATATGGTAAGCTCAGAGAAAGTGTTAGCTGTGAAGATGATGATGACAATGATAACAGTAATAATTTTACTCCATTCATGCAGACTCCTCTGTTTGCTTTCCGAATTCATTGTTTCTGTGAAGTCAGGTCAAGCCAGTCTTTAATCTTGTCTTGAACCGTCACATTTTGCAGAAGTTCTTTAAGGTTTCTGGCATATGGCTTTAGGACTCTTCTGTGGTATAATAATGTAATAAAATTATTATTTTCTTCAGAGCAAAATCTGCCCTCCCACATAAGAAGGAGCTATTTTTCTTGGGAGATATTTTAGCTCACATTCCATAGAAAATAGAGCCTGAGATGATGCTTACCTGACCGTGCTTATTGGGGGTGCAATCACAGGCCACAAGAATAAGGGAACAAAGAAATGAGGTGGAGAAGGAAGGAACGCAAATGTAGGTGGTGCATTACCAATTGGGCTGGCCACAGCTTCACAATGAAACACAGCAGGTTGCTTGTTCATGCAGTACATCTGCAGAGAAGTAAAAGAGGTACTCCTAAGCCTCAGAAGAGTCCATCAGGGGAGCAAAGTGCAAGGAATTTAACTGTGGCTCCTTCACTGCCAGGTCTCTCCTTGGTCAACATTAGCTCCATGGGGCATTGACTCATGCCATTTCTGGGTGGTGTCATCTCCATCTAAGCAGCCACTGAGGAAGCCAAATTCCACGCCCCAAAGCATGATGCTTCTCCTGCGCCTGGAATTAGAGGGAGGAGCCAGGGCCCTGATGAGTCAGGTCAGTCCTGGGCCTCAGAGTGGGCATGACGGGGGTCATGGGAAGGCTTTGCCTTTACTCCAGGGGAGACTGATGCTGCTGCGGGGATTAGAATATGGGGACCTAGGATACAGATGTGAGCCCCTCCCTGATAGAATATTGAGAGGATAATTTTATTTTCTCCAGGACAGTGTATGCCCAGCCACCCAAGAAACATCTATTTTTATGAGGAGATGTTTTAGCTCATGTTGCTTAAAGATTAAAGCTTAGAATAGTGAAGCTGAGCAAATATATGGAGGCCCATAAGTTACATCCTGTGCAGTTTGAATATCCAAGAATGTTTGAGAAACAGTGTATGTTCATTGAACTAGTTTTTTGTTTTTGTTTTAAGCAAACAGGATCTTGCTCTGTCACCCAAGCTAGAATGCAGTGGTATGATCATGGCTCACTGCAGCCTCAACCTCCCAGGCTCAATGATCCTCCCCTCTCAGCCTCCTGAGTAGCTGGTACTATAGATGACTGACACCATGTCCAGCTTTTTTTTTTTTTTTGTAGAGACAGGATCTTACTATATCATCCAGGCTGGTCTCAAATTCCTAGGCTCAAGTGATCCTCCTGTCTTGGCCTCCTAAAGTGCTGGGATTATAGGAGTAGGCCACCACCTCTGGCCTGAACTGATTTTTAAAGGGAGAAATCCAGGGCTCCTTTCTCTTGAGTAGGGAATGTGAGCTGATGGTCAGAGTGGAAATGCACAGAGGCCAGGGGCTGGAGAAGATGAGATAGCCAACTCCTTAAGAGGAAGTGACGGGGAAGACAGAGAGGTTTTTAGAGTTTTATGAAGTTCAGTCTGGGCAGTGCTATAAATTCCCTTTCTCATTTTCCTTGAGATCATCAGCCCCATCTATATTACCTCCTAATAGTTTGTAAAACTGATCTATTTGAGGCAGGGGCACTGGCCCCAGTGCTGAGCTCAGCCTCAAAGAAGGCACAGGGTAAGCTGAGGATTACATTGAGATGTTTGCTTTGCCTGGGGTTCACCAGGTGCCAGCTTTTCCTCTGCATTAGACAGATTTTTGATTTCAAACAACAGAAATTAACTCTGGCTTTCTTCAGTGGAGAAGGAATTGAGAAAGAATATTGGGGACTGGACAGGGCAGGAATCAAGGCAGTTGCAGTAGGTCAATCAACAGGAAGAACCACAATGAATTTTAACAGGAAGCATCTGCCTAGGATGCCACCACTACCACCGCCAGGAAGAAATTAACCACCCTGCGGCTTTGCCTCACTCCCTGCAGATTTAGAGTCCAATTAGCTCAGCCCAGTCAGATGTGTATATATCCTGCCTGCCAGGGGAGCACAGGGAACTGTTGTGAGAGGCAAGGAACCGCGTTCCAACAATTACTACACACATGAGGCAGGAGGGGGTGGATTCTGCTTGTAATTCCGCTTGGAGAAGCAGGAGGCCACAGTCATTAAAGGTACTAGCTCTGGGATCAGATAGCCTGGATTTGAAGTCAAGCTTGGCCATTTTCTTGCTTAATGTACCTGGATAAGTCACTTTAACTCTCTGCTTTTCAGTTTCCTTGCCTATGAAATGAAGCAAAAACAATCCTTACCTTAAATTATCATTATGGGCTGGGTGCAGTAGCTCACTCCTGTAATCCCTGCACTTTGAGAGGCAGAAGTGGGAGGACTGCTTGAGGCCAGAAGGTTGAGGTTACAGTGAGCTACAGTCACGCCACTGCACCCTAGCCTGGGCAACGGAGCGAGACCCAGTTTCTAAAAGAACCCAAAAAGCTTCGTTATAAGAAGAAAAAAATTAATTTAATTAAAACATTTAAAGCATCATTATGAAGATTAAGGGTTAAAGCCCTGAAAACGTTGTTAGGGCCAAAAATTGTTAGCAACTTGTATTAGTTTCCCGTGGCTGCTGTAACAGATACCACAAAAACTGGCTCGGTTAGGAAAACAGAAATGTACTCTGTCACTGTCTGGAAGCTAGAAATTTAAAGTCAAGGTGTCAGCAGGACTGCACTCCCTCTGGAGGCTGTAGCAGGGATTCTGTTCCCTGCTGCTTCCAGCTTCTGGTGGAGCCTGGCATTGCTTAGTTTGTGGCCACATCACTCCAATCTCGGCCTCTGCCTTCATGTGGACTTTTCCTCCTCTGTCTTCTTATCTTCTGTCTCTTATATGAACACGTGCATTCCACTGAAGACTTATCCAGATGATCCAAGATGATCTCATCTTGAGAGCCTTGCTTAATTGCACCTGCCAAGACCCTTTCTCCAAATAAGGTCACATTCACAGGTACTAGGTGGACATATTTTTAGGGGGCCATCATTCAACCAACTACACAGCTCTCTGCTTTCATGCCCACATCGAAAAAGGAGTTGAATGCTGGATAATGGAGGCAGTCGACCCTTTATTTATGTTCTTTTGATAATCCTTGAGGGAATTAGGAGTTGGCGGTGGGGTGATTTGCATGGCCTGAGTCAGGCACATGACTCTGTATCATCAACACCGTTTTGATCAGAGGTCAGAAGCATGTTTTAGTGCTCAAGTAAGAAAGACTCTAGTGGGCCAAATGTGGAGAAATGACAGATCGCTCTCAAAACATACTGCTTCCTACCTTAAGACCGTAGCTGTCACTTCCTATCTTAAGACCCAAGCAGCTGGGTGATGGAAGGTTTTTCATCCATAGCTAAGACAACTGAAGGACCTGAGGTTCTAACTTCTGAGATATTCTCAGTGGTAAAACATTAGCACCTCTCACGTGGCAATAAACTTTACTGTTGTGCAAAGCCAGCCCAGTGTGCTGGGCAGATATGATTCCCCTAAGGAATCAGAGGAAAGGCCTAAGGCCCAGATTTTGTTCTGTTTGTACCCTCCTGGGTGGTGGCACAAGGGAGAGAATCTGAGGTCTTTCAGTCAAAACATCAGGGGTCGACTAGGCATGGTGGCTCACACCTGTAATTCCAGCACTTTGGGAGGCTGAGGTGGGAGGATCACCTTAGGTCGAGAGTTTGAGATCAGTCTGGACAACATGGTAAAACCCTGTCTCTACTAAAAATACAAAAACTAGCCAGGTGTGGTGGTGCACACCTGTAAACTCAGCTACGTGGGAGGCTGAGGCAGGAGAATTACTTGAACCAGGGAGGCAGATGTTGCAGTAAGCTGAGATAGCACCACTGCACTCCAGCCTGGGTGACAGAGTGAAACCCTGTCTCAAAAAAAAAAAAAAAAAAAAAAAGTGAGGGGTCATCAGGTGCAGCTGCCTTCACTTTGTACCATCAGGCCCATTCTATCTTTGATACATGATACCACGCAGTTCTACCTTCAGGAGACAGTCTTTGTTATTTCTCTACTTCTCTGTGCATGCGTGTGTGTGTGTGTGTGTGTGTGTGTGTGTGTGTGTGTGTGTGTGTTTTCTCCATAAGAATATGTAAGTTCTTCCAGAATAAGGAACCCTACCTCCCACCGAGTCTATCTTCCACCCCACCCGCCCCCGAGCAGCAGACTCTGAGACAGGAGTTTCAGTACACACTGTTGATTTGGAAAGTGATCCCACTAGGGGAGTTGGGAAATGAGACAGGGAAGAGAAGGAAGCCAATTTTGTGTGTTGCTGAGTGGGTTTTCACTGCAGACAACTGGGAACCTTCAGAAGACTGTGCAGAACCTACCAGGGTTAAGGCCCGCAAGGGGCAAGGAAGCTGATGCTTACCCTCCAATGCTCATTCATCATCAGCTGGGGCTGCTCTTGGGAGTATCAACTCCTGAGCACTTGCAGCCCAACATGTGTGCAGAGGAGAAAACCCTCAGGCAGAGATCACAGAGGACTTCGTAGGCGTGTAAGGAAGTCAGGGCCAACAGGATATGGGGGAAGCACAAGGCTTATGATTGTGGGCTTTGCAGTTAGAAAGTCCTGGATCCGAATTTTGGTTCAGCCAGTTGTGAGATTCTGGCAAGTTCCTTTTCTCTCTGAAGCTCATTTGCCTCCTTTGTAAATTAGAGATAATAATAGTCTACCTCACAAGGTTTTGATTCAAAATGAAACACTTACATGAAACGTTCGGTACATGCCTGGTGTGTGGGAAGCACCTGTGACCGTAACTGCCTTGTGCCATTTTAAGATTAGCACAGGACCAGCGCTGATAGCTATTGCTTGAATTGACTTTGAAATCTCAGTGAATGCTGGCACACTGCATTATGTTGTGTACACATTTTCATATCATGATTTTGACAGATTTGCACATGCTTTTGTTCTTTCTTTTTTTTTTTTTTTTTTTTTGGTAGCTCATTGTGGTTTTAACTTGAGTCTCCCTAATAACTAATGATGTCAAAACTGTTCTCATGTGCTTATTTGCCACATGTATTTTTTTTTTTTTTTTTTTGAGACAGAACCTTGCTCTGTTGCTTAGGCTGGAGTGCAGTAGCACCATCTCGGCTCACCGTAACCTCTGCATCCCGGGTTCAAGCAGTTCTTGTCTCAGCCTCCCAAGTAGCTGGGATTATAGGCACCCACCACCAGGCCCAGCTAATTTTTGTATTTTTAGTAGAGATGGGGTTTCACCATGTTGGCCAGGCTGGTCTTGAACTCCTGACAAGTGATCCACCCACCTCGGCCTCCCAAAGTGCTGAGATTACAGGCGTGAGCCACCGCGCCCACTGCCACCTGCTTTTGATACATCCTGGAACGTAAAGTATCTATTGGGTGTCAGATTGTAACTATGCGCCTGGGTGCACAGCCCCTTGCCTTTCTGGGTTTTGGTCCACAGAAAGCTAAGATATAAAGAGGGGAGGTATTCAGCTATTCAGAGGGGTTGAGAGACCAAGGAGAAGAAACGAGAGGGAGATGGTAGAGGAGACCCTCCCTTGAGGCTGCCCATCATTGTAGACAGATGGTTACTAAGGAGGAAGAGCCTGCATCATCTGGCGGCTGCTACAGGTGTGTCTGGCAGCTAAAAGTCAGACAGCTCAGGAAAAGGACTGTACCTTCCCATACTTCTAAATGTCAAGAGCAAGAGAGGGGCTCCCTGTGAAAGCCTTCTTAAAACAGAGCTAGCCTCAAGCATGATCCGGATATTAATCCTAACTTAATCTTGCATCACGTAAGGATTCTACTGAGCATAAAGGTCTTCAAACATAATATTCTTTGAATCCCAGTCTCCTCTGGGCATCACAGTGCTAGTTGTCTCAGCCTAGATTCTCTAGAAAACAGAGCTGGAGGCAAATGATTATACACTAATATTTTATTGGGAAGTGCAGTCCCAGGGATGATAGAGTGAGGGGAAACAGGAATGAGGTCAGGAATGAATGACAGCAAATATAAGAAGGTGCATGCCAAGTTGGCATGGAAAGCGATCGATTGCTCCAATTTGTCACTGTCCTCCGACAGGTTGTACACACATCTTAGGACAGTGTGCGCTCATTGGGAGGACAGTATCAGAGTTTATCCTTTCCAATAAGTTCTCCCAATTTATCATTTGACCAGCTTCTGTCCCTCACTGATCAAAGTGTTAACCACCCTGCTCACTTCCAGGTCACACATGTTGGGGTCTAGGCCACCTGGTGTCTCAGCAGCAACAGAGATGCCTTAGGGCAGGAGAGAAGAAGAGAGTCCTCAGCATAGGAGGCAAAGTCAGGCATGGGGCAAGAGCTGTTGGGTCGTGCTCAAGCAGGTGGTGTCAAAAACTCTCTCCTTGACCAAACTCTAGCCAGGCTCCTTTGAGCTCTTCGTCAACAAGGCCCCATCTTTGGGCATGTCCTCAAGAGCTCTTTCTCTTTTTTGAGACAGGGTCTTTCTCTGTCACCCAGGCTGGAGTGCAGTGGTGTGAACTTGGCTCACTGCAACCTCTGCCTCCTGGGTTTAAGCGATTCTCCTGCCTCAACCTCCTCAGTAGCTGATTACAGGCAATGCGCCACCATGCCCAGCTAATTTTTTGTATTTTTTTAGTAGAGACGGGGTTTCGCTGTGTTGGCCAGGCTGGTTTCAAACTATGGACCTCAAGTGATCTACCCACCTCAGCCTCCAAAGGTGCCGGTAATACAGGAATTACAAAGTGCCATGGCTGGCCAAGAGCCCAATTTTATCGAGAATCCTACTGTGTTTCTCCGGCCCATTTATTGAGTGACCCAAAAGGCTACCAGTTTTGAGTGAGGTCCAGAACAGGAGAAGGTTCTGCAATAGGTCCAGGCAGCTGTGCAAGCTGCTCTGCCATTTGGGCCATATGACCCAGCAGATCCAATGGTGCTTGAGGTGTCAGTGGCAGGTAGGGATGCCGTTTGTAGCCTTTGGCAGGCCTCCATAGGTGAATTGCAATGGAGGCTTCTAGGATTTTGGATCTAAGCCCTGTCATCTTCTGCAGATAACTACTCTCCTTTTGAGAGACAGCTCTTGGCCTATTACTGGGCTTTGGTAGAAACTGAACATTTGACTATGAGTCATCAAGTCACCATGCAACCTGAACTGCCTATCACGAACTGGGTGCTTTCTGACACATCTAGCCATAAAGTGAGTCACGCACAGCAGCATTCCATCATCAGATGAAAGTGGCATATACGTGATCAGGCTTGAGCAGGTCCTGAAGGCACAAGTAAGTTACATTAGGAAGTGGCTCAAATGCCCATGGTCTCCACTCCTGCCACCCTGCCTTCTCACCCCCAGCCTGCCCTGATGGCCTCGTGGGGAGTTCCCTCTGATCAGCTGACAGAGGAAGAGAAGACTAGGGCCTGGTTCACAGATGGTTCTGCATAATATGCAGGCACCACCCGAAAGTGGACAGCTGTAGCACTACAGCCCCTTTCTAGGACATCCCTGAAGGACGGCAGTGAAGGGAAATCTTCCGAGTGGGCAGAACTTCGAGCAGTGCACCTGGTTGTGCACTTTGCATGGAAGGAGAAATGGTCTGATGTGTGATTATATACTGATTTCATGGGCTGTATAGCCAATGGTTTGGCTGGATGGTCAGGGACTTGGAAGAAGCATGATTGGAAAATTTGTGACAAAGAAATCTGGGGAAGAGGTATGGACCTCTCTGAGTGGTCAAAAACTGTGAAGACATTTGTATCTCGTGTGAGTGCTCACCAACAGATGACCTCAGCAGAGAAGGATTTTAATAATCAAGTGGATAGTATGACCCGTTCTGTGGACACCACTCAGCCTCTTTTCCCAGCCACCCCTGTTATCACTCAATGGGCCCATGAACAAAGTGGCCATGGTGGTAGGGATGGGCTCAGCAACATGGACTTCCACTCATCAAGGCTGACCTGGCTACAGCCACTGCTGAGTGCCCAATTTGCCAGCAGTAGAGACCAACACTGAGCCCTCGATATGGCACCATTCCTCGGGGTGATCAGCCAGCTACCTGGTGGCAGATTGATTATATTGGACCTCTTCAAATCACGTAAAGTGCAGAGGTTTGTCCTCACTGGAATAGACACTTACTCTGTTATGGGTTTGCCTATCCTGCATGCAATGCTTCTGCCAAGACTACCATCTGTGGACTCGTGGAATGCCTTATCCACCATCATGGTAATTCCACACAGCATTGCCTCTGACCAAGGCACTCACTTTACAGGGAAGAAGTGCAGCAGTGGGATCATGCTCATGGAATTCATTGGTCTTACCATGTTCCCCATCATCCTGAAGTAGCTGGATTGACAGACTGGTGGAATGGCTTTTTGGAGTTACAATTACAACACCAACTAGGTGACAATACGTTGCAGGGCTGAAGCAAAGTTCTCCAGAAGGCCATGTATGCTCTGAATCAACGTCCAATATATGGCACTGTTTCTCCCATAGCCAGGATTCACTGGTCCAGGAATCAAGGGGTGGAAGTGGAAGTGGCACCACTCACCATCACCCCTAGTGATCCACTAGAAAAATTTTTGCTTCCTGTTTCCACGACATTATGTTCTATTGGCCTAGAGGTCTTAGTTCCAAAGGGAGGAATGCTACCACAAGGCGACACAACAACAATCCCATTAAACTGGAAGTTAAGAGTGCCACCTGGACACTTTGGGCTCCTCCTACCTTTAAGTCAACAGGCTAAGAAGGGAGTTACAATGTTGGCTGGGGTGATCGACCCAGACTATCAAGATGAAATCAGTCTACTACTCCACAACGGAGGTAAGGAAGAGTATGCATGGAATACAGGAGATCCATTAGGGCATCTCTTAGTATCACCATGCCCTGTGACTAAGGTCAATGGGAAGCTACAACAGCCCAATCCAGGCAGGACTACAAATAACCCAGACCTTTCAGGAATGAAGGTTTGGGTCACTCCGTCAGGAAAAAAACCACGATCTTCTGGGGTGCTTGCTGAAGGAAAAGGGAATACAGAATGGGTAGTAAAAGAAGGTAGTCATCAATACCAGCTACGACCACGTGACCAGCTGCAGAAACAAGGACTGTAATTGTCATGCGTATTTCCTCCTTCTTTTGTTAAAAACATGTTTGTGCATGTGTACACTTGTACTAAGAAAATATCTTCATTTTATTTCTTTTCTCCTTTATCATGTGACAAGATTTATTGACTTCACATCAGCATTTAACTATTTGGGTTGGGGATTGGTGAGTTTCCGCTTGTATTATGTTAGGCGTAATTATGACCTTATTATTGTCTTTATTTGAAGATTATGTATGATCTCAGGATAGGTGTGTGGGTTCAAGTTGACAAGTGGTGGACTTGGGATGGTTAATACTGAGTGTCAACTTGATTGGATTGAAGGATACAAAGTATTAATCCTGAATGTGTCTGTAAGGGTGTTGCCAAAGGAGATTAACATTTGAGTCAATGGGCTGGGAAAGGCAGACCTACCCTAAATCTGGGTGGGCACAATCTAATCAGCTGCCAGCTCAACTAGAATAAAAAGCAGGCAGGAAAATATGAAAGGAGAGACTGGCCGGCCGGGCGCGGTGGCTCACGCCTGTAATCCCAACACTTTGGGAGGCCAAGTGGGGTGGATCACGAGGTCAGGAGATCCAGACCATGGTGAAACCCCGTCTCTACTAGAAATACAAAAAATTTGCCAGGCGCGGTGGCAGACGCCTGTAGTCCCAGTTACTCAGGAGGCTGAGGCAGGAGAATGGTGTGAACCCGGGAGGCAGAGCTTGCAGTGAGCTGAGATCGTGCCACTGCACTCCAGCCTGGGCAAAAGAGCGAGACTCCATCTCAAAAAAAAAAAAAACAAAAGAAAAGAAAAGAGAGACTGGCCTAGCCTTCCAGCCTACATCTTTCTCCTGTGCTGGATGCTTCCTGCCCTTGAACATCAGACTCCAAGTTCTTCAGTTTTGGAACTTGGACTGGCTCTCCTTGCTCCTCAGCCTGCAGATGACCTGTTTTGGGACCTTGTGATTGTGTGAGTTAATACTGAATAAACTTCCCTTTATATATATATATATATATATATATATATATATATATATATATATATACACACACACACACACACACACACACATACATATATTTTATATATACAAAGGGGGCATATATATATATATATATATATATATATATATATATATATATATTCCATTAGTTCTGTCCCTCTAGAGAACACTGACTAATACACCTACAAAGTCAATTTGGCCAGAATTCCTCACTCTCCATATCCAATCACCCTCCTCATCTGGCACCATATCAGATGATGTCTGATCACTCTGGCCTGCCTTCAGCAAGAATCCCATTATGTCAGTTTAATGAAGAATTACCTTACCCTCAGAGATTTTCCACCCACCAACTTCTCGCTGGCTATAAATCCCCACCCTTCCTTGTTGCATTTTCAGAGCTGAGAAAGAAAAGGAACTTTTTATCTGAGGAATGCCAGTCCATTAAAAAACCCGGCCCAGAGAGGCATTGAAATGTGACAGAAGGCTCAGATCACCTGCCCTCCTTGAGCTAAGTAATCTGCCTGCTACCTGGACTCTAGACTGAGTGTCCTCACCAAGAAGCTATAAATTAACCTAACAATGCCTCACACTGGACACCATGACCCACACCCTACAGTTCAACAATATAGTGTCAATTACTCATCAATGTTATTTCTGCAAACCAGTGAGAATTCCTGAGGAACAACCTTTGTAATCTCTCCCTCTTTGAATTCGCCCTTTTTTCTTTAAAAACACTAGCCTCTCCTTTATTCTCCAGAGCATTTCCCAGCATTTTCCAGACTGTAGTCCTCAAACTTGTCCCAGATAAACTCAACTGTATTAATTTTACCTCCGTTTCTTTCTTTAGGTAGACAGGGTTGAACCCAATCTCTCTCCCCTACTGCAAAACCCCATCGTAGCAGTCACCTGAATAAGGTGTTCCTTCTCGCCTTTCATGAGTGTCGGAATAGTTTATCTTTAACAGTGATCAGACCACACAGTGGTGAGTCCAATATGCAGGAGAGGTGCCTGATACACTAGTTTGAGACTTATTTCCATAGGAAATACTGGACTCTGAGTAATAATTAAAGCCTTTTTTTTTCCAAGCATTTACTTTGCAACCAGACACTTTTCTAGGCTCTTTATCCTATTAGCTGATTTAGTACCATTTTCAGAAAAGGAAACCCAGGCACCAAGAGTTGAAGTTATCTAACGCAAGATCACTCAGTGAGTAACTGCTGGAGCCTGAATCTCAACCCTGGTAGACCAGCTTCACAGCCTGTTGTCTAACCCATTACACTTAATAGACACAGAACAACATAACAGCATACAGGACACCCTGGTCCAGTCCCCTACCAGCCACAGGATCCAGGGCAAGGACGGCAATCTCTGTGCCCTGGGTTCATTCATCTGTACAATGCAAATGAGCATACATCGGAATTTTACAAGCACAAACATTTTGAAACAAGTCACAGAATATGCTAGCTTCGGTGCCTGACTCTGAATAAACACACACTCTATTTTATGTGTTGTTCTTGTTATCATTATTACCAATCTCTTTTAAGTGTTTTCTTTTACCTGAAATGGTGCTCACTGAATTGAATGCAACTTCTTGGCACAAAGAATCACAATGAGCTCTTTCAAGTTTCAATTTTCGTCACCTTTGCCTCCCGAGCAGCACACACATATAGAAAGTGCTGTAAGGATTAGCCACAGAGCATGCAGTGACTCCGTCTCCTTCCTGTGAAATCCAAATTGAGTGAGCTGAGATGCCCCAGGGATAGAAGAGAGATGTTTGGATAATTGCTGATCATTCACAGGCATAAAATAAACCTTTGAAGGAGACCTCATCCTTATACTAGATTATCATAATGCTTTAACGAAATCTTTGACTTTAAAAATGTCTTGTAAATTTGGTTTGAATGCTTGTATTAGGTTTAATATCATCTTATTTTTCTGTTTTATGAATCATGTCAGTTTTTCTCTGGAGCTTGAAAGAACTGCTATCCATTAACGGAACAAAAAGTTGTTAAGCAGGTCGGTCATCCTGTCACATCATAGGGAGATGCTTACCCTACCTGGGGTTTGTTTCACGTGCTTATTTGGGTATGGGACAAGGACAGATTAATCCCACAGCTGACCCTCAGCCCTGCCCCCTCTTGAAACCCTCCTGAGGCTATCTCCAGAATGTTCCTTATCAGAATACACATCACTCTCCTCTGTCCATGGTAGCTGATTTCTGCATAGCCACACATCAATAGTTCATTGATTGACTGAGTGTAAAAGGAAAGGTTCCACAAAAGTAAATTTTTCGGCTAAATGGAGCTTATCCTTGTAAGCAACACATTTAAAATTTTTAATTATATTTGAAAGAAATGTTGCTAGGAGGTATGTGCCCAAGTCAGAAATAATTTGGTTATGAGTGACAAAAAACCTACTCAGACTAGCATAGGTAAAATGGGGTTTATGGAGCAGACAGAGGGGTGTCTCATGGAATCCAAGAACAAAAAGTGACCAAGGCTTCTAAGAAGCAGGAAAATCATCACACACTCGCTGGTCCAACAGTACTCTTGGGGACTGCACTGTCACCCTGGCTGGAGTGCAGTGGCACAATCACAGCTCATTGCAGCCTTGACCTCTCAGGCTCAAGTGTTCCTCCCAACTCAGCCTCCCAAGTACCTGTGTGTGCCACCATGCCAGCTAATTTTTGTATATTTTGCAGACACAGGGTTTTGCCATGTTGCCCAGGCTGGTCTCAAACACCTGGGCTCAAGCGATCCTTCCGCCACAGCCTCCCAAAGTGCTAGATTACAGGCAAGAGCCACCACACCCAGCCCTCATTTTCCCCTTTTTAAGAACTCTATGAGTTAGATTCCATCAACTTCCATATTCCAGGTATAGGAACAGGAGCTCAGAAAGGTTGTTATGTCCCTAGGTCACACAGCTGGTAGCAGGTGCTAGAGCTGGGAGTCAAACCTAAGCCTCCCAAAGTGCTGGGATTACAGGCATAAGCCACTGCACCTGGTCTCTGATTCTTTTTTTTTTTTTTTTTAAGATGGAGTCTCTGTCACCCAGGCTGGAGTACACTGGCAAAATCTTGGCTCACTGCAACCTCCGCCTCCTGGGTTCAAGTGATTCTCCTGCCTCAGCCTCCCGAGTAGCTGGAATTACAGGAGCCCACCACCACACCCAGCTAATTTTTGTATTTTTAGTAGAGACAGGGTTTAAACATGTTGGCCAGGCTGGTCTTGAACTCCTGACCTCAAGTGATCCAACCTCCTTGGCCTCCCAAAGTGCTGGGATTACAGGCGTGAGCCACCGCACCTAGCCCAGCCTCTGATTCTTGATTAACAAACCATAATAGTCACAATTCAGAGTCCTAATCAGTCATCTGTGAGGCAGGAAGCGGTGTTTGGGCACCAGCTCTGGCTCAGACCAACACTGCAAAATTAAACATTTGTGAGTGGTTCTTAGGCAAGGATGAGGGAAGTTCTATCTCAAGGGAGTATTAGGAAATAGATGAGGGCATTGTTGATTGTCACAGTGACTTGGAGGAGGGCCACTACTGACATTTAGTACATAGGAGCCAGGGGCACTTAATGTCCTCCACTGTATGCAACAGCCCCACAAATGAATTGTTCTCACCTCACATCCCTCCCTCACTCAACCCACCAATGCCAATAGTGTTCATACTAAGAAACACAGAATCCCAGGGAGCTTCATTTCACTTTCCCAAAGGAGTAGCCTTAGCTCTTTGGGCCACTACAGTTTTTAAACTCTGTGGCGTAACCATGACTGTGTGATATCTTGGTACACAGAGGCCCTCTGGTCGTGATTTGTGCTGCTAGGCAAACATTCTGATCATCCCCATTCTGGACACACGGAAGGGTAGGAGCAATGTGTCCAGCAATGGGCAATGAGCTGTGAGCCAGAGAGCACGCCCCTTCTGCAATGAACAATGAATTGTCAATGAACAATCCACAAAGGTGCTCTTTTTTCCTGGCCACAGCTGGAGACGTTGTAACAATGGCTGCTCCATGAGTATGGGTCCTAGAGGGAAGACAGTGATAATTCAGAGTAGAACCTCCTGCCTCTCAATGATGAACATGTGTATAGGTGAAAAATAAACCTTCATTATGTTAAGTCACTGAGATGTCGGGGACTGTTTGTTACTGCAGCAAACCCAGCCAGTCCTGACAAATACAGGCTCTCAGAATTGCTATGTGCCAGGAACTCTTAAGTACTTAACAGTGTTAACTCATTTAATTCTTACAACTTTATGAAGTAGATGCTACTATCATCCTTCCTCACTGTATAGATGAGAAAACTGAGGAACAGAGAGGTTAAGTTGCTCATTGAAGTGACAGTAAGTGATGGTGCTGGTATTTAAACCCAGGCAGTCTGGCTTCAGAGCCATATCTTAACTACAATGCTGTACTGCCTCTTGAGTTTTATGTAGCAGGTGCTTCCACGCTAAATGACTTTAAACTACTGTGCTTCAGTTATCTAATTTCTGCTTTCCATGTAGTTAACAATTTTGATTCTTTATTCGTGTTGGTTGTCACTTTTTGCCATTGTCATCATACCTGCTGCTAGCAATAACTCCTTCTTTTTTCTCTTCTAATATGCTGTTTCTAATCCATTATGGACTAGGAAACCAGACAATTAAGCTTGTTATGCACGTTATAATTGTGACTAATTGAGCCCGGCCACCTTGATAGTCAACATCGCTCTATCCCACCTCCACCCACCTTGCTCACACTTTTGTAATTGTGTGATTGGTGGCTCTTGTATCTTCCCTCTAGAGAGCATGCTCTTTTGAGGAAAGGTAATGAGCTCAATTCACCTTCGTGTCTCTCTGTCCCCTTCCCCCAGCACCCAGCACAATGCTTTCCATGTGTTAGGTGACTAATAAATATCTGCTAAGACTATTAAGTAATTAAGTTCTGAGTAATGGCCCAAGAGCTTGCCTATAAGTTAATTAGATGGGCTTTGCTGCTAGCCTGTGGGACATCCGTTTTAGCTGTCTAGGTGCCTCTGGGATTTTCTCAGTTGTGTCTTGGATACTTAAGATTATAGGACAAAGAGATCAATTAATTCCTTCATTTAGTCTCTCGGTAGGTGTTTATTGAGTTTCTACTGTAATATTAAAAATACTAGCAACTTATATGTCCTGGATATTTACCATGGGCAAGTAATATTTGAAGCACTTTATAAGTGTTAATTTATGTTACACTCACAACAATCCGATGAGGTAGGGACTGTTGTCATCATCCCAAAGGCTGAAGAAACTGAGTCACAGAAAGCAAGTTTCCCAAGGCCTCATGGCTACTGAGAAGTGGAGTTAGACTAGTCAGGTGCTGGACCTATAGGAGGACAAGACAGAGAAGACGTTTACCCTCAGGGGGTTGACATTTTTGTGGGAAGGCCAGATATGAAACAAATAAGCATATAAATCTACTAACTGATTGTAGGTTGTGATAAGTGTTCTGAAAAGAATCAGCAGTGTGCTATAATAGAAAATAAAGCAAGGGACATAGGAGCATGGTCCCACAGGGCGTCTAGGAGTGGGTGCATTAGCTTATCTATTGTTGGATAACAAACTACCCCAAAAATGTAGTGCTTAAAATAATAGACCTTTACTATCTCCCAGTTTCTGTGGGTCAGGGATTTTTGAGAGGCTCATCTGCGTAGTCCCAGCTTGGGGTTTCCCACTAGATTGTAGTCAAGATGTTGCCTGGCTGGAGCTGCAGTCATCCAAAGGCTCGACTGGGGCTAGTGGATCTGTTTCCAAGGTGATTCATTATATCAAACAGGGTTCTCTCAGACAAGCAGAACCAGTAGCAACGATATAGATCACAGAGTTGGGGGGATGGTTATAAGTCTCTTTCCAGGTATAAAGCTCTCCCTACATCTGATGCTAGACCTTGAAATCCACAGAGCAAGCAATCAGGAAGGAAAGGCCACAAGCAAATGGAAACCCCACCAGCACAAGCTAGAGCTCCACAAGGATAGACTGAAACTCATGTTCTTTGTGGTGAGGGCATCCTACAGAGGTTGGGCATTTGTTCCAGATCTGAACACACACACCTGGCCCAGCTCCTGCATCACATCAACAAGGTGAGTCAGCAGGTGAGTAACAATGTATTTGCAATACAAAATTGCTGTTGCCCCCAGTACCACTACCCCCTACTCCAAGTCACTGAGACTCTCCCTCATGGCCAACCCTAACTGGAAACATACAAATAAGGGGATTCTGTAGTTCAGCCTAGTTAAGCTGACACACTGCAAACCCATCACATCATGACACTCACTCCAGTGGCTCTTAAAGGCCTCAGTTCCTCCTCGGCTGTTGGCAAGAGGCCCAGTCCCTCACCACGTTGGCCCTCATTAGGGCTGCTTGACTGTCCTCATGACACGACAGTGACAGCTGGCTGCTCCCGGAGTGAATGGCCCAGAAAGAGAATGAGGAGAAGACGGCAATGCCTTTCATAGCCTAGTCTTGGAAGTCGCCTATTGTCACTTCTCCAGTATTCTATTCATTACAAGTGGGTCATTGAGTTCAGAACACATGCAAGGGGAGGACAATTAGGCTCCACCTTTTGAAGAGAGCAGGGTCAAAGATTTACGGGTGTATTTTAAAACCAGGAGACAGTATTTAAGCTATGGGGAAGGCAGCAATTTGAAGAGCCAGAGAAGAGTGTTTTGGGGCAGAGGTGACATCAGGAGACCCTGAAGAGTTTGATGTGTGTCTTTTGCTGTGTGTTTGTTTGCTGTCCTCTTAAGGTCAGCGTGGCTAGAGCCTCATGGGCCAGCCCCTGGGGAAAGCTGCCTAACGTGAGGCTGGGCCTCCTCAATTGTGAGGAGCAATTTGTGTTTTATTCCAAGTGCAACAAGACACCATCATGAGGTCACAAGAAGAGGGACACAGTCTGGTTTGCGTTTTTGAGGTATTGCTGTGGCTGCTTTATGGGGAGTGGATTGGAGGAGGATAGAGTAGATGCAGGGAGCCCAGAAGGGGCATCAAAACACCATGCCTCTTCTTGTTCAAGCTCTATTGTTTATTTGGTCAATTCTTGTAAGCTTTCTGAACCCCTTTCGTCAACTGTCAAATGAGGTGACTACTCCTTGCACACCTCCCTGAACCACTGCAGGACTCACAAAGAGAATGTATGTGGAGACACACTGCAAAATGCAAAATGTTCTGCAATGCAGCCGGAGAACTTTTGCCTGACTTGCTCTGGGTTAATACCACTTCCAGAGTTAGGTAGTTTAACTCCAAAAGAGCGCAATCATCAGGAGAAGCCTATTTTTAGCTTCAGTGTATCTATTAGTACAATTGCTACTCAACACTTCAACAGAGTTGATACCCACCTAAGTATTTAAATGACCAAGAACCATCACATCGCTGGGGGCAATGCTGTGAGATCACTGTAACATCCCAGCAATCATTCATGACAACTCATACCACCTGGCCATGTGGCATTGCCTGGCTTAAGTTAGTGTCCTGGAGGCAGAGCCTAAGATGGGGACTTTTGAGCAGGTGGTCTATGGAGGTGGCGCTTCAGGGTAACCTGCAGCAGAGTGAGGGAAGCAGGATCAGGCAGGAGAGCGAGCAGGCAGATGGTGGTTTCAGGAGGGAACTGGCCTGAGTATGATCCTCTGGGGAGCTCTGGAGCATGAAGCATGAATTGCAGAGGTTATCCTGCCCGGAGGCAAGAAGGCTTGGCTGGTATACAACATCCTCTTGGCATGATTGGAATAATCTCTTGTAGTTTAACACATCACCGCAAGAACTAATGACTTAAAACAACAGTCATCTTCTTGTACACAGATGTTCATAGCAGTATTATTCACAACAGCCGGAAGGTGAAAGCAATGCAGGTGTCCATTGCCAGGTGAAAGGATAATCAAAATGTGGTATATACATACTATGGAATATTATTTAGCCTTAAAAAGGAAGAAAATTCTGACATGCTACAACATGGATGAACTTGGAAGGCATTATGCTAAGTCAAGTAAGCCAGTCACAAGAAGGCAAATATGGTATGAGTCTACTTATATGAGCTGCGTAGAGTGGTCAAATTCATGGAGATGAAAAGTAGAATGATGCTTGACTGGAGGGAGGTGGGAATGGGGAGTTGTTTAATGGCTATGAAATCTCAGTTTTACAAGATGAAAAAGCTGATTGGTTATACAACAATGTGAATATATTAACACTATCTACTTGACTGTACACTTTAAAATGGTTACAATGATAAATTCCCCATTATGTGGGATTTTTTTATTTTGTTTTTGTTTTGGAGACAGGGTCTTGTTCTATCACCCAGGCTGGAGTGTAGTGGCAGAATCATGGCTCACTATAGCCTTGAACTCCTGAGCTGAAGTAATTCTCCTGTCTCAGCCTCCCAAGTAGCTGGGACTACAGGCACACACCACCACGCCTGGCTAATGTTTTTTTTTTGTTTTGTTTGTTTTGTTTTGTTTTTTTTTCTTGTAGAGACAGGGATCTCGCTATGTTGCTCAGGCAGGTCTCGAACTCCTGGGCTCAAGAGATCTGCCTACCTTGGCCTCCCAAAGTGCTAGGATTACAGATGTGAACCACTTTGCCCAGCCTTGTTATGTGTATTTTACCACAATTAAAATAAAAAGTAAAATTTTAAACAACAGTAATCATTTATTATCTGTCACTGTCTCTGTGGGTCACAAATTTGAGGGTGGCTCAGCTGGGCTGCGCCAGGCTGTTCTCACTCAGGGTCTTTCATGAGGGTACAGGCAGATGGCAGTTAGGGCTTAGCTGTCTTGAAAGTTTCTTCACACATGTGTCTTGTAGCTGGGCTGAGAAGACTCAAACAGCTGGGGCTCCTTAGGGGTCTCTATCTCTACCTCAGTGTGGTGGCTTCCCGGTCATTGAGCTTCTTACATCACGGCTCAGACTCCAAGGCACATGTCCTGAGGGACAGACAGAGACAGAGAGGCAGGCCGAAGCCGTATTGTTGCTTACAATCTAGTTTGGAAGGTACATTAGTCTCCTAGGACTGCTGTAACAAAGGACCACAAGTTGGGTGGTTTAAAACAACAGAAATTTGGTCTCTCACAGTGCTGGAGGCCAGAAGTCTGAAATCCAGGTGTTGGCAGAGCTGCACTCCCTCTCAAAGCTCCAGTGGAGAATCCTTCCTTGCTTCTTCCAGCTTCTGGTGTTGCCAGCAATCCTTGGCACTCTGTCTTGTAGAAGCATCCCTGCAATCTCTGCCTCCATCTTCATGTGACATTCCCGTGTGTGTGCATGCCTCTATGTGTAAAACAATAACTGTTTTAACAATAGTTGTGAAGATGGAGTGAGTTAATGCTTAGATGTGTCATAAATGTCCATTAAACATTAGCAACAGGCCAGACATGAAAGCTCAGACCTGTAACTTTGGGAGACAAAGACAGGTGGATCACTTGAGCCCAGGAGTTCAAGACCAGCCTGGACGACATGATGAAACCCTGTCTCCCTGTCTTTCTCCATATAAAGACAAATTTCCCCCTCCTTCTCCATATAAAAACATGAGTCGCTGGATTAAAGCCCACCTTAATCCAGTATGACCTCGTTAAAACTTGGTTACATCTGCAAAGACGTTTCCAAGTAAGATCACATCCATAGATATCAGGGGTTGAGACTTGAACATATCTTTTTAGAAGACACATTCAACCTACAACAGAAGGCATGCAGCCACTTCCACCTCATCCTCTTCCTTAGAATCCTGAAGTCTTTAATACTGGCCCACCTTCAAGGAGAGGGAATCTGCCTTTTGGTGAGAAGAATGTCAAAGAATTTGCAGGGAGTGTGTAACCTCCCAGGCATCTCAGGAGCTGTGTCTCCTGCCAGCCATGCCCAGCCTTCAGAGAGGGTGCAGGTGTGGGCTGTTAAACCAGCACTGCTGCAGCTGGGCAAGCTGGCCTGGTACCAGGCATTTGGGAGCAATGCTACAGGACACCTGCTACAGGAACGTAACAACCAGTCCTTTGCAGACCAGTGGATCAACTCATCCCCTTCCATGGCATGCTACAGCCAACTATTCTTCAATTATAAAAATGGCATCACCTCTTAAGTAGAAAAATATTTTTTAAAAATTTTTTTAATAATCACATTTTTTGATACTGTTTAGACAGCTAAATAATAATATTTGCCCAATGAGAATATTTACAACGGGTCAATACTGTTCCAACTATTAACAGATTTAATCCTGACAATTGTAGGAGGTTGGTTCCATTATCATCCCTATTTTACAGATGAGAAGACTGAAGCCCAAAGAGGGTTATGTAAATTACCCAAGTTCAGATGGTTGCTCAGTGGCAGAGCTGAAGTTTGAAACTCAGCATCTGGTTCCACAAATCTATGCTGTTAGTCTCACTACTATACTGCTGTTCTGAAATAGAATCCAGTAAGAAAAAAGCAAACCAAACTTGATCTTCTATTATATAATCATTCAGATTTATAATTGGATTTAAACATAGCCCCAAGAAATTAAGGACCAGCAGGTCTACAGCCGCTTTCCCAAGAGGACTGTTATACTGAGGTATAACCACTTCTTCCAGAAGCAAGAGCCTGGGATAAGCCAAACCCAAGGCTGCCTGGGCAAGGTATCATTGTCCTGGAAGAGCACATCTAATTGAGGCTCCAAATCCAGCATTAGCAAACCCTTCAGGTGTAATTAATCTGCAACAGAGAAGCTCTGCAGGGCAGTGTGAATTCTGCAAGCAGACCCTCTCTCCTGGTAGTTAGATGAGGTAAATCAACTAATTTCCCCGGTGAGATATGTTTTCTGTTGGACTTGTGCTTTCAATTATCCAGATGAAGAAAAATTCCATTTCGGAGGCTCTTTTCCAAATCCCAATTTTCTTCCTTATTCCCAACTCTTAACACTTCCTCTTCTCTAGCAGCTACCTAGGACCAGAGATTCTGATCTTTCTGCTTAGTGGAGTGTGTGTGTGTGTGTTTGTGTGTGTGTGTGTCTTGGAGGCTGGGGGCAGTAGGCAGGGGTGGTGCAGCACCCTGAGCAGTCATGAACTGCCAGATAAAATGCCCTTGATCTGATGGTTTCCTTCAAACCATCAGACTGCATCACTCGACAATCCAGCAGCCTCCAGCTGATGGATTTGCAGAAGTGCTCAAGGATAATTGGCATTTTAATGGGAAAATGCCGTGTTCCCAAGTGTCAGAATAGCAATAAGATACCCCAAGGGCCATTAACACAGTTCTTGGGTAATTAAAGTTGCTCACCCATCAGTCTTGGTCGCAGAATCTATCCCATGCTTGCAGCAGGGCTTCTGAGGGTGCCCAATTCTCGCAAACCACTAAATTGGAACTCTAATGATCAAATGGCTTTTCCCATTCAAACGCACACATGCAAAAGACACTGAAGAGCAGTTGCACCTCCATCTGTCACTGCCATTCTTCTGTCTTCTCTCGCACTAGGGCTGGGCTCAGGAGAGAACTGTGAGAAACATGGGTGATAGAAGGAATAATCCTTAACTGACTCTTCTGGTATCAACTTACAGAGGCCACCTTTCAGAAGGTCATTTTGATCCAATGCATCCACAATTTATTTATAGTTTACAGATGCCAGATACAGGGTGCATGGTACCCCTTGGCTTGGTGATTAGGGCTGGGGCTGTACTTTAACCTCCCTTCACCCGCTTGGCTGGGCATCTGGTGTCCACATAATTAGATGTGCTGGTCCTTGCTAATGTTTTTGTATTTTTTTTTTTTTTTGAGACAAGGTCTCACTCTATTGCCCAGGCTATAAGGCAGTGGTGTGATCTTGGCTCACTGCAGCCTCAACCTCCTGGGCTCAAGGGATCCTCCCACCTCAGCCTCCTGAGTAGCTGGGACTACAGGTGCATGCCACAATACCTGGCTAATTTTTGTATTTTTTTTTTTGTAGAGACAGAGTTTCACCATGTTGTCAAGGCTGGTCTTGAACCCCTGGGCTCAAGCGATCTGCTGGCTTTTGTCTCCCAAACTGCTAGGATTATGGGCATGAGCTGTCATGCCTGGCCTGTTGCTAATGTTTAATGCACAGTTATTATGCACCCAAGCATTAAGTCACTCCACCTTCACAACTGTTGTTAAAACGGTTATTGCACAGATAAAGAAGCCGAGGTTGAGAGAGGGAAGTGGCTTGTGTAAGGTCACCCAGAAAATGGAGCTCAGGCTCAAGCTGTCTGATTGCAGAGCTCAAGGTTTTCACCACTACCCTATTGTGATGGTTGATTTGGAATGTCAACTTGACTGGATTAAGGGATACCCAGATTGCTGGCATTATTTATTCTCCATGCTTCAGTAGGTAGTAAGCCTATCTCTTTTCTGCTGAAAAGGAAACCCAGGTGGCTTTGCTTTTGACTGGAATGATTGGGCAGCCCCAGATGTGTCTGTGAGGGTGTTTCCAGAGATTGGCTTGTGAGTTGGTAGACTTAGTGGGGAATATCCGCCCTTAAAGTGGGTGGACACCATCCAATCAGCTGTGGATCCAGATGGAACAAAAAGGAGGATGAAAAAGAGAATCCTCACCCTCTTTCTGCCAAGCCTGGTAGCTCTTCTCCTGCCCTTGAACATCAGCATTCCAGGTACTCTGAACTTGGGACTCACATCGGTGGCCTCAGACTGAGAGCAACACCATTGCCTCCCTGGTTCTGAGGTCTTCAGACTTGGGCTGAGCCAAGTTACCAGCTTCCCTGGGTCTCCAAGCTTGCAAGCATGGGCCTCTCAGCTCCGTAATCGAGCCAGTTCCCCTAATAAATTCTTTGCATGCATCTCTCTCTCTATGTCCTATTGGTTCTATCTCTCTGGAGACCCCTGACCAAAATGGCTCTCCTTCTCTCAATCACTTTTCAAAATCTGGGGGCAACCCATTTCTGTACCTGTTAAAGAAGTATATCTTCCTATGAAAGCATTCTTAATTCTCATTTTGACCAAAGGGTTTGTCCTAGTGCCATTTTGGGAGCATGAAATAATGCTCAAGTCAAAGCTTGTGGGCTGGACTGAGGGCTTTGAGAAGAGGCTGGCGTTTGACAGGCTTTCTCCCATCAGGGACCACCTGCCCTTAGGAATAGGGACAGGAGAGTCAGGGTTCTGACAGGAAACAGGTGGCTCACTCAATCAGGGCACTTGTGGACTGTTTAATAAAAGTACTCTACAGAGCTGAGGGCAGGGTTTAAGAAACCAAGGGAGGGATGGGGAGAAATTCCAAGTCAGGCAAAAGCCAGAGCTGCTACGTCCTAAGATATGAAGACAAATGGGGGTTGGGGAGTCAGTGGTTTCAGGGACCTAGAGAAGGTAACTGCTTGGAGGTGGCTGCATGACAGGGGCTGTGGCTTCCCTAGAGGAACACAGCAAGTGAACTGGTAAAGAGGGGGTCCAGCCTCATTCTCCTCTTGCCTTCTCTCCTGTCAGCCCCTGCTTTCAGCTACACCCAACCCAAATCCAAAGGGCAACGAAGCCACATTCACTGGGGGCAGCATTCACAGCTGCAGTGTTTCTAGGCACACCACAGGTGGGCCAGGAAGAAGCTGAGTCTAGAATGAGAAATAGAAAATATCCAGCACAACAGAATGATGACATAGAGCCGTGTGCAACCGGATATTCAGTGGGACAAACTTGTTTCCTGAGATTTGACTGTTGGGGGGAAAATACTTATTCCCCTGTTTGTTCTTCACTTGTTTTTAGATCAGGAGAATCTTGGCTTCTTTCTGCCCCTTCATTTATTTGCCTGAAGAGAAAGAATTAATTGAGTGATGACTTTGGGACAGAGGAGGCAAGGTAGCCCAGCCCCTTCCCATCTGTCCCCCTTAGGGAGCAGCCTGACTACTTAAAGTATGTGTTCCAGTCCACTCTCAGCACTGCAGCTATCTTGGCAGGAAACCCCTGCCCCTAAGAAGAAAGGCCCATGACTTTCCAATATTGCTTGAGATTGGCTAGGTAAATACACCACATTTTGGGATGTCCCAAATGTGGGACATTTCGCGAGTCCTTTGGCCAGATCTAAATACATCTTTTCATCCAGTTTTATCAGAAATAACTGGTCTCCCGATCCCTGTCAGCCTTTCTCCTTTCGTTTGTCATTGCTCAGTGCCTGACCTAAAGTAGAAAAGAAAAAGCTATATTTCTTTTTTTCTTTTTTTTTTTTTTTGAGACAGGCTCTCGCTCTGTTGCCCAGTCTGGAGTACAGTTGCACGATCTTGGCTCACCGCAGCCTCTATCTCCCGAGTTCAAGCGATTCGCATGCCTCAGCCTCCAGAGTAGCTGGGACTACAGGCATGTACTGCCATGCCCAGTTAAGTTTTGTATTTTTAGTAGAGATGGGGTTTCACCCTGTTGGCCAGACTTGTCTCGAACTCCTGACCTCAAGCGATCAGCCCACCTCAGCCTCCCAAAGTGCTGGGATTACAGGTGTGAGCCACCACGCCTGGCCAAAGCTATATTTCTTTAACCTCAAAACTGGCAACTGAGAGTCAAAGTTGAGGACTTTGTGAGTGTCAAAAGTTTGTGTCAAGCCCCAAACCGACACATCCCATGGTGTATGAAGAAGCAAACGAACTGACATGCCTCTGTGCAGCAGTGCCCATCCTCCAGCCCCCTCCCCACTCCCACTGGCCTAAACAAGCAGAAGGCTAGAGGAGGGAGGTATTTGAAGTTGTCCCTTAAGTGGTGGGTGCCTAGGGAATAGAGTTGTTGCACCTCTCTTCCCTCCCCATGGAGGATGGAAGGGGTGGTGCTTTATTCCTGAAGCCAAACAAAGGAAATTTCAAAAGGATCACTAGGGCATTGGGCAGGGGGACAAGAAAGGGAAAGAGATGGGAAGAGAGAGGGGAGACCAAAGTGCAAGAGTAGGTCACATAGATACCAAGAATGCGACCCCATTAGGGCCATCTTGCCACTGACGCATCCAAGGAAGAGCTCCAGAACCAAAGATATAATTGGAGGGGGTGTTCTAGTTTATTGCTGTGTGACAAGCCACCCCAAAGCTTAGCAGCTTAAAACACCAGCCATTTTATTATATGTCATAATTTTGTGGGGCAAGAATTCAGGCAGGGCTCTACTGAGAATTCTGCTGCTCCACGTGGAATCAGGTGAGGGCCTCTGGTGGTGTGCAGCTGGTGGAAGGGCTGGTCTAGTGCCTTGGCTGCAAGGCTGGGTTCAGCTAGGACTATTGATTGGCACACCTACAATTGCCTTCCCAGTGTGACAGTCAGACTTCTTACATGGTGGCTCAGAGGTCCAAGAAACCCTGATGGCAGCTGCAAGGTTTCTTATGATCTAGCATCAGAAGTTTGAGACTGTCCCTTCCGTTGCATTCTATCAGCCAAGGAAGTCACTAAGGTGAGCCTACTTTCAATGGGAGGGGAAAGAGACTCCTCCTCTCTATGATAGGAGTAGCAAAGATTCCATAGCCATCTCTATATATCCAGGAGGCATTACGCATATGTCTAGCCAGAATGTTTGTCTCAGGTCAGGGAAGGTCCCCCACCCAGGGCCTTTTATATAACTTAGTTATCTGCCCCATGAGAAGGCAGGTGTTGGCTGCCAGCCCAGTAGAAGCCATTGCCAGAGAAGCCAGGAAAGTCTCAAAAAGAAACAATAACACCCCTTAAGAGGCATTTGTCCCTTTTTCCCCAGCCTGCTCCTCAACCCCTAAAGCACTAGAGGAAGAAGAGCTAAAAAACAGACCACATCCCTTCCTCCTCAAGATGCCTTAGGTCAAAACCAGGTGTGCTCTGGGGGTTGGGAAATGAAGTTAAATTGGGGTATGAGATTGAATCTTCAAACTTTAAACTAGCCCGGACTGGACTTTTAAAACGTAAAAATGACTGGAAAACTAGGGCTGAAATCTGATTAACGGAGAGTAGACATAGCACAGTTAAAGTCAATAATTAGAGAAAATAAGACAGTTGTTTGTATCTTTACTGAATTTAGATTTTTCAATAACCTGGTAACATTTTCATAATAACATATGGGTGTTATGCAATTAGCAAGAAATAGGTTTGTAAGATTTGAAGATGCTCCTTCCTGAAAAAAGTACAGAGCTTAAACCTCTTCTAAATGATCCATTGTAAGGGCCCATAATCTTTTCTCTGAGATGAAGCAGGGACACTGGTATTGGAGAGGAAAAACTTTTCCTCTACCCTCTTAGGTGAGATAACTGGGGGCCTGTGAATTAAACTCACAAAAGACAAACTGACAGGAGAAAACGCACACAATTTTTATTCATATTTATGTGCATGAGAGTTCACAGAAAAGAAGTGAAACGCAAGCAGTTAGACTTGAGAGCTTGTGTGCCCTTTTAACAAAGAAAAGAGGATCATAAATTGTGGGGCAGTAACTGGGACATATACGGGGGAACTAAGGGAAAATAAGGATTCTTTTAGTAAAGTCTGTTTACGTAGACTCATCTTTGTATGGACCCTTCATCTCTTCACTCTTCTCTTCCTGGTACATGTGTTTGGGATCAGTCACAAAAAGGAATGCCGCCTTCTGGTGTGGGACTTTGGTGGCATTCACTCCCTGTGCTGCAAGCGTTGCTGAGAAGTTACATCTAAGATAAAACAGGAGCAAAGGATCCAGCTTTCAGTTTTCATAAGACTCAAGAGCAGCATCAGCATCACTCAAGGAACGGAGATGGACACAGTGGGGTATTAAAAATACTGGTGACTAGCGCTAGGGAGGCTGAGGCAGGAGAATCGCTTGAACCCAAGAGGCAAAGGTTGCAGTGAGCCAAGATCACACCACTGCACTCCAGCCTGGGTGACAGAGCAAGACTCCATCTCAGAAAAAAAAAAAAAAAAAAAAAAATTGCTGATGACTGCATCAGTCGAGTTCCTGCCAGGACACAGATGGTGCTCTCAGCATGAGTAATTTGAGGTGTGTTTAGTAAAGGCACTATCTACAAAGGGGTGGGCAGAGTATGGGACACCATAGTGGACTTGCAAAAACGCAGGGCTGGTAACAGAGAGCTATTATCACCCTGATGCCTTGAAGGGACAGGAAGGGACAATTATGGGGACCTGGAGGTGGCATGGGCTTCCCGGGAGGAGCTGTGATCTTTGAGGGATGCTGCCACTCCCAGGCAATTCCAGAGGGAAAGAATGAATTGGTAGAACCCAACCAGAAGCCACAGGAAAGGTGCCTCCTGGGCCACAGAGCAGGGTGGAGAATGGCCAAGAATAGATTGTGACAATGGAAAATACCCAGCACGGTGACAGTAAAATGGAATATCAGCAATCACTACCAAGCAGGAACTCACTACATTCCAGACCTGGTGCTGAGCATTTTACAGGCATTCACTGATCGAATCATCGCAAATTTATCAGCACAGTTTCTATTCATATTGCCCACATCACAATTTACTAAATTGTCCAGCACTGCACAGCTAGGAAGTGGTACGACTGGGGTCTGTCCTTTTCATTGTCTTTAATGAGCTCTTTCAAAACTCTGTTGTAGGAAACTGATAATAATGCCAATAAGTTTGGTCCAGTGGAGATGCCATTGAGTACCCTTTGGAAGTAGACAGTACCGCATCTGTAGGGGCGTAAAAAAAATAGTCTCTCTACATTTCATAGTTCTTAGTTAGGACAGACTCCTATAACAAAAGACAGATTAACAAGAGAAAAAGTTTATTAACATGTATGTTTCATGTATATATGGGAGATACCCACAGAATGACTAAATCTCAGAGGAAGCTTTGAAATTAGGATTATGTAACATTTTTCACAAAAAAAAAAGCAGTACATTTTTAGAGAGTGATAAGACAAAGGAAAAGGACTCTAAGTCTCTAGGGATGGCAAATTGTGGGAAGGCAAATAGCAGACAAACGCTGATAATACAGCTTGTCAGGTAGATGCTTCTGCTGCCTTCTAGCTGATAAGGTTCTAAGGTTGTCTTCATTGTCTTGTTTTTGTCCTTCCTGGTAGAGAGGGGAGGAGGAAAAACTTACCTTTGTAAATTTATATCCTGCTTTTCGGCAAGTAGGAGGAGGGCAAAGAGGTTTCTTGTACCTGCTTCTTCTCAATTACCTTCAGCTCAAAATGATCCTTATGCCAAAATGGCATCTTTTGGGGTGGCGTATCCTGGTCTCCTACACACCTATTAGCAAATCCATTTGGGCATTTCTGACTACCTATATAGGTGTCTGCCTTTTTTCCCCTCATTCTCCTTTGGACTGGTTGATTAAACCTAACTGATTTTTTTTTTTTTTCATTAATTGAGTTAAACGAAATCTTTGACCTGCATTCATTTTATGTGTGAGTCATGCCTTTACCTTTTAGAAAATCTCTCCTTTTACCATGGTCCACCTGCATGCACCTTCACCCCTTCATCCCAGTCCTTCATTGACTGACCGATCTCTCCCTTTGGAAGTCCTGAAAATTGTGGGAGAGATGACTTCTCCCATTTTCTCTTCCTGTTAGTGGCTGGTGTTTGATTTCCAAGGGTGCTGGGCCTTGCTAAGTCCCAAGGCCCAGAAATCCCCACTTTTCTGTGTACTAGCAGCAGAATAGCCCAGGGCCAAGGGCATGGGCTTTGGCATTCAGTTGTACCACTTCCTAGCTGTGCAATGCTGGACAGTTTACTCTAGTAAGCTGTGACCTGGGCAATATCAATAGAAACTGTACTGATAAATCTGCGCAGACAGAGCAACCTCTGAGATTTACTCATTTCTATGGGTATCTCCCATGTACATATGAAGCATTCATGTTAATAAACTTTTGCCCTTGTTAATCCATCTTTTGTTATAGAAGTCTGTCCCAGCTAAGAACTATGAAGGGTAGAGAGAAAATTATTTTTTCCTTTCCTACAGATACAATATTGTCTTCTTCCAAGGGGGACTCAGTGGCATCTCAACTGGACCAATCTTATTTGCATTATTATCAGTTTCCTACAAAAGAGTTTTGAAAGAGCTCATTAAAGAAAATGAAAAGGACAGACCCTGATAGAATCAGATAACCCACGCAGAAGGTGCACCTAATATTCCACTGAAAGGCTATCCAGTGATCTCTTGAGCCTGTATCAAAGGCTTTTCCAGTTATTCTTGACAATCATGATTGCAGTTGTCCGTAAGTTTATAGGCTGTAATTCACATGGTTGTCACCCATGTGGTTGTCCAAGTTTGCAGTGCCTGACAGTTGAAGGAAGAAGCCAGCAACAAGAAATATTTTCACTGTTCCTTAGACCTCACCCCAGACTTTCCCTCTTCCTCTCCCCTTCTTCCCCTGATTTTAGACCTCCTTTATTTCTAGAGAAAATCTTCCCCTATTTTTCTTTCCCTCTGAGATACTTCTCTTATCTTTTGACAGTAAACCTTGATGGCTAATTCATTAGCAACTGAAAAACTGCTTCGTCTTTCCTCCAGGGCAGCATGAGCTTAAATCCTCAAACTGTGAGGAGAGAGAAATTCTTTGCCCTCCATCCTTCAGGGGAGCACAGCAAAGGAAAAAAAAGAAAAACAACAAAATTATTTTTCTGTACTAAATTAAAATGTAATTAAACAAAATTAAGTAAGTTAAAATTCCATATTAACACCCTGTTCAAGGCTTGGTTCAAATGTCACCTTCCTAATGAGGTCTTCCCTGACCATCTTATTTTAATTGCAACTCCACACTCCCACCCATCTTGTACCCCCTACTCAGCTTTATTCCTTATAAAGGGTTGCAGCCTGCAGGCTGGGAAGTATAGCCTTGAGCAGAAACCAAAAGCAGGGTACTGAATTTGGACTTTATGCCAAAAGGGTTGGTTAAGTAGATATGTTTAACAGACTATAGGAGGGGCTATGAATGCGCATGACGGTGTAGTAAGCAAACATGCATGTTATATACATCCCATGTTCACTTTGAGATAGAGACTTGACATTTAAATGCATGAAAATTCAGCCCTATATGTCAAAAGGTGTAAACAGAGGACACAGAGGCATCCTGTATACAGTCCCTGTAACCCAGCCAGAACCAGTCCATGATCGGTAGTCTCTTATCAGGAAGAGAAGCTAGTCAGTGGTTTAAATTGGAGGTAGAGCAAGTCTTTTGAAAGTGCTGGTTTCTGGTTAACTCTTTTTTTTTTTTTAAATTGCATCTCACTTTAATGTGGAATCTAAAAACAAAAAAGGTCAAATGCACAGATATAGAGAATAAAACAGTGGAAAGGGGGAGATGTAAATCAAAAATACAAAGTAGCAGATATGCAGAGTAAACAAGTCGAGAGGTCTAATGAACAATTTGAGGACTGTAGTTAATAAAATTGTATTGAATTCGTGATTTTTGTTAAATAGATTTTAGCTGTTCTTGTTACAAAAAGTGTAACTATGTGAAAGGATAAACATGTTAATTTGCTTCACTGTAGTAACCATTTTACTATCTACATGTATGTTGTAAACCTCAAGTATAAATGATAAAATTTATTTTTAAAATGGCTGAGGGAGCTTATCACCACTAAACCTGCCTTATAAGAAATGCTAAAAGGAGTTTTTTTGAGTGGAAATAAAAAGATGCTGAAGTAACAACATGAAAACATATGAAAGTATAAATCTTATTAGTAAAAGTAAATACATAGTCAAATTCAGAATACTGTAATACTGTCACGGTAGTCTATAAATCACTTTTGTTTAATTCTACTTTAAGTTCTGGGATACGTGTGCAGAAAGTACAGGTTTGTTACAGAGATATACATGTGCCATCATCTAGGCTTTAAGCCCCACATGCATTAGGTATATGTCCTAATGCTCTCCCTCCCCTTCCACCCCACCACTCTCTGGTTAACTCTTAAGAAAGCAAGCCTAATGATGGTTAGCAAGGGAAGGGGTAAAATAAGGCATGTCCAACCTCCTATCATGCTGGGAACTCAGTTTTCAAGGTTTCTCAGAGGTCCCTTTGGCCAAGAGGGGGTCCGTTCAGTCAGTTGAGGGGCTTAGAATTTACTTGTATTTCTCAGATGTCAACTCTTTGAAGGCAAGGATTTTGTTTCTTTTGTTCAATATCTTAACCCTACCACCTAGAACAATGCCTGACATATAAATGTGCGATAAAGGTTTGCTGTGCAAATGAATGGAAATTGTCTAGACACTGACATCCTTCCACACTTGACTCACTGGCCTGCACACTAGGCTTCACACTGTCTGTGACCTAACCTATGAGCTGCCCTTCTTCGGTTTTCTTCTTTCCTCTCTTGTTTCACTTAGCATCTAACTGTGAAAGCTGCCTGAGATCAGGGAGCAGGAAATGGAAGCTGAAAGTTGCAGAACTCTTGATACACATATCAAAATGTTTGGGGCCCAGACTCTCAGAGCTAAATCCCAGCCCTCTCAAATGCTTTCAGACAGGGAAGATCCAGGTTTCTTGAGACCCACAGCCTATAAATTGGTGAGGAGAGGAAGGTCCTTTGAGGAAAAACAAAAGGAAATTAGGTATGACAGCCTGCATAGAATGAGAAGAGAAATCACATCATGTCTCTTACTGCAGACTTAGAGTTGCCATTCCCTTTCTTCTGAGATCTCCTTAGGCAGTTTCTCAGGGATGCTTACAGAGATAGGTTGCTGGCTGCACCACGGCCTCCTCTCCTGGTTCAGCTGACAGAAGCAAGGACATCATCTGGAAGTCTGTTAGAAATACAGGGTCTCAGGCCCTGCTGATATGGTTTGGACCTGTGTCCCCTCCAAATCTCAAGTTGACATGTAATCCCCAGTGTTGGAGGTTGGGGCCTGGTAAGAGGTTGATACGGTTTGCCTGTGTCCCCACCCAAATCTCATCTTGAACTGTAGCTCCCATAATTCCCACTGTTGTGGGAGATAATTGAACCATGGGGACAGTTTCCCCTATACTGTTCTCGTGGTGGTGGGAATAAGTCTCACCAGATCTGATGGTTTTATAAGGGGAAACCCCTTTCACTTGGTGTTCATTCTCTCTTGCCTGCTGCCGTGTAAGATGCACCTTTCACCTTCTGCCATGATTGTGAGGCCTCCCCAGCTATGTGTAACTATGAGTCCATTGAGCCTCTTTTTCTTTATAAAATACCCAGTCTCAGGTATGTCTTTATCAGCAGTGTGAGGATGGACAAATACAGAGGTGTTTGGAACATGGAGGCAGATCCCTCATTTATGGATTAGCATCATCTCCTTGGTGATGATGATGAGTGAGCTTTTGCTCTGTGTCCACACAGATCCGCTTGTTTAAAAGCATGTAGCACCACCCTACCCGCGCTCTCTTGCTCCTATTCTCACCATGTGACGAGCCTGCTCCAGCTTTGCCTTCCACCGTGAGTAAAAGCTCCCTGAGGCCTCACCAGAAGCAGATGCCTGCACCATGCTTCCTACACAGCCTGCAGAGCCACGAGTCAATTAAACCTCTTTTCTTTACAAATTACCCAGTCTCGGTATTTCCTTATAGCAATCCAAGAACAGTCCAGTACAGCCACCCTAGGCCCATTGAATCCAAGTCTGCCTTTTCTTTTCCTTTTATCCTTTTTTTTTTTTTTTTTTTTTTTTTTTTTTTGAGACAGGGTCTTGCTCTGTCACCCAACCTGGAGTGCAGGAGCGTGATCTTGGCTCACTGCAACCTCCACCTCCCAGGTTCAAGCGATTCTCCTGCCTCGGCCTCCTGAGTAGCTGGGATTACAGGCGCATGCCACCACGCCCAGCTAATTTTTGTATTTTTAGTAGAGACAAGGTCTCACCATGTTGGCTGGGCTGCAAGTCTGCCTTTTCATAAGGCGCTGGGGGATTGATTCCTATACACATTAAAGGTGGGTAGACATAGACTTTGTAGAGTCCTGTCAACTCCAAATGCCTCACCTTGGCTCCTGCCAGGAGCCCTGATGCTGACGTTTCCTCCTGTGATCCGTACACACTGTAGTCCAATCTGCCACTGGCTAATGCTACAGGGTGTCTGCCTGAGGGACCAAGACACTAGAGTCCTCACTGTGGCATTGCTACTGTCCACTTGTCCTTTATTAAGTGACCGTGGTGCATCCTAGCACAGTCAAAAGAGGGAGCTGTTGTACTGAAACAGAGGACTAGTGGGTCTTTATAGGACTTGGGACACTCCTTGAGGTGGTGGAGGATAGAGTAGAGGCCATCTGTCCCCTCATAGTTCCTCAGGCCTTAGTATTCTAGCCTTGGCCAGCACTTATCCACTGCTGAGGGCATTCTGGAACAGCTAGAACCCCTCCCTCTGCTAACAAGGCGAGCTGCAATACCAGAGAACGCATGCCCCAGGGTCTTTTCCCCATCCCATCCTACCCTACAGCCCTCAGCCAATGGCTGATGACAGCTGCAGCACAGGTGCGTGTTACACACTGGCTCCCAGGACACTTCAGCAGGATCATGCCCCTGTTGCCCACAGTGGTTACTTACTGGAGGGCACATCTCAGACTGGCATCCTTCCCTTCCCTGCCTCACTTCCCCCAATCCCTCATGAGTATTTCCTGGGGTTCCTTTCCAAATAAACTACTTGGACTACAATCTTCATCCCCGGGTCTGCTAGAAGGGAAACCCCCACCTAGGATTTGGGGTGGGGGTGGGGTGGGGTTAAGTAAAAATCCCAGGTTGATTTTTAATTTTTTTTCCTCTATGAATCGTGACAGCATCTGCAAAACTAGACCACTTCCTGGGAAACCATTCAGCTCAGCACAGGCTAGAAACTGTGGAAAGAACTGGAATGCAGACCTCCTGCTCACTGAGCAGGCAGGGCTTAAAACTGCTGTTGTGTTAACTCAGGGTTTCTCAACCTGGGCATCAGGACCACAGGATTCTTTGCTCCCAGGGTTGGGGGTGCTGCTCTGTGCGCTGTGTGATGTTTAGTAGCATCTCTGGCTTTTGCTCACTAGATGCAACTAACACACACACACACACACACACACATCCCATTGTGATAATCAAATATGTTTCCAGACATTGCCAAATGTCCCCTGTGGGGCAACAAATCGCCCCCGGTTCAGAACCACTGGGTTAACTGAACTCTTTCTTCTGAGCAATGGCAAACAAAACCCAGGCTGACTGTTTCCCACCTGCGGTGAAACTTGCAGTCCTTTGCTTTACCTCTGATGCGCCTGCCCTCTGCCCTGCCTGGCTTCAAGTCCTCATTATAAAACCCATTTGTCACCGCTTCCTTTTTGAGGATTAATTTCTAGATTGTCTGCTGATGGCTAGCTGGGATTGCATTTCTGGTAAAAAAGAAAAAAAAAGCCCAACACATCAGCTCCCTGCTGGTCTCAGAATTCCAGAGTGCCCTCAAGTGGCCAGAAACTGCCATCTGTTTGGCTGCCCTCCAAATTCCAGGCTGCTCTGGAAAGAACTATGGGGGGCAGGGACCTTCCCCTTGCTTGGTGCTTCTAGAAAATCTGTTTTCTCACAACGTGACAAAAATTCAGCAGTGTCTCCTTCAGGCTGTTTCTTGGAGCATGTTTTTGAGCGCATCCCTGAGAGGTTGATCCTACGGGCTGTGTGTGCATGTGTTATGAACGTGTGTGGTTTTCAAAGTCTGGTCAGTAATGAGGAATGCAAATGGAGTCAGTGCTGAGAGAAGGGGCTGCAGGCCACACCACCGTGCTGGGCACACATAAATGAGCCTTGCGTGCTGGCAGAGGGCAGTCAGACCCTGTCAGCTGTTACAACCAGGTGAGCTGCAGGGAGACCTCTGGGAAAGAGACCGCAGTCTTTATCCAAGTGGCCTCCGTTACCTGCAACCAGGTCACACAGACTCTGTGTTCTCTCTTGATTCACCAGTTTTAACATGTGGCAGCCACCAGAGAGAAACCAGGTCTAATTCTCCAGTTTTCCAGGCCTACTTCAGTTCCCAAGACTACCTTTTCTAGAGGGACGCTCCAAGAGATGGGGAGATAATGGAAGTGCCTAATCGCAAAGCCCTACAATATAATTTGTAGGAAGTAGGCAAAGTGCATGCAAAATGAACATTAAAAGCTAAGGAGCTATTCAGGCTGGAAAGAGGAGAGGTTTTCGGCATCGGGTGGTCTTCCAGCCTACCTGTCACTCACCCTCTTCAGGACTAGGCGGGGACCACTGTGCTCTCTGCAGACATATTTCAAAATACACTACAGCACACAGCACAGAGCACTCAGCACAGAGAACTCAAAACAGGTTTTTCACTTGCATGAAGCTCCCTCGGTGCCAACTCTATGTGGGCATTCAGTATTTCCCACTATCAAGCTTCACTGTAATTGCATAGGGTCAGATTCCTGGACAGACCGGAGGCTCTGGGGAAACACCAAGGCCTGTGTCTCTTCACAGGAGACTTCGGACACAGCACAGGGTCTGGCCTCCAGGGGCACACTGTCTTTATTTGTTGAAGGAACACTTAAATCAGAGATCGGTGGATTTTGAAAGACAAAAAAGAAAAGAGATGGAATTCATGTAAGGAAATGGCAGACCCTAAGACAGAAATGTGCTGAGTCTGTTTGGGGAATAGTGAGAAGGCCCATTTTGAACTAGAGAAGATGGCTTACGTAATGAAACAGTGAAGAATCATGCTGGAAGGTTGCTGAGGGGCAAGAGAACAACTGATCTTCATTTCCTAAGTCAATAAAATATTCACTAGCAGTTGGTCATGTCTCACCTTCTTTTTCTTGATGAATATCTTATAATGCCCCTTTACCACCCTGAAATGAAATTCATCTTTTCAATATAACCCACCTACTCGCATAATTTTAAAAAATAAGTATAATGGCCCAAGTCTAGTCTAAAAAAGAAAGAAATGTCATTTACAATATCATATGCATAGGCCTGGATTTATTAGGAGATATAATGAAGTAGTCAGATGTTTGCAACTCATAATGGAAAAATTTGAATATAAAAAATGTAAGGCAATATTCAGCTGAATATTCACACACGAGGAATCACTGTGGTGGCGAGAGCTGCAACTGTAGACTGTTAACAGGCGTATTGCTTCGGTGACTCTAATACCTTAAGGAGATTTGCTATTGGCAATGTTATTTTTGAAGCGGAGAAAAACTTTTGGCAAAGGTTCAAACATAACTAAGTGCAACTATCCATTGATTTACAGTCACTGTGTTTCTAGAATCTATAATACATATTAAGATCCCATGCAAAAAAAAAAAAACATTGTGCTAGTATGTAGCTGGAGAATTCAGACAGGGAACAGGACACAGAGCTTGACTCTGTGATGTCCAGGGCCATAGCTGGAATACTCAAAGGCTGAAGTCTAGAATAATCTGATGGCTTCGCTGGGGCTGCAAGACCTACTTTCAAGGTGGCTTATCTACACAACTGGCAAGTTGGTGCTGGCTGTTGGTAGGATGCCTCTCTCCCTGTGAAATTTCCCCACAGGGCTGCTTGAGTGTCCTCACACCATGGCAGCTGGCTTCCTCCAGAGTGAGCAATCCCAGAGAGAGGGACAAACCGAAGCTCTTCCTTTTACAACCTAGCCTCAAAAGTCACATAGCATCACTTCTACCACATTCTTTTCCTTAGAAGAGAGTCTTTAAGTCTGGTCTGCATTCAAGGAGAGGGGAATTAGGCTCCATGCCTTGAAGGAAGAGGTATCAACAAACTTGCAGACATATACTAAAACCACCATAGCTCAGATAACTTGCAATAGGGTTTTCAGGAACATTCAGTCTACTCAAAATTACATGGGATGGGCCGAGTGCAGTGGCTCACACCTGTAATCACAGCACTTTGGGAGGCAGAGGCAGGCGGATCACCTGAGGTCAGGAGTTCGAGACCAGCCTGGCCAAAATGGCAAAACCCTGACTCTACTGAAAATACAAAATTAGCCGGGCGTAGTGGTACGCATCTGTAATCCCAGCTACTCTGGAGGCTGAGGCATGAGAATCACTTGAACCCGGGAGGCAGAGGTTGCGGTGAGCTGAGATCACATCACTGACCTCCAGCCTGGGTGACAGAGCGAGACTGTGTCTCAAAAAAAAAAAACAAAACAAAGCAAACAAACAAAAATTACATGGGATGTAGAATAAAAATCCATAATGTGGGACAATCCCACATATTACAGACTGTCTTATGCTCTGTAACCCCATCCCTACTCCACCAAATGCCAGTAGCACATCTTTATCATTGTGAAATGCAAAACACCCCCTACACCTGCATAATTCTCTCTCCTTGAGAACCACTGTAATGGATCATAAGAACAACTAAAAATTTGGGTCAAGAAAGCAACAAAATCAGACCCAGGCATTATGATTAGTCTAGCAGCAGCATACGGGAAAGTCTTCCAATTACTTTTAAGATCTATGCCTCACACTCTGCCATCTCCCACAGCCTCCACTGGCACCAGTGCCCTTTAGGCTCCTTGTAAGCACTAAGCTCCCTCGTGGCTCAGGGCCTTTGCACTTACTGTAGATCTCTAGAACATTCTCCTGTTTCTCCCTTATACCCGCACCTTTTCACTCTCAGAATTTCTTCAGATAAATCTTCCTTCTTCTTTCCAAAGATACCAGGTTTCCCTGGAAAGCAAAGTTTTCCCAATTTGAGCACAAATTGCAGTTTTTAGTTATAGACTTGTGTGATTATTTGTTTAATTTCTGTTTCCCCATACAAAGGTAAGCTCAGTGATGGCAGAGGGAGGAAGGAAGGAAGGGACGGAGGATATGAGCCTCTTGTATTAGCCACAGAGCTGAGCAGCCTCAGATAACATGGAGAAGTTTACTATTCCTTTTGGGCACCCTGAATGAACAGCCCCACATATCACTGGGTGGAAGGAAGGAGCAGGAAGGGCCCCATCCCTACTGAAATATTGGTGAAGATATATATCTGACTGTGCCAGCACACACATAAAGAGGCATATTAGCTCCCCAGTTCGCAACGAAAAACCACAGCTGCTAATGGTGGTGTTGCTAGGTTGTTCTGTAGAGCATGATTTTCTGTTTCAATTACTGCGGTGGTGGTGATTTAGCAGCCAGACCGTCTGAGAGATGCTCCTAGGAGGTTAGGTTGTAAGGCCCATCAGAAAGAGATGGCTTGGGTTGGTTGGTTTCTCTCTCTCTCTCCATTAGCTTTTGCTGTTCACCCAAATAGACTCTCCAGTTTAGGCTGTGGCCATGTCATCACTGTGGGTGAGCTGGGCTTATTGGGGGTTCCTGCGGGGGCTTAGTGAATACTGTGCCATTGCTATTACCCTGAAGCAGGGCTATGCATTCTATAAGAAACCTTGTAATCACCACTTACAGAGAGTATTTATTGTGTGCCAGGCACCCTGGTACATAAACTTCCTGCTAGATTTGCCCTGACACAATCTCACTTCAGCCCCACAACTGCCTAGTGGCTTCCATTTTACACTGAGTTCACTAAGACCCGGAGAGGTTTTCAAACAGCTCCTTAAGGTTAAAGAGCTGGGACGCGTGAAACAGGAACTTGACTGAGATTCATCTGACTGTCCAGCCCGAGCTTTTTACATCACCCTGTACTGCTAATTCCTGCCCTCCTTCCAGCCAGGGCTGATACTTCATCCTGCTATCCCCATCATCATTCACTGGATCTGCCTGTAGCACCCCTGAAGGCTTTGGGTGACTTCCAAGATGTGAGGGAAAATGTAGGTGCAATCTCCATTTCACTGCCTTACCCTTGAGACTCCATGAAAGGCTACCTCTGGCATTCTGCACATGTGGGCTGGAGAATTTCTGTGGCCTCCCAGAGGCTAGGACTTGCATGTGGATCTGCCCGTAACAAGCTCTTCCATCTTTAGAGCCCTCCCAGGGGGACTTCTGTGTCTATTATTTAATTACATATTCAGTGTTCTGAGTCTAGTCCCCAGTTTCACAGGCATGCATGGCCCTTGTTGGTAGCAGCAAGGGTGGCAGTTACTGAGGCTCGCTGATCCCTGAACTAGACGCGGCCTTGGTAATGCCCTTGAAATCTATACACCAAATGTGGCCCCTGACTTCTGCTCCTCTAGCTCATCCACTCATTCTATAAGCTCCCAATTCCTGTATTCAATTATTTTCTATTTGAGATGACTGGAATGGTTTTGGTTTCCTAAATTCTGACTTACATGCCCTACTTCTAGTCCCTGAGATCCTGGGTCTTCCTCTATGATCTTCCTAACAGTATACACAAAAGCATCTCTTTTCTTTTTTTTCAGTTTAAGTTGGGTTTCTTTCTTCATTCTTTTCCAACTAAAGATTCATAATCAGTCACATGTATTATCTCATTTAATCCTCCCAACCAGCTTTTAGAGTAGATATTATTAACCCCATTTTGTAAATAAAACTGAGGCTCAGAGAGGTGAAGTGGAGGGTTCTGCTAGCTCTGTGGTATCTTCTGTGAATAAGAAGAAAATATCTGTTCCTGGAGAGTGAATTTCAAATTGGCATCCACTATGAGCAGGAGAATTACAAAAAGCACCCCTTCCTCTGGGCTGCTGTGGCCCCAGAGCCAGAGAGCACAGCTTGATGAGCAGAGCTGGGGATGGATTTCTAGCCCACACATCCTCTAGTACAAGCACAAAGGACAGGACACAACCGGCCATGTGCCTGCCTGGTAGCCTTAGTTAAATGTCTCACCCAGGGTCACACAGCTCCAAGTGGAAGAGAAAGGCTCCAGTCTCAGTTCTTTTTTCTCTCTCTGTCTCATTTCAAACAACTGTACTGTACTGCTGGATAATACTCTAACTTATTTGTTACTTAGCATTTGCATGTTTTCATGTTGTTGCTTAATGTTTCCTATCTGTGTATATTTATAAGTATTTCTTAGTGCCTGGTGTTGTGCCTACACTTTGTAGCTGCTTAGTAAGTGCTTACAGAATGAATAAATGAATGTGCTGTTTCCTCAAATAGATTGTAAACACATAACAATTAGCGACCATGGTTTCCAACCCTTTGACACCTCGATGCCTGATACTGTGCATTTGATGTATCAGTAAAGATATCTTCTTAATGATGAGGCTGATTGTATGCCATGAGTACTGGCAGAATTTGTGCTATTGTGTCATGGAGTTCCTTTGAGAAAGCTCCATGGAGGATCCTGACTGAGCCTTGAAGAATAAGCTTTCCAGAGAAAAATGGGAAGGGTGTCTGTCCTAAGCTGAAGGAATGGCCAACAGAAACGCAGGCAAGAAGGATGGGCATGGTGGGTTTAGAAGTGACAGTCAGGAGGTCGGCTCATGTAGGAGTGAGGATGTGTGTCGGGGGAGTGGTTGGAAATGAGATTGGCTGAAATTAATCCCAATCCCACATCCAGCTCCACCATATGCAATTAACCCAGACCTCTGTTTACAGAGAGGAATTTGAAGCAAAGGCCACAAAACCAATCCATCACAGTTCCCCAGGGACTCCAACCACAACCGATGACATGAACAACCATCAGTGTTCTTTAACTCTAAGAACTTGGAAAGACTGATAGCCATAAAAGACATCCTGTAATTAAAACTGCCAACCACTATCCATCTAATATTTCAGGCTCTGTGGGAGAGCACGGGGGCTGGGGAGGAGGAGGTAAGGGGGAGACAGAGGTTGGCATGTTTTACAAACTCTAATCAGCCATTTAGCCATACTTATACATCTGATACCTTCACAAGCTTGTCCTCTGTCATACAAATTTTTCATGACACAAATACGAGTGGTAATATTAGATGAATTGGTCAGGACCCTGACTGCCGAAATAAAAAGCATCTGGGGACCAGATTAAGTCCTAAAGAAAGCAAATTGTGTATAAAACCAAGGAACCCAACATCCTGGTGAGTAACTTCTGTGGTTTCATACCCAAAAGTATATGCCTACGTCTTGTCCATTTTAGTCCTGTTAGCCTGTTTGTGAAGTAAGGAGAAACTAACCCTTACTCCAAATAAGATAAGCATGGCTGGGTGCAGTGGCTTACACCTGTAACCCCAGCATTTTGGGAGGCCAGGCAGGAGAATTGCTTGAGCCCAGGAGTTCAAGACCAGCCTGAACAACACAGCAAGACCCCATCTCTAGAAAAAAAAAAAAAAAAAGAATCAGCTGGGCATGGTGGCACACACCTGTAGTCCCAGCTACTTGGGAGACTGAGACGAGACGATCATTTGAGCCTAGGAGGTCGAGGCTGCAGTAAGCCGTAATTGCACCACTGCACTCCAGCCTGGGTGACAGAGTGAGACCCTCTCTCTGAAAAAATTAAAAAGTCATAAATGAGATTAGCAGCGTAAGGCTTTTTAGATAGTTCCTGTCATACAACTGACAGTTCTGGAGTGGCCATAAGTAGCTGTTCTTTCCCCTCCTTCTCTTCACTAGCATGGTAATCTGGCCATGTCTGGCTAAGAACCTGTAGATGCCAGGTAGGAGTGGGGAATAGCTACGGGTTAGGAGAGACCTCTGGAAATAGGAGTGCGGTATCATGTACTCCTGCTTCTAGAATGTTCTCCATTCTTTATGTTCTGTGGTGTGTCTGCCCATCCTCCCCTGATTTGTTCAGGTCCACTTCTCATCCTTCCCCTGCTCTGCTCTGCAGCTCAGGGAGGCCAATGCTTGGAGAATATTTTCCAGGCTCCCATTCTAGCTGGTATCCACTGAAGCTCAGTCATTTGGAGGCACTGGTGGGATACTAGAGAGTCGAAAGGACAAACCGGGGAACTCCACTCTTCTGTCTGCTCAGGGGACGTCTTTGAGGCCAGCTACATCCTCCCTCCCCACATGGCTCCAGCTCCCACCAATAGGCCTACCGATGTTCCAGCTTCTGCTAGGTGATGCCAGTGCTGTCCTCCCAGCCTAGGAATGGTGGAGGCTTCCTGCACTTGCCCACTAAGCCCTGATGGCCATCTTGGTCTCTTCTATCTGGGGACCAAGACCTTGACTAAATTGCCTCTGTTTTAAACACCTAGAGTGAGATTTGTTCTCCTGGTGGAACCCTGACTGATACAGCCTTACTGGGAAAGCTCTAGTGCAATATCTCTATTATGATTTGCTGGTGGCCAGTATAACCATTGTCAATTTGCCCACAATTCTCAGGTTAAGAAATGTCCTATTTTTATATTTTCCTCTAATCAACTTAAAACTGGCTCCAGCCCGCACCTGCCTGGCTGGCTGGATGTCTGTTGTCAGGCAGCACCAGGACTCATCCTTTGTTCTCTGTATAAGAATTTCAGGCTCATCCAGTCTTTAGGGAGCAGGCAGGGAGCTGGTTCCTTGATAACAACAGGAAATCCTGTGGAGCATCATTCCTTCTGTTTCATTACCCTGCTGTCAATTTCAGGTTCTCCATCGCTTATCAGAGACTTCTTTTCTGGGTGGGCCACATAAATGTCCTTCCCAGTGGTCTTCTCTTCCCATCACAGCTTTGGCCTCAGGGGACCCTTGTTGATGCACTCAAGGCCACAGTGTTTAATGTCCAGCCTCACCAGCATGTCCTCAGAGGAACAGCTCCTTTTCAGGTGCTGCATGGGACCACCACAGCTGTAGTGGAAGCCACCACCCCTCACCCCATCAGTATCCCAAAGCAAAGCCATGCAGAATCCCTCTACCGGACACACGTCTGGCTCCATCCCCCCATGGGCCTGGCAGAGCCCTCCACTGGAGGGCTGCAGGCTGGACAGTGCCCATAGATATATTCAGTTGGGCTCTCAGAATGTATTTAACGTTCAAAAAAATTATCTGCAACATTCTAAAATCAGTAAGTTTTACACAATAGTCCAAACTTCCTTGTACCGTTGAAATATCAGAAAAATCCAACCACAATGATCTCACATATCCTGATGCCAAGAATGGGATAGAGCTGAGTAGCAGTGATGGTCTCTGCAGGAGGGGCGCTTTCTCCAGGCTTGGTTGATTCATGGGGCCTGACCTGCCTGCCCAGACACCAGGTGTGCCAGCCCCAGTTCAGCCCTTGAGAACAGAGGCCTGTGCCATTCCTTCTCAGTGCTGTGTTCTCCCACCCTAAAGCTCAGCTGGTCCCAGAAGGAGGGTGAACGGGACAAAATAACTTCTCAAACTTGTGAACCCATTATGCAAGTAACGGAAAACCACATCTGTCCTATTAGGTGAGTGCAAAAGTAACTGCAGTTTTTGCACTGTTGGCATTTGCCATTTGATATTGGAATACATTATTAAATAAATGTGGTTATGTTATATATCAATTTAATGGGCATTTCTCACTTTATGTCTTTTGCTAATGACTTATCACTTGTCATTTATTTTATGTTTATTTTGGACTATGGAAATGATGTTAGACCGCAAGCAAATTTGAGTGATTTTCTTATTTGAGTTCAAAATGGGTCATAAAGCAGCATAGACAACTTGCAACATCAACAATGCCTTTGCCCCAGGATCTGCTAGTGAACGTAGAGTGCAGTGGTGGTTCAAGAAGTTTTGTAAAGGAAACAAGAAGCTTGAAGATGAGGAGTGTAGTGCCCAACCATTGGATCTTGACAATGACCAACTGAGAGCAATCATCAAAGCTGATCCTCTTACAACTACACGAAAAGTTGCTGAAGAACTCAATGTCGACCATTCTATGATTGTTTGGCATTTGAAGCAAAGTGGAAAGTTGAAGAAGCTCAATAAATGGGTGCCTCATGAGCTGAGTGAAAATAAAACAAAATCATCATTTTGAAATGTCATCTTCTCTTATTCTACGCAACAATGAACCCTTTCTTGATCAGATTGTGATGTGCCACGAAAAGTGGATTTTCTACAACAGTTGATGATGACCAGCTCAATGGAAGGACCAAGAAGAAGCTCCAAAGCACTTCCCAAAGCCAAATTGCACCAAAATAAGGTCATGGTCACTGTTTAGTGGTCTACTGTCAGTGTGGTCCACTACAGCTTTCTGAATCCGGTGAAACCATTACATCTGAGAAGTATGCTCTGCAAATTGATGACATGCACTGAAAATTGCAATGCCTGCAGCTGGCATTGATCAACAGAAAGGGCCCAATTCTTCTACACAACAATCCCCAACCGTACATTGCACATCCCACCCTTCAAAAGTTGAACTAATTGGGTTATGAAGTTTTGCCTCATTCATTATATTCACCTGACCTCTCGCCAACTGACTACCACTTCTTCAAGCATCTTGACAACTTTTTGCAGGGAAACAGCTTCCACAATCAGCAGGAAACAGAAAATGCTTTCCAAGAGTTCATCGAATCCCAAAACACAGATTTTTATGCTACAAGAAAAAACAAATTTATTTCTCCTTGGCAAAACTGTGCTGATTATAGTGGTTCCTATGTTGATTAATAAAGATGTGTTTGAGCCTGGTTATAATGATTTAAAATTCATGACCTGAAACTGCAATTACATTTGCACCAACCTAATAGTTTCAGTAGAAGGTGGAAATTTATAAGGATATAGACATGTCTTTGAGAACTCAGGGGTGGAAACACACATGTTCTCAGAAAGGGACCAGAACTGGCACTTAGGAAGTCCAGATTATCTTTCCATCTCTCAACTCTGCTTTGATGTTTCTGCTTCATTCTTTCCCTCTCCCTCTAGAATATTCTCTTCTGCTTCTTGGTGAAAAATACTCCCCCTCATAGCTATCAGGAATGCATGGTGAAGATCCAGGCACGCCACAAGAACAACTCTCTCACTGGGTTCCACTTCCACATCCCCAGGGAAGGGACTCTGCTTGGCCCAATGTGAGTCAAGAGCCCACTGCAAAGCAGTCACCTATAGCCACAGGAGAGGCCACATGTTATCACACGTCACCAAATGCCTGCTGAACTAAGGGGGTGTGGTTGTTAAGAGGAGATTGTTGTGAACAGGGCAGACACTCTCAAAGTGTCTGCTGTGGGTGACTGTAGAGAAAGTAGAGAATAAAGTCATTCCCCTCTCCAGCCAACCCCACCCCTCACAGCCCACGTACCAAGGGTGGTCTGAGAACCTGGCAGAGAAAATGGCACCATGAGCAAGACATGAAAAATTCATTGATTGCCTGCCTGTCTGTGAGGGAAGCAATGCCAAGCTTCATTCATGCTCATCATTAATTCAATCCCAGGCTGGACTCTTTGGCTCAGAGCTTTCAGTTTAAAACAAATGAGCTTGGATGCACAGTCAGCCTACGGTTGTCTGCAGGTGATCTATGTCGACGTTGGCTTCTCTCTGGCAAACCCTCCTTTCAAAGTTATTGCCAGTTAACAGATTCTACACAGCCCTAACTACCCCTTGGAGGACATTTGGAGCTCCGGATTTGCAGTTAGCACCTTTCTCTGCTTAATTACAGCATTATGGATATCTCTGCACCCTCTGTTTACTTTGCCTGCTGAGATGCATGCTGAAAGCCAAGTGCCACCTGCCTGGCTCCAGGGAAGGTTAGAGAGGCAGACCTTTCATCAAGCAGAGAATAAGCTGTGTACCCCCAGGGAGCAGTGGCTGGGAGGAGCTGGGTGAGCACCAGGTGGGAAACTTGGCTCTCAGTTTCTTGCCTCTCCAGAGTGAAGTCTTTACCAAGGGGCCCTCTTTTGTTCTTAGAATGAAAACAATAGCTCATATTATTGAGTTCTTATTATGCGTCTATCACTTTGTTTGGTGGCCAGCCTCCAAGATGGCCCTCTGTCGTCCTTACCTTCTAGTACACATGCCCTTGGGTAGTCCCTTCCCACAATGAAGCAGAGTTGACCTGTGTGAGCAGAAGAATATTACATAAGGAATGGTATGTGACTTCTGAGGTTATGCCATAAAAGACATTGAGGCATCTGCCTTTGCCTCTTGGATAGCTTGCTCTGGAGGAAGGCAGCTGCCATGTTGTGAGGACACTCAAGCAGTCTTCAGGAAAGGCCTGTGTGGGGAGAAACTGATGCCTTTGGCCAATATCCAGCACCAATTTGCCAGCCATGTGTGTGAGTCACCTTGGAAATGGATGCTCCAGCCCTGATTAGGCCTTCAGATGATCCCAGCCCCTAGCTTCCAAGTCTTCCAGCTGCAGCCCCCCAGATAGTGGAGCAGAGCTAAGCGGCCCCAAGTGTACTCCATCTGAATTATCCATGCAAACTGTGAGGTACAATAAATGATTGCTGTGGTTTCAAGTCATTAAGTTTTGGGGTGGTTTGTTAGAGAGTACAGTCGATCCTTGTACAAAATGGGTTTAAATTATGCAGGTTTACTTATATGCAGGTTTTTTTCAATAAAAGTTACATTGAGCATGCCTGCCTCTCCTGCCTCCCCTTCCAGCTCCTCCACCTCTTCTGCCTCTGCCAACTGGAAACAGCAAGACCAACTCCTCCTCTTCCCCCTCCTCCTCAACCTACTCAACTTGAAAACAATGAGGATGAAGACCTTTATGATTAATGAATAGTAAATATATTCTCTCTTCTTTAAGATTTTAATAACATTTTCTTTCCTCCAGCTGACTCTATTGTAAGAATACAGCCACCTATATGCTTCAATACATGAGCATACAAAATATGTCTTCATTGACTGTTTATGTTATCAGTAAGGCTTTTGGTCAACAGTAGGTTATTAGCAGTTAAGATTTTGGGGAATCAAAAGTTATATCCAAATTTTCAACTGTGTACCCTTAGCCTCCATGTTGTTCAAGGGTCAGCTGTAATAGATCACTAACATGCTCTGTGTGTGCTTTAGAGCAGCAGTCCCCAACCTCTTTGGCACCAGGGACTGGTTTCATGGAAGACAATTTTTCCACTAATAGGGGTGTGGGGATGGTTTTGGGATGACTCAAACACATTACATTTTTTGTACACTTTATTTCTATTATTGTTACATTGTAATATATAATGAAATAATTATACAACTCACCATAATGTAGAATCAGTGAGATCTCTGAGCTTGTTTTCCTTCAACTAGACGGTTCCATCTTGGGGTTATGGGAGAAAGTGACTGATCATCAGGCATTAGATTATCATCAAGAGTGAACAACCTAGATCCCTTGCATGTGCAGTTCACAATAGGGTTTGTGCTCCTTTGAGAATCTGATGCCGCAGTTGATCTGACAGGAGGCGGAGCTCAGGCAGTAATGTGAGCAATTGGGAGCAGCTGTAAACACAGGTGAAGCTTCACTGGCTCTCCCACTCCTCACTTCCTGCTGTGTGACCTGGTTCCTAAAAGGCCACAGACTGCTACCAGGGCGGGGGACGGGGTGGGCGGTGCGGTTGGGGTTGGAGACCCTTGCTTTACAGCATTATTTCCTGTAATCCGCACAACAGCCTACAAGATAGATGCTATTAGCCATCCACATTTCACACATGAGAAAATAGAGGAACAGAAAGTTTTCTTGCTTACCAGATCCATTGGTGGTTCATCCATATCCCCTCAGTCTTCACCCTCCCAGTCCTTGCCACATCCTACCGTCCTACTGCAGGTACCTGCAATTCTCCATCTGAAAGCTTTCTCTCCACCCCCACATGGGGCAGGCCAGAGCTACCAGAGAGTGAATGCTTCCAGGAGCAACCCTCAGCTACTGAGGGACATGCTTCCTTGCCTTTTGGGTGGGATCCCTCTGAGTCCTGCTTTACACGGTCTCCTAAGTTCTGTCCAGTATGACACAGCCTCAGTTGTCCATAGTAGAAAGCTGATCAATAACACACCCTTTTTCAGCTGCCCTCCCTCACCATTAGACTCTCCATGCCCAGACAATGACTCTTGGGATCACCTCCCAGTGAACTACTTACATTCAAATCCTTGTCTCAGGGCCAGCTTCCAGAGGCACCCGACCTAAGACATGTAAGAAATGACAAAGTTGAAGGCCAGTCACAGTGGCCCATGCCTGTAATCCCAGCACTTTGGGAGGCTGAGGTGGGTGGATCACTTGAGGTCAGGAGTTTGAGACCAGCCTGGCCAACATGGTGAAACCCCATCTCTACTAAAACTCCAAAAATTAGCTGGGGGTGGTAGCGCACGCCTCTAATCCCAGCTACTCGGGAGGCTGAGATGGAAGAATCACTTGAAGCCAAGAGGCAGAGGTTGTGGTGAGCTGAGATTGCGCCACTACACTCCATCCTGGGAAAGAAAGGAAGAAAAAAAAAAGAAGGAGGGAGGGAGGAAGGAAGGAGGAAAAGGTATGAAAAGGAAGGAAAAGGAAAGAACAGAGCTGGGATTTGAACCAGACACTGACTCCCAAGCCAGCTCTCTGAACCATGATGCCACTGAGTCTCACACAAGTCAAACCCCTGAGCATCCATGATTCTCATTTTCAAATGCAAATATACCCCACACTAATCAGACTTAGGAATGATCTGCTGTTTGGGATTGGCCACATTTCTGATCTCTCTATTCATGGAAATCATTGAGAATTCACTAAGTAAATATGAGGCAGAGGAATATTATTCAATGTTGGTTTGCATTTTCCTCCCTGCTATCAGATAGCCAGGCTCATACTTGAACTCTGGCTTGATATTTTCTGGACCAAAGAGATAGAGTTAGCCTCAAGAAAAGAGTTGGCTGCTCTGGGCTTCAGCCAGGGACTCCTGTCATGGAGGGTCGTGAGCAGGAGCAGACCAAAGCCCTGGAGAGCAGCAGGAGCCGTTGCCACATCAGTCAGCTGGAACACAACTACCCAGGCTTATTTTTCTCCTTCTCATTTGCTCTCTTGAAAGCATCAGTGCCTTCAACAGCCTCAGCGGAGTCGACTAGGAAGCCAGAAGCTCTGGGAAAATCCACCTGGCTCTGGAGAAAGCCCCAAGCTTTTCCTCCCCATCTCCCCAGAGCCCGTTTTTGTTGTTTTTTGGGACAGGGTCTCACTCTGTTACCCAGGCTGGAGTGCAGTGGCATGATCACAGCTCACTGTAGCCTTCACCTCCCAAGCTTAAGCAATCCTCCTGCCTCAGCCTCCTGAGTAACTGGAACTACAGGTGTACACCACCATAACCAGCTAATTGTTTTATTTTTTGTTTGTAAAGAGATAGAGACAGCAAGAATCTTGCCCAGTCTGGTCTCAAACTCTGGGCTCAAGCGATCCTCCTGCCTTGACCTCCCAAAGTGCTGAGATTACAGGCATGAGCCATCACACCCAGCCAAGAAACCAATTTTAGTCTTTTCCAAAAATATATGACTACACATCACTCCCACTTTTTAAAACAGAACACCTGTTAACATCTGGTAGCGTACTCATGTTTCATCAAACAGTTTGGCAATCATCATCCTAAATTTTCTAATTACTGCCTACAACAGGATTTTGCTGATACCCATCCACGCTGGGCATCCTGTTTGTGAGACAATAAAATAGGGAAGGCACCAGTCCTCCAAGTGTCTGCCAACCTTTCCAGATTGCTGGGAAGACTAAGTGAGTGATGAGTGCTGAGTGAAGTATGAAGCTTCACAGATGTCTGTTATTGTTACTGCTTGTCAACTCTCAACAGTGGTTTTGTTTTTAAGGATTGCTAATAAGGGAGCTTCTAATAACTGTGCTTGTGGGAGTGTCAGGAAGTAGACTCTGGGATACAGGGTGTGCCCCACATGCTCTTGAGGTTTATACCCAAGGAAAGGAGGAGAAGGAAGCTGGACTGGGCAGAGGGAGAAGCTGGTTTGCAATGCACCCTGTTGATGGCTAAATGCCCCCAAGGGGCACTCTGGAGCTGGGCTGGCCATTCAGCGTCAACCCTAGTTGGGATGAAGGGAATGGGCCTTTACCTCCGCACCTTGATCAGTCATTGGATACAACACCCACCTGCTGGACTCATCAGAGCCAGTCCCTGCATCGGGCTACCAGCAGTCAGGGTGTAAGTCCCTCATTCCTGAAGGGGGACTAGGTGACGCACCACAGTGTCCACAAAATAACATTCTATAAGTTTCAAGGAGATAAACATTCCATTTCTTCACCTCTTTTAGAATATCAAGTGGCAATCCAATCTAACTCTTTACTGGGGAGTTGATTCACGTCTTGCTTTCTGGAACTGACTTTTCAATACCAAACAGGTACATGTGCCAAGAGATGCCAAATCAAAGCCTTCCTTTGATATGTGGCCATTAGGGAATGCCAGATTGTCCCTTCCAATGGAACCACTTTCTCCTTTCAATTAGCTAAAGGGCCTCTCAGTAGTTTTCTTCCCCAACATACATAGACCTTGCCTTCTAAAATGGACTTCTGTACCCTTCTTCTTTGTAAGGAGTTGTGCTGGGCATTCTCCCACTTTTTCCACCCCATTCCGTGTCTCAGGTGGGACTGATCTCCAAGGCTGCATCAGTGAGCTCCCTTACTTTCCAGCTTCTATTCTGATTCAGCCAATGGGAGGCACCAATAGGAGAATGTTGAGGGGAACAGAAAGAGATTGGGTTATTTCTTCCTCCTGACTTCCTCAGTCCCTAGCCAAGGGCAGAGGCCATGCTCCTTTTTCCAAGGCCACAGTTCCTCTCAGCTCCACTGTTGGAGTCATGGCTCTTGTTAGTTCCAGAAACTGTTCCTTCCCTTTAGCCCTTCAGGACTGGATCTGTGGAAAGGGAAGCAGCTCCTCTCTGTATTAGCTGGGCTGTGCTTCCTTGTTCCTCCTCAGTTTTCCTTATACCTCCATTTGTAAGATGAATCTTTATGAACACCTCCTTAATCACCCCTTTGTGCTTTTTCTGCCAGGACCCTGACTCACACACAACCCCATCCTATTGTCCAGAAATGAAATAGTTTCACCCAGGATTTCCCAAGATTCCTGAAAGGCCAGGAACCAGACAGAATATGTATGTCTTTGTCTTTGGAGGTCTACATTGAGGTCCCTGAAGCTCAGCATTGCAGACTCTTCTCTGCTTTCTCTCTATTTTATCTTTGATCTTTAGAACAACGTTTCTCAACCATTTTAAAAGGCACACTGCCCATTCAGGATCACTCAAAGACCTGCTTTATCTGGCTCTTCTCTTTGTCCCTCCCATTATATCATTCTTCAATAAACGTCTGTGGCCAGGTGCAGTGGCTCACACCGCGAATCCCAGCACTTTGGGAGGCCAAGGTGGGAGGATTGCTTGAGTCCAGGAGTTCAAGACCAGCGTGGGGAACATGACAAGACCCTATCTCTACAAAAAAATTAAATAAATAAAATTATCCAGGTGTAGCAGCACGTGTCTGTGGTCCCAGCTACTCAAGAGGTTGAGGTGGGAGGATTGCTTGAGCCCTGGAATTTGAGGCTGCAGTGAGCTGTTGATCATGCCACTCTACTGCATCCTAAGCAACAGAGCAATACTCCATCTCAAAAATAAAAAATGTCTATAGGAAGAATTAATGAATGTCTAAGCCTCAGTTTCCTCGCTTGCAAAAATGAGGGGAATAACCCTCCTAAAAAGCTTTTAAGTTAGGTGTCATTATTAGTACAATTTTACAAAGGTAGAAATTGAAGATCAGAGAAGATAAGGATTTGCTCAAGGTCACACAGCTAGGAAAGAGCAAGATCAGAAATGGAACCAAGGGCTTCTGACTGAGTCTGGGGCTCTTGATATGGTACCACAGCCTGCTACATTTCCAGATTAATAAAAAGAAACCAGTGCACCCTCAACCACTTTAAAAGGCACACTGCCCATCCAGAATCACTCGAAGGCCCACATTATGTGGCTCTTCTCCATCTTCTCCTGAACAGTCAGGAATTGAGATTTCTGAGGGCAGATAGATTATAGATGATTGATAGATAGATATGCAGCTATATATATTATATGGTTTAACTGTGTTCCCACCCAAATCTCATCTCGAATTGTAGTTCCTGTAATCCCCACGTGTCATGGGAGGGACCAGGTGGAGGTCATTGAATCATGGGGGTGGTTTCCCCTGTTCTCATGACAGTGAGTTAGCTCTCATGAGAGCTGATGGTTTTATAAGGGGCTTCCCCCTTTGCTAGGCACTCATTCTCTCTCCTGCTACCCTGTGAAGAGGTGCCTTCCACCGTGATTGTAAGTTTCCTGAGGCCTCCCCAGCCATGTGGAACTGTGAGTTAATTAAAACTCTTTTTTAACAAAATAAGTTATGCAGTCTCTGGTGTTTCTCCATGGCAGCGAGAGAATGGGTTGATACAATATATGTTTTTTCTTTTTAATTATCCTCTAAACACACACACACACACACACACACACACACACACAGAAGAAGGCTGCCCTTAAGTTCCTCTAGGGGTGTGGGGTGAAAACATCCCCCTTCTTGTTGTCATCATGGCTCTGGAGGTCTGCTATCATGCAGCCCCTTTGTCCGTCTTTGCAATAGTTCCAGGGTCCTTACCTTACTTCCCTGAAGCTTTCATTAAAAGGGTGAGTCACATGGCTATTGAAAGGTGCAGAACATAGGTGGATTGTAATTTGAGCTACATAATTGCAAATGAACATGTTTTTAAACTCAGAACTTCAGTTTTCTCACTGTAAAATAGGAAAAGATATTTACTTCACAGGTGACAGTGAGAGTCAACTGAAAAAAAAATACCCAGTACTACGCCTGTTGTAGAGTAACTGTTCAGTAAATATTAAATCCCATCCTACCCACCTCCAGGGTTTCCCAACCACTTCCCGGGCCTCAGAAGAGTCTCACTGTGTTGGGTAGGGGGTCCGTGGACGGCAGGGACCTGTGGATGTACAACCTTGCTTTGCCATTTTAGAGGAATATCAGCCGAGGTGTGGAAGGGAGTTATGTCAGGCCCTGTTCTTTGCTAGGGAATGTTCTGCTAGGTCGGGACACTGTGAGTAGAGCTTCAGCAATCCCAGTGTGCGGCTCCACAGCGACTTGTCGCACCTGCCAGCCACCATCTGATGGGAATTACCTGAGAGCCACGACCGTGAAGCCATTCACAGGAACTCATTCTTCCAGGGGGTCAGCAACGGAAATGACCAGGACCAGAAGAGATACAAATCTGGTGGGATTTAACCTGATGAATGCCGGGCTTTCCTAGCCCATGGGGCCTTGTAGAACCCCAGGTGGAGGTGGAGGTGGAAGGATCTAGAGGTTGTTTAGTTATAAAGAATGATAACCTACTCACATTGGCTACTTGAGTGGAATTTAAGGAAATGCTCACCTGCCAGCCTTATCAGAAGGTAGGAGCCAGGCATCTCTCTGAAGCAGAAGTCTAGACATTCTAAAGTTGCGCCATTAAAGTAACTAAACGGCCAACTCTCTCATCTCTGTTTCTTGATTCAGAGAGAGAGAGAGAAATATTTAAGCGGCAAGAAGCCAACCAAAGCTCGCTCCTGGCCGAACAGCTGCAGAAGAGGGGTGGGCTTACGCAGGTCCCATTAGGCTGAAGGGGCCTTCCTTCCCCCGTGGCTGAAGGAAAAGAATTCTCAGAGACGGATGCAGACAACTGGCCAGAACCCCACAGCTTGTCTGCCACAATAAGCAAGTTCTACTTAGTAGCCTTTTACATTTAGGCAGGGCTCCATTTCTGTTTAAATTGGGGAAGCTTTAAACTTTATTCGCAAAGGGTTTTCTAGAATACCTTTTAGCTTCCTGACCGCTCAATCCTGCCACAGGACTTTTGAAAACTCTGCTCCCTCTGCCTGGAAAGCCCCTTCTAGCCTCCAACCCCTTCCATGGCCTGGTACTCCTCCTCCTCTGCAGCTCTCTAATTGGATGTCCTATCACCGACCCTCAGAGGAGCTCACGGTCATCAGTTTCACGCTCCGGTAATATGCTATGCTTTTCTTTCGCTGAGTTTATCACACGTGCAATGACCTGTTTGTTTTAATTATTTCATGTCTGTCCCTTAGACTAGGCTACAAGCTCTAAGAGGGCAAGGGCTGTTTCTTATGTACCACTTTATCTCCGTTGTCTGGTACATTGCTGGGAACAGGTAGGTGCTTGCTATATTTTCCCTCTTCCTTGTGCTAAACTCATGAATCCTCCCAATAACCTTTATTATCCACTTTTATGGTAAAGACACAGGTTCAGAGAGTGCAAATGATGTGCTGTGGGGTAAACACACCTAATAGCAATAGCTTCATCACACCCTTAGACTGACCCTGTATGGCAGATGCTCCTGAATGTGTGTTCCGAACTAGGGAATCCGGGGGTGACCAGCCCAGATATCATTCCTGATCTATAAACATCTGAGCCCCTGGCCTGTCCTGTGGCACACAGGCCGTACAGGGGATCGAGGCCCTGAGTTTGGGGTCAAATGAAGGTTGCCAAGTGGAGGTCGTTAGGGGAAGGGTGTTAAGTGAAAATACTGCATAAACTGCATGTTGTGTGCAGGGGGTTGCGGTTCTCCTGCCCAGCCCGCTGCTGCTGGACTCTCCCCTGTACGGAAGCCCCAAATAAAATCTCATGTCTCCTTTGCCGGCTCTGTCTTCAGCGTCTTGAATCCGCTGAGGTTAAGAGGGGTTCAGCACAACTAAAGCCACACAGCTGGGAAGATGCAGAACCAGGCAGGGCATCTCTCAGACCCCAAAGCCTGAGCTTTTTTATGATTCCATGCTGCTTCTCACATAGACCAGATATGTCTTATTTCAAGATCTGAAGAATCTCCACAATTAGTCTGAATGCCCACATGTGTGGCATTTTGCTTTTAAATCCACGGGCCTTAGAAGCAGCAGTTCTCAGAGTGAATCTGTAAATTGGTTTCAGGTACCCCAAATCTCAGGCACCCAGCATGTTTAAAAGCCCCAGTACCCAGCCCCACTTGCAGGGCTAGGTGAGACTCTAGTACTTGCAGTATCAACAAGCACCCCCAGGTGCTTCTAATGCACAGCCAGGTTGAAAAACCAGTGCCTTAGGGTACCTGGTGCTTGTCTGATTTTTCTGTTTTTGCTGTGATTACCTGGAGGGGGTTGGTAAAGGGAGTGTTGAAGCTTGCAGTGAAGAAAAGCCAAAGCTTAGCTTTTTATTCAAAAGAAATGCCTACTGCTCCAGGAAGATAGCAGGGGGGCATCTGAGTTGTCATTTGAATTGCTGGGATGAGGACAGGGTCTCTACTTCACGCCTTGGCGGTCTCACTAGCTCCAGTTCCTAGGAACAGGTGGGTCTCACAGGCAGGCTTATGGGCTCCAGAATTGGCTTGTAAATAACTCATACGGCACAGCTGGGTTTCTGGCCTCATAAATATTGACCAGCTGTGATTAACCGTCCACTCCGGATCACATTATCTAGTGGGAAAGCTCCTTTATTAGGGTATTAAATAAGCATGAGGCCGTGCCTGTTCTGTACAACAGCTTTCCCCTGTGAAGTATGATGCTCTGGCCAGGTGATCTCTACCCAGGCAGGTAAAAGAGAACCATCAATTCCATTAAACAAGGTATTAATTGAGCACTTGCTATCTGCTTGGCATTCAGCCAGAGACTGGGGAGATTATGGTGAATGAGATATTTAATGAGTCACAAAATACGTTCAAAATAAGCTCACCTCTCTAAAACTGCCTAAAATGACGTCAGAGAAAGGTGTGGATGAGAAGGAACCAGGACACTGTTAGTCTAAGACTTTATTTAAAAATGCGGGTGTATTCATTTCCCAATTCTCATTAGTTGCCTTCCACCCAAATGAGACCAACCCGAGCTTGCTACAGGAAGGGAGTCAGCCACCATCATGTGTGTTTGACAGAGACGCAAAAGCAGGCAGAGGAGCCAGAAAGCTTTGTAAAGGGAAGAAGGAGAAGATTTCAGCCCTGATTCAGGTTGTTGGCATGGGAGGTGGGCTAACGAGAAGTGGGGCAATCCTATGTGATGGGCTAGCGTGCATCTTTGGCTTCCTCTGATTGGGCCTAAGTTGAACATGGGGACACAAGTTGGGGAAGCTGTCAGTTACTGATGATATCCTGGCCACTTGGGGCTGATTGCTACAGCGGTTGTTGTGTGGCATCCTGGGCTGGTTACTACAGACAGGAGGCTAACTTTCTGGACTAGTTGCTGTAGGCAGTAGATTGGCTTCCTGGGCTGGTTGCTTCAGGTTGTGGATCAGAGGTCGGCTTTATATGTTGTCTGGCCATGGTCTATTTGTATATTCAGTCTCATAGGACTGCCATAACAAAGTCTCACAAATTGAGTGGCCTAAAGGAACAGAAATGTATTCTCTCTCAAGGCTGGAGACTAGGAGTCTAAAATCAAGGGGTCAGCAGGGCCACTTCCTCTCTTCCTAGCTCCTGGTTGCTATAATTGGTGGTGTTTCTTGGTTCGTAGCTGCATGACTCCCATAGCTGCCTCTGTGATCACGTGTTTCTCTTCCTCCTGGGCATCCGTGTTTTCACATGGCCGCCTCCTCATCTGTGTGTCTGTCTCGGTTCCTCTGCTCCTCTCATGAAGACTCCAATCATGTTGGATTAAGGACTCACCCTAATTCATTATAAATTCATCATAAGTTGATTGCATCTGCAAAGACCCTAATTCCAAATTAGAGCATGTTCACAGGTACCAGGGTTGGGACTTGAACATAGGTTTTTGGGGGACACAATTCAAACCACAATACTGTGTACTCTTAAGAAGGCTCCGAAGAGATGCCAGGAGCACATGCTGATGGTTTTATGGGGCTTTGGCAGGAATAGTCAGCCAATGTTTAAGTTTCTGGAAGAGTCAAGGAGGATTCTAGAAGAAAAAGGAATTGTCCTGGTGGTTTAGCGGTCGCTGTTTCAACAGTATGGATCTTACCAAGAGGAGTGGGGAGATGCAGTCAGAGGTTTAGGTCTTGTGCTGTGGAGTGGGTGGGAGGAACAGCTGGGAGGACAAAGACACTCAGGGGCCCCAGTGGAAAAGTGTCTCTCATGAGGTCACCTAGAGATGGCAATAATAGGTCAAAGGCCTACATGGTACCCAGGCAAAACCATCAGTGATGCTGATAATCATGGCCAAGATCGGATGCTTAGAAATGAGAAGAGATGGATACAGGGCTTCCCATGACAAGAGCAGCCTCATCGCCATCCCTGCAGTTTTTAGCCTTATAGGGTGCATTCATTTACTCGGGCTGCCATAACACAGTACCACAAATTGGGTGGCTTAAAACAATAGAAATTTATTCTCTCACACTAATAGCTACAAGTCCAAAATCACGGCATTGGCAGGTTCATTCCCTCTGGAGGAGAATGTGCTCTGTGCATTTTCCTAGTTTCTGGTAGGAACCAGCAGTCCTTGATATGCCTTGATTCCTAGATGCGTCACTCCAATCTCTGCCTCCGTCTTTACACGGCGTTTTCCCTCCGTGTCTGTCTATATGCAGATTTTCCTCTTCTCAAAAGGACACACTTTGTATCGGATCAGGGCCCACCCTAATGACCTCATCATAACTTGATTACATCTACAAAGACCCTATTTCCAGGTAAGATCACATTTACAGGTTCGGGGGTTAGGACTTCAACGTATCTTGTTGGAGAATACAATTCAACTCACAATACAGAGGATAGAGGACATAATACAGTGTTGTAAATGCTGTAATGGAGAGTGGGGAGGCCCGGGAGCACTGTAGGGAAGGGCCTGGGCTTACAGGGACTGGAAAGGCTTCCTGGAGGAGGCGCCATCAAACGGAGACCTGTGGATGACTAGGCACTAGAGAGGTAAAATGAGTTCCAGGAAGGAACAGCACATGCACAGACCGGGAGAAAGGGAAAAGCATGGTACGTTACAGGATAAGCAGTTCAGACTCGTTAGATCAGAAAGAACGAGAGAATAATGGCACAAGAGGAGCATGATAAAAGAGAGATGGAACTGTGCCAGCTGGAACTTTCCTGAGCAGCAGACACTTGGGAAAGAAGAGAGATGCACGGAAGAATCTTTATTTGTAGGAATTCTTTTTCTTACCTCAAGTGTCTGAGAGTCATCATTTCTATATGCAGTGCAAACTGCAATGATATAGTTTGGCTCTATCCTCTCCCAAATCTCACCTTGAATTGTAATACTCCCCACAGGTCAAGGGTGGGGCCAGGTGAAGATAATTGAATCACCGGGTGGTTCCTTCATGCTGTTCCCGTGGTCGTGAATAAGTTTCACAAGATCTGATGGTTTTATACATGAGAGTTCCCCTACACAAACTCTTTTGCCTGCTGCCATGTAAGACACGTCCTGCTTCCCCTTTGCTTTCCGCTATGATTGTGAGGCCTCCCCAGCCATGTGGAACTGTGAGTCAATTAAATCTCTTTCCTTTAGAAATTACCCAGACTCAGGTATGGCTTTATTAGCAGCATGAGAACAGACTAATACATGCAAGCTTGGAGATCTAAACAGAAGGACCTGGTGGCAAGCTTCCAGAGCTGATATAAAATAAGATGGCATTTGTTTCATTGGTCAGTAGCTACTACACACTGGCCATGTCGCAGTGTAAGCAAAAATCCATATTGCGCCTATCCTCCAGGCTATTAACAATCTGTCTACTGGGAGAGAGACAGTAACCAAATAATCCTTCAAATAAATGTTTAATTACAAATTCAGATAATAACATAATGGTAGGATTAGATTTGCAGGATTTTTTTCCATTTTTAAGAATCACAGTGGTTTAAATATTAGCAGTTTTTCTCTCTCATAAATAAAATTCAGAGATGGCTGGTACAGCGACTCTACAGTCATCAGGAACTCAGGCCCCTTCGGTCCTCTGGCCCATAATTTTTAGCATATCTCATGGTGCTAGATGGCCACAGGAGCTCCAGGCATCAGGTTCATATTCCAGGAAGGCTGAAGAACAAAACGCTATACCCCTTTAAAGAGCTTTCCTGTGAGTATTAACCAATCAAATTCCACTTACATGTCCTCATCAGAACCCTGTTACATGGCCACCTATCTGCAAGAGAGGCTGGAAATAATAGACTTTAACTGGGCTCATGTCACCCTAAAATAAAATCATGATTCTAAAACCAAGGACAAAAGGCAGAAAGGATATTGTGTGGGGAGTCGGATCCCTCTATCACATGAAACAAAGGAACGCCATTCTCCCAGGGAGTGATGCCTATGTTGAAAGATATAGGATGAGGAGGGGCTAACCATGTGAAAGGGGGAGGGACGTAGGTCTCCCCATAAACTAAACAGGCTAATGTAGCTGGACCATGGATGGGAAGATGAGGTACTGAGAGATAAAACAGGGCAAGGTAGGCAGAGACCTGATGAACCCGGGCCTTGTTAAGATGTGGGGCTTTATTCTAAGTGCACTGGAAGCTGCTAAGGAGTATTAAGTAGGAGATAATACCCTTTAGCAGGTGGTCTGATCATCTCTGTGTGTTTTGAGTGCCTACAATGTGCATGGTGCAGGGTACTGGTGATACAGAGTTATAGCGTCCGCTCGCTGGTGGAGCCTGGTTTGGGGGAGAGCAGCTGCCTTCTGGATTAGAGCTCACAGAACCATATGCCCAGCTGTGTGCAGGGAAGTGTGGGTGTCAGCAAAGGGTTAACCTCAGAGCCACCTGTTGGTAGTTGAATGCAATTTCAGCAAGATGAAGGGGAGGACAAGAACATGCCAGGCAGAGCTGGCCCAAGCGCTGCAAGTGTCCAGTGTCGAGGATCTGCCAATTACAGGTGATTTCTGGAGGAAGACCAAGAGATGAGACTTAAAGTCAGTCAGTCAGAGGTTAGATCACTAAAGGTCTTGTGTGTCAGGCTAAGGGGCTGAATGTTAGCGAGCCATGGAAGGGTGTTGAGTCAGGGAGTGACATGATGCAAGCTATGTTCTAGCACATCAGCACTGGCAGCAGCATGCAGGAATGCAGAGGAGGAAGGAATGCATAGTTACTGAAAAGAGGAGGTTGCTTTTTGTGCACTTGAACTTCTGCCTGTTGGGATCCTGGCTAATTTTATCCTTGTTGGCAGACACCTACTCGGACTACTCCTCCCTGTGAAATACAGAAGCCGAGACCTACATTCCCTTATCTGAAATTCTGAAATCCAGAAAGCTCTGAAAACAAATTTTTTTTTTTTTTTGGTGATTCATTTGATGACCAAACCTGAGCCTAAACTAAACTCATTCATCCCGACTCTGTCTGGCATAATGTAACTTAATCTATTTAGTCCACTTAATGTGAATATTAATGTTTTCCTGTGTAGAAGGATTAATGAGTTCAATGATCGGTGTTAAATAATAAATGGCATACATAGAGTATTGCCTTTCTAACATTCAAAAAATCCTAAATTTCATAACACATCTGGCCCGAGTGTTTTTGTTTGTTTGTTTGTTTGTTTGTTTGTTTTTTGAGATGAACTCTCACTCTGTTGCCCGGGCTAGAGTGCAGTGGCGAAATCTCGGCTCGCTGCAACCTCCGCCTCCCGGGTTCAAGCAATTCTCCTGCCTCAGCCTACTGAGAAGCTGGGACTACAGGTGCCCGCCACCACACCCGGCTCATTTTTGTATTTTTAGTAGAGAGAAGGTTTCACCATGTTGGCCAGCCTGGTCTCGAACCCCTGACCTCAGGTGATCCGCCCGTCCCAGCCTCCCAAAGTGCTGGGATTACAGGTGTGAGCCACTGTGCCCAGCCTGGCCAAGAGTTTTAGATAAAGGATTGTAGTTACCATATATAAGCAAGAAGTTCTGAAACAGCAGGAGAATTTGCTCTAACTAGGGGATTGTTTTAGCAGATAAAAGGAGAATCTACTTCATGCAAAAGACAGTAAACTTATGGACCTCATATTTCTTTTTTTTTTTTTTTTTTTTTTTAATCATTCTTGGGTGTTTCTCACAGAGGGGGATTTGGCAGGGTCATAGGACAATAGTGGAGGGAGGGTCAGCAGATAAACAAGTGAACAAAGGTCTCTGGTTTTCCTATGCAGAGGACCCTGCGGCCTTCCGCAGTGTTTGTGTCCCTGGGTACTTGAGATTAGGGAGTGGTGATGACTCTTAAGGAGCATGCTGCCTTCAAGCATCTGTTTAACAAAGCACATCTTGCACCACCCTTAATCCATTTAACCCTGAGTGGACACAGCACATGTTTCAGAGAGCACAGGGTTGCGGGTAGGGTCACCGATCAACAGGATCACAAGGCAGAAGAATTTTTCTTAGTACAGAACAAAATGAAAAGTCTCCCGTGTCTACCTCTTTCTACACAGACATGGCAACCATCCGATTTCTCAATCCTTTCCCCGCCTTTCCCCCCTTTCTATTCCACAAAAACGCCATTGTCATCATGGCCTGTTCTCAATGAGCTGTTGGGTACACCTCCCAGACGGGGTGGTGGCCGGGCAGAGGGGCTCCTCACTTCCCAGTAGGTGCGGCCGGGCAGAGGCGCCCCTCACCTCCCGGACCGGGCGGCTGGCCGGGCGGGGGGCTGATCCCCCCACCTCCCTCCCGGACGGGGCAAATGGATCATAGAAAGTATAAAATAAATAGGCTCAGAGAACATTTTCCTACCTTTATGGATGATAAATCAACAAGAGGTTAATAAGAAAGACTTAGGGCTACCCAGGATGCCACCACTACATTTATAAAGTTAGTATCACAGAGAATAACTAGCATCTACTCCCATAAGGCCAGTGGCATTATTGTTTTTGATAACAAACATATATTTATATGATGCTTCGGATTGTATCAGGTATTGTTGCAAATGCTTTCTCCTTTAATTCTTGTAAGAACCATGATGAATGGATGTTGGCATTCCCAATCTACAGCCAAGGGCTTCAAACTCAGAGAAGGTAGGAAATTTGTTCAAAGGCACTCAGCCAACATTTACACATAGGGCCTGGATTAGGTTCTTCTGAATCTGAGATCTGTGATCTTATTTTCAACAAACAATAACATTCTTGGATGAAGGGTAACAACTTTTAAAAAGCCTGCTACAAAGAGGCAGCACGATAAAATTTATCTCACAAGCCCAGTCCAACTCATAAATTGTGGCTGAATGACATCCTCAGTTGAGGATTTCAAAATTGTTTCGAGGCCTAACAAGAACTTTGATAATTTACCAGGCCTGACAAGGACTTTGACTATCTATTAGCTTTGATTACCAAGGTACAAAATGGAAGCATGGCAAATGGGTGGATTGCTATTCTTTTTTAATTATACTTTTATTTTTTGGAGATATGGGATCTTGCTATGCTGCTGCCCAGGTTGGTTTCAAACTCCTGGCCTCAAGCAATGCTCCCACCTCAGCTCCCCAGAGTGCTGGGATTACAGGCATTAGCCTTTATGCCTGGCCCTACTGTGCATGTTTAAGGGTTGACTTTACTTTGTTTCATTTAGTCAACAAAAAAACGTCCCTTAGGTGTTTACTGGGTGCAAGGCACTGCAGGATGCTGAGGCTGGCTAGCTCTATGAAGGCTCAGTCCCTGCCCTCGAGGAACTTAGAAAAGTCTCACTGCTGCTCCAATTGTGTAGGAAAAGTGATGCGTGATGCAATAATACTACAGACCCACAAGCCCAAAGAGGGACTTGGAGAAGCAAAGTGAAGATGGTGCTACCAACATAGTCTAGACTTCAGAAGAGAGTGTGTTCTCCTACAAACCACATTAACAGCTCGGGCTTTGGAATTGTACAGGCTTGTGTCCAAAACCTAGTAACTAGAGTGACACCCAGGAAGGGGCTTAGCTTATCTAGATTTCAGTTTCTTCATCTGTTTGAAACGGAAGAAAAAAGGAAATAGCGACCTCAGAAATTTGTCCAGACTTAAAACAACTTGTAGGAATAACAGCTATGATTTGTTGAGTAGTTTTATGCACTGGGCCTTGTTTTAAACTCTTTACAGTGAGCGCTCAGAACGTGGCTATAATAGCCATAGTATTCTTGCTGCCTCTGACGTTGTTACTAAGAACTCTTCTGGGACTGGTTTCTTCCATTCTGTCCAATCTCTACCGCTGACTCTGTGATTTTCGAACAAGTCACTTCTACAGGGACTCAATTTTTCTTTTTACAGAGTTTGCTGTTAAAAAAAAAACTTGGATTAGATGAGAGGCTAAAACCTGAGGATCTTTTTTAAAAAACCCAGATTCTTGGGCTCCATGTCATAAAGATTCAGATTGGCTAGTTCTGGAGTCAGGCCTGGGAATCTGCATTGCTTTTAACTTAATGATGAAAAAGTACAAATAGACTCAATACTAAGAAAGGCAATGGCCCCGTTAAGTATACGTTGGCCAGCTTCAATAGTCACCAAGGCTTTGTTGTATTTGTTTGATCTATCCTATGCAGGCTGTTCTTCATTCGCCACCCCCAGAGCAGGTCCACTATACCCTGCTCTGAGCCTCAGGAAGGATGAACTCAACAACTGTTTTCACCAGGTTCCCTTGCCTTTTGTCTCCAGCAGGGACTGGAAATTAGGAGGAGAGCAAGGTTGGGCCATGCATTTCTCTGGCTCCCCCTTCCTTGGGCGTTGGCAATGGCTATGTCCCTCCACCCCAGGGCACAGCTGAAGGCAGCCAGCCTTCCCTGGCAGCCTGCATCTGTCCATAGCGTCTTAACGATTCCCGCCCCTTGACACTTCAGGTCTAAGAATTGTGGTTTCCCTAGTGTTGCTTATTTCACCCTTTTTTGATTTCCCTAAGCCCTGCCCACATCTTTAGAAACAGCAAATGCTCTCTAATTACCTAATTTGCATATGACATTATTTTCCATGGGGACTAACCCTCTTTTTATTCGTGCCTGAATATTCTAAAGCAAATCACTCTGCATCACAAATGCAATGATCACATTCAGCAAGACAATAATTTTAATGTCATCTACAGGCAGCCATCTGTATATTTCAAGTGCCCCTTTGGTACCTCTGAGCAGTCATGTTTGGGAATCACTAGCCTATCTTTGTGTGCTTTTTCCCTCTCAAATGATCTGCCTCTTGGATATGCAGAGAATATCCCAGTTTATAGATTTGAGTCAGTCTCCACCTGGTGGCAGGAAAGCTCACCTGGATTGTAGGCTGGTAAATGAGAACCCGGTTATGTCAATGAGGTGGTGTTGCCATGGGAACTGCCCTAGACCATTTAGGAAGTGGCTTGAACACTTAGGCCTCGATCTATCCATAGGCTGAACAATCAGGTGGACACTGAACCAAACATTCCACCTAACTATGTATCTTCCTTCCTCGGGGACAGGTATGGCCACTCATAGGACCAAAAAGACAAGTCATAAGCTATGTATTATACAGGTTACTGTATGACTAATAAAAAGGGCGAATTTGGGAAGTGGTTAGAGAAAACACTGTAGTGATGACCAAATGTAATTTTAGTAAGTTTACCTGTTTGAATTAGGCTTGGGAATCAAAACACAGACTACTCACTTGGTGACAGAGGTCAGGCACTATGTTTCATGCGCGTCTGTGTGAAGAGACCACCAAACAGGCTTTGTGTGAGCAATAAAAGCTTTTAATCACCTGGGTGCAGGCGGGCTGAGTCCGAAAAGGGAGTCAGCGAAGGGAGATAAGGGTGGGGCCGTTTTATAGGATTTGGGTAGATAAAGGAAAATGACAGTCAAAGGGGAGTTGTTCTCTGGCGGGCAGAGTGGGGGTCGCAAGGTGCTCAGTGGGGGAGCTTTTGAGCCAGGATGAGCCAGGAAAAGGACTTTCACAAGGTAATGTCATCACTTAAAGCAAGGACTGGCCATTTTCACTTCTTTTGTGGTGGAATATCATCAGTTAAGGCAAGGACCGGCCATTTACACTTCTTTTGTGGTGGAATGTCATCAGTTAAGGCGGGGCAGGGCATATTCACTTCTTTTGTGATTCTTCAGTTACTTCAGGCCATCTGGGCGTATACATGCAAGTCACAGGGGATGCGATGGCTTGGCTTGGGCACAGAGGCCTGACACTATGAGGTTAATAAAATATTTTAAGATCCTTAAAAATAACAAAAAGTCATTATTCCACCCCAAACATGGGAACCTGCCCTCCCCTAATGCTCTGCAAGGAAATCTCTCCCAATACTTATTCCAGGGAGTCGTTTCTCTTGCTTGAGTCTTACCTTAGATCAAACTTGTAATTACACGTTTTGGTCTTTGAACATTTGATTCGCTTTTTCAGGTTTAAGATGAAAAAGATCCATTAACCACTCCTTGGGCCTTTCCCAGAAAGAAGGAAGTTGTGGACTGTGGCCAGTTGGAGAGGCAACAGGTTGGCACTGTGAGATGTCTAGGCAGATCTGCACGTAAGTGGACAGGACTGAGCAGGTCATTGCCTATCTCTAGGACAAAGGCCACTCCTCTGCCCTTATTCTGGAGACTTTAGTATCTCAGTGAGTTCTAAGGAACTGTTTCATCCTCACTGTACTAAATTACAATCCTGAATGAAGAGCTTGGCCAGCAAAACTCCATTCAAGTTTAGAGCAGCAGGAATTGGCTGGGGATCAAAGCATCTCATTTCTTAAAGGCAAGTCACCAGGGGCATATGGCTGGGTATTTGGTGGGTCGGTTGCAGACAATGTTTTCCTTGTTAGCTTTGCTACATAAAAGTCTTTTCTGCTGAGGCAGGCAACTTATTCTAGTTTTCAAAGCAAATCCTTCTGCGACCAGGTTGCTAAAACCTAAGCAATCCTCAGAGGCTTTGCTGATCACCCCTTCATTAGGGCATCCCACCATGCAATTACCACGCGAGAGCAACCTTGAGCCCTGCAGACACAGATTTTTGCCCTTAAGCACTTGAGTAAGGAAATTAGGCCAGACTCAAGCTGTAGTCCATTTTGGCTAAAGGAGAAAGGCTCACCTACCTGTCAGCTACAAATTACCTTCGCCCCACCCCTCACTTCTTGATCATCTGCTTTGCACTCCCCCATTGCTTCTACCTGGGACTGCACGTGTCACTTGATCTGCTGGACAGGAGCAGTCATGGGAAACAGGCTGTGTACCAAGACCTGCAGATTTGCAGGTGGTTAAGAGAGATGTTGGGCTTCAAAAATCATGTGCACACGGGATCCTTTAAGATGATCTGCAGAAGGAAGGGGAAGGAACAATTATTTCAGGAGACCCCCCCACTCCTGAAGACACAGGAGCTGAAGCAGCTGTCTGCTCTAAGCTGTTATTAGGGGGCGCTTATGCGGTGTGGATTCCCAGATGCCAGACCCAGAGGTCCTAATTCAACAGGCCTGGAGCATCTGCATCTCTAATAAGCTGCTCTCCCTTGTGATTTAGGACCAGGAGATGTGGTAACCTAGCTCAAGTCCTTCCATCTTGTCCTGGTGATCTGCCTTGAGTTTAGAACTGATGAACACATGTGCCTAAAAGCCTTTGAATTTTCTGGGCAAGTCAGAATGATTTACTGGGGGCAAGTCGGTTTTATATCCTTAGATTGTGCCACTGGGGCATCAGACATCTGGATCAATTAGGAAAAGTCATTGCTTTAAGGTAAGAGAAGGCCCTCATTAAAATGCAAACATTAGCTGAGCCCTGAGTGATGCTAGCAGCGCTTAGGACACTATGCAGTCTGCAGTGGGAAGGGACAAATGCTTAAAGTTTAGGAGTGCTGGCTTTGCTGAGTTGGGGTCCACTCAGTCACCTCACTAGCCCTGTGAGTCTCAGGCAAGTTCTTTAACTTGGATTGTCCATCCATTAAATGGGGATGATGACAACCTCATAGGGATGATGCATATAAATGGCTGACCTCTGTATATGGCCCAGGCTATGCCTTGGTGTCATGTCAGACCCCTACTAACTCCAACAGGGATGGCACCAGGCTCCAGAGGCCAAGAAAGAGACCCAGAGCCCATAAACAAGATCTGGGGTTTCATCAGGGGAAACCTTACAGGGAGGGTCCGTGGTGGTGGGCTGAGCAGGAAAACTGCAACTGCTTGCAAAAAGCAGGCAGTTTATATAGCACCCTCACTTAGCACCCTCCACCTAACACCTCCACCTCGCAAATTTCATTTAACCCAAAACAAAGGGCCTCAATCCCCTGCACAGCCCGTGTTCTGCTGGACAGGCCGGGGGCTCAGATGTTCCTCATAGATGAGGAACGGATCTCCAGGTTGGCCATGCTAAGAACTCTGAACACACATGCAGGTGAGTCTGCCATAAAGGGTCATTCTGAGGCAGTGATTGCTATTGCTGTCAGGTGTGACTGTGACTGCCTACCATACACCGGGGTAAAATGGTATCCATTTATTATGAGGTATTTGTAGAGGGATACAAGTGCTAGAGGATCTATTAATGTTAACAGATTCCCATCACTCCCTCCCCTCCTACCCAGGCAATCCATCCTCTACACAGCTGCCTGAGATGGCTCCAAAATCCATATCTCATCCCGCTCTACCACCGCACCTTACAATCCCTCAATGGCTCCCTTAGGGTAAATGCACCTGAGAACAATAACAAGCATACCATGAGAATGACCCTTTATGGCTGAGTCACCTGAGTGTGTGTTGTGAGCTAGGGAACCCAAGAGTGGCCAACCCAGAGATTCGTTCCTTCTCTATGAGGAACATCTAAACCCCTATTCCTTTTTGTGGAACACAGGGTGTACAGGGGATCGAGGCCCTTTGTTTTGGCTTAAGTGTTAGGGAAAGGGTGCCAAGTAAAAATGCTATATAAACTTGCATGCCTTTTGCAAGCAGTTGCAGCTCCCCTGTCCAGGCTGCTACCACTGGACTCTCTCCCCTGGATGTTAAGCCCCTAATAAAACCCCAGGTCTGGGTCTTTTCTTTCATCTCATGAACATGGTGCCACTCCCACTGGAGTTGATAGGGGTTTGGCATGACAGCTCCCTATTGCCTTCATGTTAAAGTCATACAAGGCTCTACATGCTTTTGCCCCTACTGACCTCTCCAGCTCCTTATCTTACCACTCAGAACCTTTGAACTCTCATATTGCACAGTGTCCAATTCACTTTCCACCCACCTACCTACCTACCTAACTACCTACATTTTTCCTTCCTCCTTCTACAGTTCATTCTCTCTCCCCAACAATAACCCCATCCTGGGTTACTTAATACACTTCTACTCATCCTTTGAAACAGCCCAGCGGTCACCTCCCCTAGGAAGCCTCCCTGACCTCCTTCCTCCACCTGGGCTCGGGGAGGACCCTCTGCAGTGTCCCCTGGGACACCTCTCAGCACTTTCGCCTCCTATTCTAACTGCTCACGTATCTGACCTCTGCATCAGTGGTTCTCAGCTCTTCCCACTAGAATCAGCTGGAAGCTTTTTAAACTCCCCATATCCTGGCCACATGTCAGACCAATGAAATCACTCTCTAGGGGTGAGACTCAGGTATCAGAAGTTCTCCCTGATGATTCCAGGTGATTGCAATGTGCAGCTAAGGTTGAAGGCCCGGGCTCCAGATGGTGAGCATCTTGAGGGCATCAAATGTGTGTGCAGAAATGACTTTCCACCAATGCTTAGCACAGCAGCCGCCACATTGGTGGTCTCCAATAAATGGCTGAATACACATAGGAAGGTGGGTTAGTATATTCAGGAACTTCCAGGGTTGCATCACAGTCTGAAAGAACAGGTTGTGCAAAGGTGTTGGGACAGGTGACTCTTGGAGGTTCAGGGCCACAAGAAGGTGCTAGAAAGCAGAGCGGGAGACTGGGGTGGGTGGACCGAGCACAAACTCCTGCAGTGGTCCTGCAGTGGACACCTGCAGAGTTCCACCTGAGGCTGATACGGGGCGTGCAGGGCACGGGCCACAAGTCAACTCAGCTGTAACCACATCCAGTCCAGCCAGAGACACTTGAACCTCACCGGTCAGGGGTCCTTGTGGAGGAACTGTGTCCTATTTATTTAACTGGTGGATCTAACAGGCTTGGAGACTCCTCTCTGCCCTCCTAGAGAAGGCTTGGGAGGTGTCTATGTCTTGGCAGACAGAGAATGTGCTCACAGCTCACTGTCCTGGTCACACGATCTCGACTTCCTTTGTCGACAGAGAGGGCAAGAATGTCCAAGCCCTCCAAAAACCCTTCCTGATCAATCCTCCTAAACCCTGCTTCCCTCCTGACCCCTTAATAGTTGGGCCTTCCTTCTTGGCAAGAATATCTGAAAATAAAGTGAGAAATTCACCAGCTTATTTTCCCTTAGGCTTAGCCCAGAAGAACAAACTTTTTCTCCCTCGCCTTCTCTGAAGAGGACAAGCAGGTCTTTGTAACATGGAACCTCAAGTTTCCCTTGTCCCAGAGGATTGGTTAACAAAACAAATCTTTTAGAGGAGGAAAATCCAAGCTCTGGCTGGCAAAGGACTGAGCTACCTAAATAGGGGAGACTATGCAAGGTGGGAGGTTTACATTTCCTGGGTCTGGGGGAACAAGGGGTTTGGGTTCACTGAGTTGTAGCATTTATGCCTCATCCCACTAGAGCCCGAAGAGGCACAGGACCCTTGCTGGATGCAATGATGGGTGAACAGGGCTGACTGTCACCCCCACCCTGAGATGTTCTTCACAAGCGATGGCTCTTGAACCTTTCTAATTATTTGAGATTTTTAGTTTGTGGTTGTTATGACAATGGTGACTGTCTGATAGACACATCTGATAGCAATAATTTAACTTACACATACCCCGAGGATGACCCTGTATGGCAGACACACCTGAATGTGTGTTCGGAGTTCTGCACGTGGCCGACCGGGAGAGTCATTCCTTGTCTATAAGGAACACCTGCACTCCCAGCCTGTCCTGTAGAACATGGCCGTGTAGTGGATGGAGGCCTTTGTTTTGGGTTAAATGAAGGTTGCCAGGTGGAGGTTGTTAGGGGGAGGATGCTAAGTGAGGATGCTATGTGAACTGCACCCTTAAGCAGTTGCAGTTTTCCTGCCCAGCTTGACTGTTGTTGCTGGGCCATCGCTGTACGTAGCTTTCCCACTGGTAAAACCCTAGGTCTCATTGGCTGCCTCCAGGTCTCTCCTTCGGCCTCTTGAACCTTGTGTCATCCCTGTTGGAGTTATTACGGGTCCCACATGCGAGTGACAAGACACTAAGACCCTGGAGGTTGGAGTGGGGTGCAGGGTGGGGAAATCCAAAATTGTGTTTGGGTATATCCATTAACTATTTCAGTGGAGAGGTGGAGTAACTGCAGTTAGTGTCCCTTGCTTCGTGCTTACTGGTTTAGGCACTTTCCATAGATTAAGTCATTTAATCCTCACAACGACCCTATGAGGTTAGTACTTACACCTTTTTCCATTTAGGAAACTGAGGAGATTAAGTAATTGTTCAAGGGAACATAACAAAAAAGGCAAGTAGTCATTTGGTTACACGATTTTGGAGAGGTGTGTGTGGTGGGAGTGAGAACAAAGCTGGAAATACAGATTCGGAAGTCAACAGCTGATAAGATGATATTTAGAGCTATTGATCCCATCAGTCTTCCTGGGAAAGCACCTAGACTGGGAAAAGGAGAGTGTCTGGACCAAGCCCTAAGCACTCCCAAATTTAGAGATGAGAATATAGAGGGGTAGGAGCCACTACTGGGAACTGGAGAAAGGTCAGTGAGGTAAGAAGAAATCAACGACAGTGAGGTATTCCGGAAGCCAAGAAAGGGAAGCATTCCAAAGACCAGGAAGTGGCCAGTTGTGTCTGGAGCTGCTGGATGGCCAAGTAAGATAAAGTCTGAGAAGTGCTTTTGCAGGGAGGAAGACATTGTGCTTTTGACAGGAGCAGCTGCTTTGGAGGAGAGGGGACAAAGTCCAATTGTGGTAGAGTGGGAGGCGAGAAAGTAATGTTGGGGAGGTGCTACCTTTCAAGAAAAATCCAGGGACTGAGCTGCAAGGGCCCATGGTCCCTGGCATTCTCTCCAGCTCTCTCCACACAGCAACTTCATTTTTTTCCCCATATATGCTGTAGAGCATTTTCTATAGGTCACAAAGAAGGTCTTGTCCCATTCGGTCAATAATTGTACCAAGGAGGTGAAAATGGGAATAAAATATAAAAAATAGAATGGCAAGAACGGGATGAGCAAGTCGCAAGGATCAATGAAGCCAAACCTGTCCAGGAAAATGTATCTATCCATGAACCCCTGTCTTCAAGGAATCAATCAGCAGCTCTTGAAAAATTGTATCTCCCGTAAAAGTGTCATCAGAGCTTTCACGGTGTCATGATGCAGGTGCCAATGGCTGGGCACAGAATAGATGGCCCATTAATACTCACTGATGGGTTTATTGATTTGTGTGTCCAGTATAATTAGCCCCACTGATCTTCAATCAGTGCAGCTTGGGGAGGGGATGGAGCCAATGTATCCAGAACAGGGAGTGGAGAGCTGGGCTCTGTCCTGAGGGCCACTGGTTCCCTGCGTAGCCTGGAAGCACCCCGGACTCCTCAGATGCATGGGTTCCTCACTTGTAAAATGGGAGGATGGCAGTTCAGAGTTTCCCAAAGTGATTTCCAGTGATCCTTAATTATTTGTAACGTTAGTAGGGTTTTTTTTTTCTTTTTTTTCCTCACCAAAAGGGTTAAATGGTCAGATTTGGGCAACACTCATTTTAAATGAGCAGGAATTCTTTGAGCTTTTGGTATGCTGGATATTATAAATCTCTAAGAAATGTGATAAAGTATTCATTTATTTGTTTGATCTACATTAGCACCAAGCATATGCCGGGCACTATTCTAGTGCTGGAGACCTACCAGTGAACAAAAGGCTTCAGTCCCTCTGTGAAAGTATTTGCCTTCTAGTGAGGGAATACAAAGAGACAATCAACAGTGATAGGTCTAATGACAAATGGAGCTAAATCCTGTACAAAAAAGTAATCATAGTAACACAGCACAGGAGATAGAAGGCGGTGCTATACATAGGAGAGATGAGGCTTTCTTCTCTCATAAGAGTATTTTTGAGCAGAGACCTTAAGGAAAGGAGGAACTGTAAATGCAAGGTGGCAAAACATTTTTCCTGGTCACAGAACATCAAGGGGGTGAATGCAGCTGATATGGGGACAGTGGTGAGATGATGTGGGAGAAGAGGGGGAGAGGTTGTGTGGAACCTTCCCTCTTGGCATCTACTGGTAGAGAGGTAGATTGTGTTTTCCACACTGATGTCCTCAAACGGGACTATCATTTTTTTTCTTTGATGATGTAATTCTCAGGATTAACATCCCACTGGAATAGACAGTTTCTAAGTACAACACTAATGATATGACGTGGGTAATGGAATGATGTTCTAAACTGACCAGTGGAGAAAGTGAAAAGTATAAGTTACAGGATCTCTTGTGAAATGCTGTTCTGCTTTATAAAAAAACATGGACCAGATTGTGATTTAAGAATGGGATCTAGACTGGGCATGGTGGCTCATGCCTGTAATCCCAGCACTTTGGCAGGCAGAGGCAGGTAGATCACTTGAGGTCAGGAGTTCAAGACCAGCCTGGCCAATATGGTAAAACCCTGTCTCTACTAAAAATACAAAAAATTAGCCAGGTGTGATGGCACATGCCTGTAGTTCCAGCTACTTGGGAGGCTGAGGTAGGAGAATCACTTGAACCTGGTAGGTGGAGACTGCAGTGAGCCAAGATCATGCCATGCACTCCAGCCTGGGTGACAGAATGAGATTTCCTGTCTCCAAAAAAAAAAAAAAAAAAGCGATCTCTAAATCAGATTGCAAGACTAGTGTCAATTCCTCAATTGACTCTCTATATGACTTTGGGCAATTTCTTGGCCTTTCTATGCCTCGGCTTCCTCATCTGTAAAAATAGGAACAATTATACTTCCTACCACAATGGCCAGAGTGAGGATTAACTGAGAATTAACAAAATGCTTAATGCAGTGCCAGGCACACAGTAAGTTCTCAGTAAATGTTACCTGGTAAGATAATTAACATTAACATTTAATAAGGCTTATAAGTGCTGCCGACCAAAGAATCTGCTTCATATATTTAAAAAAAGGATGACAGAAATATAGCATCAAATGCTGGGACACCTGGAGTGCTTTCGAAGGGCTGGTGTGCTTCATGACCGTACTGTGTGTTTCACACACCATGGCCGTCATCCTGGCTGCCTGTACAGCAACTATTCCTCTGCTATCCCCTGGGGTAGCAGCCACACTCCTTGCCATGTTCCATGCCAGTTACTTGTTGCAGTGGGGCTGTTCATGCAATACAGCAGAGCTCAGGACTCGGCTAGATGGTTGGGAGAAAGGAAGCCGTCCTCTTTGCTGTGCTGTAGAGGAGAAGTCATGCAGCCAAGGAGCTGCAACAGTCATCTCTCTGCCATGAAGACAGCCAGCCCGGGCACAAGGCCAATACACAGAGCAAGGCGGAGACAGGAGACTGCCTGAGAAATGAAGCCCCATCCTGGCTCACCAGCTACCTCTATACCAACCCAATTCTGAAATTCCCCCTCCTTCACTGTAAACTCTTCAGGCCCAGGATCCAATAAATTGCTTTATTTTAAAACCATGCTAAACTGGATTTTTCTTTTACTTTATAGCCTAAAGCATCTTAACTGATACCCATCAGATAAGTTATCTCATCCTATCTCCATGACAACCCTGTTGTAAGATGCTGTTATTCCCACATTACAAATGGAGACACACTCAGAGAGGATGGCTGACCTGCTGTGGAGCTATTTCGGGACAAAAGTTTGTACAGTGGATTTAGGTTTCAAAGATCTGGGTTCCTGTCTTAGGTCTGTTATGTATGGCTATGTTTCTTCATCTGTATAATGAATATAGTTCTTTTATTTTATTTTTTGAGACAGGGTCTTGCTCTGTCGCCCAGGCTAGAGTACAGTGGTATGATCACGGCTAACTGCAGCCTCAACCTCCCAGGCTCAAGTGATCCTCCCACCTCAGCCCCCCTGAGTAGCTGGGACTACAGGTGCGTACCAGTTAATTTTTTAATTTTTGGTAGAGGCAGGGTTTCAATATGTTGCCCAGGCTGGTCTCGAACTCCTGGCCATAAGTGATCCTCCTGCCTCAGCCTCTTAAAGTGCTGAAATTGCAGCCATGAGCCACCATTCCCAGCCTAGTTCTTTTTTAAAAAAAAATCTTTTCTCCCAAGGTTGACATGGGAGCTGAATCAAACAAGATGCCTTAGCGGGAAGCTCTTTGCAACCGTAAAGTACTAAGCAAATGTTCACTCTTCCTAAGCCGTGGCTCCCATGTAGAAGCTCAGTCTTTTGAATTCTGCATGTTGCTGGCTCAAGAGGCTCAGGTTCCACCTTGTTCTTTGATACAGGTAAATATTCTGGTTTCTTGTTTATACTGATTGTTTAGCAAATTCTCCCTTTATAACTAGTAAATATCTAAAGTTAAGCCTAGGCCAGGCACAATGGCTCATACCCATATCTCAGCACTTTGGTAGGCCAAGGCAGGAGGATCCCTTGAAGCCAGGAGTTCAAGTCCAGCCTGGGCAACATAGTGAGACCATTTCCTTATAAAAAATTAGCCAAGCATGGGTGGTGTGTGGCTGTAGTCCCAGCTACCAGAGGGGTGAGGTGGGAGGATCACTTGAGCCCAGGAGGCTGCAGTGAGCTATGATCATGCCACTCTACTCTAGCCTGGGCAACAGAGCAAGACCCTGTTTCCAAAATAAAAAAATAAAAATTAAAAAAATGAAAAACCTATCCCTGACCCCACATATTATAAAAGGGAACTCAGCTGTATTCCAAACATAGGTTTTATTTATCAGTTGGCCTGCTTCTCTCATCTAAACAGGCATGCATGCCCCCAATTCCCTCAGCTTCTTGGAACCACAGACCTGTAACATTTTTCGTGGTTGGTCAGTAGATTTTCTATGTCCTGTTCACATCCCAGATGTATATTTTCTATCTTCTACCTTTAGGGATTAAAAAGATAATACATCACTGGAAAATTTTCTCTTGTTAGGAATAACTTTGAGGTAAAAGTCCCTGTAGTTATTTAGGGTAATAGAAGTGAAAGACTGTACTTCAGATAAGAGGGTGAAAATTTGTCCTTACCATGAATATACTGAAATGATTTACCTAAGTGATTCAGACTTGATTCCCCAAATATATTAATCATGAGCAAGAAGAACTGTGTTCATCTTTGCACTGTTTATATCAGAACAGAGAGCTTGTCAAACAAGGCCCTAGTTCAATAAGCATGGTATGCAAGGGGAAAAATGAAATAGATTTATTCTTGTTATTTGAGGAGTATGTGCTTTATTGTACACACTTTGCTTCTGGCTATAGAGAAAATAATTTATCTGCAAGTCTTTTCCTTTCATTTGCCTTGAATATAAAGATTAACTGGTGTTTTAACCATCTTGTTCAGGCCACATTTATGAAGGGAAGTGGTTCCCGCACAACTCCCAATATTTAAGTTGTATCATTATTCTTAAAGATATGATGGTAAGCCTTTCAGTCATAAAAGTTGGGCTATTCTTTCATATTAATAACTTGAAAGGAATTTTTTGCATTAATTTTCATGGAAGGGGAAAGTGACAACAGCCAAGAATTGGAAAAATTAATTTTCTGCAATCATATTGACTTAATTTGAACTTGTCAGCCACTGAGGTAGTACAGGTGTGTTAGAGAGTGGTATCAGATTGTTGCTCACTGTGGCTGCCCACTGGGATAAACCAAGTAGTGGGTATTACATTGAATTGTTTGCTTACTTTCTCCTCCTTTGATCAAAGGCCCTTAAAATATATTCAAGGTTGGGAGTGATGTCCTTGCAGTAGATTGCAACCTGTTTATATTGTCTTTATCAATGTCAACTGTTGGGTTTCAAGGAAGAAGAAATGTAATCCAGGTTCAAGGACAACTATTTAGAAATGCTTTCGTCTCAGAAAGAAAACCAAAACATCTCTCAGTCTCATTTACAAAATGCTTGCATTTTAAAAACTAATTTTTCTCTGCTTCTGATAAAAGCATACCCCACAGCTGAAACTACTTACAACATAGGTTTGATTGAGTTTTGTTTGTTTGTTTGTTGCAAAGCAAAGATTTCACTTTTAATTCAAAGGGATGGATACTCACGCTGTCTGAATGTCTGAATTCCTTTAGCTTGATGGAGTTTGGGACCCCACCAATTAGTTTAAACAAGATTGTGACTCCAGCAAGTCCATATTTAGCGGCAGACCAAGTTATTTTGTTGTTGCTTTGTTTCTTTCGTTTTCATTTTTACAGACAGGGTATCACTCAGGGTCACCCAGGCTGGAAAGCAGTGGCATGATCATAGCCCACTGCAGCCTCCAACTCCTGGACTCAAAGGATCCTCCCACCTGGCCTCCCAGAGTGCTGGGATTACAGGCAGGAGCCATGGTACTTGGCCCAGACCAAGTTTTTAAATAATGTCTTAATACCATGTGCTCTTCCTTTATACATGGGAGCTAAGCTATGGCTGTGCAAAGGCATACAGAGTATTGACTTTAGAGACTCAGAATGAGGAGGGCGAGACGAGGGTGAAGGAAAAAAAAAAAACTACGTATTAGGTGCAATGTACACTACTCACCTTCATACTTCACCACTATACAGTTCATCCCTGTAACCAAAAACCATTTGTACCCCCAAAAGCTATTGAAATACATACATACATACATATATATATATTTTTTAATGTTTTGGTACCATGGGCCTGACTCTTCTTTACTAATGTTGTCCCTGCTTTGAAATCGAGGGTTTCAGGGAGTAATCTCAATCCTGTTCCTCCAAGGACTCTCTCTTGTCATTTATTTCACTTCCACCCCAGGAGTATGAGTGAAGTGACAAAAAGTTTCCAGAAACCATGGATGGGTATTCTTATGACTTAGGTTATACCTGCACCTAGTGCATATGCACAACAGACTTGGTTAATTCTTCTGCATCTGGATACTTTGAAAGCAAAGCCGGGCTCTTTATGAGCTGCCCAAGGCCAAAACTAACTAGAAACTTGAGCCTGAATCATCCCAAAGATCAAACTAAAGATGACCCAGGAGGTGAGGTCAGACGTGTTCTTCTGTCTTTATGCAACACTTCTTTGTGAAGGAAGCCACAACTCCAGGCTGCAGACTGTTCTGAAAGATACTTTTACCCAATTATGAAGTCCAACTAGACGGTGATGCCAAAAACAGAATTAGCAAGGAAAATGATACTATTTTGGTTGCTATGAGAGTTTTCTTCTCTCAGAGGAAAGAACTGAACTGTATAAAATCCAGAGAATTCTAGAAATTTCAACACTTTTCATTATTGTTTAACAGGTCTGGTCATTAAAATGACACTGGAGTTTCACCTTTTGGTTTTTGGTCTTCCTTCCTGCCTGCCTTTTTTCCTTCTCCTTTCTTCCCTTTCTCCCTTCCTCCCTTCCTCCCTCCCTCTCTCCTGCCCTTCCTGTCTTCCTTGCCTTTTTTTCTTCTGTAAAATCTTATCTGATACTGACAGATCCGCCTGCGGTTTCCTCATGAGAACAGAGCAATAATGAGTATAAGCTGATTAATGAATGCACTTTAGAACAGGGGTTCCCAACCCCTGGGCCACAGACAGATACCAGTCCATGGCCTGTTCAGAACTGGGCCGCACAGCCGGAAGTGAGTAGCAAGTGATCCAGCGAAGCTTCGTCTGTATTTACAGCTGTTCCCCATCACTCACATTACCACCTGAGCTCTGCCTCCTGTCAGATCAGCTGAAGCTTTAGATTCTCATAGAAAATCCTACCCTATTGTGAACAGAGCATGTGAGGGGTCTAGGTTGCATGCTCCTTATGAGAATCTAATGCCTGATGATCTGTCACTGTCTCCCATCACCCCCACATGGGACTGCCTAGTTGCAGGAAAACAAGTTCAAGGCTCCCACTCATTCTACATTATGGTGAGTTGTATAATTAATTCATTATATATTACAATGTAATAATCATAGGAATAAAGTGCACAATAAATGTAATGCACTAGAATCATCACAAAACCATCTCCCACCCCTGCTGGTCCATGGAAAAATTGTCTTCTACAAAACCAGTCCGTGGTGTCAAAAAGGTTGGTGACCACTGCTGTGGAACACTGAGACCTGGGCGGTACTGGACTCATCACAATGCTACTCCATTCCTATCTAAATTTCCACATCCTCAACTCCTTGCCCGGCCAAGTGCCATCCAACCTTCCCTCTCCAAATCAAATAACTTTTCCACCAACTTTCTGCCCTCATCTTGTCAGACCATGATGATGATTCCCTTCTCCAAATATCCATGCCACCTGCAGACGATTCCTTGTACATCGCTTATTGGGAGTTTGTTTTTTTTTCTCCTCCAAAACTTTATTACACTGGTAATATGAGATAACATGCTTGTTGAGTACAGTGAAAGAATGTGGAAGTAAATAAAAATGACCAAAAACCCCTTTCCTGGTGCTCTGATTTCCCCTTCCTCCCAGAATAAATGACTTCAGAGCTCTGGGCACACCTTCCCAAGCCTCCTTTTAGGTATTTACATCCAAATGTATGCACATCCACATATGTATAGATGGGTTATTTTATATGTATATATGTGAAACCATACTCTACATATAGTTTAACACCCTTCTTGAGATGTTACTCAGGTACCATCCTTATTTCTTTTCACCATACCATACTTCACATCCTCACTGGCACTTATTTGCTGTCTTTTTGTTGATGATCACCCGAGGGGATGTGATGTGAAATCTCACTGTGGTTTCGATTTGCATTTCCCTAATGGCTAATGATGTTGCGCATCCTTTCATGTGCTTCTTGGCCCTGTGTATATTTCTTTGTATATTTTGTCCACTTTTAAATTGTGAGTCGTCTTTTTTATTATAAGAGATGTTTACATATTCTGGATATAAGTCCCTTATTAAGTACGATTTTCAAATATTTTCTTCAGTTTTTGTGGGTTGTCTTTTTGCTTTCTTGATGGTATCCTTTGAAGCAGAAGAATTTTTAATTTTGATAAAGTCCAATCTATTTTTTTTCTTTTGTAACTTATGCTTTTGGTGTTATATCTAAGAAGCCTCTGCCTAATCTAAGGTCATGAAGATTTTTCTTTTATATTTTCTTCTAAGAGTTTTTTTTCTCTTTTACATTTAGGTCTATGATCCATTTGCAGTTAATTTTTGTAGATGATGTAATGAAAGGGTGCAACTTCATTCTTTTGCACTATTTGTGGAAAAATAATGATTCTTTCTCCATTTAATTGTCTTGGCAAGAATGTCAAAAAATCAATCTGGGCCAGGTGTGGCAGCTCACACCTGTAATCCTAGCACTTTGGGAGGCCGAGGCCGGTGGATTGCTTGAGCCCAGGAGTCCGAAACCAACCTGGGCAACATGGCAAAACCACATCTCTACAAAAATACAAAAAAAAAAAAAAATTGGCTAAGCATGGTGGCATGTGCCAGTAGTTCCAGCTACTTGGGAAGCTGAGGTAGGAGGATTGCTTGAGCCCAGGAGGTTGAGGCTGCAGTGAGCTGAAGTCATGATACTTTACTCCAGCCTGGGCGACAGAGTGAGACCCTGTCTCAAATTAAACCTTAAATGTAAGGATTTATTTCTGTACTCTCTTTTATTCCATTGGCTTCTGTGTCTGACCTTATGTTAGTACCAACCCCTCTTGGTTATTGTAGCTTTGTGGTAAATTTTGAAATCAGAAAGTATGAGCTCTCTTCCTGCATATCTTGATTCTCAGTTGCCTTCACCTCAAAAACATCCTTATGCCAAAGCGGCATCATTTGAAGTGACATGTTTTGGATCCTTTCAGCAGGAAAATGAATGTTTACTGTTAATTTCACAAATGAGCTTGATTCAGGGTTAGACTTTGTCTTGGTCTGTTTGTGTTGTTATAAAGAAATACCTGAAATTGGGTAATTTTTAAAGAAAAGAGGTTTATCTGGTTCATGATTCTGCAACATGGTGCTGATATCTGCTCAGCTTCTGGTGGGGGCCTCAGGCTGCTTCCACTCATGGCAGAAGGCAAAGGGGAACCAGCAGGCGCAGAGATCACATGGGGAGAGATCTAGCAGGGAGGTACCGGACTCTCTCTCTCTCTCTCTTTCACTTTTTTTTTTTTTAAATAGTCCTACTGCAGTACAGGCTCTTTTGAACAACCAGCTCTCGTAGTTGTTAAATAAGACGAAAATTCACTTACTGTTGGGAGGATAGCACTGAGCCCTTTGTAAGGGATCCGCCCCCCCAGAACCAAACATTTCCCATTAGGCCCCACCTCCAACACTGGGGATCAAATTTCAACATGAGGTTTCTGGAAACAAACATCTAAGCTATGGCAGACTTAAATCTTGCAATGTGAGATAAATGTGTAAGTTGCTGAGGGCTGCTCAGTTTTTACTTGCTGGGGGCAGAGTCTTCTATAGTCCTTTCTTGAAACCTGCCAAGCCTAGGTCAGAGCCTGAATGTCGATCTGTTCCAGAGAAGCCTCTGCAGGGGCTCAATCTGTGCACTTAGATGGGGGAAAATATTGTGTGCATTAGCACTGGGCTCACACCTTGCCAGCTGTTAAATTGTGAACTCTGCCTGGCCCACAAGGCAACCGTTCTCACGGCTCCACTTAGCACATTTAAAATGAACAAAATGATGCACCTGGGCACCTGACTGTCCCCTCTCCCTGAACAGCTCAGAGAAAACGTTTTTAATTCCAGTAGATAAGTCATTCAGAAACCCTAAGATCTTTCTGATCTCTGAATGTTGTTCTTGTCTTTCTACCCATTCTCCCACAGTCCAGGTCTAGTATATTGGGTTTGGGTTTTGATCTGTTCGTCTGACATTTATCTTTGAAAAAGAGGCAATTCAGGGACATGTTGTAATGTATTTATTTATCCGATGGCTCTGGACTAAATGTGAAGCCAAGAAGGCCAATTACTGACTTCATGAATCAAGATTCGATTGACACTTCACTTGTAAAGGAAGTCATTTGTTAGTTTAAGACCTTATGAGTTAATTACCGGCTTCAGTTCTTCAAACCCAAGGCTGAGACTGGGTGCTTTTGCTCTCAAGAGTTACAGCATGAAATCAACACAATAAACTTACATGTGGCTTTAATTTACCAAGTGCCTCAGTTGAAATAAATGATTCGCTTTGGCAATAGAAATGAAAATGGGGGATGCTCATTTGTGCTTTTGCTAATTATTCTCTCCTTTTCTCTCTTTCTCCTGTCCCCAAACCAAGAGAAGTTCATGGACCGAGGGACAGGCAGGGTCACTTCTCCAGGTACACACTCACACCAAGGTTTATACTCAAGCAGAAGGATGACATCAGCCACAATACTCAAATTGTTATTTCTCTCTTTTCTCTTTGTTTTGTTTTGGTGAGAGACTACATTGGATTTGTGTGAGTTAATGTTGCCTTCCAGGATCACTCCTAGAGTTTTGTGAGGACTGCTTGGGTTGTTAGGATCAGAGAGCCACTCCCACTACTTCTAGTCAAGGTTGCTTATTCTCAGGAATCCTGGTAGAAACTTACGGAAATTCACAAAAACAGAAGCCAAATACAGCCAAGGGAACAGAACTACAAAACTGGGACTAAGGACTTTCCCCTTCTCTCTCCCTCTTTCTCTCTTCCTTTCTCCTATATCCTAAGCATCTCCCTTTTCTCCTCCTTCAGCTTTCATGGCCCATTTAAGGTTTTATTCCCACACTTACTACTAAAATTCCTGAAATAGTCCAATGAGCCCACTTCCCTCTTCTGCCGTGAGCAGCCACCGTGAGCCCACTGCCCACCGTGTCCCGAGAACGAGTGTGAACAGGCAAGGACCGGGCTGTCTTCAGCAGTGTCTCCACCCACCTCTGCCCCGGATAGAGTTGCCCACACCCTCTGTGGGGGCTCACTAAAGCAGCTATTATACCTGCCACACTGGATGGCAAGTGTTTATTCATCCACTGTCTCCGTTGCCAGTCACGAACTCATGGTTAGAACCTTATTTCTAGACTGTCCTATTTCATCATAGTCCCTGATAGATTGACGGGGCTCAAGAAATGTTTGCACAGATAAATGAATCTATATAACCCCTCAGCTGAGAAATACTTTGAATCTCTCTGTGCCAGACCACATTGCCTGTCCAATTAAAAAAAAAAAAAAAGTGCAGCTGGGATCAATGTTGTAAAATATGATTTCCCAGGCTTTGGCTGCACTCCTCCAAAGACAGGAAGAATAGAACAGTACGGCACTGGGGGTCTGGGTCTTAATCCTTGGACAGCCTCATTTCCCACTTGTGCTTCCCGCATCCGTGGGGAGGCGCCGTCCAGGGATGCAGGATCTCTGCCAAATCCCAGGCGTCTGCGCCAGGATGCTCGGGGCTCTGGGTCTGGGGTTCTGGTTGGAAGCCCTGCCGCCTGGGCTGTCTGCCTGCTCCTCACTTGGAGACACATCATTCCTGGCCTCTGGCCCCGTCATCGGCTTGCCGTCAGCTTCCTCATTGATTTTTAAATTTTATTATTGGCTTTTAGAGCGCTTGAGGACCTGAGGCTTTCCTTCACCATCGATTTGCTTGTTCCCAGCCAAGGGGGTGAGCTTTGCCATCTTCATCCCCTGGCTGCTGACCAGCCCCTCTGTCTTGTACTTGGGGATCCCTGGCTTGCTCTGGGTCAAGCCTGAAAGACTGGGCTCATTTCTTCAGACATCTGTCGTGCTGAGACACTGCTCCAAGCCAATTTGAAGGCTGTATTCGCCATGACCAAGTGACAAGAGCTGACTTTAATTAAGTGCAAGCTCTGTGCCAGCTACTGTGCTGAACACTTGATGTGCATCATCCACATTTAATGTCTCAAGAATCCCTTGGACATAGGTAATTTATCACCAGTGTACAAATAGGGAAACTGAGGCTCAGAGAGGCGCAGCCACTTAGTGACCATAGAGGTATTTGCATAACCTCTACAACAGTACTGCTCAAACTATTGCAGCCTGGTATATGGTGTGTCTGTGCATGAGCAACAACACATAGCTCAGGCCACATGCAACTCACCCTCCAAGTTCAAGTTCAACACCACCCTAGCTGGTTTGTGCCACAACCAGTAAGTCCCACGATCACAGCTATCTCAATAGCATTAAATTGCAATAAAAGTTTCCAATCCCATCCTCTCAGTTCTGTACTTCCCTTGGTAACAAACAATTAGACCAGCAGCCCACACTTGTGTGGCACTTGTCCAGTGGATGCTGGGGCACCTTCCTGTGTAGAGGGGTGACCATGGAGGAATTGTTTCTGCAGGAAGAGAGGAGAGGGGTTTGGCCCTGCTGGGTGGAACTTGGACTTTTTCCTTCAACACTGTCTCCGCTTCCTTCTGCCTCCATCATAACCCCTACAGGACCGAGACCGTGTCTGTAAGTTTACTTCCCTCCTTTGACCACAGGGAAAATATCTGTTCTGAAACTAAATTTTTAATACCATACAGCAGCTCACTGCTTCCTACTTTTAAAGGCCCAGGGATGGGGCAGACTCTTTTGCAGTCCTCTCCTTTCTGATCTGCTTCTGCCCTTCTCTCTCTCTCCTCCCTTCCTCTTCTCCCCTTCCTTCCTTTCCCTCCTCTTTTCTCCCCTGTCCTCCCTTCCTCTTCTTCCTTCCCTCCTTCCCCCCTTTCCCCCTACTCCTCTCTGTTCCCTCTCTCCTTGCCCATGTGTAGCAGCCTATATATTTTTCCATGAAACACATCTGTCAGTGTTAGCATCTCAGGGTGGTTTTGGGACACACCTGGCACAGTAAATCCTGCAACTGGGTACCTAGGCAGGTGGCATGCACCAGCAGCCTGGATCTAAAACCACGGCCAGCACTCTGGAGGAGTGGGTTCTTCTTATGGGTTTGCCACAGGCCCAACAGACAATAATCCTGTGTGAGTGTGAACAGGATAGGAAGGGAGGAAACCCTTCTGAAGGCCAACATTGTTCACAGTGCAGTAATCACGGGGAGGTTATTCTCTCAGGCAGGGGGTACGTGTTTAATTTATACACTCTGGACCTTGGGTTTTGTGGTTTGCATTGGATTGCTGTACTTCATGTCATTGTTGACCCCTGGAGCTCAGAGCCAAGGGCCAGGTGGGTGCTGCCCCAGGAGATAGAGTTGGACAGGCCCGGGGCTTGTCACACACAGCAGGTAGGCATCCTCATCCCCACCAACCACTTTGCTTGTAAATAATTTAACCCTCTTAAACCTAAGTTGCTTATATAGAAGATGGGGACAATAAACATATTCTCAAGGGTTAGGATTAAAGGAGGTAATAATCCACATGAAAGAGCTCAGGGCCTAGAACCTAGTAAGGGTACAACGAAGATTAGCTACTTGTACTGCCACCCTTATTGCCTATAATGTACAGATGAGGACTAGAAAAATTCATCAAAGTCATGTGGCCAGAAAGAAGTGAAGTCAGGATTTGAATCCAAGCAGTATGATAGCTAAGCCCAGACTTAACAAATGGGCTTCACTGCTCACTCAAATGTAGCCTCTGTTACAGAGGAGTTGATGATGTATCTGTGAGCCCCTTGAGAACCAGGATCATGCCATTTTCATCTTTGCATCCCAGTGCCTGTCATAGTCTCTGGCACACAGTAAGAGCTCAGTAAATGTTGATGGAATGAATGACTGAATCAGGAAAAACACAGGTCTGGAGGAATAAGTTGGGCTAATTTCAGGAAAGGATGGGGAAGAAGAGGGGGCTATAGAATCTGTTACTTAGTAACTTAGTTACTAGCACCAATACATGATTGACTCAGAAGCCAGCAGGTACTGACCCAATGTTAAACCAACCAAATTATGGATCTAAGGACTCCTACGCTTCCTTGGTTAGGTTAATCTGGTCCTAAACCTGCCTTATCCTTATGTAAAACAGAGGTTGAAAGGTGAGGGGGAAGGAAGTAGACATTCAAATAAGACCAGAAGTTAGACATGTAATTTCGAAATGTGGGTTCTGAACTTCCTCAAATTCTAAAACCACAGGCTTCCTACTTGCTTTAAATGTTAGCCAGGGCCAGGCCCAGTGGCTCACGCCTGTAATCCCCATACTTCGGGCAGGAGGATCGCTTGAGCCCAGGAGTTTGAGACCAGCCTGAGCAACATAGCAAAACCCTGTCTCTACAAAAAATACAAAAATTAGCTGGGCATGGTGGCACACACCTGTAGTCCCTGTTACCTGGGGGGCTGAGGTGGGAGGATCACTTGAGCCCGGGAGGTTGACACTGCAGTTGAGGCTGCCACTGCACTCCAGCCTAGGTGGCAAAGCAAGACCTTGTCTCAAAATAAATAACTGTCAGCCAGGACCAGCTAACCAGCAAGTTCATATCTGTCCTGCTTGAGAAGGATACCCAGCGTAGATGAACATCAAGGCTTCTCTTTTTCCTTTTAATAATAGTGTTGTTTTAAGTTTCATTTTTAAATGCATTCTCGATCATTATAGGAAATTTAGAAAACATAGCAGAATAGGAAATTTTTGTATTACTCTAAGTCCTTAAACTTCATAACTACTATATGCATTTTGCTGTATTTCATTCCAGAAGAAGATCACTTTTTAACTAAAGCTCATTGAGTATTGACACTTTCTAGTTCCTACAGATCTAGTGAAGCCCTCGAGATTTATTTTGGAAGAAAAAAAGTTCCAGGCTTCTAAAGAGGCACCATGACATAATGGAAAGACCCTCAATGACAAGTCGGGTGATGCTGAGTCCATTCTGCCACGGCCTCAGTGTCTGACCTCCGCCAGGACATTCACTGCAAGGATTTCAGTTTATCTTTCTTCCCCCATTTTCTGCCCATCTTTCCTTAGTCAAAGGCCTGGCCTGCAGACTTCAGGTTCCTGTATCAGACACAGACATGGGCTGCCACACAGCTGGGACTATGGAACCAGCTCTTACGACTGCAAAAGGCCAAATCCCTATAATAAAACCCCAATAGTAAAGATCTTCTAAAGGTGCTGCTTTTCTGAGTCCTGACCCTTCCAGCAGGGAAGGTGGCCACCATATGCATAAAACTTGCACCCTGCAAGCGTGGCACTGAAAGGGTCTTTTGTGAATCTCATGAGGCTCGTGATGATTGTCCACCCCTCCAAGAGTGTAAACTCCCTAAGGGTTGGGTTGTTGAGAGACCCCCATAGCATAGCAGTTGTATCAGTTTCCCAGGGGTGCCATAACAAAGTACCCCACCCTGAGTGGCTTAACACGACATATTCTCTCACAGTTCTGGAGACTGGAAGCCTCGCATCAAGGTGTCAGCAAGGTGCCACCTCTGAAGCCTCCAGGGAGGATCTTTTCTCACCTCTCCCACTTGACCTGTGGCAGCACACCCCAGTCCCCACCTCTGTCCTCACACGGCCTTCTCCCTGTGTCTGTGTGTCTTCGTTTGGCCGTTTCTGCTCTGTGTCTCCTCTGCTTTTGAGAACATGAGTCACATTGGATTAAGGGCCCAGCCTACTCCAGTCTGACTTCATCTTAACTAAATGTCTGCAACATACAGGTCTACATGTCCCTAGACCTGTATCTAAACAAGGCCACATTCTGAGGTACTGGGAATTAGGAGTTCACCGTATATTTTCCAAAGAACGTAACTAAATCCACAACAGGGGTTATGATGGCTGATTTTCTATGTCACCTTGGCTGGGCGACAGTGCCCCGATATTTGGACAAACATTATTCTGAGGTGTTTTTTGGTGAAGAAGGTGAAGGTGTTTTTTGGATGAGATTAACATTTTTTTCTTTTCTTTTCTTTTCTTTTTTTTTTTTTTTTTTGAGACAGAGTCTTTCTTCTGTCACCCATGCTGGAGTACAGTGGCTCTATCTCCGCTCACTACAACCTCTGTCTCCCGGTTGAAGCAATTCTCCTGCTTCAGTCTCCCAAGTAGCTGGGACTACAGGTGTCCACTACCACGCCCATATAATTTTTGTATGTTTTGGTAGAGACAGGATTTCACCATGTTGGCCAGGCTGGTCTCGAACTCCCGACCTCAGGTGATCCGCCCTCCATGGCATCCCAAGGTGCTGGGATTACAGGTGTGAGCCATCACGCCTGGCGGAGATTCCAACATTTAAATGGGTGGACTCTGAGTAAAAAGATTACCCTCCATATTGTGGGTGGGCCTCATCCAATCAGTCAAAGGACTTAATAGAACAAAGACTGACTTACTCCCCTGAGTAAGAAGGAACTCTGCCAGCCAACTGCCTTTGGACTCAGACTGTAGGTCTTCCTGGCTCTCCAGGCTGCCAGCTTACCCTGCAGATTTGGGGCTGAAATCTCCCCAGTTGCGTGAGCCAATTCCTTAAAATAAATCTGTCTTTTCTATATATACACATCCTGTTTGCTCTGTTTCCTGGAGAACCCTGACTAATAAAGTGGTTAGGAACACGAACTCTGGAGTCACTTCTCTCTCCTCCCATTTACTGGCTGTGTGACCTTGAGCATGTTAACTTCTCAGAGCCTCAGTTTCCCCATCTGTAGACTGGGAAAAATATTAGTACCTACTTCTCAGGGTACCATGGGGATTAAGTGGAGTTAATATAAAACACTGAGAACTACTCCCAGCCCATCATAAGCCCTATGTAAGCATTAACTGCCTGATCAGAGCTGCATCTCCAGCTTCTAAGACTAGGATTGCACAGAATAGAAGATAAATATTTGTTAACGGACTCTACTTCCTCTAGCTCTGTCTATTAAGTTTCAGGCCAAAAATGTTTGGCTGTAACAGTTTTAGAACATCTCTAACTCCTCAGTCCTACCACGCAAACCATTCCCAACATAAACAGCTGATCCTGAAGTGATATTGAATTTTAGGCACACTTAACAGGGCTACTTGGATAACCTAAGATCTCCTCAAATGCCAGCTGGGTATGTGCCGTATACTCTCACCCTCTCTTTCTCTCCCCTCTCTCCTCCCCCCCACTCTTTCCTGCAGTAGTTAACAGGACCTCCAAAGTGGTACCTGACACAGCACAAGTGGCAACAGGATGGATTTAGAAGGATTTAGTCTGCATCTAGAAATGTAGACTCCCTTTCCCCACAGAAAAACTGATTTCCAAACTATCTCAGAGAGTACCACATTGCCTAGGAGCTCAAAAGCTCTAATTCCACTCTGTTAATAATCAACAGGGAGCACTAAGCACATAAACTATGACCAAACCTTCTGAATATCAACCTGGAGGTGAAAAGTTAGCCCTCCTCGCTGTGTTTCTATAGAACTTCTCCTAGGTGGTGTTCCAGAGCTAATGAGAGCTTAAGAAAAGAAAATTGGAATGAAGAAGGATTCACACAATAAGGTAGCTCACATTACATAGGTTAGCTCCGTGGGTGGCTCGCTTAGGAAGCCGCCTATGAGTTTCTCATTAAAGGAATATTAGAAGAATACATTCATAAATTTCTGAGCCAGGCTTAATTTTCCTGTTTGAAAACTGCCAGGGAAGAGAGTAGATTACAAATATATGAAATATGAGAAAATGAGACTTAATGAATTCTAAGTTTATTCACTGAAGTATTTAACTATCCAAGCTATCAAGTGGGGATAATAAATTTGATTATGTCATAAGACTGGCCCACTTTAATTCACATTTGTAAAATGAGCTATAAATAAAGGGCCGGATTCAGTGCTTAATTTTTAGAGATGCATTAATTCATAATGCCTGTGCCTACAGAGTGCCAGCGGCGGAGGGAAATGACAAGGCGCTTGCTGATCAGGCGGGTGGTGACTACCCAGACACTCAGACCAGAGCCCAGGACTGGCCTTTGATGATTCGGCATCCATCATCAGCGCAGCCTCCACTGTCACAAAAGTCAAGTTCAAATCTGAGTCAGGCCCGAGGGAGGGAAGAGGTGGCCCATTAGAAGGGGGTAATTAAGGCGAGTTTAATGAAGAAGATGACTCTTTACAAAGGTGAGAGCAGGACTGAAGGAGGCCGAGAAAGGATGGGGAAGCACCGGGCCCCTCAGCACCCCTAGGCCTGAAGGGAACCACAGAGCCGCTGTGTTGGGGTCTCTCAACAACCCATCCTTAAGGAGTTTCCACTCTTTGGGGTGGGGAATACAAGCAGTAAACCCAGAAACAAGATATTTTCAGATATTGATAAGTGCTTTAAAGAAAAAGTAGAAGTGGGGGCATAAAAGAATGGGAAAGAGATGGGGGGACTCCTTGAGTTAGGCAGAGGCGCTGGAGGTTAGGACTTCAATATGTCTGAAAGTAGATATTGGGGGGCGGGGGTAGGGGGCGCCTCTGGTCCTGACACCGAGTCAGAGCTAGCCAGGAGGTGCCCAGAATGGGAACTGAGAACAGCCAGGAGTGCTTGAGGGGCAGAAGGAAGCCCCATGGGCTAGAATGTGGTGACTTGAGGGTGTGAGGAGGAAGAAAAGGGCAAGGCCTTGCAGACCCCGTGAAGCACTGGGGTCAGACAATGACCCTTCAACAGTACCGGGTTAGGGGCACCGACCCTGCACAGTCGAAATTTTGCATATGACTTTCAACTCCACAGAAACTTAACTACTGTTGACTAGAAGCCTTATCAATAATGTAAACTATTGATTAATGCATATTTTGTATGTTCTATGTATTATATACTGTATTCTTATGATAAAGTAAGCCAGAGAGAAAGTTAAGAAAAACCATAAGGGGCCAGGCACGGTGGCTCACACCTGTAATCCCAGCACTTTGGGAGGCAGAGGTGGGTGGATCACCTGAGGTCGGGAGTTCGAGACCAGCCTGACCCACATGGAGAAACCCCATCTCTACTAAAAATACAAAATTAGTCGGGCGTGGTGGTGCATGCCTATAATCCCAGCTACTCAGGAGGCTGAGGCAGGATAATTGCTGGAACCCAGGAAGCAGAGGTTGCAGTGAGCCAAGATCGTGCCATTGCACTCCAGCCTGGGCAACAAGAGCAAAACTCCATCTCAAAAAAAAAAAAAAAAAAAAAAAAAAAAAAAAAAAAAACCAACAACAACAACAAAAAAACCATAAGGAAAAGAAAATATATTTACTATTCATTAAGTGGAAGTGAATCATCATCTTCACGTTGAATAAGCTGGGAAGGAGGAGGAAGAGAGGGTTTGGTATTGCTATGTCAGGGGTGGCAGAGGAATAAAAAAATTCTAGTATAAGGGGACACTTGCAGTTCAGACCTGTGTTGTTCAAGAGTCAACTGTATTCTAGTTGTGATGGGGAATGACTGGGGGCTTTAAGCAAGGAAGTGGTGGGGTCTGATTTACATTCTAATGGAGCACCCAGGCTGCTGTGAAGGAGACACACAAAAACAGAAGCAGTGAGACCAGTTACCAAGCGACTGTAGCAGTAAGAGGTGAAGGTGGCTTACACCAGGTGGGAGGAGCTCAGACAGGGACAGTGGATGGAGTTGAGATCTGTCCTGTCTACCCAGCATGCTCTTCTTCCTGCAGTTGGTAGACAGAGGCCTCCCGGGCTTTGAGAGAGAATAAAAGTGTGGTTAAATTTTTTTTTTTTTTTTTTTTTGCATAGTGTCCTACATTTTCTGCATGCTGCATATATTACTTTTGAAATTGGAGGGAAAAAGTAAAAAAAAATCCACTGAAGGAAAGAAGGGGAGGAGGGTAGTTAATCCATCTGGAAGAGGGAAAATATATATTAGGGAGCTTTGGTAAATGGTAGGCTCAATATGTAGTGAGAGATGGCTTTCCAGAAAGCTAATGGAATTTTGGGTTGCATAATTAGAGAAATAGTATCTAGAATAAGGAGGGTGATTCTTTGAGCTCCATAAGGGAAGGACTGTGCCTGGGCCTCACACATTTATTTGCATATACTGCTTAATACCTTAAAAGGATTGGAAAGAGAGGGAGAAAGAAGGGATTTTTTTAAAAGCCTGATTTTTAAAAAGTATGTTCTTAGTGATGAAGTTTAATATCTATGTAGATGATACTCTACTTGGTCATCTGTAACTGGGACAAGTAGGTGACTTGGGAAATTCTCAAGAGTCAATCACAAAAATCAGAGCATGTTTTTGAGGATAGGATGGGATCCAAAGAACCATTAAGAAAAGAACTTTCTGGTGGTTGTGTATACTCACAAACATTTGTCCACTTGGTTGTGGAGTAAGGAGGGTCATGTACCAGGCTGGCCCAGAGCTTAGGTAAATTCCCCCTGTGCAAACCATTCCATGCTTTCCACAAAAGGCTTCTGGGTCTTCATTTGATAACCCTAAGTGAGCTCTCTCTGGGAAAGATGTGTCCTAGGTGAAGGGTGCAAGGATTTCAGTCCCTGGAAAAATATACTGCCACATACACTTCATAAATTAATTTATACTGGTTAATTTATCAGTCTCTTGAGGGTATGGTAAGGGAGTCAGACACCTGAAAGCTGAACAATTATATGCACACACCAGATGAGTTTTCTTGACCTGCAGAAACAAGAATGAAATTTTGACATGTGGGATCCTAACTCAGGGGCTACTTACCAGGGAGGTCCTGTTTGGGTGTCCCTCTGTTTCCCACTATGTGTCATCTTACCTCCTACAAAGATTACACCTGCCACTTGGTAATAAGTTAACAGCAGAGGTTAATAGCAGTTTGTACATAAGACTTTTTTTGGCCATTTTTTAGCGCACTCTTTACCCATCACTCTTTTACCCACCAAAACTGAACATGCTGTGTAATAGTCATTCCTTATTACCCAAGAGATTTTCAGTGTGTTCCTAATTGCCCTGACAAAGTTACTTCTTTATTGGAATTCTATTACAACGCCTTAACTAAATTACTCTTAGATGCTAAACTAGCTCCACATATGAGTCAGGCCACTTTTATTTTCAAGAGACAGAGATTGCACCACTGCACTCCAGCCTGGGTGACAGAGCGAGACTCCATCTCAAAAAAACAAACAAACAAAAAAAAAACCAAAAAAACCCCCAGCAAACAAGTATAAGCCAAATAGTTCACATAACTGAAAATTCTAGTGATAGTTACAGCTTCAGAGCTGGCTGGATCCAGAGGCTCCAAGGCTGTCATCAGGGCTGTTGCCCTCTACCCATCCATTGAAAGAGTTCTCTCCATATAGCCAATGTGGGATGCTTGGACTGTCCACTTAGCTAAGCTGGAACTGTATTTCCCAGAATTCTTTTCTTTACATAATTGCAGTTAGTGTGGGCCACAGAGACATTTTGTGTGCCATTGGGAAGTGGAAGTAAAGCAGCAATCATATTTCGCTTTATGCTTGGAAGGCCAGGGCAGTGCAGGAGGTGCTGTCGTGGCTGCTCCTGTTGTCACTCATCTCTTCACTCACCTCGTCAGGTTGAGCTCACAGCATCCTCACCTCCTGCTGGATCCTCCTCCACCCTCTCTGACTCCTGGGCCAGGCGCGTGATTAGCTTTCTGATGAAGGATGCCAGCTTCCCCTCCAGCTTGCTTCCATCATTGAAGTGGGTGGCTTGGAGGTGGGGAGAGACCAATGTTGGTCCAAGTCTCTCCTCATGAGTCCCAGCCCATCCTCACAGATTTCAGTTTATCCTTGATTCACCCACTTCATGTCCATCTTCCCGTCTCAACAGCCTGTTGATAAGGGTAGACCTTGTTTTCCTGAACCTGTCACAGAAACAGCAGCTTCACATAGACTATAGAATTAGCTCTTACAATTGCAGAAAGCCAAATTCCTCTAATCCCCTATAATTTAGATCTTGTAAAGCTTCTGCTTTTCTGAGCAAATCCTGACCCATACAGCAAGAAAGCTGGTTGCCGTATGCATGAAATTCACACTCTACAAGTTTAGTGCTGAAAGAGACTTTTATGATATCTATAACCAGAAAAATGTCCACGGGAGGACTCATAATGGAGGCAGCTTGGTTCATATACTCATTCCTGTACCTATCATTGTGATCAGGGCAAGTTAGGAGGTTCGGCCAAGCCCGAGGCTCATTCCCACTTTTGTAGCTGGGGAGAAGAAGGGAGGTCAGCCCCACTTAACACATATGAAAGGCTATCCCCTGGGGGAAAAGAAGTGGGTTCCTGAAAGGAGGAGAAAGAGTGATAGATAGGCAAAAGCACATAACCCCAACACTCTTCCTGCTTTCTTATTCTAGGGGTGCTTCATTTACTCGAAGAGAAAATGAGATGTAATCAATTTGCAAGAAGTGGTTACTATGCCCAGGAATTGAACTTAGTACTTTTTGTATATTATCTCTTTTTAATTCCCACAAGAAATTTATGAGGAAACTGAAGTCCAGAGAGATACAACAACTTGGCCAAGTTCCTTCAGCTAGTGACTCAAGGAGCTAGCCCATAACACTAGACTTGTATTAAGTTTAATGATAAACACATTCTCACTCTGTTAGATTTGTCTTACCTTGGTAATTCTGCACAAATTGACCAGTAAGCTGAGAAAACTGCTTTTTTCTCCCTCCCTGCAGAAGCGAATGATGCTGCCAGTGAAGAATCCGTGAATAGCTGCCTTGTAATACTCGTCAATGCTTGGTAAGACAACTTTTATATTAGGGGACTTTGGGGTGAGGTAGGTGGAAGATTTTTCATTTTAACAATCCAGGAAAGTTGGGACATGTTTAGAGTCTGACAAAGAGACTTGATGTTATCAGAGTGCAGTTGTAACATCACTGCATTATTAAGTGTTTACGGTATGCAACCTATTGTGACCATGGAGAAATCTTTCATACTATTACGTAATTAATAGATTTTGAAATGAACTGGCAAAGAGTAAAGGTTTCAGTTCTAACACTGTATATGTCATAAAGTAGAATTGAATGTGGGTTTAGGGAGAAGGTGGACAATTTGTGTGTTTGAGAAAGAGTGAAGGGTGGTTTCTGCATCGATTCACCACTGAAGTTTCCAGAGGACCCAGTTTCTTCTGGGAGCCTTAAGATCCCATCCCTTTGCATGGCAGAGGAGGAGAGAGGTGATAGCAACTTGAAGTTCTTTTCTGTGCAACCAGGAACACTGTAAAGTTCTTCTCTGCACAACCAGGAACAGTGGTAGAGCTCATGAAAGGTGCACCCAACCAATGCATCACACAGATGTTTGACTATGGTATGTCCAGCTAAGATTCACAACTCTTAACCCTGAAGAAGTTGAACTGGGAAGATTCATATAGAACATGCTAGAAAGTTAGGAGGTTTTTCTTTTTTACTCAATTGTCCTCTGAACATTTAGCTGGAGAAGCCAAGCAAGCTCAAACTGAAACTGAGTTGCGTGTGTCCTAGATGTCCGCACTAACCATTGGTTTATACCTTTCTTGGTAGAAAGACTTGGGCCTTAGGTTTGAATATCAAAGTCCCGATTACTGGTCCTTAATTTTCCTCCATAGCAGACAGTTTTCCCCCAAAGCTATTTATTGTTGCCAGATAACAAAGACAGAAAGAGATGGTTGGATTTGGGGGGAGTACTTATTTCTCTTCTCCCTGCTCAGCTGCACTCACTCTGGCCATTGACAAGGTGGTCAAAAAGAAAAAAGTTAGAGATGGAGCAAGTAAGATGGAAATCTACCACTTTAAAGAATATGTACTTCCAGTGACATACAACAGATCTGAGTAGTTCTTTGAGTTCAGGGGCATAGACAGTAGGGGTACTCCTCATGAAAATTTGAGAAGAAAACCTAGGAAGGATTGAGAACCCAGGAAGTTGCTCCATCTTGGAATAGCTTGCTCAGAGTGGTAAGCCAGCCATCTGGATGTAGCTATGATGTTAAAATGATGGCCATCAGTCCCAGCTGTGGGGACCCTACCCCACCCATCTTCTCTCTACTCTCAGTTCTCTGCTTTGACAGTTGGATCCTACTCATGGCCCAGAGAAAATGGTCTGTAATGTTTTCTCATCTCACACTCAACATACACATAGTGTTTTCAGCTAACACACCTCTTCGCGATTGTATTAGTCCATTCTCACGCTGCTATAGAGAACTGCCTGAGACTGGGTAATTTGTAAAAGAGGTTTAATTAACTCACAGTCTGCAGGTTTGGGGAGGCCTCAGGAAACTTACAATCACAGCGGAAGGGGAAGTAAACATGTCCTTCTTCACATGATGGCCAGAAGGAGAAGCGCTGAGCAAAGTGGGAAAAGCCACTTATAAAACCACCTGATCTCATGAGAACCCACTATCACAAGAACAACAGCATAGGGGTAACCACGTCCATGATTCAATTACCTCCCACTGGGTCCCTCCCACAACACATGGGGATTATGAGAACTACAATTCAAGATGATACTTGGTTGGGGACACACCCAAACCGTATCAGTGATCATAGGTTATTTTCAGAGAGCTGCATTTTACACTTCTCATGAGAGGTCATCCTCATAAACAATGTTGTAGGAGAGGCTAGCTCTAGTGAGTTGAGTGTTAGCGCCCCATTCTCTCCCAATCCCACCTGATAATCTAGTATTTGTGTATTTAAAATGGTTTCTGTAATAAGAATCTCAGAGTGGGAAAAAGATCATCTTCTGTTCTTTAAACCTTCCTGGAGTGAAGGTAGCAACCTTATAAAGCAAACAAACTGATCAGTAAAGAGGATGCTGATTTCAGTAAACGAGGTAAGTGAACAAAGTAATGATGTCAAGAAATTAGTTTCCATAGGACTTCCTTGAATTGACTTTTTTTATGTTGAGTGTTTAGCCTGGAAACTTAATTTAGAAAATAGAAGGTTGTCACCATTAAGTTCCAATCAATGCCAATCACTGAGAAAACTTCAGTTCCTTCTGGGGCTTTTGCCTAGGTAGCCCACTATGCTTTGGAGAAAGGTCTAACTTAGAAAATAGTTTGGGCATAAATTATTACAGGCTCAGAGCATGCCACTATTTGAACTTAGGCTAATATGATCTGTAACAGATTTAGCCAGAAAAGAGAGGGAGAGCCTGAGAAATGCCATTTTACATTTACAGGACAATTTTGGCTGGGCGCAGTGGCTCACGTCTGTAATCCTAGCACTTTGGGAGGCCGAGGCAGGCAGATCACGAGGTCAGGATTTCAAAACCAGCCTGGCCAACACGGTGAAACCCCGTCTCTACTAAAAATACAAAAATTAGCTGGGCATGGTGGCACTTACCTGTAATCCCAGCTACTCAGGAGGCTGAGGCAGGAGAATTGCTTGCACTGGGACCCGGGACGGGGAGGTTACGGTGAGCCAAGATCGTGCCACTGCACTCCAGCCTGAGCTACAGAGGGAGACTCTGTCTCAAACAAAACATTTACAGGACAATTTCATTTTGCAGAAAATTAGGGTAGAATGAAACAGTAGACAGGAATCCTGCCCCTAGCTCCTGTTTACTCATCCAGGTCTTGCTGTACCATGTGACCATCCTAGTTTAGGTTGTCCCAGGAGCAGGCCTGAGGCCAGGATCTGAATGTAAGGAGTTTATTTGGGAGGAGAATCCAGGAAGTACCTATAGAGAAGTGTAGAAGCAAGCCCAGAAAAGGAAGGAAGCCCATAAAGAGGGCATTAGCAAGCCAGCACTGTGGGCAAGTGGAGCTGAGTCCCTCTGGAATATGGGGTACCAGTGCACAACACATCTTGGAGTTATCCTTCCATCACTCATTGGTTAAGGGCAACTCCCCCCACCCCAAAATATTTGGTTTTGGAACTTCTGGCCTGCCATGAGCAGGCAGGAGACCTCTGGCTTCCAGAGGAAACTCCTAAGCAAAAGAATGCAAATGGTGACAGTGGGTGGCCTGCAGTTTCCCTGCAATGGCCAGGTGCGAGGGACATAGGTTGAAAATGGCAGTGGCTGCTACTGGCTCTGTCCAAGGGAAGCGGGGAGACTCCATCCCGCATACCCACCTCTCATAAGCCTGTCTCACTGGCTCCCTCAAGTCTCTTTTTGCTATTGACAGAGGCAGACCTTGCCTAAACCCAGCAGAGGCTCGCTGAGAAGTTCTCTCTCCTAGCCTCGCTGAGAACAGGCAATTAATTATTCACCAATAGCTTAGTCCCACTGATAACTGTCTCCCTGGCAACCTAAGGTCCAGGGTAACAAAATGAAATACATTAAATATATATATATATGCATGAAAAATATGTAAAGATTATTTTTACTTTTTCATAAAAGTGCCTTTAAATTAAATATGGTTTTTGAACAGTGATTAAATGTAACTGGTTTTCCAGCCCTGTATCAAAATCCCTATCAAATCAGTCCCTCGCAGCTCTAGATCATCTCAGCGATGTGTGTTTCTAGGAGACAGGCACTGATGCTTCCTCCCAGCTGAGGTGTCTGCTTCTTTTTATAGCAAATGATGCACTGCCACGTGATGGCCCCCAAACAGCACTGCATTGCCAGTTACAAGCCTTGCCTGTCTTCGGCAACACTGCTCACTTGCTGTGTGACCTTGGCCATGTTACTTACCCTCTCTGGGCCTCAGTGGCCTCATCTGTAAAAGCAGTAAGCTGGATGCGATGCTCTTACAAGTGTCCCTCTTAATCTAAAACAAATTCTGCATGACTGTTGTGCCGTTCCATGTTAGGTTACATCCTTCTCTGAGAATATGAACTCTGAGTTATATTTCAAGGACTCTGTTACTAGGAGAAACCTGTTGGAAGATCCACCTTGTCTATCCTTCTCCCTTAGGATCGCCCCTGTAAAAGCTAAGAAATGAGGTCATCCCTAGGCTTCCTTTTGCTGCAGTGCAGTGTGAAAGGCAAGAGTCCAGCCCCAGCCCGACCACATTGCTGGCTGTATGACTTTGGACAAGTCAACTGACTTCGCTGAGACTTCATTTCCTCATTGGAAAGATGGGATAAATAATGGTACTGAAACATTTAAATGTAAAACTATTCCAGAAGTATTCTTTTCAGAAGAAAAAGAAGGATGTGAGTTTCTTGCGGCTCTCTCTTCCCCTCTCCTGAACCTCTATCCCTGCCCAGCACACCAGCTCTCAGGAGTTGGTCCTCTTTTAATCTCTTCTCGTGATGCTTAAACCTTTACAGTTCAGTTTTGGTGATGATGTTATTACAGTTTGTTTTTTTTTTTTCTAATTAATCTCAGCACTTTGGGAGGCTGAGATGGGAGGATCACTTCAGCCCAGGAGGGTGAAACCAGCCTGGGCAACATAGCGAGACCCCTGTCTCTGTAAAAAATAAAACAATTAGCTGGGCTTGGTGGCATGCACCTGTAGTCCCAGCTACTTAGGAGGCTAAGGCAGGAGGATCACTTGAACCCAGGAAGCTGAGGCTGCAGTGAGCTGTGGTCACACCACTGCACTCTAGCCTTGGAGACAGAGCGATATGCTGTCTTAAATAAAATAAAATAAAATAAAATAACATATAAAGAAATAAGGAGGTAGAGGGGGCATACTGTTACAACCCAAAGGCAACTGTGGTTAACAGGCATGCTTCTCGGTTTACCTTTCTGGGGAAGGAGGCACATGGTTAAGCCCACAGAGCATTTGAATTTTTGGTTCCTACCTCTTTTAACATTATCCTGTAACCATTTTACTCTGCTGTTAAAACCTCTTGATGATGGTCTGTTGTGAGTGTGCATTGTAATATACTTAACCAGTCCTCCATTGTTGGGTGTTTAGGTTATTTTCATATTTTTTTCCATTAAAAATAGCACACACGGGTCAATCATAGAACTTCCAGCTTGCCTTCTTTTTAAGACTGTTTCAAGCCCCTTGGGGCAGCTTTGCCATGGGCAGTTCTATTTAACATACTCCTAAAAGCTCAGCACTATTATAGGAGGGAAGTTCACTGTACCCACTTCTGGCTGCCCCTCGGCTGCCCCCTCCTAATATGCCCTGGAGCAGATTCACTTGGTTCTGGGTAAGCTCTCCTGCCCCTGAAGTAGATAGTTATAGCTCTTCCCACTTTCCTGTCCAGCAAGTGCTGCAAATGCCCTGCCTCTGAAATTCAGCCCAATCTCCTAGGCCAAAAGTGGGCAAGTGACTCAGGCCTGATCCATCTCAGGACCTCACCCAACCAGCAATGGCAAGTGGTCCATTTAGTATGACAGAAACTAGGAAGGACCAATCAGAGCCCTTCCCAGAGAAAAAATACAGATGTTGTGAGATTAAGGATGACCAGTAGCTACTGTGTCAGCTGGGAGCAACAATGGCTATCTTCCCACAGAATGGAGGAAGCCTTTTCTATGGCAGCCTGGGAGAATGAAGAAAGCAGAGGCAGCCAGCTAGGAGAGAGAAGGAGCCTGGAGACAGGGACCACCAGCTCTTAACTCTGAGGGCCTGCCTCCTGCACATCTGCCTTGGATTTTAGGGACTATCCCAGGATCCTTCCCAGCTATCTGAACCAGCACCTTCCCTTTTTGCCTACACAGTTTGAGGTAGAGTTCAGTTTCTTACTCTGAAAGTCTTGGCTGTTAGGCCCCTCAAAGTGGCCTTCCTAGAAGTTGCCCAGTAGAGACTGTAATAATGTCTTCCAGGCAGAGTTCAAACTCAGGCATCCATGGGACTTGGCAATAACTGCCAATTCCTCTTTGTAAGCTTCCCCAAAAAGAAAGGGGGGATCTAGGCAGAAAGAACCCCAAGAACCCCAGAGTTCCCCTGAACCAAGATTCCCAATGAGCCAAATTCCCCTGTCAAGGCTGGCTCAGAGTACCTTGACACTTCAGTCATAGCGAAGGTAAATGCCCCAGGCAAAGCTGGCCCAGAAACCAGGAGCTTGCTTTATGAGAACCGCCCTGCAATACCCAGAGTGAGAAGAGAGAACAACTAGAAACAAAAGTCTTCCCTTTTCTCTGTATTCCCATTTTTAAAGTGTGAGTTTCTCAACTTTGTTTTTAGACTATGGTTAACCTTTTTCATCACTGGATAAGAAGGAAATAAAGGGCTATTTTTGGAGGTATGATGCTTAGGAACATTGTCTGTCCTCTGTATTCAAAGCGAGGCAGCGTGGCTATGAAGGTTTCCTCAGGGTGTGAGAGATCAGCTTGACAGGGCTGGGCTGTCATCAGGAATGTTTCACACATAGGAAAAACTTTTGAGAAATCACTTTGGTTTTGTTTGGCCAAGAGGGTTCATGAAGCAAAGACTGAGTCTTTTCAAATCACTTGAGCCCAAGAGGCGGAGGTTGCACTGAGCTGAGATCATGCCGTGGCACTCCAGCCTGGGTGACAGCAGTGAACCTTGTCTCAAAAAAAAAAAAAAGTGACTCTTAAACAGAACTCCCCTTAGAGGACCTGTCATAGCTAGGAAGAGTAGGGGACATTCTCAGGCACATGCTGTGTCAGCATCCTGGACAGAGTTGGATAGAATTTAGCTTTCCTGGCTCCCCACAACCCCCATAAGTAGGCTCCCTGGGTGTGTGTAAAACACATTGCAGGCAGGCTGCACTTGGAGAAATCCTGGCCACAGGTGGGATTTGAGGGCCTCCAGAGACAGCCCTTCCTTGGATAAGATCCCATCTACCTGCCAGCAGCCATCTCAAGCTAATTCTTTTTTTTTTTTTTTTTTCCTTTGAGATAGAGTCTCGCTCTGTCGCCCAGGCTAGATAGGGTGCAGTGGCGCGATCTCGGCTCACTGCAAGCTCCGCCTCCCGGGTTCATACCATTCTCCTGCCTCAGCCTCCCGAGTAGCTGGGATTACAGGCGCCCGCCACCAAGCCCGGCTAATTTTTTGTATTTTTAGTAGAGACGGGGTTTCACCGTGTTAGCCAGGATGGTCTTGATCTCCTGACCTCGTGATCCGCCCGCCTCGGCCTCCCAAAGTGCTGGGACTACAGGCTTGAGCCACCGCGCCCAGCCCAAGCTAATTCTTAAACTACCTCCAGTGGCCCAATCTGTAAAGCTCTCGCGTGAACTCTAAGTTTCCTTTTAAAATACAAGTGTTTTGAGAAGAAGCATCTTTGGCTTAATCATGAAGTTCTTAGATTAAATCTAAGCTCCCAAGTGTTGCAGTGTGTCCATGAATTTTTTTTTTTTTTTGAGACAAGGTCTTATTCTGTCACCCAGGCTTTATGTATCTATATAGGGTATACATATATAAAATATATATGGAGATACATACAGATATACATTTAGATATATTCATACATATATATGTATATATGTATGTATCTCCTGTTGATTCTATTTCTCTGGAGAACACTGACTAATATTCCATCCAGCCCCAGCCCAGCCACCATCTTCTAACTTCTGAATACATCCAAGCAAGCCTAGACCAGAAGAGCTTCCCAGCTGGTGGTTGGTGCTTGAGCACCCAAGCTTTGTCCACACCCACCACCACCACAAACAGGTGCCCTTTTGTCAACTCTTGGATCTGGAGGTGAGGTGGATGGACCTGGGGAAAAGGGCTGTGTGGGCCCTGGATGTGGACTTGGAGTCAGCAAGCAGGAGACTCCAAGACCCAGGGTACTCAGAATGTGATCTCCAGGTGGTCATGGGCTCCAAGTGGGCACCGTTCCTTGTGATGCAGAAGCCTCACCCCACAGTAAGGGGCCAGAGAAGAGAAGACCAGGGCTCCCTCCAGCAGTGCTCCCCAGTGCAGCCCAAAAACCAGTGCCAGTCCAAGAGCAGTCTGTTTCCCATCTGTGACAGGGGATGAAAAGACATTGAGACACTCGCATAGCAGTTTCAGAATTGAAAGATCTTCATCCAAGCTTGTGGCCAAGTCTGGTCCTGAGCTATGGACCAATCGGGTATTGTTGAACTTGCCTGGCACTGATGAACTTGAGTTTCATGCAACACAGCTGTATCCCAGTTCTGTGGAGTGAGACTATATGCCTATCCACATGGATTGAAAATAATATTTTAAAAAGCCCCAGTCCACCAACACAAATGGTTTAAGAAGCACCACTCTCAAGTGCGTGGGACTCAGAACAAGGGTCCCTCTTGTCCAGGGTCCGAGAAAGCTCAGCACTTCAGCTTCTGTGCTGAAAAAACAGGGTACTACTGCCTGGTTTTAAACAAAGAGCTGCTTTATGAAAAGGATTACTCTGGTGCGATAATGAGAGAGACAGAAGGGAGCAAAGGTGGAATAAGGAGACCTATCAAAAGGCATTGCAATCATCCAAACAAGTCATGACAGTAACATGGACCAGGGTTGCAGCAGTGGAGCTGAGCGGGGTTAAGATTTTGATCCAGATGAGAGTCAGCAAGATCTCCTTATGGGTTGGATGTGTGACGTGAGAGACAGGTAAGCGTCAAAGATTACTCCAAGATTTTTGGCCTGAGAAACTGGAAGGATGCAGAAGACATCAACAGAGATGGGGGAGGCTGTGAATAAGGCTGATCTCAGGTTGGGTAGATCACACATGCTGCATCTGAGATGTCTCTTCACTGTTGTGGAGATCTCATCCAGGCAGTGGATAAGTAAGTCTGGAGTTCAACAGAGAGGTCTGGACAGCTGGGAATATTCATTTGGGAATCCATGACCCACAGATGGTACTTAAAGCTGTAAGGCTAAGATCTCCAGCAGAGGAAGCTTGGATAGAGAAGGTAGGAGTTACGACATTGAGAAGAGGAGGAGCAGCAAAGGAGATTTAGAAGCAGCAGCTGGTGAGGCAGGAGAAAACCAAGAGTGTGGGTTGATGTCCCGGAAGTCAAAAGAGGAAATCGTGTCATGGCGGAAGGAGGGTCAGCTGTGTCCAGTGCTGCTGGGTGAATCGATCAGGATGAAATCTGCATATTGACCATTAAATTTAGCCATGTGGCTATCATTGGCAACTTGATGAAGGCAGTTTGGGCAGGGGGGCGGAGAAAATGCTTCACTGGCATGGGGTTGAGAGGGAATGGGAGAAGAGGAATTGGAAAGAATACACTTTGGCAACTCACCTGAGAAGTTTTACCATAACAGGATCAAAGAAATGGGACAGTAGCCAGCAGGGGAAGTGGAATCAGAGAACTTCCTTAGTGGAAGAAATAACAACATGTTTCTACCCTGATGGGGTAGAAACAATCCAGTAGTGTATTAGTTTCCGGAGGCTGTTGTAAGAAATTACTACAAAGTTGGTGGCTTAAATAAACATTTTTTTTTTCTTTCACACTTCTGAAGCCCAGAAGTTTAACATCATTTCCACTCAACTGAAATCAAGGTGTTGGCAGGGCTCTACTCCCTCCAGGAGAGAATCCATTCTTTGCCTCTTCTAGCTGCTGGTGGCCGTCAGCATTCCTGGACTTTGTAGCCACATCTCTCCAATCTCTGCTTCCATTTGCACATCATCTTCTCCATGGTGTGTGTCTGTCTAGTCTCCCTCTGCCTCTGGCTTGTAAGGACACTTGTGATAGCAATTAGAGCTCACCCAGATAATCCAGGATGATCTCCTCTTCTCAAAATCCTTCACTTAATTTGCGAAGATCCTTTTTCCATTTAAGGTCACATTTACATTTACAGATTCCATGATTAGGACAAGGCATATCTTTGGGGACCATCTTACAGCCCACTATAGCTAGGGGCAAAAATTAAATAATGGTGTAGGGTAAGGGTTGGCAGAATTTTTCTGTAAAAAGGAAAGTAGCATTTTTTTTTTTTTTTTTTTGAGACAGCCTCACTCTATTGCCCAGGCTAGAGTGCAATCTTGGCTCACTACAACCTCTGCCTCGTGGGTTCAAGTGATTCTCCTGCCCCAGCCTCCCAAGTAGCTGGGATCACAGGCGTGTACCACCACACCCAGCCCATTTTTGTATTTTTAGTAGACATTCGGTTTTGCCATGTTGGCCAGGCTGGTCTCAAACTCCTGGCCTCAAGTGATCCACTCGCCTGAGCCTCCCGAAGTCCTGGGAATAGAGGCATGAGCTACTGCGCCTGGCTGCAAATATTTTAGGCTCTGTGGGTCATATGGTTTTTATGAAGTTGTAACTTCTTGACTCTGCTGACATAGTGTGAAAGTAAACATAGACAATATATAAATGAATGAGCATGCTGGGTACCAATAAAACTATTCATGGGCAGTGAAATTTGAGTTTTGTATCATATTCAGGTATTACCAAATATTCTTCTTTTCAAAAACATTTTCCCCAACCATTTAAAAGTGTAAACATTATTTTTATTTTGTGGGCCATAGGAAAATGGGCCAGCTAGTTTGGCCTACAGACCACAGTTCACCAGTTTCTGGTAGGAAGATGGCTGGACAATGCGGTTGAGTAGGTGAGTGGAGGAGGAGTCCAATGTGCAGGTGGAGGAACTGGCTTTATATTAGAGCATGGACTGTCATCTATGACAGTGGGAAAAAGAAGTGGAAAAAATTAGGACTTTGACTGAAATATTTTGGTTTGAATTCTCTTTAGAACTTTTAACGCTATTTGCTTTCAGAAAAGGACAGATTCTTCAAGTTCAAAGTATTACTTTTTTCTTTTCTTTTTTCTTTTTTGCCCCACGTGATCTGCAGGAAAAGTTTCAATTATTTCCGTAAAATAGGTACACAACATTTATCCCATAAATCGTGAGACCAGGACAATGTACCCTCAATACATTAGTTCTTCTCACTCTTGGCTTCAGTAACTCAGTGATTAAATTAAATACTTAAATATTTTGGTTTCTTAATTTTTGTAAGAGGAATTCATGTTTTATAACAATAGATTTTACTTTTTTTTTGGACTCCCCCCAACCCCCAGTACATCTAAGGACTCTCTTCTTGGGAAAAATGCATGACCATTTGTTCTCCAAACCATTTCAAATAATTCACCAATACCCTGAAAGCCACACTTGGCCTCAAACCCTATGTTAAGGAATCCTGATTTAAAAGCTGACCTAGGTTCTGAGAGTTGTGTTTTTCTTTTAATGTTGCCTTTGAGTTTTTTTGGAAGAAAAGAGCTACATGCATGCAAAATGATTATTATAATTACACACGCTATTATACTGATTCCAAACAGCCCACCATGGGGTTCTATTGAGAAGACTAGAGAAAGGGTGGAGAAGCTTCAAGGAAGAAGGGAGGGTGCACTCACCCCGTGCCTTTCAACATCATTCTAATGGGGATCCACCCCCATTCCTGGTCCTTTCTGTGACCCAGCTAATATATCCTCCCGTGAAGAGGAGGAGTGGAAAAACATCAGTTCTTTGATTATATACCCTTTGGGGGCTACACCATGAATAGAAACTTCTCCTAGTCACAGACTCTATCCTATCCACAACCAAGAAAGCCTGGTTTCCATTCGCCCAGGAATATCCATACCCAGCACCCAAAATGTAATTCCTTTTAATCCACTACACAGCATTACAAAACATGCAGAGTAAACATCAAGACCTAAGTCTGAAGGTAAAATACGAGAAGTGGACCCTCAAACAGACATTAAAAGTGAAGGAAAAGTCATATTCTAAAAATTTGGAAATTTTCTTTCAAGTATTTACATTAGCAGCCAAGACACTTTGTCAGTTCTAATCCTTTCCTAAATGTAAGTTGGAATGTTTCTTAATGGAATGTCACCACAGGAGGCCAGCTAAAGTCCTGGCTGGAAGACTTTCCTGGAATATGTTTCCCTTGGAATTTACAGTACTGTCTGGTTGAATCTGGTTTGACATTCTAACAATTGGAGCATTGTATTAGGCACAGTGAAGCAGAAAATTCACCCTATCCTGCTCCCCATTCATCCTTTCTTTGCTCTTGTGAAAATTGCCCACTGTCTTATCCCACTGAATAAAAGTGCACAGGAGAAGACAAATGTCACATCTAATTTAATCAGCAGTCCCATAAAAGGTAAGTTTTTAATATCCAGAATAAATCTTTCATTCATTCAACAAATAGTTTGATTTAGTGGTAGCTTTAGGGTTTAAAATGTGCATTGCTAACTTATTACAGTCTGCCTCCAAATAACATGCCATTTCACAAATATGTATAAAAACTTTTAAAAAAATACTTCTGTTTCTTTCTTCTATCCTTTGTGCTATTAGTTTTGTTGTTGTTGTTGTTGTTGTTGTTGTTGTTGTTGTTGTGGGGCTTACTGTTTGCCTTCTTTGTTTACAGAGTCTTGCTCTGTCACCCAGACTGGAGTGCAGTGGCAATCATAGTTCACTGCAGACTGACTCCTGGGCTCAAGCGATCCTCTCCTCTCAGATTCCCAAGTACCTGGGACTACAGGTGCACACCACCACATCTGGCTAATTATTTTTTTGTATTTTTTGTAGAGCCAGGATCTCACTGTGTTGCCCGGGCTGGTTTCAAACCACTGGGCTCAAGCGATCCTCCTGCCTCAGCCTCCCAAAACACTGCGGTTACAGGCATGAGCTACTATGCCCAGCCCACTTTGAGCTATTGTTAACATACATTTTATTTACACATATTATAACATTCACAATAGGTTGATATTATTTTTTGCCTTAAACAGTAAATTATCTTTTACATAAGTTATAAATAGGGGAAGGACCTTGTACATTTAATGGTACTTACCATTTAAAGCATTCATTTTGGGGAGTAGATTTAGATTTTTCTTTTATTTTCCTTCTCCTAAAGAACTTCCAGTAGTATTTCTTCTGCCGGTGCTAAATTTTTAGTTTTTCTTCACCTGAAAATGAGTTTTTGAACAATATTTTCACTGGACATAGAATTCTAGACAGGCAGTTTTTTTCCTTCGGTACTTTTGAGATGTCATTCCAGTGTCTTTGGCTCATGTTGTTTTTAATGAGAAGTCATTCATCATTTGTATAGTTGTCCGTCTGTGTGTAATGTCTTTTTTTTCTGTAACCTTCTAATAATGTTATTTTTAGGTTTCAGCAATTTTTTTCATGATATGCCTTAGTGTGGATTTTTTTGTGTTTACCCCATCTGAGATTTGCTGAGCTTCTTGAATCTATGGGTTTAAAGTTTTCATCAATTTGGAAATATTTTGGCTAACATTTCTCCAATTTTTTTTTTTTTTTTTTTTTTTGAGACAGGATCTCACTCTGTCGCCCAGGCTGGAGTACAGTGGTGTGATCTCAACTCACTACAACCTCTGGCTCCCGGGTTCAAGAGATTCTCTTGCTTCAGCCTCCTGAGTAGTTGGGATTATAGGTGCATGCCACCATGCCTGGCTAATTTTTGTATTTTTAGTAGAGACAGGGTTTCGCCATGTTGGCCAGGCTGGTGTTGAACTCCTGACCTCCGGTGATTTACCTGCCTCAGCCTCCTAAATATTTTTGTCTGTCCTTCTCTCACTCTTCTCTCCTTCAAGGACTCTGAAAAGTAGGTTAGATCACTTGATGTGATCCCATAGGTCACTGAAACTCTATTCAGTTTTTTTTTTTCATCTTTTATTCTCTGCATGCTTCAGTTTGATTAGTTAACTATTGCCCTGTCTTTGAGTTCACTAATATTTTCTTCTGTAGTGTCTCTATTAATCCCATCCAGTGAATTTTTATGTCAAATCTTGTATTTTTCAGTTTTTATAATTTGGTTCTTTTTTATAGTTTCCATTTCTCTATTGAGATTTGCCATCTATTTCCTCATAACATTTTTGTTTTCCTTTAACATCTTTGACTGTGTATATAGTAGCTGTTTAAAAGCCTTTTCTTCTATTTCCTTCTTCTTGTTTCTTCTGATTTGTTTCAATTATTGACTGATTTTCTGTCCTTCACATTTTCCTGCTTCTTCAGGTGTCTGTGCATATTTTATTGTGTTCTGGGCATTTTGGATGATGCATTGTTCAGTGTCTGGATTTTGTCGTCTTCCTTTAAATATCAGATTTTGTCTGGCAGACAGTTAATTTCCTTATGGATCAGCTTGATCCTTTGAGGTTTGTTTTTAATGTTTGTTAGGGAGGGGCTAATATATCTTTAACTCCAAGACAATAGTAACCTTCTCCTAACACATGGCCTTTCTTGAGGGTCAACTGAGTACCCAGAATTTTCAAAGCAGCCTATTCATTTACACTTACAACAATACACTTCTGTTCCATATGAGATTGTATACGCCATATACACTTAAGCCAATATCTCTTGGAAGGCTGAGTCAGGCAGATTGCTTGAGCCCACGAGTTTGAGACCAGCCTAAAAATATGGCAAAACCCTGTCTCTTCAAAAAGTACAAAAATTTGCTGGGTGTAGTGGCGCGTATCTGTAGTCCCAGCTACTCGGTAGGCTGAGGTGGGATGATCACTTGAGCCCAGGAGGTCAAGGCTGCAGTGAGCTGAGATCACACTACTGCATTCTAGCCTGGGCAAAAGAGTGAGACCCTGTCAAAATAAAAAAACAAAAACAACAGCAACAAAAAAACTCAGTTCCATACAAGCTCCAAATCTCAATTCAGCTCATAGCTTTGTTCTTTTCCTAGCCACCTGGATTCGTGTGCTGCATACTTGTCACTTGGTACCCAAAGAGTCTAGGATTCCTGAAGCTTCTTTTTTTTTTTTTTTTTCTGAGCAGATTTCAGAAGCTTCTTCTCTGTATGACTGCTACTTCTCTAGAACTCTGCCCTGTAAATTCCAGCCATGTTATCAGACCTAACTCCAGTCTCATCACATCTCTTCAGTAACACTGCCATTCTCTGTTTCAGTTTTCCTTCCATGTGCCATGATCTGGAAAAAGCTTTAAAAAAAGTAGATCAATCAACGTCTTCACTTTTTGCAAGTGAAGGCCAAGTTATAATGTAAGCAAGTCTCCAAGTTGTGGCCCATATATTACAGATATATTATTTAAACGTACTTATTAAATACAAGGCATAAAATGGCTTATAGAAAATGTTTTTGCAAGCTGGATGAAGTCCCAGGTCTTTGCCCTTTTAACCTCACCTTTCCTAAAAAGGTTCACATGCAGCAGGCATGACACTAGCCTCGAGGCAGCAGCAGGAGACCAGGAGACAAAGTCTCCAGTGTCATCCCTGAGAGTACCCACTGCAGGCCTCCCTGGACTTTCTACCCTCTTACAAGGGCAGAGGACTGGCCCCACAATGCTCTGGCCAAGCCATGTATCCTGACTACCACTAAATTGCCCAAGGAGAATCCACTTACAGCATCTAATATGTTAATTTAAAACCTCTAATTTTAACAGAACATATTTCTAATGTTCATTTTGTGAATGACCAAAGACTCTGGATTTCACGCAAGGATTAGCAATGCTTTTAGAATCAATGTTTCTGAAATCCTTTCTGATTAAAACCAAGCTGATTGCCCTGGTGTATAAATTTCTCATCTGGGTAGCAGTCTGCCCCTAGCATGCAGCTCGAGCTAACACATACAAAATACTACACTGTGTGGAGCTATTTAAACTTCCCGTACATCTCACCATACACAGAGCTGGCATGAGAAAAATCTAAAATCTGGATCAGGTGCTGATGTAATGAATGGGAACAAAATAAACTGGAAGCCTCCCCTCACAAGGATGGTCTGGCTCCCAAGGCTATTTCTCCCTTCATGAGCTGATTTTTCACGTGAGACACCTCAGCATGATCTCAGTTCTTCTCTGTCCTTTTCTCCACTGCTGCTGGGCTGACCAGCATGGAGGTCACAGGGCAGCATGCCAGGAGGGGTAGGGCCTCCATATTCCATGGGTCAGAGCATGTTACAAGGCCAGCCCCAGTCATTCAAGGAATGGGGAAATAAATTTAATGGTAAGAGCTACAAAGAGTTTATGCTAATATTTCATCCACCACACCCTGGATACAAATGTATAATTACCAACTAAAGAAAGTCACCCTGAAGACAAGGAGCAGGGTTCTACGGGAATGTCAGAGGAGTGGAAGAAATCTCAGGGCTCAGAGGAATCTAACTTGACCAAAAGCTCAGATCGCCCCTTAAAACCTATGTCTAAGATCTCAAGAATAAAGAGGGACAAGGAAAGGGTAGCGTTTAGGCAGCAGAATGACACATGCAAAGACACGTGGCAGGTGGTACATTTCACAAATGTGAAGAATGCAAAAAACTTTCATTGGCAAGGGGAGAAGTCTGTAAATCTCATGGAATTGTGACAGGGAGCTCCTTTCTCGGTAAGTGGGTGAAGTGAGCATTGAACGGAGCCTTCAGTTAACCAGGTGCGCATTGCAACATGGTAACTCAGCAATTGCACCCTCTCAGGAAAATGGCAGAAAGGGGCGATAGGATCAGCCAGTGCTGCATTTCAAACATTATCAAATGTTTTCTATTTTATTTTATTTTATTTTGTTTTATTTTGAGATGGAGTTTCACTCTTGTCACCCAGGCTAGAGTGCAGTGGTGCAATCTCAGCTCAGTGCAACCTCTGCCTCCCAGGTTCAAGCAATTCTCCTGCCTCAGTCTCCCAGGTGCCCACCACCATGCCTGGCTAATTTTTGTATTTTTAGTAGAGACGGGGTTTCGCCAAGTTGTCCAGGCTGGTCTCCAACTCCTGACTTCAGGTAATCTACCCACCTCGCCTCTCAAAGTGCTGGGATTACAGGCCTGAGCCTCCGCGTCAGCCTCAGACATCACCAAATGTTTTCTAAAAGCTGTCTATGAAGTAGTTCTCTGGTCCAAAAGGTTTGAAAATTACCTAGTTAACTGAGTGTATTGCTGAACTTGCTGGGGTCTTTAATAAGCTAATCACGGGCCAATAGTGTGCTGGTAAATGTTTAACAACCTTCTCTCTCAAATAAAATCGCCGTGATTTGTAGCATTTATCAGCTTCTGGAGTATAATACTCCTGCCATGACTGATTTCAAGCTACGGATGTGATGTCACTGAATGCACAGTGGACAAGAGATACGCAGTAGCACTCCATTCTGTAGTATTTCCATTCTACAGATACAATAAACATCATGTCCTCAAAAGCATAGATACTAGTGAAATGTAGTAACACAGGAAGTGAAAAGTTTTGAGTCTTTACTATATTTGTGTTTAATATGATTTGTCCGTTTATGTAACTTAATTTTTAATGATGGCTGTGTTTAAAAACCGGCTCACAAAATTTCTGAAACTGTAACAATCTTGTGAGCTGGCACAGGCTAGCTGTGCTGGACCTGGTAATGCCCACCCCTGTTGGAAATCTCTGAACAAGAGATGATGGAGCTTTTCCTCAGACTTCATGGCCACAGCATCCTCTTTATGGGACATCTAAAGGGCCATCCCTTATTTTTAGATATTTTGCAGAAACATTTTAGGAAATTCTGATTTGGTTATTTCATAGTTGTGGAAACTGAGATGCTAAGTAAGTGTCTTGCCCAAGAATCAGATCCAAATACAAACTAAGCTCTTCTGAGCCTTGGTACTATAACAAAAGGTTTCTCGTTCATTCTGTGCTCAACACTGTCCCAGATTCATAGCTACCATTTGCTCCCACATGCTATTGAAGGTACTCTGCTCATCAATTACAAGCATCATTGCATTTAATGTTTCCAATACCCTATATGTGTGGTATCCCCATTCTACCGATAAGAAAACTTCAGTGCGGAGAGGTTCAGGAATTCCACAGAATGAAGCAAAGACGCGGGTTGCTAAGAGATACCCTGCTCCCATTAAAATATCCCGGCGTCCCACTGCTCCATACTGTGGCTGGATGTGGTAGAACAAGAATAAGGCTTATCATCTTCCTTTCTCAGCAAGAAAAGGCCATATGTGTTCCCTTCCATGCTGTGATCCTTAAGCCAAAACATCTCCACGGGCCAGCTTTAAGCAGCCGTGTGTGCTATCCCGGGCCAGTCACCCCACCCACATCTACTGATGTATGAGATGCTGAGTTTAGGGAGCAGAAGCAGGGAAAATCCCCTCGTCCCACTTCCTAGGAATCCACTTGGCAGTGTTAGTAATAAGAGCTTTCTACTCTTTTCTTAAGGTTTTTACCTTTCACATCCATGATGCCATTTGACCCTTAAAAGACTCCATGAATTATTCCTGTTTCTCACCTTGTCCAAGGTCACACAGCTCCAAGGTCAGCAAGCTCTGAATCATCTGCCCCTGTGTCTTTCCCAATGCAGCAAGCTGCTTTATGCTAACAATAGTGCATAGATTAAGTATAGTTCCCTCTGAATCCAAATGTAAATGACGTTTGAGAGACCTTCAAGATTTCAGGAAATGTGACACACGTATATCTTCAAATGCAAGTTTGAACAGGAGGAATAACGTTCACTAATAGCTCACATTTGTAGGAACTGAGACTTAAGGCCAACCCAGTAATTATGCAAGTAACCCATATATAGTGCTTCCTAGGTGTTAGGCATTGCGGTGAGGGTTTTATGTGCATTAACTCATTCAGTCCTCACAATCACAACCCTAGGACATGGCTATGATGGTTGTTATGATTTCATTTTACATATCGGGAAATATGGAGAGGAAAAGCACAGTCCTGACTCAAGGCATCTCTAACTCTGATGGTTTGAGGGGTGTGTGTATAGAAGGTAAAGGAGAGAAGAAGTGATTCCAAATGACGGTGTCTCGTGTTCTGTGTCCTAGTTTTCCTCGGCATCAGCACCGCAGCACCTCCAAGCTGCACATGTGCACTGGCAGCCTGGTTTCTGCTGCAGCCCCCTCTATTCATCATTCATTCAACTTAAGGCATTGAAAAATTCTATTAAAGTGCAAATCTTACCCTGGAGGGAAAATTCACAAGAACCGTAACCTGTAAAGTAAGTATTGTTATCCCATTTTACAGATGAGAAAAGTGAGCTCGGGGATGTTACGAGACTTACCTAAGCGATAAACTAGTAAATACTGAGAAGGGAGAGTCCAGATACAGCATTACAACTCTGAGAGTTCTGGCAAGCTAGAAAATACTAGAAAAGCACTGAATATTGAGTTTATGTCTGAATGTGAGGCAGGAGAGCGGGGAGCGAGTTATTGTAAGAGGACGTTGGAAGAATCTTGAGCAGAGAGGGGTGGGAAGAGACTTGGTGCTGGCTGCCCTTACCCTCCTGCTTCTAGTCCATATGCTGTGTCACCAGTGTCCTGGCAGAACCAACAGGCATTCCACTCACTTCTAGCAGGCTCTGAAGCTCCCCAGAGGACCCCCTTGCCTCACTGGAGTCCCCAGGGCCCATCTGGGGTCGGTCTCTGTCAGGAAGCCAGAGCAAATTTCTTACCCTTCCTCCCAGTTTTCCTGGTCTAGGCCTGTTTCTCTTTCCTGTGTCATTTGTCACCTTCCCCAGGAAGGTTATCTGAGGATGCAGAGAGGTAGAAAGTTGTCAGCTGTGATGCCTGCAGGCCAGGTGGGGAGGAAACGCTCTCTCCAAACCCCTTCCCAGCAAGCCTGGGTCCTGGCTCCCCCTGTCAGAGGCGCGTGAACCAGAACAACTCCATCTTGAATAGGAGCTGGGTAAAATGAGGCCGAAACCTGCTGTGCTGCATTCCCAGACGGTTAAGGCATTCTAAGTCTCAGGATGAGATGGGAGGTCAGCATAAAATACAGGTCACAAAGACCTTGCTGATAAAACACTTTGCAGTAAAGAAACCGGCCCAAGCCCACCAAAACCAAGATGGTGATGAGGGTGACCTCTGGTCGTCCTCACTGTTACACTCCCACAAGCACCATGACAGTTTACAAATGCCATGGCGACATCAGGAAGTTTACCCTATGGGGTCTAAAAAGGGGAGGCACGAAGAATCCACCCCTTGTTTAGCATATCATCAAGAAATAACCATAAAAATGGGCAACCAACAGCCCTCAGGGCTGTTCTATCTATGGAGAAGTCATTCTTTTGTTCCTTTACTTTCCTAATAAACTTGCTTTCACTTTACTGACTCGCCCTGAATTCTTTCTTGGGCAAGATCCAAGAACCCTCTCTTGGGGTCTGGATTGTGAACCCTTTCCTACAGCACCCCCATCTCAGGGTACCATCCCTCCAGTCTCCTCCCTGGGGTGGCCCCTGGGCCAAGAGGCCAGGAAGAGAGCTCTCCTTTGATCACTCCCTTGTCAAAGCAAAAGGATTAAGATCCTACCACTTCCAGCTCAGCAATTCTCGGAAGATCACTCCATGCCCTCCTTTCCACCTGTATGACACGGGGATAATGACAATGTCTTCCTGGGCTGGGTACGAGGATGCAATTAGTTAATCCATGGAAAGTACTCTCAGCCCAGTGCCTGGCACCTATGCCCAATCAATTGTTCAGCATTGTTAGTGCTGTTATTATCTATAGTTGAGAAGTAATAATACCAGTTGCAGTTATCTCAGGCTACACTCCATATTTTTACCACTTCGCTTTTCTTCTCAGACACACACATAAACACACCCCACTTAATGGCAGAGGGTTGCAGCTTTACAAGCAGAACCAGCAAAGGGAACTCAGTTTAACTCTGGCCTGTGCCCAACTCAAAGGGTGGCCTTCAGCAAATAAACACTCCTCTTTGGGCTTCCATCAGGACGTGTAATTTATCTGGAAATAGCTCAAGTGAAGTGTCAGGGGTCACAACTTAAAGAGCTCAGGCCAAATCCAATTGTCAGAGAAGTTCTTGGGCCAACACTGTGCTCTGAAAATGGAGCAACAGGTTAGGGGCTGTGGTTCACGCCTGTAATCCCAACACTTTGGGAGGCAGAAGTGGGTGGATTGCTTGAGCCCACGAGTTCAGGATCAGCTTGGGCAACATGATGAACCCTCATCTCTATAAAAACAACAAAAAAGAAAAATACAAAAATTAGCCAGGCATGGTGGCATGTGCCTGTACTCTCAGCTACTCTGGAGGCTGAGGTGGGAGGATCACCTGAGCCTGGGAGGCGGAGGTTGCAGTGAGCCATGATCGTGCCACTGCACTCCAGCCTCGGCAACAGAGTAAGACCCTGTCTCAAGAAAAAAAAAATGGGGTGACATCACATCACAGTCCAGATATCTGGCTCCTCCCAGCATTTGGGGTGATCCGGTGGAGCCAGGAAGAGCTTTGCGAGGCATCTTTAGCCTTTCAGCCAATTCTCCTCTTTCCTCCTGCTCATGCAATCATTCCCTACCTGGCCCCTAGAGGCCTTTGACTTTGTGACCCTCTGAACCCACTAAATTCTCAGGTGGTTTCCGCTTTCAAATTCAGCAGTTGAAACCTCAGTTCTGACTTGCAGGGCTGGGAAGGATTTGTCTCCCTGCTGCAGGGGGTTAAGTGGCTGCTTTTGAAAGGACAAAGCTAGAGATGACTCGATAAGATAAGGAGCTCTGTTTTCAGGAGGAAAGAACAGGATTTTGTTGTGATCCAGAGGATAACAGTCTGAGCCTCTCATTCATCAGCCCATCCCTCCTCCCTCCCCTTAGCAGGCGCTCAGGGCCACCATGGGATGTGTCTGCAGCTGCTGCCATCTGCTGGGGCATAAAGTTGCTGCAGCCTGCCTGGGGATGGCATTTCTAGGGTTTGCACAGGTGTTTCCTGCCAAGCCCCGAATGATAGCTCTTGTCCCAGTAGAGGCAGTGGGCTCACCGCTACAGTTGCTGGTATTTATCAAGCACCTGCTATGAGCCAAATACTATTTTAGAAATTCCATGAGTTTTCCTACTAATCCATTTGCTAGAATAGAAGCCCACATGGGCAGGGAGTTTTGTCTCTTTTCTTCACAGCAGCAGCCCTTGTGCCTGGAACAGTGCCTGGCACAAGGAAGGAACTTGGTACAGGTGGGTTGCATGAGAACAAGTGTAAAGACAGATTGTGTCGTTATGTCCATTTTATGGATGAGGAAATTGTCACTCAGAGACACAAAGGCTCAAGGTACTATGGGTAAACCTGTGGGAGAAGCTGAAACATTCCTGGTGTGGGCAGAGCTTGTCTATCACTGCAGGTGATTTTGAAGATGGTCAAGACAGGCAACAGGTAGGAATGAACACCTCAGGTAGCCAGGGTCCTTTGAAGTTCAGAAAACCCAGGGTGCAAACCATCAGGAAACTAAGCCAAATCCACGAAATGTTGCAATGGGGCCCGGGGACCTGGCCAGGGCAAGAGGCCCTTCACATGTGTTTTGTGTGTGTTTTTTGAATTAGGAAACTTAATTTTTTTTTGAACAGTTTTAAATTTACAGAACAACTGAGTGGAAAGTACAGGGAGTTCCCATATATGCTCTCACGCCTACCCACACATATGCACACACAGCCATTTTCCCTATTACTAACATCTTGCATCAGCATGAAACATTTGCTACAATTGATGAGCCAATATTGATAACATGATTTTTAACTAAAGTTCATAGATTGCATTAGGGTTCATTAGGGTTCACTTGGTGATGAACATTCTGAGTTTTGAAAAATGCGTGATGTCATATATCCACCATTACAGAATCACACAAAATAGCTCCATTCCTTAAAAATCCCCTGTGCTCCACTTATTTTATTTTATTTTTTTCAGACAGGAGTTTTGCTCTTGTCACCCAGGCTGGAGTGCAATGGCATGATCTCGGCTCACTGCAAGCTCCGCCTCCCAGGTTCAAGCGATTCTCCTGCCTCAGCATCCCAAGTAGCTGGAATTACAGGTGCCTGCCACCACACCCGGCTAGTTTTTTGTATTTTTAGTAGAGATGGGTTTCTCCACGTTGGCCAGCTGGTCTCGAACTCCTGACCTCAGGTGATCTGCCCACCTCAGCCTCCTAAAGTGCTGGGATTACAGGTGTGAGCCACCGCGCCGAGCCCGTGCTCCACCTATTTATCCTTCCCTCTCCTCCAGCCCCTGGCCGCCGCTGATCTTTTTACTATTTCTATAGTTTTGCCTTTTCTAGAATGTTATATACTTAGAATCATACAGTATACAGCCTTTTCAGATTGGCTTCTTTAACGTAATAATATGCATTTAAGGTTTCTCCATATCTTTCCATGGCTTACTAGCTCATTTCTTTTTATCACTGAATAATATCCCATTGAATGGATGTGCCACAGTTTGTTTATCCATTCACCCATTAAAGGACATCTTGGTTGCTGCTGCTTTTTTTGGAGATGGAGTCTCACTCTTACTGAGACTGGAGTGAAGTGGCGTGATCTCAGCTCACTGCAACTTCCACCTCCCGGGTTCAAGTGATTTTCCTGCCTCAGCCCCCTGGGTAGCTGGGATTACAGATGCCTGCCACCACACCTGGCTAATTTTTGAATTTTTAGTAGAGACAAGGTTTCACCACCTTGGCCAGGCTAGTCTCAAACTCCTGATCTCAAATGATCTGCCAATCTCAACCTCCCAGTGTGTTGGGATTACAGGCGTGAGCCACTGCACCCGGCCACATTTGGTTGCTTCTAAGTTTGGCAATTATGAATAAAGTTTCAATAAACATCTGTGTGCATGTTTTTGTGTAGACATAAGTTTTCAACTCACTGCGTAAATACTTAAGAACCCAATTGCTGGATTGCATGGTAAGTTTTGTAAGAAACTGCCAGATGGTTTTCCAAAGTGGCTGTACTCTGTTGTGCTTCTGAACATAGCTCTTAGATCAGGCCTGCTGGCCAGGGTTTTCCCATTCTCGAAGTAGAGGTTAGGCCTGGGAGTCCTCTGGTCCCATCGGCAGTCTGCCCTTTTGCTGAGCCAAATCCACTTCCTCTGGTGAAAGGTGCAAGAAAAGCGCTTTTCTTTTCATCCTACAAAGAGGGACCTACTTTAGATGAGGTATAATGCTGTGGCAATCCCGGATGTTTGAAATTCCCAAGTCATCCCCTCAGGCTGGTGAAGGGGCCCACGGCTCTCAAGAGTCAACCTGTGCCTTTGGTTCAGAATACTTGACCTGAGTGTGCGCGTGTGGGTTGAAGAAAACAGCTACTGTTTTGATGTGCGGTACTTTTGGTTCCTGCCTAAAACCGTGATGAAACCAGTGCCTCTGGAATCAAAATATCCAGCTCTTGTTCCCTTTCCACTCTTTCTACAAGGTCAACAAGTTAGGTAACAGTTTAATTTGCATCATTCCAAAATTTAGAGTAATTAGAATATTAAAATTTAGGGTAATTAGGGAGATAATGGAACTATAAGCATGCCAGGAGTTTATTTTACTTTTCTTCTCTCTTTTTTTTTTTTTTTTAAAGGCTATGAAAAATCAGATATGACCCCTTTAACGTTACTTTAAAAACACAATTTTAAAGGTAGGCTAATATGAAACTGAAACTATAGGAAAGAAAGGGCTTTCTTAGTTATGCTTTTGACATTATTTTCCAGAATCCAAAATGCCATGTTTGCTTGCTTCTACACAATGGCATCTCCTCTCCCTGCCTCCCCCAAAAAACAAAAACCAACCAATCTAAAAAACTTTATATTCCACCAATAACTTGGAGCAAGTCATTTAATCATCAGCTTATTTTTAAAGGCTAATGTTCTTTGGTGATTGCCTAGGAAAACTCAGAGACTCTCACTTGAACTACTTCAATCTGTGAAGAGGAAAAAAATACTTTTGTTTTGCTGGTCGGAGGAGGGTTTATTTATGTGTCTCATTTTACAAGCCTAAGCACTGCAAATGTAAACTCTCTGAAGGAAGATTTTTGTTCTAATGACTTAACTGAAACCAGAAGCATCTCTCTTTGATTTACTGGAACAAGTCCAGTGTGGTCTTGATCTAGCATTATAGAACACGTGTCTCTACCTATGCAGCTGAGAAAACTTACCTTTTCTGTTCCAGCCAAGTAATTTCTCAAAGAATGAGGATGGGTGAAGTCTAGCAAAAAACAAACAAACAAACAAACAAAAGTTAAAAAATTCTCCAGATGATTCTTATAGAAACTGAAGTTTGGGAACCCCTGCTTAAGGCAATACTTACTTTTTCCCTTTTTAATTTTTTTTTTCCTTTTCAGCTTTCCCTACAAAACAACACATTATGTTTTTCCTGAATGTTTGAGCACTGAAAATATATAAATAACACATTCTGGATAAGTATTTTCTTCCTGTTATGTTTGACTGTCTCATTGAAAACATTTTAACTCTTTTTAAAAAAAATTCTTAAAACTTTACTTTTTAAATGAACATACAGTAAAATTGACTTTGTACGTGAGCACAGTTCTGTGAATTTTAACACGCATACACATTCAAGTAACCACTCCCACAATCAATACAAAACAATTCCATCACCCAGAAAATTCCCTCACGCCATCCTTTTGTTGTCAGAACCCCCCACCGCCCCAACCCTGCAACCCTGACCCTTAGCAAGCACTGCCATTACCCATCACCAAAGTGTCTCTTCCACAAGGTCACGTAAATGGAATCATACAATATATAACCTTTTGAGACTGGCTTCTTTCAGTCGACATAATGTATTTGAGAGTCATCCAAGCTGTTGCATGTATCCATAGTTCTTTTTAAAATTAATATTATTATTATTACTGAGCAGAATTCCATTGTGTGGACATAACGCTTTTTTCACCCGTTGTAGGGTATTTGGCTGCTTCCAGTTTTTGGCTGCTATAATCAGTATAAATAGAGCTGGGTTTGTGTTAAATCTATAGATGAATTTGGGGGAGGATTCCCAACTTTACATTGTTATCTTCCCATTTATGTGTGCAGTATGTCTTATAAATAGAGCTGCTATCATCATTCCTGTATAGGTTTGGGGGTGTAGATAAATTTTCATGTTGTAATACTTAGGTAATTCCTAGTAGTGGGATGCTGAGTCAGCTGGTAGACGTGCCTGGAACTTTACGAGAAACCGTCACAGTGTTTGCCATAGTATTTTCACGTTTTCAGCCGTTCTAATAGATGTGGAGGGTATCTCATCATGGTTTTTAAGTTGCCATTTCTTAATGGTTAATGATGTTGAACATCTTTTCCTGAGCTTATTTGCCATCCCTTTAGTGAAGTGCCTGTTCAAGTCTTTTGCTCATTTTAAAAATTGGACTGTTTGTTCTCTTAATGTTGAGTTTCGAGAGTTCTTAATATATTCTGAATACAAGTGTTTTGCTGGATATGTGATCAGTAAATATTTTCTCGGTCTGTAGTTTGTCTTTTCATTCTTTTACCAGTGTCTTTCCCAGAAAAAGTTTTTAATTCTGATGAAGTCCAGCTTACAATTTTTTTTTTCTGTTATGGGTCATGATTTTTCCCTATGTTTAATTCTAAACATTTTATAATTTTGTATTTTACATTTAAATGTATAACTTAATTTGAGTTAACTTTGGAATAAGGTATGAGATTTAGGTCAAGGTTCATTTTGTTGCATTTGGATGCCCAAATGCTTTAAACATCGCTTATTGAGAAGACTATCCTTTCCCTATTGAATTGCCTCTGCACACTGATCAAAAACTCAACTGGAAAACAGTAGTTGCCCATGGGGGGAGGCAACACAGGGGAACTTTCTGAAGTAATGGAAATGGGCATATACTTTACAGGGTGTGGCTTACATGGGTATATGCCCTAGTCAAAACGCATCAATTTACACACTTTAAGTCACGGCATTTTATTGTGTGTGAATTATACTTCAATTAAAATAACATCGGTTGGCCATCTTTGTGTAGGTCTATTTCTGGAAGTCTATTCTGTTCCGTTGATCTACATGTTTATCTTTCTGCCAATACCATGCTATCTTGATCTCAATTACTGCAGCTTTACAGAAGCCTTAAAATGGAAAAGTATGATTTCTCCAACTCTATTCTTTTTAAAATCCTGCTAGCTATTCTTTCTTTGCCTTTCCATATACATTTAGAATCAACTTATTTCTGTCTACAAAAAATCCTGTTGGGATTTTCATTGGGTTTGTGTTACATCTATAGATGAGTTTGGGGGGGTTAACATCTTTACATTATAATTTTCCAATTCTTGAGTGCAGTATGTCTTTTCATTTATGTAGGTCTTCTTTGATTTATTTCATCTGCGTTTTATTGACCCTTTACATATTGCATTAAATTTATACATAAGTATTTCAATGTTTGGAGTTATTTTAAACGGCATTTGAAAAATACCTGGTTTCCAGTTCCTTATTAGCAATAAGTATACAGAAATATCATCAACTTTTTTTTTTTTACTTGTACTCTACAACATTGCTAAACTCGGTTATTAGTTCTAGGAGGGGTGTGTGTGTGTGTGTGTGTGTGTCGAGTGTGTCTGTTTTTTGGACACATGTAAACAGTAATTTCATCTGTGAACAGGGATAGTTTTATTTCTTCTTTTCCAGTCTGGATTCCTTTCTTTTTCTTTCCTGATTGCACTGGCTAGGAATTACAGTACGACATCAAATAGGAATGGAGGTAGAGGAAGTCTGCCTTGTTCTCATTTACAGGAGGAAAGCATTCAATCTTTCACCATTAGGTGTGATTTTTGTTGGTTTTTTAATGATGTTCTTTATTAGGTTGACAAAAATTGCTTTTTGTAGTTTGCTAAGAGTTTTTCATAATTTCTTTAAATCATGAATTGATATTGAATTTTGTGAAATGTTTTTACTGTATTAATTTATATGATCATATGGCTTTTTTCCTTTTGACTATTGCTATTACAATGACTGATTTTTCAAATACTGAACTAACCTGGCATAGCCCAGGAGAAACTCCACTTAGTTGTAATTTATTATTCTTTTTATACATTGCTAGCTTCAAATGGCTAAGATTTTGTTAAGGATTTTTGCATCTATGATATATTAGTCCGTTCTCACATGGCTATAAAGGACTGCCCAAGACTGAGAGTTTATAAAGGAAAGAGGTTTAATTAACTCACAGTTCCGCATGGCTGGAGAGGCCTCAGGAAACTTTTAATCATGGTGGAAGGGGAAGCAAACACATGATGGCAGGAAGAAGTGACAAGCAAAAGGGGGAAAAGCAACTTATTAAACCATCAGATCTCATGAGAACTCACTCACTATCATGAGAACAGCAGCATGGGGTTAACCACCCCCATAATTCAATTACCTCCCACAGGGTCCCTCCCAGGACACATGAGGATTACGGGAACTACAATTCAAGATGAGATGTGGGTGGGGACATAGCCAAACCATATCATATGTTCGTGAGGAATGTTAGTCTGCAGTGTTTTTATCTTGTACTGTCTTTGGTTTCAGTATCAGGATAAACGAGTTGGGAAGTATTCCCTCCTCTTCTGTCTTGTGGAAAAGATTGTATAGAATTGTCATTATTTAATCATTAAATATTTGCTAGAATTTTTCTGTGAAACTATCTGGAACTGTAGATTTCTCTTTTTTTTTTTTTTTTTTGGAAAGTTTAAATTATGAATACTCTCTGGGCTCAGAAGTGGCATGTCCTGTTTCATTCCTGATATTCATGATATTCATTCTCTTTTTTTTTCCTTGTCAGTCTTTTTAGACATTTATAAATTTTACTGATTTTTTCAAAGAACCAACTCTTAGTTCATTGATTTTATTATCTGTCTCTTTTCAACTTAATTGATTTCTGTTCTCTTCTTCATTATTTCTTTCAATTGATTTGGGTTTTTATTTTCCTTTTTTAGTTTGTTAAAGTGGAAGCATGGATTATTATTAAGACTTTCTTTTCTAATATAAGCATTTAATGCTAAGAATTTTCCTCTAACCACAGCTTTAGCTCTAGCCCACAAATTTTGATATATTTTTCTTCATTTTCATTCACTGCACAATATTTTCTAATTTTTTTGGAACGTCTTCTTTGACCCATACATTATTTAGCAGTATATTAATACTTGTCAAGTGTTTGAAGATTTTTTCCTGTTAACTTTCTCTCACTGATTTCAAATCTAATTCCATTATAGTCAGAGAATATACTTTATGTAATTTTAATTCTCTCAAATTTGTTAAGGTTTGTTTTATTACCCAGAATATTGTCCCTCTTGGTGAACGTTTCACATGCACTTGAAAAGAATGTGTATTTTGCTGTTGCTGGATGGAATGTTGTATACATATCAATTAGACCCAATTGTTTAATGATGTTGTTCAATTCTTTTATATCCTTGTTGATTTTCTATCTATTTGTTCTGTCAATTACTGAGAAAAGAAGGTTGAATTTTCCAATTATAATTGTGGATTTATCTATTTTTACTTTTAGTTCTCTCAGCTTTTGTTTTGTGTGTTTTAAAGCTCTGTCATTAGATGTACAAACATTTGGAATTGTTATTTCTTCTTGCTGTCTTCTCCTCTTATTATGTAGTCTCCCTCTTCATCCGTGTTAATTTTTTTTGCTCTGATATTTACTTTATATGACATTGATATAGCCATTCTAGCTTACGTTTTATTAGTTTTTACATAATATATCCTTTTCCTCCTTTTACTTTTAGCCTATTTTTATCATTATATTTGAGATGAGTTCTATATAAACAATATATAGTTGGGTCATTTTTTAAATCCGTTCTGACAATCTCCATCTTTTAATTCAGATCACTTATATTTTAGTGTAGATATTAATATATTTGGATTTAAGTCAACCATTTTATTATTTGTTTTCTATTTGTTCCCTGGGTTTTCTGTTCTTGTTTCCCCTTTCCTGCCCTTTTTATTGGTTATTCGAGCATGTTTTTGTATTCCATTTCATTTGTCCATTCTGTTTCTCCCCAGTATTTTGAGATTTTCCAACTACCTTACTGTTACTGATTTCTAATTTAATTTCATTATGATCTGAGAACATAGTTTGTATGTATGTATCCTCTTTTATGACTATATTTCTTTGAATAGTATTTTGCAATAGTACTTAAAATATACTTTCAGGGATTACAATATACAGAACATTTCACTTTTCTTTTTTCAATTTATTTATTTATTAAAATATTTTAACTTTTATTTTAGGTTCAGGGGTACATGTGCAGATTTGTTACATAGGTAAACTCATGACTTGGATGTTTGGTGTATAGATTATTTCATTACCCAGGTGCTAAGCATAGTACCCAAGAGTTTTGGGGTTTTTTTCTGAACCTCTCCCTTCTCCCACCCTCCACCCTCCAATAGGCCCCAGTGTGTGTTGTCCAGCTGTCCTCATCATTTAGCTCCCACTTATAAGTGAGAACATGTGGTATTTGGTTTTCTGTTTCTGCATTAGTTTGCTAAGGACAACGGCCTCCAGTTCCATCCATGTCCCTGCAGAGGATATGATCTCGTTCTTTTTTTGGCCACATAGTATTTCATGGTATACATGTAAACATTTTCTTTATCAAGTCTACCATTGATGGGCATTTAGGTTGATTCCATGTCTTTGCTATTGTGAATAGTGCTGCAATGAATATACACATGCGTGTGTCTTTATGGTAGCACAATTTATATTTTGGGGGGTATATTCCCAGTAGTGAGATTGCTGGATTGAATGGTAGTTCCATTTTTAGTTGTTTGAGGAATTGCCACACTGCTTTCCACAATGGTTAAACTAACTTATATTCCTACCAGCAGTGTGTAAGCATTCCCTTTTCTCCACAACCTCACCAGCATCTGTTATTTTTTGACTGTTTAATAAATAGCCATTCTGACTGGTGTGAGATTGTATCTCATTGTGGCTTTAATTTGCATTTATCTAATGATGAGTGATATTAAGCATTTTTTCATATGCTTGTTGGCTGCATGTAGTTCTTCTTTTGAAAAATGTCTGTTTATGTCCTTTGCCTACTACTTTTCATTTTTTGCTTGCAAATATTTTAGCATCTCAAGTTGAATACAGAAACCTTTAGCATATATAGGCTTTTTGCTGCAGTTATTTTATTTACCACATTTACATACAGTGAAAACCCCATTAGACAATGTTATAATTTTGGCTTTCAACCATCAATAATATTTTTTAACTCAATAGGAGAAGAGTAGTGTGTTATATTTATCCAGAAATGTACCATTCTGGTAAGTTTACCGTTTCTTTTCTCTTTCTTCATTCCTGATGTTCCAAGTTTCCTTCTGGTATCATTTCTTTTTGCCTGAAGAATTTCTTTGGAAATTCCTTCGGCTGTTGGCAATGAATTATCTTAGTTTTCATTCACCTGAGAATGTCCTTATTTCAACTCATTCCTGCAGGACATTCTTACTGGAATAGAATTATGGCTTGACATTTGTTTTCTTTCAGCACCTTAAATATATACTGTGCAGAAATATGAACTCTGTGGTTTCTTATGAGTAATCTGCAGTCACTTCAATTGTTGTTCTCCTATAAGTAATGTGTCCATTGTTCTCTCGTTGCTTTCAAGATTTGTTTCTTTTTCTTTGGTTTTCAGTTTTATTATGATATGTCTGGGCATGGGTTTCCTGAAGGTTTATGTTGTTTGAAGTTTGCTGAGCCTCCTAATTCAGCAGGTTTATTCCTTTTGCCAAATTTGGGAAGTTTTAAAGTTGTTATTTCTTCAAAAGTATTTTGCATGCTTGATTCTTTATCTTCTTCTCAGAGTCCAATGAGAGGAATGATAAACCTTTTGGTATCGTCGCTCAAGCTCTGTTTGTTTTTTTTTTAATCTTTTTCCTTCTCTGTTGTTCAGACTGTATACGTTCTATTAATCTATCTTCAAGGTCACAGACTTTTTCTGCTACATCTTCCTTCAGCTGATGAGCCCGTTAAGTGAGCTTTATTTCCATTATCGTGTTTTCTGTTTTAAAATATCTATTTCATTCTTTACATTTTCCATTCCTTTCCTTAGACTTTCCATTTTTCCATGTATTTCAAGAGTGTTTAGGATTTCTTGCTGAAGCATTTCTTAATAGCTGCTTTAAAGTTTTTGTCAAATAATTCCAATATCTGTGTTAGCTCAGCGGTGGCATCTTTTCCCGAGTGCATCGAGATTTCCCTGTTTTTTGTATGCTGAGTAATTTTGGCTTGTATTCTGGACATGTTAAATATTATGTTACAAAACCCTGGGTTTTGCTTAAATCCCATGGAAGTGTTGACTTTTTCATTTTAGCAGGTAATCAACCCAGTCAGGTTCACACGTCAATTTCCAACCAGCTCTCTGGGGGTTGTGGTCTTAGGGTAAACTCAGTTTTGACTCCTTGGCAGTGCAGTGCTGTTCAGATCTGTCCGCTGTGTTCACCACCTGGGGCCCAGCCCAGAGCCTGGGTGATCGTCTATTCCTAGTTCAGTGCTAAGGTCTCTATATGTTGCGTAGGGTCACATCCAGGTGTGAGTAGCCCAGGGGTGAGTCCAGGAGTTTGTAAACAATCTTCTCCCTTCTCTCCCGAATGTCTTCGACACTTTTCCACTCCCTGAGCGCCCCTATTTGCTCATTTAGACAGAAAACTGGGACTTTATTTATCTGCCCTCTGCCATACATTCCACAGCTATGCTGATGGCTGTGACCAATATGGGGACAGAGACAGTAAAGAAACAACAGAAGTTTGCCTCCCTCTCTGGGGACCACAGTTCCTCCTATCAATGAGGAGCCTCCGTGTCTGGGAGCCTCTGTGTCTACCTCTGAAACCACTGCCATTAGCATCTCAAGATGACCTGTGGGCTGAGGAGCAAAAGAACAGAAGAAAGAAAGAGTAAAAGAAGAGAATCATATTTCCCCACCCTCTCTCAATATTCGGAGGCTCCTCTCCCTTTCCTGAAGCCGGAACTAGAGGCTTCTCCTGGAGCTTTCTCTGTCCATATTGATGCCTATCTCAGGTTTCAGGATGCACTGAGTTCAGGCCAGTGGATACCAGAGAAGGAAGAAGGGTAAATTCACAGCTGATTTGATGGTGCTTCAAATTTGGTTCTTCCCTCGGCATCTGCTACTATTTACTTTCAGAGTCCTCAAATAGCTGATCCCTGAAATCTCTCCAGGTGGTGTAGCTGCTTTCAGTGGCAGAATATATTAATTATATTTTCTTATTTTCTGTATTCTTCATACTTTGGCATCTGGGGCCTTGATGATTTGCGGGGAAAGGACTACCCCTCTCTAATTAGCTAATTCCTAAGGCAGCAAACAACTGCCCCCCACCCCCAACCCTGCCCCCCAGCACACATTTCATATGTAAACCGACTAATCCAAAGCTCACGCCCACCAACCATCCCTTATATTGTGCCCTTACACTCCAGGCCATTATCCACCTGTTTTCACCACCCCAGGGCCAGATGCCAGACAACTCAGGACAGCCCCTCTACCCCTAGCCTGCTGCTGTTGTTGAACTAGTCAATCCTATGCCTCCTTACCCTGCCTTTCTCATTCTTTTCCATGAAAACCAGGATGAAGGCTCTTCCCTCTGCCTTCTGATGACCCTGGTGCTTCCCCATGTGGCTCCCTGTGGGGCGGGGTATCCACTCCTCTTGGGGAACTATGAGTAACTATCGTCTCCGGGGCAGTCCTCTCCTAATATGTTGGCCCCACAGTGCCTGAATAATAATGAAAGCTACATTTTAAAACAGAAAGGCAGAGTGGAATGTGCTTACTTCATCTCACCTGGAACCCTCTTTTTTTAATGACATAAGTTTATCAGCCAGGACTTTATCAATTACAAATCAGAGAAACTGGCTTATTGCTATGGTCTGAATGTTGGTGTCCCTCCAAAATTCATATGTTAAAATCCTAACCCCCCAAGGTGATGGCATCAGAGGTGGGGCCTTTGGGAGATGATTAGGTCATGAGAGTGGAGTTCTTATGAATGGGATTACTGCCCAAAGACCTACTTTGCCCCTTCTGCCATGTGAGGACACAGCAAGAAGGCACCATCTATGAATCAGGAAGTGGATTCCCACTAGACACCCAATCTTTCAGTGCCTTGATCTTGGACTTCCCAGCTTCCAGAACTATGAGAAATAAATTGCCATTGTTTAGAAGCTACCCAGTTAATGATATTTTATTATAGCAGCCCAAATGGACTAAGACACTTACCTGGAAGAAGAAATTTTTATTGCCTTGAGTATCTGAAAAGTTCAGTTTATTTATTTGTATGTTTGGTTTTGCTTATCTTTACTTTCTCATTTTCTAAAAAACGAAAGTCTATTTTAATGTTGTAGTGGGTGTCTATTGTGCTTCCCTGATAGTATCCCTTCCTCTTCAACTCTGCATCCTTCAAGGAACCATTCCTGACCACTGCCAGGCTGTATGATTTAGGTGGGAGTTACCTCCACCATTGTTCCCCACTGCAGACGGGTCACACACTAGACTGTTCTATTAGCATATTGCAATTTCCTGGCTGTTGTCCTCAGTTTGGGAATGAGAGCCAAGCCCAAGACTTCACACAGAACTATTGAAAAGAGCCTCTCTATTTCTGCTGGTGTTACTGAGTAGAATGTAAATCTGAAGCTGCATCTCCCCATTGCTTTTGAAGAGCTTACCCATTGGTAAAAACAATCAAGAGAAAAGCAAAGCTGAACAATGGAGATAAACAGATTTCTTGATAATATTGATATGGGTCTGCAAATGCCTGAAGTCTTTCCCTTTCCTTTGGCATTTTAGTTGCACAAACTGATAAATTTCTCTTTTACTTGAGCCAGTCTATATTTGTTTTCTGTTACGTGTAGCCAAAAATATTCTGACTAATGCACAAAGGAACTCTTTGTCTATTATACTTTATTGTGGCCTGAATCTTGAGTTGATTATATTTAATCAACAACACATGGAGATTTGTATTGGCATCCCTTGTCAAAATCTATTGGGAGGAATTGTAACTTACTGGATGAATTTTATCTCTCTATATCTTCCTCTTCTTGTTGTTTTTGTCAATGAGCCTTCTGTGCTACCTAGTTTGAATTTTTCCCAGAAGCAGACCCCAAGGAGAGGTTTGAGTGCCCATAGTTTATTTCAGAGGTGATCCCAAGAGCATCAGTAGGGAATTGGGGAAATAGAAGTGGAAAAAGAAAGATGAGGTATTGAGAAGGTTACTACAGAGGGCCATGGGGCCCATTCCAGCCGGGAAACTCTTGGAGACAATGTAGAATGAGCCCCAGAATTATGCCCTCCAGGAGTGAGGGAATGAGGGTTATTCATCTTCCAACTCACATCCATCATTGGCTCAGGGCTGTTCCGAGAACTTTAACTCCCCTAGGACTTTAGCCTGCCCTGCTCAGGAGCCCAGAACAAGCCTTTAGGTGAAGAGTTGCAAGTATATGCAGCAGGACATGGTAGGCATGGGCTTGGGGGACCCTAAGAATACAAATGGATATTGGAGGGGCCCAGGCAGCACTTGCACCAGAAACTGCAAGTGTTCTTGTTTCAATTCCCAGGCTTCTGGCTTAGCCTCTTTTCATATAGTGGCTAAGAAGGTGTATTGATTGCATGTGTGTTGATTCATAAGTAATGACTCTTCAGAAACACAGCAGCTTTAAAACTTATCAAGCTTTCTCCACATTTGAAAAGATGAGATTGAGGTCAAAAGTGGTGATGTTTTCCAGCCTATTTCAATCACTCATTTATGCATTCATATAACAAATACTTTGGGGGAACAGAAATCGATAAGCAAAAGTCCTTATCCTTGCAAAACTCAGAAGCTGATGTCAGGTAGAAACAACTGTAATTACTGGTGGAATAAAATGAGACTTGCTTTAATAAAGGTGGATATAAACTATATTAGAGCACAGGTAGAATGACAAAGAAGGCAGTGTTTGCATCTTAAAAGGTAAGAAGTGAAAAGGGGAGAGTTCCCTGAACCCTCTCGCAGGATGTGCAACAGGAGAGTGGCTCATTTTTCCTGTCACCACACATGTGCAAAGCCCTTATGGGAGGGGGAGCAAACAGATGGGCAGGTGCAGGAGCTGGGGTAAGTGCCCCTGGGCTCCACCCCACAGCAGCATCCAGGGGTAGATGTCTTCAACTCTCGAAGCCCAAGTGGGTGCGTGTTACAGTGTGCTCTTTTAGCCTTGTTGTCTGCAGACAGCTTAAGTGTTAATCAGCTTAGTGCCCTGTTGGTACCTAGGTCCTTGTCCCACGTCCAGGAAGAATCAGGTCGCACATGGACCTGAAGGATGAATGTGGGAGTTTTATTGAGTGGTGGAGGTGGCTTTCAGCAGGATGGATGGGGAGCCTGAAGGGGGATGGAGTGGGAAAATGATCTTCCCCTGGAACTTGGCCGTTCAGCAGCCGCTGAACGGCCAAGCTCCTCTCCGACCATCCCCAGCTGAAATCCTCTCAGCATTCAGACACTCATTCTCTTCTCTCTGCTACGCCGTTCTGCCATTCTTCTGTTCTCCTGTTTGTCTCCTCATGGAGCTGGGGGTTTATGGTTTATATGGGGAATGTGGCAGGCCGAAAGCAACTTTTGGGCATGAAAACAGGAATGCCTGTTCTCATTTAGGGCCATGGGTTTCCAGGTTGAGGGTGGGGCCTTTGCTGGGGAACTGACCTCTTCTACCCAGTATTTCCCTGTCTCCTGTCTGTATCAGAAGGATGAGAGGAAGGAACCTTATTCTCTTTGCTATTACAGCCTAACAAACCACCCCAAACTTATGGCATAGAACAACAACCGTTTTATTATGCTCATGATTCTGTGGGTCATGAAAGGTGGTCCAGAGGACTCAGTTTGTCTCAACCATAATGTCCAGAACCTCACTATGAAGGCTAGGAGTTGACTCAGGGGCTTGTGTGTGGAATCATAGGAAGGCTCCCTTACTCGCTTGTCTGGCAGCTGATGCTGATGCTTGTGAGGAACCCAGCTGGGGTTGCCGACTGAAACATCTACACTTGGCCTCTCCATGAAGCTGCTTGGACTTCCTCTCAACATGGTGGCCAATTCCAAGAGCTTGTGTCCAAAGACAACTTGATAGAAGCTGTGTTGCTTTTTATGGACAAGTCTTGGAAGTCACACAGTGTGACCTCCACCATGATCACAAGCCTGCCAAAACTCAGAAGAAGAGAACTGAGACCCACCTGTCAATGAGAGGAGTATCAAAGTTATGCTACAAGAAGGGGATATAGGAAGGGAGATATTATTGCAACCAGTTTTGGAAAATACCATCTTTAATATTGAAGTGATCAAATTGTGATGAGCATCTGGTATCTAATAATATTTTTCCTGGGTCACTTTATTTTTGATAGATACTATTTTAAATTACTTAAACTACCCCCTCTCATAAAAAGATGAAGAGAGGGATTTATTAGTTGATTTGTTTGCACTCCCGCTCTGCCCACACAGCCTTTCTCCCTGGAACACCCTTTTAGAACCGATGCCATAGGGCTTGGCAGAGTGGGAGAGGCAGGTGTCAGATTAGCACAGTGGATTCTCTTTAGAGGTCAGGGAAGGGCAAAGACTGTGAATATTCTTATCTTTTTTTTTTTTTTTTTTTTTTTTGGTGGGGCAGGGACAGGGTCTCACTCTGTCACCCAGGCGGGAGTGCAGTGGCATGATCTTGACTCACTGCAAGCTCCACTTCCCAGGTTCAAACCATCCTCCCACCTCACACTCCTGAGTAGCTGGGACCACAGACATATGCCACCATACCTGGCTATGAATATTCTTACCTTAATAGTAAAGTTGATTTTAAATGCACATATGCGTATACATGCTAAGTTTCTTTCTTTTCTCATTGGATCTTATTCTTGGGAGTATTGAAAAACCTTAGATTCATTTCATGTGTGGCATTATTCTTTTGAACATTCTAATTTATTCTCCCTTTTGAGTAATTGTGATGAGGCTCAGGGCTGTTTGGGAATGTCTCCTTTGTTCATTACTTGGATTTTTTTAAGCGGAAAGTTTATAGTTTGCATTTTAAAAACCATATTAAAAACATCTTCAAAACTGACATCTCATAATCAGGGTATACACACATGGTGACATTCTGACACCTGGCTGAATGAAGTAGCTAGGAGGCAGTATTGTACTATAGTCTGGCAGTTTTTGGCTTGAATCCCAAATGTGCCACTTACTGTTCTGTGGGTTGTGGGGAAGTTATTCAACTTCCTGCAGTCCTGGTTTCTTAATCTGTAAAATGGGGGTAATGATACTTACTTTTTAGTATTGCACTACACCCTAAATAAGACGATAAAAGTGGTTGGCAGCTAAGAAACGATAACTGAATATTGGGGAATTCTAAGAGAAATTCAAGTCTGGGCTCACTCAGTTCTCACTGGAGATGGAGGGCAGGTCAGTATCCACATAAACACTGTTCAGATTTTTATGTCCCTTCCCTGCCTCCAAGGGCTGAGGAAAGGCAGAAAATCAGCTGAAGCCGAAGGCCTTCTTGTTATACTCGTGTGTGGCAGCGGGTGTCCGAATCCCAGCTGTGAAGGATACTTCCTAGATCAACCACTTCCTCACCTCTCATCTCACTCTCCTGTCTGCTTCTCTTTCATGAGACTGGAAACTTCACTGATGTTTCCTGATTATTTCTCAGGGTCGTATATTAAGTGAGGCGGAAGCAAAGCCTCACGGGGAAGGCAGCCCAGGGCTAAAGCACTCATTTGGTGTGGCCTGCCAGCGCCCTGAGCAGACTGTCTCTCCTTTCCTCCCAATCTAATTTAGAGCCAGACCTGTGGTATCACTCCCAGGCCTGCGATGGAGTTGTCAGGAAGGGCAGAGCCGGAATCTGCCCTGCCTTGTAATTAGAGTCTGGTCTCCTGCGCTGTGTTGCAATGAGACACCCACCAGGTCACTGAGAGCCACTGAAAATGGCAAGAAAATCACCATATTGCCTGATATTCTTCTCACTTGCTCTTTTTTTTTCTTTTTTTTTTTTTTTAAGTAAAAAAGCCGTGAAGCCACAGTGAAATCACTGAAAATGTCAACCAAAAACTGCCCATGTCATTTGGCCCTTGTGTGTGTGTGTGTTTTTAATATTAATTATTATATTGATGGCATTCCACCTTTCAAATTAAATCCCTTTCCTCATTATCTTGGTTTGCTGTTATTGTTGTCTGAGTTGAAATGGATTTCATGACAACTCTGAAAAACCAGAGTTGGCTAAATTTAGCTTTAATTAGGCATCATCTTAGCCCCGTGATTATTTCCTCATTTCATTTGGATTCTACTAACTGGAATGCTGAGCGAGGATTTGGCAAGGTTTTCATGCAATTTTCACATAATTCGCCACCACATTTCTTGCAAGCATGGTGATTGTTTTGAACCACAAATGATTTTTGCAGATAGAGCTTTAATCCCCTTTTATAACTCAGAGTTTATTAGGGATCATCAGGCTATGCTCCATAGTTGGCAAGTGCTGCCAAGAGGAAAACCCAAAACAAAATTGCAGGGCATCTCTGCCTCCTCTGGGCCCTCCAGGTGGTGGGCACCTGTGGTGGAGATTGGCTGTTTTGGGTGGGGTGTGCCTGTCACTTCTGCACAGAGGAATTTCCACCTTTATCCAAATAATGTTGTGGAAAGTGGATCTTTGCAGACTTTAGCTGACCCCTCCTTTTCCTAGAGGCAATCAAGCCTCCTGGTTAAGAAGTAAGCTCCAGTCCAGGCATAGTGACTCATGCCTGTAATCCTGGCACTTTGGGAGGCCAAGGCAGGTGGATCACTTGAGGTCAGGGGTTCAATACCAGCCTGGCCAACATGGCAAAACCCCATCTTTACTAAATATGCAAAAATTAGCCAGGTGTGGTGGCACACACCTGTAATCCCAGCAACTCAGGAGGCTAAGGCAGGAGAATTGCTTGAACCCAGGAGGCAGAGGCTGCAGTGAGCCAACATGGCGCTCCCTGCACTCCAGCCTGGGCAACAGAGTAAGACCCTATCTAAAAAAAAAAAAAAAAAGTAGGCTCTGAAGCTACAATGCCAGATTCAAGTGTTAGCTTGACCTCTCGCCAGCTCTTTGACTTTGAGGAAGTTACTTCTTTGTGCTTCGGTTTGCTCATCTGTAAAGCAGAGATACAGTGGTACTGCTTCATAGTGTCATTATGAGAACCGAGTTAACACCTGTAAAGCATGTAAGTCACTTCTTGGACAGTGTGTGGCACGTAAGTGCTTGCTGCTGCTGTTATTTTGGGCCTCCTGGAAGACAGCACAGAAGAGTTATGTTCAAAAGTAACAATAAAGCAGGGACAGGCTGGAATGAAGGGCAAAACTTCAGTTCCTGGAAGAGAAACTCACAAGAACAAACCAGCATTTAATCCACAGTGGGCATCTATTAATTTTGTCTGCCTGCCATTCATTCTCGTTCCTGGACTTTCCTTCGGGGAGCTGTAAGAGTCAAGATCTGGTTGTCACAGTGGAACCACTCCAGGTATTTCAAATAGAGTGAAATGTATATCGGGAGCTGATTATGCAGATGATGGAAGGGTTGAGAGGCCAAATGATAGATGGCAAGCCTGCCCAGTGGTTAGTGACTCTCTTCTGCACCTAGGGCTGGGGAGGACCAGGGGAGGAGGCAATGCAACCAGAGCCCAGGGCCAATTAGTAGATGCCAGAACTATGGTGAGTCTGATCAGCAGAAGCTGGGACAATGAAGGGAGGGTCCCAGAGGAGACACAGCCATTGTCTATGACACCACCTGAAGCAGAGAGAAAGATAAATTTATTGGCTTCTCGCTCCTCTCGTCCTTCCATCAGTGTCTCCAATTGAATCTACCTGGGAACCAGAGGCAAAGGCTTTAAGGAGATATAGTTCTGCAGAAAGGCATATGAAAGGCCCAGGACCCATCTGTGTCCCGCACTACCCAGTTCACATGACTCTCATGGTGCTGACCTTGACCTTTGGCTCCAGGGGTGGGCCTGTGACCTTGGTCTGGCCAATCCGTGTATTCTACTCTGCTGGCTATAGTGATTCCTTCAGTAATGAGAATGTGGCCCAAGTCATTTCTAGAAGAGTGAACCCTGGAACTTTTGCTGTGACTATTGGGAAGAGCAGAAAGGAAGCTTCTTTCTGCTGGGGTAGCTGGGCTTCCAGAATATAAACCTAAAGTCACTAATGGCCAACTTACTACCATAGAGAAAAACATGGCTTAGAATGAAGCCAACTTAAGGCCAGGAGCAGTGGCTCACGCCTGTAATCCCAGCACTTTGGGAGGCTGAGGCGGGCGGATCACCTGAGGTCAGGAGTTCAAGACCAGCCTGGCCAACATGGTGAAGCCCCATCTCTACAAAAATACAAAAACTAGCCAGGGATGATGGCAGGTGCCTGTAATCCCAGCTACTCAGGAGGCTGAGGCAGGAGAATCACTTGAAACCGGGAGGCAGAGGTTGCCATGAGCTGAGTTTGTGCCATTGCACTCCAGCCTGGGCGACAGAGAAAGACACCATTTAAAAAAAAAAAAAAAAAAAGAATGAAGCCAGCATAAAGAAAAGCAGAACCATGAGAAGGGAAAAAGATTGCTTACAATCTTGTTTGAATACCAGATCCAGTCATGACTGTGCATAGATCTCTTGGTTACGTGAGCCCTTTTAAAAATTATTATTTTTTTTAATGAGTCAATTTCTGCCATTTGCAACTGGATGACTTCGGACTAAGACACAACAGACCTGAGACAGAATTGGGTACTAAGAGATCACTGCAGTCAAAACCAGTGAACAGTGACTGAGGGGGATGTCTGTCTTTGGGGCCAGTTGTAGGATTGGACGGTTTTGAATGAGCCAGATGTCTAGACATCAAAAATGAAGCCCCACTTCAGGACTAGACTAGCAGCATAGGTGATCCTCTCTGGTGCCTGCTTTTCCAAACCAAGTTTTAGACACTCCCTACTTCTCATGCAGAATCTAGCCATAACAAACTTCTTCACAAATTCCTCAGCCTCATTTTTTGTTCTCTTTCTTATATCTGGGGACGCTTGCTATCCTTTCAATAGTGAGAACTTTTTCCTACGCCCATCCTTAATAATTATTTTCCTTATAAATTCTCCTTATGTGTCAGATACTCTGACAATAAACATTATATATAAATACATTTATAGTTGTGTCATAATATAGATATATTTTAATATTATATATTTTAATCTTTATCCATGAGGACAATAACCTATGAGGTCAGAATTATTATTATTTTCATTTTTTAAATGTGGAAATTGAGGCTGAGGTGGGTACATTGACTTGCCCAGGATGTGAACCTTGGCCATCAGACCCTAGACTGCACCCTTCTAGCCATTATGACATGAGGACTCCATCTTGCCTAAACACCCTTATTTAGCCTTTGGGTCTCACTCAGATCTACCCTTAAATCAACGTTGGTTCCCCACTGCTGTGTACTTCCCTGGGCCCGCTGTTCTTCCCTTCTGATAGCTGTCAGCACACTCTTCTATAGTCGCTTTGTTCAATTGTCTGTCTTTCCTGCCAGGCTGGGCCCCATAAATGTGTAGCCTGTGTCCCCTGTGACTCCAGCCTCTTCTCAGTGTCCAGCATATAAAAGATCCTCAGCGACAATTTCAATAACTAAAGGAAGAATGACTGGTGAATGACAGGTGTTGGCTTGAGTGAATCTTGCCTTTTGTTCAGACTGAAACTGAAAGTTATGTGAAAAGTGACCATTGTCACCAAAGGATCAAGGAACTTGGGCTGTAAGGGGCCAAGGATGGATACAGAGAAGAATTTAGACACAGCTTGATCTAGCCCCAGAGTCTGCAGAATGGGGGATTCCAGGCCTGGTACCAGATAAGGAGAGACTGTTAGGCAAGGGGGTCTTGCCACCTCTCAAATCACATCCTGTATCCACCCTGCTCACCCCACAACCTGGATTCTCTTTAGCTGTCTTCTTCAGCAGCTGTGAACTTTCAAAAGCAGGAGTTTTGTCTTTCAGCTCTGTTTCCCAGCTCTCAACCCAATGCCCAGCAGCCCATGGGCCCTCCTGGGTGCTGCTAGCTGTCTAGTCATTCAGTGATGGGGTACTTGCTCCCAAGGCAACCCCCATTGCTCTCCTGGGGCTGAAGCGTGATGGAGAAGGCCACTGTTCATTTCCAGCTAGCTTTCTGCTCTGTGCAGCTTTGGCAGAAGTGCCGACTCTTCAAAGGATGGGTGCATTGACATTTCACAACTCTGCATGCTTTCTGATGATTCCTGATAATGCTATCTGCCAAATAGCAGATATTGCTCTCCACGACTAAAAAATGAGATTGCTCAAATGTCCCTCTAGACATCATAGACAGTTTTCATATTCATTCATTTATTCGCGTATTCATCATTCAGCAAATATTTACTGAACACATATTAAGGCACATGCTAGGTTCATGGCTACCGAGGAGGGCAGTAGGAAATGGATCAGTAAAACATGAATGCTCTCTAAAAGCTGAGTTGAAGACACAAAAGCTACTCTTTCTAAGATACCCACTGTGTGCCAGGCATGTGCTAAATAATCTCCATATATTGTCTCCTTTATTCTTCACTATCACTATTGGATATTAGATGAGGCAGCTGAAGATCTGAATGTGAAAGCTTCTTGCTCAAGACCATACAGCTAGTGAGAAACAGAATGGGGATTCCATTCCCAATCTCTGAGATACCAGTGCCTAGTTCTTTCCTCTGTGCTGCACTGCCTCCAAAATAAGGATCAGATTGGAGGTAAGCAGTGACCTTGGACAAAATGCCACCGAAGATCAATAGGGACCAATTCCAGTCATGGGATTGCCGACCACTGCTGGAAGGTGGAAGCCATCCTCGTGGATCCTTCTAACACCTATCCCCTACAATAGATGAAAAGTGAAAATTCAGTTGATTCTAAGGTACTCATGAACCGTAACATGAGATTATTGAATGTTTGGAATCTACTTTCCATTTCTATAAGATGGCACATGCCCAACAGACACAGCCTTCAGCATTTTTCCATTTTACCATGCCTGGCACCAAGCATCTGACCTGCTGCGTTCCATATGGAACAGGATTCTGAGAGCAGACCAGGTGGTACGGTGGTGGGCCTCCCTCTTTGGAATTGGATGTTAGCACTGTCTGTCATTCTAGGGACTGAGAAGTCAACCTGGGAATGATAAGAAGCTAGGGAAAACTTTTCTCCTCCGTATGGGAGACCTTGATCTCTCGGCGGGTGGCTTAGCTGTATCCTTGGCTTGTGGAGGTCTCCTGGGAAGCAGGTAAGTCCCCGAGGATAAGCTCAGGACAGTAGGCTCTGGAAGTGGCAATTCCTGGAGCAGATGTGAGTTATCCTTTCCAACTCCCAAGTCTTCAATAAACTCATTAGAAGAGAAAAAGTAGAAACGGCAAGCATAAATGTTTAATCATCTAGGTTTATATCCTTTCACTGACTAGCTGTGTGCTGCTTCTCAGCTCATTTAACTTCTCTGAGCCTGTGATTTCTTATTTGTAAAATGGGGACAACAATAGTACCTAACTCATAGTATTATTTTAATTACTTTTCCAGACACAGGCTGGCTGTAAACTTAAGAGAATTATCCTAGACATTAAAAGCTATATAATCGTACTTAAAAAATAAATCTTTCCCCAGAGAAGTTCCAATTAGATGTTGATGGGACAGAGTATTTTCATTCTTTTTCTTTTTCCTTTTACTGTTTTTTTTTTCCATTGAAGGAAGTAGAAAAGCATTAGAGCTTATTAATGGAATGATTATTACAAAGGTGCCATAAAGAAATGGGGTTAAGGCCGGGCGCGGTGGCTCACGCCTGTAATGCCAGCACTTTGGGAGGCCGAGGCGGGCGGATCACGAGGTCAGGAGATCGAGACCATCCCGGCTAAAACGGTGAAACCCCGTCTCTACTAAAAATACAAAAAATTAGCCGGGCGTAGTGGCGGGCGCCTGTAGTCCCAGCTACTTGGGAGGCTGAGGCAGGAGAATGGCGTGAACCCGGGAGGCGGAGCTTGCAGTGAGCCGAGATCCCGCCACTGCACTCCAGCCTGGGCGACAGAGCGAGACTCCGTCTCAAAAAAAAAAAAAAAAAAAAAAAAGAAATGGGGTTAAAATGAATGTATAATGATAACACCACTTTGGTTAAACTTATTTATTACTGAACATATTTAAAAAGAAAAATGGATAGTAATTTAATTCCATTTGTAACACTTTCATGAAATTTCCATTAAATGGTGAAGAGTGCATATTTTGAAACATGCTGTTCTATTTGTCTAGGAGAAGAAATTTCATTGCTTTGGAAGCGAGAGGCTGCTGAATAGAATTTCCTCTCATAAATAAGGCATTGTCCTAGAAATCTGGTCTTCTTTATCCCACTATGTTCAGTTGTTCAGCTACTCTGCTAATTGTTGGAATTGGCAGTTTTCAAAGAAATCAACATGAAGAGCTCTGCAAAGTAAAATTGGGCATTTGGTTATAAAATCTGGTATAAAGCCATTACAGTGCACTATTGGGAAAATCAGCGCAGCTTCCAACTTCATGAGCCATTAACAAAGCGTAGACTCTAAACACACAGACATATCTCTTGACAAAGCATAATGTTATAGGTGATTTTCTGGCTGATTTCAATTAAGTGCCTATATTTTTAAATTATTTTAAAAATCACAAATAATTTTTAAGTGATTTGAGGCACTAAATGCTAAGGTTGAAATCTCAGCTTACTAGCTCTGTGACCAAAGTACTTAAGCTTCTTGAAGCTTCAGTTCCTTTTCAACTCTATAAAATGTGAATAAGAATACTTACCTCATGGCTTGAAGTGAGGATTTAGTGAAGTAATATGTAAAGTACCTAGCACACTTCTCAAAAATCTTTGGTATTATTTTCTTAGTTGTCATTATTATTGTAGTTGCAAATGATAGAAACGCAACTCAAATTGGTTTCAAAAATAACAATGATAACATATATTGGGGGCTTACTGTGTGCCACTTGCTGGGATAAACACTTCATCCTAATTATTTTAGTTAACCAAAAGGAATTTTTAAAATTACATAAGTGAAAAACCTAGGTTTGGTCTGGCTCCAGGGAATGCCAGACCCAGATGCTCAAATGAAGTCCTCAGCAGTTTATCTCTTTTCACCTTTCCATTCTCTTCTCTATGCTGGCTTCAGGCTCAGTCAGTCAGGGTCTCTCCATTAGCTATCAGCAATTCCAGGCTTTCATATGAATTCTATAATTCATATGGAACCACAAAAGACCACGGGAAGAATTAGGCTCCTCTAACCCAACAGTTCCAGCAAAAGGACCACATGGCTTTTGATTGAATAGTGCCTTTCTCTGACTAATAACCATGACCGGGAGGATGAACCATTCTGATGAACCTGGCCTGGGTCACTTGCCCACGCATTGAGGATTAAGTATAGGGATTGTAGCACTCGGTTTTCAATTGTTCTACTACAGTTTCTGAAAAGCACACAGAACATCATGAATAAGAAAAGACAAAACTCATGGACAACATCAACATCTTTAGCAAAACTAAGAGATTTTAGAAAACCTCAAACCCCAAGGTAGCAGAACTGGCATGAAATCAACCATGGTGCAACAGGAAGGAAAGCAGAATGCTGAAATTTCCTACAAACTGCAAATCTCCCAATGACCAAACACAGGAGAGGGTTGCACCTTGAGTGAGAACTGCTGTGAGCTAATTTGAGAACAAAGAGCAAAATGAGGAGCCTGGGAAAGGAAGTCCTTATACCAAATTATATTTCTATAAATGGAATGGCCTGCAAGTCATGTCACCTCAGTAGAAATGAACACCACAGTACCTGGATTTTCTTCAATAGAAGAAAATCCTTCTTAAAGGACCTGGCACTCCTTAGAGAAATGGCGAGTCTGAAGCAAAGAAGATACTTGGTGAGCCGGAGGCGGCTTGTTCTACCAGAGAGCAAGTAAATTTCCAGGATTAGTAGATTTGTGTCAAAATAACTTAGAAGGCAGTATGAAGGGGCTTCTTCTGGTTACAGATGGGTCAACTGAGCATCAAAAAGAATAACGATTAAGAAGAACAAGAAATAAAAGGCATTTGAATTGGAAAGGAAGAAGTAAAATTGTCCCTGTTTGCAGATGACATGAAGTTATATATAGAAAACCCTAAAGACTCCATTAGAAAATCCTTTAGAACTATTAATAATAAATAAATTCAGTAAAGTAGCAGGACACAAAACCAACATATCAAAATCAGTTGCATATCTATACACTAACAATGAGCTACCTGAAAAGGAAATTAGGAAAATAATCGTACTAACAATAGCACCAAAAAAGTAAAATACTGGAATAAACTTAACTAAGGGGGTGAAAGACTTGAATGCTGAAAACTACAAAACATTGATGAAAGAAGTTAAACAAGACACAAACAAATGGAAAGACATCCATGTTCATCATTTAGAAGACTTAATATAAAAGTCCCCCTTTATCCATGGGGGATACATTCCAAGGCCTCTGGTGGATGCCTCATACCACAGATAGTACTGAAACCTAAATATACTATGTTTTTTAATCTCATAACTGAGATGACTGCTAAGTGATTAATGGGTGGGTGGCATATATAAGATGGATATGCTGGACAAAGGGATGATTCATGTCTCAGGTAGGACAGAGCAACATAACATGAGATTTCATCACACTGCTCAGAATGGCACAAAATTGAAAACTAATGAATTATTTCTGTAATTTTTCATTGAATATTTTCAGAATGTGGTTGACTGTGGATAACTGAAACCATAGGAAGCAAACCTGCAGACAATTGTTGGGGGAACTACTGTATTGTTAAAATGTTCATACTTTCCAAAGTGATCTACAAATTCAATACAATATCAAAATCCTAATGACATATTTTACAAAAACAGAATTCTATAATTCATATGGAACCATAAAAGACCACAGGAAGGAATATTCAAAATCAATCTTGGGAAAGAAGACCAAAGCTGGAAGCATAATACTTCCCAATTTCAGAATATATTGCAAAGCTACAGTAATGAAAACAGTATAGTATATATGTCTATACTGGCATAAAGACAGACATATGGACCAATAGAGCAAATAGCCCAGAAATAAATCCGTGCATAATACATGGTCAACTGGTCTTCAATAAGGGTATCAAGATATACAATGGGGAAAGGACAGTCTCTAATAAATGATGGGAAACTGGCTATCCATCTGCTAAAGAATGAAATTGGATCCTTATACCATATACAATGGTTATTCATAATAGCCAAGATATGGAAAAAACTAAATGTTCATGAGAAAATTAATAGTGAAATGTGGTATATCCACACAGTGGAATATTATTCAAAGTTAAAAAAGAAGAAATTTCTACTATATGTGACAACATAGCTGAACTTTATGAGAATATTATGCTAAGTAAAGCAGTCACAGAAAGCAACATATTGCATGATTCCACATATTTGAAGTACCTAAAGCAGTCAAATTTATGGAATCACACAGTGGCTCATGCCTGTAATCCCAGCTATCCAGGAGTCTGAGCCAGGAAGATCGCTTGAGCCCAGAAGTTCAAGACCAGCCTGGGCAACACAATGAGACTCCCATCTCAAAAAACTAAAATTTAAAAAAGCGGAATGGTGGTTGACAGGAGCTGGAGCTCTGGGACAGAGGCAACAACAGGCATAAAGTTCCAGTCAAGCAAGATGAATAAGCTCTAGAGATCTACTGTGTAACATGGTGCCCCCAGTCAACAATAATGTATTGAACACTTACAAATTTGTGGGTTTTTTTACAAATTTTTAATTTGTAAATGAGAAATCTCATGTTGTTTTCTTACCACAATAAAATTTAATAAAATAATGATTATAGATAAAATGTATTTAATAAATGAAATGTGTGACTTCATAAAGATACTAAAAAAAGAGAAAGCCTGAAAAGACATTATACGAGATGGCCATTAAACCACTCCTTACTTTTTAGTTGGTCATTAAAGGAAAAAAATTAAACATTTTGCCTTTTCCAGTAGGAACTATATGACAGGATAGCCAACTAGCCCACCTGTTGAAGAGAATCTCTACTTTACAAAAGAACACCAGTTAATGAACGTAGAAGAAACGATAAAGGTTGAAAACCTGATCTTGCAAAACCTAATGAAATTATTGATTTAGGCAAGATTTATATATTAAGTGAGTGGGATACAGAACAAGACATAGGACCAAAGTAACATTATATAAATTCCTTTCTGATCATGTGTCAGTTATTTATTGCTGAGTAACAAATCATTCAAAGAATCTAGTGGCTAAAAACAATAATCATTTCTTATTCTTTATTACTCTGTGGGTCAGCTGGTTGGTTCTTCTGTCTGGGCCAAATTTATTGGTCTCTACGGACAGCTGGTGGCCCAGCTGGGGCTGATGGATCCCAGATGACCTCACTCAAATGTCTGGCAGTTAGCAGAGATGGCTGGATGGCTGAGGCCTCCCTTCACATGGTCTGTTGAGATGATCTAGGATGGCTTGACTCACATCTCTGGGAACTCATCTGGACTAGCTGGGGCCATGCTCCATGTGGTGTCTCATCCTCCAGTAGGCTGGCCTGAGCTCCTTCACGTGGTGGTCTCGAGGTTTCAATAGCAAAAGAGGGAAAGCCCTGGTACACAAGCATTTTCCGAGCCTCTGATTGCATGATGTTTATTAGTATCCTATTGGCTGAACAAAGTTGCATAGTGATGCCCAGATTCAAGAGATGGAGAAATGGACTCATTCTCTAGTTAGTATGTCTAGTAGAATTTTCTTCAATGAAAGAAATATTTCATATCTGCCCTGTCTAAGTGGTAGCCACTAGCCACATGGGGCTATTGAGCACTTGAAATGTGGCTAATACAACTGAGGAACTGAATTTTTCATTTTAATTTATTTAAGCTTAAATTTAAATGGGTACATGTGGCTGGTAGCTACCACACTGAGTAGTGTAGTTCTAGATACAGAATCCCTTATGGTATATTCTAGCCAAAAATGCTTGTCTTGAATCCATCAGTCCTTTAGATCTAACCTATCATTTGCAGGAGATGGAGGGGTACAGGAATCAGCTACATGGCACAGTAAGGAAGCAATCAGACAAATCTAGAAGGTGAGATATTCCACAGGAAAACCAGTCCAGTGTCCTCAACAAGCCAATGTCATCAAAAAGGAAATCAGGATAGACTGGGTAGAAATAAGGACTATATCAGCCAGATTTGATTCTTGAGAGGATTTCTGGAGAGGACAAGCCAGTTATAAAGGTCTTTTTAGCTTAATTGGTGAAATTTGAATATGGTTTAGCTATTCAATGACATAAAAATATACTGAGTGGGCCAGACACAGTGGCTCGGCTGAGGTGGACAGATCACTTGAGCCCAGGAATTCAAGACCAGCCTGGGCAACATAGTGATGCCCTGTCTCTACAAAAAATACAACAACAACAACAACAACAAAATTAGCCCAGTGTGACAGTAGTTGTAGTCCTAGTTACCCAAGACACTGAGGTGGGAGGATCACCTGAGCCCAGGAGGTAGAGGCTGCAGTGAGCAGTGTTTGCGCTACCGTACTCCAGCCTGGGCGGCAGAGTGAGACCCTGTCTCAAAAAAAAAGTACTGAAGTGGAAAGGTAAAGATCATTGGCTGAAAATGTAAGTTTTAAGACAGTAAGTGGAGTGTCATCTCACACTGGTAAAGCAGAATACATACTAATATGTGTGTATATAAATACAAATATATGTACAAATACATAAAGATTCGGAAGCATATGGACGAAGATCTAACATATGGTGATTCTGGGTGATGGTAAGGTGAAGTTTTTGTTTGTGTTTCCTAATTTTCTATAAATATAAATGCACTGCTTCTATACTAGTGAAGAGGTTATTCAATATAAAAGAGATAAAGACGCTACTAAGTGTCTCGGAGGTGCCAGAGACAAGCAGCTATTTTACAGTGTTTATGCGCGTGCGTTTGTTTAGGAAATGCTCTATCCCGATAACGTTGCAGATAATACGTGCGGACAAGGGGAGACCTATGAGGCTCAGCAGCTGCTGAAAGGGTTTAGCTAATCTCGAGGATCTGGTAAGTGGATCACTTCCTTGTGACACCACAGAAGCTCCAGCCATCAATTTGGATTAGTCAGTCAGCATATCCCATTGGGCAGCATGTTCTAGAGTGTTCTAGTATGAATCATTCATGGAGGCTTCTGGTTATGTTACTTGGTTTCCCTCAGAAATAATGGCCCCAGGGATTGAATGCTGTGTAACAGAGAAAGTGAATAAATTGGTGCAGGCCCTGCCAGGTGTCAAACAAATAGGAATATATCACAGGAAAAGTGCTCCATCTATAATTAATGACAACATTTTTAAGCTTTACCAGAAATTGATAATACAGTGGTTTCTTTTAATGCATTTTCCCTTTAGTAATGTGTACATATTTTAAAGTAGGTCTAGCATTAAATATACATCAAACTCTTCTTATAGAAAAATGTAATCGTTGAATAGAAAAATATTATATTTATAAATATCTCATTGTTACATTTTATGCAATTATTCACTCTGGGTGTTCAGTGTAGAAGTTTCAGGAATATAATACTTGTCACAGAAAGCATATTCAAGACTATCAAGTAAAAAAGCAAACTTATGACTGCCAATTTTTTTGAACTTTTGGCATAATTTCCAAATTGCTACTGTCATAATAAAAATCTAGATTGCCACTAGTTTGTCTTGGAATTACATGGCTATCTTTTAAAATAAGCATATATTGTCATTTCTGAGTTACAAACCCATTTAGGTAGCTTAATCTTTCTAGCAGTCAACTGAATAATTAAATAGTAAGGTAAGAGCTTTTATTATCCCTCAAATCTGCAATTGAACATTTGCCATGAAACAAATGGATACATTTCTCTTCAGGATCCATTAGGGAGAAAGGGGAATTTTAAAACTCTTAAAGTCTAGCAAACAGCAGTTGTTCAAGTGTTAAGTTCTACCAAATAAAATTAAGTGAAATCAAATTCTCTTCCCATTTGTATACTTTATGTCTTTGTTCAAATTGCTTGTTCTGAGACACAATAGGCTGTCACACCTGTCCCCTAAATTTCCAAAACATTAAGTCATCACTCTATTGTCTAACTTCTATTAGTGCCATATGCATTCTCCCTTAAATTTGAGAGTAAACACAAGCTTTAACAAGTTCCCAAAATCATCTTATTTTTTTCAAGAGTCTCCAACAGTCAACATTGTTATCAAGTCCCTAAGAATATTATTGTTTCATTATAGTTCATTTGCAATTGATACACAATATGATTTTTTGGTTATAGACAAAGAACAAGAATGATTTTGTGCACCTTTGTATTTATAAGTGGTCTCTCAAACTGCTGGCCCAGGGATCCATCAATAAACATCCATCAGGTTTATTGAGCATAGTTATCTACAAAGTGTTTCATCTAAATGAGGAAGGTGGTGGGCATCACAGGAGGAGAAAGGCAAAGCCTTCAGAGCTAGATAGTGTGCATTGCACATATTCATTCTTCTATATACAACAAGAACTTGCAATACACCAAGCATCATGCTAGGTGTTAGAGACACAGCAGTGAACAACACAGGCACTCACGTAATTTTCAGACTGCTGGGAGCACCAGATATTTGAAGTAACTATGCAATTAATTAACTGCAATCATGAGAAGTGATATGAAATACACACATGATAAGAGTATGTAACAAGGCAACCTGACCTGTTGGGGACAGAAAATGAGGGCTGAATGGTGGGCAGGGGATCACTTAGGAAAGGCTTAACTAAGCAAAGAGAAGGAGGAGAAGGAGTTAGTAGATGAAGAGCAGAGAGTATTACAGACAAGGAGGGAACAGCATGTACTAAGGCCCTGGGGTGGGAAGGAGCATAGCAGTTCTAGGAATTGAAAGAAAGCAAGGATGGTTGAAATGCAGAGACTGAATAAGAGAATGGCAGGATATGGCCAGAAAGAAGCAGAGGTCAAGGAGATGATACAGGTCACCCAAAAGACACCATGTAAATTTCATTTTCTGGGGTTAGGTTTGAGAAAAAAGGAAAGATTGGGCCAAATAGTTAGGCTTTAATATAATAAACAACAGTGCCCCCATTTGAGTAGGAGAAAAAACTTTCTGTCAATGGTATTTGAGCAATAGAGCATAGCTAGGTTGGTAAAAGGGGAAAAAAATACGCAATCTGAAGAGAAACCAGAGTATTAGCCAGGCTGGGATCAGGAGTGAGACTGGAGACAGAGCTTCCAGCTCAGAGGATCTGCAGAACTCTGTCCAAGGGGCTTATGAGTAGACGTGGAAGGAAAAAAGGAAACGTGCAGCTGAGACACATTCATTAGAGGGACAAGAACCCACTGGCTTTGTGAGAGAACAGAGGAAAGGAGGGAAGGAGAGAGAGGAATTGAAACAAAGCAAAGAATATGAACAATGCTCATGGCATTGATTCACCAATAATTGATAGGAGTTGGTGGAAAATACCCCTCATCTTCATGAGTCGTGTTCTGTAGCATCTCCCAGAGGTCCCCAGTGGGATTGAGTCTTCGTTTTTACATTTCTTCTTCTTTTTGTTTTTGTTTTGCTTTGTTTGAAATGAGGTCTCACTCTGTCACCCAGGCTGGAGTGCAGTGGCACGATCATAGTTCACTGCAGCCTCAACCTCCCAGGCTCAAGCGATCCTCCCACCTCAGCCTCCCAAGTAGCTGGGACCACCACTGAGAGCTACCATGCCTGGCTAAGACACTAAGACAGGGTGAGTAGAGAGGAGAAGATGGAAAACACACACACAAGCACACATACACGCATTTTAAGTTTGGCAGCTTCGACACAGACGACAAGTGGGATATAGCTTTGGCCACCATTTCCATGCACATGATCACTGAATCCCACAGAGGCTGAGTTTCTCAGAGAAGAGAGGCTCAGACATTGCTGAAGGATCTGGGAAGGTACACTTAAGGTGGTGTCGGGGATGCTGTTATGAATGAGAGTGACAAAGGGGTTTGGTTTTGGAGGCTTCATTGCGGAAAGCTTTCAAAACAGTTGCTCAGAAATTTGGAGGTGAATCTATGCCTTTGAGAAAATTGTGGAAGAACAGCACACGTGATATATGGAAAACTTCTGTGTTTACGTAATTTTCTTGTCATTATTTTGTGTAGTAATATTGTTACTTCAGTAAGAGGTTAGGCAATTTATTTACGAAAACTGGCTGGGCACGGTGGCTTATGTCTGTAATCTCAGCACTTTAGGAGACTGAGCCAGGCAGATTGCTTGAGCATTAAAGGTCAAGACCAGCCTGGCTAACCTCTCCAGACTCTGTGTCTACAAAAGATTTAAAAATTAGACAGGTGTGGGGGAACGCACTTGTAGTCCCAGCTACTCAAGAGGCTGAAGGGAGAGAATCACCCGAGCCTGGGAGGTTGAGGCTGCAGTGAGCCAAGATCGTGCCACTGCACTTAAGCCTGGACAATAGAGTGAGACCCTGTCGCAAAACAGCAATAACAAAAGAAAGCTAATTTGTATGTGCCTTATAGGATCCACTTAAGGATAGTTCTAGTATATTTCCAAAGGTTTTTTTTTTTTTAGAACTTCAAGAAGGCTTTTTTTTTTTTCTGGTATGTTTCCAAAGGTTTTTTTAGAACTTCATGAAACCTGTTGCCCAGGCTGGAGTGCAGTGGCATGATCAATCTTGGCTCACTGCAACTTCTGTATCCTGGGCTCAAGTGATTCTCCTGCCTCAGCCTCCCGAGTAGCTGGGATTACAGGCATGCGCCACCACACCAGACTAATTTTTGTATTTTTAATAGAGATGGGGTTTCGCCATTTGGCCTGGCTGGTCTCAGATTCCTGACCTCAAGTGATCCACCCACCTCGGCCTCCCAAAGTGCTGGGATTACAGGCATGAGCCACTATGCCTGGCCTACACAAAACCAATTTTTAAAATGCTGAGTGTACACTGCCTTACACTTATCTAGCCCATTGTTATCCTAAATATTTCACAACAATTTACACCGCTTTAATCCTTACCAAATATTGGTGAGGAAATGCATTCTGATTCTCATTCTCAAGATGAGGAAATTGACACAGAGAGGAAAAGTGACTCATCTAGTTACTAGTTACTTCCATGGTTGATGATAAACCTGACACAACCGTGCGGACGGCTTCACTTCTAGCATATCTCTGGTTTGAATTTAATTAGAAATGAGTCTAATTTAATAGGTTTGTTCTGTCGTTGGACATTTCATGGTTTATGAAGGAAATGCTCCTGGAGCTATCATTTTGAAATGAAAGGGCATGTGTTCTAAGAAGGTTTTTTTCCTCCCCTAGGAGCTATTTAGATTACGTAGTTCAATGGGGTTATAATAAAGATTTGTCTTTTCTTGTGGTCCCTTAAGAAAAGGACTTCAGTAATAAAAGATCTTTTAAGATGAAGGGCTTACCCCCCTAACCCACAAAAAACCCCCACAGGATCAGGAAGTATAGCTGGGGACATACTTCCAAAGAAATTTAGTCCAATAGAGTTCACTTGATATTTTTAAAGGTCTCTATTACCTAAATTAATAAACTGAATATTTTCCAATTTTTTCCTTTTTCTGTCTTAAGCAGTTTACTTCTGTCTTCTACTTAAAGATGCTCATTAAGATTGATCATCACACCAGGCATGGTGGCAGGCACCTGTAGTCCCAGCTACTTGGGAGGCTGAGGCAGGAGGATAGACTGAGATTAGGAGTTCAAGATCAGCCTGGGCAACATAGTGAGACCCCATGTTAAAAAATAAAAATAAATTGATCTTCAGAGAGTGTATTGGTTTGCTAAGGCTGTTATAAGAAAATACCACAGACTGTGTGGCTTAAACAACAGAAGTTTCTCATGGTTCTGGAAGCTGTCCAAGATCAAGGTGCCCGCAGGTTTGGTTTCCTTCTGAGGCCTCTCTCCTTGGCTTGCAGATGGCCACCTTCTTACTGCTGTTAAAGCGAACTAAATATGGCCTGAGAAGGACTCCGTACTTCTATATTTGAGTCCTTGTGGGCGAACTGAAGCCTAACTTAATAGGTAGACAAGATCGAAACCCTAACTTAGGAGTATGCGCCTGGAACGATCGCTGAGTCTTGGCCAATCCCAGCAGCCACACTTCAACTACTCATACACTGCCGAGTGTTCCAACTGTGCTCAAATAAGGCAAACACTGAGCTGTAACCAATCCAGCTGTTTCTGTACCTCACTTCTGATTTCTGTACGTCACTTTTCTTTTTTCATCCGTAAATTGTTCTGACCGTGAGGCACTCCTGAAGTCTCTGAATCTGCTGTGATTCCGGGGGCTGGCTGATTTACCAATCGTTCATTGCTCAATTAAACTCCTTTAAATTTCATTCGGCCCAAGTTTTTCCTTTAACACTGCGTCCTCACGTGGTCTTCCCTCTGTACACATGCGTGTCTGGTGTCTCTTTTTGTGTCCAAATTTCTTTTTCTTATAAAAGGATACTAGTCAGATTGGATTAGGCCTGCCGTACTTTGAAGGGCTTATCTCCGAAAGTATTCAGGCCCACCCATATGTCCTCATTTAACCTTAATTAACTCTTTAAAGGGCCTATTTCCAAATATAGGAACATTCTGAAGTACTTGACATTAGGGCTTCAACATGGGGATTTTGGGGGTTGACAAAGACTTTTTCTAAATAACCTTTGGCCAGGCTCCTCTGAGAGCCTGGCCAAAAGCAAACAACAACAACAACAACCAAAAAAAAAACCAAAAAGCTAGGCCTAAACCTTGTATTCTTCCATTAAAATCCAGTCTTAGCAACAATCCTGGTAAGTCAGCTTAGCAAGAATCCTCAACCTTGGCAACTATTCAACTTCCCCCTCAGATCCAATGCCTCATCCCCCACTCTTGGTATCTGATCACCTTGACCTCCCTTCAGCAAGAGTCCTATCAAGTCAGTTTAGCCAGAGACCCCTCTTACTCCTACTGTCTCCTCTTAGTAATTTTCTATCCATTGAACCCCTCCACCCTGCTCCTTGGCCATAAATTCCCACTTTTTCATGCTGTATTCAAAATTATTGCATTCCAAGTTCTATACTGAGGTCTTTTCTCCCCTATTGTAACAGTTTCTTTTTGAATACAGTTTACTTTCACTGCTTTAACTTCTGGCCAGCCCTGGTTTTCTTTAACAGGGGACACAATTCAACCCATTACAGAGAGGATATAAGCATGTTCATTTGTGGGTCTTTCAGAACTGAAAAGTGATTTTCCCCCTTTCTGGAAAGGTAATGTTGACCTCTTTGATCCTTGAGTATTCTCCACTCTGAGGAGTGAAAAACACTCCACTCCACTGCACAACAGCCCTTCACTCTGTTGTGCAGTACCCAACACATTGCCCCGCAACCCAGATGATGACCCTCAGATCCCTCCAACCCCAGATTGGCGCATGCAACTGGATAGAAGCAGAGTTTAAACTTGGGCTCTTAAACAATCAGACATGTATTCAAATTCTGCCCATATCAGCCATAATCGTAAGATCTCAAGCAAGGCATTTTTCCTCTCTAAGCCTGTTTCTCTATCTTTAAAATGGGAGTAATAATTGTCCCTACCACAAAGTTTGTGACAAGGATTAAAGAAGACAATGCAAGTAAAGTACTTAGCATGCAGTTGGCACTCAATAATGCTAACTATTATTATCGTTAAAGATCATCCAAGCCAAGGCCTGAAATTGATAGGCAAGGAATCCAAAGCTTGAGATCCCACTCTGTTCTAAATCTCTTCCTCATTTCAGGCAGCTATTTGTTTATCTGAAATTTAGGGGAGAACAATGGCCTGAAGATTCACCTTGAAGTTAGGGCATGTATTTGAGGGGCTGCTACATTTATAATCTGTCTGACTTTGTCCAAAAGAAAAGCTTATAGCAAAGAAGCTGAAAGGAAAAGTCTTCCTGTTTTCCCTTACCTTACTGAAGATAGTAATTACAGCTGATGTGTAGCACCCACAGAGACACTCAGCATGGGTTACAGCTCATTTTAAACCAAATAAGAACTCAAATTCAAACATTAATGGTGTGATTTTGACTTAGTATTCTTTGAAACATGTAACCACTTTCCGTTTATAAATTTGAGGCCGATTGCTTTATTTCCTTAGGCCTTCGTTTAGAAATGAGTGCCTCATTAATTATCTTCTTGATGGCAGAATAGATGATGTTTCATTTCATTTTCACATTAGATGAGTCAACTAAAAGGGATCTCATTGCTAAAAAAAACCATGGATCACAATTTCTTCTTTGATTCTCCTCTGTTAGGAAAAGCTCACTCCCCTGAAGAAGCATAGAAATTCTTCCAATTGCATTTATCTTGCTTATTAATTCTTATAAATGTGGTACTGTGAGACGTTTCTATGTAATTTCACCCAATGTCATTTCTACCCTTTGCCATGACAGCATGCCTGAGTAATTTATGCATGGACATCCATGGTAACATGGATTACGAAAAGTATTGGTTGCAATCTTTTTTCCACATAGATATTTACAATTGAAAACAACTTTCTAAATAAAAGCAGCGTGAAATCTGCCCTTATGCTTAGGTGCCGGAAGTGTGAACCCCAAATATCTGAGTCAGGTCTCAGTCAATTTAGAAAGTTTATTTTGCCAACGTTAAGGACACACCTGTGAAACAGCCTCAGGAGGTCCTGACATGTGCCTAAGGTGGTCAGGACACAGCTTGGTTTTATACATTTCAAGAAGACATGAGACATCAATCAATATATGTAAGATGTATACTGGTACCTTGGTTCAGTTCAGAAAGGCAGGGCAACTAGAAGTGGGAGGGGCTTCCAGGTCATAGGTAGGTAAGTGACAAATGGTTGCATTCTTTTGAGTTACTGATTAGCCTTCCACTGAATACACAATTTACAGGAATAGTCACTTATGCCTTAGTCTGGCTTAGTGAAACAATAAGTCAAAGGAAGCAATCAGATATGCGTATGTCTCATGTGAGCAGACAGATGACTTTGAGTTCTGTCTTTCCTTTGTCCATAAGGAATTTCCTTGTGGGCAAATTGTGAGAGAGTTATATAGTTGTTTGTTTGTTTGTTTGTTTGTCTAAATCTTTGTAGCCATCTTATTTGGGAATAGAATGGGAGGCAGGTTTGCCCTATGCAGTTCCCAGCTTGGCTTTTCTCTTCGGCTTAGTGATTTTGGGGTCCCAAGATATATTTTCCTTTCACAGAAGCGTATAAATATTATCTGGATAAACAAAATTTCAGGCCCAGTTACTTAAATTGCAAATTACACAGACCTGAGCCTTTTCTCTTTTTACTTAGTTTTCAGAATTTGAAAAACTGATTCATAGTGTAATTTATAAGAGTATAACTAATGAACAGGATGGCCTCTATGAGTGCTACAAAATACAGGAAAAAAAAACCCAACCTCTGCTCTCTTTCTTATGAAGAACATCAGCTTTTCTGACTTCCAGCATCTTCTTTTAAATGAAAAAGTGACACATTCTCTGTGTTGGAGGTCTGATTGTTTACCATTTATTTCATTTCTCCCTAAAATGATTTTGCTCCCTTTTGTATAATCTATGGGTTTTTAAAGGTCTTTTCTAAATGGAATTGGCATACTTTTACTCCTCACTTTAACAAAAGCTGTATCTTCGGCTTTCTTTTGCTGCTTTTTTTTTTTTTTCAATAGAACCAGTTAAACATTAACAGCAAAGGGAGAGTAATTGATTTATAGGGTATACATCTCTGAATGAATTACTCCCAAATCCCACACAATTATAAACCAGAAGCACTTAAATAAATTCAATACAATAAGACAAAGTGAATCAATCAAAAAGAATATTCAAACAATGAGACTAGATTAACTGTTTAAAGTTAGAATGAGTAGACCCCCTCCTAAATGGCTTTTGAATATGGTGTTAAACAAGATCAAATGCTGGGTCCAGGAAAGCATTCCAAGACAGTAGTGAGCAATTTTCAATGGATGATATATTTGAGAATTTTTTTGCATTTGCAGGGAAGCACCCTGTAAATAAACAAACACAAAATTTTCCAAAGGATGCACAAATAACTCTGGAGAAAACAAAATCTGATCGGGTGTGGCATTAAAGCATTCAATAAATGATGACTAATGGATGAATGAACTAAGAATGGGAATGAAGATAGTAGGACACACATAAGTCCCAACTGTTCTTCCACTGAATTTTCACTGTCTCCTCAGAGGGCTCACTTTCATCTCACTGCCATCTACAAATGTGCAGAGTTTGATTGTACACATTCAGGTCCCTCTGCAGGGCTTCAGAGAAGAAAGAAAGAGGTAGCACGGAGGACCATCCAACTAAGAATTCTTCATTGAGATTTAAAGACCAGCTTTGCTCTTCACAGCCATACTGTTATTGGAAAGGGATCCCGATCCAGACCCCAAGAGAGGGTTCTTGGATCTCGCGCAACAAAGAACTCAGGGCAAGTCTACAGTGCAAAGCAAAAGCAAGTTTATTAAGAAAGTAAAGGAATAAAAGAATGGCTACCGCATAGACAGAACAGCCCTGAGGGTTGTTGGTTGCCCACTTTTATGGTTATTTCTTGATGATATGCTAAACGAGAGGTGGATTATTCATGCCTCCTCTTTTTAGACAGTATAGGGTAACTTCCTGATGTAGTCATGGCATTTGTAAACTGTCATGGCACTTGTGAGAGTGTAGCAGTGAGGCCGACCAGAGGTCACTCTTGTCACCATCTTGGTTTTGGTGGGATTTAGCCAGCTTCCTTACTGCAACCTGTTTTATCAGCAAGGTCTTTATGACCTGTACCTCATGCGACCTCCTATCTCATCCTGTGACTTAGAATGCCTTAACCATCTGGGAATGCAGCCCAGTAGGTCGCAGCTTCATTTTACTCAGCCCCTACTCAAGATGGTGTTGCTCTAGTTTACATACCTCTGACAATACCACCCACCACAGCTAAGCCACTCTCTTCTCTGGGTCTTAGTGTTCTCATTTTTTAGATGAAAATGTTAATGCTAACCTCACACAGTTGTATATGTAAAGCATTTCACAAAACCAGAGTTGAAAATATTACCTCTCATCTAGTCATTTTAGCCATTCAAGCAGCAGAAAGCCTGTGGGCAACTCATCTCACAGGATTAGGAAAAAGGAAGTATGTTAATACACAAATAAAACAAATCTCCCTTGGCAATCAGTGAAGACGGTAGGAATGTAACAAACAGTGGATAAAGTCAATGAGATAAATTAGAGTCAATTAGCTTTGCCTACTGCAATAAGCACATAAGGGTTTTTATATTTTCAAAAACTGAATAAATAGATCAGTATGAATTTTTCTTAAGCCCCCCTCCCCCAAATAACCAAGTGGCCCTAGTTTTGGTCATTTTTATTATAAAGGACCTCAGCCCAATCTTTGTTGGATGTTTTCATTGAAACTAAAAGAAATTTCTTACTACTCTGGAAATTCTAGTTCATGTTATTTTCAGTCATTGGGTTTTGCTTTAGGCCTAATTTTTGGTTCTTCAACAACTGCCAAAATAATAATGCCATCACTTAAAAGTGTCTCCCGCAGCAAGGGTGTCCAGGTTTAGCAAGTAAAAAGTACAAGATCCCCAGTGACATTTGAATTTCAGATCAACAATGAATGTTTTAGACTAAGTATATCCCAAATACTTTCATGGAACATACTTATACTAAATATTGTTCATTGTTGATCTACAATTCAAATGTAACTGGATGACCTGGCAACCCTACCTTAGTCACTGGGTCTGGCCTAGAGGCTACTTCTGCATCTTCAGGAAGACTGTCTAGGTTTTGTTTCCTCCAGAGGCCTAACTGAGGTAAGAAATGAAAGAAAAAGGGAGAGGCCCCTGATATTTCTTGAAATGGGGACAGAACTTGGCTGTCTCAAGTCAAAGAGCAGGAGCTGGTCAAGCGGGATCCTGAATCCCTCTGCAAGTTACCACCAGAGCAGGACTATTGCCTCATCTGAAGAAATACCCTGATTTAGTCCCAGTCTAGCTGGAAGAAGCCAACTGTATGTGTGTTCATGTTTCATACACTTGGAAATGTAATGATGAACAGCAAATAGTCCAACACAACCTATTCTTTGTTGCAACCAATGTATGACCACCTGAAAAGGACATGCTCCTTTCAGGTATGTGATTTGATATTGGTTTATTTTATTTATTTATTTATTTTTTTCTTCTTTTGAGATGGAGTTTCGCTCTTGCTGCCCAGGCTGGAGTACAATGGTGTGATCTCAGCTCATTTTAACCTCTGCCTCTCGGGTTCAAGGGATTCTCCTGCCTCAGCCTCCCGAGTAGCTGGGATTACAGACATGCACCACTACACCTGGCTAATTTTTGTATTTTTAGTAGAGAAGGGGTTTCTCCGTGTTAGTCAGACTGGTCTCGAACTCATGACCTCAGGTGATCCACCCGCCTCAGCCTCCCAAAGTGCTGGGATTACAGGCATGAGCCACCGCGCTCGGCCTGGCTTATTTTATTTCGAAGCTCTTTGCAAACAAATAAAACTGATGTGTGAATTGGCTAAGCATGCTCTGTTTTTCTTTTATGTTGTTTCTGCTTTTCCTGTCTACACGAGTCTTTGATTTGAATTCTCTATTATTTTCAGGATAAGAAGTAATAAGCACCATGCTGCTCATGAGAGTGTTGTTCTGTTCATTCTTCAGGTAAGTCCTTCCTAAACCCTTGTCAAAATAATAGTTGTTACTTTTGTCACGATTTGTACCTGAGCCATTTCGATTTGGCTTCCATATAATTTAAGCATTAGGTTGTAAATTGAGGCTATAATATTATTAAAAATGCCATTTCAAAGGTGAGTTATTAAATGTTATGTGGAAAAACATTTTGAGTGAATCATCAGTTTATTCCATTTGCCAAATACCAATTGAGGGTCATAAACACGATTATGCAAAGGGAAGAATTTCAAGAACGACTCTGAGTGATGTTGATTTTCTGACAGATAACAGTCACCACATGAGCATAGTGAGTTTAAGAAAATTACAAATATTATTGGTTATTAAACGGGGATAATTTTATTTTCTATAAAATTTGAGTAGGGCAAAATGATGTCATTTTATTGCCAAAGAAGCTATGTAAAAAGTTTTCATAAACAATATGCTAAAGTAATGAAATGGCTATAAGATTCCATTTCAAAGCTACCTTAAGTTCTATTTAAATGTTTTAAATAAAAATTAATAAACTTTTTTTCTTTTTTTGAGGCAGAGTCTCACGCTGTCACCCAGACTGGAGTGCAGTGGCGTGATCTCGGCTCACTGCAACTTCTACCTCCCAGGTTCAAGCTATTCTCCTGCCTCAGCCTCACAAGTAACTGAGATTACAGGTGCACACCACCATGCCTGGCTAATTTTTGTATTTTTGGTACAGATGGGGTTTCACCATGTTGGCCAGGTTGGTCTTGAACTCCTGACCTCAAGTGACCTACCTGCCTCAGCCTCCCAAAGTGCTGGGATTACAGATGTGAGCCACCATGCCCGGCCAATAAATTTTTAATGTTATAAATACATTAAATAAAAATAGGGCAGGGGTGGGGTGGCATTACCACCCTACTCTCCAACCAACAAATATTTAAAAATGTAGGGCCAGGCACAGAGGCTCATGCCTGTAATCCCAACACTTTGGGAGCTTGAAGCAGATCACTTGGCCCAGGAGTTCAAGACCAGCCTGGGCAACATAGTTAGACCCCATCTCTAAAAAAAAAAAAATACAAAAATTAGCCAGGCATGGTGGCATGCTCCTGTAGTCCCAGCTACTCAGGAGGCTGAGGCAGGAGGATGGCTGAAGCCTGAGAAGTTGACGTTGCAGTGAGCCATGATTGCAACACTACACTTCAACCTGGGGAACAGAACAAGACATTGTTTACAAAAATAAATTTAAAAAAACATATTGTTTAATAGTATCTAAAGGATACTTTATATATACTCATTATAATTCCCCCAGCAACCTTGCAAGATAACTATTATTGTTTCACTTTACAGATGAGGAAATTGAGGCTCAGAGATAGTGAATAAATTGCCCAAAGGCATGGTGCTAGTAAGGGGCAGAGCTAAGATTTGAACCCTGGTCTGGCTGGCACCAAATCCACGTACTTTCCCTGTTGTTAGCAGAAGGTGCACTGGACAAGATTTGATAATATAAAATTTATAAACTTCTGCCTTTCAACAAAGGATTAGAGGCTATATAACATAATGTAAAAACAAGACAATTAAAAAGGAAGACAACAAAAGATAGTTTAAGAGAGTTGATGTTACATTGGAGTGAGAAATTACATTAGTTGAGTCATAAACTTAGCTGAGTGTCCTAGCAGCCAAGTGAAAAAGGAACAGCAAATTGGATTTCATATTTATTTTTTGTCTTAAAAAAGGCAATGAATACGCTCATTTGCATGAGCAAATGATTTGATAGAGGAATTTGTGACCTAGGTTCTTGATTAAGAGGTGCTAGGCAATGTAATCTAGGTATTGCCATACTTAAGATGTGGTTTTATAGAAATAAAATTCATTGCACCAAGATAGTACCATTGGGTGATTTTATACAGGGGTTGACAGACTTTTCCTCTAAAGAGCCGAGGAGTAAATATTTTAAGCTTTGTGAGCTGTATGGTCCCTTGCAAGTGCTCAACTCTGCAGTCATAGCACAAAAGCGCTATAAACAGTGTATATAAATGAGTATGGCTGTGTTCCAATAAAACTTTATTTACAAAAAAACTGGCAGCAGGCTAGATTTGGCTTATGGGCTGTTGTTTGCCAACCTCCATTCTAATAGAATAAAAGGTAGAGCTGTGAGATTATATCCCTTCATCCTTCTGTCTGAAATACTAGTTGTCCAATGACCTTGTTTCACAAGTCATTCAAGGAGGAATTATACAACCTGTGTGCATATTCTCTATTATTGCTTCATTCAAATCTTACTCTTTGACCAGGCAGCAAAAAGCAGAATCTATGTTGTGAAGATGCAGGGCTACAATAAACAGATGGCCAGGCTGTGCTCTCCCAAGAAGGCTTCCAGCCATAGAAGCTAAGGGAAGTGGAAATGTAGCTAATGCTCTGATGCATCCACCCAGAGAAAGGACTGACTTTTTCTAAGTCTTCTACCCCAAAGAGGCACCTTTTTCTAATTTTTCCAATGGGAGGGGTGTCTTTTTCCAATTCCTAAAAGGGCATGATCTGTGCTAGAAGAGGCCCAATTAAAACCTAAGAACCTGACTCATATTCTTCTCATGTTTGTGGGCTGTAGCTCAAAAAGCAATCTTTGCATGGTTCTTTAATAAGAATTAATTTGAAACCATAGGGTTTGGCTCCATCTTCCAGGAAGAAGACGCTTTAGGCCTGAAAATTATTAAGAGTAGCTCTTAACAATCGACTGTGGCAAGCTGAACATCTTAGGATTGCGCTTACCCCTCTGATTGTGTCATAGGTATTTAAAAATCCTAGCCCTCTGGAATATCTAGGGAAATGATATAATTTTGATAATAGGCTATTACTCTAAAGGGGATGAAATGCTGACTGTGGGTAACAAATGGTGTGGAGAGTCTGGGGTCGTCCATACTTGTTTTCTGATAAGATTTACCATTCAACTGTGATCAATTGTGCAATCATTGTGCTTAAAACGTGCTCATTCTTCATATGACATCAATGAAATCTGTGTTGCAATTTGTTAAGAATGCTGGCATAGACTTGTTTTGTTTACTTAATGGGGTTAGTTTTATTATGAAACATTATCATAGAAATTAGAATAATTCTGAAGTGCATAAAGGAAAAACTGAAGGCCCCAGTGTTTTTTGGCCTTTGTGCATGTTTGGAAAAAAGTGTCCAAGCACAATTATTTAAAAAATATTTCTATATTTTCTTCCATTCGTTTTTTGTTTTCATTTGTATTTAAATCTGTAATATGATTGGAGTATGTTTTTTAGTTATGTTGTGAGGTAGGAATTGGACTTTTCCATCGAAATGGGTAACCAGTTTTAGTCATCTGTCGACTGCTCCATCGTATTTCAGTGGGCAGCAGAAGTGCTTCATGGGTACTTCCCATTGTGGCATACAGATTATTAAAAAGATATTAATCTCAGGGTGGAGATTTAATTAAATCAATCATTTTTACCACTTCGTTGAGTACATTCATCAATGAAACTGGTATTTTTTAAACTGTAAGTACATGATGATAGTAAATACAATGACTACTCCTATAGTTTGGTACCCTTGCCATGATCTGTATCAAAATTTCAGCAGTTAAGTGCACAATTGCCTTTGTATCACTGGTGGGAATGTCAACACAGTGAAAAAAAGAGAAAAAGACAAATCATGTTTTAGTATTATTTTGAAAATGATTTTGACATTGCAGCCCTTCCCAAAAGGGCCTCCGGGACCACAGCAATTAACTGTAAGTTCCATGAGAATAAAATTGTATCCATCTTGGCTCGTCATTGCATCCCCAGTGGCTAGCACAGAGTAGGACCTCAATAAATATTTATTGGAAGAGTATTTCTTAACACCTATTTCAATTAGTTTTTGTTGCAATAATGCTGTATAACCAGTAACGACAAAGTCTCAGTGGCTTTGTAACAGGATTTTCTATACACATCTGCAAGTTGCCTGGGGTTCTGCTGATCTAGGCTGGGCCCATCTGGGCAACTCTGTTTCTCACTGCAGATGTGTGTGTCAGCTAGGGTGGCTCCACTCCCAATGTGTCTCACTCTCCTTGGTGCAGTGAGGTGGCAGGTCCCAGTGCAGAGCATTTCTGTGGCAGAGATATATGAGAAATCAGAAATGTACCAGACGTCTTAAACCTTGAAAGAGGCACACCATCACTTCTACCCATATATTTTTGCCAAGACAAGTCACATGGCCAAGCCCAAAGACAAGAGGCATGCAGGTACACTTTGCCCACAGTGAAGCCATTGCAAAGATATGGATGCAGGGCATGGGGGATTAATTGAGGCCAAACTATCCATGAGGGAACCAACTCGTCCAAGTTTGTCTGTAGTTCCCCCTGGTTTTAGAACTGAAGTCTCACATCCCAGGAACCCCCTCTGTCTCTGGCAAACTGAGACAGTTGGTCACCCTAATTACTCTTCAGTATGCTTTAAGTTGTAAAAAGGCTGAGAATTGTGTCGTATAAGAACTAGTCCCATTTAAAAAATGTTCTCCTTTCTTGAGTGCTGTAACTTTAAATGCAAATATTCGATAGAAATGTTTTGGTTCTCATAAGGGGACGGGTAGCAAAAATAAATCTCCCACAATTGTTTTTAACTTCCACCATAGAAGACATAATCTGTGTGTACAGAATCATCAGGTAACACATTAATATAATGCATTTTACTCTAACAGATTTTTAAACCATATAGTAAGAAAACCCCATTTTAAATATATACATACTCTATCGTTTACATGTGATAAACTATTGTAGCAATCTCTTATAGTTTGCAAATATCTTTTAACATTTACTTCAATTCAGTTGATTTTTATACCCTTAATCATAAAACTATAAAAACAAGATGATATTGTTGCTGGCACCATGTAATTATGTAACAACTCATTGGTCAAGAAAGAGCACATTTAAAGGAATGATGTAAGCACAGAATATTTGGGGGGTATTAACGACCTTGGGTATCGAAGCTGAGAGCCTGAAACAAATTTATGGGGTTACATTGCATCTTTAGCAGTTAAAACACAAGAGGGAAATAATAAATCAGCTGAATCGTTGTAAGAAAATTGAATATTCTGTACAGAGATTAGCAGAACTGCGCAGGAATTGAGAGACGTCTATGCCTGTTGCTAGGAATGGTAATGAGAATATCGGAAATGAATAGTTCTGTGTCGTCCTTGAAATATCATTACCTGTTTTTCAAAAAAGCATTTTCCCATTTGTATTTTTCCTTAATGTAATACATTTGTTTGCATCCTTGTTCAGAGAAAGGGTTTGAAATATGTCAGAAATGTTCCTTAATTCCAGTTGAAAATATCAATGTTTCAAGAGTTCAAAAGAGACTTTAAAAAATCACTGGTTTAAAAAATCACTGGTGCTTAAAAATATGCCCTTTCAAAAAATGTAATATTGGAAACCAATGAATCCGCTCTTGCTCTCAAATGAAGATGAATATTTATTAAAAAGATTGACTGCTACTACAAAAACGCATTGGTGGAAATGTATCAAAAATGAAATAACAAGTATACATTATATTTTGAGAGTATTTTTGTTCAATACCATTCTTAGCCCAAGTGATTAAATATTTATTGCAGAAGAATAAAGCCTTACAACTTAGTGCAACCAAGATCTCTGTACAATGAAGTGAAGTCAGCTGCCAATGCCCTAACTATTTTGAACAACTTGAACAGCAAAATCTGAAGTTAGCAAAAGCTTGTAGATGGTTATACCATTTTATCATCACCATAGCCCTAGAAAATTGATATAACCACCTTCATTTTAAAGATGAAGAAAAAAAGCTTAGCGTGGCTTGGTAATGTGTGCAAGATAACACAGCTTGTGTCAGTGTTGCTATCAATACCATGGACTTCCAGATCCAAATCCAGTGTTCTTGCATCTATATCTCAGTGGGTTCTAGATTGGGCCAAAATTACACCCACCCTCTCAGTGGCTTTCTCTGAGGTCCTTCTGTTGTGTACAGCTCTCACTTTTGTCTAATGTTATTTTGATGAGAAACTCTTTCCCATTCCAAGTAGTTCTGGTGGGGCTGTCAACCACAGTACCTAACCACCCCCACAAACACACACACCCGTATTCCTGTTCTCCCCTGTGCTGGACTGTACCATCGCTGGGTTGGACCACTCATCATCCCTGTGGTTGTTCCAGTTCCAGTTGACATCCTTTCTAAGAATTTTCCAAACTGGGATAAAAGTGTGGCTTACCAGGAAGAACTCAGTCTCTCTCTCTCTCTCTCTCTCTCTCTCTCTCTCTCTCTCTCTCTCTCTCAATAAATTGTAAGTAATTAGGTCTTGTAATGTCAGTGGTCCTTTCCCACTCCCCCATCCCCAGCCCCCTAACACTGCCACTTAGAAAGCCTGTCTACATAGAATTAGTCCAACACACAAGGAGAAGTGGAGATGAGAGATGAATGGAGAGAGAATCCAGAGGATTCTGTGAAGCCTGGATCCAGCCACAGCTACACTTTCAGTTGACATGAGCCAGTACATTTTCTTTTTCATTAAGCTAAGTTGAATTGAGTTTTTATCATTTTCAGTTAAAAGGGTCTGGGGCCGGATGCGGTGACTCACGCCTGTAATCCCAGCACTTTTGGAGGCCTACGTGGGCGGATCACTTGAGGTCAGGAGTTCGAGACCAGTCTGGCCAACATGGTGAAACCCCGTCTCTACTAAAAACACAAAAATTAGTCAGGCGTGGTGGCAGATGCCTGTAATCCTAGCCACTCAGGAGGCTGAGGCAGGAGAATTGCTTGAACCTGGGAGGCAGAGGTTGCAGTGAGCCAAGATTGCACCACTGCACTCCAGCCTGGGCCACAGAGTGAGACTCTGTCTCAATAAAATAAAATAAAATAAAATAAAAATAAGTTATAGTCATTCCTACAATGAAATACTCCAGAGAAGTTAAAATGAATGAAATGAATCTAATGTGTCAATATAGATCCACCTCAGAAACATGATAAGGTATATAAAATCAAATTGCAGGAAGATATGTGGAATTTGATATCATTTACCCAGATGCTAAAAATCCCCAAACAAAGTTTATATATTATTCCCTGTAATTTTGTCTATGTTTAATTTTTTCATAATAAAGTTCAAAAATACATCGTATATTGCTTCATCTTACACAAATATGTAATAAAACACGAAAACATAAATTAGAAGAATATCTGCTTCAATGCACCTTTGAAGAAGGAGGGAGAAGAGTACAAAAGAAGCTTCCACTGAATCAATGCTTTGTTTCTTTGGGAAAAAATTTCACATGAAACAAATATGACAAAATTTTGCTTTGAGTTGGGGTTTCACTATATTGCCCAGGCTGGAGTGCGGTGCCTATTCACAGATGCTATCCTGCTGCTGATCAGCATGAGAGTTTTTAACTGCTTGGTTTCTGAGCTGGGCCGGTTTACCCCTCCTTAGGTAACCTGCTGTTGCCTGCTTTCAAGAGGTCACCATACGGATGTCAAACTTAGTGTGGACACCCAATTGACATAACACACTACAGCCCAGAATTCCTGGGTTCAAGCAATCCTGCTTCAGCCTCTCGAGTAGCTAGGACTACAGGTATGTGCCACCACACCCAGCTAGCAAAATGTTCAGAGTTAATTAGGTCTAGGAGGGAGGTAGATTCTTGTATGTTAGAATTTTTTTGAAAAGAAAGAATATTAGAAAAAAAGTCAAACATTAAACACTTACAAAAAGATACAAATTGACAATCAACTGCTCAATTAATTAATTAATGAGGGACTGTTTGCCCCAACATCCTTTGGCTGCCACTAGAGAGGAGATGGCATTCTGTCTGCAAGCACAAAGACTAGGGGAAGAAAGGTAAAGATAGGAAAGTCCTCCAATCATTTTTGATACACTGCAAGGTAGAGTTGTGTTGTAGCAATGTAATGTAACGGAAAAAGGTATGTGAATTTCTACACTGCAGATTTTATGAATGCCAAGAGGTCTTAATTTTTTTTTCCTTCACCATCACACCTAAAGGAGCTCATTCAACAGAACCAGGATTCCATGCCAGACACTTCCTGGAAAACTGATAATCCACTGGCCTCAGTGGTCTGAGTATCTGAAAGCAGCAGGTTAGTGGGGTTTTACAAAGTTCTTTCTGAGCAGGAGACAATTTTTATGTTAAGGAAGGTAATTTAGGATTTATAGGTACTAATCTGTATGGTCAACATACATCCCTTTCTGAGAGCAACTGATTCGCTTATTTTATAATTTCTTTTTTAAAATTATTATACTTTAAGTACTGGGATACATGTGCAGAACACACAGGTTTGTTACATAGGTATACATGTGCCATGGTGGTTTGCTGCACCCATCAACCCGTCATCTAGGTTTTAAGCCCCTATTTTATGATAATTTCTATATAACCTGCTGGTCTGGACCTGAGACAGCTGGAGCTAACATTCTGTTCTCTGACAACACACATATGTTGCGGGAGGCTGAGAACAAGTACTGGGCACAGTCAGGATGGGAGAGAGGGTGGTCTTCCTGCTGCTGAAAGGTCTGAATACTGGGAGAATGTATTCCAGAGTTGAAGAAAGGCCAGCAGAGTGGTTGCCTTTGGGGTTAATTTTGCCCTCCCTCCTCCATTAACTAGACAGAGAAAGGGGAACTACATTTAGGATACTCATTTCTGTTGCACCCACCCATCCACCCACCTATCTAACAGGGCAAGGTAGGGAGAGGCCTACAGTAGAGAAAGAGAAAGACTCATGGCCTTTTGTCAGCCTGCAAAGATTGCTCAGGAGAGTGGAACTGAGTGCTTTGGGGCAGTTTCTCTTTACTTTTCTGCCCAGGGAAGAGACAGAGTAAAGGACTCCTACCACTCCTAGAAGTGAGCGGCCGCAGGAAATGTGCAATGGCATAGCCATGGCCATGCAGATAAGTTGGCAGCAGAAAAGCACAGAGTTGCTTTTTGGGTTGACCATGACAATAGCCCAGCTACAGGGACCTTGTATTCCTTGGTGTTACATGACCTGAGGCCTGGCCTCAGAAACAGGCCCAGGAAGCAAAGAATGCAGCAATGGCAGAGAGCACGAGTGCGAGGGAGGGGGACTGTCCATGTCAGCCAGAGCTCATGGAAGGGGAGACTCCGATTCCAGAGTCTGAAGGGAGACATGGCCTGGTTCTCCATTGACCCTTGTAGATTAGGCTCCTGCTGCTGGTCATGGAGAAACTCCCACTTCCTGTTCATGATTGAGTTGATGATATGATAGGATGGGAGCAGTGGACATTGACCTGTAACCGACTTTGACGTTTCCCTCACTGCTTGAATTCCTGCTTCACATACATCTGTGTTGCTCTCTGTTGTGCCTTAGTCACATCTGTCGCGTCTGAGAGAGCATGCAGGTACTGTCCCCCACACAGCACCCAAAGTAGTCTTTTTAAAATGTAAGTCAGAGCATGTCACCCCTGGCTCCAAACCTCCTATGGCATCTCATTTCATCTGGAGCAAAATGCAAAGTCTCCACAATGACCTTCAAGGTTCTGTGCACTATGGGACCCCACCACCACCCACAATGTCCCGCGACCCCAGCTTCCTCTACTGTCCCCTGCATCTCTGCTGGGTCACCCAGGGACACTCCTGCATGAAGTGTTCTTCCCCTGATATCTGGGCTTCTATGCTTTCTCCAAGTCTCAGCTTCACAGTTACCTTTTCTTCACTGACCACAACGACTGTCTATAAAATTGCAAACCCTCACCCCCAGCCCCCATGCCACACACACCTATCTCCTTCCCAGCTTGACTTTTTTTTCCCATCACCTATACTGCCACCTGACATTCGGCATGCTTCACTTGTTTAATATCTGTCTGTCCTCCCCCACTCTCCTAGATTGTAAGTCCCGTAATGTAGGAACGTCTGTCTGTTCTGGTCATTCCTGGTATGTCCAGGAAGTATAACCTGACATGTAGAAAATGTTCAATAAAGATTTATTGAGTCGATGGAGTAACAGAAAGATTTACAGCAACTCAGAAGATGGAACAAAATATTATTTTATCTCTTAAATCACCTCCTAATGGGCATTTGGGAGTTCTTCCTCTTCTGTGGGCTCCTTTTTCTTCCTACTCTCGCCATCTGCCCACCCACCTGTTTTTCTCCACCCCCTCCCTCCCTCCAGGGTTCCTGCTCTGTCTTGGGTGAAGGGATTCCATCTTCCAGGCCTCACCCAATTCTTCAGAGCAAAGCCTCCCCAAAGCAAACAGATTTTTATCTCACCAGCACTGACCACCTCTTGAGGTTTAACATAAATGTGTGGTTATGTGTTAGCCTCCTGTTTCCATACTCCATTGCATCAAAGACCACTTTCCAGAAAGAAATAATGGGGGAAAAGACACATTTGAAGAAGGAAGGAAGGTTTATCTGGCGACATCTTTATAGTACACAGAGAGGCAGCTGTACTAGATAGCAAAGTGGTTGACTGTCTTGGATCTCATAAGCAAAGTGTCACTAGAATGGGTACTTCTTTTTAGAGAGAGTCCCAATCTGTCGCCCAGGCTGGAGTGCAGTGGCATGATCTTGGCTCACCTCAAGCTCCACCTCCCAGGTTCTAGCAATTCTCCTGTTTCAGCCTCCTGAGTAGCTGAGACTACAGGTGTGCACCACCACACCCTGCTGATTTCTTTTTTCTTTTTCTTTTTTTTTTTTTTTAAGTAGAGACAGGCTTTCACTAGGCTGGCCAGGGTGGTCTTGAACTCTTGACCTCAAGTGATCCACCCACCTAGGCTTCCCAAAGTGCTGGGATTACAGGCATGAGCCACCGTGCCCAGCCTAGAATAGGTACCTTATAATGTGTTTAATAGCTTTAATAACATTGAGATCTAGCACATACGACATACCTACACATATTTATGTTTCTGAAACAGAATATTCATGAAGCAACAACTATCATATTTTGGAGTGTTGTACTCTGACATTTTCCATTCTATTCTATTTCACTTAAGAAATGTCAGTCTTGATATTTCAGCTCATTTCATAACCCGGTGGGTCATAGCCCTCAGCATACCCTCTGACCTAAATGCCCTTGAACTATAATATCATGTGCACTTTTGCAGCCTGTCAGGTAAATGTGAAATAATGAGTCATTGCACGTTGACCCTTTCCTGCTTCATGAACACAAGTGTGGTTTGAAGAAGCAATAAGATGTAAGTATGGATGTATTTTTCAGAACTTTAATTTCTTGGAGAGAAATGGTATACCACATATTATTAGATAATATTAGTAGAATAATTTAAAATGGCTATGGTACCAGGTAAAATATTAAATATATTAAATATTTATATATCCCTTCACCATATGGGCAGTTTCCAGAGCTCGCTCTTGCTTGTGACCGTGTTACTGGATGACTTTCACACTGAGTGAATTTACTGAGTGCACTCTATCTCTCTCCCCCGTACACACACTTATCCTCTCATGCACACACACACACTCACTCACATGCACATGCTTCGTCTACTCTGGCTTTCAGAAGTCAGGCGCTGCCTTGGAGTATTACCTGACACGACTCTTTGTAAACTAAATACCGATCACTGAAATAGTGAATTATCCACTGAAAAAGTGGTTTTAACTGCTGAAAAAAATGTTCCAGAGCTGAAGAGCATACAGCAAGTGTACAAATATTATTTGAGATTGTGAAAGCAGAGAAAAGCAGGTAGCTTTCCAAAGCTGCAGCTTGGCTAGAGTGGGGTTTTTATGGAGGGCCCTTCTGATCCTCAAACCATCACTTTATTTTAATCTGCTGGCTCCAACCATCCATGTATCAATGTGTGAAGGAAGTAGGACAGATGTGATTCTCACAATGCAAATGCGGAAACTGAGCCCCAGAGGTATTCAACTGGGTGAAATGTCCCTGTTTCCCATTTCTAATTGCAGGAAAGAATCTAGCCCCAGCGCTGTAGGCCTGATGACATTGATTACATCATTGTTTGTAGCGTGCCCAGGGACTGGAAAGAACATGGGGTCAATCAGGAGGGAAATGTTGAACAAATGTTATATACCCATAGTATGAAATACTATGCCACTATTTAAAATAATGGCTTAGATCTAAACTCAGAAAAGCAAGTTAGAGAAAAATATGTATAAATCAATTCAATTTTTTACTTAAAAAAGGAAAGATTATATTTAGGTAAAATTACTTGCAGGGCTTCATGGAAGATTAATGAAAGGTAGATATATACTAAATCATTAGTATTACCTACTTGAAGAGAAATAGGCTATAGGGATGGTCAAGGGAGATGGAAGAGTGAATAATCAGCTTCTTTGTTGTATAATTTCATTTGTTTCAAAAAGCAATGTTTTTGCAGTTTTAAAAATCTGACAAAGACAACGTAAAACAATAAAATAAGATTCTTTCTTCTAGTTCTATTTTAAGTGAAGTAACCTCCCAAGATTACCTTAATTGAAAGGGGCAGCATTAGTGCTTGTTTTTGACCCCAAAACCATGGCCTTTCCTTAGAGCTACAGCTGCCTTTCCTGTATCAAGTCTTCATAAAACTTTGCACCCTTGAAACTAGCATTGGGTGAACACACACGGAAAAGAACAGAATAATGTCACGTAAGAAAACACAGCCCAAATTATTATTGTTGTTAGCACAGTGTTTAATGCAAATTTAAGCATGTGAATCAGGTATCACAATAGCTGTTGAAGAAATGTAATGCTGACAGTATTTGGCAATAAAATAATAATCACTGTGTATATCTCTGATGAAATGAGATTTACTACATTTGAGCTCCTAATTGTCTGCCACACTACATTAGAGATGGATACTACTATTGTCTCCACTGCTCAGAAATATGAAATTCAAAGCAATATGCACGGTGTCTTGAAATAAGCTAGCTTAATGAACCAGCAAATTAGACCTTTCTATCTCTTTATTTACCAACCAGTTCCATGAATGTATCAGAGTTCATTACAAGAGGGCAAAATTTAAAGAAATGCTGCTAAATTCATTTATGATTAGAACTAATGACTTTGAAAAGACTTCTCATATTTTTAGAGAAAGCCATAATTTATTATTGAATTTATATGGCCTTGGGTAATAAACGTTCAATCTTTTCTCACTTACGTCTGTTATTTATAGTTTGGATTTTGTAAAACAGCCCCACACAAAAAAATTCCCATAAAGAAATCGACTTTCCCCCCGCTAAACTCGGGAAAGGCATTCAGAAAATACAATGGCAAAACTTTCTTCTTGATTTGTGTCAGTGGTTCTCAGTGGGGGTGAGGAGGATTTTGGCAATGTCTGGAGACATTTTTGGTTGTCACAGCTAGCAGGAGAGGGAAGGACAGTGCTATTTGTATCTGGTGGGTAGAGGCCAAGGATGCTGCTAAACATCCTGCAACGCACAGAACAGGCACCCACAACAAACAATTATTCAGCCAAAATGTCAATAGTGCTGAGACTGAGAAGCCCTGAACTGTGTGTATGTGTCTCATTTAAAGAATGCTCCATTTCATTCAATGTTTTCTAAAATGAGATCACTCTCCATCCTGTCACGTAGGCTTAGAGCGAGACCAAGTAAAGGAATGGATCTGGCTCAGATGATATTTTTCCCCTAATAGTTACAGGAATAAAGACTTCAGCATCTGCAATAAAGATGATAAAGTATGGTGATAATATAGATGACTTAAGTTTGTTCAATCATTTACATTATCTTCCAGGAGATACCTTTCCTATTTGAAAGCAAAAGCATCTGATTACCTAATAGCTTTCAGTATGTTAGCATATTGGTTGAACATATTTAAAAGAAATCTGTTCGAGACTCCAATTTAGATGAGAGGAGTCAGTAGCCAGCAGATCTATGGCCAGAGTCAAGAATGAAGGCAAACAATGGGAAGATCAAAAGGTCTGATTCAGGCTGGGCGTGGTGACACACACTTAATCCCAGCATTTTGGGAGGCCGAGGTAGGAGGATTGCTTGAGGTCAGGAGCTTCGGACTAGCCTGGGCAAAATACTAAGACCTTGTCTTTCCAAAAAAAAAAAAAAGTTTAAATTTTTATTTTGGATTGGGATAAATGTGCAGGTTTGTTACAAGGGTATATTGCTACAAGGGTATATATGCGTGATGCTGAGATTTGGGCTTCAATTGGTCCCATTACCCCGCATAGTACCCAGTAGGAAGTTTTTCAGCCCTTGTCCCCTCACTCCCTGCTCCCTCCCCCCTTTTGGAGTCTCCAGCGTCCACTGTTCCCATTTTTATGTCTATGCGTACTCAAGGATTAGCTCCCACTTATAAGTGAGAAGATGCAATATTCGGTTTTCTGTTTCTGCATTAATTCACTTAAGATAATGACCTCCAGCTGCATCCGTGTTGCTGCAAAGGATGTGATTTTGTACTTTTCTATGACTATGTAGTACTCCATTAGTGTATATGTACTACATTTTTAAAATTCAATCCACCATTGATGGACAGCTAGATTCATTCCATATATTTGCTATTGTGAATATCGCTGCAACAAACATACAAGTACAGGTGTCTCTGGTAGAACAATTTGTTTTCCTTTGGGTATATACCCAGTAATGGGATTGCTGGGTCGAATGGTAGTTCTCTTTTTAGTTCTTTGAGAAATCTCCAAACTACTTTTCACAGTGGCTGAACTAATTAGAATTTTCTTTAAAAATAGCCTGGCCTGGTAGCATGTGCCTATAGCCCCAGCTCTTCATGAGGCCCAGCTCAAGCCTAAGAGTTCAAGCTTACAGTGAGCTATGATCTTACCACTGCACTCCAGCCTGGGTGACAGAGCGAGACCCTGTCTCTTAAAAAAAAAAAAATCTGATTCACTTTAGCTCAGAATTGCTTGGAACATTATTTACAATCTGTTTCAAGGTAGGAATTGTACACTTTTGATAGGAATCAGTTTAATTTGAATATGGTAGAATTTCTCTTTTGGCATTCTAGATGTAGGTTAGCTTTTTCTCTAATCTGTCTATCATATGCATGCATGGGGAAACTGGTTAATTTGATATAATTTAACCTGACACTTGTAGTTCCCCTGTGATAACAATGATCAAACTTTGTATATAGGTCTTATTTATTTAAATAAAATCTAATTATTATGAAATAGCCCAGTGAGGAAAAGTAAAAGAAACTGAAATTCTTTTCATCCAAAAGAAAATAATGATCAAGTATTGGCCGGGCGCAGTGGCTCAGCCTTGTCATCCCAGCACTTTGGGAGGCTGAGGTGGGTGGATCACAAGGTCAGGAGTTCAAGACCAGCCTGGCCAAGATGGTGAAACCCCGTCTCTACCCTCTCTCTACTAAAAATACAAAAATTAGCCAGACGTGGTGGCATGAGCCTGTAATCCCAGCTACTCGGGAGGCTGAGGCAGGAGAATCGCTTGAACCCGGGAGGTGGAAGTTGCAGTGAGCCGAGATCGTGCCACTGCACTCCCGCCTGGGTGACAGAGCGAGACTCCATCTCAAAAATAATAATAATAATTAATAAAAATGATCAAGTATCAAAAATTAAAACATTAGAATCCTAATTCATTAAACTTCTAGGGAACTAGGGTGTCCTGAAAGAAACTTGGTTAAATAGAAAACGTGTTCTTATATCCTTGTATCTCATTAAGTAGAATAAATATAATTGAAACATTCACGACTTAAGGATTGTATAATGTAAGATTTCCTTTGGGAAATGTTTTAATGGCTATATGTTTATTGCCATATATTTTTAGGAAAATAAATGTTATAGCACATCAAATACATGATTTCACCAATATTACTGCTCTCGGAAATAATGAAATAGATCTTGGTGTTAAGCCCAACTTGATTTAAAGACAAATATTAATGATGGTACGGGTGGTACTCAGATGTAGCAAAAATTGTGACGGGTACTCAAATGAATGGAATCCTGTGGCAGTACTTCAGAGTCATCATTCAGAACATTTTTATCGTATAGCCCTGGGGTGAACAAAGCGAAAAGGATGAAGGTCAAATGACCTCAGTGTATGTCATTACATTTTTGGTTTTTACAATTAAGAACAGTTAACATTTATGGGTGCTTGTGGTGCACCCAATAATGTTTATATAGTGCTTACTTAGTACATGCCAGGTGTTATAAGAATTTTACTTGTTTATTGTTTTTAATTCATTTAATCCCCACAAAAACCTCATTTAATAGATTACAGCTAGTACATGGTGAAGCTGGGATTTGCACCCAGGTGTCAGCCTCTGGAGTCTGCGCTCTTTAGCAACTCTGCAATAAGGCATCTCTTGTGATAACAACAAGTGCCGCACATATTATCTCATTTAATTCTCACTGTGCTCTTCTGCTGAGCTACATTATATCATTGAATACTTGGTGTCAATGGGGCAAGCCAATTCATTTCTCAATAAGTTGTATGGCAGGAAAAGCTTTCAATTACACAAGATTCTAAGTCAATTAAAACCACAGTGGGGAGGGCACAAGAAGAATTACTGAAGTGTGAAAATCAAAAAGAATGTAGAATTTCAATTAACATTTATTTCTTATCTCATCCTTTTCAAAATTCATTATTTGTGTATACATTATAAAGCATTTATGCATCGTTGCAATTGTGCATTATATAATTTATATCTTTTATTTGAGACAGGGTCTCCCTGTGTCACCCGGGCTGGAGTGCAGTGGCATGATCTCAGCTCTCTGCAACCTCTGACTTCTGGGTTCAAGCGTTCCTCCCACCTCAGCCTCCTGGGTAGCTGGGACTACAGGCATGCTCCACCATGCCCGGCTAATTTTTGTATTTTTAGTAGAGACAGGGTTTTGTCATGTTGGCCAGGCTGGTCTCAAACTCTTGACTTCAGGTGATCCACCCACCTCAGCTTCCCCCAGTGCTGGGATTACAGGTGTGAGCCATTGCACCCTGCCCATTATGTAATTTATAAATACATATACGAATATTGGGAATGCATGATCAAAAATTTTACACTGATGGGATGTTTGTACTTAATACATATTTTATAGTAACTCCAGGTTTTCTCCCTGCCTGGGCCATTTCCATGACATGAACAAGTCAACTTGGAAACTTACATTATCTCCTTAAAACCTGTATCCACACTTAAATGAAGTATGCATGCCTTCATTCACTATGCCATCCAAATTCATTCCCACAGCACATTGTCACTAATTGCCTGGGAGTATTTCAGACTCACAAAGTATATCTTACATTGAGGCTTCATCTACAAGACAAAACCAAAAACAAAACAGCTAATTGATTCAGAAAAAATATCTCATTGTCTGAAGGAATCCAAGAGGTTGAATGAATTAGCTGTTAGGATATCCATTGTGCTAGGCACAGCAGGTACCACACGTATGGGCTCTGTCCTGATGGAGCTGACAGTTTATTGTTGCAGTCGGGAGCACAAATCCCTGGCAGTATGACCTTGCGCAGATGATTCATCCTCTCGGTGCTAAGTTTTCTATTTTTACAATGGGCATAATAACAGCACCTACTTCAAACGATTGTGGTGAAAGAGATGGTGAATTAATATATGGAAAGTGTCTCGCACAGTGTCTGGCATCCACAAAGCACTATATTCTCTGTTTTGTTGTTGTTGTTTTTGTTTTTCATTGTCAAAGGAGGTGAACGAAGCACTAGATTCTTGTCACTTTGTGTGATGATTAAGGTCATGTGTCAGCTTCACTACCCCACGGTACCCAGATATTTGCTCCAACCTTATTGCAGGTGTTTCTATGAAGGTATTTTTAAATGAGATTCACATTTACATCAATAGACTTTGAGTCAAGCAGACTACCCTCAATAATGTGAGTGGGCCTCACCCAATAAGTTGAAGGCTTTGAGAGAAAGGACTGACCTCCCCCGCGGAGGAGGGGATTCTGCCAGCAGACTGTCTTCAAAGTTGAACTGCAATACCAACTCTTCCCTAAGGCCTCCAGCCAGCTGGGCCACCCTGCAGATGTTGGATTTACCAGCCTCCACTATCGCATGAGCCAATGCTTTAAAATCTCAATCTCTCTCCCACCTTTTTATTTCTCTCTGTCATACACATCTATGTGTGTATATATGTGTGTATACTCATATAAGAGAGATATGTAACTCTGTATTCATCCGTAAGTAAGAGTTACTTAAAGCTAAGAGTGAGTTACTGATACAGAGTAATATATCTCTCTTATATGAACACACACACACACACACACACACACACACACACACACACACACACGGGTATTTATGTACACGTATCCTGCTGGCTCCAATTCCCTGGAGAACCCTGACTAATACACTGTGGGATAATGGCAGCTAGCATTTATTGAGCCCCTTCTACTTACTGTTTAACACTTCAGATATGATCTTACTTATTCTTCAGAAAATCCCTATTACCAACCACCATTTTACAAAAAAGAAACTGAGCCTAAAACAAGCCAGTGACTTCTTTGCCCCAGGTCATTCAGCTAGTGTGTAGCAGAGGCAGGATTACTCAAGTGCCTCCCTCACTTCTCCAGTACAAGTAAATGCTGTCATTGTTTGAGTATTCAAAGGTTTTGAATGGAGTGATCTGTCTTCAGTATGCCCACAATGCCAGGTGATGTAGAAATATTTATGTGGCTATTTTAAAAACACTTTCAGGCTATTGAGAGATACTAATTGCCAAACAAATTTTGTCCCCCCTTTTTTTTCTCTTTCTTTCTTTCTTTGTTTTTTTTTTTTTGAGATAGGGTCTCTCGCTCTGTCACCCAGGCTGAAGTGCAGTGGCATGATCATAGCTCACTGCAGCCTCAACCTCCTTGGCATCAGCCTCCTGCATAGCTAGGACTACAAGCACAGAACCACACCTGGCAGTTTGTTTTTTTAAGTAGACACTCATGTCTCACTGTTTTGCCCAGGCTGATCTCGAACTCCGAGGCTCAAGCAATCCTCCCGCCTCGGCCTTCCAAAGTGCTGGGATTACAGGCATGAGCTACCACACCCAGCTGACCACTTCTAATTGTAATTCTTGCCTGGGCTGAACTGTTGAACTGCTTCAGCAAAGCTATTTGCAATACAGCAGACAGAAGCTAAGTAGACAGCAAAAAACATGGAGACCACCCAATCCTCTGCCACAGGGGCTACCTGGCAGAAGGGAGCAATTTTAACATCTTAGAGTGAAATTAGCCAAGGTATCCTGACCAATTGTGGTTTTTGAGGGAAATAAATCTCTTTTGCGTTAGTTGAGGGAAACAGCTGTTTACAAATGGACTTTCAAGACCTCTCCTTCCTATCACTGTGCATATTATGGAATTAGCAAATCCAATCAGGCTTCTTCCAGTAAATAACTGTGACTATTGAATGAAGCTTATCTGAGGGTTTGCCAAGGACATTTAAACCAGTCCGAGAACCATCGGGCAAACCAAAATTAGCCAGCATTCACAATTTCCTTTTATGTGCAAAGCTGTTTCTAAAATTTAAGAGTTCAAAAGAGCTTTGAAGGAATATTTTTATAATCTGTGCCACTGGGTAACAGATTGAATTTAGCCTCAACTGGTGATATTTGTCTCCTTAATTATCAGCAATAACAACACTTTAAATTGACATGGTGCTTTTAACTTTTTGCAAAGAATGGTCAAGTTCATTTATCAACTCATCTGCTTTGTTGTATCATACTGTAATTTTCAACTGTCTAAGACAACAGGCTAAAATATTACAAAGAAAGATGGGCTAAGAAGTGTTGTCGAAGTCTTTTTTTCTTAAGCTGAATTTAGGTGACAATGACATGATCTAAAGATACTTTTGTTATCTAATATAACTTATTTCGTCATCACAGACATAAAGTATCTACTTGATAGTAAATGCGTAGAGAACACTTAATGTTGTAGAAAAAAATTTAATTCACATGCACATTCTGAGTATAGATATGAGAACCAATGACTGGAAAATGACTGGAGAACTTTCTTTGCTGTTTATCTCTGTCTGCAAGTCTAGGAAATTGAGAGTTTGCTGTACTATTAAATACAATGCTTCAAAAGAATACTGCAAAGGGGTTAAGAGCAAGCAAAGGGCTTGGCCTTGGCTTTTGAGTGGTCCGTGCTGTGCCTGGCTATAGAAGCATCTTTCTATAAGAAATATTCATATACTCACCATAATAGGAAAGTAATAGTTATGTCGGCAAACCCTTCAACTATAAAACTTGCTAAATGGTGTTTAAAACAGCAGGAGAGCATTTGTCTATACATTTTGTATTACTGTTTTGAATTGTATGGATTAGGATCATATGGCATATTTTAACATTATGTGATGAAGGCAACAACTCTGAAATATATGAGGCTGTAAAACTTATATTTAGATATTTCACTAAATAAGGAGACTAGTTTGCAAAGTGAAACTAATAGAAGGTTTGTGCAATTTTGGAAGGTAAATCAAAGAAGTAAAGCTATTTGATGTGGAATTCCCATTCAGGAATAAGACATGTAGACAAATTAGTCAATGAAAAGTACATGTATACATAAAATATGTACTGGATTGTACTCTCATGTTTGAAAGTAGAAAGGCATTATCAAATAACTATAAATGGTATATTACTGCATCAGAATCAACTCTTACAGCAAGGGATGCTTATACCTGTTGCAAAAAAAATGCTGTCTGTCTGTGAGTAGTCAAAGTTCACAATTTGTTTTGTCTCTGTCTATTGTATTTCCATAATTCTAGCTATTCCTGTTCCAAATTTGGTGTTGCACAGATCCAAGAAGCAATTTGGAATTTTGTTCTCTTTCAATGTGCTCAGCAAAATTACTACTGTCATTGCCTATTACCCCAAGAATGATGTTTCTGTCTCTTCACTGTGTCTTCCATGAGCTCTCTATCTGAAATAGCAGAAGGGAAGACTTCTTTTCTAGCGACAGAAACCCAGCACCACAGCATTGCACAACTCCAGAGGCAATATTCACACTGTAGTTTAAGTGAATTCCTAGTGTCATTTTTATAGACTACCATGTGAATGGTGCCCTTTGGAGTGTTGCAAATCCTCTGAAATTAATTTCACCTATTAAATTAACAAAAGCTTATAGGGTTATCTCGACAACACAGGAGGTTCTCTCCGCAGTTGGCTTTCTCTCTTCACCTTTATAAGGCCAGACTCTTCCATCTCAACCCTGGCTTTGCTTGGCCTCTCAGTGCAGGCACTGACGGGTTGATGGGATTTGGAAATCTAAATGGCCCAACATTGGTCAGGCATCCAACCCATGGTCTAATTAGCTGTGGCCACAGAAGTGGTTTTGTGCCATTTACTTAGCAAGAGACAGAATCTCTGAGAAGGGGTATGGATCAACCAGGCAATTGGCTGCTGAGCTGGCTGTGGTTACATAGATAACACTGGATTTTGTCAGGAGAGCAAATACTCTCTAAAAATTTTCTCATTATGCAGAAGTCATTGACTCTATAAGTACTTACTCTTTCCTAATAGTGAAACTGCCATCGTCTGGTAGATTGTATTATTTATTCAAAAATTATTTCTTTTTTATTGTACATAGATTGTATTATTATTCAAAAATAAATAATTTTTGAATAATTATTTTTGAATAAATTTTGAATAAATAATTTTTGAATAAATAATTTATTTTTGAATAATGATACAATCTACCAGATGATGGCAGTTTCACTGTGAATCGATTATCCCTGTGAATCGATTATCATTTCCTGCCCCATGACTGCAAGTCAGGCCCAGACCTGGGACTTGAGGAAATGCTAGTGAAAACGATTGCTGTTACTTATCAACAGAGGCCTTAAGGGCCATCATCCTCTTTCCTTGCTGCTCTTCTCCCTCTGCTGTGATAGAAGCAATATTAATATCTGAGGTAAATATCCATATGATTTCAGTTAGTGATATTATTTGGTATGTTTTCTGTCCCTGCCCCTCCACCCTGCCATCTTTTGTTCCTGTTTTTCCTCCCCTGCCTTCTTTGTGGTTATGTTGTAGAAACTCTTGATTCTGTTACATTCTTACAAAGAATGTTGATGGTTTTGTTTTAGCAGGCAATTAACTTAGACAGGCTCAAACTAGGAGTTCTCTCTTGTGTATGGAGGGCCGCAGCTCAGATCTCAATTCTGTTCTCTAAGCCTGACCTACAAGCTGCTTTGAGTCTGCCCCATGCGCAGATCATTCAGGTGTCAGGAATTGGGGCAATATTTATGCACAGAAGGCTTTTGAGGCTCCTCTGCCCTGGCTCTCATCTCTGGGATTCTCTCGTCACTTTCCAGCAGCAGCGGTTGCCCCAGAACCTTTGGTTCTTCAGGCCAAAAAGAGCAGATGTTCTCGTGGGTTTTGCCCATCCATGCTGTCTGCAGCCCAATCTCAGACTGAAGTCATGAAAATGGGAAACTCACCCTCTGATAATCCCTCTTCCCTGTTTTGACTCCCTCCCAAAATCTGCCTGGTTTTGCTCGCTCTCCAGAGTATTTTGTTTGGAGTTCAGAGCTGTTGCCTGCGAACAGGCCAGGCTCTTAGAAATCTACTCTGTCATACTGAGGTGAAATTCTAAAGCCAGTTCAGGCATATAATAAGAACTAAAAATAAACTTCTGTGGTTGAAAGCCATTAAGACTTGGGGTTATATTTGTTTCTGCAGCCTAACTTACCCAAAACTGGAATGTTGCTTCTTAACCATTTCACATCTATATTTGTGAAACTTATTCAAGGACAAATGAATTTCCCTGAACGTTTCTGATGCTGTGAATTTTGCTTTTCTCCTTCCACTGTTAAGATACTTTAAGTGGTACCCTTTCCATCTTAACTTCCACTGAAATCATGAAGAAGACTGTCCCTTAACTTTTTAAGAAGATGTTCCATGTTCCATGTTTGCACACTCCATCCTTATCACTGAAACCACAGGGTTTAGAGATCAGGATTCACCATCATCTAAATTGAATACACATCTAGCATACTGTGCTACTGACAGAATTGGTCTTGGTAAATTATGAAACATTTTATTTAAAATATATGATTAATTGACTTCTGCTAAAGCATGGTAACATAAAAAACCTGTAAAGAAGGGGTAAAAACAAATTAGACAAAGGAAAGCATTTTTCTTGGAATTGTCATTTCAATGTCCACTTCCTTAGAAATGATTCCATAAAAAGCATGCCTCTCTTCATATAATATAACCAAGCAGGTCTCTGGCATAGATGTTAAGTATTATGATATTGCCTTTAATAAAATGCAAGATTCTAAATATGCAACCTTCAAAATTAGTGTAAAAACTCTACTTCTCTTAGTTGATTAAAATCATGAAAAAAAATACACACATACACATTTATATTTATATATTTTTCCCTAAGTTGATTACTTTCCAGTCTAGCATCTAATTGGTAACAAAAATCTCTTTATAAAAGTCAAAATCTTTATACAGAAATCTCTTTATAAAAGTCTACAGGGGAGTTGTAGATTAGAAAAGCCTTTTTGAAATTCATGACAATCTTTTAGTATTATCAATTTCCACTTAAATTACCAGAAGATCTGGGAGGCTGAAAACAAGAGATGTCCTACAGTCATCTTCACAGCTTCCTCTTTTTCATTTGAACATTTATCTATAATTATTTTGTAAATAGCCTGTACATATATAGCTCAAATTATGATTTCTTTTTTAATTTATGTATTTTCATCAGATTCTCTCTATCATTTATTCAACCAACATTTTGGCCACTTTGGGCCAAGCACTGCGGCTGCAGGAGTGAACAAGACAAAGCTGCAGCCTTCATGCTTCTCTTCCTTTTTTTTTTTTTTTTTTTAAGATGGAGTCTTGCTCTGTTGCCAGGCCAGAGTGCAGTGGTGCGATCTCGGCTCACTGCAACCTCCGCCTCCCAGGTTCAAGCGATTCTCCTGCCTCAGCCTCCTGGATAGCTGAGACTACAGGCCCGCACCACTACGCCCAGCTAATTTTTGTATTTTTAGTAGAGACAAGGTTTCACCATTTTGGCCAGGATGGTCTTGATCTCTTGGCCTTGTGATCCACCTACCTCAGCCTCCCAAAGTGCTGGGATTGGTTCTTCCTTCTATAGGAGAGGCAGACAGCAACCAGTGGCACAAATACAATCACTTCAAGTTGTCAAATACGCTATGCAGAAATGTAAAGCAGGATAAGGGGTTAAAACCTACTGGAATGCTTACTTGCTCTATAATTTATTTACCTTTGTATCATTCTGAATTACAGTAACTGCTTTGAATTATAAGTAATCCCTACATAAAAGATTAATGGTTTATCTACATTTTGCTTCCACTCACCCCAAATTCCACCACGCTACTGATGCTGCCCTTCCTGAGGAAACCAAAGACCTCCTCATGTCTAAGTTCATTGAACATCTCTCACGCTTTTCCTAAGTTGACTCCTTTGCACATCTCTCACTGTTGCTCACTCACCAAAATATTGCTCCTGCCCTGGGGTCACCTCTGGCCGTGCTTTCTCTGCATCTTCTGGAATCTTCCCTTCATCTGGTAGTGTACTAATTATGCATTCACACTGAGGAGCCCAGGAGGGCTGGGTCCTCTACCCTTTTCTCTTCTTTTTAAAATATTCGCCTTCAGGCATCTTATGCATCCCTCATGCCTGCTGCATTACCCACATATACTCCAGTGACTCAAAAACTGTCTCCAGCTGAGGCATTGCTCCCAAACTCCAGACTAGTGCCACCAACTGCCTTAGGACACTTCTCCTTGGATGTGCCTTGGGCTTCTGACATTCAATTAGTTCAACACTGAGCTCAGCATCCCACTTAGTCTCCACGCACCCCACTCAACCATTCCCCATCACAGAAAGTGGCACCACCATCTACTCCTCAGCTGCCTAAGCCAGAAAGCAGGTGCCATCCTCTCCCTCACGCTTCTCATCTTCTTAATTACAAAATACAGTGAAACTGACTTCCTTAATATTGCTTAGATCTATCCACCTGGCTTCATCCTCATTCTTACTCCCTTAGACCAGGCCACAGGGTGACAGACACACTTTCAGATTTGCTAATTTCAATCCATCTCCACCCTGCAGCCAGGATGAACCGTCTGAGCTCTTCATCTGATTGGGGCTGTCCTAGGCTTGATGTTCTTTATAGCTTCTCTCAGGGAAAAAGACTATCGGACATTAACCTATGTACCATTGCAGATTCTTTCAATTTCTTCATTTCTGAAGAAGCTCAGCTTGGCCATGGATGAACATCCCAAGCTGCCTGGGGCCCAAGTTGAAGCCGTGGGCCGGTTGAGTCTACACACCAACCTCTGCTTTGAGTCATCCCTCCACTTCCAGAATGGGATGAAATGTCGCATGATGGAGCATGACATCTGGCTTCCTGGGCAGCCTCCAAGCACCAGATGCTGCAACCCAGAAGTGTGGGGAAATTAACTCCCCATGGATGCTCCCTAAATAAGGGAAAACAAGAGGTAGAATGAGCTGGGCAGATTAATTCCTCCTTCTTTCTATTTTCATGGCCTACTAAAAGACAGGGTTTCTTCCCACAGCCTTTCCAGAGCAGTCCCATGTCCCAGGCAGACTCACCTGCTAAGCCACCTGCTATGCCTCTTTTCAGCTCCTTGTAACATGGTGGCCCCACAGCAGTGTGTGACAGTCTCCTCACCATGCTTGGCTTCTTTATTTGCGATACTTCCCTTTTTAACTTACCTTTTAAACCTTGGACTTGCACCTCCGGAATTGTTAGCACTTTAGTTTTTGACTCAGGCTCTACTTTCTGGAGGACCTGGCCTTAGACAAGAGCTGAACTTCTTGGCCACTGCCTGCATCACTGACTTCATCTCTCTTTCTATGTACTGAACCCTTTCCTAGCTACCACCGCCTGCAGTGTCACAGATGTGACACATTCTTTCTTTCCTCTTCCAGGCCTTTGGACATGACCTCTCACCGCTTTCCTGGGGAAATCTTAGGTCTCACCTGGGAAGCATTTTTTTAGACGACTGTTGCATCAGACTGGTTCAGGTACCATGTTTAGATGCCCATGGCACACTGTGCCTTCCTGGGAAAGGGCTTATCCCTCTTGTTTACTTGTTTGTCTTCTCCACCTGGCAGGAAGTTATTCACTATGTACTCTAGCACCTGCTTCAATGCCTGACACGTAGTGTCCAATAAATATTTGATTGGATAAACGAATACATGTTTTCAAAAGGAGACAAATTCCCTGGAAAAGGTACACAAGCAAGAAAATTTTGCAAGTGTTCAATTTTTGTCTATGAAAGCTTTAGTATACTTTTTAAAAAACTGAAGCATATTACATTCCATTTTTTTCTTTCTCACTATGAATCTTCATAGAAGTAAATACTTTAAAGTATAGTTTAATGGGTAGGGGTTTGTTGTTTGTTTGTAAAAATTTATGGAGTACAAGTATAATTTTGTTACTTGTATAGATTTTGTAGTGGTGAAGTCAGGGCTTCTAGGGTATCCATCAACCCAAATTATGTACATTACGCCCGTTAAGAAATTTCTCATCATACACTTCTTTCCATACCCCATCCTTCCAAGTCTTCCATGTCTGTCTTTGCGTACTCTGTGCCCATGTGTACACATTATTTAGTTCCCACTTATAAGCGAAAACATGTGGTATTTATCTCTCTATTTCTGAGTGGTTTCACTTAAGCTGATGGTCTCCAGTTCCATCCATGTTGCTATGGAAGACATGACTTCATTCTTTTTTGTGTCTGCTTAGTATTCCATTGTGTATACATACCACAGTTTCTTTATCCATTCATCTATTGATGGAAATGGTTAGGTTTCATGGGTAGGTATAAGTCTGGTTCCAAAACTAGACCTTTATGTTCAAATCCCAGCTCTTCCACTGACCTGTTTTGGGTTTAGTGTGTGTGTATGTATGTAACTTGACATATACCTGGTTTCCTCATGTGAAACATGAAGTAAATAATAGTCTCCACCTCATAGGATTGTTGAGAGAGTAAATAGCTAATATAGCTGAAGGGCTTGGCATATGTTTTGACACTGTGCTGAAGAAGGCATTGGCTACCATTACTATTATTATTCGAAGAAGACATTTTTAGTTTCATCTCCTACATAATTTTGCAGCCCACTAGGTAGTATATTTCTGGCTGTAAGGCTTGGAAAAACCCATCCTAAATGACATAAAAAATAAGGTGGCTGGGCATGGTGGCTCAAGCCTATAATCACAGTACTTTGGGAGACCGAGGCAGGTGGGTGGCTTCAATTCAGGAGTTGGAGACCAGCCTAGGCAACATAGTGAAATCCTATCTGTTAAAAAAGTACAAAAATTAGCCAGGTGTAGTGGCGCATGCCTGTAGTCCCAGCTACATGAGGGGCTGAGACAGGAGGCTTATTTCAGCCTGGGAGGTTGAGGCTTCAGTGAGCCCTCTTGCTGCCACTACACTCTAGCCTAGGCAACAAAATGAGACCCTGTCTTAATAATAATAATAATAATAATAATAATAATAATAATAATAATAATAATGAAATGGCTGGGCTCAGTGGCTCATGCCTATAATCCCAGCACTTTTGGAGGCCGAGGAGGGAGGGTTGCTTGAGGCCAGGAGTTTGAGACCAGCATGGGCAACATGGTGAAACCCCATCTCTATAAAACACTTCAAAAATTAGCCAGACGTGGTGGCACACGTCTGTAGTCCCAGCTACTCAGGAGGCTAAGGTGGGAGGATCACTTGATCCTGGGAGGTCAAGGCTGCAGTGAGCCCAGATCACACGACTGCACTCCAGCCTGGGCAACAGAGCAAGACCTTGTCTCAAAAATAAATAAATAAAAAATAAGACAGTAAGGAAATGTATTATCTTACCTAACTGGAAGGAGTGGCACCATCAGTAGCTGAAAGATGTCGTCAGATAACTGACTCTCTCCGTCTTTCTCATGATGTTGTAAGCCTCATTTCCAAGTGCCTCATAATAACAAGACAGTTGTCAGTGGCAACTGGAGCTACATACTTCTTTGTTCTCAACTACCTGGTCAAAAATGGAAAAACCACATCTCCAAGTGTGTAATATAAATGTTTCCTTCATTTTGATTGAACCAGTCCTAGTCACAGGACCAATGAGTCATGCAGGCAGGTGATGGGGGAATGGCACATGCCAATAGCCTCCTTAAGATTCACTCCTGGCCTGGCGCGGTGGCTCACGCCTGTAATCTCAGCACTTTGGGAGGCCGAGGTGGGCAGATCACGAGGTCAGGACATCGAGACCATCCTGGCCAACATGGTGAAACCCCGTCTCACTAAAAATACAAAAAATTAGCCGGGCATGGTGGTGGGTGCCTATAGTCCCAGCTACTTGGGAGGCTGAGGCAGGAGAATTGCTTGAACCGGGGAGGCAGAGGTTGCAGTGAGCCGAGATTGTGCCGCTGCACTCCAGCCTGGCGACAGAGTGAAACTCTGTCTCAAAAAAAAAAAAAAAGATTTACTTCTAGAGTCTCGGGTCACATTCTTCTAAGCTATACTTGGTCAGAATCGGAGTTGTGTTAGGAAGAAAGACACAAGTGAATGGATGCGGGGCAATCAGTGTTCACCAATGTACTATTGCTCTCAGAAAATATGGAGATGCCTCTTTTTTCATATTTTAAAAAACTTCTCAATTTTTAATTTTTTTTAAGTTTTAAATTTTTGGAAATAATTGTTTTGTTTTGTTAGTTTTTAGAAAAAGGATCTCACTCTGTTGCCCAGGCAAGAGTGCTGTGGCATGATGACAGCTTACTGCAGTCTCCGACTTCTGGGCTCAAACAGTCCTTCCGCCTCAGCTTCACAAAGTGCTGGGATTACAGGCATGAGAGAGGATGAATTCTAACACATTACATTGTGGTTAGAAACTATGTTACCAGATATAAGAAATAAAATAAAATTACATCTTCATATGTATATTTTATATATTTATAGCTAGCATTTATTGAGTGATTGCTTTGTGCCAGATCTGGCTTTGTGCCAGATAGTCACTCAGATACTATTAAGTGATTGCTTTGTGCCAGATACTACCCATCATTTCCATCAGCCTTCACAAATACCCTTATTTATTTCCTCAGAAAATACTTATGAAGCCCCTACCATACTTCAGGCACTGTCTTGTCACTGGGAATATAGCAACAGCAGGAAAAGACCAAGACCCAGTCCCTCATGGAAACTACATTCGAGAAATAGGAAACTGTGGCTGAGAGGGATTGAGTGAATTGCCCAAAGTTACACAGCTTGAATGTAGCAGAGTCGAGATTTGAACTTCAGAAGTCTAATCTAACTCCAAAGTCAAGAATGGGTGTATTAGTCTGTTCTTGCACTACTATAAAGAAATACCTGAGACTGGGTAATTTATAAAGAAAAGAGGTTTAATTGGTTCATGATTCCTCAGGCTTTACAGGAAGCATACTGGCTTCTGCTTTTGGGGTGGCCTCAGGAAATGTACAATCATGGCAGAATGTGAAGGGGAAGCAGGCACATGTTACATGGCCACCCCAGGAGGAAGAGAGAAATGGGGGAGGTGCCACACAGCTTTAAACAACCAGATCTTGTGAGAACTCACTCGCTATACTGTACCAAGGGGGGATGGTACTAAACCATTCATGAGAAACCCGCCCTCATGATCCAATCACCTCCCGCAAGTCCCACCTCCAGCATTGGGGGTTGTAATAATTCCAGTTCTCAGCCAATGGCAGGCTTCCTTCTTTCAAGCCTTGACTTTTCAGGGGAGAGCTCTCTGGGGCCTGGAGGAGGCATTGCTCTAGGGGTCAGGCACCATGCCCCACAGTGGCATCACTGCTTGAGAGCACCCAGAACAATGAAAGGCAGCCTGTGAGCCAGGGGAGGGTCCACTCAAACCAAGGGTGTATGGAGCAAACTGCGTAAGCATTGAGGCCCCAGGAGAGATTTGCACAGGAGATGCAGGTGCCCAGTATGATCAATCCCTCTCCCCAGACCTCCAGCCATCATTTGCAATAACCGAAGTTAACATTACCTGATGCTTTGCTTCTGGGGAACCAGTGTGCACAACCTCCTTAAAAAAAATAAGGGTTTGGCTGGGCTTGGTGGCTCACACCCATAATCCCAGCACTTTGGGAGGCCAAGGCAGGTGAATCACCTGAGGTAAGGAGTTCGAGACCAGCCTGGCCAACATGGCAAAACCTCATCTCTACAAAAAATACAAAAATCAGCCAGGTGTGGTGCTGCACACCTGTAATCCCAGCTACTCGGGAGGCTGAGGCAGGAGAATTGCTTGAAACTGGGAGATGGAGGTTGCAGTGAGCCGAGATTATGCCAATGCACTCTAGCCTGGGCAACAAGAGTGAAACTGCGTCTCCAAAAAAAAAAAAAAGAAAAGAAAAGAAAAAAAGGAAAAAAAACGGTTTGTGGCATGTAGTGGGGCGAGACTTTCAGATTTCTGAGCAGGAACCTAAGCTGATAGAAGAATTGTACACACTAAAAATGCCTGGTCCCTGTCATATTGTAGTGATCTGTGACCTTAAATTTAAGTATTCAACTTTCACCAGGTTATTTTGAATTTGAGTTCTGCTAGATAGAATCAAACCTATGTAAGGCTGGGCACGGCAGCTCGCGCCTGTAAATCCCAGCACTTTGGGAGGCCAAGACAGGTGGATCATTGAGGTCAGGAGTTTGAGACGAGGCTGACCAACATGGTGAAACCCTGTCTCTACTAAAAATATTAAAAAATTAGCCAGGCATGGTGGTGCACGCCTGTAATCCCAGCTACTCAGGAGACTGAGGTAGGAGAATTGCTTGAACCCAGGAGATGGAGATTGTAATGAGCCAAGATCACTCCACTGCACCCCAGCCTGGGCGTCAGGGGGAGACTCTGTCTTATAAAAAAATAAAAAGAATCAAACCTATGTTACTAATTGTTACTGAATCATCTGAATTTGACTGGCTTCAAAAGTGTCTTTCCAACAGGACTGTTTGTTTAATTGGGTTTAATATTATGCATTTTTCAACCAGTCTTGAAGAAGTTTTCAAACTCCCACTATGTGTCAGGTGCTATGCTAGGCACTGGGTGAATTAAAAAGGCATAGTCTGGTCCCCGGAAGCAGACTCAGAGATAAAGATTTTTGTGAAAATGATTTATGAAGGCAGGGTCTCCTGGGAACACTGGGCAAAGTAAGAGTAGGGGAACACGGCAAAGCAAGAGGAAGAAGCCCACCAGAGTGGCGATCTCAAACCAAAGGCCAGACTCCACCTGATCCTGCAGGGAGCTCTGGAGAGTCAACTGCATCTAAGGGTTTTTCCTGAGTCAGAATAAAGGAGCTGGGCTTTCATTCTGCTGGGTTAGCAGGTCCTTGGCTACTGGCTACCCCAAGCAGAAAAAAGCACTCCGGCATTTCTGGCCCTCTGCACAAGCAGAGCAGGGCCTCTCTGGGAGCCTGAGAGCAGTTCTGTTGCAGGTCCCACTGACATAGCAAAAGAACAATGCAGCCAAAGTAGGAGAGCATGGAAATGGTAAAGGAATGTGAGGGCTTCTGAGCTGAGCATCAGCAGTGGCTGCTACAAGGTCCCTAAAAGATGGTAATAGTCAGGGGCTAGGCACTCACGCCTGTAATCCTAGCACTTTGGGAGGCCGAGGCAGGTGGGTCACTTGAGGTCAGGAGTTTGAGACCAGCCTGGCCAACATGGTGAAACCCCATCTCTACTAAAAATACAAAAAAAGTAGCTGGGCATGATGGCTGATGCCTGTTATCCCAGCTACTTAGGAGGCTGAGGGATGAGAATCGTTTGAACCTAGGAGGTGGAGGTCGCAGTGAGCTGAGATCACACCACAGCACTCCAGCCTGGGTGACAGAGGGAGACTCTGCCTTTAAATAATAATAATAATAATGTTTTACCAGCTATCTGGGCATCCCTTCTCCCAGTCAGCTTGACACATAAAATTAACCATTATATCTGCCATTATCAAATGCAATAAATGCAGCATAGGAAATAAATAAAGTGCAATTTTGTAAGTACCTATTTGGGAAGAGGCAGACATTCTCAACCTGCAAGCACTCTAACCTTTCCCCTTCCCCTGACTCCCCAACTAGACATAGGCCCCGTGCTGGTGATGGAGCAGCCATGGTGCCCCCACCAGGAGCTATGTGTGAGGACCAACATTCCAAGAATGGCTGGGTGGGAAGATGGAAGAAGCCCCTGCCTCTGATGGCATCGTGGAGCATGGGCACCAGCCCTGGACTGCTGTCTCCAGATTGCTTTTATGTGAGGAATACAATACCAGTGGTAAAAAGCCAGAGGACGTTAGATTTTTCTGTTTCATGCAGCTGAACTTAATCCTAGCTGGTCTCCAAGCCTTAGAGGAAGGATTGGCCTTAGAGAGATGAGAGCACTTGTTTAATTTCACAGGAAGAAGCAGCAGAGGGTAAATGCAAAAGTAGGGAAGAGGCTTCTCACACTAGCTTTTTAATAGAGGTAGAGATGATTGTGACACTCTAATAAAGGAGCACTCAACACAGTAAGTGAAAGGGCATGGCTTATGATCTCTGTGAGAGTCTTCACCTGCAGAAAGCTGGTTCATTTAACCCAGGGCTTTTCAATCTCAGCACTATGGATGTTTGGGGTGGTTACTCCTTTGCTGTAGGGGGCTGTCCTATGTAGTGTGGGGTGTTTAGTAGCATCCTGGCCTCTACCCACAGTAGCACCTCCCCCGAGATGTGACAAACAAAAAAAGTCTCCAGACATTGCCAAATGTCCCCTGGGGGACAACATCAACCCCAGTTGCAAATCACTGGTTTAGCCTGTGAACTTATTCTCTCAGAAAGATATTTAAAACCTAGAAGGGTTTTTTTGTTTTTCTGTTTTTTTGTTTTTTGATGGGAGGAAGGAATGAGGGAGTGACGGAGATGTTGGTTAAACGATACAACATTTCGGTTAAACAGGAGAAATAAGTTCAAGAGATCTATTGTACAACATGGTGACTATAGTTAATAACAATGACTGGGCACAGTGGCTCACACCCATAATCCCAGCACGCTGGGAGACCAAAGTGGGTGGATCACCTGAGGTCAGGAGTTTGAGACCAGCCTGGCCAACATGGTGAAACCCTGTCTCTACCAAAAACAAAAACAAAAACAAAAAATTAGCTGGGCATGGTGGCACATGCCTGTGATCCCAGCTACTCGGGAGGCTGAAGCAGGAGAATCGCTTGAACCCAGGAGGCAGAGGGTGTGGTGAGCTGAGATTGTGCCACTGCACTCCAGCCTGGGTGACAGAGCAAAACTCCATCTCAAAAAACAAACAAACAAAAATATGTGAGGTATGCATATGGTAATTCACTCAGTTTAGCCATTCCGCATGTATACATATTTCAAAACAACATGCTGTATATGAAATATACCTTTTTTACTTGTCAATTTAAATAAATAATTTTAATTGACAGCAAGCTATATTACTCCTATATTTGTGGTTTAGTTATTTTTAAAAAACGCATTGTATCAAGCAACCAAGGAAAAAAACACCTCAACAAGTATTATTTTAATTATCTACAAACTTTATAATTATTGACAAATTATATCCAAACTGTAAGGAAGCTGAAAAAATAATCTTCTTTTGGTTCTACAGGTCTACTACCTTCCTTTAATTAAACATCGAAAACAAAAATTGGCAACTAGAAAAATATATAGTAATATCAATCACAGAACAAATTCACTATAAATGCACCTTAGCTAAGACATTTCCCACTAATACATCCACAATTTCCACATCTATAAATGGAGACGCTTATGCAAGAAAGCCCAGAAGTTTCTTTCTCCTTTAAAATTAAAATCATTCCATGATTCACTGCACAATTTTTGAGTTATGCTGGACCTTAAAATATGATTCCATTTACAAAAATGTGATTTACATGCAAATTTGGGGAAAATAGGTCTATAGAAAGAGGCATCCTGGCTAGGCACGGTGGCTCAAGGCTGCAATACCAGCACCTTGGGAGATCGAGGTAGAAGATGGATTACTTGAGGTCAAAAGTTCGAGACCAGGCTGACTAACATGGTGAAACCCCGTCTCTACTAATAATACAAAAAAATTAGCAGGGTGTGGTGGTGTGTGTCTGTAGTCCCAGCTACTTAGGAGGCTGAGGCCAGAGAATTGCTTGAACCTGGGAGGTGGAGGCTGCAGTGAGCTGAGATCACACCACTGCACTCCAGCCTAGGCAACAGAGTGAGACTCCATTTAAAAAAAAAAAAAAAAAAAAAAAAAAAGAATGAGGCACACTATGTTTTTTCTTCCAGAGGTTCTGTTAAAGAATATAATTATTTTAAGGTAGGAAAATCATCATTGATTAAATAATTCTATAAAGTAATTGTGCTATCATTGATTCAAGGTCAGGTTTTTACACTGTTATCTTCTGAAAGCATTCATTATCAGCTTCTTTGCATGCTTTTACAACTGACATGACCAGAGTCAAAGAGAATATGCCAAGAAAAGGTCAGTAAATGCTGAGGTGAATCAATTTGCATAAGAAAAAAAAAGGAGAGCGTTGTTTCCATGGCTTCTAATAGAAGCACAGAGAAAAATGTGAAAAATAAAAACTAGTTTGCTGTGGCAAACGAAATAAACTGATCTATAAATATATCATAATTTTAGTTCCATAAAATCTCATTGTTCAGTGGTGATCTTTATTATGAGTAATCATGGGTTGCTTTTTGTTTGTTTCTGGCTTTTTTTCTGCTGATCTCTGTGCCACAAGTCTCTGAAATAGCACCTACTAATTTCTTTTTTATCTCGTTCTGGTATATAGAGAATATATGTAGTCATCAAGTAGGAAGTTAGATACATAACTATCCAATTTCAACATATAAAGTACATTTATAGAGTCAAAGAGGATGGTATAAAAAAATGAAAACCCAAAGATAAAGTCCTCAGCAATGTTTTCCTTGGGAAAGAGAACAGTTCATGTTTAAGACACTATGTGTTTTCCTAAGAGGTTGAGAAGTCCCTCTTACGGGCAGTTATGTTGCTTCTTCAGTCCTGGAGAGATACAAAGGGCACGTCGGTCACTGATGGGTGTGTACAGAGTAACCCTGCTTTGCTCAGAAGTGGGATACACGGCTCTTGCCTTTGCCGCTGCAGCATCCATCCCCTCTTCCTTTGTTAACCTTTATTTTCCTTAGGAGAACCACCCCCACTTACCCTCAATTCAGGTGGTCAGAGTGGAGCTACCCCCATATGTATAGCATCAGCAGACACCTCCACATTGCAAGCCCATCCAATCAGCATATTCCATCCCCGTGGCCAGAGTGATTCATTCCGAATGAACACCTAACCCAAAATGGTCCACAGAGACTCAATCCTTGGATTTCTGCTGAACCGGTTGGAAGAAGGGGAGAGGAGTTAGAGCCCTACTTCCAATAAATGAGGAACAGAGAGGGTGCCTGAGCTGTTGGGACTACCTCACAGGAGGATGAAACAGAGACCAACCCAAGCCAACACAAACCACGAGGGAAGACAAGCTTGAACCTACCCCTGGTCCTCTGGGATTCTAGAGGATGTAAATTCTTTCCCTTTGCTTAAGCCAGTTTGAGTTGGGTTTCATTGCTTGCAATTGAAAGATTCCTGAGGAAGTCAAAAAAGTCAAGTTCTGCAAGAACCTAGAGAAATGTTCATAGCCCAGAGATATTTGTGCAATGAAGTAAAGAAAAATCCATGTTTTTTTTTCAGGGATCTGTACATAGCTTGCAAAACTATGAGGAACAAATTAGGAAATGGTTAAACACACAAAAGCACTCAGAAAAGTGCTTAGCTCTAGGGCTAAGGAAAAACGCATATGTGGGGAGGGGCACACACAGGCTTCCAAAGCCCTGGCAGTGTTCAAATGCCAAAGCTGGGTATTGGCCACAAGGCATTTATTATTATTATTATTATTATTAGAGGCAGGATCTCCCTCAGTTGCCCAGGCTGGGGTGCAGAAGCACTATTAACTTGCTGTAATGTCAAACTCCTGGGCTCAAGTGATCCTCCCACTCTAGCCTTCTGAGTAGCTAGGACTACAAGTGTGTACCACCACCCCTGGCTGATGTTTTTTACTTCTGTGGAGACAAGTCTCACTATGTTGACCAGGCTTGTCTCAAACTCCCAGCCTCAAGTGATTCTCCTACCTTAGCCTCCCAAAGCTCTAAAATTATAGGCATGAGCTACTATACCTAGCCTATTGTTATTTTTTTATGCACATATACATCTTATATTTTATCTTAACATTATATATTTCAATATCTTTGAGGTTAAGAAACTTGCACAAAATCACAGAACTTATAAATGAGGCAGTGTTAGTATTCATCTCACCAGGTTTTGAAGATTAAATGAGGGAAAGCATGAAAGGATGCCAAACCATGCTGGACACACGGCAAGTGCTCCATAGATGTTTGATGTTGTTATAATCATAACTGTTTGGGGATGTTGGGAGGATTACATAAGATAATGCATATTAAACACTTAGCCCAATTTCTGTCATCCATGAAATGCTTATTTTAATGTTTGCTATTAATATTATCATTTTTATCCGAACTGGATAATGTGTTTTCTTGGCCAACATACCTTCCATAAAAGCAGGCCATCCATGATATTTCTTTGTGGGTTAAGCTTTTTCCTCCTACCATTCAAGCTCTTAACCAGCCTTACATTTCAAGAATCTTCACAGTAGTGCAGCAAAATTGTAATTTATACCTGTACTGTACAGTAGTCATTAGCCACATGGGGCTATTTAAATTTAATTAAAGTGAAAATTTCATTCCTTAGTTGCACTAGCCACATTGCAAGTGCTCCACAGCCACTTGTGACTAGCCGTACTGCTAGGGACTACATGGATATGGAGTATTTCCACCATTGCAGAAAGTTCTATTGAGCTGTACTGTGCTATGCTGGGGAGTAATTAAAACCAGAACCTAAAAAGCACAGAGCCCTTCATATGAGGGGTGGAGAGGAGAGGCATCTCTGGGCAAGGCTTCCTGGCTGTCTCCCAAGAGGCCTCACAAGGTGGCTTCACCTTGACCCAGTGACGATAATCCAGGGTCTCTCTCAGCCTTGCAGACTCAGAGCCTGACTCGTCAGCACCAGAGGTCTCCTCCATTTGGGTCATGAATCAGAATGTCAATCTATTGATTTACCGTGAAAACCCTTACTACTTTCACTGCCCAAGGATTGGCATTCAGGCCGCTGGCTCCCGTGACTTCTCCCCACTGGCAAGGCCACCAGAAGTCCATGTATAATCAAACGGCTGCAGTGAGTCAGAGCCAGGCCAATGGCAGTGGTCTGTGTGTTCTGAATGTGCTATTGCCCAGCATCAAGAGGGACCTGCCTGTCCCGGGAGCCAGACAGGCACATCCTGGGCTGGAGTTCCACTGGCCTGATGGTGGTCAGCATTGCCAAGTTGTACTCCTGGGACTTCCCTTTTTTCTTTCTTCCCTACATCCCTTTTTCAATTTTAAAATAATTTTAAACTCACAAAACATTGCAAAAATTATACAAAGAGTTCCTGAGTACCTTTCCCATAGTTTCCACTACAACAGCATCTTACATAACTAGAGTACATTGTCAAAACCAGGACATTGACGTTAGCACAATACCCTTTTCCTCTGATAACGGCAAATGTGTTAATGGGTTCTTACACTGTGTCAGACATATTTTTGTTTCATTCTCACAACAATCCTACACTGTAGGTATTATTATTATTCACTCTATTTTATTGAGAAGAAGACTGGAGCTCTGAGAAATTAAATATCTTTCCTAAGGCTAGATAGACCGTAGATGGCAGAGCTGGGATTGGACTCTACCAAATCTGACTCCAGAGTAGCACTCTCTAAATATGAATGGATGGGAAAGACTTTAACAAGCAGACCTCAAACGCCAGACCAAGACGCTTTTCTGCCTGTTTGTATTTGCGGCCTATGTCTCCCGGATGATTCAGTGTGTGTTAAACCTGCACTTTCCCTGGGAAGGGGAAGGGGGAATAATGGGCTACAACCCCCAAATTCTGATGATGCATTGCTAAAGCCAAAATTTGCTCAAATGCTTATTAAATTTATCTTAATGTTTGAGAAAGATAAAAATAGTGCTCAAAATATAAAGACTACTGCAGGGTAGTTGTACATTTTATACTTCAAGAGCTCACTTGATGTCATGGCTTATTATAATTAGAGTAAACTTTCAATAATCAGTCACGGAGAACCATGAATTCTCTTCAGGAGGGGTGTAGACTTAATGAGCTGAGCTGCCAGTTTAGGAAATCAGGTTTAGACTTTGAATGTGGTAATGGTGAAATTGCTGCTCTAAAAAGAACCATCTGGTAGCAACTTGCATCGTACAGAGCAGCTACTGCACTATTCTCACAGCACCTATTGCACAGTGCCTGCAGGCACATAGCAGTGATAGGCGGTATATCTCTGGTGAATTAAATTGCCTGTGTTCTTCCTTCACAGCTCCTCCTCTCCTACATGTGAAAGAACCACAAATGAAAGGAAATCAGAGAGAGTTGGTTTTGTTTTTGGTTCAGTTTTGTTGTTGTTGTTGTTGTTTTTGAGACAGAGTCTTGCTCTGTTGCCCATGCTGGAGTGCAACGGTGCCATCTCAGCTCACTGCAACCTACATTTCCCAGGTTCAAGTGATTCTCCTGCCTCAGCCCCCGAAGTAGCTGGGATTACAGGCACCCACCACCATGCCTGGCTAATTTTCATATTTTTTGTAGAGACGGGGTTTCGCCATGTTGGCCAGGCTGGTCTCGAACTCCTGGCCTCAAGTGATCTGCCCGCCTCGGCCTCCCAAAGTGCTGGGATTACAGAGGTGAGCCACTGCGCCTGGCCAGGGAGTGTTTTGTTGGACAGGACTCTTATCAAAACTTGGATGTTCCACCCCAAAAATAAAAAGTTTGAAATCTACTGGCTCACACAAACTAGATGTAAAAGAGATCAATTACAAATCAGACTAACAATTGATTCATTTTAAAATAACTGATTAACCGGAATCGGTTGATGCCGAGATAGGATTTGGGGGTTTACATCAGCCTTTAGGAAAATCATAACTTACAGTCAAGGCTGAGTTCTGGAACCTCATTCTCTCAGCAAGGAAAACAGTTCTATCTGAAGCACCCCAGTAAACTCACCTCCTGACCACTCTCCCTCTCTCTACTCCTCCACCTCTAGCTATTACGATGGGGGCCTATTAAACAGACAAACACATAAGAAAATGGAAGGGAGAATGCTGTAACAAGATCATGAAAGCACAGTTACCATGGATCATTGGCTAGGGCTTGGAAATACTTTCATTATGGCGAATTGCATCCATCAGCTCGAAAACATTTTGGAAGTAAACAAATGAAAAGAGTTAGCAATCTGCCACTTAGGATTCTCTAGGTGAAGTCTTATCCTACCAAAATTAATTTTCCAGTCCCCTCCCGCTCAAACCTGCGCTATCCTTTTTGCTAATTCGTGAGCCAAAGGTTGATAATACTTACGTATACATTTAGCAAACCCAAACTCTGCCAAACTGTGTGAAAAAAATAAATGACTTCAGTGGATAGAGATCCAGGATGCAACCACACACTCCATGGCCACTTCTAACTGTGAGGACAGTGGAACAGGTGATCACAATGACTTGATATATATGGAAGAGACCTTCCTAAAAGTAGTCTCCTGTGTTTTGGAAAGTGTGTTTATAACTGTTTTGTAGAGGGGTCCCCACACCTCAAAGAGGAGCCAGTATGGTTGGGAAAAACTAGAACTTCGAGGCAGGAGACCAGTGGCCTATTTCCTGCTCTGTCACCTGGTTCCTATGAGATTAAATCTTTCGGATTATCAGTTTCCTCATTTGTAAAGCAAGTTAGATGAATTAGATTATCCCATCATTTTCTGTATTTGATTAATGAGTTCATTCAAGATTGGCTACACATTCAAAATGTAACCAATTCCTCTAAATTCCTCTACATGAGTGGGTTTTTTGTTAAGGCTTGGATGTGGTCAAGATAAGGGATTGAGATTTGCCTAGCCTTTTATCCCTGGCACATGCAAAAAGTGCTCTGTAACCAAATATTTTGGAAATGCTGAGTTGTACCAAGTTGGTACAACTAGTTTCCTTTTGCAGAACCTCTCGGGGTCTTTAATGTGCTAATACAAATTATGGCTCCTAAGAGGTCTCTATCTAATCATAAAAAAATCACAATTTTTCTAAGAGGACACACTCCCTGGCAGATGCTGTACTAGAGTCCTCAGTCTCCAGTGTTAGGCTCACTCTAATTGATCTTGCCACCTAAAAAAGCAGGGAGGATTCCTTTGATAGACAACTCACCTTATGAGAGCAAAGGCACCCAGTCCCCACTTAGAACGCTGACAAATGAACCTGCAGAGCAGAAACACGGATGGCCCACTTTCTTACCACTCACAAAAATAGTATCTCTTCTGAACTTCTTCGGGGGATTCCTCTGAGGGTAAACATACCTCCAGACAAAAGGTCACATGTGTAGAATTGTACCTGTTCTCTGCCATTTTGTTTTTAAATCTTGATCTCTGAGTTGTAAAAAGAGACAGAGAAGAAAGAGAGAGAAAGCAACAGAGAGAAAGAGGTGAGAGGGAGGGAAACAGGCAGGTTTTAAGATAAGTTTGAGGAAAATTCACATCATAGTCATTGTTTCTTCCTTTTGGTTATTGGCTATCTAAATTTTTTATGGCAATATTTAAGTAAAGCATATAAATTCAAGGAGAAGCTGTAATAGTTAAGTATTTGGCATAAGACCTAACTGGGTGGAAACCCAGCTCTACTATTTCGAAGTTACTGTGATTCTGTATGACACAGTTAATCTCTGCAAATCTTACTTCCCCCTTTGTAAAATAGGAATTGTGGTGGTAGCTACCCCATAGGGTAACTGGAGGTATTATATAAGATGTATTGAGATTTATTGAGTACTTACCATATGCAGTGCATAGAAAGAGGCAGCCTTTACATTTAGAAATGGAGATTTTTGTAATTGGTTTGTGCCTATAAATTCCTATACCCAGATGTCTTATTATTTCTTCCAAGTCCTTTCCCTCAGGAAAAAAAAATATAGACAGATAGATAGATAGATACATAGATAGATAGATAGATAGATAGATAGATAGATAGATAGACAGACAGACATATATACATATATATATACACACACAATTCAAATTTAGGGGAGAAAAAAATTAGTAAATAAAATTTGTGTGGGCTAGCTAATAAATGTTGACCTAAAATAATAAAGAAGTAATTACCTAGCCCTGGTTTTTCCTCTTAAGAAAATTCTTTTCTTTTTTTTTTTTGGACAGAGTCTCATCTGTCGCCCAGGCTGGAGTGCAGTGGCAAGATCTCCACTCACTGCAACCTTTGCCTCCCAGGTTCAAGCGATTTTCCTACCTCAGCCTCCCAAGTAGCTGGGATTACAGGCACCTGCCACCACACTCGGCTAATTTTCTTCTGTTTTTAGTAGAGACAGGGCTTCACCATGTTGGCCGAGCTGGTTTCAAACTCCTAACCTCAGGTGATCCACCCGCCTTGGCCTCCCAAAGTGCTGGGATTACAGGTGTGAGCCACCGCACCCGGCCAAGAAAGTTATTTTCTGCATGAGACTTTCTCTCTGGAAAGTTAACAAATATGCTACCGATTTGCATAACAATCTCTTCCTTTTAATGAAGTACATGATACATAGCCTTAAGGCTCACCTTCAATGCTAAAAATAGATATTAAATACAGTCAACATTGTAATGAATAAAACCTAAATCTTTTAGAACCAAATGTTCATCCTGATCCCTCATATTATTTCAAACGCATTTTATACTAATTTTTTTTTAAAAAGTCTTTCTCTTGAATTAATATTTCAACTATTTAAAAATAGGTAAACTTTATTTTACATTATCACTTGAATAGACCAAATAATTGTTAGTGCCTCCATAGACAATTGGCTTTCAAATTGAATCTTGGTGATTTATTTTTAAATATAAAGAGAAATCATCAGCTTTGAAAAGATTAAAATAGATGTCTTATTTAGAATTATAAAAGCAATTCATTTTTCATGTCACATTTAAAGCATAGTTATTATATTTAAAAGATATTTCAGACTGATATTATGGGTTTGTTAACAAGAAAAGCCACCATGTAATAGAACAGTGATAAAAGATGAAGGGTGAAAAAAATAAGAATATCTATTTTACTTTTTTGGAACCCTTCTAAATGAAAAATCATTTACACAAAGACAAATGGGACCTAGCTAGGAAATTACCAGACCCACCTATTATGTGAAAATAATTAGAAGTCATACGAAGAAGGTACATACAAAGTAAGCCCTCAGACAAGCTGGAATCATTTTTAAAACCAGAGCAGGCCAGGCACAGTGGCTCACACCTGTAATCCCAGCCCTTTGGGAGGCCAAGGTGGGAGATTGCTTGAACCCAGGAGTTCAAGACCAGCCTGGGTAACACACCCATCTCCATAATTTTTTTTTTTTAAATTAGCCAGATGTGGTGATGCGCACCTGTAGTCCCAGCTACTCGGGAGGCTGAGGTGGGTGGATAGCTTGAGCCTGGGAGGAAGAGGCTGCAGTGAGCTGTGGTCATGCCACTGCACTCCAGCCTGAGTGACAGAGAAAGACCTTGTCTCAAAATAAATAAATAAATTTTTTTTAAAAAATTAAAAATAAAACTAGAGCTTCATGTAAAAGAGTAACAGAAGTTCTCTTCCTTTATGTAGCTGAGATTGTGTCAGGCTTTCATTGCAAGATGGCAGATGGAAGACCCATTTGCTTCCTTTCCCCAATTCTACCAACACATTTATTGAGCACTTACTATATAACTGGCAATTGAGATGAAAGTACACATAACAAGGTGAACATGCAAGGGGTCCACCAGTGAGCCAGAACTTTGGGCAAATTCCCACAACTCAGAAAGCAGATGAATTCCACCAGTAAACAGAGAGAGCCTCAAAAGGACAGCCCAGAACAGACCTAGGAAAAGGAGGTGGGAAACAATTTACTCGAGGGGCAATAATAAAACTCTAGGCTCTTTATGATCTAATGCATGAGTCAGCAAACTTTCTGTAAATGGCCAGAGAGTAAACATTTTCAACTTTGCAGGTCATATAGTTTCTCTTGCAAATACTCCACTCAGCCCTTGTGGTGTGAAGGCAGCCTTAGACAAAACATTGGCAAGTGTAGCTGGGTCCCACTCAAACTTTCTTTACAGGAACAGGCAGTAAGTCTCAGTTTGCCAGCCCCTGATCTAAATTCTTACCACTGTGCCTACATTATATGAAATCTGAAAATTTTAAGGGGAAAATTGCCTGAGTTTTAGCTCTAGCCACCATCTTCTCTGTACCCCGGGTCTGTCTGATTGCCTTTCCCCATACCCAGAGGTTGCCAACACCTCAGCATCCATCTGCACTGTCAATCAGTTATACAAGGTGAATCTTGACGTTTCTTGTCCAGCCTTTATCTTAACCAATGGTAAATTCTACTTGTTCTACTTTGGTTTTTTTGCTGTTTGTTTGTTTGTTTGTTTGTTTGTTTTAGAAAGAGTCTTGCTCTGTCACCCAGGCTGGAGTGCAGTGGCTCTATCTTAGCTTACTGCAACCTCCCAGGTTCAAGTGATTCTCCTGCCTCAGCCTCCTGAGTAGATGGGATTACAGGCATGAGCCACCACACCTGGCTAATTTTTGTATTTTAGTACAGGCAGGATTTTGCCACGTTGGCCAGGCTTGTCTCCAACTCCTGACCTCAGGTGATCTGCCCACCTTGGTCTCCCAAAGTGCTGGGATTACCGGTGTGAGCCATCACGCCCAGCTCTCTACCTGTTCTACTTTTTAAGTGAGTGGGTTCACCTCTCTCCCTCTTTGCTGCCAACACCGTTAGCAGAGGCCACCTGGACCGCTGCCATGGCCTCTCATCAGGCCTGCTCTCAGCCACTCTCCAATCTCTTCTCTATATTTTTTGTAATTTGTTCAACAAATATTTATCAAGTGCCTACTATGTGCCAGGCATCTTTCTAGGTACTGGAGATAAATTAGTGAACAGAACAAAGTTTCTGAACATCCCTTATCCTGTGGCGCTTAGATTCTGGTGTATGTGTGGGGAGGTGGGGGCAGTAAGGCAACAAAGATAAAACGTAATATGTAATAGAATATGCTAGAAGGTCTTAGTGCTAGGGAAAAGTGAAATATAAAAGGACTAAAAGGCAACTGGCATGCTGGGGCAGTTGCAAATGTAAATAAGGGTGGTTAGGATAGGCCTCCTTGCAAAGGTGAGATTTGAACAAACATTCGAAAGTGACAAGGGAGTCTGCCATGTGGCTATTTGGGGAAAGAGCAGTCTGACAAGGAGAAGATCCAGGACAAATTTCCCAAAGTGGGAGCATGCCCTGAGTGTTCTAGAAACCTCCAGGGGGGCAGTGTGGCAGGAGCAGAGCTGGCAGGAAGACAAGAGGTAGGAGTAGTAAACAAAGTCAAAGATCTGAAGGTCTCTGCGAGAGAAACGAGAAACTACTGCAGGGTTTAGAGCAAAGAGTCTAACTTACTTTAAAAAAAAATAGGTGTTGATGATAGAATGTAGAGGGCAAGGGTGAACCCGGGAGGCCAGTCTTGAGGCAATGACAGTGACAGTAATCCAGGCTGGAGGTGACAGGGGCTCAGAACAAGAAGGGTAGCATGACAGAGGGTTTATTATTAAAATATATTCTGTTTTATTTTATTTTGTATTTATTTATATATAAAATATTACATTATCACAAATATAATTATATTATAATAAATAATAATATAATATAATATAATATAATATAATAATATAAAGTAGATTTGCCTTCAAAAGGCAACAAGATTTTCAGACAGATGGGTCTTAGGTGTGAGAGAATGAGAAGGGTCAAAGATGACTCCAGGGTCATCTTTGGAAGGATAGAGTTGCCTTCAGTGAAAGGGGTTTGGGGGTTGCCAGAAGGTGTTGGGATGTGGACAGGTTGAGTCACACTGCAGGGAGGTCTTCCTTATGAAAGCTGCTCATGTCACACTTGCCCCATTCTTATGATTTTTCTCCTTCCCCGACCAACCATGAAGACCAAGATCTTTAGTGTGGCCTACATAAGACCCTGCAAAGGATCCCTGCCATCCCTCTGGCTCCGTATTTGTTCCAGACTTCGCTTTAGGCACATTCCTTGGGCCACATTAGCTACCCTTTTGTCTGCACTGTCTGGAATGCCCAGCCATCCTCCATGTCTGCTGTTTTATTCTTTTTTTTTTTTTTTTTTTTTTTTTTTTTTTTAAGACAGGGTCTCGCCATCACCCAGGCTGGAGTGCAGTGGTACAATAACAGCTCACTGAAGCCTTGACCTCCCAGGCTCAAGTGATCCTCCCACCTTGATTCTTCAGGTAGCTGGGATTACAGTCGCCCGTCACCACTCCCGGCTAATTTTTTAAATTTTTTTGTAGAGACAGGGTCTCCCTGTTTTGTCCAGGCTGGTCTGGAACTCTTGGGTTCAAGCGATCCTCCTCTCTCGGCGTTCCAAAGTGTTGGGATTACAGGCATGAGCCACTGCACCCAGCCCTGTTTCATTCTTCACCTCAGTTAAATTCTGCATAACCTTCAGCTCTCATCCCATATTCCAGAACTGTAAGGAAAGCTTCAGGTTTCCTCATATGCTCTCTCATAGTGACCCTAAATTTATCTTCTGTAATTATAAAGTTGTATGATTATTTGATTCATGTGCATCTTCCCATGAGATGGTAAGCTCCCAGGGGGCTGGGTTCATGTCTGTTTTGCTCACCCTCGTACCCCCAATGCTGCACACAATATCTGGAATATAGTAAGTCTTAGTTAATACCTGTTGAATGAATAAATTATGGTTTTCTACCCACCTAAAAGAAAATATTAGCTTACACATTTACTCACTTTCAGAGTCTTTGTATAATTCTGGTATAAAGAATGCTGTACTAGAAAAAATACAAAGGAAATTACACATTATTATTTATAATAGCAATTACTAATATAATTCAAAGTTCATTATGCTCATTAAGGAGTCCAAGCCATGAATGATTCATTTCCTGTAGAATATAGCACTGCTCACCTGATACCTTGTTGTCTTCAGAAACCAGTGACAGACTTGCACTGTCTGTCCCCTTGAAGACAGATTGTCATGTGGCTTGTTTTGGTCACTAAAAAGTGAGCAAAAGTGACAGGCATGAATTCCAGGCAGAGAAAGCTGGTGTACAACCCTCTGGCTGCACCCAACTATGTTAGTTTCCTGTGTCTGCCATAATGAAATCACCACAACTGGGTGGCTTAAAACAATAGAAACTTATTCTTTCGTGGTTCTGGAGGCTAAAAGTCCAAAACCAAGGGGCTGACAAGGCCGTGCTCCCTGTGAAGGATCTGGGGAAGAATCCTTCCTTGCTCTTTCAGATCCTGATGGCTGCTGGCAATCCTTGGTGTTCCTTGCCTTGTAGAAGCATTGCTCCAATCTCTGCCCCCATCTTCACTTGATGTTCTCCCGTGTGTGTGGGGGGGGTGGGGTGGGGGGAGTCTAGCCTGTGTCTCTGTATCCAGCTCTCCCTCCCATTTCTCTTATGAAGACACCAGCCATTGAATTTAGAACCCACCCTAATATAGCATGACCTCATCTTAAGTTGATTACGTCTGCAAAAACCCTATTTCCAAATAAGGTCACGTCCACAGGTACCAGGGCTTAGGCCTTGAAAATAACTTGCTAGGGGTCACAGTATAGGCCACTACACTGGCAATCATGAAGCACATGTTGAAATGGAGCCTTATCAGTCAGCCTGAGTCCCAAATTGACTGCCGTGAGACAGGCCTGTGTCTCCCAGCTCACTTCATTTCAGTCACGTGGCCCCCAAGTAAAGAGACAGGCTGAATCATCTGCACCAGGTAAAGCTTCCATCTCTCTTGCTTTTTGGTGACTACCTTTAACGGATTCATATACATGACATGAGTCTGTACTGTATATGATCTTCTCGTAACTGTCTCTGGACTGTCCTTCATGGGACATATTCCTGTTGCTGGTCACTTACTGAATGCCTGCCATATGCCTATTATCGTGCTGTGTGCCAAGAGGGATGCATAGAAAATTAGACACAAGGATCCTAATCATGAAAAGTGTACAATCTAATATAGTGGGCAGGACAGAAAAGACTTATATCAGCATTGGCTGAAATTGTCAGGGGAGACCAAATAATAAGGCTTAATAAGAGGTAACCCTAACAGAGCTCCCAGTCTGTTCCAGGCACTGTGATAAGCATTTTGCAGGTATTATTAAATTCCATAGGGGTTGTACCCCATGAGGTTGGTATTTTATAACCATTTTACAAGACCGGAAACAGAGGCTTCAAAAGGTTGTGTAACTTGCCCAGTGGTCACACAGGATTCCAATCCTGATCAGCCTGTCTCACAAACATTGGGTTCTATAGACGCTCCTAGATTGCATTTTCGTTTAAGCTGAGCCTTGATGGTCTGCTGGAATATGGTAGGCTACACTTTACACACACAAGGCTCATTTCACCTAATACAGTTATGCCTGGGCAGAAGTGATCATGTGGCAATATCAACAGGTTACAGTAATAGAAAAGAATCAATAAACTACTGTTTCATTTCTATGTCATTGTTGCTAAGTTGTCCCAACTACCTTTTTTAATGGACTAATCCAAACTCTTTTTTTTTTTCATTTTTCCCTTTATAACAATTGAAGTCAGACTTCATTTTTCAAACTTGGCCTCAGATACAAAGATGACATATCAAGAGCCTTCATTTCTCTCCTAAAGCATTAAAGCAATTAAAATTTCCAAAAGAACATGAAACTAAACAACCCTATTTTTAAGTGTTTCCAAACTTATTTCTTTTTTTTAAACTTGTTTCAAAACAGCCTTATGAGGACTGTTTTCCAAACAGCTGTGTAAGAAGCCAGCCACTTTTGAAATCTGATTTTTCCTGTGTAGACATATCATATTTTCTATGCTTGAAGAAGCAGGGAATACCCAAGCTGGCATTCAATAGTAGCGAATATGAAATAGACCATTAAAAGAAAGTCATAGGAATGTTAAAATCCATGTTGACTGGTTTTTACATTTACCCGGCAGCATTCCCGAGCTAGCGTTGGCATGGAGACTGGAAAAGGAAACTTTCCACAAGTCTGTCACTTGCTACTGTTTCTACTTACTCCACTGTGAGTCCAATTTTAACATTTTTTTAAGTTGAAAAAAGGGTTTGACTCCTTTTGTGTTTTCTGTTCAAGGCGTTTTTTAAACATGAGAACACGTGTGAAAAAGGTTTTTAAAAATCAGCCAAAGATTGGGGTTTCCAAATATTCAGCTGTTTAACATTCAGATAATTGCCTGCCTTCCCCCCGCTATCCCCCACATTTCGTCTGAATGCTTTGGCACGGGGGAGCCCCACAGTCTGAAAGTAACTCTGTCCCAACTCTCCTTACTGCATTTATTAAAGAGGCTGAAAGACGCATCTGCTTTTCAATAGTTTGCGGTTCTTAAGAGACCAGGAAAGCCAGAGGTTCTGACTATTCAGGAAGAAAGTTGGGTTTCCCAAAACGGGCAAGCAAGTTCGGTGTGGTCACATCTAGGTATTCTTGACGTCATTTTTGTTGAGGGAAACAGGCTGCAGTTTTTGGAGCCAGGCTAGGATGAGAGATGGAGGGCAAATCTGTCACTTATTCTTTCCTGGTGTGCCTGGAACCCACTAGACACTCAATTCATGTTTACGTGAATGAAGGAATCACAATAACGCCCTATCGCATCTGTAAAACCGAAGGGTGATTTTCCTGGGCTGGAAAGTTTAAGAAAGAAGAGAGAGCTGCGTACCTAGGGCTTAAGGGGCCTCAGGCTGGCACTCGAAACCAGGCGTTCTCATTTCCCTTTGGCATCACCCTGAACGGCTGTGCCTGGAGCTGGCGCGGGGCTGAAGAGGGGAGGAAATACATGTGAGGAAAATCAGAGGAGAGGGTCGGGAACAGATGTGGGCATAAAGGGAAGGCCTCTGACTTGAAATAAACAAATAGGAGTCCCGCAGCTGGAAGGACAAATCCTTTCACGTCGCGGGTGATGTGGGATTGGGGCGATTTTGCTCTCCCTTTGTTCTTTCCCCTGCCTTCCACGTTTCCAGGGTATTTGATTGATGTCTGTCTTCTCTGTTAAGTTATTCCACCGTGAGGAGAGAGCCGGTGGCAGTACCTGGCACGCAGCGGGCGCCCAGTATAGACCTGCTGAACAAACGAATGGATTCAGGGGCTGCTGTGTCCCCCTCACCCACCCCCCGCCCCCTATGTGTCCACAGCGCCCCGCACGTAGTAGGCGACCCCTAAACATCTGTACAGCAAATGATTTGCAAGTTTTCGGCGCTGAGCACGTGGAGCTTTGGAAACCAGGACAGCAAATGAGTGTCTCGGAGACCACAAAAGCGGTTCCGGCGCGTGCGAAAGGCGGTGGCTGGGCGACGGCGGAGGGAACGGCGCAGAGCGGGGCGCCCCGCCGGGAGCGCTGCCTGCGTGGCGCCCGAGGCGGGGGCGCGGGGGGCCGCGCATAGCACGTGCTCGTCTGGGAGCCGGCCGGGCCGAGGCGGGCGCGCGTGTGCGCGTGGGGCGTGGGGTGTGTGCCCGCGCCGTGCCCCCCGCGTGTGCTGCCGGGCGGGCGCCGGCGTGAGTCACGGCGGGGCTAGCCTTTATAACGGCCCGGAGGCTCGCGGGAGCCGCCGCGCCCGTCCGCCCGCCGCTCCGCGCTCCACCCAGCGCACCCGGGCCCCGCGCCCCCAACTGCCTCCGGCGGCCGCCCAGTCCCGAGGGCGCCATGAGGAGCCTGTGCTGCGCCCCACTCCTGCTCCTCTTGCTGCTGCCGCCGCTGCTGCTCACGCCCCGCGCTGGGGACGCCGCCGTGATCACCGGGGTAAGCGGCCCGGGCGCACCTGTCTGCCCCTGATGCGCGCCTGGGATGTGCCCAGGGGGCTTGGGACGGGGACCCTGAAGGGCAGGCTAGAGGCAAAGGGAGGGTCGCCCTGGGCGGGGACACCTGCCCCTGTCGCCCCTTGGTGCACTTGGGAAAATACCCAGATCCAAAAGCAGCAGACGGCTGGGGACACTGGGCGCGTCCTGGAAGAAACAGTGACAAGGATGTCGCCCACCACCTTTATTACCACCTTCTCCCGCTTACTTCTCCCTCATCACCCACGGCCTCACTCCTCGCATTTTTCTTCTGTTAGGCTGAAAGAAGTTTCTCTCTGAGTCTTCTCAAGTACTTTTGGAGGCTCTCCAACCTCGAACCTTAAAATTTGACGGCCCCTTCCTGAAATGCAAAGGACCAAGACGAATTCCCCAAGTGCCCAGAGTCTTAATCCTACAGTCAAAGAGTTTGCTCCCCGATGCGTCCTCCGCAGAAACCCTTTGAAATCGCTTGGTCCAGGGCCATGTGAGCGCTTTGAAAAGCAATTGTGGGAGCTTCCTTCTGGGTTCCGGGGCTTTCCCCCGCGCTCAGGGTCTTGAGGTATCCCCATAAAAGTTTTAAATTTCTAATTCCTGGCAAAGCACCTCCAGTGCTCCAGCATAATGATGGAGTAGGTTGCTGTGTAGATGTTTAAACTTAGAGACGATGTTTTCATCTTTTCTGTAAGTAGGAACTAGTTCAGTTCTCTCCCACTCTCAACAATTTTGTGTGGATCTGAAAAAATTGGGTTTGCAGTACAATACTAAATAGTCTAGTTTACATTAACAAGGCAAAACTGCTATCATTTCCTGGTTGTTCAACTTCTTTACTGTTTTTTAAGTGAGGAATTATTTCACACCTTCATTAAATTACTTCAAATATTTAAGTGCACATAATGGGATTTAAATAAAACGTCTATGTTTGAAATGTTGATACATAGATAATATCATTTGACTTTAAAGGAAGTATCTTTGTCTTGAAAAAATCAAGCTCTATTTTCTCTATATTAGTTATTAGGTTTATAGAATTTTGAAAGTCCTTTTGCTATGACAGCATTTGTATATATCCAACAGATATTTAACTGTAAGCTCTGTGATATTTATTAGAAAAGAGATTTTTTCAAAAAATTACTTGCATAGCTTTGCCAGTCCATGTGGTTGAGAAAAACTTTTTGCAGGTCTTTCTAATACATGAGAATTGAAACATGATTGGATTTTTTTCTCCCTCTTCTCCTGCTGGCTCATTTAAAGTTTCTCCTAATCCTCTGAGCCCAAGATCCCTTTGCAATATAAGTATCTTTTTGTTCCATTCACAGGACAACACTATCTGAATAGATTTGCAATGGGTTAAGGATGAAGGGCATTAGGAAACAGCTGTCTAATTAAAAATATATAAACCTATGCAACTCTTTGTAAATTTTCCAAGAACTGAAGCTTTTGTTACAAAATAAAATTTTATCACATTGGCTGTCTATCTGTTAGAGAGGCTTAGACTGGGCTTATTATATAGTTATGTGTGCTGTTTTTGTTGTTGTTATTTTAACTCAGTGTTACAAAAAGAGAATTTTAAAAATGTCTCTAAAGCAACAGGGCAATAAAATGTAGTTATGTCTCCATGACAGGAACCATCTGGATTCAAATGAAAAACTCAGTAACTTATCAAGATACATTGTGTATAGCATGTTAAACATCCAGGTGATTGAATTTTAAAAGATTTTGGCTGGATTTTTGATTGGTTCATAAAAAAAAGCTCATGGGGCCTCAAAATTCGAGGTATTGAGCATCTGTTGAAATAAAATGCTGGCTAAAACTTTCACCTGACATCCACAGTTTTTTGGGTAGTGTATGTAGGTATTTTGAAATTGATTTATATGCCCACATAGATTTGTTAAAACTATATTGTAAAAGATCATTGACTAGACATCTTATTTATGGGATGTAATGGCTACATATACATGATTTCTGGCATGCAGATAAAAATTGGAAAATTGAAACATTTACATATTGTCCTATAAAATCCAAACACCTCAAGGTGAAATTTTTAGCTTTTATCCAGATACTTTGTTTAAATAGACTGAGAAATAAATTCTAATGAGGGAAGTAAATGAACTTTAAAGCAAAATAGTTGGTTACTTTTAATGAGAAATAATGTTAAGAATGTACCCATATTTTTATATCTTGAGAAGTTATGACTGTCCTCAAAACTAAGAATTTTGAAGGACTGTTTTAGTTGTTTCCACTAATTGTACATTTAAATTTGTGCCTAGATGATAGAGGTTTTAGTTTCTTACATATATAGTACAGGATGTTTTTATCTTATCACTACCAAAACAGATTACTGCCCACGGTTCAAACAAAGCATTCTATTTTTTGTTGGTTCTAGGAAAGAATAATAGTTCTTCAGATCCATTTTCATGCAAATAGATTTAGATTTTATTATTTATTTCTATTTACTAGAGTATGGAAATTCCTCCATAGTTGATTGTTTCATTGTATGTATTTACAACTTTTATATTGAAAGCAGGTGACTTGAGTAATTACTATTGACAATTGCACCTGTTACTTGCATTTCTTAATTTGATGGATCTTACAGGATTGTTAGCTGATTTTGTAATGTACATATATGTTTATGCTAAGCCAGTAATTTGCTCTTTGCAGCTTATTCACCTGAAGGAAGAGTAACATAAGGCAAGCATCTTGGTCTGTCCACTTTCAAACTATGAGACTTCTTTAAAGAGAAAATGGTGAAAAAGCAAGTCAGTGGTGTGAGAAACGTCAAGTCTCTTGAACCAAAATGCAAATATTTGAAGGGGAAAATGAGCACTTCTGAAATTTACATCAGTGCCTTTATGGGTCTGGAGTGTTTCATGCCAGATTTAGAGACTATTTAAATCTCTTTTTTTAAATTGGCCCCAGTGTATTCTGCAGTTAATAGTCACAAAATCTTGTGATTCCATTTATGTAGTTCCTAATGGCCATGTGTAGTATAAGAGTAATATAGTCTTGTTCTTCAAGTTCAAAGCCAATTCAGCCATAAAGCACTGGAAAAAGAGAGCTGATTTCATTTAAAAAAAAATCTTATGTTTATTTAAGATTTTCATAATCCAGGGGCTAGAATTTAGCCCACTTTCGAAAAATGAGAAATAGCTATTCTGATCAGATTTTATAATAGCTATATACAAGTAAATGAAGGTTATCATTTAAAAAATATACCTGATTATTAAAGTCCAAGTGTTTAGATATTTAAAGGGCATTTCACTGCTAATTTTAGGTTTCCTTAGCCTGAGTCTTTCCTGTTATCTATATTTATCTGTTTGTTTATTACATTTCAGGCTTGTGACAAGGACTCCCAATGTGGTGGAGGCATGTGCTGTGCTGTCAGTATCTGGGTCAAGAGCATAAGGATTTGCACACCTATGGGCAAACTGGGAGACAGCTGCCATCCACTGACTCGTAAAGTTAGTATATATATATTTGTATTCATGGTGGTTCTACTGTGGTAACTCTGAGCAGGGTCTGTATGACATGAAGGACTGGGTAACGTGCTCGACAAACAAAATGAATATTGGACATTAGCAAGGATAACAGTGTAAAACTACCCCCTCTCCTCTCCCCTTTCATTTCAAAGAATTGTATCCTCTGTCTTTCTTATTCCAGTGATAGTTTTCATGTTACTGCTCTCATGGTGTTAGAAGCATTTTACCAATATAATTTGCAACACATGAATTTGCTTAAAAGTTATTTAGAACAAAAATATATATTATACTCTAGTATGCATCTTTGCAGAAATCTGAGTATAGAAGTTCTTAAAAAGACTGCTTTTAATATTAGATCTACTGATAAGGCAGAAGTAAGGAAGCTCTGTGTTTTGGGATTTTTTAGAAAATCGATTATACAATTACTCTTGTATGTTAGTTTAAATATTCTATATTTTGACTCTACCTACAGGACACATTTTTCAAAATTTTAGAGATCGATGATATTTAATTTTCCAATTTGCTTTATTATCTGTCAGCTCAATATCACAGTGACCTAAATAACACTTTTGAAAAGTTATTAACAGTAGTGGCATGATCATAGGGTGGCAGGATTGGACAGGGTTTGAGAGATTGTATCTCCAAGGGTTGCAGACCCACCTGTCTACAGGGGTCAGGAAGGTTTATATTACATGAGGAAGCGGGTGGGTGGGAGGCAGAAGGCATGTGGAGCTGGAGGTTCTTGGCCTTCTGGTTGAAAACCTTTGAAACACAGTGTGGTCTCAACAGAGCACCCCAGGAATGCCAGGTTGCATTGCCTTCCTCTGGTCCCACCTCCGCATTTTTCCCATTGGTAAAGTGCCTCCAGTGGCGTTGCAACAAGTCCTAGGGCAGGTGGTTTTCGAGAGGCAGAGCTCAGTCTCTTTAGAATGTTCTTTCTACACATTGTATACTTTCTTTTAGATACAAGTAGAATGTTATCAGAGCAAACCAAATTCCATTTTCTGTCTTATTTTTTCACATGTGATTTAGGGTTTAAAAATGTAACACAGCCAAACATCATTCCCATACTCCACAGTCCCAGAGAACAGTTAATATTTTCACCTCCTCGGAGTGAACAGAATGAAATAAATTGTGGCCCCTTGGCCCAGGTTTAACTCTGCAAGCTATAATGTGGATTCCAGTTGTTTTGGGCCTATCTAAAGACTGAATTTGCTTTTGGCTTTCCTGTGGTTGCCTTGTGAAATGCTTCCTGTTACATTTAAACCATCCCTCCTGTGGTTTTACCATGCAAGACTGCAATGTCATTTAAAAACATGACATGCATTGTTTTTTCTTGGACAGAAGAGGTTTAAACCGTTACTTGTGTGTCTCAATGCCAAACTTCCCTAGAAGAGGGGCCGCTGGCCCAGCTGCCTTTAGCATTTCTCTCGTTATTTTCAACACCCTTATTGAATTATGAGTTATCTTTTGTACACTTAAGTCATTGTCTCTGAAACATTTACTCTTAACTTTCTCCTTTAAGAATTACGTTGTTTTTGGCTGGGCATAGTGGCTCACACTGTAATCCCAGCAATTTGGGAGTCTGAGGCAGGCAGTTTGCTTGAGCCCAGGAATTTGAGACCAGCCTGGGCAACATAGTGAGACCCCGTCTCTATAGAAAAATTTTTAAAAATTAGCTGGGCATGGTGGCACACACCTGTAGTCCTAATTACCAGGAAGGCTGAGGTGGGGGAGGGGATCAGTAGAATCCAGGAGTTTCAGGCTGCAGTGAGCGTGATCTTGCCACTATACTCCAGCCTGGGTGACAGAGCAAGACTCTGTCTGGAAAAAGAAAAATTGTGTTGTTTTCATGCAGTATTAGTACAGCTTCACATGCCCTAGATGCTAGAATCACATAGCCTGTTTACTGAAACAAGGGAAAAGTGACATATCCCATGGAACTATGTTTGTGTTAATAACAATCATAATTGCACCTTGTTAAATACTGTGATGTACCAGATCCTCTATATTAAATGTTGTATATGTACTTCTTACTTAATACAGCAAGCCTGTATACAACATTAAGCCCCAGAGGGGTTCAGCAACACAGGCTGTGAGTAAACAAGAGACACTCAACTTCATTCTTTGTGACACTCTGTTGTTTATGTGGTCTTAATCATTACACGCTTCTGCCTCCGCGAAAGCAGTCGTTGGGTTTAATTTGAACACTTTGTAGTCCAATTAACCAAAACTGGTTTGTTTGGATAACAGAGACAAAATGATCACTGGAATGAGTGATAACAGTTCAGAATGGGAATTTGTGTCGTCCGATAGTTTTGATGAGTGTTCCAATCCTCTGCAATATTTAAAAGAGAACCGAATTCTATTTCCCTAGTTCCTAGATAACTTCAATTTCAGGTTTAGTCCAAGATTAATTTTGAAAGTAAACAAATGCAGTCTTCTTGCATAAGCCTGGCTACATCTCTTTGGTTCTGTTTTTATCATGGATCCAATAATGAAATCTTTAAATAATAGAGTATGGTTTTCAGATGTTCACTTGAAATGTATTTCTGGAATTTTATTTTCTAACTTTTCATATTGGTTGCTTTTTTATCTTCAAATACATTTTCAAAGGTTATTTTGATGACCTATTTTAAGAGAAGATCCTAGAGTTGTACTTGTTCCAGATGAAATTTACCTATTGTAGAAAAAGATCTAGTTTCTTCCAGAATATCTCTCAGCTGTATGGTCTGTTCAAAACAACTCAAGAAAAAAGTCTTTCCTCAATACATACTGATGAACATTATGTACAGTATTCAATTATGCTCTGAAGTTTAATGACTCATTAGTAGATAGTAAAAATGTAGACCCTATATAGAATTTTTTTTTTCATTTTGTTTCAGCTTAGTCATTAGCCACCGAAAATCCGTTTATTTGGGTCAAGTGAACAGTATTTGATGACTGAAACTGAGAACCATAGATAGGAGTTTATAGCTACCGAGTTCAGTTTGCTGTTTTATTTAACATGTACCAATTAACTTGTACAGTTTACAGTCCCTGACAGGCTATTGTTTTATAATTGTATAGTTTTGAACTTTATGTTTGATAATTTTAAGATAGAATAAAATATGTGAGATATATGAGTTCACCTAGGAAGCATAGTATGCATATTTTCTAAATACATTTTAAAGCAAATAATAGTTTTAACAGGTATTCATTTTTCTCAAATTTTTTATTTTATTTTATTTTATTTTATTTATTTATTTTTTTGAGACAGAGTCTCGCTTTGTCACCCAGGCTGGAGTGCAGTGGTGTGATCTCGGCTCACTGCAAGCTCCGCCTCCCGGGTTCACGCCATTCTCCTGCCTCAGCCTCTCAAGTAGCTGGGACTACAGGCGCCCACAACCACGCCCGGCTAATGTTTTTGGTATTTTTCGTAGAGACGGGGTTTCACCTTGTTAGCCAGGATGGTCTTGATCTCCTGACCTCGTGATCTGCCTGCCTCGGCCTCCCAAAGTGTTGGGATTACAGGCACATTTTTCACAATTTTTTAACACTTAAGAATGACTTAACTGAATCATGCCTTTAGAAGAAACTTTCTGTTTAAAAAAAAAAAAAGACAAAACAACAAGGTTTCTATTAATGCCGGTAACTTTCCAAAGTTTACATAGAAGATTAGCCATTTCCTTCCCATTTTGACTAATGTTTAGCTTTGAAAGCTTTGAACACTTTTTAGTATTCAATAATTATGTGATTAATACTTTAATCTTTATTGCTTATTGTATTCTGAATTTTTTCAGTTTAAACAACTATGTTTCCTTCAAACAATCTTGTTTTTAAATTTTCCTGCGCTTTTTATGTGAACATTTTTAGCACCAGGTTTTTTTAAAAACTTCACTTTCCTTCCTTTTCTGAAGGAAAAAAATTCAAATAAAAACCTGGTACTTGTTTTATTTTTTTAACTTGATATTTAAAAAATTATTAGTGGTTTCTACTTTAGAACCAACCTATGAGGAAACATTGTAAACATAATTTCAGAATATGAAGTCATTAAAATTTTTACATATTTTTTAAAGTAAAAAAATTTTAAAATACTAAAATATAACTAATGCAACTAGAAATTTAGCAAAAGATGGGGAAGAAAGCATAATATGCTGATTTTCTCATCTTTCCTATCACAATGTCAAGAGCTACTGTCTATGATTATTTCTTGGGATAGCATCATAGCAGTGTTTATAGGTTCAGTTCAGCAAAAAGACTTACAAGACAGAAATAGGCTTTAGTCTAATACAGGTTTCTCAACTTTGGTACTATATGCGCTTTGCCCAGTTTCTCCCAATGGTGACATCTTGCAAAACTATAGTACAATATTCCAAGCAGGATATTGACGTTGATACAGTTAAGACACAAAACATTTCCATCACTATAAGGATCCCTCATGTTGCCCTTTTATAAGTGCTAATTTCTCTTTAAAAGTGCTGCAAAAGAGTAAAAGTCATGCTTTCTCAAAGTGCTGGATGTTCTGCCTCGGTAACTTCTAGAATTTGCTGTTTGGAATTCTAGGCTATTGGAAACTTTGCATTAAGTGTTGGTTGATTCTAAAGTAAACCATGAAGTTTGGACTAAGTGGTTCCAGTGTGCATCTTCTGTAAGCACTTTCTCTTGCATTTGTGATTATGAGACGCCTGTTAGCTTTGTCACACAGTATCTGTAGATCTAGAAGTGAGTGGGCCAGTCAAGAAACGGACAAGCATCTACCGAGTGTATAATATCAGAAATCATGGTTTTTGGCCAGGCACAGTGACTCACGTCTGTAATCCCAACACTTTGGGAGGCCAAGATGGGCAGATCACTCGAGGCCAGGAGTTCAAGACCAGCCTGGGCAACATGGCAAAACCCTGTCTCGACTAAAAATACAAAAATTAGCTGGGCATGGTGGCACATGCCTGTAGTCCCAGCTACGTGGAAGGCTGAGGTGGGAGCATCACTTGAACCTGGGAGGCTGAGGCTACAGTGAGCTGAGATCATGCCATTGCACTCCAGTCTGGGCACAACAACAGAGCAAGACTCTGTCTCAAAAAAAAAAAAAAAAAAAAAAAAAATGAAAAGCGAAAAGAAAAAAAGAAAAGAAGAGAGAAAAGAAAGAGAAAAGGAATCATGGTTTTTGTCGTTAGGAGCTCACAGAACTGAGTGAACTGGGTTTGAATGAGAAAAAAGCACCTAAGTATTAAGGACCCTGCAGTTCAGTGTAATCATTATGTTAGGGTCAGTCAAGGCAGATCCAGATTGATGTTCATACAGTCTTGGTGTCCTTGATTTAAAGAAATAATACAAAGATTTTTTTTAAGTTTCACAAAAACAGATGACCTTGTGAACACACTACCAGGGTCCCTCCTAGGTCCTGGATTAGAGGCCTATACATGAGAGGGGCTTCGGCCTCTTGGGCTTCATGGTGAGTCCATCTCTGAGTTTGGTGGTGTGAGTTACGTTTTGCCTGCTCGGAGCTGGGCAGGGCAGTGAGGGGAGCCTTGGGATCTGAGTTGGTCATCTTCTGCCCTTCGGGGAGTTCCTAGACTCTGTGGGGCATTGCAGGGCATTTGATTGGCACATAGCAAATATCTCCTGAGTGTTTTCTGTGTACCAGGCTAAGAGCTATATGCTCATGAGTAAAATGGATATGGTCCCCCCTTTAGAGAGTCTGGAGTCTGGGCTTGGTGGTGTTTGAGAAGAGAGCAAAATCTGGAAGAAAGCAGGACCCTGTTTGACTATGAGCACTTTCCCCTCCTAGCTGAGTAACCTCAGTCCAGGACCTTTGCTTCACCTCAAAAGGAAGCCACTTACCTCTATCTCAGACAAAGCAAAAATCTGGTGCTGAGGTTTGGGATGACATTCATACATGATGCCTTCTGAGACCTGACCCATGGCGCACAATCCATGTGATTTTTCTTTTCTGCTGGGCCCAAGGTACTGCCCACCCCATGTGACAGGCCAGAGAATGATCATAGTGTCATGATGCAGAAAGCACAAGGCTGTGAGCACCAGCAGCTGAAACAATTTTACTGGTGTTCTGTCTTGTATGATCAAGAGGGAAGCTCCACGATGCACAGCCTCACCTGTGTTGCTCATCATTGTATGCTCGGCACTTAAGATAGGGCCTGGTATGTAGGTAGCACTCAGTATCTGTTGAATGAGTGAATGAAAGAAACATATTTGGTGATCTCTGTTTGTAACAGTTTAACATGCTCATTATAGGTGTATTTCACTGACACACTTCAGGCTCCTTTTACTTGGATATTGCTATCTGTGTTTGTTTTTCTCAACCTCAGCACTATTGATGTCTTGGGCCAGATAATTCTTTGTCGTAGGGGTTGTCCTGTGCATTGTAAAATGTTTAGCAGCATCCTTGGCCTCTACCCACTAGACGCCTAGAGCATCCCCCTCCCTGCCCTTAGTTGTGACAAATGAAGACATTTGCAGACATTGCCAAATGTCCCCTGGGGACACAATCGTCCCTAGTGGAGAATCACTGGCCCATGCAGCAGTTTTAGGCTTGGCAGAAAGGAAACTTATGGTCTCAGGGTCAGAATGGGCTATAAAGGTCGTTGATGATCACTTCTCATGCTATCCACTTATAACTGTCTAAGCCAGTCTAGCTGTACTCACCTCCTCTGATGTGTTCTTGGTGGCAGCAAAAGAGCCGGCTCTCAGTGTTCCCTTTGACACACAGTGACAGAACCATTCTGAGCACAAGTCTCTATTAATCCAGTGGTGAACATGACTGCATGTAGATGCTGTCATTAGAACCTGGGAAGTCATGACATAGCAAAAGGACAGAGGAACTGGGATGGCTTGGCTGTATCTTGCTCCGCCAGTTCACTACATGCATACCCTGCCCTCCCATTGCCTCTTTTTCTTCCCTTTGTATTTATTGATCTCAATCGTCTCCCTGGCCCTTCCAGAACAATTTTGGAAATGGAAGGCAGGAAAGAAGAAAGAGGAAGAGAAGCAAAAGGAAAAAGGAGGTAAGAAGAATGCGAATGTGGTACCACCGAAAGACATGCCCAGAAGAATTAGCCTTTACATTGTTGGACTACCATAGAGTTGGGTCTGTCCTATCAGTTCAGCCCCAACATAAGATTAGAATGGTTCTGCCACTATCTGTAGACAGCTTTGATAATCTGTATTGATATCTATATGATATATACAAAGAAATTTATCTGGAAGGCATCTAAAAGATGCATTTCAGATTTTCTCATAAGGACAGATCATTGATGTGGGGTGGCCTCTTTTGGTGGAACAGAATAAGAAATACACTAGAATGATGTTGAATTTGAGTTTGGAAGCAGGAAGAACACATCCTCTGCCATGCTTAAACTCTGGAAACATCTCTGAGACATGAGTCTGTAGTCACTCGTCTCACTCACTTTAGCCTGAGTCAGAGTCACTTGCCATCTGATTTCACAGACGCTCCAGGCCTGGGATTAAACTTTCTCCGTATAACTTGTAAGACAGGCAGATTCTCAGGAAGGTGCTATTGCTTAGGGGAGGGAAAATAACATTTGCTATCTTTATTCTAGAAAGCATACATATTTGGTGTGTATACCATTTGCCACTGGCACAGACAACCACCATGCTCGCTGTCGGTTGACCCTCCTCAACCCAGCTTGGCTGGTGAAATGGGCTGGGCTCTTAGAGTGACTCTCGAATGAAGCAGACCTTTCACTGCTACTCAATTTCCATTTATGCAAATTGAGCTTGCCTTCTTCTCTGATTTTCCTCTGTTCCTTTTAAAGTTTTTTCCCAGCATTTTGACTCCTGGCATCTGTGTGCAAATGTATGAATTAATATATTGCTCATTGATGGTGAGTTTATATTTGCTGATTGCATAGACATGGTCATGCCCATGATACCAGGTTCAAGCTCAAGGAGCTTCAATGATAGGATACCATAAAAAGAAATAAATGAGAAAAAGTAAAAGGCCGTACAGCTTGAGGACTAAAAGCTTGGTCTCTCGGGCCCACTCACTGCTAGCCAAGCTTCAAGTTTTACATAAGTGACCTTGGCCAATATACCAGTCTCTCTTTGCCTCATTCTCTCATCGGTAAAATGGGTACAATTAAAGTGCTTGCCATCTTTACAAGGTGTTTGTAAGAATGGGAAAGGATAACATATAAAAAGTACTGAGCAGGCCGGGTATGGTAACTCACATATGTAATCCCAGCAGTTTGAGAGGCTGAGGCAGGCAGATCGCTTGAGGTTGGTAGTTCGAGACCCGCCTGGCCAACAAGGTGAAACCCTGTTTCTACTAAAACTGCAAAAGTTAGTTGGGCGTGGTGGCATGCACCTGTAGTCCCAGCTACTCGGGAGCCCGAGGCAGAAGAATCGCTTGAACACGGGAGGTGGAGGTTGCAGTGAGCCAAAATTGTGCCACTGCACTCCAGCCTGGACGACAGAGCAAGACTCTGTCTCAAAAACAGTAAATAATAAATAAATAAAAAGTACTGAGCATATTGCCTAATGGGTAGTTAACGCTCAGTAAACACTAGTTATTGTTATTTAAAGAGCTATCTCAAGAATGATTTGGTTTGTTTGTTTTTGAAACCTTTCCAGCTCTGACTCCGTTTTCTTTTTTATTTAGGTTCCATTTTTTGGGCGGAGGATGCATCACACTTGCCCATGTCTGCCAGGCTTGGCCTGTTTACGGACTTCATTTAACCGATTTATTTGTTTAGCCCAAAAGTAATCGCTCTGGAGTAGAAACCAAATGTGAATAGCCACATCTTACCTGTAAAGTCTTACTTGTGATTGTGCCAAACAAAAAATGTGCCAGAAAGAAATGCTCTTGCTTCCTCAACTTTCCAAGTAACATTTTTATCTTTGATTTGTAAATGATTTTTTTTTTTTTTTATCGAAAGAGAATTTTACTTTTGGATAGAAATATGAAGTGTAAGGCATTATGGAACTGGTTCTTATTTCCCTGTTTGTGTTTTGGTTTGATTTGGCTTTTTTCTTAAATGTCAAAAACGTACCCATTTTCACAAAAATGAGGAAAATAAGAATTTGATATTTTGTTAGAAAAACTTTTTTTTTTTTTTCTCACCACCCCAAGCCCCATTTGTGCCCTGCCACACAAATACACCTACAGCTTTTGGTCCCTTGCCTCTTCCACCTCAAAGAATTTCAAGGCTCTTACCTTACTTTATTTTTGTCCATTTCTCTTCCCTCCTCTTGCATTTTAAAGTGGAGGGTTTGTCTCTTTGAGTTTGATGGCAGAATCACTGATGGGAATCCAGCTTTTTGCTGGCATTTAAATAGTGAAAAGAGTGTATATGTGAACTTGACACTCCAAACTCCTGTCATGGCACGGAAGCTAGGAGTGCTGCTGGACCCTTCCTAAACCTGTCACTCAAGAGGACTTCAGCTCTGCTGTTGGGCTGGTGTGTGGACAGAAGGAATGGAAAGCCAAATTAATTTAGTCCAGATTTCTAGGTTTGGGTTTTTCTAAAAATAAAAGATTACATTTACTTCTTTTACTTTTTATAAAGTTTTTTTTCCTTAGTCTCCTACTTAGAGATATTCTAGAAAATGTCACTTGAAGAGGAAGTATTTATTTTAATCTGGCACAACACTAATTACCATTTTTAAAGCAGTATTAAGTTGTAATTTAAACCTTGTTTGTAACTGAAAGGTCGATTGTAATGGATTGCCGTTTGTACCTGTATCAGTATTGCTGTGTAAAAATTCTGTATCAGAATAATAACAGTACTGTATATCATTTGATTTATTTTAATATTATATCCTTATTTTTGTCACGGTTGTTGTCAGTTTTTATTATAAGCAAATTTCTAAATAGGCTACGTCCCAACATGGATAAAGACCCCAAGGTTGGTAAAATAGCCCCAAAGATATGTGCATTTTCATTTTACATACAGCAGAGTTGTGTTTGCATGGATTTTAAGGTAGTTCAAAAAATAAACGATGCATAAATCAGTGAGGTTTTGGAGTGTGAAGGAAAATGATGCTGTGCAAAACTGATTGTAATCAGGAATGGACTGATGGGGCTTAAGTGTATTGACTTGGCAAAGAGTGATGGGAGTGTGTGTCGCGAGTGGTTAGGCAGGGTGCTAGGTGCTACCACACAGTGATGCCAATGTAGGCTGGCCTCAAAAACCCACCAAGTATTGTAAATGGTTTCAACGTCGCAAATAAACAACTTATGAAATGTGTTCAACTGACTAAACTTGCCCATGCCAACCCACCAACCATTTCCAAACACAGAAACTGTCTGTCCATTTTGTAGTTATTGACAGCCAGGGCTTATGATAGCACATTGTATGTAATTTTACCCCTTGAGCTAATGTGTCCCACAAATGTATGGGATTTTGCTGTGCTAATTACCAAACTTGGTCAGAAAAGTATTATTTTTGGTTGTTCAGTTTGTGTTCAAGAAACATTCCTCTGCGAGTTTGCTGAAGAAAATTCAACTTCAATAAGGGGAATTATGAGTAAAGAAATAGGCACTTTGGCAATTTTGTTGTTTGTTTTCATATAATGTTCAAGACTTTCGAGGCTATGTTGGCCAGGGGCGGTGGCTCACACCTGTAATCCCAGCACTTTGGGAGGCCAAGGCAAGAGGATTGTTTGAGCTCAGGAGTTTGAGACCAGCTTGGGCAACATGGAGAAACCCCGTCTCTACCAAAAAAAAAAAAAAAAAAAAGAGAGAAAATAAAAATTAGCTGGGCACAGTGGCATGCACCGTTAGTCCCAGCTACCCTGGAGGCTGAGGTGGGAGGATCACCTGAGCCTGGGAGGTCAAGGCTGCTGTGAGCCGTGATATTGTGTTACTGCACTCCAGCCTGGTTGATAGAGCAAGACCCTATATATATATATAGAAAGAAAAAAAGGCTATGATGTTTCTTCCAGTTCCTAGGATTGTCTCACACACATGCTGGGACTTCATAGACCAGAATTTCCACAAAGTAAGGCAAGATGAAAATTTACACGAGAAAAACTAAATCCACAGTCTACTTTGAAAATATCATGAATGAATTCCCTTCATTCCAAGGTAGAAAGAAATCTTATGCTAGAAGATGATGCCCAAACCCTACTGGACCTTCGGATTTCTTTGCAAACATTGACTTTCATGAAAACTATCATTTCTGACTTTGTTTTGCCTTTTATCAGAAGCAACATTTTTTTAACCATAGAAAAGTTTATGCCGAAACTATTTCCTATAAACCCTCCTATCTCACTGAGAACCTTTATTCTTCTCAGTATTTCAATGTAGTTCTTTTGTTAGAGCCTTTTATAAAGTCAGTTCAGTGATAGATCAAACACATAGCCCAATTTTCCTCTTCATTGGTTTCAATATTAGAAACCTCATCCCACACTTTTCTAGCTTCATTTTTAGAAGGTTAAAGCTGGGGGCCATTTTAACTTTAAAAACCAGACACTTTTGGTATTCAGTAAGGGTCCCTGTGCAATTCACTAGCAACCTTTTATGGTGTTTCCACCTCCATGTTGCTATGTCTTTCTGATAATATCCTCAGAATTAGTCTCTGATATCTTTCCCAAAGTTGTTAATTCTCACTCCCTTTTGTGTTAAAGAGAACTCAGTTTCTTCCAGCATTTTCACAAATTTTAATTGACAAAAATTGTATTTATTTATGGTATACAACATGATGTTTTGAAATATGGATACATTGTGGAATGCTAAATTGAGCTAATTAATGTATAGACTACCTCACACATCATTATTTTGCAATGAGAACAGTTAATATCTCTTAGTGATTTTCAAGTATACAGTATTAACTGTAGTCACTGTGTTGTATGATATATCTTCGTTCCAGGATTTTTTAATGTATTTCAAAGATGACAGTCTTTAACAACATGATCTTTAAATAAACTTTATTATCCCCCATATATATATATATATATATATATATATATATATATATATATATGCATATGTGTATATATTTTTAGGGTACTTTCAGAGTACACATTTCCCAAAATTAGACATGCAATTATGATGCTGTTCTTGAAGTACAGTTCCCATTTTTTCCATCACCCACCACTCTGAAAAATTTTGATTTGATTTTTATAGGATGAGGCCTAAGTGTTAGGATTTTTTTTAAAGCTCCCTGATTAATTGCAAGGTACATCCATAGTTGAGAGCCACTGAGAACCAATACAGGACTGTGTTCCTATAGAAAGGTTACTGGTACCCAGTGACACTATTTGATGAGACACCTTCCTAGTTGAATTAGAAATGAGGATAGTAGCTGAGTGTCTTTGAATTTCTTACCCTCAAAAGTTCCTGTGGTCCTCAGCACCAGTTCCCTTTCATTCTAGAGGGAAGCACACAGAGGGGTCCCACTGGAGAATTCCCAGCAGCAATTAGCCCATTTGAAGAATTCATGTGAAGTTCCCTAGAATTAGATTAGGGAAGCAGGCCCCAGTCCAACCTGGCTAGCCTCACAGCTCCCTGGGTTTCATGAGTTCTCACATCCTCTAGTGCACCCTCCGGGGTGACCCAGCTTCAAAACTCCCTAGCAGGCACTCCCCTCTCCCAGCCCCTTCCGCATACATCTCAGGATTTCATTCTATTTTGCTGGGTCCATAAATCATCTAAGTGCTTTAGAAAGCCCAATATTGCACCACACTGTAACTGAATAAATCAGAATGGTAAGCATTTCAATAAAATAGATATTTGTCATAAAAGATTAAAAGCAAAAAAGTAGGAAATTGTGGTATAGGCAACACGATGGCTGGCAACAAAATGCAGAGGCTAACGCATATTTAAGCATTCTTGTGCCCCTGTGGAGATTCCCTCATCATAAAGCCTGGAATGCCGACTCATGCAGTTGTGCCAGCTGGGCAAAACGATGGCCTTCTCCATGGAGTGACAACCATGGTGAACAGTTCCAGGCACTCTCACATTACTCCAGAGTTTCTCCATCTCAACGCTAGTGACTTTCTGGGCCACTTTTTTTTTTTTTTTTTTTTTTTTTTTTTTTTTTTTTTGAGACAGAGTTTTGCTCTGTCACCAGGCTGGAATGCAGTGGCATGATCTCTGCTCACTGCGACCTCTGCCTCCTGAGTTCAAGTGGTTCTCCTGCCTCAGCCTCCCGAGTAGCTGGGACTACAGGCGTGCACCACCATGCCCGGCTAATTTTTGTGTTTTTAGTAGAGACAGTGTTTCACCATATTGGCCATGGCTGGTCTTGAACTCCTGGCCTCAAGGGATCTGCCCACCTCAGTCTCCCAAAGTGCTGGGATTACAGGCATGAGCCACTGCTCCTGGCCCTGGGCCACATAATTTATTGTTGTGCAGGACTCTCCTGTGCATTGTAGGATGTTTAGCAGCATGCCTGGCTACTAGTTCCAGTAACACTCCCCAAGTTTCGACAACCAAAAACGTCTCTAGACATTGCCAAGTGTCCTCTGCAGGTTGCAGGTGGGGATAAATTGTCCCCCTTTGAAAACTACTGCTTTAGTCTAAAGCTATTTTGTGTCTGCTTGACTTCACTTGATAATAATATGTTTTTATTTCAGTATAAAAAGTTGAAAAGACAGTATTTAAAAAGTTAAAACCTCCAAATGTGACACTGCAAAATAAGTATCCTAAAAAACAAGCAAAATATTTTGTATCCAAAATAGTGGATGGGGCTGGGCATGCCAGTGGCTCACACCTGTAATCCCAGCACTTTGGGAGGCTGATCACTTGAGGGCAGGAGTTCAAGACCAGCCTGGCCAACATGGCAAAACAGGTAGCTGGGATTACAGGTGTGCTGGTGCATGCCTATAATCCCAGCTGCTGAGGAGGCTGAGGCACAAGAATTGCTTGAACCCAGGAGGTGAAGGTTGCCTTGATCCAAGATCAAGCCACTGCACTCCAGCTTGGGTGACAGAGCAAGACTGTGTCTCAGAAAAAAAAAAAAAGTAGTGGAAGGGTAAAACATTTGATATAATTTACATATTCAATAAAAAAATCAGTTATCTGTCAGCTCTATAGTTTACTGTGTTTCAAGGAAGAAATTTTTATAGTCACTCTTTAAAATAAAGTTTAAGATGAAGGACTCTTTGGGAGGCCGAGGCGGGTGGATCACAAGGTCAGGAGTTCAAGACCAGCCTGGCCAAGATAGTGAAACCCCATCTTTACTAAAAATACAAAAATTAGCCGGGCTTGGTGCTACTCGGGAGGCTGAGGCAGGAGAATTGCTTGAACCCAGGAGGCAAAAGTGGCAGTGAGCAAAGATCGCACCACTGCACTCCAGCCTGGGAGACGGGGTGAGACTCCGTCTCAAAAAAAAAAAAAAAAAAGAAAGAAAAAAGATGCTATATAATTCATCTGATATTCATCTATTCATCTAATTTATGATTGAATTAATAATTAATCTGAGCCCTTCATCTTTTTTTTTTTTTTTTTTTTTTTTTTTTTTTTTTTTTTTGAGGAAATGTGTCTCCCAGCCTTGTCTGGAACTCCTGGGCTCAAGTGATCCTCCCACCTTAGCCTCCCAAAGTGCTGGGATTACAGGTATGAGCCACCACACCCGGCCAACTTCACATCTTTAGAGTATACTTCTAACACATTTCCACACTGTTTAAATCTAAATTTTAATCATCTTGATTAAAATGTGATATAACTAATGGAAAATTGTTTTGCAGAAATGTAAAAGCTTTACAAGCAAAATTGGGGGCAATTGTGCTTTATTAAGTTAAACAGTTGAATAATTGCTGAGAAGTTCACATGTAGTCTTTCCGTGCAAACAAGACTGAGGCTGGCAGGGATGCATTTGGTTCATTCTTAAAAGCAAACAAGCAAATCAACAAAAACTTTGTATTATTGAAATTTTTAAACATAAAAGTAAAGGAGTGTAAAGCAGTCTCATCTATCCATCATTCAGTGTCTCATCAGCATTTATCATCTTGATGCCAAGCGTCTTCTACCTCTACCGCCCCACCTACCTCCACCCCTTCTGTATTGTGTTGAAGTGAATCAATTTTGTCCTTTCTTGACAAGGTCCACTGGTCACTATTTCATATGGAAAAGACAGCCAGCCACATTCTGTATGTTATCAATACATCTTCAGCCTGTACTCTTAAATATTTGCTCTTGAGATATATTTTTGAAATCCAAAATAGGCGTTTGAAATGGAGGAGCAAAATATTTCAGGCCCAGAATGTGTATGTGAATGAACGTTTGCTCCTGTATAGAAATTTAAAAGAAAATATTTTGCGACTCAAAACATAGGAGACTTAGAGAAGTTTATGTCTAACTGTGGTGCTGTGATTGGTTTATAGGAGCTGAATGGTGCCTGAAATTAGTCACATTTGCTTTAAACAGCAAATGTGAATATTCTGTATTAATTTTTTTGAATCTGGTTAGAAGAGGAAAAATTTCTACATGGAAGATATTTAATAAAACTGGTAGACTCTTAATTGTCTTCCACAGTTCTTTTATTCTCACATTTATTCATTACTTCTCATATTCTCTCTCTCTCTCTCTCTGTTTTAGCAGGGTACATGACCACCCATCTAGACATCTAGAGACTGGAGACTGCATTTACCAGCTGCCCAAGTGTGGCCATGTAATGTAAATTCTTAGCGATGAAACGTGAACAGAAGTGATCTGCCACATTTACTTAAAAGAAAACTCCACTTCCTCTCCAATAAGGAGATGCAATAATGAACCTGTCTGCTTTGCAGAGAGTGAAGGCAATTGGGAAAGATAGTAGAGCTGACCCACCAACGTGGGTCCCTGGATAACCTCCAAAAGCAGTCACCTCATATTAGAGAGAGACAATCATGCCACCGTTGTAACTTTGTTAAAGCACTCCCACCTCTACTAACCAAAAAGTGGAATCATTCTCTTCAAAAGTGCATCATGTTTTTTATACTTTATACTTCATTTTGTTATTTTTTATTTATTTATTTATTTTTGAGACGGAGTCTTGTTCTGTTGCCAGGCTGGAGTACAGTGGCGCAATCTCGGCTCACTGCAACCTCTGCCTCCCAGGTTCAAGCGATTCTCCTGCCTCAGCCTCCCAGGTAGCTGGGACTACAGGCACGCACTGCGGTGCCCAGCTAATTTTTGTATTTTTAGTAGAGACGGTGTTTCACCATGTTGGCTAGGATGGTCTCGATCTCTTGACCTCGTGATCCGCCCTCCTCGGCCTTCCAAAGTGCCGAGATTACAGGCATGACCCACCACGCCCAGCCGATTTTGTTATTTATTTATTTATTTTTTTCGAGACAGAGTGTCGCCCTGTCGCCCAGGCTGGAGTGCAGTGGCAGGATCTCGGCTCACTGCAAGCTCCGCCTCCCAGGTTCACGCCATTCTCTTGTCTCAGCCTCCCGAGTAGCTGGGACTACAGGCTCCCGCCAACACGCCCGGCTAATTTTTTGTATTTTTAGTAGAGACGGGGTTTCACCGTGTTAGCCACGATGGTTTCGATCTCCTGACCTCGTGATCCGCCCTCCTCGGCCTCCCAAAGTTCTGAGATTACAGGCGGGACCCACCGCGCCCAGCCCATTTTGTTATGGGTTTTTTTTTGTTTGTTTGTTTTTGTTTTTTTTGTGTGTGTGATGGAGTCTCGCTCTGTTGCCCAGGCTGGAGTGCAGGGCGTGATCTCGGCTCACTGCAAGCTCCACCTCATGGGTTCACGCCATTCTCCTGCCTCAGCCTCCCGAGTAGCTGGGACTACAGGTGCCCGCCACCACACCCAGCGAATTTTTTGTGTTTTTAGTACAGATGAGGTTTCACCGTGTTGGCCAGGATGGTCTCGATCTCTTGACCTAGTGATCCGCCCGCCTCGGCCTCCCAATGTGCTGGGATTACAGGCGTGAGCCACCGCGCCCGGCCTTTATGTTTTAAACATCGTTTTTGTGTTCTTGTTCAGTGGTTGCCATGCAGAGAGTGGGATCAGTCGGCAGGCACACTCACCCATCCAAAACCGGTTTGGATGTTGGGACTGATGGAGGGTGTGACAACACTTATTATTCACATAATGGAATGTTCTGGTGAGAACAGGGCAAGCACAGGTTGGCCCAGGTGGCAAAGGCAAGGCACTGAGGTTGATTTTCAGTTTTGTTGTGACCAGGAAGCAGAGCTGGGCTGAGGGTTCTTACCAGGGTGGGCTAGCTCAGGTGTAGGGCAAAGAGACAAGCAGAGAGAGAGAAAGAGAGAGAGAATGTTGGGGTTTGAGGGCTGTCAGTGTTCCAATGTCAAAATGAAGTTTTCCTCTTAACTATGGTCCCGATACCTTAATGAGAACCTGCTAACTAAATAAAGAATCTTCAAATGAGAAATGATTAAACTTACTTAAAAATGTTGGTCACGAGAGCTTCTAATTCCAAACCCTAAGAAAATGTGTAAATCCATCTTCTTGCAGCCGATGTTTTAATCTCTGAAAGCTGTCACCTTCCCATGGATTAAGACATTTTAGAGATAGGGAAAGTCACTGAGGCCCGTTACAACTGTGAATTTTCTTATGATGCTGAAATGAATTTTAATCTGGCCAAAAGGTACCAGAAAAAAAAAAAAAGACCAAACTTTAAATGACAAATTTAGAGTGAACAAAGCTGCTTTTCAAACTAGCAAAAGCAAATTAATATACAGTTAACAGAAAACTAATTATGTCTTTATATAATTGTGTTTCTTTCAATAGAGGCAGGTCATTAAATGTGTTCCAAAAGTATTAAATTCTAATATATTTATAAAACTTATGAGGTAACTTACAAATTGAGAAAAAAATCCTTCGTTAGACCACGTGTCACTATACTCATAAAGGATTAGAGCAATTATGCAAATTAAGTTCTAGAAATAGCTCTGGGTATCCCATAATTCCTCAAGACAGATATGCAAATTAAACTCATCGTGACTGTGGGTTAAAAGAATTACACACTGTACATTTACGCTCCTTCTGTCACTTTGCAGAATGAGTTCCTGTAAGGGGTTTTTTCCTGTCTCTTCTCTTTCTCCTCTGTGCAGGACATTGCCATACACGTTGGTCAATATTCAGGAAATATATGGAGAATTTATAAGGAATAAAAGGGAAAAATAAATCTGTTAAATTAAAAGAAGAAAAAGTTTCATCTCATGCACTTTAAGCTTAATGATTCCTATAGAATTTTTTTAATAAGACATGTATTAGGTGGCATTGAAATGTAAATACTATTTCAAAGCCCTTCAAAATTAGAATACTTCTGTATCTTCAAGAAAACGAAACCCTTTACTGTTCCCTCCAGGTTCAAACCAAAAAACAATGTAGGCTTCTCAGATATCATTTTCTGGCAGAAAATAAGATTTCCATCCCACAAAGCTGGGCAGATTTGGCAGGCAGATTGGCATAGTTCAGATAATATGCATTTATCAGGGAAATGTTTAAATATACACTTTTCCAACAGTTTACATGCTTTCCACCTAGAGTGGGCTGGCCACTTAAAACTTAATTTATAAATAAGTTATTTCTCCTAGAAGCCAAGTAATGATAGCTTTAATTTATCTGTCTCCTAAATGTAACTGAGAAATACAAATATTGCATTTATGCCTTGGCATTGCAACTTAAAATGTTTTTTTTTCATGATTTCTCTGTGTAATTTGAAATGACTTCAAAACTTCAGGCTTTCACATATAAAATTTGAGCTGTTTATTTATCTTATATTCTCCGACTAGGATACAGAGTTGGTTGGGTACCTACTGAGCCTTTTCCCTGCCCTCTTTTCTCCTAAATGAAAGCACAAAATACCCTTTTCTGTAGTGTAAACCTGCCATTTCCCCCATCCCTCCTTTGGGAGGGTATTGGAGTGGCACTTTTCGGGGCTACCTGTTTGATTTCTATTCAGTTCTGACATTTCTGGTCAACGGCGTCTTTGCTGGCTCTCCTCACAGCATGATTTTATGTAACAAACTTCCTCCAATAAAATGGCCACATTCCTTACTGGCACTTGAACATTTGGATAGAATTGGAAGAAAAACCTTTGAAGAGGGAATTATGTGGTTTTATTTCGCTCAGAGAAATGTATTTTGGAAGATGGATTCCAGAGTGTGGAGAGTGCAGAGGAAGTCAGAAAGAAATGTAAGAACCCAGGAGGAGGGAGAGATGGAAACTGGACAATTTCTGTTTCAGTCTTCGGGTGTTTCTTTTTCCCTCCATTGAGTAACCAGAGATAGAACGCCTAGGGCTCCTTCTGGACAATCAACGATGATGTCTGATCTCTTCAGTATTCCCGAGCTCTTTATCTAGATCCCTCTTTTGGCATCTACCATGTTCTGCCTTGCTTTATGGTTTTGGGTACATTTGCCAAGTTTTCCCAATTAGCCTGCTAACTCTTTTGTTTTCCGAGATGGAGTCTCACTCTGTTACCCAGGCTAGAGTACAGTGGCATGATCACAGCTCACTACAACCTCCACCTCCTGGGCTTAATTGATCCTCCCACGTCAGCCTCCTGAGTAGCTGGGACTACAGGCATGCACCACCATGCCCAACTAATTTTTGTATTTCTAGTAGAGATGGGGTTTTGCCATGCTGGCCAGGTTGTCTCAAACTCCTGGCCTCAAGTGATCTGCCTGCCTCGGCCTCCCAAAGTGCTGGAATTACAGGCATGAGCTGCCGCAACTGCTATCTCTTTAGCAAGAGTGCTGCCCCTTCCTTATCCCTGTGTCCTTCTCCACTGCCCAACACAGAAACTGGCTTCTTATTAGCTTTCAATATCTATTGGTTAGATGGATTTATTCAGGTGGTTTTCCAGATTCCTGTAATTAGATTTATGATATCAAAAAAGTTTGGTCCAGGTATGATGACTCACACCTGTAATCCTAGCACTTTGGGAGATCAAAGCAGGAGGATCACTTGAGGCCAGAAGTTAGCCCAGTCTGGGAAACAGATACACCATCTCTCCAGAAAAATTTTTTTAATTATCCAGGAGTGGTAGCACATGCCTGTGGGCCCAGCTACTCAGGAGGCTGAAGCAGGAGGATCACTTGAGTCCAGGAATTGGAGGCTGCATTGAGCTATGATGGTGCCACTGCACTCTAGCCTCAGAGACAGAGTGAGACCTCGTCTCAAATAAACAAACAAACAAACAAACAAACGAATAAACATGAGTGGATCAAAAAGGTATCATAGACCAGGCATGGTGGCTCATGCCTGTAATTCCAGCACTTTGGGAAGCTGAGGCAGGCAGATCATTTGAGGCCAGGAATTTAAGACAAGCCTGTCTATACTAAAAATACAAAAATTAGCCGGGAGTGGTGGCACACACCTGTAGTCCCAGCAACTTGGGAGGCTGAGGTGGGAGCATCAATTAAGCTCAGTGGGTGGAGCTTGCAGCGAGCCAAGATCATGCCGCTGTACTCTAGCCCGGGCGGCAGAGCAAGACTCTGTCCAAAAAAACAAACAAACAAAAAAAAAGGCCCAGTGCGGTGGCTCACACCTGTAATCCCAGCACTTTGGGAGGCTGTGGCGGGATCACCTGAGGTCAGGAGTTGGAGACCAGCCTGGCCAACATGGTGAAACCGCGTCTCTACTAAAAATACAAAAATTAGCTGGGCATAATGACAGGTGCCTGTAATCCCAGCTACTCGGGAGGCTGAGGCAGGAGAATCGCTTGAACCTGGGAGGCGACGGTTGCAGTGAGCCAAAATCGCACCATTGCATTCCAGCCTGAGCGACAAGAGTGAGACTCCATCTCAAAAAAAAAAAAAAAAAAAAAAGTATCATAAAGTGCAATTAAACAGAACTGACCTAGTAATAGGTATCTTTTTAATCTTCTGGACTTATTTCAGTTTAAGAAATCATGCCAAATATATCTCATTTTTCTAGAACCAGGTTAATTTAACAGCAGCAGGCAGAACAATCAGAGAGTTGAAAAATATTAATAAGCCAAATTTTTAAAAAAATTGTGGATGCAGCTCTAGAATATCAGGCACACCTAGCAAAGGGGTCAAGGAGATGCAGTAGTTTCAAGTATTGTTGCAGTTTCTTGTCACTCCAACTAACAAGCTTCCTGACTACTAATGGCTGAAACAAAAGTAGTTTTAATTTCAAAACCAGAAGTCTAGAGATAGGAGGTTGCTAATCTAATTAAGCAACTCAAGAATGTTAAAATGGGTGCCTGCACTTTTTATCTTTCTGTTCTGCTATCTTCACTGTCTTGACAGTGTCTCCCCTCATGGTTGAAGGATGGCTGTTGTGGCTCCAAGCATCACATCCTATCACCCCAAAAGGAGTAAAGAGGGAAGGAAAAAGAGTTCTCTTTATGGGCTGAGTTAGGCCTCAAAAGTCTCGTCCCAGCTGGGGGAGAAGCATAAAGAACCCCTTGGCGTCAGATTAAGTTTGCTTTTACTTATATTTACTCCTGAAGCAGCTAATAGGACTCGGATGTGGATGGGTGGAGGTGGTTTCCCATTGCCTCCCTTGCCCCTCAGGGAGAGAGGGTCCTGAAGTTCAGTGGTCTTGGCAGCCCACACAGGGTGCACATCTGAAGAACAGTATCTTGGGTCAGCTGCATTTTATAACCCCAGCCACCTCGGTGCACACAGAAAACCTAAAATACCAGTAAGACAATAAGTCTGCCACTTAGCCAGCTGTGTGCTCGGATCTAATGACTTAGTTTGGAGCCTTGAAAATCTTGTAGGGCCTGCCCCAGGACCATCACCCTCTTTCTGTAGAGGCTAGGAATTCACTCTTTATGTTTAGTTATCTCTTTATGTCTGAAAGTTTAAGAGGCAGTTGAGGGGGGACAAGGAGCAAGGGCTTTGGCCATGAGGAACACTGTACGCAAAGGCATGGTGGTGTGACGTGGCGTGGTCTGTTCAGGCACTGCTGGCAACTAGGAGTGCCTGAAGCATGTCACACGGCCTGAGGAGAGAGTGGGAGGAAGTGAGACTGGAGAGGGAGCAGCAGCTGATGGGATGCACCAGACGCAGGAGTGCAGACTTCAAGGAGGTAAACCATGCACTCTGGGAGCCCAGAGGAGGCATGACTGAGCCAAGAAGGGTTTCCAGAAGCCTTGGACCTGGATCCAAGATCCAATGTTCAGCCAGAACTTGGAGGTACAGTGGTATAGATTAGTTATGCCTGTGCCATTCCAGTTGTTAAATATTGTGAATTTACACCCCTGCTCTAGAGGAGTTGGTGAGGAATTGTCAGGCAGAAAGGTGGGAATGGGCTTTCCGGGAAGAGTGGAGAGCTGGTATAAGAGTAATCCAAGAAGGGAGAGATGAGAATACAAGGGAAGGATGAGGCCAGGGTGGTAGAGGGCCTGACTGTGAAAGGTCTGTGGCAGACAAAGAGGTTTCTCCTCCATCCTGTAGGCCTTGGGAAAACAGGGTGGACTCTATCTCATCAACCCAGTGATCCACCTGCAAAACAATAACCCTGAGTCAGCCCTAGGACTTGGCACCCTGTCACCTGTTAGGGAGCAGGGCATTTGAGAATGTAGAGGGCTGATGGTGAGAACAAAGACTTCGGAGAAATAATTTTGCCGTTTTATTTCTTTTTAAAAAAGAAAGAGAAAAAAGGGAGGGAGGGAAGGAAGGAAGAAAGAAGGAAGGAAGGGAAAAGAGAAAAGGAAGAGTAGAAACCAATATGGCATTTGGTAAGGCTGAGTAGTGGACACAGAGATTATCACTGTTGTTACTGATTTGTTACATGCTTCCCCACTTTGCTTAAAATATTTCATTTAAAAAATGAATGTGTCACACCTGTAATCTCAGCACTTTGGGAGGCCAAGGCTGGTAAACCACTTGAGGCCAACAGTTAGAGACCAGCCTGGCCGACATAGCGAAACCCTGTCTCTGCTAAAAATACAAAAATTAGTTGGGCCTGGTGGCAGGCGCCTGTAATCCCAGCTACTTGGGAGGCTGAGCTGTAATCCCAGCTACTTGAACCCAAAGGTGGAGGTTGCAGTGAGCTGAGATCACGCCACTGCAATCCAAGCTGGGCAACAGAGCGAGACTCTGTCTCAAAAGAAAAAAAAAGAATATGTCAGGTGTACTGTACATTTAAACAGACATATAGACATATGGTCCTTCTACAAAACTATTTGACAAGATATCAAAAGTCCTAAAAATGCTTCTTTTGACCCAGCAATTCCATGCTAGAACATACAGACAAAGATCTATGTACGGGAAGCCTACATTGCTTCAAGTATAGTGACAACTGCGTGGGAGGGTGGGGAAGTTGTGCTAAATTAACTTCCCAAATAAATAAAATGAGCAATTTTAATGAAATCTTCCCTAAATACATGGTGCCTGTGCTGGTACAATAAGTAGAGTACTGTGGACACAACTAACCTTTTTTTTTTTTTTATAATTTTTGATTAATGTAATTAACTATCAAAGTACATGTTAATAGATTCACCAATCCTAAAAGCTGTTGGGGTGGCCCTTTGCACCTCCCCACTTTCTGCTACATAGCTTGTTTCTCTGGCTCTTTTGGTTCTCGTTTCCTTTAGTTGGCTGTTATTTCTTGCTACTCTCACCTGCACACTCACTAGAAATCTTGCCTTCCCCCATCTAATCAGAACTTTAAAACATAAAAATAAAAAACCCAGGTAGCCAAGTTTGAACGCATCATGTCTGAAGTAAATCATGTCTGAACGAAGTCCTGGAGGTCTGTCTCCAACCACCTGAGGAACCTGTTGAAATGCTTTTCCCCAGGACCCAACTCAACATGTCCTCATAAGACTCTGGATCACACAGACACTTAATTTGTATGAATGTTAGAATTTGAGAACCTCTGGCTTATGAATTCTCATATGACAAAATATCCCTTGAATTCAAGGCTATGTCAGGCCAACACGTCACCTCTGGTGCAGCTGAGCTGCTGCCCAAAGCTGGAGTGGCTCAGGAGTCAGCCATGATGGGCTGGTTCCTGTGCCATGCCAGGTGGGAAAATCACAGAGACTTGGTGATCTCTGTTTTGGGGGCTTTTTTGAGACAGGGTCTCGAGAGCTCTGTCATCCAGGCTACAGTGCCATGGCACAGTCATGGCTCACTGCAGCCTTGACCTCATGGGCTTAAGCCATCCTCTCACCTCAGCCTCCCCAGTAGCTGTGACCACAGGTGCACATTACCACACCCAGCTAATTTTTTGATTTTTTGTAGAGACATGGTCTCGCTATGTTGCTTAGGCTGGCCTCAAACTCCTGGTCTCAAGCAATTCTCCTGCCTCGGCCTCCCAAAGTTCTGGGGTTACAGGCATGAGCCATCGTAGACTGGTTCGACCTCTATTTGGAACTGAGATCACTTGGGCAGGTGGAGGGTTAGATGAGGAGAGAGGTACTTCTGGGCTCCTCTATCTTGGGGTTGGCTGAGGTTTCCGATCAGTGGCCCTTGGATGATTGAGGCCAACCTGGATTCATGATGTGGGGAGAAATAGGGTAACTGTCTCATATTTTCCAAGTGTGAGACTGTCTTCACAGACTGATTAACTTCCACAACAAAATAAAATCATGCAGCCTATTTACCAGAGATCAATTAAATTGGCCACACTCTTTTTATAACTTATTCCCATTGGACTGAACATTTAATAGTTTATATTATACTCAGCTAAATTTCAATATAATCTACCACCCCCACTTTTACCTAGTACTTTTATCAAAATGATCGCTTGTACTTGAGTTTGATATGTTTACTTAAAAGCTTTTTTATGTCATTTAACGAATAGTCATTGAAATGTTGTCATCCAAATAAAAAAACAGTTTTAAAGCCGTATATATGTCTACTGCTTCTTCCCTTTAAAGAAAAGTTTCGCAGATTTTATCTTGCATTTTAAATTAAGCCTCCACTTTTCTTGGATATGCTGATGGTCAAACTATGAAACCTGTAACTGAAGAACACGTGCTAAAAGGATCATAGAGCATGTTATCCTTACATAACATACTTAGAGGCATGTAACATACTTCGACGCATGTATTATTACAGCCTCAAACACCACCACCACCACAACAAAACAACCACTCCAGAATGAAAATACTGGTATATTTGTATAATGCAAAGAGAAATACAGATATAAATCCTCAAAACGGAAGGTACATTAATAAAAATGTAGCATTATAAGCCAAAAATATTATATAGTACTTGCAGAATTTAGTCTTTCAGTTTAACATTATAATGTCTAACAAAGAAATATTATTTAAATTATAGTTCTCATTATTAATTTAAAACAACCATCAGTAGAACAGCACAGCTTAACCTAGCAAACATTTTAAGGAAATGCTTTGTTTCCTAGAAGGAGGATATCATTATATTCCATTCATTTATACCATAAACAACAGAAGAACAATTTTCAAAGTGGAAATTAGTTTCATAAGACAGAATAAAACTGGGCTTCTCAAAGCACAAGCCATTTCCATAAAATTAATTTTTTATTGGCAAAAAATACTTAAAACAATTTTGATGTAGTACTCTGCTTCTCAGAGCCCTCCCAATCCTCGAACCACAATCTATACACACGAACACATGCAATACTGTATTTTTCTCCACATCATTACTAACCAAAACACTTTACTCTTTTAAAACTTACAACTTGACAGAAATGTTTCCATTCAAGATTGCTATAATACAGAGAGCAGTTGTCACTGACGTGGTTTTTAGCAGCAGAAAGTAAACCGGGAACCAAATCTTACTTGTTACTTACTGCTTTAAAAAAATGACTGCCTTGCTACTGATCTCCATCTCTGCTCTTTAAGTTCAATATCAACACTGAGACTTTCAAAGAACCAGCGCAGCACAAGGACCCTGCAGCCGGCAATTCAGAGGGCATTTCGGACAACTTCCCCCCACCCCCCACTTTCTCCTGCTTCCAACAGAAGATCCTCAAGAAATCTAACTTGTGAAGAAGTCCCCCTAGGTTCCTCTACTTCACTGCAAAATGTAATGCCACTTGAGGTTGTCAAAAATAGCTTCTGTAGAAAACTGGCCATGGTCTTTAGGAAACGTTGCATGAAGAAAATTAGTACAGCCTTTATAGAAAAAGAAAAAAAGGAACCACACATGGAATAAAAGACGTCAGTACCGCTACAAAAAGACTGCAGGGCCTATTGTCAGGAAGAAAGTCGAGTTAGGAGGACGAATGTGCGGAGCTGGAGTGGGCTGAGCATCCTACTCCTCACCCACCCCACCCCCAAAGGAGTCAGTACAATCCAAGTGTCTGTCCACTTCGAGTCATTTTGAAGGCAGCTTAGAAAATTAAACAGGGGCCAGAAGGAAAAGATACAACGTCACCGTCCGAGCCAAAGGGAAAGGCTGGGTTGGGGGTCTATGTGGCGGGGCCTCCCTCATAAACCAATGCCTTTCAGGTCGCAGGGATGGGTCGCCTGGGTGGTCCGGGGGCTCTGGCAGCAGGGGAACTGGGCCCTGAAGCAGTCCCTCAGCTCCCTGTTGAAGAGGAAGCACACGACGGGGTTGATGCCGGCCTGCGCGAAGGTCAGCCACACGGAGGCCGTCAGGTAGGCCTGGGGGACGGCGCCGGGCCGCACCAGGACCCGCAGGTAGCTGGCCACGACGTAGGGCCCCCAGAGGAGCAGGAAGAGCAGCGTGACGGCGTAGAACATCTTGCACAGCCTCTTCTCCGTCTTGAATTCTTCCAGCACGAGGAGGCGGCGCGCGCCGCGGCCCGGCCCTGCGGGCCGGATGCCCACAAGCGCGGGCGGCGTGGGCCCGCGGCCGAAGCCCGCCGTCCAGTTGGCGGCCGCCTGGCCGGTGGCGCCCGGGCCGTGGAAGGTCCAGTCGTGGCTGACGGCGGGCACCAGGCGCGCGGGCCGCATCTTGCGGCGGTCGTGGATGAAGAAGAGCAGGCGGAGGTAGACGAGGTGCGTGGCGCCCACCACCACGGCCAGCAGCAGCAGGAAGCCCAGCGCGCCGGGGGCGCCGTCGGGCCGCTGCTCCAGGGCGCACGGCGCGTCCTCGTCGTCGCCACCGCCGTCCAGCACTGGCGGGAAGGCCGCGGCCAGCGCCAGCGCCCAGGCGGCGCACACCAGCATGGCGGCGCACGGCCAGCCGGCCAGGCGCTCTGCATAGAAGCGGTGGTGCGCGATGGCCAGGTAGCGGGTGACGCCCACGCCCAGCAGCAGGAAGGCGGCGTGGAAGCAGAAGAGCGCGGCCAGGAAGGCGAGCAGCTTGCAGCCCAGCGCGCCCGGCGGCGCCCCCGCCGCGGCCGCCGCACGCCGCGCCGCCAGCATGACGGCCGGGAGGCAGGCGAGCGCGCGCAGCCCGTCGGCCAGGCACAGGTCGAGCAGCAGGTAGTACGGGGCGCGGTGCAGGCTGCGCTCCCGCACGATCAGCAGCGCGAACAGCACGTTGCCCGCTAGGCTCACGCACAGCAGCAGGCTGAGCGTGGCCAGCTTGAGGCCCAGGGCGGCCGCCTCGCCGCCGCCGCTGCCACCCGGCTCGCTCGCGTTCGCCATCGCGGCCTCACCAGGCCGTGCGCTCCGCCCCGGGGCCGTCCCCTGCCTCGCCGCTCCCGCAGGCCGCCCGGCCCGAGCTCCGCCGCTCCGCCGGCCCTGGGCGAGCTCCCCGTCCTGCGGGGCTCAGCCCGCTCCCGGCCGGCCCCTCCTGGGCTCCCCGAGCCGCCGCTGTGCCGCCGCCGCCATCTCAGGAATGGTGCGCGCAGGAGGAGGCGGCCACTCCCTGCGCCCTAGGCGCCGCGGGCTTCACTGCGGACAGGGCCTCGCCACCGTCCGCAGCCCCCCGCATCCTCCTCCGTCTCCTCCTACTCCTCCGCTGCTGCCGCCGCGCCTCTTGGCTCTGCCCCCCGCCGGGCCCGCCGCCGCCGCTGCCGCCGCTGCCGCCGCCGCCGCCGCCGCCGCGGAGCCCCCTCCCCTCCGCCGGAGCGCGCAGCGCGGCCGCCGCCGCCAGCCCCGCCGAGGCATCCCGCACCGCCTGGGCCCGGCTGGGCTGGGGGCGCCTCCGCAGCAGCCGCGGGGTCGGGAGGCGGCCGGGAGGGAGGCAGGGCCCAGGACGCAAGGTGGCGACAAGTCGCGTTTGGCCCCAGGTAACGGGGGTCCGGCGGCGGCGCCCGCGCTGGGGTCACGGTGGCCGTGCGCGGGGGAGGTTGCCTGGGCTGGCAGGGTCGGGAGGCCTCAGAGGGGACAGGAATATCTGGAATGAGCCTTCTGCCCGAAAGCTGGGAGTAATTTACGATAGTAATAGTCATCGTAATCCTAAAACCGCTGATACTCAGGTGCGCACTGATGTGGGTGGCAGTGTGCTGGGGAGCTTGGCAAGCATTATCTCCCTCAACAGTAATCACGAAGTTGTTGCCATCCTTAATCCCACTTTATACCTCAGGAAGCAGAGGCTTGGAGGTCAAGGGAGTTGAGAGCCGGGAAGTAGCGGAGCTGGGATTCAAATTTCGCTTGGTCTGATTTCCAGTGCTGGACTCACAGCGACTCCGCAGCATCCCCTGCTCGCTAACTCATCCGTGATCCCGGTGAAGGACCTATATCAGGGAAAAGAAATGCAGCATTTCATCTTTAAGTGACTTGGAAGGTGAACCCTATGCCACCTTCCTCCCAGGATATCTATTTTCTGGGTAAGCCTGAAAGGGCAGCCCCTGTTATGATTCTCAGACACACCGCATTTGTCTCGCAGGACCTTGCATGTGCTGGTACCTCTGCCTGGACCAGCCCCACAACAGGCTCCCTCTCCGTAGGGCCTCCTTCTAACCCGTCTGTTTTACTCTGTATCCCTGCCCTCTAGTCATTTCCTTCTTAGCACTTATAATTTGTCATTATATACTTTCATTTCTTTTTAAAAATCATGCTCTTCTAACTAGGCTCTAAGCTCTTTGAAGGCAAGGGATCATGCCTGGTTTTTGGTACCACTGCATCCCCAGTGCTTAGCATGGTAAAGCCAGAATTAAGCAACGCATTGTTTCTCACCCACACTCATTTGTTTTTTCTTCTGTGCAGAAAATTATTTGTTGCCTACTGATTACATGCAAGGCAGGCACCTTGATGGGCATTTTCAGGATAGTGCAAGATCATAGAGGGCCTTAATGATCAGGCTAAGAAGTCGAAACTTTAGTCTGCAGGCAGTCAGGAGCCCTTGAAATCTTTTGAGAAGGGGAGCGACATGACTAGGTGTGCTCCAGGAACATTATTCTGGCAGCAGTGTTGAGGAGGGATGACAGAGCAGAGCCGGTAAACCTAGTCCAGAGCCTCAAACTTCACTATGTGCAGAAATCACTGGGGACCCTGTTAAAATGAAGATTCTGATTTAGTAGTTCTGGAATGGGGCCGGAGGTTCTGCATTTCTAACAAGCTCCGGGGTGAGACTAATGCTGTTGGTCTGCTGACCTTACTTTGAATAGTAAGGCCCTTGGGGACAGTTTGGATATTTTTTTAAAAATCTAAGTGATTTTTCAAGAAAATCAACTATTGAGCACCTGACTTGGGACTCCTAAGTGGCCAGCAGCAAGTGGCTGACCAGGCACATCTGTAAATGTATGTTGATAGAAAATAGATTTTGGAGGGTGTATGGGTTAGGAATTGCAGTTTGATACTAGTAGCAAAAAACGTGTACATGAGTTTATTTTCCTCGTGAAAGAAGAAGTTTGGAGGTCAGTAGTTGCTGACATTGATTTATTGGCTCAAGGACTGAATCTCTGAAAATCTTTTAGCCCTTCCCTCATGATCACAGTAGGCTGCCGACGCCCCAGCCATCATTTCTTCATTCCAGGCAGAAAGAAGAAAAGGGAAAAGAGCAGCAATATTCCAGCCATCTAAGTAGGAAGAGCTTTCTAGAAGCCCTACATTATAAACAAACACTTAAACATATCATTGGCTATCAATTGAGAGTGAGCACTTGAGCAAGGGAGGGTAGGAAATGGTTTCTTATTTCTTTGTTTAAAGTTAGACCCATGGCTGTAGAGAATTCGATCCTGCCTTGCTGTGGCCCTTAGCGCTTGGGCTGCCTCTGCCCAGAGGAGGGAATGCCTTCTTAATAACCCACACAAATTCACCAACTCTGGTTGCTTTATGGTAATACTAATGGCAGCCACCTTTTACTGAGCACTTGCCGTATGCCAAGCATTGTGCTAAATTCTCGACATGTGTTATTTAATGTAATCATTGTAATGGCCAGATGTGGTATGTGCTGTTACTGTCTTCATTTTGCAGAGGAGGCAGAAGGGTTAATTTGTTCACGCTTTCACCACTTACACTTACTTTACACTTACTTTCAAGTAAGTGTAAGAGCTGGAAGTCTGACTTTATTTATTTTGAAACAGGGTCTCACTCTGTCACCTAGGCTGGAGTCAGTGGCATCATCATGGCTCACTGCAGCCTCAACCTCCCAGGCTCAGGCCGTCCTCCTATCTCAGCCTCCTGAGTAGCTGGGACCACAGGCTTATACCACCATGCCCCGCTAATTTTTAAAAAATTATTTGTAGAGGCCGGATGCGGTGGCTCACACCTGTAATCCCAGCACTTTGGGAGGCCGAGGCGGGTGGATCATGAGGTCAGGAGATCGAGACTATCCTGGCTAACACGGTGAAACCCCGTCTCTATTAAAATGCAAAAAATTAGCTGGGCATGGTGGCAGGCGCCTGTAGTCCCAGCTACTCAGGAGGCTGAGGCAGGAGAATGGCATGAACCCGGGAGGCGGAGCTTGCAGTGAGCCGAAATCGTGTCACTGCACTTCAGCCTGGGCAACAGAGCGAGACTCCGTCTCAAAAAAAAAAAAAAACCAATTATTTGTAGAGATGGGGTCTCCCTATGTTTCCCAGGCTGGTCTAGAACTCCTGGGCTCAAGTGATCCTCCCACCTCAGCCTCCCAAAGTGCTGGGATTACAGGCGTGAGCCACCACACCCAGCTGAGGAACTCTGTGTTTAGAGTCCATCCTCATGATCTCCACAAACACTGCCTCTTTGTTATAACTGTGAAGAAAGCTTTTGAGTTTATAAAAGCAGTAAACTAACATACACAAACTACTGATGCTCCCGGGCACAGAATTATAACCCCTTTCGAGAGGGAAGGATTTTTCAAAACCATCTAATCCTAACACTTGAATTTTACAAACAGAGAAGCTCATGAATAGCTGAGTGGGAGGGAGAACCCAGGTCCTCCCACTCCTAGGTCACTACCTTCCACTTTAAATCTTCATATTTTTTATTCTAATGAGCACATGGTGTTCGACAAGTCACTTAACCTCTTGGAATCTCAAATGTGTCCATTTATGAAATGGGACGTTGGACCAAATGATTTCTGAGGGTCCTGGGCTCTGAAGTTGAGTTTAGGTATAAGGAAATGGAAGTTAAGTGATTATGTCTCCCAAATGGGGAGAGATTTATTTTTCAGAAAAGGACACAAAAGAAGAGACATTATTAATTCCTTATAACTTAAAATTTTCTGTTTTCTGTTTCTATCTACGGTGCAAAATGCTGCTCTTGAGATTTGGTTTAGTCATTTTCCCAGGCTCAAATAGCAGAAGCAGCAGTAGAAAATACATAAATCATGGTTCTCTCACAGCATTTATATGCCTACTTCTTTCATTATCAACATTTGTTCAGTAGATTAATACTTAAGGAAAAACTGTTCACATTTCATTGGCCAGGATCAACGTATTTTCCTTTTACTGTTTCTAGGAAGCTGCAGGCAAGAATTTTAAATGCTTTCTTAGGCACCAAATTGCATGCCTTCATCTCAAAGCAAAACAGCTCTATGACATTTTTTTCCTATAAGAAAATTTCCATTATTCTTGTATAATCAAATTATTCCTTTTGGACATAGAAACAAAAGTATTTCCCACCCCCACTCCCCAAATCATTTATGTCACTTCTTTGATGTACGTATAGATGGTGTGAATGGTACTAGAAATCCTGACTGTTCAGAGGAACTGGTTGGCACCCTTTGGCAGATACAGTCAAGGTCATGGGTTCCCTAATCATGAGGTCCAGTCTGGCCAGTGTATCCTGTTTAACCTCAGGCTTCTGGCCAGTCACCTGCCAATAGGTACATTAAACACCAAGTTAGAGAAGGTTGGTTTGACTTAACTCCATCCCAACTCTTAGAAAAAGTGAGCCAAAGTCTAGGCCCAGTGGATGTTGGATTATCAAAGGGCAGCACTCAAGTTGACCTCCCCATGGGACGAAGTCATAACTTTGACAATGAAAGTGGGCCTTGCGGTGAGGACCACTCTGGTTCATGTCCAGTTTCCACCACTGACTAGCTGTGCATTAGTGGTAGTTGTACATGAACCAGATTGTACCTAACTGTAAAGAGCCCAGACTTTGGCTCATTGGGCAAGTCTCTTGCCTGCTCTGAACGTCTGAATATCAAAAGCCCATTGTGGGAAGATTCAATTAAATGAGATTCATTTACAAAGAGTGTAGCACAAGGTGTGCACACAAGTCGTGTGCAATAAATGGTTAACTACACTTATGCATATTTGCTCTTACCTGACTATATAAATGTCTTGGCTAACCATGATTTAATTGACTTTTGTATTTCCCACCTCAGCTTAACCTAGCAGGATGCCCTGTACACAGTAGGTTCTCAATATGTATGTGGCAAGTATGAGTGTCAGTCTATATAATCAAGAGTGCAAGAAGTGCAGCTGCTTCCTAGAAACCTAATTTCTGACTCTGTGTTGCCATTTTGTCTTGCTGGTGGGGAAAAAAAGAGGTAGCCTTAGTGCATCTTGGGTTTCATCATGGGTCCTTGCTTTCTCAGAATATACTGTAATTTCAGGCAGGTGCCTAAATTGCCTAGTATATGGTCATTCAGGATAGTGCGCGCATGTGTGTGGGGTGTCCCTTCTCATATTTCATCAGTTGTTGGCATATCGTTCCTGTTCTTCCAAGCCATCGTGGTTTGGTGACTCTTGGCTGCCTTGTGCCAGACTTGTGGTGTGAGAATCTGGGCTGAGGATGCATTTGATATTAGATGCATCCACAGGTATTCTTCTCAGCAGTATATCTGAGAAACTGGGTGCAGCTCCCCTCTCTCTCAGTACCCTTCTCTTCTCCTCCTCCTACCTTCATCTCCAGGGACTCCCTATATACTCTGGAAGAGGGTGAAAACCCAGTTCTTCCTTGTTCTTCTGGACAATGTAATTATAGTCATCCCTCAGTATAAACAGGGAATTCGTTCCAGGGCCTCCGCGTGCACCCAAATCCATGCATACTGAAGTCCCATAGCCAGCCCTGCAGAACCCATATATATGAGAAGTCAGCTCTTCATATATGCAGGTTTCACATCTCTCAAATACTGTATTTACCATCTTGTTTTGATTGAAAAAAAAAATCACATATAAACCAACCCATGCAGTTCAAACCCATGTTGTTCAAGAGTCAACTGGAATCAATTTCCCTGGGAAGCTGTGTTCCCCAAATTCAGGTGTTTGGAAAAAATAAAAGCCGGGAAGCCACCTTGCCGTAAACCTCTCCTAGTCAAGGAAGCCCAGAGCCTGCTATCCACTTGAATGTTGGGAAGGAAAGGGAAAAATAGAGGAAGAAAAATGATCACTGCATATCTCAAAATATTGTGCTTGCTGTCTGTATTTGTTGAATGAATAACTGAATATCTTTATGTGTATATGTATAGCATATTGTTAAACTTCATTTAAGCAAAATGTGTTTAGTGAAAACTCTTTAACAGTTGGTTTTCTTTCTCCACATGCAAGAGAATGAAATTGCGCCCCAACCCCACCCCATATATTTTAAAAAATTCAAAATTGATGATAGACCTAAAACTCAGGGCTAAAACTATAACAACTCTTAGAAGAAAATATAGGAGTAAATTTTCATGACTTTAGATTAGGAAGTGGTTTCTTGGATATGTTCCCAAAAGGATAGGTGACAAAAGAAAAAAATACATAAATTGGATTTCATTAAAATTTTTAGGGTTTGTGCTTCAATAGACACCATCAAGAAAATGAAAGGCCCGCCTACAGAATGGGAGAAAATGTCTTCAGATAATGTGTCTGATGGGGGACTTGTATCCAGAGTATATAAAGAACTCATAACTCAAAAAAGACAACCCAATTTTAAAAATGGACAAAGGCTTTAAATAGGCATTTCTCTAAAAAGAAATGTAAATGGCCAATAAGCACATGGAAAGATACTTTGCATCATTAGTCAATAGGACAATGCAATTCAAACCATCTGAGATACCACTTCATATCTACTATAGTGGCTATTATCAAAAATGTAGATGATAACAGGTGTTGGTGATGATATGGAGGAATTGGAACCCTCAGATGATGCTGGTGGGGGTGGAAAATGATACAGCTGGTTTGGAAAATGATTTGGCAACTCCTCAAAAAGTTAAACATAGAGTTACCTTATGACCTAGCCATTTCACGCCTAGGCATTTACCCAAGAGAAATGAAAACATGTCCACATGAAAGCCCACATGTAAATGTTCATAACATCGTCATTCCTAATAACCAAAAGGATAAAGCAACACAAAGGTCAATGAATGAATGGATGGATAAATAAAATGTCATATATCCCTACAGTGGAATACTATTCACTCATAATAACAAGTACTGGTATGTGATGCTCCAGCGTGGATGAACCTTGAAAATACTGTGCTCAATGAAAGAAGTCAAACACGAAAGACCACATATTGTACAAATCCACTTACATGAAATGCCCAGAACAGGTAAATCCATAGTGATAGAAAGTTGGTTAGTAGTTGCTGGGAGCTGGGGGAAAGGATTGGAGAGTGACCACTAATGGGTCCAGAGCTTTTTGGGGGGTGATGAAAATGTTCTAAAATTAGGTAATAGTGATAGTTCCACAACTCTGTGGATATCATAAGAAAACAGAATTATCAAAAAAATTCATATGAAAGTGAGGTCACCTCTGTGGCCTATGGAGGTGTCTTTATTAAAAGGTGGATAGGAGCCTGGCAAGTAACATGAACTCCTAGTTATGGCTTTCTGAGTGAGTGCAGATTCTTAAGGTGTGATTTCTTGTACTCTTACCTGAGGCTGGCCACAGAAATAAGTCATGCCTTGCCATATGATCATGTGCATAAGGATTGCCCCCTTTGGTGGGCCTTAACGTTTACGTGCTTTGGGGCTTTGATGTTTAGGTAAACCTGGGAAGAGAGATTAAGAAAGTTTTATTTAACCAATAGCTTTATATTACAGCACAGCCACTAGAAAAGCTATCATTTTTTAGATCCAAAAATGCACTAAGCTGTTTTGCATATATGATTAATAATTTACTCCTACAAAATCTCCTACCCCAGTTTGACAGATGAGGAGCCTTGAGTTTTAAAGCAATTAACCATAGTCTGTGGTCACACAGCACAAAGTAGAAGAGCAAGGTAAAATTCCAGTCTGTCTGGACCAAAAGCCTGAATTCTTGACAAATATGTACAGAAAGCTTTGTCGACTAATATATAATTGAAAGAAAATCTATTGGGATGATAGAAGTATTAAACTGGGATTGTATCTGCTAGTACAGAATTGCGAAAAACCATTATGCTAACGGCATAGGTGGCAGTATTTTAACCACCTGAAAATAAACACTTTCAATATCGAAAAGAAACAAACAAGGAGTCTACACTAACATGTTATCACTATTTACAATGCCATTATTGATATTTCTATAATGGTTTTCTAAGCAAGTTATAGCAACGGCTCCAAGTGAGAAAAAAAGGCCTTCTTAAAAAATGTGGCCCCTTTCTTTTGCATTATATTTACTAGCTGTTTAAACTCTCTCTAGTGGTTAAGTCATGTTGTGATCCTAAATTTTGCATTGACAGACTCAATGCAACCACCAGGACTACAGTGCTACTGGGAGTGCCGAAGATTACAAGATCAAACCTATTCCTTAAGCATCTCTTCATGTGCATGGAATAATGGTATAAATATTGCATATCAAAGCTGCTACTGCTGTAATCCTTGCCTTCATCTCCTTTCTCTCTTATTTGGTCGAAAATCAAATAGTGCATCGATTATTGATACTTTCTACTCTAGAGAATTACAGTGAATATACTTTATATGGTGGCGATTTGGGGGGTACATCCATATAAAATGTTCTGAACTATGGAACAGGTTCATAGTTCCATAAGACACATCTTTAAGTTCCTGTAAGACACATCTTTAAGGATGTACCTACTGTTTCTTGAATTGCTAGTTTACCTATTATGCAACGAGTTCCTTGTAATAAAATATGAAAGTTTGGCTCTTTTAAATGCCCACCCTCTATATACATACACCTCCCACACACATATAAATTTTTCCTATGCCACCAGCACCAAGCTTTGCATTGGGTTTTTATTTAGATGAGGTAGAGACCCTTTCATTTGCAGAATTGTAACAGTTGTTAAGGAGAGCATCTGTAAAAATAAATCTTAGAGATAAGGCAGACAGATTTTTATGATAAATCACATAAAAAGTATGACTTGGGTTCGATTCTCCTTAGACTCCCATGTGAACTTGCAGTGGTCTGATTTCCATATGTCAAACATTTTGGATAAACAGCTGCATTTCTCAGAGAAACCCCTGCTACCACCCTTCCTTCATTCTCTTACTTCATCTGGTCTGGACAGCTCCCTGCACAGCTGTGGCCCTGGCACTGCCTTCCAAAGCATGCTGTTCTCTTCTCTCCCTGTGAGACTTCCTGTTTCCTGGAATGAACCCACATCTTTCTCTTTCTTGTTTTATTCTTTTGTTTCATTTTCAAGTGGTATACATATATCAGTAGCTTCCTGAGAAAGCTGCTTTGGACGTAAATATATATATTTTTTTGAGACGGAGTCTCGCTCTGTCACCCAGCCTGGAGTGCAGTGGCACAGTCTCGGCTCACTGCAACCTCTGCCTCTCAGGTTCAAGTGATTCTTCTGCCTCAGCCACCTGAGTAGCTGGGACTACAGGCACGTGCCACCATGCCCAGCTAATTTTTGTACTTTTCATAGAGACGGGGTTTCACCATGTTGATCAGGCTGGTCTCAAACTCCTGACCTTGTGATCCACCCACCTCGGCCTCCCAAAGTGCTGGGATTACAGGCATGAGCCACCGTGCCCAGCCGGAGGTGAATATTTTAAGATTTTTTACGTATCTGGAAATGCTCTTACTTTACCTTCTTCATACTTGATAGTTTGGCTGGGAATAAAATTCTACTGGGTTGGCAATTATGACCAATGATATTGAACATTTTTTTCATGTGCTTATTTGCCATCTACCTATCTTCTTTGCTGATAAACCTGCCATATTTTTTCAATAAATCATTTATTTTTCTTAATTGACTTTTAGGAGTTCTTTATGCATCCTGGAAAAAAGTTCTTTTTTGGATATAAGATTTGGAAATCCTATTTTCCCCTGGTTTCTGGCTTGTCTTTTTATTTTTTTAATAGTGTCTTTTGAAGAGCAGAGATTTTAATTTTGATGAAGTTCAGTTTATCAATTTGAATTATTTTATGAATTATGCTTTTACATCATATCTAAGAAATTCTTGCCTAAACCATGGTTGTGAAAATTTTCTCCTATGTTTTCTTCTAGAAGTTTTATGATTTTAGGTTTTTTACAGTTAGTTTTATGTTCCATGTTAATATTATAAATGGTGTGAGGTGGATTGAATTTCAATGGATTGAAATTCATTTTTTTAATGTATGGATATTCAACTGTTCCAGCACCCCTTGTTGAAAAACTTACTGCACCTTTGTCAAAAACAAATTGTCCATATATGTGTGGGTCTTTTCCTGGACTCTTTATTCTGTTGAGTTTATGTGTTTGTCTATCTTGATGTCACACTGTATTCATTATTGTGGCTTTATAATAAGCCTTAAAATCAGGGAGCATTATTTCTCCAAATTGTTCTTCTTTTTCTAGTTGTTTTGGCTGTTCTTGGTCATTAGCATTGACATATGTGTTTTAGAATGAAGTTATCTAATTCTATGATAAAGCCTACTGGGATATTAATTGGGGTTGTGTCTAGATCAGTTTGGGGAGAATTGACATCTTAACAATACTCTCCTATACACAAAAAAGGTGTATCTCTTCATTTCTTCAGCTCTTCTTTTATTTCTCTCAGCAGTCTTTTGTACTTCCCAGTGTATAGTTCTTGTATATCTGGTGTCAGAATTATCTATCAACATTTTGTGTTTTTGATACTTTTATGAATGGTATTTTTAAAATTTTTAATTGTTCATTTCTACCCTAAAAAGAATATAATTGATTTTTGTATATTGACTTCATATTTTGAAATTTTGCTAAACTCACTTATTTCAGTTTTTTGAGGGTAAATTCTATCAGGTTTTCTACATAGACATGCGTCTTGTCTGGAATAGACAATGTTACCGTTTTTTCAGTCTGGATGCCTTTTTATTTCTTTTTCTTGCCTTGTTGCACTGGCTAGAACCTTTAATACAATGTTAAATAGAAATGACTGGAGCTAACCTTATTGGTCTCTTCTCTCATATTAAAAGGAAAGCATTCAGTTTTTCACCATTAAGCGTGATGTTAGCTATGGATTTTTATAGGCGCCTATAGATGAGGAAGTTCCCTTCCATTCCTACTTTGCTGAGAGGTTTTTGTTTGTTTGCTTGTTTTAAAATCAGCAGTGAATGTTGGATTTTGACAAATGCTTTCCATGCATCTATTGAGATAACCACACTGATTTACATTTTTAGTTTGTTAAATAGTGAATTGTATTGATTGACTTTCCCATATTAAACCAACCTTGCATTCCTTAGATAAATATGACTTGGTCATGAACTACTATCCTTTTTGTATATTCTTGTATTATACTTGCTAAAATTTTGTTTTGAATTTTTACATCTATATTCATGAGGGTTATTGATCTCCAGCTGTTTTTCTTTTTTTCTTGTACTGGCTTTGTCTTTTGGTTCAGGATGAAGGTGATCTAATAGAATGACTTGGAATGTATTCTCTCCTTTTCAATTGTTTTTTAAAAGTTTATGTAGAATTTTTTTCTTTAATGTTTGGTAGAATTTACTTGTAAAAGTATTTGAGCATGGAGTTTTCTTTGGGGGAAGGTTTTTAACTATATATTTCATTTCTTTTATAGATATATGGCTGTTCAAGTTATATATTTTACCAAGTACATTTTGGTGGTTTATGTCTTTAAAGGAATTTGTCCATCTCATCTGTGTTACCAATTCATTGGCATAAGTTGTTAATAACATTTCATTGTTATCTTCTACATAGCTATAATATAAAGTCAGTATTGATATCTTCTGTGTCATTTCTGATAGTGGTACATTTTTCCCTGAATAGTCCTGCCAGAAGTTTATCATTTTTTTCAGTCTCAAATAACCAGATTTTTACTTTCATTGATGTTCTCTACTGTTTTTCTGTTTTCTATTTCATTGATTTCTGCTCTGATATTTATTATCTCCTTTGATCTATTTAATTTGCATCCTATTTGCTTTTATTTTCTAGTTTCTTAACACAGAAGCTGAGTCCATCTATTTGAGATCTTTATTCGGGCATTTGTGTTATAAATTTTCCCCTAAGAACTGTTTTGGTAGAATTCCATGAATTTGATAGGTGTTTTTTTATATTCATTCATTTCAGAATACTTCCTAATGTCCTTTTGATTTCTTTTTTGATCCATGAGTTATAGAGAAGTGTGTTATTTAGTTTATAAGTATTTGGGGGATTCCCAGAGATCTTGCTATTATTGATTTCTAATTAAATTCCACTGTATCAGAGAACATACTTGTATGACTTGAGTTCTGTTAAGTTTATCAAGACTTTTATGACCCAGAATATGGTCTATCTTGGTAAACATTCTGTGTACCCTTGAAAAGAATGTGTTTTGTATGGTTGTTGGGTGAAATGTTTTGTAAATGTCAGTTGGGTCAAGATGGTTGATAGTGTTGTTGAAATCTTTTATGTTCTTACTAAATTTCTGTCTACTTGTTCTAGCAGTTATTGAGAGATGAGTGTTGAAATCTCTGGCTATAATTCTGGATTTGTATTTCTCCTTGCACTTCTAACAGTTTTTGTTTCATGTATCTTGGGGCTCTGTTATCAGGAGTAAAAAATATTTAGAATTATTATATCCTCTTGATGAACTGACTCATTTATATTACTAATCGACCCTCTTCATTCCAAATAATATTCTTTGCTCCGGAATTTACTTAGTGTGATATAAATATAGCCTCTCCAGCTTTCTTTTGATTAGAATTAGCACAATGTACCTTCTTTTTTTACTTTAAAAATTATTTCATTGTAGGATATGCTCATAACATCAAGCTAAGGATCAATGTAACTCCTACTTTTGCTTACAATCTATGCCTGGGATTCCAGGATGTGTGTGTGTGTGTGTGTGTGCGCGTGCATGTGCATGTGCATGGATGTGTTTTTTTGTTTTTATTGTATTTTATTTTATTTGAGATGGAGTCTCACCCTGTTGCCCAGGCCAGAGTGCAGTGGTGCAGTCACATCCACTGCAACTTCTGCCTCCTGGTTTCAAGCCATTCTCCTGGCTCAGCCTCCCAAGTAGCTGGGACTATAGGTGAATGCCACCACACCCGGCTAATTTTTTGCATTTTTAGTAGAGACAGGGTTTCACCATGTTAGCCAGGATGGTCTTGATCTCCTGACGTTGTGATCCACCCACCTCAGCCTCCCATAGTACTGGGATTACAGGCGTGAGCCACCGCGGCCGGCTGGGATGTGTGGTTTTTAATGAATTCTTACAATTCTTTTGTTCCTTTAACAGGTTTTCTCATATATTCCTGGACAATAGTAGGTACTCAGTAAATATTTGGTTGTTTCGTTTTGTTGTTTTTCGAGACAGGGTCTTGCTCTATCGTCCAGGCTGGAGTGCAGTGGCACGATCTCAGCTCATTGTAACCTCTGCCTCCTGGGTTCAGGTGTCCTCCCACTTTAGCCTCCCAAGTAGCTGGGACTACAGGTGCACACCACCATGCCCGGCTAATTTTTGTATTTTTTGTGGAAATGGTGTTTTGCCATGTTGCCCAGGCTGGTCGCAAACTCCTGGACTCAAACGATCCACCTGCCTTGGCCTCCCAAAGTGCTGGGATTGCAGGCAGGAGCCACCATGACTGGCCAATATCTGTTAAATGGAATGTTTGAGTCTACTACATGCAGAAAGAAAAATGCACACTCTGTCCTTTAGTTTTAATCTATTGTTGCCTTTATATTTAAAGTGCATTTCTTGTAGGCAGCCTTATTGTTGGTTCTTGCTTTTATATTCAACCAAATAATGGCTGAAATTCAATTGGGAATATTTAAACTGTACATTTAATGCGAATATTAATATGGTAAGATTTAAATCTGTCATCTTGCTTTTTGTTTTCTATTTGTCTTAACTGCTCTTTGCTTCCTTTTTCCTATTTTTATGCTTTCTTTTAGATTAATTAAATATTATTTATAATTTCTTTTTATCTCTTTTGTTGGATTATTAGTTATAATTCTTTGCTTTGTTATTTTAGTGCTTTATTTAGGATTCACAGTGTACATTTTTAACTTATCACAGTCTACCTTCAAGTGATATTATACCTCTTCACATACACTATAACAATTTACAGTGGCATATTCTCATTTCTCCCTCCCAACTTCTGTGCTGTTATTGTCATAGATTTTTCTTTTATTCATGTTATAAAGCCCATAGTACATTGTTATTATTTTTATTTAAACAGTCATTATTTTTTAAAGAGATTTTAAAAATACCAAAATTATGTTATATTTTACCCATGTGGTTATCATTTCCAGTGCCCTTTGTTTCTTTCTGTACATCTACGTTCCCTTCTGGCATCATGTTCCTTCTTCTTGAAGGAATTCCCATGACATTTCTTTTTTTTTTCAGACAGAGTCTCACTCTGTCACCCAGGCTAGAGTGTAGTGGTGCCATCACGGCTCACCGCAGCCTCAATCTCCCAGGCTCAGGTGATCCTTCCACCTCAGCCTCTTGAGTAGCTGGGACTACAGCCATGCGCCACCACACCTGGTTAATTTTTTAATTTTTTGGTAGAGACAGGGTTTCACCATGTTGCCCAGACTGGTCTGGGGCACATAGCCTCAGGTGATCCTCTGGCCTTGGCCTCCCAAAGTACTGGGATTACAAGCATGAGCAACTACTCCCAGCCTGTGACATTTCTTATGGTGTTGATTTACTGGTAGTGGATACTTTCAGCTCTTGCATATCTGAAAACATCTCTATTTCTCTCTTTTTGTTTTTGTTTCACTGATTTTCTCTATTATTTTTCTGTTTTGATTTTATTAATTTTTTATTTTATTAATTTCTGCTCTTTATTTTTCTCTTCCTTATGCTTGCTTTGGGTTTACTTTGCTCTTCTTTTCCTAGTTTCTTAATGTAGGAATTTAGGCTGTTAATTTGAAACCTTTCCTCTTTTGTAATGTAAGCATTTAGTGCTGTAAGTTTCCCTCTCAGTAGTGCTTTAGCTGCATCTGACATGCTTTAATATGTTGTATTTTCATTTTCATTCAGGTCTATGTATCTTTGAATTTTCTTTGAGACTTCCTTTTTAACCCATATATATATATATATATATATATATATACTGTTCAATTTTCAGGCATTTGGAAATTTTCTGGTTCTTTTTCTGGTATTGATTTATTTTACATTTGTTAAGTTTTGTTTTATGGTTCAGAATGTAATCTATCTTGGTGAATATTCCATGAACTCTTGAAAAAAAAATTGTGTTCTGCTAAAGTGCTATATATGACAAATAGATCCTGCTGTCTGATTTGTTGTTCATTTCTTGTATATCCTTGCTGATGTTCTGTCTAGCAGTTCTATCCATTGCTGAGAGTGGGCTGTTGAAGTTCCCAGCTATAATTTTCTATTGCCTATCTCCTTTCAGGTCTGTCAAGTTTTGCTTCATGTATTTTGAGCCTCTCTTGTTCGGTGCACATATATGTAGGATCATTATGTCTTCCTGGAGGGTTGATTCTTTTATAATTATGTAATGTCCTTCTCTGTCTCTGTTAACTTTACTCTAAAATCTGCTTTATTTGATATTTATATAGCTACTCTTAACTTTGTGGGGTTATTGTTACATGATATCTCTTTTTTCATTTTTTTTCCCTTTCAACCTACCCACATTGTTGTATTTGAAGTGAGTTTTTTATAAATAGCATTTTGTTGCGTCACGTTTTTTTGCTGTTGTGTATTTGCTTGTTATTTAATCCACTCTACCTGGTGGGGGTAAAAGTCTAAGATTCTCACTTGGCCTTGCTGGCTTAGGTAGGGGAAGGATCACAGTTTTTTCTGTTGCATTTGGCTGGCATAGTTAGTTTTCTGTCTTGCAAGGCTGCTCCTTTGGCTAGAGAAACTAGACTCTTCTTGTCTGCGCTTGTTAGCATTTTCAGGTTGCCAGCTTCTCCATCTCTGAGTCTAAGAGATATGAGACAAAAAGAAAACCCAGGGAAGTTATTGCTGTGTTGTTCTTTAACTACTGAGGTCCCTAACTGGTATTCCACTTTTTGGCCTCTTTCAGAGTCTTCTTATGTTTATTTTATATAATGTTCAGGGTTTTTCACTATACTTCGTGGGAGGAATTGAGAAAGCATGTCTTATTCCATCTTTCTGGCAGAGAATCTTCTCCATTTTTGAATAGATATTTCACTGAGTATAGAATTCTAGGTTGACAGGTTTTCTTCTTTCAGTACTTTAAAGAGATTGTTCTGTTATCATCTTAGTTGTATGATTTCCTATGAAAAAAATCTCTGTTGTTGTTGTTTTTTGTTTGTTTGTTTGTTTGTTTGTTTTTTGGTAGAGATGAGAGTTCTTGCTATGCTACCCAGGCCGGTCTTGAACTCCTGGCCTCAAGCAATCCCCCTGCCTTAGCCTCCCCAAGTGCTGGGTTTACAGATGTGAGCCACCACACCCAGCCTAATTCTTATTTTGTTCCTCTGTATAAAATGTGTCTTTTTTTCTGCACTGTAGCAGTTTGATTATGCCCTTGCCCTGCCTTGGTGTGATTTTCTTCATGTTTTTTGTGATTGGAGTTCATTGAGATTCTTGAATCCAAGGGTTTATTCCTCTTAAGCAGTCACTCTCTAAAAGCAGGTGGCTCAACCCACCTTACAGTAAAAATTAGACTGCTATTAATTTGTAGTTGAACTCTGATATTTTCCAGGTTCTAAATTGTTTATTTAATAGGTGGTCATATGTTTTGTACACCAGATATTCAAGCACCTTCTGCCACAGTGCTCTGTTTTGAACATTTAGGGCATAACTTGAATATTTTCATAAGTCAAAGACTCACCTCATTTTCCAGATCATAGAGATGACTTCGGAGAAGTGAAACTTTTCCTAAAGTTTCCTGAAGTTGCAACTGTTAGGAGCACAGGCAGACTTAGGGTTTGAACTCCATACCTCTTGCTGGGTGATGATGGGAATGTTATTTAACCATTTTGAGCCTCCGGTGTGTAAAGTGGGAGATGATAATCATACTTGTTAATACCTCATCAGGTTGATATGTGAATTAGATGAGAATAGTTAAGGATTCACAAAATGGTAGCTATTGTTGCTGTTGATATTTTTCTTTAATAGACTTTCTTTTTTTAGAGCAGTTTCAGGTTCACAGCAAAATTGAGTGGAGGGTACAAGGAGTTTTCCATTTATCCTATCCTCATTTATGCATAGCCTTCTCCATTATCAACATGCCACACCAGATGGGTGCATTTTTTATAATCAAGGAGCCTATATTGACACATCATTATCAACCAAAGTCCATAGTTTACATTAGGGCTCACTCTCGGATTTGTATATTCTATGGGTTTTGATGAGTGTCCAATGACATGTATCCACCATTATAGTATCATTCAGAATAGTTTTATTTTCATAAAAATCTTTGCTCCGCCTATTCATTCCTTCCTCTCCTACACCTGAACCCCTGACAACCCCTGATCCTTTAACTGTCTCCATAGTTTTGCCTTTTCTGCAATGTTATGTTAGTTGGAATCATACAGTATGTGGCTTTTCAGATTGGCTTCTTCACTTAGTAATATGCATTAAAGTTTCCCCAATGTATTTTCATGGTGTAATAGCTCATTGCTTTTTAGCAGTGAATGATATTCCATTGTCTGGATGTACCATAGTTTACTGATCTACTGACTGCTAAAGGACATCTTGTCTCCTTTCAAGTTATGGCATTTATGAATGTAGCTGCCATAACCATCTCTGTGTGGGTTTTTGTGTGGACGTAAATTTTCAGCTCAATTGGGTAAATACCAAGGAGTATAATTGCTGGATCATATGGTAAGAGTATGTTTAGTTTTGTAATAAACTGCCAAACTGTCTTTCAAAGTGGCTGTACCATTTTGCATTCTTACTAGCATTGAGCGAGAGTTCCTGTTGCTCCACATCCTCACCAGCATTTGGTGTTACCAACGTTTCGGGATTTAGACATTCTAATAGGTGTATAGTGGTATCTCATTGTTTTAATTTGCAGTCTCCAGTGACATATGATATTAAGCATCTTTTCTTGGTACCTATTTGCCATCTGTATATCATCAGCAAGATGTTTGCTCAGGTCTTTTGTCCAATTTTAAAATCATGGTGTTCATTTTCTTATTGTTGAATTAAAAAATTTCTTTGTAGATTTTGGAGCTATTGGTATTTTTATTTGAATTACTATTATCTTAAGTGCTTGGACAAGAGTTTCATTAAGACCTCAGCATTTTAACCAGTAAAACATGAAAATGTTTTCTTCTCATTTTTTGGAGGGAGGTGGATAAATGATCTTCACTTGAAAAAAAAAAAATGAAAAGATGTTCTGGGTTACTTTGATCCAGAAAGAACTTCAGGCTGCCTCTTAAGTAGAGCTGTGACTTCATGGGCCCTTCATGCTCTAATAACCTCCCCACAAAATTAGTTTGTGCCATGTGTTTTTCAACAATTGCCTTATTAAGGAGTGGGAAGTACCTGCTTAGCACAGTATTGCGTTTCTTTGTTAGGAATCTGTGGATTCACAAGGTGCTCTGCTGTTATCAGGGTGGTGACATTACACCTATTAGCAAGTCTCCTCAACTTGCAGAGAACTGCTCTGGCCTGGATCATTCTGTAGAAAAACTAGTTACTAATGCTATTGAAGAAAAATATGTCCCATGATAGATGGAGGTATTATATTATCTGATTTCCATTCTCCCACCCTTCACTATGCATCAATAGATTTATATCATAGGATTCATTTTCGTTTTATGTCTTTTTATTTACGCACCAATTCTTTTGCAAGTAATTTTAATTCTTCGTTTTATGAGAATGAGGCTCTGTGCCTGTGTACTCCTATGTAAAATAAAGGAAATTATTGTTTTTAATGCAGATTTGAAAAAAATATAATGGATTTCAGCTACACCAATCTCTCCCCATTTAGATGAGATGAACACCTAGTTAGATGGGGAACGTCATTCCTCATATAATTTGAATACATCCTGTTTCCATGACAACTTGTACTTACCAGCTTGCCTGGTAAAAGAAGTGCTTGAATTCTTCCTCTGATAAAAGATTTGACCAACCACTGGGGCCCCAGTTTCTTAATTCCAATAATTTCATTCCAGCCTGGGGCCAGTTTTCTTTTTAACATGGGATGATGTTGAGGATTAGAAACCAAAAAACCATTTTAGAGGTGAATTCACCTCCAAAATAAAAGGAGAGGACTCATAGGCCAAATACTAATGAGCACGAGAAATGAAGATACTTGTGCAGGTCATAGTCATTTTCTGATATCTTCCAGTTAAATTGAATCAACAGAGATGATGCAACAACTTATTAAGATGCTATTTGATTTGACAAAGAATGATTCAGTTATTCATTTCCATCTGGACGTTATAATCAGTTGGCTTGTTTTTTTCACTGCTAATTTATATCTTGCCTTTATGGGTGGCTTGTGCCCTCTTACTGCTGAATTTCAATTCTAATAAGGAGTTTGGTTTTATTAATGATTTTCCCTCAGAATGAAAAATAGGAAATTATTTGCATCATTAACTGTGCTTTTGCAAACTATGAAAAACATGATACTGCATTTAATTGACAAATTTATGTTTCATGTGTTATAAAATATTTTAGTCCAATAAGGCAAGCAGACATGACCCTTAGGCATTTTAGGAATGATAGGGACTCATCCCAAATTTAGGATAATTCACAGTGTATTTCTGAGTGACCTGGTAGGTTTTGAAAGGACGAAAGTGACTCAGCTATCTCCAAGATCATTGTCAACCACAGTATATATTTGTGACATCAAATACTTGTATAAAGTCATCTGAGGGATACCATGTTCATCATAGCCTCCATGAGAGCTCCTCTTTTGTAATGATGACCTAGTATGATCAATATGTGCATCTTTTTAGCCTCTGGGAATAAGATACTGTCTTACCACAAACACTAAGAAAATTTAAAGCAAATACCATAAGGTGCAACCTGCCATTATGTAGATAATATGTAACTAATAAGAATGAACAGGAAAAGAGTGAAAAATTAACAGGATCTTTCTGTATTGTGAGTATGCAATTCCTGCTGATGGTAAAACAAAAGAGATTCAGTAACTGAAGGGGTCTCATTGGCCTAAACACTGCAAGTGTCCTTCTGTTTCTGAATGGTGCATTTTGCACAGTAGTTAGAGTTCTAAAAATGTCATGTAATTATGATTTTTTTTAGAAAACAAATAATGCAGCTTCCTTTCAAGAATTGCTTTATTTTCCTTTACTAATTGTTCATCAATTGATAATGGCTTCTCAAACTTTAGTGTACTTAGCTCTTAAGAAGTAAATGACTTATAAAGTATTTCAATCTACACTTTAATGAATGGTTTTAAATCACAGAAGGATTCATTATTCAGATATTTATTGACTTCCCAGTACATGAGCAGTACTTTATAATAGTCTCTGAGGACCTCAAAGGTGAGCTCCCCACCCCTCAGGAAGCTTGGGTTAAATATGGTACAGGGAAAGATGGTACAGGAGGTCTTTTTGCAGCCTGACTCATAACCTCCTAATATTTTGCCAAATCAGCTTATATTTTCTGTATCAAGATTTCTTATGTCATAAATATGATTATTTCAGCTTAAAATAAAGCTTCGGAAAGCACAATACACTTCCTCAGAGAACTGGCTTACAAAATGTTCCCCTAAATGATCTATGAACCGTAAATGAAATCCCCAAAACAAAATCTTATCCTTAAAGCAGCTTCTTAGATGTAAACAAATGACTTGCTTGCTGTTGATTTATCCCACTAGGCGAGCAGTTATCAGCTCATAGTGGGGATTAGAGGCCTCCAAGATGGTTGCTGAAATCCTCTGGAACAGGCAGTGCTCCAGGACCCGCTCCTTGTGTATCTACCGTTCGGGTTTTCCCAGGACCAAAGGGTTTTCTGGGACTCAGAACTTTCAGTGCTCAAATTGGAACAGTCCTAGGCAAATTGGGACAGTTGTTCACTCCACCTGTCTCTAGATCCCCAACGAGCATACAAAGGAGGACACTCGTATTCAAAAAGCAGAGAAGATGTAGGGTTATCCCCTCCAGGAACTGTGATAAGGAAACGAGAATCAACACTTGGGTGACCTTTTTTTGACTTTTATGTAGAGCCTCACCAAATGTTCCTGATTTGATCCTTCAGGCAGCACTGCAAAGCAGGTGTTATTGGCACACTCATTTTTTAATTGAGAAAAAAGGAGACTCAGAGGTTCACCGATTTGTCCCAAAGCACATGGCTGTTAGACATTGGCTCAAGCACATGTTTTTGGACTTTCCTCTGATCACATTGCCTCCCTACTGCTCATCGTTTCCTTTCTTTTAAAAATTGCTGAAGACCAATTTGAGGCCTGCCGGCTCTCCCCTTCAGTCCAGTTTCTGATGTAAGCTATCTCTGTATCTCTGATTGATTGGCTGGCCAGGAATGTTCAGAACTACTCTTTGATAAGAAGCCAGTGATTGGCAGAGTGTTTATTACAGGGTTGCACATGATAGCCACAATCACTGGTAATAATCTGTGTGCCTAACAGGAGGAGTTGGTTATACAAATCATTACTCCTCCAATCAGTGGAATTCTGTGTGGCCACAACAAAGGTCTTTAATCAGAGCTCTTAGACTGGCCACAAAACCTATATACTGACATCGTTGGGACTTTTTTTTTTTAAATCAGGGAAGAGATTTTTTTTTAAATCAGGAAAGTAGTTTGGGCACTGCCCAGCTGTGTCTCTAGAACTCTGTGAATCTCTTGTCCCTATCTGGGGTGTGTTTGGTGACTGATTCCCTGTGAGGGAACTTGGCCTGGCCCTTGAAGGATGGTTAGACAATTTAGATGGTCAGAGGAGAGAAGAAAGGTCTCAGGCAAAAGTGTGGAGATATGAGTACATATGGTGTGTTTACCAAGTGGGGAGTAAGCCCATCATTGATTCAGTAAAGCTGGGTCTCCCATGTGCCAGACACCGTGCTAGGAACCCAGAAGACAGTGGTGGAGGGGGTGGGCCCAGGCCTGTCTTCGGGAGCTCATGTTGTGGCAGAGCTGAAAATGCACCAAGAAATAGGGACAAATCTGTTTGGAATATATATATTTCCATGTATAGCTGTTTCTCCAAATATATAGATTTAACATATATATTCCAAGTATATGTAAATATAGGTGTATAATTATATCTCTCTAAATATATTTGGAAATATACTCGCAAATGCATTTGAAAAAGGGGGTCAAGGTGTGGACAATTTCAAAGGCTAGATTCCAGATTTCAGACCTCAGCCTGTGAGAAACAGGCAGCGCTTTAGGGCTTTTGAACAAAGAAGTAATAGGACAAAAGTGCTTTTTAGGAAGACCAACATGCCGTCCATGAGAAAGATACACTGGCAGAGGAGAAAGACAAGAAATTAGGAGACAAAGTCACAGACTCTTCCTTTCAACCAATATCTGCTGTATACCCAGTTTGTTTCCTTAATAAATGTTGCTGGTGTGCCAGCCATGGACAGGCCCTGCACTAGGCACTGGGTGGACAAAGGTGGACAAGAGAGGCCTGGCCCTCCCCACTTGGACTGGATATTCTGTTTCGGAAGATCGGCAGTTGATGTGTGCAGCTGACACGTGCACTGAAAAAAATAATGAGGAAGGGGAGAAGACCTGCTTTAGAGTGGAGGCCTAAGGCAGGAGAAGGAGTCAGCCATGCAAGCGGAGGGACTAGCAGTTCAGGAGAAAGAACAGCATATGCAGGTGCCCTGTGGCCACAGAGAAGCTTTGAGGCAGGGGGAGAGATCAGCCATGGATTTGGAAAGGCAGGAAGGATCCAGAAGATGCCAAGTACTGTTGGCCACCAGAAAGAGTCTGGGTTTTTTTCTGAGAGCAGGCAGAAGCAAACCAGTGTTTGAGGACTGTTGTTCAGGCTGCTGTCTGGCAGGAGATGAGAGGGTCGGGTGTTAGAAGCAGGGAGACCCGTTAGGAGGCTGTTGCAGTCCTCCAGGCCATGCTTGGCTGACTCAGGAGTGAGGACTGGGAGTGGCTGGCACCAGTGGGAATAAAGAAGGAAGAGCAGGCTAGGCACTGTGGCTCACGTCTGTAATTCCAGCATTTTGGAAGGCTGTTGTGGGAGGATCACTTGAGGCCAGGAGTTCAAGACCAGCCTGAACAACATGGTGAAACCCTGTCTCTACAAAAAATTTAAAAATTAGCAGGGCATGGTGGCATGTGCTTGTAGCTACTGGGGAAGCTGAGATGGGAGGATTGCTTGAGCCTGGGAGGCCGAGGCTGCATGAGCCAAGATTGTGCCACTCCACTCCAGCCTGGGCAACAGAGCAAGACTCTGTCTCAAAAAAAACAACAACAATAATAATAGAGAAAAAGAAAAAAAGAAGGAAGACCAACACACGGATTGCAGGCAGATCAGGACGAGAACTCAATGTCTGATAGGTGGATGGATGTGGAGAGTGGGACAACCAAACCTCAAGGCCACATTTTCCAGGCTCAATGACCACATGGACCTCAGTGTCCTCACTGCAGATGCTTAACACATGCCATTTCCTTTGCCCCTTTCTCTTCCATTAGCAGCTCTGAACAAGAGAGGCCTGGCCTGGCCCCTAAAAGATCTTCAGAGGTCTTTTGGAATCTAGATAAATAACACTAGTTGAGCTTTTTCTATGTGCAACTTGCAAGGTGCTTTATAGACAATGTTTTCTTATACATGGCTCAGAGCAGTCCCTTGAGAGTGCTCTTGTTATCTGTACCCTAGATGAGGAATCTGGAGCTCAGCAAGGTTAATAACTTCCCAGAGTCACAGGGTTTACCTATGGCAGGATCTTGGTTAGAGCAGGGATCAGTCTCACTCTGAAGCAATCACTCTTGAACCACACCGCAGCCTCCCCTGACCCGTGAGTATCCCAGAATAGTGTCAAGTCTCCCCTACCTTTCCAAGCCATTGCTCTAGGACTGACCAGCTGCAACACACCTTTGCTGGAAGCTTCAGTGAGGGCCTCTGCCCCAGGCCAGTCCCTTCCTGTGCCCTGTACCTACCGGCACTGAAGACTGCCATCTAGTGGCCATTGCCTTCCTTTTTCTTTTGCTGTTAAAGGAAAACGGAGTTCCCACATAAAAGACAGGCCTGCATATTTATAGTATCACACCCTGTAAACAGGAAACTTCTCAGTGTTAGAGAAGGAGCCCAGCAACATAAACAGCATATTGCCAATGAGTTCCGCCACCCATTCAACAAACACTTAAATACACACACACACACACACACACACACACACACACACACACATTCTATTGGAATGTAGGCTCCCAGAGAGAGGAATTTCTTTTGTCTGTATTGCTAATGAACCTGGAGAGCTTAGAACAGTGGCATTTGCATAGCAGATATGCAACAAATATTTATTGAGTGTGGAATGAATGAACGCCTGACATTTACTGTATCTTTACTATATACCAGGGACTTGACATATACATTTTCTCATTTAATCCTAACGATAACTCGAGAGATAGAGACCATTAGCATGTCCAGTCCTCATATGTGGAGACTGAGGCACAGAGAGGGTAGGAAGCTTGCCAGGTTTAGGGAGAACTAGCTTTGACCCAGGTTTTCTGACATTAGAGACCATGTGTTCCCTCCTTTCAAGGGAGCCACTGGCCAATTCCCTCCCATGTTCTGCCTTTATTGAGTGGAAGGCTCCCTTCCCAAAGTGTTGAGACAGAGGCCATCAATGGAGGGAATGTCACTAGCTAACTCTGTGGCTGTGTGACTTCCAGTGTCCCTGAACCTCAGGTTCCTCATTGGGTAAAGGAGGAGACTGAGTTAGGACCCCTGCCTTCCCTTCCAACGTCATCATTCTGCTGTTCCTGTGACTCCCAGGGAGCAGATGTGAGTAGAAGAGAGAGGACCACTTGTTGCTAGGCAACCAGCACCCACCTCACCCATGTTGCCATGGTGATGATGAAAGTTGGGCTGATGGGATTACCAGCTCCTGCTAATTGCATATGAGTGCTCAGGTTTCTGTCTCTTTCTTGCCTGCTTGCTCGCTCTGACTTTCTCATTCTTCTAGGAACTGTAGAGCGATTTCCCCCTCTCCTCCATCTGCAGCCTCCCTGAGGCAGCCCTAGTGCAATGGAAAGCAACTGGGAATGGAGCCTGGCTGTGTGTCTGAATAGCTGTGTGACCTTGGGCAGGTTACCCAGCTTCTCTGGGCCTTTCTTTTCTCATTTGGAAAATGAAGGTGTTGGAAAAGTGATCCCTGTCTAAGGTTCTTCCCGGCTCTCAAATCCTTTGATGCCTAGGGAGCTTGTCAGGGGAGCAGACCACACTGTTACTAGGCAACCAGCAGGCACCCTGCCCAAGTTGCCTTGGTGACTGGATGCTGGAGGGGAGGGGAGTAGCTGCTGCAGCTAATTGCTTAATTATTTATGAGTGCCTCAAGTCCTTCTTGTTGTTTTTGTTGCTAGGGGCTGTGGGGTCACCTTCTCTTCCTCTCTTCTGCCACCCCAAGTCGTCTGTGTTGCGTGTCATGCAGTGGGACAGCACGTTGGTCCGGACCTCAAGCTACCCACGTTCTAGTCCCGCCTCTGTCATTTCCTAGAGCTGTGGCCTCGGGTAAGTCACCTCACCTCTCTGGGCCTCAGTTTCCTCATTTGTAAAGTGATGGGTTTGCTTAGATGATCGCTGAATCCCCTTTCTACCTTGAAATTCTAGTTCCTGCCATCCAGTTCCCAGATGAGGGAAATTTCCCCAATTTATTATCTTCTAAGAATGATTCTGAAGAGCAATAAAAATAATTAAGTCTCTTACATATTTCAAACAGGAAGGGAATGAAAGTTGTGACCATTGTTCCCTCCTTAGCCATTTTGTATAATCTCTTTTATTAATCTTAAGGTCATTTAAATTTTATCTATTCATATATACCACCTACTTCCAAAATAAATTTGAGGGGTTCAGTGTAAGGTGCATATATGCTATTAGGTCTTTAAAATAGAAATAGGAATAAATATAAAAATAGTGATGCTTCTTCATTGGCTAATATTGGTGCTGTGATTGAGCACCAAATGTAATTATGAGCAGCCTGGAAGCCAAAGCAAAAAGAGAGAAAGGTATATAATTGCTATTCAGTAAAGAAAAACTGCCAGACTGTTCCTAGTTCTAAATTCTGGAGGGAATTTTTTCATGTGGTACACAATCCTTTTACAGAAACTGCAGATAAAAATTCTTGACTAGCCCTTTTTTGCTGAGGATATTGTTAAAGGACATAAGGAAGGAGCTAAACTTGACAGTTTGACTAGCTTTAATCATTAGAAAGCAAAACTTCCTTTCTACCCATGCCTTGGAATTTTATACAGATATGTGTCACTTCGTAAATATAAATTTTCAGAATCAACCATTATTTATATATCAGCTATATATAAATTCATGTAACCACTTTGCAAAGCAATTTGGCAATATGTATCAAATTTTTAAATGCAGCCAACAATTCTTCTCCAAACTTATTCTGAGATTAGCTTGTGTAGATGAAGAAAGCCATAAATATAAAAATACTTATGGTAGCATTATTTATATAAGAAAATGTCTAGAAACCACATAAATGTTGGAGGCTAGTGAATTAAATTATATTACCTCTTTACAATGAATTACTTTGCAGCCCTTAAGATAAAGTAGATCTATATGTTTTGATATGGAAAAATCTTCAAGGATATAATGTTAAGTGAAATAAGAAGGTACAGCATTGGTATTAAATGCTTCCATTTTGGTTATAAAAAAGATATAGATTTATAACTTATGAATCTAGATATATGCTTGCATGTGCATACTTGCATTTTTCTGGAAGGAAACTGTTGCCAGTGGTTTCCTCTGGGAATGAAGATTGATAGTCTTGGGAGGGAGGGAGACCTACTATTCACAGCTTGTTTTTACGTTGTGGACTTGTTAGTGTTCTGTGTAGAGAGGTAGGAGAGTCTGGCAGTTGAAAGTCTAGACTCTGGAGTCTGAATACCTATGTTCAAATCCCAGCTGTCCCACTTACTAGCTCTGTGACCTTGGGGTTATCTTAATCTTATCTCTGTTCCTCATCTGTAAAATGGGTTAATAGTATCTTCCTCATTGGCTTATTGTAAGGATTAAATGAGTTATTACGGGTAAAGTGCTCAGAGCAGTTTAAACAATGCCATATACCACGCTTCTTGGAAAAATGAAAGGAGATATTAAGCAACAAGATAAATGCATCTAACCAAAAGCACCCTCCCCTGTTTTAGTGTTGGACAGATTTTATAAAATCTGTCATTGCTTCCAGCATTGTATGTTGTATAGAAGTTAAGTTTAAAGCAGCGGTCTTGTTTTTATTATTGTCACTTTATGTGACCTTGATTACCTTTTAGGGAGGGCATCTACTCTGGGATTCATGACAGTCTGCTATGATGCTGTTGATGCCCCTGAACTCATCTTGTTTTGTAGCTCTTCCATCCCAGCGAATGCTCAAGGCATGAACAGAACACATGCTAGGCCAGGTAGAAGGTCAATGAGGAGATGGCATCCCACGCCCTTCACTGTTCAAAGCCAGAGAGGAACTATCTAGAAATTCAAGTGTAAAGAGGATGTCCATGCTGGTTGTGACATGTGTGTTCACAGGCCTCATGCCTTTGCTTTTCTTTTGAAAAAGAAAGTGACAGAGACCTGGGGAGATGCTGTGTTAGGAGGGCCCCTCCTACTTTGGGCTCAGGAATCTCACCGCCTAAGGGACTTCCTGGGTGCTCAGAGGTACAGGAAGCAGAGCGCTCTGTGTTCACAGGTGCCCGCTTTCCTCCTCCCGACTCGCCGGTGCTTTAGGGCAGATCTGGATACTTTGGCTGATTTTGGGAAATGTTCTCTGAAGTTAGCCACACGTTAAGCCAGGCTTGAGGCCTTCACTGTGGTCACATGGTAGCTCCAGAGGTTGGGATGGGGGCTCTGGCCCCTTCAAATCAGCGGAGTTAGGAAGTATGCTCTCACCAAGAGGAATGCAAAGCCCACCTGCTCCAACCTCATGCCCCAGTCGGTGGTTCTCTTGTTCGTTCTTCTTTCTCGCCCTTTGTTCTGTACTCGCGGGCACTGGAGTCTCTTTATCCATTTGGCCATCGGTTCCCCTCTCCATTTATCTGTCACACCCAACTGTGCTTCCATCTGCCCTCCATCCCTCCTTCTCTCCTCCAGCCATCTGCCAGCCTTCACTCCATCCTTCTGACTGCTGGTATGTCTGTCCATCCCTCCTTCCCTCGCACCACGTGGGTCTGGGGCTCCATCCCCTGTCCCATCCATCCCTCCATCTGTCCCTAGCCTGCCGCTCCATCCCGCTGCCCTTTTGCATGGCTGCAGAGCCAGCCCGCAGACCGTTCCCCGGTCCCTCTCACCCCCGTGGGCCCTCTAGCCCGTCCCCGGCCGCCACTCCAGGCCAGGCCGTCAGTCTCCCACGCTGGGCCCGCGCCTGAGCGGGATCGGCCCCCCATCCCTCCGTGGGTCTGTCTTTGTTCGGCGGCCCCGGCCCGGCCGTGCCTCCCACGGCCCCTCCGCGCGGCTCCCAGGCCCTGAAGGCGGCGGGCGGCGGGCGGCGGGCGGCGGGCGGCTAGCCCGGGGCGGGGCGGGGCGCGCGGGGCGGGGCGGGGCGGGGGCCGGGGGTGACTCAGCCGCGCTCGCCCCGCGGTCCGCGCGTCCGCCGGCCTTGCAGGCGGGGCGGAGAAAATGGCGCTGCCCCCGGCCGCCGCGCCCCCCGCCGGGGCCCGGGAGCCGCCGGGGTCCCGCGCCGCCGCCGCTGCCGCCGCCCCCGAGCCGCCGCTCGGCCTGCAGCAGCTGTCGGCGCTGCAGCCTGAGCCGGGCGGGGTCCCGCTGCACTCGTCCTGGACCTTCTGGCTCGACAGGTGAGGGGGCGCGGGGCCCGCCGCGCACGGCCCCGACCCGGGTCCTGCCGCCACCGCCGCTTTGTCTCGGCGCGGCCCCTCGCCCCGGCCCCGCTCCGCTGTGGCACAGACCTCGGCCCCTCCGCGCGTCCGCCTGCGCACCCCGGGACTCGCCCCGCCGGGTCGGAAGCCAGCTTCGGGCCGCGCCGGGCGGCTGTTCGGCGTCCTCGCCTCCGGGCCGGGGGAGGACAGCGCAGCCCGAAAAGTTTCGGCAACACTTTCTACCCCTTGTTCCCTTCCGATCGGAACGCGGCGTGCTGGCAGGGCCGTGGGAGAGGGTAGGCGAGCTGGGGGTGGCCGCGTCCCTGCTGCAGGGAGAGGGCTGTCCTGCTTACCCCGCGGGGCGCCTGGGAGCTCAGGACACGACCTCAGCTGTGACAGCGCTCGGAAAAGTTGCCCATCCCTTGGGAGGTGTGCGGTGGTGCAATGATTATTGCACGGCGGGCGCTCCCACCCCGTGTCCGGCCGCTGCTGCCGTGGACTCCTCTTCCAGTTCTTCCTCATCCACTGGGCAGGTATTTCCTGAACACCTACAGTGGAGCCACACACCTGCTATGCGCTGGAGATTCAATAATGAGCAGCAGCTGACCTTGTCAGGAAGGGGGTGAATTATGGCTTTCTCAAGGGACAACCCAGGTGCCATCTTTTCAGAAAGACCCCCTGACTACCGTATCTAAAATAGAAACCTTGCTCCCTCGTTTTGTATTCTCCTGCCCTGCCTTCTTTTTCTTCCTAATGCTTAATGCAGCTGGATTTTATTATATATGAATTTGTTTACTTTCAGTCTGTCTCCCCAGCTCCTCAACACCTCCCCTCAGTTAAGGATAAAAGAGCAGTGGATTTTTGTTTTTGGACATTTTGGACCTAGAACTGTGCCTGGTCCCTAGTAAGAACACCAGAAATTGTTATGAATGAATAGATGGATGAATGCAAAGCCCCTTCTTAGTGTCTGCCCTGCAGTGGGTGCCCAATGATGACACCTCAAGGTTGTCCCAAGAGCATTTGGAAATTTTGATGAAACCGTGTCTATTCTGGCTAAGTGTTAGGAAGAAATGTGTGACAGTGTTCTGAGAAGTTTGCTTGGTACACACAAATCTGGTTTTAAAAGGCTTTGCATAAAATGACTGCAAGATTTTGTTTTAAAAAAGTGATATTCATTTTTTTTTTGGTTAAGACAAGCTCATTTCTTTTTTCCTTTTGGGTTCTTATAGCACCCGTCTATAAGAATTGTCACTTGCTGCCATTTTCTTTGCCGGAGACCCAAAAAAGTTGGGGGTGGGGGAGATGGAGTGAGTTTCGTTCTTTCAAAACATTTTCACTTTCATTATGGGATGCTAAGAGAGCATTATACTGTCATAACAAGCGTGCTTTTGGCAGACCTTAGCAGAATGAAATCGTGTCTGTTTTCATAGGTGTGCTGCAACTGTGCTATTGTTACCTGGTATCTGTTTTCAAGGTGTTAAACCTGGACCTGTGGTCTAAATTGTGAATACTGCTGACTGGTGGAAACAGTATCAAGAGAGTTTCTTTTTAAACAGGTCTAAAATTAGTTTACATGTAGGAACAACACTTTTAAGGACTGGTCTAAAATGTCAATACTACAGATAACACAATCTTTTAAGACTAGTAGCTTAAGATTATAGTAACTTTAATGAAGACAAAAACTATATCTATACTATTGATTTACACATTTTTGTTCTCTAAAGGTCGATCATCAAATGAAATACATTATTGCCACAGTGTCCAGATCTTTAATAGAAATGGCTGTATTAATTTAGAAATTATAATGAGTTCCAATATTGTACATATGAATTCATTTTGCCCGATCAAACAACTCATAATTTTTATTGAACTTTTTCTCCTTCTGTGGGAATCCATTACCTTTATATAGGGTGCCCCTCTCCCCCTTGAGGTTATGAACACATTATGATCTAGAAGTTCATTAGTAACTTTTCTCCCCAGGTAAACAACATTCTAGAGACTGGTGAGGTTCTCAGGAGAGCCCTCCAAGGCAGCCTTACCTGCAGCATAGCCAATGTCTGCCTGGCAAGATGACATCGGTTTTTGAGTTCCATAGCATGCAAAGGCCTCTTGCTACTTAAAACTCCCCTTTGGCATCCTACCTCCCGGCCTGTCCTACTTTCCAGCCTACTGTGTGCTGATGAGCAAGCCATCTAGCTGCCCCAAGCCTCACTTTCATTGTAAAATGGGATAGTCATAGGCTATGTCTCACAGGGCAGTTCTGAGGATTAAATGAGAGACATGATGTACAACACCTAACAGGTGCCAGCTGGTAGAAGGAGCTTCCTAAGCATAAACTACTAACACTGTCATTACCATGCTCCCCAGCTACCAACCCCTCCCCATACCCACACCCCAACAAACAGTCTCTGGAGCAGCTTGTCTGAATTCTGTGTTGGGAAGCCAGAAACCTAAATTCATTCCCCTCACTGGATGAGTTGGAGAACTCCTCTGTAAAGTTATTAGTATTTTTAATAGTCAACTCCAATAAGTCCTTATTTGGTTAAAAAATTAGACTGTATGGTTAAGGATTTCGGCATTTGAGGAAGGTAATTTTAGATTGGGGGTACAGGCTGAAGAGTTTTTCTCCCCTTTTCTGGACATTTAAAACTATCCTGTCTTGATTCTTGGAAGCCACTCTGGGTTATGTGTCTCTAACTGCTTCCTTTTGATCTTATGGTGACCCGCTCGCCTCTGAGTTTTTTCCCACAAGACTCAGGCCTCAGGCCTCTTCTTTGTGCCATTTACACCAGGGATCTCATCCAGTCACAGTGCTTTCAGGTCCACCTGAATTCTGGTGACTCTCAAAACCTTACACTCTTAGATCCAGTGCTCCTTCCCCTTTGTCTCCATGGATGTCCAATGTAATACACAACCAGACTCAACATATACTGAACTACCTCCTCAACTGCCTTCCCAAACTTGTTTCCTTCTATCTGTATCTCAGATAAGAGCAGTTAAGAGCAAGTCTATCCTTCCAGTTGCCCAGCCCAGAAATCTTAGAGTCATCTGTAACCACCTCCCACCCCCGCCCCCCCGAGGAAAAGCCAAAGGGCTTACAGGAACCATAAAGCTTTGCAGCTCTTCCTGCCCCACCCAGGACCCTTTTCTCCCTTGTCACTCTCCCTTCTGCCATGCCCTTCTTTCTGCTCATCGGTCCCCTTGCTCTTTCGCCTTCATCCCAAGCAGGGACCTTAGCCACTGACACCCCCTACTGCTTGGAGTGCTCTCACCTCCATCAGTGCTTGCCCTGCTCTTTCCTGTCCTTCAAGCCTCTGCTCACATGTCACCTTCTCAGACCTTCCATATTAGTCTGTTCTCACACTGCTACGAAGAATTACCCAAGACTGGGTAACTTATAAAGGAAAGAGGTTTGACTCACAGTTCCACGTTGCTGTGGAGGCCTCAGGAAACTTACAATCATGGTAGAAGCCAAAGGAGAAGCAGGCACCTTCTTCACAGGGCAGCAGTACCAAGTGAGTGCAAGCAGGGTAAATGCCAGACACTTATAAAATCATCAGATCTCATGAGACTCACTCACTATTACGAAAACAGCATGGGGGAAGCCACCCCCATGATCCGGTTACCTTCACCTGGTCCTGCCCTTGACATATATGGGGATTATGGAGATCACAATTCAAGATGAGATTTTGGGTGGAGACACAGCCAAACCATCTTATGTTGCCTGACCACTGTTATGAAATGGCGCAAGCATCCTGACACACACACCCCGAGCCCCTGACCCTGTTTTATTTTCTCCATAGCATTACCACCATTGGCTTGTCTTCTCCCACTAGGATGTAAACCTCATGAGGGCAGAGTTCTCGTCCCGGATGCCTTGTCCTTAGCTCCTGGATTGGAGCCTAGCACAAGTCAGTCCGCACTGAATACCCTGAACAGGGTGTTGTTGAATTCTACCCGCAGTGACTTCACCTTCTCCTGTGGTGGCTCCATTACTCTGCTAATCATTTGCAAGTCTCCATCTCCAGCCTTCAGCTCTCTTCGGAGTTCTGGACACATGTCTGAAAGCTAAGGAAATCCACAGGCACTTTAAATGCAGTACTGATTCTTCAGTGACTGAGCTCATTTCTCTCTATTCTCTTTCTTTTCTGCTGACCACGTGTTGGTTAACCATCCTGCCATACTTCCAGTTTTTCAGAATTGGAATTTCCATTTGATCCTTGAATCTTCTTTCTCTCAAGCACCCTCCTCCATCCAGTTCTATATTTCATACTGTTAATTCCCCTGGGAAAACTTGATCCAAGTCTAAGCCATTTTCCTCTCTCCATGCCCTCTCTCTGCAGGTTCTGGTTATGTCTAGTTCCAGTTACCTCCTAGCCGGCTCTTAGCTTCCTGCCTGCTCCCAAGCTCTGCCCCTTTCCAGGCATCCCCCACCTGGACTGGCATGGTTAGCCTTCTAAACATACGCCTTATCTTACCATTCCAAAACTCCTTTGCCCTGTTCCTCTGCCATAGCAGCAGATTTTTACTTTATGTCTCTTACCACCTAAGAGGACCTCTTTTATGAAGTTGTGTGATCCAGACAGTAGGGATTCTGGATCTCCACCACTACGTCTACCAGAGCAGCTTTGAGAGGTGGTGGTGTGGTGGTTTGTTTTTAGAAATGGGACCCCTTAGGCTGGATGTGGTGGTTCATCCGTGCAATCACAGTACTTTAGGAGGCTGAGGAGGGAGGATCTCTTGAGGCCAGGAGTTTGAGACCAGCCTAGGCAACATAGCAATACCTCGTCTCTATTTTAAAAAAAAAATTAGCCGGGCATGGTGGCAAGAGCCTGTAGTCCCAGCTACTTGGGAGGCTGAGGCTGGAGGATCCCTTGAGCCTAGATGTTTGCTTGAGCCTGAATTTGAGGATGCGGTGAACTATGATCACACCAATACACTCCAGCCTAGTTGACAGAATGAGACCCGCCTCTACAAATACTTACATATGTACGTACATACATATATAAAAAGACCCCTTTAGTTTCAATAAAAGATTCCCTACTTTTTTTTTTTAAGGAAAACTATGGACTTAGAGATTATGGTATACATTCATATATTGCTTTTTTAAGTGGAACCCACCTCTTAAAATATAAGATATGAATATATATATATATTTTGAGACAGGCATTCTCTGTTACCCAGGCTGGAGTGCAGTGGCGCAGTCATGACTCATTATAGCTTCTACCTCCTGGGCTCAAGCAATCCCTCCACCTCAGCCTCCCAAGTAGCTGGGACAACAGGCATGTGCTACTACACCCAGCTAATTTTTGTATTTTTTGTAGAGACAGGGTCTGACTGTGTTGCCCAGGCCGGTCTCAAACTCCTGGGCTCGAGCAATTCTCCCACCTCAGCCTCCCAAAGTGCTGGGATTAGAGGCGCCCTGTCCAAACCCACCTCTTCTTTAACCTTATCACCTACCACTCTTCAACTCCACATTACCACTCAGTCTGTCCACTCTTCCTGGTCACGTCAGACTACTGGCCCTTTCCTTGGATAGATCTAACTTCCTTATGTCTGTGACTCCAGAGAGTGCACATTACAGTGCCTGGTACACAGTAGGTGCTGAGTATTTGCAGACTTTTTTTTTTTTTTTCATCAGAAAGGTGAGCCATCATATACAGCTGTCACCAACCCTACCCAATCATGGTTTAGCTCCACCAAGCCTGTGTTTCTCAAAGTGTATTCCCTCATCCGCCCATCAGAATCACCTGGCTGTGCTTGTTACAATACAGGCTCCCCACCCTGCCCCAGACCTACTCATTCAGACCTCTGTGGTGAAAGGTAGATTTGTAACAAATGCCATAGAAATCCAAACTTGAGAGTTACTGCTCTAGGTATTGATCATATCAATTGAGTATATTATTTACCAGTCACCATTCCAGGTTATAAGATTGCAAACATGACTACACCTTGGGCCATGTCCTCGCAGGAGGGATATCTCACATGCTGAATGTTTCAGTAGTATCAATGAAGAATTCTGAGAAGTGTTGAGTTCTACAGGGACCCACCCTAAAGGGTGCAGTACTTCAAAATACATTCCAATGGTGTGTTCCATAATAACAAATCTGATATGGGAAGGTAGGGCTGAGCTTGACAAAAGGGACCCCAAAGTCATCCTTGTTCATTGAGTTGCCTACTGGGACTAGGTTGGGGAGGAGACTGGATGGAAGGGCCATGGTTGACAGGGACAGAGTGGCTGGCATCTGAACTTTTCTTGTCTTTTTCCCACACTTGCCCTCCTGAATCTGTAAACTCTAAATGGCCCAGGATTTTATTTTTTGTGAGGGGTAAAGGTCCTCTGAGAACATCTGGCAGGGCAAGGCCCTGACATAGAGTACTTCCAGCCTTTCTACCTCAGGTCAGTGGTTGCTTCTTGCAGAAAAGTATGAGGGCCTTTCACATCCTCACTCAGAAAAGTTTCTGGTCCTTACCTGGCACTAGCTGCTCAAAAACATTTCTGCTTTTAATATTACAGAGACCATTTAAACTTACTTCCAAACCCGGGGCACATGGCAACAATTTAGTGATCTGTCATGGGAATGGTTCACAACTTGGTCTTTCTTAATTTTGTCGTAAACTCTTAACACTGCTGTACTTCTCTACCCATCCTCCATGTACTGAAGGGATTAATATATCTCAAGATGAAAGGAGCCCCAGTTGCTACTGTTAAAGAGCTGTAAGATAGACTAGGAATGACCATAGGAAGGCAGGGAGAAATCAAAATCAAATAAACATGCAGAAATAAAACCTTTAAATGATGTATATATTTTCAGTAGATGCATTATTAACTGTCAGTAATAGGGCTTGGGCCATTTTTGTATGCGACTCTTGATCAGACAGGAAGCTGGTGTAGCCGCAAGCCACAGGTCTATCTAACAGTGATTAAAATGAAATCATCTTTAATGGAGTGAATGGCATACGAGGGGCATACTTAATCATGTAACTGGGCTGTACAAATTTTCCCTCTGACAGCTGAGCCCGATGTTGTAAATCCAACAGGAAGACTGGCATTTAGAAGATATAACTCTGCCTTTAAAGTCTTCCCCTTTAAGGTGGGTTCTCTTGGCTGAAACAAAATTATCTCTCACATAGGATGGAATATTGTCATCATTGGTTTTTTCAGCAAACATTTATTGTGTGCCTGTGTATTGGGCATGTGTATCGAGTAATTGGATATACTGTACCACATACTGTTTCAGACATCTTTTCCCACTTTAACTTGTTAATATGAACTACAATTTACTCATTCGTGTTAAGCACTGGACTGGATACTGTACATAATTATCCATAAAATTCTCACATTATTGAAGTAGGATATATCAGCAACATTTTACAGATGAGAAAATTGAGGCCCAGAGAAGTAACTTGCCTGAGGTCACACAGCAATATAGAACAGAAACAGGATTTGAATTAGGACTGTATGACTCCAAGCCCTGGTGTCCCTAACCCCACTGCACATGGCTTTCCTGTGAGCATGAACACAGATGGGACACAATTCTCTCATCCTAAAGTATCGGAGCTGGACAGGACTTAAGAGGTTATCTGGCTCTACCTCTTAATTTTACAAATAAGGAAACCAAGAGCCAGTTTCATGGGAGATGATTAAGCCAAGGACTCCCTGCCTCGGAATTTGCTGAGAAAAGAAGAGAGCCCTTGCCTGAAAACCCATATTTAAGTGCTTTTACAGAACTGTCCTTCACATATAAGGATAACTTCTTCTTGATGTCTTTGGGTGATGACAAATGCGCTTGTGACAATAGTGATTTTTACATTTGTCTTGTGATGCTGTAGTTCATTAGATTTTACTTTCCAAGTTAGCATTTCTTACGATAACTTGATTTAGATGACATAGGCCAGCATGTCTCAAACTCTAATGTACATGCAAATCACATAGGATTTAGCAGGTCTCATGAGGACCTGGAGATTGCCGCTCCAACAAGCTCCCGGGTGATGCTACCCATTGCCTGGTTGCACTTTGAGTGGCAAAGATGCAGCAGGGTTCGAAGAAACCGTTTCAGCTTCTTTACTTTGTAAGAAGCATCTCTAGGCATACATATGGATTGTAAGTGGTGCTGTGGTCTGATAAAAGATAGCCAGGTAATGATTAAGATAGTGTCCTTAGGTATTTACAGAGGTATCTATCTCCATGAACTTTCTTAATGAGCTTAGGCTGCAGCAATTATATCTTTAAAAGTGGGGTTTAATGGGGAAGGCATATTTGGGAAGTCTGAATGGAGGATTGTAAGCTGCAGGACAGCTGGGGCCATGCTTGGTGCAGTGTTTTTATGAGGGTGCCAGGCTGAATATTGGTCATGCAGGAGCTGTTTAGTTTGGGCTAATGACTAAGGGCATGGTTGTCAGGTAACCTTTGGTTCAAGTCCCAGATCTGCCACTAACCAATGGTGTATGTTTGGGCAAGTTACCTTACCACCTTCAGATTTAGTTTGCTTATCTTTAAAGTGGGGTTGCAACTATTATTTACCTAAGGTGTTTTAATCAGGATAAAAGGAGATCATGTATGCATGTACAACATGATATGTGGTCTTTTCAATTATTGGGGGCCCAGCATTTCTGGAATAAGAAAAAGGATAAAATGGGCCGGGCACGGTGGCTCATGCCTGTAATCCCAGCACTTTGGGAGGCTGAGGCAGGTGGATCACGAGGTCAGGAGATCGAGACCATCCTGGCTAACACGGTGAAACCCCGTCTCTACTAAAAATACAAAAAAATTAGCTGGGCGTGGTGGCGGGTGCTTGTAGTCCCAGCTACTTGGGAGGCTGAGGCAGGAGAATGGCGTGAACCCGGGAGGCGGAGCTTGCAGTGAGTCGAGATTGCGCCACTGCGCTCCAGCTTGGGCAACAGAGCGAGACTCCGTCTCCAAAAAAAAAAAGGATAAAATGCTTTCAAGCACTTCACTTCTTCCGGAATCATGTTATTTATATTACATTTGGGGGTATTTTTTTTGCCAGGGATTCTAGTGGCATCTAGCGCTTTCCTGCACCTCCACCTCTGTGCTTTGCCAGCAGTGTGGCTAGATATATGGTGGGGAGGCAAGATTGACAGGCAGAAACAGTAGGTGGGCCCACGGAGGGATATGACACAAGATGTGCTATGGGACACCTATGCTGACAATGACTGCTCAGTTATTACTGGGAGTCAGCCTAGTTTAAGGGGAAGGTCATGGGCCTCAGAGCCAGATAGACCAGGAGAAGAACCCAGACCTGCTACTTAAAAACAAGTTCACTGAGCCTCAGTTTCCTAATCTGTGAAGTGGGGATAATGAAACCAGCCTGACAGGATTGCTGTAGGAATTAGAGATAATATGTGCAAAACCCTTTCATATAATACATGGTTAATAAAAGGGAGCCATTATTACATTAATATTATTAAAGAGGAAACTCCTGGTGGAACTATTGAAATTCTTTAACCTGATCCATCCAGGGGCATTTATTGTTCCATTGCTGTGTTCTCAGCTCCAGCTGTATACCGTGGGAGGGCGGCATGTGATTCAGAAAATTCCGAACCAGGGTCCTGATTCCTGGGTTCTGTGATTTTCCACAGCTCTGCCTGTATCTTCTACTAGGAATGGTCATTATCAGCATGTATGTTCCTCCCTCAGCTTTCTTTCCCACCTCCTCCCTTCCGGGAGAATTAAAAAATGATATGAACATTGTTTCTTTGTCTTTGGGAGCCTGGGGAATTCCGAGAGAGGAGGGATGCTGGTTCTAAAACATAAACTCTATGGGAAAAGGCCTTTTTCTAGAATGATCACCATTGTATCCCCAGTGGCCACAGAAGGTGTGCTAAAACATTTTTGTTGATTAAATAAATTTTAAAGCCCCTGAGACTATTTGTTAAACATTGCCAGGAGGGTTTCTTTGCATGGGCACCATGGACATTCTGGCCAGGGCAAATTCTCTGTTGTGAGGGCTGTCCCGTGCACTGTAGGATGTTCAGCAGCACCGTTGGCTTCTACCCACCACATGCCAGTAGCACCTCCTCGGTTATGACAACCAAAAATGTCTTCAGATATTGCCAAGTCTCTTCTGGGGTGCAACATCACTCTCAGATGAGCACCCCTGGACTGTGGAGACAGGGTTTGGACTAGGGTTCTGCTGGGGAAGGAAGGTTTATAACATGAATGAAAGGAAAAGATTTTTAAAGCTAAGACAATATACTGTATGTGTGATACCAGTAAAAATGTTTCCTTCTTTGACATCCATTACAGACATTTACCTTCAGTTGCTACAAATGTCTACTCAGGTGACAGGGAAGAGAGGTGTGGCTGCCGGCTGCCCAGGCTTCAGTGTTGCCATGAACAGCTTGCACTGCTACTTTAAGAAACAGTAACCGTAGATGATACAGCTGCAGTTCAATTTTGAATCAGCAAGTCCAGTACAGACTGACCTGTTTACAGGGCAGATCATTTAAAAATCTCAGGTTATTTGCTCTTTTGAAATTGATTCTATGGATACGGCCCAATTTTGCTTGGTAAACAAGTATGAAGTTCGGGCATGAGGTTTGGGCACATTGGTGTTTTTCAGTGACTGTTGGAATCACATTTGGCTCACAAAAGGACGCCATGCCTTCCTCTGGCCCGCCAAGTATTTACTACCATCAGTACTTCCGACATCACTATTTTGTTACTTTGAAGCCTGAATATTCAGAAAGGTGCCCATCAGCTGGAAAGAATCTTTAAGATCACAGAATCACCCTCCTCCATGAAGAAATTAGGAAACTGAGTTTCTATGAAGCCTGACATATCTCCTTTCTTTTTGTCCTTCCTTTTTCTCTTTCTTTCTTTCTTTCCTTTCCTTTCTTTCGTTCCTTCCTTCCTTCCTTCCTTCCTTCCTTCTTTCCTTCCTTCCTTCCTTCCTTCCTTCCTTTCCTTCTTCCCTTCTTTCTTTCTTTTTTTTGAGATGGAGTTTTGCTCTTGTTGCCCAGGCTGGAGTGCAGTGGCGCAATCTCGGCTCACTGCAACCTCCGCCTCCCAGGTTCAAACGATTCTCCTGCCTCAGACTCCTGAGTAGCTGGGATTACAGGCATACACCACCACGTCCAGCTATTTTTTTGTATTTTTAGTAGAGCCTGGATTTCATCATTTTGGCCAGGCTGGTCTCGAACACCTGACCTCAGGTGATCCAACTGCCTCGGCCTCCCAGAGTGCAGAGATTACAGGTGTGAACCACTGTGCCCAGCCCATATCTCCTTTAAAATCCCAATACATCAGTATCATCAGGTGTTAGACTGTTAAAATAGAGCTCTTGTTGAGTGTAACCCTTTTGGTTTTTGTGAAGATCTTCCCTACCCTATCCATTGGAAAGACTATTTTAATATTGTTTCTTCTCAGAATATTATATGAATACAATCTTGTATTAAAAATGGTGTTCAGGCCTCGAGGTGATGGCTCACTCCTGTAATACCAGTACTTTGGGAGGCTAAAGCAGTGGGATCACTTAAGGCCAAGAGTTTGAGACCAGCCTGGGCAACATAGTAAGACCCTCCCTCTACAAAAAATACAAAAATTAGCTGGCTGTGGTGACATGCACCTGTAGTCCCAGCTACTTGGAAGGCTGAGGCAGAAGGATTGCTTGAGCCCAGGAGGTCGAGAATACAGTGAGCTATGATTATGCCACTGCACTCCAGCCTGGGCAACAGAGTGAGACCTTTTCCCAAAAACAAACAAACAAAAAAATTGGGATTCAGCAAAAATGGTGGACTTGATGAAAACATACCAAGAGAATCAACTGTAAAACTCCACTTAAAAAAGGCAAGTGTGTATATGGCTTGAATGGGCAGCTCAGCAGTGAGGGATGAAGAGCAGGAAATCACAAATGGGTCACCTGTATTCAAATCACATATTTGTGGCTATGGGCAAGTTCCCAAACCTCTCTAAGTACCAGCCTGCTCACCTGTAATGGTGATAAATAATATTGACAGCTGCATAAATAGGATTGCAGGGATTCAGTGCTTCAACGGAGGTCAGAGGCTCAGCACACTAGCAAGAATTCGGCACTTACATGTTAGTCACTGACACTGGTGTGTTACACTAATAAGTACTTCCTAGTTGTTATTTTATTCTAGAGTCCTTTTAGGGCCTCTGGAAACGTGATTTCTTCAAAAAACCTGGATAATGAAACTGAGGGGACCTATGTAACTTGGTACAATTATCTCCTGCACTGGAATACAAGTAAAGACCAGACTGTGGAGACGGAGGCATTTAAAAAGAACCATATATAGCAAATTTTCATCAGTGCTTTTTTTTTTTTTTTTTTTGGTCTAGGTTAAATGGTATTATCCTCACATTGTGTTTGCTTAAAATTGACATAATACTGTATGAAGCAAACATTTGCATTATACTCATTATAAACCTTTCAAATTGAAGTGAACTTTAAAAATTAGTTAAAAAAATTTTTTTGAAATACAGTTTTTTGAATGAAAAAAGAATGCAAAGTATATTTCCTCCCTTTGAGCCCTAGAATCTCCCCCGCCCACCCCCCGCAACACACACACATAGGGAAGAAGCCCTGTATATACTCTCCTATGTGCTTTGGGGGATCCAGGAATGTATTTACTGGGCATATGTAGTAGAGCAGTCAGATAAAGGAAGAAAAGTCATATTTTAATGTTAAAGTGATAGATTTTTCATGCTAACAGTCTATTCAGAAAAAGTTTAAGAGTTTTGAAGTTTTTTTCCCCTGATTTAAAAAATAATTAAAGCTGAAAAAGATATAAAACCTACATTAAATAGCCAACTTAGTATCTATCCAAGTTGATACTTTAGTAACTATAGCCCAGTCAATCCACGTGGACTGATGTATTTCATCAGGGGCCCAGGTATGAACTGTCATTAGCAAGGTATTGATTGAGTACTTCATTCTTTGCCACACTCTTTGACATAGTTATTTTAGGCTTAAAGTCTGACAACAACAAAATGCAGTCATGGTGTTTAATGTGGATTTGCTTTTCTAAAACAATGTCCAGCAAATCGAGTTGTAAATTCAGTGCTTTACAGTAGATTTCTTTATTGGACTGCACCTGCCCAGTGGAAGTCCCGTGTTTTCCCCCAAACTAGTCCGTGATTGTGCTTCTTTAGTGACCTTCTGATAAGGAAGCGGTATTCAGAATTGCATTTTTTGTTTTTTTCAGACAGAGTCTCGCTCTGTCACCCGGGCTGGAGTACAGTGGCCCGACCTCGGTGCACTGCAACCTCCATCTCCTGTGTTCAAGCGATTCTCGTGTCTCAGCCTCCCCAGTAGCTGGGACTGCAGGTGAGCACCACCACTCCCGGCTTATTTTTGTATTAATAATTTTAGTAGAGGTGGGTTTTCACCATGTTGGCCATGCTGGTCTCAAACTCCTGTCCTCAAGTGATTTACCTGCCTCAGCCTCCCAGAGTAATTGGATTACAGTCATGAGCCACAGCGGCTGGCCAGAAATGCATTTTTGATATTCAGGTTCAACTCTTAGGGAGCATTCACTGGTTCATAGTTCAAGGACTGTAGTCCTTGCTGTGCTTACCCCAACCTGGGCATGGGCCTTTGGCATTGCCTCCACCTCTGAGCTCATGTGAGTTTTGTCTCTAGTGTGCAGTGTTTTAGCAACTGTCCAGGAAGTACAACATACTGAGAGTCCTTGGGGGCAACGTCTCTGGGATCAGTTTCTGGTAAAGAGCATTGCTTTTATAGATTCCAGATCCTAGTGGGTCAGCTGTGATTGAGGTGCTTTCTCCTCTCAGCAAGCTTCTTATTTCTCACCAACAACCAGATGTGGGCTTTCATGCATTATTTGTGTGATGAAACATAATCTTAGGCTGATATAATTGTACCCCAACATTTTTGAGCATGAACTGCTAATTCAATATAGAGAGAAAGAAAAGGTGGCAGGAATTGAGAGTCTTGAACTCCTAAGGTTTGATGGGACAGGTCATTTTACCATCCCAGGCAATGGTCCTTGGTAAAACCAGTTAAATTGCAGTGTTTCTGGTGACTAAACCTGTAGTATGTTGCCATCTAGTGGAACACATAGCAAACTAAAGATTAATGCAGTCTGACCATAAAGTTCAGCTGAGCTAATTAAATCAGCCAGAGAAAAGAACTGAAAGTATTTTCTAAAAGCAAGTGTTTTGGTAACAGCAAATTCATATGAAACCAGAGTTGACTTTTTTTAAAGTAGGCAAATGGTCACTCTGTTTCTCAAGAGTGCTTGAATATTTGCCACCCAGTTACTAACAAGTTTGCAAACATATCACCAGGCCAGGACACTGCATTTTCGTTGTCGTCTGTACAATAGGCAGTTTCTCATCTAAAGTCCTGGAGAAAATGCTTGGTTATCAGTAGGTTATTTTGGTATGTTTTAAAATGTGATTTTCAGGTGTCCATTCCCTTTCTTATTAATACATACTTATCTTTTTTTTTCTGTTAAGTTTCCAAGAATAAATCTGCTGATTTTTAGAAGAAGCCAACACATGACTTCACAAAGTAGGGATTTCACATTTTAAATTCCAACTAGCATCCCCAAAATGTCCAGTCCTGTGGTTTGAGACCTGATTTTTAGGAAGACGTGAAAGATTCTACTGTGGGCTGTTTTGTGAGCACTGACTGCTTGTTTTGTTTGTGTCTTTGTCCTGCTCCTGCTTGCCTAGATCCCTCCCTGGTGCCACAGCAGCTGAGTGCGCATCAAATCTGAAGAAAATCTACACAGTACAGACAGTACAGGTAAGATCAAGAGAGGGACTAACTGGATTAACACGGCACACGTCAGACACCTAATCACCCAACTTGAAATCTGTTGCTGTGCTGGCAGCCCCTGTCCAGGGTTCTGCTCTGGAGTTGGCTCTCGGGTCCAGGTTGGCACAGCTGCCCTTGACCAAGTCTGCTCCAGGGCCAGCTGAGCACACAGTCAGGTGGCCTGCTCTTCTCTTGGCCACCTGCTGAACCTTTATCTACTACCTAAACCTTTCATAGACCCGCACAAAAGGCAGACTGCAGTGTGGTTAAGAGCGAAGGTTTTTCAAGATCTTTATCTGTGTTCCTGTTCAAACTCCAGCTCTGCCAGTGCCTCTCTGTGCCTCTGTTCCCCATCAGTGAGAGGCAGTGGCGCCTTCCCTGCAGGGTTACTAAAGGTTTAGAGGTCACATGGGGAGAGCAGGATAGTGTGGAGCGTGAAGGTGGAGAGTCTCTGCTTGGTTTCCTACTTCACTTCGCAATTCCATCATCCTAAATTAGGCATGGATCAACCCCTTTCATCTCTGTAAAACTGGTCTAATGGTAGCACCTACCTCCATGGGTTACTGTGAAGATTGAATAAGATTATGTTTATGCCATGCTTAGTGGAATACCTAATACATAGCAGATTCTCAATGAATGCAGGCTCTTAGTTCTATTAGTTCTTTCTCTATCTAACTCTGATGGTGGAGTTGGAAAAACACAACTGAAAAAACACAACTGGCCAGGCGTAGTGGCTCACACCTGAAATCCCAGGAGTTTGGGAGGCTAAGGTGGGAGGATTGCTTGAGCCTAGGAGTTCCAGAGCAGCCTGGGCAACATAGACCCCCATCTCTACAAACAGTTTCCTTAAAAATTAACTGGGCATGGTGGCACACATCTGTGGTCCCAGCTACTTGGGAGGCTGAGGTACAATGATCACTTGAGCCCAGGATTTCAACACTGCAGTGAGCTGTGTTCACACTACTGCACTCCAGCCTGGGCAACAGAGCAAGACCTTGTCTCAAAAAAGAAAAAACCTGATTGATTTAATTGATCCCATTTCTATTTTCTTCAATAGCAGGTTCTACCCAGTTTCTCCTGTCTTCTAGTTTAGCGGGCTGGTGCAGGTAGAGAATAAGGCTATTGTGGCTGCTTCAGAGTTGCATTGACCATATGTCCATAAATTTTCTAGAAGGGAGAGATTTTAAATAGCTTTCCTGTTGTATCCCTAAATCTTTTAATGTCTTAGAAATTCCAATAGATCTGCATCTAGATTGTGTCTCTTAGGCAGCCTCTTACATGCAGAAGTAGCACAGAGATCCATTTTTTTTTTAGGCTATGGTCCCAGTATCTGGTTCAAAAAATGTGGCATGCATAATTATGAAGTCCCAGGAATCTGATTGTAAGGTGCTGCGTGTGGCTACCAAGGGCAGTGAGCTGGGTGTGAAGACACAGTCCTGACTGTGGGCCATTTCTGGTGTCGTTGGGGAAATGACATAAGCTTGTGGGAAGCAGAGCAGCAGTGCTGCTGTGCAGTGCCAAGTACAGACAGCACCTCAAGGCAGCACCACTGTCCAGAGAAATCAACGCGCTAAGAGTCTGGGAGGCCTCCCTGCACGTCTCTTCTGTGGATTTAGGGACTTCTGTTACCATTTCCCAGCGGCCATTTTTTAATCCTCAGAGCACTTGATTTGAAGGCCTGTCCTCATGTAAAGGCTCTCAGAGTCTCATTAGACTTTTCCCAACCCACATGACATTAGATCATCAGGGTTATGCAAGGGGTTCTGGGGCTGACACTAGTCAGATGAGGGGATTGGCTTGGTTTTCCTGACCCCACGAGATAACCCAGGGTATTTGGTAGAGCCCCTGAATCCACAGCATTTTAGGGTCTTCAGGGAGCAATTTAAAGCACCCAGGCAGGCACATACTAGGAAATACTTCCTTTAAAACTACTTTATTGGGATATAATTTGTATACAGTAAATGTAGATTTCTTAAGTATAACTTTTGACAAGGGTACGCACATACAACCATCACGCAGATCAAGAAGAAAAAAGTTTCCCTTACACCAGAAAGTGTCTTCGTGCCCCTGCCAGCCTCCATCCCCCAAAGCAACCACTATTCTCATTTCTACCACATTACATTCATTCTGTTACTGAATTTTATATTGATGGAATAATACAGTACTATATTATTGTGTCTGGTCCTTTGCACTCAATGAATATTGAAGGATTGAATGAATGAATGAGGCCGAGCATGGTGACTCTTGCCTGTAATCCCCGCACTTTGGGAGGCCAAGGTGGGCGGATCACTTGAGGTCAGGAGTTCAAGATGAGCCTGAGCAACAAGGTGAAACTCTGTCTCTACTAAAAATACAAAAATTAGCCTGGAGTGGTGGTGGGCACTTACTGGGGAGGCTGAGGCAGGAGAATTGCTTTAACCCGGGAAGTGGAGGTTGCAGTGAGCTGAGATTGCACTGCCCTCCAGCCTGGGTGACAGAGTGAGACTCTGTCTCTCTCACACACACACTCTCAAAAAAAAAAAAAAAAAGAATGAATTAGAAGTTAATAAATGAACCACTTTCCTGAGTCACAACAGACTGCTCCCGTAAGAATTCTGTGGGCTGCACATTCTCAGTGGGGGCCAAAGTTGATTCTTGCAGGGGAAGTAGATCAGTGAACAAATCTCATTCTTTTTACGTACAAAGCATAGATGTCCATGCAGTCCATAAACATACGGTGTCTCTGTGGTATTAAAATTTCGTCATAGGTGATTAGGAAAAAGGGTTCTTTTAGGGCCTAAGGGGGGAACAGTGAAAAAAATGGCTGATAAACACTGCCCTAAGGATCAGGAAATTCCTTTCTGTCTCAGCTGTCTCTGCTCCCTCAGTTTCTCATCTGTAAAACTGAGGTAGTAATAGTGCCTACTCGCTAAGGTAGAGTGAAAGTTAGATGAGATGGTATATAGTTCTTAGTAATGCTTGGCACTTAGCCCTCAGATGTGGCCAGCTTTTACTTAAGTGTTACTGGATTCTACCCCTCAGCTCCATCAGTTACCTGGCTAGGGTGTGGGCTAGGGTTGTCACAATGCCTTGGTTGATGTCCCATATGTGACACTTACTAGCTTGGACAAGTTATATAACCTGTCTGAATCTCAGTTTACTCATCTGTAAGATGGAAATAATTGTGATGGTAATTTTATCATGCTGTTATGAGACTTAAATGATACAATGAGGTAAAAAGCCATAGTAAGTACCCAATCATCTGCCATAATTTGTCTACTTCTACTGAGATATCTTTTCGTGCTTTCTTCAGTCATGTTTTATATCAGGAAACTATATACCACTGCTTCTAGATTATTTATTTCAAGTGATTATACTCTGGATCGCACCACCACTAACACAGAGGTGTATGTAAAGATATTTAACTTATCAATAACTTTTGAGTTTTCAGCCTGCGAGTGTCCATAACAGCTGATAAATTGTCCTTAGTATTTAAGAACTGGCCAGGATACTATCTTGTAAGTAATTTGAGGATATGCTTTTGTCCCACTGTCTTTTTATTTTATTCTAGGATTGTATATTAATTTTTTTTTCTTCAGAAACAGGGTCTCACTTTGTCACCCAGGCAGGAGTGCAGTGGTGCTATTATAGCTCACTGCAGCCTCAAACTCCTGGTCTCAAGAGATCCTCCCACCCCAGCCTCCTCCCAAGTATCTGGGACTATAGCCATGTGCTACCACACCCAGCTAAATTATTTTATTTTTTTTGTAGAGATGGGGTCTTGCTATGTTGCTCAGGCTAGTCTCGAATTTCTGACCTCAAGCTGTGTTCCCTCCTTGACCTCCCAAAGTGCTCAGATTACAGGCATGAACCACTTTGGCCTGTACGTTGATCCTTTTACTCTCACTCCATTAGCACTAAAAAAAACTGCTTCTCCAATTATGTCTGTGTTTTCCTCCCATATGTGTTTAGATGAAAGGTAAAAATCATGTGATATTAATGATTGTCTTATTAAAGACATATGAGTCTTTTTATACTTTGAGGCCCTTTAGCAAATCAAAGTAGATGGTTTGGGAGAGGAATCGTTACCCCGTCTATTAGTTGAGGAGACTGAGGCTGGAGGTAAGAGGCCCAAACATTCCATGATTGGAAAGAGCCAGTCATGCCTTGCCTCTAGGACTAGAATTCCCTCCCAGTCCAATTCTCTTTCTTTTACTCCCCGTGATTGAGGAGTGGAGGAGACTCAGCCTCCAAAGGACCTGGGAACCCCTGCTGAGGACACTTTCATCACACCTAACAATAATTCTCTCTGCCTGGAGTTAAATTCATTTCTACTTTCCTAACTTTCTTGGAAAATTCCATTTTACATCTAGGCGTATTTTCCAGATGCTTATTGATTCTCTTACTCCTTTGTGAACCTGTCCAAATTTTCCACATTTCTCTTGTGATTTTGCATCCTCAGTGGTTGCAGTGCAGAATAGAAAATGGCTTTTAGCCGGGTGCATTGGCTCATGCCTGTGATCTCAGCTACTCAGGAAGCTGAGGTGGGAGGATTGCGTGAGCCCAAGAGTTCGAGTTCAGCCTGGGAAACATGGCAAGACCCACATCTCTGGGAGAAAAAAAAATAGAACACGGCTTTTGAACAAGCCCTGTTTTACCTGTTGGAGAATGAAGAGCTACCTGCCATTTGTGATTTGCAAGAGAAGTCTCCCTTCTCCAGTTTCTTTCAGCCTTATCTGCTACAAGACTAAAAATTCCACCCCTGAAAACTCATTCCTGTACAGCACTCTGTCTCGAACATCAGTTATTTGGTGTATCGCCTTAAAGATTTTGCCACACCTATCTCACTTGTGGTACATTCTACCCAGTATTTCTTATAACTTGACTTCTTATTTAAATTTGCATAAAACAGAAACCATATTTCCTCTATAAGTGGAAATTCAGCATCGTTTATCATAAGCAGAAAGTCTTCCTAAAGAGTATATATAACCTATTGAAATTAAGAAAATGTTTCCCCTGCATATGCCAAACCTATCCTGTGTGCTGTCGATAATATCAAGACTTCATATCCGCAGGTCAAGCCGCCTGACTGGAGTTGTGCAGTTAAGTTAGGGCAGCAGATTGCTTTCCAAACCCTTGGGAAATGAGGGCTCTTCCTTCAGAAGAAGAGGTTTTCTAGGTCAGTATTGATCATGGAGGATGGTGGAAAGATTGATTCCAAGTACTTGCTGCCCTGGACACAGCAAGACAGCCCATGGTGTGTGGTGTCCTGCAATAGAATGACCTGGAGTGAACCACTTGGCTGAAGGGAGGGGCCTGAGGGGAGAGAGGAGGAAAGCCAACACTGAAAAGAGAAAGAGAAGGACCTGCAGCCAGGTCCACTTCATAGTTCTGTCTAGCACAGACTTTGCATCCAGTATAACAAGATTCTTTATCCATCATTTAGTTTATTCATTATATGCATAATAGGATCAACATCTATAGCTACAATCCAGTTATGAAGAAATATAACTGAAGTTAAATTGCTTGTATTCCTCCACATTCTCAGTGGAGGCTGTTGTGTCTGTGTATTGGGTGGGGTGAGACTTGACCTTGTTAATTAAAAGTAATTTAGTCACTTCAACTGTGAAACTGGGTCTCTTCTAATTTAAATCTCTTTTGGGAAAAATGACCACCCTCTTCTCCTTCTCCATATGAACAGGCATATGCAGAAATACCCCTGACCCCTCCTGACCTTGGGCCATGCCCACCACCTTTGGCCCTGCTGTAACCTCATGTTATGAAGACCCCTGCTATGTACACACACATCCAGACCCCAGGCCCTGTTGTCCTTAGGCTTTCTAGCAATTTCAAGCTCCAGATTGGAGATTTAGGAAATGTTGGCTGCCTTCCCCCGACCCCACCAGAATGAGGGGAACTCTATAAGGTTGTGGCAGGCCCTCCCGGCCAGAATAACCCCTCCTGCCTTCACAGCTGTTCTCAGACCTGACCGCCATGTTGCTCAGCGCTGTAGGAATGAGGGCCTTTTCTGGGAGTCTTGGAGCCTCTTGGGCTGTACCAGGAAGCAGGTTCCACACTCCTCTGGTCTAGGCATCCCCAATCTTTGGGTGGGGCTCTCTCCCATCCTTTCAGGGTTTTAACCCCACTGTCCTCTCTCTCCAAGCTTTTAACTCCCCAACTCAGAGTTGGTTTTTACTAACTTTCTATGTGGTGGGAAATTACCCTCACATCCTGTCACATCTCGTTTACTCTATGATCACAACTCCACACTTGGGCTCTCTCTTTAAGCCAAGCCCTTTTTGGAATTCAAAGGAAAACCCATTTCTCTCTCAAGTACCTAGCTCTTGTAAATCAGAAGCACTTTGCTTTCAGCCTTTGTGTCTGCTGTGAGTTAAAAACATCCATTAAACTCTTCAGTTGCCTATTCGGTTCAGATGCCTATTGGCCCTGCCCATAAATACCACTTATTCAGTTGGTGGGAAGCCCCAGGCAACTAGTAATACCTAATGAGCAAAAATATTTGTTTTGTTTTTTTGGAAATACTCTCTTGCTACACATGCCACAACCTTGGAATAAATCCTGGAATTTTTTTTTTTTTTTTTTTTTTTTGATGTGTGTTTGCTGGGTGGTTTTGTTTCTGGTTTGTTTTACAAAACAGACATATCACTTTGTTGTCTGTCAACACATGACATCTTTTCTTCTGAAGAATTTCCAAGTGCATTCTTTTTCTTCAGAACATTTCAGTAGGAAATTGAGGAGGAAATTTGCCAGTTTTCTTGGTAATGAATGATTATCTATTTGGCAGAAGGCTGTAAGGTGGGGCATAGTTGCTCCAATCAGTGCTATCAGATTGGGGATTTATCAAGTGGTCAGCATATTAATGGGTCTAACCATACTTTGTTTCCTTCCTTAGGCCTAGCAAGTGCTTTCACTTTGCATTTCATCATTACATTTTCCAGTGAAATAGCTGTATCCTTATACAGAGGAGGCAACGTGGGTTTCACGGGCTACATGACCTGTGAAGGTTATGCTGAGAACCTAGGTCTTAAATCCAGGTATTAGACTCCACTGGACAGGTGTCTTCCCTGCCTCAGTTTCTCCAGGAGAGGTGCCAGATTGGTGTTCCAGAACATACCTCCCAAGGAGTGGATTGCTGTGGTCAAAAGCTGACCCTCCTGCATTCAGCTAAGTTCCCCAAGGACCCGTCACAGTGCTCTGTTCACAACTGATGGTCACAGATGTTGACTGAATGAATGATGTTCAACTTTTATACCTCTCCTAGTCTTAGGGTGATTATCAAGGCTTTTGGGAAAAAAAAGCATTTAACCATCATTAATAAACATTGTGCTTAGTTTTACTTTTACTGCAATCTTGGATTTGCAAGTCTAACAGAATTAATTATAAGCCTAAAGGCTTCTGAAATCTATTTGCAAGATTTTATATATAGTAAAATTTAAGTGTTTCCATTTTCAAGATGTGTTACAGAGAGTATAATCTTGAATTACCAGGCTTCCGCTGTAGCAGACCTTTCACTTCTGCAAGGGCGGAAGAGGTTTTCAGGAGCTGAGTAATGCTAGATTCCTTCCTGTAGGTATTTCACCAGCAGACATACTTCACAAATATTCTACCTATTGGATGAGGTTTGCAACAGGGAAACAGACCAGTTTAATGACACATGCTTTTCAAATAGGGCTTTTTTTTTTTTTTTTAATGGTGTGACCGGATATTTTGCTCCTATTTTATGCTCAGCAAAAACGTACAAATATGTGCTTTAATGAATATGTTAAGTCTATCACTGATCTTCTTGGGCTGTAATCTCTTCCTGTCAAATTTGCCAAGCCAAGCAGAATCAGTTGTCTGTTTTTGTTTTCAAGAGAAGCTTCTAAAGCTCCAATCCTTAGCATGATCTTTAGTGTTTTTCTGATCTTTGAAATGGAAGAAGTGTTTTGTTGTATTTTTTCAGTGTGCTTCAAGTACTAGGTTAAAAAGTCAAGATTTGACAACTTTGACCGGGGTATGACGGCAGGAACTTTGGTTTGTGATGCCTTTGAGGAGACTTGAAGTTTGCCAGCACCAAAGTCCTCTTAGTTTTACCTTAGGCAGGGGTTTTCCTCTTAATGTTATTTTGTGCATAAATTCTACAGAGGTCATTGCCACATCGTAACCAGGTTCTCAGGCTGGAGTTGACAACCACCAGCCTCTTGTGAATTATGGGCATTTTACTGGTGGGAAAATATCTTCAACATGTGTCCCTCTTTCTGTGGCTTCATGACCTGATTCTTGGCTGCTAAGATTGGAGAAAGATGTGTCAAAAACATATAGTAGTATCTTCGAAGAAAATAGCTGAGTGGTTAGGAACAGAGGTTTGGGAATCAAATTGCCTGGATTCAGATTCCAGCCCTGCCTACCCACCCTCACACCACAGAAACTGAAATATTGGAATAATCTTATTTGTACAAATAGCAAAGCATTTACAGGATAGGTACCTCCATAGAGGCAGATGGGTGTTTGAGGAGCTACTGTTAATACAGTAGCTTTTAACTCCTCACTACACTAGCACCATTTTAGTAGAAGGGAGCCAAAGTGGATTCTCAATTAATACATCTGTCATCCTGTAGTTTTTTGCCTTCAATTTGATCTTATAGTTCATCATTGCCACCTTTGCAGTTAATTCAGCTTTATTATTTTTTTAACACAAAACAGGCTTGAACAACCCAGCAGGATTATCATTCAACATAGCTAAAATTCTATTCCACCCATGTGACTCAGTTCATGAGCCCTAGGATTGATTTTTCTAATTGCTATTTTACTCGTGCTGCTTTCCTCAGACCTACTGGGAGACCCAGATGATCACCCTATGCTTACCTCACCACACAGAACAATATTTCTTATTTGCACAGTAATTCTGTGGATAGCATTCATAGCGTAGTAATTCTATGACCTACTCCAAACAAATGGGGAAGTGTTTTCTTCTTCATAGCCTCAATCCTCATCCTAATCCTAATGGTCATACCAAACTGACTCTTGGGCAGGTTCGTCTCTGCCTGGTGTCCTTATCTTTAAAAAAAGGATAATAATCATACCTCCTCCTAAGAGTGTCATTAGGATAAATTGCATAAACATGTAAATGTTCATAGAACAAAGCCTGGCTCAGAGAACAGCTCCAGATCACTTGTCTTTGCCAAGACTTCCTGTTTTACTATTACTTTATTATTTTTGTATAATCTATTTCTGTTTACCAGTTGCCCTGTGTCTTAGTTCAGGCTACTATAACCAAATACCATAGACTGGGCAGTTTATGCAACAAACCCTTGTTTCTCACAGTTCTGGAGCCTGGAAGTCTGAGATGAGGGTGCGAGCATGGGCACATCCAGGTGAGGGCCCTCTTCCTCGTTTGTACATGGCCATCCTCTCCTTGTATCTTCACATGCCAGAGGGAGGGCTGGCTCTCTTCATCTTCTCATAAGGACACCAAGCCTGTCATGGTGACTATACCCTCATGACCTGATTACCTCCCAGGGGCCCCACCTGCTAACACCATCCTATTGGTAGTTAGGGTTTCAGCATATGAATCTGGGGAAGACACAGATGTGCAGTCCGTAACACTGTGTATCTTGCGCAGCTTGTTGTTTCAGCACCTGAGCTGTTCCCTCTTCCTTTAGCAGGGGAGAGATAAGGGGCAAACAGAGTGTCTAAGGTAGTTTCTCTTTGCCATCTCCTTTATCCCACAACCCCCAAGCCATAGCATCACAGACTTCTTCCAGGCTTGTAGAGAAGACAGGGTTGATTTTTTTTTTTTTTTTTTTTTAAACGGAGTCTCGCCCTGTTGCCCAGGCTGGAGTGCAATGGTGTGATCTCGGCTCACTGCAACCTCCGCCTCCCAGGTTCAAGTGATTCTCCTGCCTCAGCCTCCCGAGTAGCTGGGATTATAGGCGTCTGGCACCACGCCTGGCTAATTTTTTGTATTTTTAGTAGAGATGGGGTTTCACCATGTTGAAGACAGGGTCTATTGTAACAAAATAGTTATAAATATGTTCAGTACATATATTCAGTACTAAAGGCTTTAGTGGATACTACCTAGCTGCCAGAAAAATCATTAGCAAAGTCCTTTCCAGTTTTATGTGTAGACATGTTGCATAGGAATGTTTGCTTAATAACCATAGCTTCCTGAAACATAGAGCTTGGCACAGCATCAGCAAGGAACATCTTTTCTTCTTGTTGTTGTGTTTTTGTTTTTGTTTTTTTGAGGCAGGGGCTCACTCCTGTTGCCCAAGTTGGAATACAGTGGTGCGATCTTGGCTCACTTGCAGCCTCGACTTCCCAGGCTCAAGCTATTCTCCCACCTCAACCTCCTAGGTAGTTGGGACTACAGGCATGTGTCACCATGCCCAGCTAATTTTTTGTATTTTTTGTAGAGATGGGATCTTGCCACATTGCCCAGGTTGGTCTCGAACTCCTGGGCTCAAGTGATCCGCTTGCCTTGGCCTCCCAAAGTGCTGGGATTTACAGGCATGAGCCACCAAGCCCAGCATTCTTTAATGTTATATTACATTTTCTAACAGAGAATTAGAAGGGATACTGAGAAAAATCTATTTTGAATGGATAAAACAATGAGAATCAAAATTTTTCTTTAATGCATTAATTTGATAATCTAGCAGCATAATAAATCAATACTGGGTATATTAAACAAAGTGTTTGTTTTTCTTTTAAAGATATTTTGGAGTGTATACAATAATATCCCTCCTGTGACTAGCCTGCCTTTGAGATGTAGTTATCATTTAATGAGAGGAGAGAGGCGACCACTTTGGTAAGTGTCTAACGTGTAATTTAAGGTCAAGGTGGGAGGAAAATGTTTGTGAACCTCATAAAAGATCATATCACCTGAGATGTGTGTCTCACATGGACAACATAGAAAGTCTGTGATACCAATCATGGCCCAGGGTCTGGGGGTAAGTGTCCTCCTTCTTTAATAGCTTGATGTAGTGATGAAGATGGACAGTAAGTTAGTTTGCCCAGGCTGGAGTCCCAGTTAGTAATAAATCCTTATGTCATGTCATTCAGTCTTTCTGCATTATTTACTCATTAATAAAATGGAAATGTACCTCATCTTGATTAGTAGCAAATGACAGAAACCTAATTTGTTTTTGTGGGGTTTTTTTTGTTGTTGTTGTTGTTTGGTTGGTTTCTTTTTTTTGAGACCAGGTCTCACTCTGTCACCAAGGCTGGAGTGCAGTGGCACCATCACGGCTCACCACAGCCTTGACCTCCCAGGCTCAGGTGAACCTCCCACCTCAGCCTCCCAAGTAGCTGAGACTACAGGTGTGTGCCACCACCCCCAACTAATTTTTTATTTTTTATTTTTGGTAGAGATGGGATTTCACCTTGTTGCCCAGGCTGGTCTTGAACTCCTGGGCTCCAGCAATGTGCCCACCTCAGCCTTCTAAAGTGCTGGGATTACAGGCATGAGCCACCAGGCCCAGCCACCAGAAATGTAATTTGAGCAAAAAAATTGAGTATGTTTTTAACCTGTGACTGGGAAGTTCACTGGTAGGGGTAGTTTCTGGCAGATCCAGCTCATGTTATCAGGAATCTGATGGTCCCCACCAGAATTACTCTGCTTCATTCTACATTGGTTTAATTTTCTCCCATCTGAGGTGGCAAAGTGGCCTTCCTATGCTCTGGTCTTACACCCTGTAAGTTTACCATTGTCAGTACTCACGAGCCCAGATAAAATCCCAGGTCTGGGTCTCATTCTCCCACTTTGAGTCCCCTTTCAATTTCTGGCCAATCACAAAGACTAGGAAGAGGCAGTGCTCTCATAGGCTAGCCTGGGTCAGAAGCCCATCTTTGAAGCTAGGACGTGGAGTCAACCCTGCCTGAGTGGATCTCACAGAAGAGTAGGGGGCAAGTGGCTCTTTAGAGGGAAACTGGGATGCTCTTACCAGAAAGGGAGCAGATGTTAAGCAGTGACACACAGCAGATGTCCCCCACAGGGACACCTATGAGGCCTTGATACATGGTTGATAGGAGAATCACATGAGATCGTGTCATGACCATGACATTGAAGTGTAAGGGCCTTCCCTTGTGGCAGCTGTATTTGTTGTCCATCCCCAGAGTCAAGCGAGCCTCTCTGCACTAGTGCTTTGAGGATGAGGATCTCAAGTCCTTTCACCCTCCCTGCCCATGTAGCCACTGAACGCCACTTTCTTCCCTCTCAATCGCTAGCTCCTTCCTTTTTCATTAATCTGCTTCTGTATCCAACAAAAGGACTGGGGAAGTGTTTATTGAAAAATGCCCAATCTTACCCCCGTTAAAATGGCTTTTATCCAAAAGACAGGTAATAATGAATGCTGGTGAGGGTGTGGAGAAAGGGGAGCCCTCGTACACTGTTGGTGGAAATGTAGATTAGCACAGCCAACTATGGAGAACAGTATGGAGGTTCCTCAAAAGACTAAACATAGGACTGTTAGTGATTCAGCAGTCCCACTGCCAGATATATACCCCAAAGAAAGGAAATCAGTATGTCGAAGAGATGTCTACACTTCCATGTTTATTGTAGTACCATTCACAAGAGCCAAGATATGGAATCAACCTAAGTGTCCATCAACAGATGAATGACTAAAGAAAATATGGTACATGTACACCATGGAATAGTATTCAGCCATCAAAAAAATGAAATTCTGCCATTTGCAACAACATGGATGGAATTGGAGAACATTATATTAAGTGAGATAAACCAGACATGGAAAGACAGATACCTCATGCTGTCATTCATATGTAGGAGCTTAAAAAAAAAAAACCCTGAACTGATGGAGAAAGAGAGTAGAATGACGGTTACCAGAGCTGGGAAGTTGTGGGGGTGATAAACAGGGGATGGTTAATGGGTACAAAAATACAGTTAGAATGAATGAGGTCTTGGAGCACAATAGGGTAACTATAGTTAACAATAATTTATTATGTATTTTGAAATAACTAAAAGAGTAGAATTGGAATGTTCCTAACACAAGGAAATGATAAAGACTCGAGGTGATGGATAGATAGCCTAAATACCCTGATTCAGTCATTACGCCTTGTATGCATGTATCAAAATATCACATGTAGGCCAGATATGGTGGCTCATGCCTGTAATCCCAGCACTTTGGGAGGCCAAGGTGGGAGGATTGCTTGAGGCCAGGAGTTCAAGACGAGCCTGAGCAGCAAAGTGAGAGAGACCCTGTCTCTAAAAAAAATTTTAAAAATTAGCCAGGTGTGATGGCACATGCCTGTAATCCCAGCTACTTGGGAGGCTGAGGGCGGAGGATTGCTTGAGCCCAGGAGTTCAAGGCTACAGTGAGCTACGATCATGCCACTGCACTCCAGCCTGGGTGACAGAGTGAGACCTAGTCTTTAAAAAAAAATTCAGGGGCCGGGTGCGGTGGCTTACGTCTGTAATCCCAGCGCTTTGGGAGGCCGAGACCGGTGGATCACGAGGTGGGGAGATCGAGACCATCCTGGCTAACACAGTGAAATCCCGTCTCTACTAAAAATACAAAAAAAATTTAGCTGGACTTGGTGGCGGACGCCTGTAGTCCCAGCTACTTGGGAGGCTGAGGCAGGAGAATGGCGTGAACCCGGGAGGCAGAGCTTGCAGTGAGCCGAGATGGCGCCACTGCACTCCAGCCTGGGTGACAGAGCGAGCCTGTCTCAAAAAAAAAAAAAAAATTCAGATATACCCCATAAATATGTGCAACTATTATGTGTCCATAATAAAAAATAAAAAACAAAAATAAGAAAAATGCCCAACTATTTTGTTTTTAAGGTCATCTGTTGTTAAACTAAATGTATGAAGAGATATTTAATCTAACTGTATGTAGAATCACTTAGTCCTGAGTGTAACTTTAAACGTTGGTCTTTGGCCCAGGGAAGAGGAGAGTAATGCAAAGGGTGGCGTATGGAAGATGAAAGTCCCCAAGGACAGCACGGTAGGTTCCTACTGATCCTCTTCTAGAACCGGCGAGGCTTGGAGTTGTTGACTGCCTGTCATCAGCATTTTGTGCTTTGCAGATAGCCTATTTACCTGGCAGTCCCCAAACAGGCTGGGGGTGAGAAATTCTGTTCTGACCTTGATGATTTTCTGCCTTTCACTGTCACCTTGAAAGTGTATAATTGTGCTTCTCTATAGACGTGGTGTAGTATGTGACTGTATCATGCAGTCTGCAGGAGTAAATGCCTGTGAACTTCACAGAAAAGCTGGGTGAATGTCTTTATGGTGGTCATTCCCTTGACAGCCATGACCAACATGTTGCATATGGTTTTACAAAGTCGGAAGCAGGATCTTTCCTTCCAAAGGCTCTTCCCTCCTCTACAGGGGGAACAAAAGCAGTTCTGAGAATGACCATGTCACAGAGAATAGGGAGGCTTGGCATTTCACTATCCTTTGGGGTTTCATGAGAGACTATGCTCCATCTCCCTCTGGGGCCGATGAGAACCTGGATGGTGTGATGACCTGGTGGGATGCTGGTTTGCAGTGATCAAGTCTCAGAAACCCAGATTTCCCAGAGTGAGCTCTAATTCATCTTATTGACTGGAAATGAACGTGAACATTAAAATCGGTTATCTTAAGCCCTGGGAAACTAAAAAGCTTCTTTGAAAATGGACAAAGGGGAAGTGCTAGGCAGTTTTACCTTTTCATGGTTTCTTTCATGTGGATAAGCTCAAAGAACTGAAATGTCTCCAGGGACCCATATGCTTGAGCTGGAGTCATTTTACTATAAGAACATACCTAAAGACACGACCAGATTTATTTGTCAAAGGTGCAAACTATTAGTCAAGATTTGAAGCTCCAACATTTTACTGTTATTTGGCATACATAATGAAAAATATCAGGGCAGCAGAGAATATAAGAGAATGAGGGAATATAAGGTGTTCTTAAAATTTCACTATGAACACTTTTTGCCTTTCCATGTTCTTTATTTACTCACTTTATTTACTAGACTTTGAACTCTAGTAGAAGTAATCATGATGTCAACATTCCTTGAAAAGCGGCTGAAAGGCAGTTTTGTCCTCTCCTTGTTAGCTCACTTGGCTGCGTTGGGTCACAAATAATAACGCTTTCATATCCGTGCAAATGCCCTCATCCCAGGCAGTTTAGCCTACTTTTCATCATCAACCAGTGGGAGTCTTGTGGGCCAATCCTGTCTGAATTCAAAGCAGAAGGGTGAAGTCTCCCTTCCCCTAACAGCCTCTCGCAGCTCTCAACTTCATCAGTAACAGCTTGAAGGAGTGTAGCTGGACAGATAGAAAACGGAAGCAATGATTCCTAGGTGGGAGACTCATAGACCAGAAGGGACAGGCTAGGAAAGAGAAAAGAAAAGAATGAAAGGTCACTTTTCAGTTCCCTGGCTAACTGCCATGGCCTTGGTTAAAGATTCAGCGAGACTGCTTTAAGCTTGTGAGGACATAATAATACACACTATTATTATAGTTAATATGTATTGAGCACTTGGAATGTAGCAAACACACAGCTGTTTATGGCATGGATCTTAAATGTTAAGCCCTTTTATTGCAGTCATTGTACTAAGCCCTTTGTGCACACTTGTTGACTAATTTCATACCCACAACAGCCCTGGAAGGTCGGACCTATTATTATTTCCTTGTTCACCTAAAGAAACTGATGACCAGAGAGGTTGTTAACCCATCTGGTTTGCAGATAGCAAGCAGCCTCTAAGGATTCAAACCTAGTTTGGGGGCAATTTGGAGCCTGTGAATCACAGGAAGGAGGATAAATGGGACCAAGAACTTTTCAAAGGAAGTAATGTGTGTGGAAATAATGTAGCTGTCTATTGGATGCCACTATTAGATCATGAGGAGAAAGAAACTCCAGTATTTCTCATTGGTAGGAGGCAGACCGGAGCGTGCACTGAATCTTCCAGGGAAATTACATACATTCTTACATAAAGTTCTATCGCCTGCCATAAACAGTCTGCCTCAAATGAATGGAATTTCCCAAGACTCTAGTATTAAATAAACAAGAAATGTCCTTAAGTGTTCTTTACTTGTGTAACCTTTTAAGTACCTTATAAGTAGTAAGAAAAACAGAGAAAGGATTTTGAAGAGAAAGATTTTACTAATAGCATCCACATATAATCAGCTTCTATGTTTTGAATCAGTGAGAGGTAAAGAAATTTGAAAGTTTTAAGTCATTTGAATGCATTTTCCCTAGAAATTCTTCTGAATTTCACCAGGGGTTTCACTAGAGATTAGCTTTTACCAGACTTTGGCTCACTTGTATCTGTGTAAAGTTATTTGTAAACCAATGAAAAATATGCCACGGTGATAAGTGTTTGCACCTAGGATTTGGAGGTGTCTGTGGACTCCAAGTATGGGCACAGAAAGTGCATGTGAAGTTGAAGAAAACATAATTTGTTTAGCTCCTGAGGATAATTGTCTAAAAATATCTGTATTTTGTTTGTTTTGTTTTTTATTCTTTTCCCATATCAGTCCACAGTTTGGAAAGAGTTGCTGTTAGCAACCATCGGGGAACAGTTCACAGACTGTGCCGCAGCAGGTAAAGCAGCCCACGGCTCCGGCCGGCCCTGCCTCGTGTGCTCCTGGCTTGTGCTTGTTTCTTGCAGCAGCTTGTTATCACGTGTTTGACTTTTTACATGTTTTGAAGTTGTTTATTTTGGAACTACAAAGTTACTCAATTTTTTTTCATGTGATTTTCGTGTTCAGTGTTAGATATGTGTGTCTGTGTCCATATGCATATTTACATATGTGCATATTTATATATGTATGTATATATTCATGTATATTTTTCCCTCTTAGCTTAATTTAATAGTATCTATAACCATCTGTCCAAAATAAATAGGCAGAAAAGAAAAATCTCACATTAACTGGGCCCTTAACACAATTGGTAGTAGGTTCCATTATCTGTTCCAGTTCTTCCAGAAGGGGAAAGTGTCTTCAGTGTCTAGTGAAGTTTTTAGGTGGACAGGCACAATCCTCTCTGTCCCTCTCAACCCCTAACCCCTTCGTCTTGTTCTCTCTGTCCCCTGCTCAAAGAGGACTAGAGTGGTCGGTGGGGACATGCTCACCATTATATCCTGTGATCTCACAGTGGAGGATAAGACAGAAGTTCTTCAGGGCTTTTCTTTGGAGACCATTTTCAAATACCCAGGGTATTTCTGAGAGCAAAACAAAAAGCTTTTGTTTTGCTTTGTGTTTATCATGAACCCATTCAAAGAGCAGAATTTAATTGCTTGTTTAAAGTTTTGTTTTCTTTTGGGGTAGTTCCTTCTGAATGCTCCTGAAGTAACATTTAGAATACTATTTTTCTTCCCCAGCTTTCAGTTAAGTTTTTCTTTTTAGCTAATGACAATGATCAGTTGTCCCTCAGATGTCTTAGATGGGGCCGTGTTTGAGAGCCCTGTAGGCCTTGCCAGTCCCAGGGCACATTTCAGATTCATCTCGTGAGCAGTTCCAATCATTCCACTTCTGTTTTGCTTACTTCTTACACCACTTTTTATTCAGTTAAGATAAAACCTGCGCTGGGCGTGGTGGCCCATGACTGTAATCCCAGCACTTTGGGAGGCCAAGATGGGAGGATCACTTGAGGCCAGGAGTTCAAAACCACCCTACGTAACATAGAGAGACCCTTGTCTCTACAAAAAATGCAAAAATTAGCTGGGCATAGTGACATACACCCATAGCCCCAGCAACTTTGGAGGCTGCAGTGGGAGGATCACTTGAGCCCAGGAGATAGAGGCTGCAATGAGCTATGATCGCTATTGTACTGCAGCCTGGGTGACAGAGTGAGACCCTGTTTCAAAAAAAAAAAAAAAGAAGACCTGGGTTAAGATAAATTTGTCTATAAGTACAGATTCCTTCTGTTTTAATAGGGAGTATTTAGCAACTTGATAATATACAGCCAAAAATGTATCCTGTGTATAATTATAAACACATAAATCCCTGGGAGAGGAAGTTTTCTGCATGAATTATTCCTGTTTCCAGAACCAGGGAAAAATAGTCTAAGTGGTAATAAATAGCCAGTATTGAGTAAAGAAGACCAATTGTTTTGTGGTTGACTTGGGACATGAGCGCACCATTAACTATTAACCATTAGCTCTTCCATTAACTAGCTATGACACTTTAAGCAAGTCAGCTAATCTCTCTGGGCCTCACTCCCCTCATCTTTAAGCAGTGGCTCCTCCCAGCTCTAATGTCTTATGCTGCCAGTACCCTAAAATAATCAAGGTTTTGCTGGTTGATTCTACTTATGAATATTACATGTTTGCTAATGGATCTGCCTTTGGATAAGAGTTGCAGCCTTTTTTTACCGAGCCATTTGTGAAAGTGCTGTGCTAGTAACTGTGCCTGGTTACCAAGAGCCAAACCAAACTGAAATATTGACAGTTCGGCATCCATCAGTTACATTACGCTTTGACCAATAGGGTAGAAATGGGCAACACCAAAAGACTGGAGACATGAACATTTCCCCAAAAGGGTGATGTGACTTCATGGCCACTCTTGAAAGTGGTAAACTGCAAAGCTTCTCTTTTTATTTGATGATTTTTATTTTCACATAAAATATAACATTGATCTCTGGCAAGATTATTTTTAAAGTGTAAATTAGAAAGTAAAGAATCTGTATCTAAAAATATTTTCTTGATGGGATAATAAGTTTCTGTGAATGGCCATGACAAGGTACTATGTTTTTTGACTCTTTTGTTTAAATGTGGCATATATACAGAAGATTGCACACGTCGTATGTGTACAGTTTGATAAATATTCACAAAGTAAGCATACAACTGTAACTAGCATCCAGATGTACAAGCAGGACATTACCAGCCCGCCAGGATCCCCCCTGCTCTCTTTCCTTCCTTCAAAGGTAACCTCCAGTCTAACTTCTAACATTATAGGCTAATTTTCCCTGGTTTTGAGTATTTACGTAAGTGGACTCATTTTTAGTGTCAAGTCATACACATTTAGCCAGGATCAAATTCATTTTAAAAAAGAAAAGAAGGAAGAGGGGGAGAAAGAGAAGGGAAGAATGGAGAAAAGAAAGGAATTACTTTACTGCCGATTATTTCTTTTAGTAAATTGGATATGTTTTTATTTAAATTATATCCTAATACTAAAATGTTTTAACTTCCAGAAGACAATTGGAAAAACTGATGGCATGAATATTTAGATTTACAGAGGCCAGCAAATTAGGCAGAGCATACTAACTAAAGCAAAATTTTCTCATATTGATAATGCTTATCTCTCACGTATTACATATTGATACTGTTTATGAAAGTGCAGAGAGCTGACCGTATTGCATTACCGTGTCATGAACAAGGAAACAAAGAATCAAAAGTTTGTATTCCTTTCATTTTGCTGCAAATTTATGTAAACAAAGTGGCTGCAAGGGAGGATAAAACAGTATAACACCTTACTATCCATCCGCCGTTCTCAACTATGTGCAAGACAGCCCTAATCTGGAATTTTGTTTTTTAAAAAAAGTCCACCTTAATCAATGTGGATAAATGCCTTAACGTTCATTCATTGAAGGACGATCCTATAATAGCAGAGCTGTACTCAGAAGATTTTACTCTCACTCTATACACAGTGCTAACAGATGGTCATTGGCTCTCTAGCCCACAGTATATAATGCCCAAAACCAGAAAAGGGATTTCTAGAGGGAGGCATCAGGAAGCAGGAAGAATTCATAGGAAAGGAGCAGACAAGTAAACCGCAGAAAGCAGATGAGCAGTCGAGAATGCACAATCTGGCTCCAGTTCGTGTTGGGGCAGATAGCGCTGACCACTCCAAGGTCCCTGAAAGCTTGGCAGGAAGTCAGGAGAAATTCTTGCTCTCCTTAACAAAGACAGCAAGGCATCAAGGAAAAGTTCATTTCAGTTCACTTGGCTTTCAGAGGGCAGGGAATTATGCAACCCATTTTAGAAAAAGTCTCATCAAAACAGAGTAAGAAATAGTCACAAAGCTTTGGTAATGTTAAAAAGGGTAAATTACTTATCTGGAAAATGCATTTGGCTGGAACACTTTATCTAAGTCCCTGGATAAATGTGATGTGACTGCTACAGCTTTTGTGCACTGACTTGCTTTCCTCCAGTGATTCCCCATAGAAACAATTATTTCTTACAAGTTATCTTGTGCCACCTTCTTTTTTCCATCTTATCCTTAATTTTCAGATAAAAAGACTAAGTTCTTAGAAACAGTCAGACTGACTTGGAAGTATCACTCATTTTTTTTTTTTCCTGTCTTCCCCTCAGATGATGAAGTAATAGGAGTTAGTGTCAGTGTTCGGGACCGAGAAGACGTCGTCCAAGTCTGGAATGTAAATGCCTCTTTAGTGGGTGAAGCGACTGTTTTAGAAAAGATCTATGAACTTCTGCCCCACATAACTTTTAAAGCAGTATTTTATAAACGTAAGTGCTTCATTTCCAGTTATTACTTTCTAGCTTACTCTATCATACTTTTAAAGATAGAAACTGTTTTGCAAATGTGGTGAAGGCAGATTTACTTGAAATTTGATAATTCAGAAAATAATTCAACAAAATACATTTAAGTTTTTTTTTTTTTTAAAAAAAACAAGCTTAGTCTCAGAAATTAAAGTAAGATTTTATTCTTGCCTAACTGCGTGGATCAGAAAACGAAATAACAAATATTGTATTTGTTATTTCAAAAATTTGTACCTGAACTCAAATTTGTAATTCTCAGAAAAAAAATTACATTCTATTGGAAACAACAATAACAAAAATGTCATTATATGAACTGGCAGGTAGATATTCAATCATCCCTTCATAAACAGGAATTTATAATGTATAACATCTGTATTTGCAGAAGAAATGCATTCTGAGCACAGGCGTGATTGAATGTTCTACTGAAATGCTAATACTTCCTCATTATGAATGACTATGACACAGAACTGAGGGAGAATTCACGCCTAGTGGTGAAATGTTAACAGTATGAATAGGTGTGTGGACCCATTGTTTTCCATCATGATTCATTTTCATTGCTTTTGTGTGCTCTTTTGAAAAAGTCTTCTTTTTCATAATGAAAACATCTTAGTGCTATTAAACCAATGTTTGGTAGATCAGACTGCAGGTCACACATTTAACAGAGTTAGAGAAAAGGACGACAGCCCTACACATGTATGATAAATTTCCTATATCCAAAACTGTTCCTGGAGTCAGTAACCCATTTTTTAACTACCGTATTTCATTGAATCTAAGATGCTCTTGAAGATAAAATGCTCCATTATTTTAGTATTACTGAAAAAGAAAAATAAAAGGCTCCCAATTAAACTGTAACACATTATTGGTACCAGAGGTCTTCAAATATATGTGTGGTAGTTGTGAGGAGTGCGTCTTAGAATTGCTGAAATACATTTCATTATTGCTTCACTTTTTCCAACTCTTTGCCAAAAAAGGATAAAAAAATCAAATTTTGTTTTGTGAGTATCCTAGTATGACAGGGGATATTAACACTAAGGCCTCCCTGTAAGGAATCATATAATTACAGGCCAAATGACCTAGATGTTAAGCAGTGGGACTGATCTGGCACTACAGATATTCTGAATTTTAAATGGAAGTTTAAAAGAGACAGAAAAATGGCACTGCAGAAGTTGCTTATTGGCTGCGTGGTGTAGAAGTTGCCAATTTGCCGATGCCATTTTTATTCTTTAGGGATACTTTAATTGTATTTTCACCCCAGATATTAATTGAAAGGTCATCAAGGGTTTTTTCTTTTTTTTTATTTCACAAGACTAGCAGAAACTCTATAGACGGAAGTGTATTTCATTGGCATTTATGTATGGGGCTAAAACATTTTTTCCCACCTTTGAACCAGCTCCACACTTGACTCTAAAGAGGAGAACACCAATTTGGGGTCGTTAAGTCAGGCACTTTAGGTTTTTGTCCCACTTCACCAGTGTGACCTTGAGCAAGTCACAACTTCTCATCCTTTACCTTTCTCATCTGAGTATCGAGGAGGTTGGTCTTAGATGATCTCCAAGGTTCCTTCTACTGCAAAATTCTATGATTAAGTTTCCAGGTAGCACATTGGTTAGCAGCAGGCTCAACACAGATAATAAGATATCTGTTTTATCAGATAATAAGGCCACAAAGTGGTTAGGCTAGTTTTTAGGGCCATGGCAATAATCAGATAAGATTGTCAAAGGGCAGGATGATTCACTGCTTAGCTGTTGTGATGGCTCTGGGAAAGAAAAAAGCCAAACAAGGGGAAAGAAAACTGCAACTTGGCCAGTTAAATCAAATAGATACCTAAAGGTAGGGGCCATTGCAAAGTATGTAATACAGAACTGAGGAAGGGTCTCAGCAGAAATTCATACTTTAAGGGCATAAATTGGCATTTAAAAACTCAAAGATTGTTCAAATAAAAATCTGAATTTGAAAAAAAACAAGCAGTTTTCTTTATTGTAAACAAAGCAGGCAGTCCTTTACTCAGCAGGGTATACACTACTTGCTGCAGAAGTAATTTGGAAAAATAAGATTTGGGCTGAAATCTTTTTCACAGCAGGGTAAGCTAAGTTAGAAATGGCCAATGTATGCTTTTACTCTGGTTTGGTTAATAGGATCCTAGTGTAAGTATTCCCAAGTTTACATAAGCCAGGTGACTGTAGATTTTCCATGTAGAAAGAACCCAAGCATATTCAGTCATGGCCTCTAGCGGGTAGATGGGCATTGGGCCATTGATAACTTACATTTGATATGGATACACATTATTTGACTGAGAAACTCACAATGCACAGACTCCACTCACTGACCAGCCCCACCCTGGCCAATTCTGCTAAGTTCTTCAGAACAGCTGAGTGACAAAGGTCTTTTCTGGTGTGAGAATTGTTTACAGCAGGAAGCTGGAGCCCAAATCTGCCCTCTGTGTTACCCTCTCCGCTCTCCTGTTTCTGTATAGGTATAGCTGAGAATGCTTTTTACATTTTTCAGTGGTTGGAAAAAAAAGAAAAAGTATATTTTGTAACACATGAAAATTATATGAATATCAAATTTTAGTGTCCATAAATAAAGTTTTATCAGCATAGAGCAATACCCATTTGTTTCCGTATTACCTATAGCTGCTTTAGTGCTACAATGGCAGAGTTAGTAATTGATACAGAGGTCAGGCATGGTGGCTCACGCCTGTAATCCCAGCACTTTGGGAGGCCGAGGCAGGCAGATCATCTGAGGTCAGGAGTTAAAGACCAGCCTGGCCAACATGGCGAAACCCCATCTCTACTAAAAATATAAAAAGCTAGCCAGGCGTGGTGGCAGGTGCCTATAATCCCAGCTACTTGGGAGACTGAGGCAGGAGAATTGTTTGAACCCAGGAGGTGAAGGTTGCAGTGAGCCAGGATCACACCATTGCACTCTAGCCTGGGCGACAAGAGAAAAACTCTGTCTCAAAAACAACAACAACAAATAATAATAATTGGGACAGAGACCATATGGTCATAAAGACAAACATTTATTCTCTTCCTTTTCCTGAAAATGTTTGCCAACTCCAGGCTTAGAGCAATTCTATAATCCCTTTCTACCCAAGGTAACCTAAGGCTGACAGTACACCTGTTCACTAGGCACTCCCAATTCTGAATGTTCTGTTGTACTGTCTCTTTAACCCATCAACATTGTAGTTTGCAACTATGACCACCCCAGACTGCCCCTCACACCTAGAAGTAACACAGATCTTTGGATAGTCTGTATATCTGGATTTATTGTTTGGAAACCAGGTCACTGTAGTTCTATGGTACCTCTACTTGACCCTGAAGCATAGTGTAATTTCCTTGCAGATCAAAGCGTGTTTTCTTCGATATCTTCCCTAAATATCTTTCTTAAAAAGAAAACACACACACACACACACACACACACACACACACACTCAATGTGAAATATTTGCAAAGTTAAAGCTGTGAGAAATGTTCTATTAAATTAGTTCAGATTTCAGGCTGCCCTTAGGAGTATGGCCAACCTGAGGTGACCTGGGAGGTATAAAGTGCATCTCTCCCAGTGTTTCATCCAAGTGCGGAGTAGGTTGGGGTGAACGTCCAAGATGATGTTGAAGGGAAAATAGGCCCGTTCCATCCACCCCCTCAGCAATAGTCTGAAGAATTTAGTCCTTATGAAAAACACAGAGGCCAGGTACAGTGGTTCATGCCTGTAATCCCAGCACTTTGGGAGTCTGAGGCCGGTGGATCGCTTGAGCTCAGGAGTTCGAGACCAGCCTGGGCAACATGGCAAAACCCTGTCTCTATCAATCAAAAAGACAAAAGTTAGCCGGGCATGGTGGCACATACCTGTAATCCCAGCTACTCAGGAGACTGAAGTGAGAGGATTGCTTGAGCCCGGGAAGTCAAGGCTGCAGTGAGCCGAGTAGCATGATGCTACTGCACTCCAACCTGGGTGACAGAGCAGCAAGACCCAGTCTTAAAAAACAAAAAGAAAAATAAAACAGAACTGGAAGGGGCTTAAAAGGTGAAATGGGCCAGCCCATCTGCCTCCCTAGAACCCCATTCACTGCTAAGTGTGGGTAGCGTGTTGGGGATCAAAGCACCCAGAGTCCTGAATCACCCCACCTTTATCAGACGTTGCTTCCTGGTAATGGTTAACCAGATCCGGGAGGTAGATTGTCACACTCAGTCTTTTGCCTTAGAGAAAATGTTATGTATTTCGTAGGTCTCCCTGTGGCATCTTCTACTTTAAAAAACGTTAAGTGTTTGAAAATATTTTTGGTAGCATAATTTTTTTAAATTCCTGAGTTCCGGCTGGGCCTGGTGGCTCACGCCTATAATCCCACTACTTTGGGAGGCTGAGGCAGGTGGTTCACTTGAGGTCAGGAGTTCCAGACCAGCCTGTCCAACATGGTGAGACCCCCATCTCTACCAAAAATACAAAAATTAGCTGGACGTGGTGGCACACGCCTGTATCCCAGCTACTCCAGAGGCTGAGGCTGGAGAATTGCTTGAACCTGGGAGGCAGAGGAGGTTGCAGTGAGCCAAGATTGCGCCACTGCACTCCAGCCTGGGCTACAGAGCAAAACTACGTCTCAAAAAAATATATATATATTCTAGAGTTCCTAATTAAAATTAGTAATTTTGCAAGCCAGATGATAGGTCTGAATATCTATTGGCAGGGGGAAACTTGATTTGGAAAAATAAAACTTAGCAATTTTATGAAACTTCATTTCCCATGGAGAGTGTTGAGAGGTAGGGAGCAGGGGCACCTAGATATAATTGCTGTCACCCTGGTGTGGTTCTTTGTTTTGTTTTATTTTTAGTTTATTTTTAAAGATAGGCTTGTAAGCGGCTCTGTCTTGGGTTGTGTCAGGCACCCCCTCTCCCCACCCCCTGCAATGCATTTTGTGGGGCACATTTTCCCCTGCGGCATTTGCTTGCAGCCCAACATACTCTCTTCATCGGCTTGCTGAGATGACTCATCCTCCCAGGCACAGCAAGAAGAAACAGGCAGCATGCCCATTGCTTGTTTATTCCTTGTTTTAATTTTCATTATTACGTTTCTCAGGAAATGCACGCCTTAGCTAACAGTTACTGGCAAAAAAATAAATAAATAAATAAGGTGTTTGAGTTCTTGCCAACATTTGGGGAAGCTGAATGAGATGCCTAGAGGAGGGTTGGCCCATCCTTTGCTTAAAGTTTTCTTTCCTTTTTTTCTTTTTTGTTTTTTTTCTGTCCTTTAGCCCATGAAGAGCATCATGCTTTTGAAGGTGGACGTGGAAAACACTAATTGCACTCTGTAAAGAATTCTTTGTCCTTTGCTGATTGGTTTTGGAAACGGTCTTAACAGGAGGGAGAGTGAAGAGAAGACTTGCCGAAGCCGATGCTGGTCAATTTAGAGTGGGTTTCTGTCCTTGCAGATGGGCAATTAGGACTCAAAGTGGCAGGTGGGGTGGGGGGAGATTGTGTGGGTTTCTACCGTCACATTACTTGCTTTTTAAAAAAAACACACACAAAAAACTTTTTTTTTGGCTTTCTAAATTCTCTGTTCTTTTCACTCTGATTTTTTTTTTTTTTTGCCGTTTAAAATTCCTTATTCAGCCTAATTATTGTTTTCTACACTCCCCTTTCATTGAGGCACAAGAAATGGGTTTCCCTTTAAGTAGCTCTGCTGTACCTAGTTAATGAGAATATGCATAATCGTGACAATACTGCTTTTGAATACCACACTGTACAAGGAGGAACACTAGCTTGGAGAAATCTGTCTTCTGATTATTTGTTGTGACACATTCCTATGTACTGTGAGCTGGGCATTGTTTTTTTCTGTCCCAGGGAAAAGAAAAACCATACTTAATGTGATTTTGCACTGACAGCACACAAATCTTTAATTTTCCTTTTTAAAACATTTTTTTTTAGTGATAAAAGGAAAATAATAGTTGGATTGCATAACATGAAAACTATAATCACAATTCAGTATCAGGATATAAATCAAGCTCTAAGTCTTTGGACCCTCTGTGGAAACATTTCTAACCCGAATTTTAATTTGGCCTTTTCAACCAAAGGCTTAGAGTGGTAGCAAGGGATTTCTTCCAATAGGAAACCTGATGTTTCTGATTTAAAGAGAAGGTGATATTTTAATTGTTTGAATTAAGCTCCTTGCAAAGTTCGGGTGTGTTTACCCACTTAGGGCTTTCTTTCCCAGTCAACGCTAACACATTTTGTTAAATGATCCCTTTCCCTGCTCACATTGTGTGTCATTTCTCATCATCAGTAGTCCTCCAGCCTGGGCAGCTGTCCCCACCCTTTTTCATGTAGGTGCAGGAAGTTAAATCTCATTTCCAGGATGCATGTGAACATTTACAAAGTTGAACTTTGAGTGCATTCTGCTCATATGAATTATTGGGATTGTTGATATATATTGTATTATGCTACCAAAGAAATATTGGTTTTATTAGAAGGAAATGGTCATCCTCTGGACCATGGAGACTAGCTCAGAATACGCTGATTTCCCTCTCCTGACTTTGCCAAGCCTTTGGCTGCTTTTGCCTGATAAAGGGCAGGGCCATCTGAAGACACTTCCCCCAGTCGGCTTTGGAGTCACGGGAGCTAGTGCCTGCTCACACATTTTTCAAAAGGGCAGTGCACTCAGAACTTCACTGTACCTGGGATTTTTAATTCCTCTTGCAGTGTTGACCAGCAGAGAGACTTGAGGCTACTTTAAGCCTCCACTATGTGTTTGTAGATAAAATTCTCCATTCAAACATTTTAAAGGACTTTGAACATTATCTGCTTATGGAAGTTGTGCCCTTCACTTGGTTAGTAACCACCTCAGCCATAATACTTACCATCATAGGTTTCTTAAAATGCTTTTTTTTTTTCCCTAAACTTGAGTTTCCTTAGTGATTTCAAAATGAAGTATAAGAATATCAGATCCAGTTAGCAAAAGCCTAGGACTTGTTTCTCCAAACATTGTACTAACATTCAACTTGTTTTAAAATTATGACTCAAGAATTTTAAAAAATTATTCTGGACATGAATTAAAACTTTTTTATAATATAAGTATTTTTCTGATTGAAAAAAGGATATAATTGACTTCACTCTAATTGTCATGTATATTTCCATAAGTAAATGGATTTTGAAGTATTTTTATTTTTTGAACTTTATTTAAAGCATTTGTGATGACATGTTCAACTTTTGCATGTATGTAGCCTTTGAAGTAAAAATAAATAGGAATGTTAGGCTCACGTTAATATTTCTAGTTTCTGTTTATGATCATGGAACATGACTAGCACACAAAGTAGATTTTTGCCCCAGTGAACTTCTGCAACTGTTTCTGACCCTTTAGAAAATACCAACTGTGAGAAGGATTTAATTTGCCTAATGTTAAAAACCTATCATCTAAATTACTTTCAGAGAGGATTTTGTCAGATTTTGGTTTGGAAATTGTTTTAATTGAATATTTAATCATAATAGACTTTGTATGAACTAAGCTGATTTAATCAGTTTAAAAACCTCTCATTACCTTCTTAGATTAAAGAAGCTAATACTGTTTTGAGATAGAAGGAAATATTTTGTGGGGCATGTGACTTTTGTGTTAAGGCAGTTTACCCATCTTGGCTGATGTGGGGAAAGTGCAAACTTCCAGTAGAATCCCGGTCTTTTCATCCAAGTGCTTGCAGGGGCAGCCTTGTAGTCTGCAAAGAACCATGCAGAAACCAAAGAGCTTGCTTTTTTGTCTTTGTAATTCCTTAGGGTCTGTGATATATGCCAGGAAATCTGATTGAAACTAATATGCTTTTTATTCTCCCATTATTCCCTAAATTGTTATATCACAGGCACTTGCCTACATTGGGAAAGTAAGGACAAATAATACCCATTTAAAGTAACTTGCCTATATTTTGACTGTCTTTCGTAAGCACTTGCTGAACTGCTGACTTAACTCAGTTTTAAGATTTCCTCTTTCCCCCCAACTTTTCCACATTTCTTAAATGAGGGTGTAATTTACTGCAAACATGTACATTTAATATAATATTGCTGTTAGATTCGTGGTACACTTTATGAAGCAAAAACATGAAAAGGAAACCACAACTCTAATAAACTTTAAATTAAAGATTAAGATGACTCTTTCTCACCCCTCTTCTTGAGTTTAGCCCATGTCTACACCATGCACACAGTCACAAGACTTTATAGCTTAGAAACTTTAGGTATAATTGGGTCCTATAGACATAATATACAATCCACCAACTGAGCCTTGGCCGAACTTGTCCCTTGTTAAAGACGTAGGGCTAGCCAGCCACAGAGCTGGGTATTGAAGTCGGCAAGTTGTATCCCGGTGCAGGCGTCCTTAAATGGAGAGTACTCAGAATCTGCCAGCCTTAACCTGCCCACTAGCCACCCTAATCAAGCATTAAATATCTGATCCAATCTGGCCACTGGTGTAACTCCGTAATCAGACATCCTGTTTGTAAACAGCTCCTCCTTCTCTCCCTCTCCCTCTCAGAGACAGAAGTGGTGCTGGGGTTTGGAGTTTGAAAATAACCTTCCTATGACAGGAAGTGGGCTTTTGCTATTAGTTGCCCAACTCTTAGAGGATCCCAGCTTGTGTCTTTAGACAAAACTGACAGCCTTTGGAACGATCGCATGGTGGCGCTGCCTTCCAGCCAACAGTTCTGGCTCAGCAGCAGAATTTATCCAGCTATGTTTGTAGAATTTTTTTAAGATCCTACTGCATTTTGCTCTTAAGCTTTTATAAAAATTTGACGAGAAAATGTAAAAATGATACTTGGCAATAAGACATTTAGTTTTCATGCACCTAATAAAAATGTGTCAAAGCTAGATCGCTCCAGATGTGCTTAAAATATCTCAAATCCTAGGCTCTCATTGGCCTTATAAGTGATTGGGAAGAAAAAGAATAAAATAAACTCACATATAGGAGATATGGAAAATATTTCATCAAATATTATGCCCAAAGAGAGAAAATTAGGAGTTGATTTTTTTTAGCACTCTGAATATGGAACTTCCTTTTAAAAATGTAATTCTACCCTTCACCTTTCCTACATTGTATGTTTCTGTGAGATTTTACTCATTACAAGTGAAAGTAGAGGACTGCCTGTGAATTGTTCACTTCTGAAAAGAATATATTGAGATCAGTTAAAATTACTCAAGAGTTTGGTGACTCAGGATTGTAAAAAGCCTGGATCTCAACAGCTGGGAGGAGTCAGAGGGTGAAGTGGGAAAAAATAGGGACTGAGAGGCAACGAAAAGTCCCTTTGAACCTGTGGTCATTTATAGCAATTAGAGTGGGTTGCCCCTCTACTTCTCCCAAGAAGAAATCCCAAATAGATTCCTTTCATGTCAGATTATACTGTTCTGATTTTATTTTCTATTATTTTTACATATACATCCAAATCTAAGAATACTTATTCAGATTGGCCCACTCAGGCCAAAAGTCACTGTCTTGTGTTCTAGAAATTCTTTCATGTTGCTGACATAAATCCATTTTTAAAAGAACATTCAGGGACTCTTAGAATTTTAGAGTGGAAGGGACCTTTGAGATCATCTACCAGTGCTTCTCACCCCTTAGCATGCAGCAAAATCACTCAGATACTTACTTATTATTCACATTTCTTGACCCCAGCACTAGAAATCTGGGAGGATATCTGCATTTTTAACAAGTGCCCTAGTGATTCTAATGCTGATGGTGCTCAGATCGCTCTTGGAGAACCCCTGATTTTATCCAACTCCCACATATGACAAATGAGGAAAGCCTCCCAACCCTAAGCTCTGTCAGGTGACCTGATTCCAATGTATGATACCAACAATCTTATGAAGGCTGGAGAAAACCATTAATACTGAGACTTGAGTAGATGATGCTCGTGAATAAGAACTTTATGGCTGGGACCACAGCAGTCATGGGAGCCCATCCCTGGAAGTCCATAATATAAAGCCTTTAATACAGAGTGGTGGTTTTTCTCTTTTCTAAATACCATTTCAGTCTGTTAAGAGAAAAGAAATTAGTGTTCAGAAAAGTAGTTACTCCATATGTGCAGTAACTACTTTTCTATAATGTCTTATGGCATCTGGGGTTCAGCATCATTGAACAAGATTAAATGAACGTTATAGAGCTATAAAATTGCATGTAAAATAACACAAAACTGTTCAAATGACTATCAAAGTAGCCTGGGAATGAATTTCCACTAAAATTAATTGTCACTTTCAAAACGTAGCTTAGCAAAGCTGTTACTAAACTGGAGAGATCCTTTAATACATAGAAATGTCAAAAAAATCAAATAAGTATTCCCTAAACGATGTGAGTGATAAGCAAAAGTCATTGCAAAGTCAGTATTTTTTTGTTCATCATTGCTACTGAAATTCAGAGTTCCATTGTATATGTGTGTCTTGAGTGTACCTTATTAGAATATCCAATACAATAGCTTTTGGATATTCTATGCTTTTGTGTCCTTCAGAAATCATGAGATTGAAGGAATCTGTGTTAAATGTTTTTGTTTTGGTTGCTGCCTGAAAAAAGTTACCAACTCATTTAGTGAAATGCAAGATTTCTTTATGAAAATTTCAATTTCTAATATCGAAGTCAGATAATTTTTCTTGAACTTTTATTTTGGAACAGATGTTTATTTCGGATCTATTAAAGTGTCAACTTTGCATTATAGAACTGAACATGAAGTAAATTGAGTGTTTCTGAGTTTTCTATAGAAAATTTATGCTACCTCTCATCTTTTCACATACAAATAAGCAACTTTTAATGAAGGCTTAGGGTGAAAATTTTAATTTTAGCACTTTACATTACATGATGAATGGTGAATATTAAAGGACTTTGAACATTTTAATAAACTTACAGTGTTTCTGTTTTCAAATAGAGGTATTGATGCTGTGGATATACATTAAATTCTCCCCAAAGTTCTCAGACTTTAATCAGATAATGTGGCTTACAACCATTGTTTTTGTTTTTAAGTTTTAACACTGTCTTTTCAGTATTCATTTAAAACAAGTCACCATGACTTTGAATATATTCTCATGGAGAATTTATTTCAATGATTATATAAAAGAATTTCAAAATTTAAACTAGTGAGCATACTTTAGCTTGAGACAGCTAACATTATTTGTCCCAAATTTAAAATCTTACATTGAAAGTTATTAATTCTTTAGAATAGTCTTACCTGTGTAAGTTGAACCAGGTTTGTTTGATTATGTTTTGGATCTGCTTGTGCCCCCACCCCCCTATTTTATACCATCTGTGCCCTGTGCAGTTGGGGACCCTTTCACATCTGGCTACAAGCTGGTGTAATGCCCTTCCTTTTGATCTGGCTTCATCTAGTGATTTGCTCAGTATTTTTAAGGTCAGACTGAAAACTTTTCTGTTCTAGTTATTTTTGATTTTATATTGTGTGTTGTGTTTGATGTTCAGATACATGTGAAAGTTGCTTCTATAAGTCAGTATTTTTTATTCCAGCCTTTTGCAGCAATAAGGTAAGACTAGACTATACTTTTCTTACTTGAAAAGGTAGTGATTTATGTGTTTAGTGCAAATGTTTAGACTGTTTTGCAATTTTCTAATTTGGGACTATATTGCTATGAATTTGTGCTTCTTCATTTTTCAGGGTAGTAGTTCACAGGGTTTGTTTAAGTGTTAGTTTGTAGAACTTTATTTTGAGATCTTTTGTAATCTGTTGCTACTAATTCTCATTCTGTATTGAGGTTCTTATAGTATAGAAATGTCATTTTCATCCTCCAGTTTAAAAATTTCATGCAGTTTAATCAACCACATCACTTAATCATTATTAGATTTCCAGTGTGTGTGTGGTGATTAGAATAACCTTGTTTATTACAACACATATTAAAAGTTTCTGTCCAACACCTCTAATATGTGTGACGCTGCTAGCATGGAGTCTGACGCTTAGTAGGTTATCTGGTATTCTGATGGGGAGTAACTGTTGTTATTTTTACACTTCCCTGTTGAACACATTTGATAATAGGGCTCATCTGGGTCTCTTAGAAAACGTATCTTGCTTATTTTAATTCTTTTTCTTTACCCTCTATTAAGAATGGTTCCGTTTTAGAATAAGTCAATTACTCTCGTTGCTCTTTTGTGCTGCAATTTGCTGGTGAGATTCAGTTGTCCCCTGTTTCGGCAAGTAAAGTGAATTTACTCCTCCTTTCTGGCTGTCTAATATATTCCTTTAAAAACAAACAAAACGTACCAACAAACTCTTCTTCCATTCATCTGCAGACTTTCCTATCTCTCCCTGCAGAAACAAGCAATTCAGGATCTTATGTGTGATGCCTAATTAATTTTAACACAGCGAATTTAATGAAATCGTTGAAGAGCAGGGCATAACACTAGGAAGGCTTTAAAATTTCATAATGTTTCCCTCTCATATTTGCATCTGATTACTGCCACCATGCATTCTGTGTGTACTTTATCATCTAGTCGTTATTGATGCACTTTTTGGAATGTGTTCTCGGTTGTTCTATTAGCATAGGTTCCTCTGCCTTGTCACCTAACGTACAGTTTTCTTGGAAGCCAAGACCATGCATGCCTTTTCTTCCTCAGTGATCCTTTCGCTGCAGTAACTGCTATTAAAGAACTTTTAACTGCTTTTCGTTAATGAATGCATAAAAAAATCTCTGGAATCCTACAAGACGATGGTTCTTTTGTTACATGAAGAAAAGAAAAAACAGTAGCATTTGCAAGGGCCAGCAAGTTAAAATATATGTCATTAAAATATGTTTCTATTTCCCATCATCTGGCTAGGCTGTGGTGCTGACTAGCTTATTTCTTGCCAGAGAAAATAAGTTTAAATCATAAGCATATTTAACTAGCAAGCATAAATCATAAATTCTTTATAATCGTAAGCATGTTGAACTCTGGTACCATTTGTACAGATGGCAGGGCTAAATGTGTGTGCTCCTCTAAGCATTAAAGATGTGGACAAGCTCTTACTCCCCAATTTCCTCTTTAACTCAGGAAACTTAAATCATTTGTTTTTTGCACATATAGGATTATATAAAGTATGGACCTAGAGAAAGGTTTCAGATCTTAGGAAACATTTGAGTTTTGTGATTCATGCTTACTGGAAAAGAATGATGGAAGTGAAGGTTAAACACTAAAGCCGTGTCCCCTTTTTAAGGCGAAAATAATTAGTGTTTCATGAAGATAGTCAAGTTATAAAGGACAAGACTGTTTTTCAGAATTTTTTTTTTTTTTTGAAAACAAACATCTTGGAATCCACATTTTAACAGAGGTCCATCAGCTTTCAAAGAGTGTTCCCTAGAAGGGTGGTTCCACAGAAACACTTTCAGATATGGCAAAGTTTTCATTGTAAAATACATTTTAAGAAGTATTTTTAAAAGTGTAATAAAGCAATAACACACAGTGACATGCATCACATGGCCAAATTTTAACATTTTGGAAGCCAGTAAGTATAACTTATGTACTCACTGATTTTGTTTTATGAAATGAAACAAAGGTTTTATAAAACCTTTTTATTGTAAAATAAAGGTACAGAAAACCACACAAAACAAATGTGTAACTTACTGAATTGTTACAAGGAGAACACTCTATAACAGCAGGCCAAGAAATAGAACTTTGCCGGTCACCCCAGGAGCCCTTTCTTGTGTCCCCGCCCTCTCCACTAAAATAACCATTATCCTGACCTACAGGAGACACTTGCATTTCTCTCTGGTTTTATCACAGGTGATAAACATCATTTTACATATAGAATCTTCTCTAACTATGAACGTTGGTTCAGAAAACTTATTTGTAAGTCTTTTAAATGATGAGTGCAAAATGACACACTATAAGCAATTGATACCCCCGTAAGTTAGTAACTGGGCAGAATTTAATGTGCTTTTGCTGTAGTGTGTGGCTCTGTCCATAGCTATAATATCCACAATAACAATAGCATGTATGGAGTTCCATGCCATCTAAGCATAGAGGTTAGTTCTCCCCAACACTCTACGAGGTAGATGCTGTCATTGTTGTCCCCAGTTTGTGTATGTGGAAACATATGCATGAGGTTCAGAGAGGTGAAATAACTTGCCGAAGGTCACACCAGTAGTCAGTTGCAGAACCAAGATACATCTAAGGTACTGTGGCTCCAGCCTGTTCTTCAGTGAGGCTGCCTTGGTGGAAGTTGAAGATATGATGTGCAAGAATTTTGAGATTCCTTATGAGAGTTTGTTTACAAAGAAAAGGTTTTACAGCTTTAAGAAAAAGATGGAAAAATCACTGGCCTAGTTCAAACTTTTCATTTTACAGATGAAGAAATGACCCAGAAAGTATAAAGAATTCGTTCAAGGTCACACAAGTAGTTGGTGGCAAAGTTGCAGCTATATCCCAAATCTCCTGGCTGTTAAAATCAATGATCTTTTCTTCATTCCATATATTATGTGGAAAAAATGCATGTTTTCTAACCTGCTTCTTTGCGACAACTCCATGTAAGCAGATTTGTCTTAAAACCAGTTTATAGCTAGGACACACCATCTACTTGCTTATTTTCTCAAGGTTTTAACTGGGAATTAAAAAATTTATATCTGAAGCTTGCTTTTCTGTCTCACTTATTGAGTGCCCAATCTGCAGACACACATGCCTAACACTCTTCTCCAAAGAATGTACAAGAATAACACATTTGCTGGTGTGGATGGCAGGTGAAAAAGAATTACTGATGTAGCGTGTAGGCCCTTCAACATATTCACGGCCAATTCCGGATTATCCCAGCACAGATGGATCATGCAAAATCCCTCTTCTACTTCTTACTGGTGACCTTTAACTATTTGTGTTTGCAAATGCTTCTACCAGGGATTGGAAAGGAGAAGAGCAGAGAAGATGGAATTTGGTTTCTTGACCAGAATGTTAGGTGTTCTGGTAAAAGGTTTGGTGGTTTTGCCACTTAAGAGTACAGGGAGACCGTAGGATTCTCTCTGGATTTGAACTTGTCCGGGATGCCCAATTTAGCCTTGAATATGAACAATCAGAAAGAAAGCAAACTGACGCAATGCAAAGAGCTTAGTTTGGAATTTGCTTTATTGGGTTGAAATTCTATTCGCTTGTGCCTTGAGCAAGTCCCTCAACATATCTGAGCCCCAGTTTCCTCCTTTTTAGAAGGGCAAGGTAGAGCTTCTTCAAAGCCAGTAACATATGAAGCACCCAGCTCAGCCCTTTGGATGTGGTAAAGAGTTAGTAAATGGTACTTCCATTGGTTGGCTGTATCAATTCATCCATACAGTGAAGAGAATGAACTGCTTCAAGGAAACTTTCCCACTTTCCTCCTCAGGTATTGGCCCAGCTTAACTTGTTTGAGGTCCTACAACAAACAGTGTTGAGGTGGCAACACTGTGGCCAAACCCATTAGTCTTCTAACTGCTTGTTTATGATCTTTCTACCTTATTGTACCATATTGGGAAAAAACAAATCATCCCCATTTACTTGAGTTCTGTGCACTTGACTTCTGCGTTGATTTGCCACAAACCAACTTAAAACCGAAATGAACTTTCCAATTATTTTCTAAGAGCATTATTGCCATCATAACATAAGAAGGAAGTTCAGGGTCGGGCGCAGTGGCTCATGCCTGTAATCTCAGCACTTTGGGAGGCTGAGCTGGGTGGATCACCTGAGGCTGGGAGTTCAAGACCAGCCCGGCCAACATGGTGAAACCCCATCAATACTAAAAATACAAAAATTAGTTGGGCATGGTGGTGCACGACTGTAATTCCAGCTACTCAGGAGGCCGAGGCATAAGAATCACTTGAACCTAGGAGGCAGAGGTTGCAGTCAGCTGGGATTATGCCACTGCACTCCAGCCTGGGCGACACAGCGAGGCGCTGTCTCAAAAAAAAAAAAAAAAAAAAAAAAAAAAAAAAAAGTACAGTTGATGAAAATGTTTTAGAGGCTGAACAAATTCTCACTGAAGCATAAGTCTCCTATTGTCCATCTTGGATTGCAGACACTCAAACTTGTCACTGAGGGGACAATTGTGAGAAGCTCCCAAGAGTTCCCTGTATGATGTGCATATTATGTTTTTTATATATATATATATATATATAATTATTATATTATTATTTTAATCCTGGCTACCTTAAAGGAAAGTTAATAGGCCTTAGTATTGCTGAGATATAGACCATATACAATATTGACTCATTAATTCAACAAATATTTCTTGAACAGCTATGATGTGTTAGGCACTGGGGATACAAAAACAAGACATGACATCATTCCTATTTCATGGAGCTGACAATTTAGTGGATTGGTAAATATTAAAACTGAACTACTAGACTATAAGAAATGCAGGAAGTGTATCTTAGACATTTTTGAGTTGCACATACCTGGCATGTAAGTATGAATGCAATGCATGTTTGAATGAAGGAATGTTTGAATGTTGTCATAAGCGGTGTTTTTTTTTTTAAGTCAAAAACCCCTTAGATTTCTAAAGCTGAGTGTTTTTTTACTAATCTCATTATTGTTTTCAAATTCTCCAATAATAATAATAGCTTAGACACTGAATTCAGTAACCACAGAGGCTGTTTATAATTTGTTGGTGCTTTTTAAACATCTTTGAAAGCCAAACAAGCCCTTGACTCCTGGCCAATAATTCACTGTGTCTTCATGTATATACCTGAGGGGTAGCAGTCATCAAAAGGCCTGTGCACCAGCATGTGAAATATGGGGATCCTTATACTGTGGAATGTATAAAGATTGCTTACTCTGTAATTTTTAAAAGCCCTGTAACTCTTTATAAAGCATATATAGCATCTGAACAAGAAATATGACACTAAGTCTAGGATTAAATAATATCTTGCGGCCACTACCTTATGCATTTTCAGCAGTTTGGGAACTCCACTAAGTGCAGGTCAACAAGCCCAGAGCATCATAAATGAGCATCTGTCCCATGACCCAGCTGGAGACCCCTTCCGATTATTCATTCCAGAAGCACGTGCTGACACCGGGTTCAGCCCTCGTGGCTCTCTCACTCACAGTGGTCTTTTAAGATTGTAGAGAGGTCAAATCCTTCCACCCCCATGCCTTGTGGAGTGGCTAAATGTTTTCTGGGTCTTACTTGCTTTGTAGCCCTGATAACTCTATTTTTTAAATTAAAGTAAACAAAAGAGGGCCCCAGCCAGGGAGCAGTCCAACCCAGAAGACGTGTGTGGAAAAGGTTTAAAAAAAAAAAGAAAAAAGATGTTTTAAATGAGAACAGGCAGCTCTGCGGAGAAGAACTTGTTCGATTCGGCACCACTGCTGTTTCGCCCGCTGACCTGGACTTTGCAGCCCAAGTTCATCCTTCCACTTCAAAGGCCGGGCTCCGAGCAGATCACACGTTTTACTTGATGACAAATTAATCAAACTTGATTTCTTGGATGAGATGGATACAAAAGAACTACAACTCCCCAAGGCCTGAAAGTCAATACAGCCCTTCTGGCTCTGATTAGGGTAACAAAAGGATATCTGAGAGCCATCTTCCTCCCTGCTCAGGCTGTGGGATGGAACTAAAAGCAAGCCGGGCTTGTAAAGGAGAAAGGCCTTATTAAAACACATTTCAGCTGCAACCAAGTGCATGGCGAGCCCTCCTGACAAGAGAAAATTACTTTTTAGTAGATGCTCACCTTTTCTCAAGAGCAAAGTTTCCACTTAGAAGAACCTAGAGGAAGTAGTATATTATGAATCTGAAATGTTTATAGATCTCGCCTTTTATGTTTCTGCTGTGAAGATGAGGTTAAAAAAAATCGCCCGGTGATATCTGGCAAATGTTAGAGAGAGCCCACGTTTGGTTAAGTAAACTTACTTCTGCTGGGTTAAAAATGAAACTCCCCAAGTCCAGGGAATTTATGTACCTGTTAAGGCAGGACTAGGACAAGGTAAAGTAATGGCTTCAAAATGCAACTGCTCTGGGGCCACTCCGGCAGCCCACTCATGTGAGAGGGCGAAATAAGCCTTCTGCTAAATCGGGGAGCGCAGGATTTCAATGCAAAACCCTCTTAGCAGCTTTGTCATCCTCCTGTTCTGCGGAGCATCCAAGGACATCGCTTGCATCCTTCTTGTGATTGCTCTATGGTCTATATTTAGAAGAATTGCTGTTGCACAAAATATGGTCCCCTGACTGTTCTGGGGGTGCTTCATGTCCTTCCCAAAAAGGCTTCCAAAAAAAAAAATGGAGGGTTTATACCTTTATAGCACAATTTTTAAAAGAAGGCCCTGATGAGTGTTTCCTTTAATATGTGGGCAGCATGCACAAATCTATATACCGTGGGATCTTATTTTGTAAGTTTGTGGGATCTGCTTCCACGCAGCCGCCCCGCCGCCCGGAGAGTAGGGAATGAGGCGAGGGATGGTTAAGTATGCGGAGTGAAGTTGGGTCACACGGGCCCATCTCTCATTTCTGACACTCAGTTTGAAGATCCTTCAAGTGTCTTTCTGATCCTGACAGGCAGTTTTTAAAATGTTTGTGGCATTCCAAGACGCTTAATAATTTAAAGCTGTATTTTAGATTCCAGCAATGAGCACAATACCCCGAGAGTTAGCCCTCCCCCTGCGAGCGGCTCCGGATGCTGCCATGCTGTCTCTCCCACTCTTCTCCGACACGGGTGCTCCAAGCCGCGGCCAGCCAAGCCCCTGGTCTCTCTGCAGCCCTCTGCTGGGCCCCCTCCTGCTCACCCGGTAGGGATGCTCTGAGGGTGAGCCAAGGCCCCCTCCTCCCCAAAGCCTGTTCTCTGCTCTCCAGCAGAGAAGAGCTTCCTTTCCTGCAACAGAGAGGGCACTTGAGTTTTCTTTTAGCCTCCTCTATGGCCTTCGACTCATTCCACGCATAGTGTGTATGGCCATTGTAAGTGTGGCACTAGATTAAGGGTTCCCAGGCCTTCTCCCACCTTTACATCACACACAGCTCTGCACACAGAGGTTCAGCTGTTAGATGAGTTGAAGGAGCAACATTCCCACCAGCTCATCCGAGATCCCATCTTAGGAAACCCATTCTCCGCGCTTGGGGGATTGCTGTTTTGGTTTGCGAAGTGAGAAGACTGGCTTCCTCAGCCTTACACCCCAACTTGCTAGTCTTGTGACCTTAAGTGAGCCACCTAACTTCTGAGTCTCAGTTTCTTCATCTGAGTCACAGGAATAGTGAATTCTCCCACCACAGAGTGTGAAGATTAAATGAGACAATGCACGCGAAGGCTCTTTTCGTGCTATCCAGTGTTTCTCATGGATAGATCTTGATAGTAATGCTTCATGGTACCACAGTGGTCTGACCAAGGTGGGCCTGTTTTTGAGATACGTGGCCAGTTGTTTTAAAATTCCATTCTACAGTAGAATCCAGAAACCTCTCAATTTCCACAAAGACCCCCATTGTTAAGGACAAAAGTAATACCTGCTTATTTTAACAAAAACAATACCAGTAGCTAGCTTCCTCTCCCCACCAAAAACTTTTTTTTATTCCTAAGTCGTACTTGTAGGAAATACAGTGCTTATAGATATCTAAAGACACGGAAGAAAGTTGGGCTGCTTGGGGCTGAGACGAGGGCCGTGGCTGGGGCCACGGGGGTTGGGGGGGTGCAATGGAGGAGATTTAGGAAGGAAGGTTACTAAATGGGAAAAAGGAGGGGCAAAAGAAATGCAGCGAGCCTTGCGAAGAGGCACCTACCTTATCTCAAGTGGTACAACAGATATTTACTTGCAAAAGCTGTCTCCTCCCCATGTGTAGGAAATTTTCTAAAGAAAATGTAGCCACCATGTTTCATTTATGTGAGTATCTCCAACACCTGGAAGACTTTTGTACCAGGAGGTGAGGTTTGAGGACAGGTAAAATCTACCAGAGCCCCCTGACGTTCGACAGTTTAGAAACCCACCTATAGGTAATTAAGTAAGTCACTAGTCCCGCTGATAGACAAATATTCCTTATCTTCACACGATAAGGCAGAAATGGTTGGGCCTGTAGAAACTTCACTGAAGGTTTGTGGTTTTAAATCCAGTTGTTCTTGTCAGTGTTGTGTCTTGTCCTCAAGGACGGTTTATGCCTCTTGTGTTTATGTAGCAGAATTATAGTCTCCAGGACAGGAGCTGTGCAGTATGAATAGTTTCTACTGGACATTTTGCTAGAAAGTATGTGTCAAATTCTAAGAGTTCAAAAATGAGAGTTGATTGCTTTGATCTTCTCCTTTTTTTGTTCTGCTAAATAATCTATGTCTCTCTGCCCATGTGGAGACTCCAGACAGAGCAGCCCTAGAATGTCACTCAAAATAAAACAGCAAAGGTTGAAGTCATGTTTAGGCCTTCACCGAGACGTTGAGTAGTTGAGAGTGTTCCCTTGTGTTACCAGAGTCTGGGAAGATTTCTGCCCATAAAAATGCATCAGTGACTTGTGATTATAACATACCCCCCTTCTAACAAATCTCAATAGCCATTTAACGTATCCATTTGTATATTTCATTCTAAACACAATTTTAAAATCTTACATGTTGCAGACAAAACACTTAGTTCAAAAATTCAATTGTTGGGGGACAAAATGTATTTATCCATGACGATACAGGTTTTGAAAGCGGCTCCTGTTTTTATTATTATTAATATTATACTTTAAGTTCTGGGATACATGTGCAGAACATGCAGGTTTGTTACATAGGTATACATGTGCCATGGTGGTTTGCTACACCCATCAACCCGTCATCTACCTTAGGTATTTCTCCTAATGCTATCCCTTCCCCTTGCCCCCCACCCCCCAACAGGCCCCGGTGTGTGATAGTCCCCTCCCTGTGCCCTGCCCATATGTTCTCACTGTTCAACTCCCACTTATAAGTGAGAACATGTGGTGTTTGGTTTTCTGTTCCTGTGTTAGTTTGCTGAGAATGATGGTTTCCAGCTTCATCCATGTCCCTGCAAAGGACATGAACTCATGCTTTTTTTATGGCTGCATAGTATTCCATGGTGCATATGTGCCACATTTTCTTTATCCAGTCTATCACTGATGGGCATTTGGGTTGGTACCAAGTTTTTGCTATTGTGAACAGTGCTGCAATAAACATATGTGTGCATGTGTCTTTATAGTAGAATGATTTATAATCCTTTGGGTATATACCTAGTAATGGGATTGCTGGGTCAAATGGTATTTCTAGTTCTAGATCCTTGAGGAATTGCCACACTGTATTCCACAATGGTTGAACTAATTTACACTTCCACCAACAGTGTAAAAGCGTTCCTATTTCTCCACATCCTCTCCATCATCTGTTGTTTCCTGACCTTTTAATGATCGCCATTCTAACTGGCGTGAGATGGTGTCTCATTGTGGTTTTGATTTGCATTTCTCTAATCACCAATGATGATGAGCTTTTTTTCATATGTTTGTTGGCCGCATAAAGGTGTTCTTTTGAGAAGTGTCTGTTCATATCCTTTGCCCACTTTTTGATGGGGTTGTTTTTTTTTTCTTGTAAATTTATTTAAGTTCCTTGTAGATTCTGGATATTAGCCCTTTGTCAGATGGACAGATTTTAAAATGTTCTCCCATTCTGTAGGTTGCCTGTTCACTCTGATGATAGGTTCTTTTGCTGTGCAGAAGCTCTTTAGTTTGATTAAATCCCATTTTGGCTTTTATTGCAATTGCTTTTGGTGTTTTAGTCATGAAGTCTTTGCCCATGCCTATGTCCTTAATGGTATTGCCTCGGTTTTCTTCTAGGGTTTTTATGGTTTTAGGTCTTACGTTTACATCTTTAATCCATCTTGAGTTAATTTTTGTATAAGGTGTAAGGAAGGGGTCCAGTTTCAGTTTTCTGCATATGGCTAGCCAGTTTTCGCAACACTATTTATTAAATAGAGAATCATTTCCCCATTGCTTGTTTTTGTCAGGTTTGTCAAAGATCAGATAGCTATAGATGTGTGGTGTTATTTCTGAGGCCTCTGTTCTGTTCCATTGGTCTATATATCTGATTTGGTACTAGTACCATGCTGTTTTGGTTACTGTAGACTTGTAGTATAGTTTGAAGCCAGGTAGCATGATGCCTCCAGCTTTGTTCTTTTTGTTTAGGATTGTCTTGACTATACAGGCTCTTTTTTGGTTCCATATGAAATTTGAAGTAGTTTTTTCTAATTCTATGAAGAAAGTCAGTGGTAGCTTGATGGGAATAGCATTGAATCTATAAATTACTTTGGGCAGTATGGCCATTTTCACTATATTGATTCTTCCTATTCATGAGCAGGGAATATTTTTCCATTTGTTTGTGTGCTCTCTTATTTCCTTGAGCAGTGGTTTGTAGTTCTTCTTGAAGAGGTCCTTTACATCCCTTGTAAGTTGGATTCCTAGGTATTTTATTCTCCTTGTAGCAATTGTGAATGGGAGTTCACTCATGATTTGGCTCTCTATTTGTCTATTATTGGTGTATAGGAATGCTTGTGATTTTTGCACATCGATTTTGTATCCTGGGACTTTGCTGAAGTTGCTTATCAGCTTACAGAGTTTTGGGGCTGAGACAATGGGGGGTTTTCTAACTATACAATCATGTCATCTGCAAACAGAGATAATTTGACTTCTTCTCTTCCTATTTAAATACCTTTATTTCTTCCTCTTGCCTAATTGCCCTGGCCAGAGCTTCCAATACTATGTTGAATAGGAGTGGTGACAGAGGGCATCCTTGTCTTGTGCCAGTTTTCAATGGGAATGCTTCCAGCTTTTGCCCATTCAGTATGATATTGGCTATGGGTCTGTCATAAATAGCTCTTGTTATTTTGAGATATATTCCATCAATACCTAGTTTATTGAGTGTTTTTAGCAGGAAGGGGTTGAATTTTATCGAAGTCCTTTTCTACATCTATTGAGATAATCATGTGGTTTTTGTCATTGGTTCTGTTTATGTGATGGATTACATTTATTGATTTGTGTATGTTGAACCAGCCTTGCATCCCAGGGATGAAGCCAACTTGATTGTGGTGGATAAGCTTTTTAATGTGCTGCTGCATTCGGTTTGCTAGTATTTTATTGAGGATTTTCGCATTGATGTTCGTCAGGGATATTGGCCTGAAATTTTCTTTTTTCTTTTTTTTTGAGACCAAGTCTCGCTCTGTTGTGCAGGCTGGAGTGCAGTGGCGTGACCTCGGCTCACTGCAACCTCCACCTCCCGAGTTGAAGCTGTTCTCCTGCCTCAGCCTTCTGGGTAGCCTGGACTACAGGTGTGCGCCACCATGCCCAGCTAATTTTTTTGTATTTTTAGTAGAGACGGGGTTTCACCATGTTAGCCAGGCTGGTGTTGAACTCCTGACCTCAGGCAATCCGCCCACCTCAGCCTCCCAAAGTGCTGGGATTACAGGCAGGAGCCACCGTGCTGGGCTGAAATTCTCTTTTTTTGTTGTGTCTCTGCCAAGTTTTGGTATCAGGATGATGCTGGCCTCATAAAATGAGTTAGGGAGGAGTCCCTTTTTTTCTATTGTTTGGAATAGATTCAGAAGGAATGGTACCAGCTCCTCTTTGTAACTCTGGTAGAATTCAGCTGTGAATCCATCTGGTCCTGGGCTTTTTTTGGGAGGTAGGCTATTAATTACTGCCTCAATATCAGAACTTGTTATTGGCCTGTTCAGGTATTCGACTTCTTCCTGATTTAGTCTTGGGAGGGGTATGTATCCAGGAGTTTATCCATTTCTTCTAGACTTTCTAGTTTATTTGCATAGAGGTGTTTATAGTATTCTCTGACGGTAGTTTGTATTTCTGTGGGATCAGTGGTGATATACCCTTTACCATTTTTTTTATGTCTATTTGATTCTTCTCTCTTTTCTTCTTTATTAGTCTGGCTAGTGGTCTATCTGTTTTGTTAATCTTTTCAAAAAACCAGCTCCTGGATTCATTGATTTTTTGAAGAGTTTTTCATGTCTCTGTCTCCTTCAGTTCAGGTCTGATATTAGTTATTTCTTGTCTTCTGCTAGCTTCTGAATTTGTTTGCTCTTGCTTCTCTAGTTCTTTTGTGATGTTAGGGTGTCGATTTTAGGTCTTTCCCACTTTCTCCTGTGGGCATTTAGTGCTATAAATTTCCCTCTAAAAACTGCTTTAGCTGAGTCCCAGAGATTCTGGTACATTGTGTCTTTGTTCTCATTGGTTTCAAAGAACTTACTTATTTCTGCCTTCATTTTGTTATTTACCCAGTAGTCATTCAGGAGCAGGTTGTTCCGTTTCCATGTAGTTGTGTGGTTTTCAGTGAGTTTCTTAATCCTGAGATCTAATTTGATTGCACTGTGGTCGGAGAGACTGTTATGATTTCCATTCCTTTACATTTGCTGAGGGGTGTTTTACTTCCAATTATGTGGTCAATTTTAGAATAAGTGCTGTGTGGTGCTGAGAAGAATGTATATTCTATTGATTTGGGGTGGAGAGTTCTGTAGATGTCTACTAGGACCACTTGGTCCAGAAGGCAGCTCCAGTTAAAAGTATGTTACAGTGACAGACTTTCATGTCTCTGATTCTTAAGGTGTTTTCATTGCAAGACATTCAAAATAGGGGAAAAGTATCTCTCTTTAATAGTTGGTTGTAGAAATTCTCTGGCTAATTTTTAGCAGAATAGTTAAATAAAGCACTCAGCCCATTAGATTCTTTTAAAGCCACTACCCATGTGCAACCTGTCAGTGTTAACATTTATAAACTAACCAGCGTGGCTTTCATGGGATCACTGTGGGCTGCCATCTGGCTCACTGGCTGGAGTCATCAAGAGAAAACCAAGACCAGCTGATCCTTGGAAACTCGTACTAAAGTATTTTCAGAGCCCAATTTATTCCATATTTGAATTTTCACTGGGATAAGTTTTTTAAATAAGAATATAGCAAAATACCAAATCAATTTCAGTAGCCTATAACATGATAGGTAAAGTAGAAGAGGGTCACCATGAGCACCATTGCATCAGGGCCACCATGCATCAGGGCTGCCTCATTGCAGGTGAGAGAAACCAGCTAAGATTCTTATAAGAAAAAATAAAATTATGTCTGATGTAATTTAAAAGTTGTGGAGTAGTGGCTTCAGGCACAGCTTGATCCAGGAGACAACCTCTTAGTTCTTTTTTGTGTCATCTTCATGCTCCAGCTGTAGACATACGTCTTCGAGTTTTTTTGTTTTGTTTTGTTTTGTTTTGAAATGGAGTCTTGCTCTGTCGCCTAGGCTGGAGTGCAGTGGTGTGATCTCAGCTCACTGCAACCTCTGCCTCCCAGGCTCAAGCAGTTCTCATGCCTCAGCCTCCCGAGTAGCTGGGATTATAGGCACACACCACCACACCCAGCTACTTTTTTGTATTTTTAATAGAGATGGGATTTCATCATGTTGGCCAGACTGGTCTCGGACTCCTGACCTCAAGTGATCTGCCTTGGCCTCCCAAAGTGCTGGGATTACAGGCATGAGTTTTTAAGTCCAAAAGAGACAGAATGGGCCTCTCTCTCTCTCTCAACAGTCCCAGTAAGCCCCAAGGTTGTGTACCATTGGTTCTACCTGACTCTTTTCCTGAGCCAATCACTGTGGCCAAAGGATGGAAGTGCTGTGCCAGGCCAGGCTTAAGTGACCCATTCCTACAGCTGGGGTGAAATCATGAAGATGATTCTCCCCCCACCCCCCACCAAAAAAAAATGGAGGCATTGATTCTGGGTGACAAAACCCAAAAAAATCCACTATAGCATCAAGTTCCAATAGCTGGGTGACCTTAGGCATGCTGCCTAAATCCAAAGCCTCCATTTTTTTAAATGGAGTATGAAGATGATGATTCTGCCCTGGTTTTGTGTGGTATCCTAAGTTTTGTATGTAGTCAGGCTCTATCAAGTTGAGTAATTAACATAAAACAAGAAGCCAGTGGACTGGGACTTGGTGATGCAGTGGCTCCCCATTGCCCTGTAGATAAAGTCCTGATCCTCCATTAGCCCACAAGGAGCTGAGTCTGCAGCCTTTTCTGGATCCACTCCCATTACCCCTCCTGCCGCTCCTCCCTGCAGGGGAGGGACCTTCCCAGGCTGCCCTGTCTGCTGTAGCACTCTCCTTCTCCCTCCCTCTCCCTGCCCACTTACCTGCCTGATCTGCCTCAGGAAAGCCCCTCCCTACCTCAGGGGATACCCCTCCTTTGTCGCTTGCAGCCCTGCACCCCTTCAAGTATAGCAGGTGGCACGCTGTTTGCCTGTCCCTCACACTAGACTAGGTGATGGCGGACACCATGATATTCACTCAGGTGGCCTCCATGGCTGGGTCATAGTAAGTGTTCAAAGGACTTTTGTTGCATAAAACAGGCATGAGCGGCGAACCACAGTCAGGCAGGCGGGACGTCTCCCGGTAAAGGCCTGGTTGGGCCTGAGAGTTTGGTGATCCAGTGGATGAAGAAGCTTCACTCTGTCCTGCAGATGGGGGTCCTCACCCCAATATCTAGGCCACTGCCTTGTAAAGCATCCTGCTGATGCCTGGGGAGAGCATGCTGGGCACCATCTTCACCCCTGGAAAAAACCCAAGGGCCCTGCCTTAGAGCCTGGGAGCAATCATTTTGCCGACTGCATGGACTGTTACCAATCTTTGTCTGTAGGTTTGTAGACAGTGTTGTAGTTTTGTAATAAATTCTTATTTTGAAAGGATAAGCTGATTCTTGATTCAAAGAAGCAGATTTTAATCCACAAACAAACTTTCCTGAAAGCAAATATTTACTTTCTGTGTTACAGCTTTAGAGATGCTCAAGGTAAAAAATTTCCCCGATTACATGTTTAGGGAAATTTGCTTTGGAAGGAGAATCAAAAATGTAAAAGAAATACAAATTTGAAAATAACACAACAGGCGAGGAGACCCATCCTTCGCCCAGTGTCCCAATCCCCTCCCGCACCTCCAAGCAGGAGCAGGAGGCCACCTGTTCTTCTCTTCTGATGGGGATGGCGGCTTGCAAGGGGCTTGGCAATAGTGAAGTATTTAATATAATGCTTTCTATTCAAGTTCAGTTTTGAGTATTCATGGGCTAGAACCCAAGAAACGCTTCCTTGCTGTAAACACTGGAGGTAAGCTGAAGAATTAGCCCCAGATGCAAATGTGTGCTAAGCATGTGAGAAATGAAGATCAGGCTACTGCACTCATCATGCTCAGCTTGCAAACCATCTTCCCTCGGTTTCTGCCCCCAAGTCTTCTTTCATGGAGCTGGCTTCTCTCTTATTGGAGTATTTCCCATGTGTTTGCTAAAGGGAAATCACCACCAAGACATCTGCAAAGTCTCCAGGCTTTGAAGTATTCACAGGAAACTCAGCAAAGAGAAATCCAGTTACTTTGAGTTACTTTGGGTCGGTGGATATATTGTTTGTTTGGTTTGGTTTTACAGCAGCTGGTGGTGAAGCCCAAGCCCCATGTGCTGGCACCACCGGAAATTAAAATGCCTTCTTTCTTCTTCTACCTGAGACAAGAGATTTTTAACATTGCATTTTGTAATTCAAGGGAACGAAACATAGAAGCACACATGTTGAGTTTTCCCCATGTTCTAATGAAAATTCAGAGCTTTGCATGCTTTTCGCATATAAGTGTATCTTTCTGAATTTATAGCACTTTCAATATATGAGGCATTTAAGAGTTTACAAAATGTGTTTGTGTGCATTAGCTCATGTAATCTTTCTAACAAATCAAGGCAGTGAGCTGGTTACCTCTGGTTTGCAGATGAGTTGGCCGAGAGAAAGGTGCAGAGACTTGCCCAGCATCACTTAGCTGGTCGGTGAGTGGCAGACCACAGCCCTGTGTGATTCCAGAGGGAATACTTCCAGCTAAGAGACGCTTCTTTCAATTTATTGGTGGAAAGTGGTTCTATACTGAGACACTCTCCCCTCCACCTTGCCCTTACAGTATGAAGTAATCTCCTTCCTTGGAGGTGGAGGCCAGTGTTTGTGGTTTCTTAAGACAAAATGGAAACAAGAAATTAAGCAATAATTATAATATGATTAATGATAACATTTATCAAGCATGGACCCTGTGCCAGACTCTTTTACAAATTACATGTATTCGCTTGCTTAATCCTCTAGGAACTTTTCTTATCTAGCGAGGCAAAGTGACTTGTCCAAGGTGACTTAGCTGGAAAGTGGTGAGCCAGGATTCAAATACGGACACTTTGACCCCAGGCTCCTCCTCTTAACCACTTTCTGTATACTTATTGAGCACCTACTCAATGCCAGACTCGTGTTAAGCATTATCTCACCATCCACCATTTGACAAATGAGGAAACAGAGGCTCAGAGTGGTTAAGTGACCTGTTGAAAGTGATAGGACTTAAAAAGTGCTGGAACTAAGATCTGAATCAGGATGTCTATCATGCCTGTCCTTGGACTCTCTTGCTCCATGTCATGCCAAAGTGTGCCATTTCCACTGCAAAGCCTAAAACAGCCTCATGCATAAAACTGCAAGGAGCCCATTGCGGTTGGATTCCAGAGGGTTTGCTACCCTGAAGGAGAGGCCTTGGATCTTTTCTATGCCACATTCCATTAAGATATCCTCTTTATTTGACGCATGGGAAATGGAGGCCCAAGGAGGCTAAATGACTTGCACAAAGTCATGACTTCCTGAGAGGTGACAGCAAGATCTGAATACTAGTGCTTTTCACATAGGGTACTGGCCTAAGCAGTTGCACACTTTGGATGATAATAAACTTGGAAATTGAGGACCCTTTGGGAGCACGAGGCTTCCCAGTTTCTATTTCAGGGTCATCTTTATTTCACTCTGTCCCTTTAACCTTGCTGTTCCTTCCCTCTCCTCCAGAAACGTAAAGAAACTGCCGCCCCCGCCCCCCAACCCTCTTCTTCACAGGAATGTTGCAAAGATTAATTGGATAACTTCAGAATCATTCTTTTGAGTTGCTTGAAGGAAAAATGCCATCTAGAAGAACAAAGTAAAATAACAATAACAATTATTATATTTAAAAGTATTTATGAGAATCTCTGTGGGGGCAATTAAGAGGAGACCAGCTTGTACTTGTGGAAAATTCACAAGTTGATGAAACGCTCGCATCCCTGCCAGTGCCCCACGATTCTGCTGGGCTGCTGGTGGAAGGATGGTGTTGGGGTACTGGAACTGAAGTGCAAGCATGAGGGGGTGGAAGCTTCAGAGCCCCAGGCCCTCATCCTTCATAAAAATAACCAGCCTGCCCCGTGTCAGGCCTGCAGGAGATAGCACCTGTGATGGCCCCAGACTGGTTACCACGAAGTGCTCACACAGCTCTTTCCAAAAACGACATCTCCTTGTCATCCGCAAAACAGAACTTATTTTTTTGGGCTTCGGTGTCTGTCCTATAATTAATTACTGCCCATTTACAACAGAGACTGAAAATTCCTACTGCCTCAGCTGGGTGCCTGGAAGGACTTCTTTCACATCAGCTGATAGAACCTGTGTTTGTATTTAGCGGTGGGCCTGGCAGATAATGAGGTTTTGATGCCACAGAGCTATTTAGGTGAGTTTATTCTAGGCTCTAAGGATCCCTCGGCTGCTAACATCTGGTCTATTCAGATGTCGCTCTCTCTCCATTCAGAGGGCCCGGGTTTGGTGGGCAAGATGTTCTCTTTTACAATCGACTTGCCTTTGATCTTCAAGACTGGCTTTCCTGCTTAAACACCTGGCCATGCTTAGCCTCTGTAGCAATTCTGCACTCCTGCACAGTGTTTCTTTTCTTGGCTTTCTTTCTTTCTTTTTTTTTTCAGCTTCACTTTTTATACACAGATGGTCATCACGCTGTGTGCAACTGCAGCCGCAGCCTGCTCATCATCGGAGAACAGAATTTTTTTTCCCTCCAGCCGATTCAGACAGGATAACCTCTTAGGCAAACACTTGGGTACCTTCCCATCTCTTACAGCTTCATTTTCTGCTCACACCACCCCCACCAAGTCCTACCCACTGAGTGTGAGCAGAGGCTGGGCCCCCTAGAGCAGAGCTTCTCCAGCAGCAATGAGCATACATACTGACTGCCTGGGCATTTGATTAAAATACAGACTCTGATCCTTAGGCCAGGAGTGGGCCTCAGATTCTGACATCTGTCAGGCTCCCAGGCAACACCCATGCTGTTGGTCTGTGAACCACAGGCTGAATAGCAAAGTCCTAGATTACTTCTAGAATAATCTACACTTTGGCCTCCTCCCAGTAATGTACCTGCCTCTTCCCCGCTTTCTTAACAAAACTTAACTGCCTTATGTTCTGTTCTCATGAAAGCACCCTCCTGCCCCCAGGTGACTATCTCGTACTCAAATATTAATACCTGATGGAGAAGCAGGATGTGGAATCAGAAGACTGTGGGTATAGGAACTGTGTTGTGACCACAGTGTGAGAATTACATTTCTAATTGGTGAACCTTTATTGTTTTTAATATATCCTGGCAGTATTCTACCCTGATAAAAGTTTTAAAGTAATAATGTTATTCTCAATATGGAATTAGATCTTGACACGCTTTCTCCTTCCACCCCTATCCTCAGAGTTCACACAGAACAACAGAGGCTCAACTCATGGCCCATTCAGAGTGCCCAAACATAAGAATCACATCCTGTCAAGAAGACGATCTGTGCCCCTGTCACAGTTGATGCCATGGCTGAGACCAGTATGTTCTATTCAGATTTGAGAAAAGCAGTTTCCATGTAATAAGTCTGATGCCATAATTAAAACATGTAGCAACTGGGTCCATGCCTGCCTTTTACACGAATCCTCAAGAGCGACATTTAGATGAGCATGGACATCTGAAATCCACTTGATGCCATGGCTCTTTCTAGGAGGGAAGCTCCTTTATGCTGTCATTAAATGGGCACTTATGATTCTCCAATCATACATCAGGGTTGAGAGGCGCAAGCTTGCGAGTCCAACTCGCCTTGATTCATATCTTGGTTCCATACATGGCTTTAGCCCTGTTGTTTAACCTCGTTTAGCCTAGCTTTCCCTGTCTATATAATGGGCATAACTATTATTATCATGTATTTCAGGCCTGTCACATGATAGTCTTTGTAGACCCCACCTCTGTGGCTATGACAGCCCTGTAAAGCTGGCTAGCGACTGGTGTGATGTGGGTAACAGTCAATGACAGCAAACCAGCCCTTGCCTCTAGACAGGCCTTCAAGGCTCTTTCGGGCTTGAGTCTCCCTTACTCTCCTGCATCACTGGGGGGTTTCCAGGAACGAGCTTGTTCCACCAGTGCAGTGGGAGTGTGTGTGCTCTCAGGACTCAGGGCAACTGCTCCTACCCTTGTGATGTGAAGGGATTTCAGTATTTTAACTGGTCCATCTCCATTTGGCTGATCATATATTGAGAATTAGAGAGATTAAGCAAATTGCCCAAGACGGCCCAATCAGTGAGTGGTGGGTCTCAGGTGTGTCTCACTCTAGACACCTGTAGCCTTAACCGCTGAGCAGTCCTGCTCCATTTGACACGAGTGAATGTGCATGAAGGTGCCCAACAGTATCTGGCATGTGGATGGTAGGTCCTCAGGAAATCCTAGACTCCTTTGCCCTTCCCCTACACTTGATTCCTGTATGTCTCTCTGCTGAATTGAGTGCCATCCTCATTCTGGGGGCTGGGGTGGGGCGGAGGAAGCTTCAACACCTGACCTCCTCGTTACCCAGCAGGGCCTTGTGGGTGCTGTGACTCACAGTTTCCAATTCTCCCAGTTGCCCGGTTGTACACAGTAGTTTTCTAGCTGCAGGTTGGTGAAGTATTCCAGGGCAGGATGTTTACATCCCCTAGAGGAACGGGCACGGAATCAAGCCAGCCCTTGCTTGGCAACCCCTGGCTGTTCTTTCCAGCCTCAGGCGCCCTGCCAAACCGACTCAGGAGAGGAAAACATAACAAGTGCTGATGTGCTTCCATTTCACATAGAACATAATACAAGTTTTCAGGATGATTTATTTTCCTAAACAAGAAAATACAATGGACCCCATCCATTATTCAACATGCTAATGATAACCTTTACTCTCTTGTCAACGATGATCTAAGGTGGTGTTCAATCGAAGTACAAAGAATAAGCAGAGAACACACAAACACACTCACAATCCCACGACACTCCATGGCATGACAGTGGGAAAAAAATGGGGACACAAGAGGATGTGAAACTAAGAGGAGAGATATGTTTCCGCCTTTGCAGCTTTCTGAGCATCATAAAGCGGGGACTTTAAAAATTTTAGGTGATTAACTTGAAAATGACCCCATAGAAAGTGAACATTGATAACTCAATGCATGCTTTATTGTAATTTTTAGAAAATTGATTTCTTTCAACTGACATTCAAACCACATGGAGCAGAGAGCCTGGAATTGTATCAGTTTTCAAGATCTTTATGCCTGGCCCAGTTAACACCTCTGTGTGTGGGTATGTGGTGGGGGGGTACCCTGTAATACCAGGGTTTTCTTTTAGCTGGGAAAGTCTGAGTTTCCTGAGAATTAAAGGCAATCAGGAAAATGAGAAAGTTTGTTTTGATTCCAAGCAAGCTCAATAGAGTGGCAAAATGAATGAAGATTTTTTCCAAGTAGAGAATACATGCTAATTAAAGTTATTAATTTCCTGTATGTTTAGGGATATTATGTATATTTAAATGGATATCAGTGAAAAGTAAATCAGTATAAATAGCTTATTTTAGAATTAGCATTATAACTCATGTATGGATGTCACCAAATATTAAGTTCATTTCTAAATTTTCCTTTTAAGCATTTTAGGTAGCGTGTAGACCAAATGAGTCCGTTAACAGGAGAGCCTGTGGAGAGCAGCTTGGAACTAAGCATCTGACCCTTGGCCATGCTTTCCAGGAGACTGAAGAGAGTTATTTAAGAAATTTAAGGCTGGGTGCAGTTGCTCATACCTGTAATCCCAGCACTTTGGGAGGCCAAGGTGGGAGGATGGCTTGAGCCCGGGAGTTCAAGAACAGCTTAGGCAACATGGTGAGACCTTGTCTCTATAAAAAATATAAAAATTAGCCAAGTGTGATGGTGTGCGCCTATAGCTGAGTAGTCCCAGCTACCCACGAGGCTGAGGTGGGTGGATCACCTGAGCCCAGGAGGTCGAGGCTACAGTGAGCTGAGATTACACCACTGCACTCCAGCCTGGGTGACAGAGCAAGACTCTGTCTCAAAAAAGAAAAAGAAAAAGAAAAGAAATTTTTAAAAATGTGAAGGCAAAGCTTTTTTTCTGATTCCTTTAAATGGTATTTTGGCTACGAAAATGTAACCATCCCTGAAAAATGCTCATGGCCTCAGCCATTCTCAAAACATTCCCTCCATCTTGGTATTGAGATAAATGAGTAACAAGGAAGGCAGCATTTCTTAATCGGAATCACAGTGGACCCAGCAGCATCTAAGGGGTAGCTGGGGCTTGGGCTCTAGTTGGCTGGGTGACCCTGGACAAGCTGGTAACCTTTCTCAACCAATAATAACCAGGTGATTGGCCGGGCGCGGTGGCTCACGCCTGTAATCCCAGCACTTTGGGAGGCCGAAGTGGGTGGATCATGAGGTCAGGAGATGGAGACCATCCTGGCTAACACAGTGAAACCCCGTCTCTACTAAAAATACAAGAAAAAAATTAGCCGGGCGTGGTGGCGGGCGCCTGTAGTCCCAGCTACTCAGGAGGCTGAGGCAGGAGAATGGCGTGAACTCGGGAGGCGGAGCTTGCAGTGAGCGGAGATCGCGCCACTGCACTCCAGCCTGGGCAACTGAGGAAGACTCTGTCTAAAAAATAATAATAATAATAATAATAATAATAATAATAATAATAATAATAATAACCAGGTGATTATTCCACAGTAAAATGTAAAAGATTTTTGGTTGTTGTGAGGTTGAAATGAAGCAACATAGGTTAAAATATTTAGGCCGGGTACCGTGGCTCACACCTGTAATCCCAGCACTTTGGGAGGCCAAGGAGTTTGAGACCAGCCTGGGCAATATGGTGAAACCCGGTCTCTACTAAAAATACAAAAATTAGTCGGGCTTGCTGGCGCGTGCCTGTTATCCCAGGTGCTTGGGGGGCTGAGCTGGGAGGATCGCTTGAGCCTGGAAGGTTGAGGCTGCGGCTGCAGTGAGCTGTGATCATGCTACTGCACTCCATCCTGGGCAGCAGATCTAGACCCTGTCTCAAAAAAAAAAAAAAGGTATTTAGTATGGTAGCTAGCACAAAGGAATTATTTAAGAAATGTTGCCTCCCCACTCCCACTGCTTCAGAAAAAAAAAAAAAAAAAAAAAAAAAAAAAAAAAATATATATATATATATATATATATATATATATGTAAAAGTTAAAAAAATAAAATACAGAGCTTAAGGAAACTTTATCATACTATACGTAGTCATATACTTTGCATGATAAAAGGTCTGTTTTTATTTTCATCCTTTCAATAAATGTTGATTGTCTATCGTATGCAAGGCAGTAAGAACAATTTTCTTCTTCTCCAAAGCTGGTCACACTTAGCTATGCAAAGCAGTCATGTCAAACTTTAAAGGTTTTTTCAGCAGGAAAAAAAAAAAATGTCTAGGGTCAATGCTACTAAGACCAACAGGATATAAAATTGAACCACGTGGTCTGATTCTAGAGCTCTCCGAAAGATTGTTCTAAAACTCTGCCCTTCTTTTTGAAGGGGCTTTTAACATTCTTTAGACTTCACTCTACCATTCCCTACTTGCAATACCATGTTCAGGATTATTCTAAATGATTCCGAGACTTTCCACAACTATGTCTATTTCAAGTCTGTTCTCGGAAGATGGAACTCCACAGAAGGCGGTTCACATGATTTTTAGTCCGAATCTATAAATAATTGGTGGATCCATTTTAGCCCCCAAAACTCCCATCTGGTTCTCTGTTCACACAAGACACTAGGCCCAAAGCTTGGAAGGATAGTAATCCTGCGAGGCATGAAGATCGTAGGATAATTGTGATTATAGTAGATGCTCCTTGCTTCTGGTTTTTTGTGGACTGTAACTTGGGCTTTCCCAAGGTGATGTGCACCGGATCCGCAGGCTGGATGGATAGGGTGGGGCAATCGCCTCTAAGTGGACATTTATTTTATCTTCCCTGTTCAATTACCCTGTGTGTTTCCAGGCATTAAAACGCTTGTGGTTCAGGACCAAGAAGGTCTGACCTCCTTCCTGCTCTTATTGCAGACTTTTTATAATTCCTGCCTGTGAGAGAAACAGAAGAACACAGCTTGTTTGGGGGATCCCAGATGGAGTTTGCAGGATGGATATTAGAAAAAAATCATCTCTTTTGAGTGGTAGACTGAGAAATTTAAATTGGAACAGCGATGAAAAACCATACACGTCGGGAGATGGAGTGGGGGTGAGGCAACCCATGAAGTCAGTTTTGCATCTGTAAAAAGTCATTTTGGAGAGTCGATCTGCACTTTAAGAATTCCTAATGGGTACAGTCAGTTCAGACCCAGCTGAATGTGTTGGAGTCTCTGATAGTGTTCTTCTAATTAAAGGGGGGTGGGGAGGGAAACAATAACAGACACACAAAAACACACACTCAACCAAAGATGGGGGAAATGTGAGCACCAGACATGCTCGTGCTGATTTGGGGATGACAGTTGAAGAGACAAGAACATTTTAAGTGCAGGGAAGGAAGCAAGAACAGCCCCCCAAAACAGGAGAGAAGGGTCAGCAAAGGTAAGTTTATAAGCAAAACAAAGGGGCGGGGGGCGGGGGGAGTACAGGAGAGAATAAAAGAAGCAAAACCAAGTAAGCAAAACCCACCGTGACTTATTAGGAATGTTTAATTTGAAATTGTGATCCCTACAATTACTGAAAAGGGAGCAGTTAGAAAGGAAGGCATGTTGATTGTGACAGGGCAGGAAGAACCTGAGAAATCTCTGACATTCGAGTGCCTTTTTTTAAACTGCCTTTGTTCCCAAGTTCCTATTTTGCATCTGGTTAAATGCATATTAATTTCTCTTCCTTCCTAATGAATCACTGTGTGTTCTGTGTCTTCTTTATGAAGAGGAAAGGGGTGTCTTCCCTGCTTGCTCCCTCAGCTCAAACTTTTCATCTTGATCCTATAGGAGTGATGAGACATTAAATGGGGTAATCTGGAAAAGGGGATGGAATGTGAACTGAAGACTTTTGAGTGTAGGAGTTAGAAGTCAATCACTTTGCTAGCTATCAGACTGTTTCATCGTTGAAGAGGAGGCTAGAGCATTTACTTTAGTTAAAAAAAAAAAAAAACCCTCCCTGACACCCCAGGTCTTCCCAGATCCCTATCTCATAAACTCATTTTATTTACCCAGAACCCCCCAAACAAACCTGGACTTGAAATCATCTTTTTCTTTGCGCGTTCCTGAGAGTGACTGGCAGTGCAGCCACAGAACTGGCAAGTTCTGTTGGAGGAATTATATTCAGGCCCATTCACGATGCACGTTAACTTTGTGGGTGGAAAGAAACCTGGAGGAGAGAGAGGAAACAAGCCTTAAAGCCTCCAAAAATTGGCAGGCAGACTTCCGGAATGAGGCTTCTCCAAGGAATCTTCTCCTAGAATTAAACCTAGGACTGAAATACATTTGCAAATGATTGGGCTTAAAAGTGGGGTTGGGTTTCCTTGTGTCATGCCGGTATGGGCCCAGAGAGTTTTGTGGGTTTTTTTGGAAATGAAGAGGGAGAAATAAATGATGCACAATGAGAATGCAGAGCCGAAAATTCTGGACCACACATCATTTACTTAGAACAGACTTTCCCTCTGATATTCTTCCCAAATATGTCATGGCATTCACAAAGAACACTGCTTCTGAAATGTCGGATTATGCAGTAATAGTCACTGAACGAGAACATGAATGTCTTTAAAAAAATTAATCAGTTGTCTTTAAGGTGTGTGTGGCTGCTCAAAATCCTCTCTGTAGTGTCTCATCTTTAGCAGACCTCACGTGGAAACAGCTTTCTTGTTTACAGACCACCACACTGACACATTATCTGCTGTGATTAATTAAAGACGATTTTTAAACCCATATATTTCTTTAAAAGGCAGAAGAGACAGCCCAGCTTTTTAAAAATGGTGGTCATAAACTACCATCAGATGGCACTGTAACATAAATTATGGAAAGAGTCAGCTATCCAGTATAAGGACTGAACAGATTCGGTACGTTGCCAGTGGGTTGCCAGGCTTGCAGGCTGAGCACACACGAATGATTCGCAGAGAGATACATTCACTAGGAAACGTGTTACGAGCACGTTACATTCGCATTGAACTTTCATCGGTGAGAGGTGATCCAGGAGTTCAATGTGGACAGGCCCTTTTGCATTTTCAGAGAAAACAAACTCAAATCTAACCTGAAAGAAAAGATTTAAAAACATATTAAGAGAAAGAGAGATCAGACCAAAACCGCAAGTGCAAAACATGGAAAGGTGTTTTCCACTCTTGATTCTGTTTCAGGTGTAAAATAACTACAGACAAAATGAAAACCTTGTAGAACCATTCTCCTCTCCTTCCCTGCTTTCCCATTATTACAGGAGGGGGTTGTAGATATTCTCATTAAAGTGGCCAACCCCACAGGGCCTGGCTGTGGAGTCTGAATTTCAGTGCCAGCACATTTATCCCCTTGTTTGTCATAAAGTGAGCATTGCCTTTTACAGATGGGCATTGGGGAATGAAGCGTATTCTAGGATATTGAGGCAGCAGGGCATTTTTTTTTCTACACTGTCTTTGAGAAAGGCTCAGTTGGCGCTGCCTCTGCCAGTGTGGCCTTGGTTTAGTAGCAATTCCTTAGAGATTAAAGAGGAAAGAAGGGAGGAAAACTTCATCCAAATTCCTTTCTAGTGGCTCCATAGCTTCAGGTGCAGTTGAAAACAGCTAACTCGCCAGCATATTCTCTGGCTTTATAGAAAAGCTTTTTTAAATATCACAGTTTCTTGGAGATCTTAGGCTATTGTCATACCAAGTGGGTTCTCTCTTGGGCTTGGCATAGAACCAGGTACGTGCTTTTCTCTGCTTAGCAAGCAGGTATCCAGGCCCTGTTCAGTAGCATACACTCAGGGGAGAGGTACAGGATGCTGCTGGCACATCCATGAGATGGTTTTCTGAAATGCTTAGCATCCCTGCGAACAGAATGACTACCCTTGACTAAGAGGAGGACGTTGGGGAGCCTGCCTTTCTGCGGTAACATCAGCCTCCTTTTCGGGATGATGTTTCTCCCCACCACCCTAATGAAGAAAATAGAACATCAGGCAACTGAGAATACTGGTCAAAGTCCAATCAGAAATGGGCCTGGAGGTGTGGTAGTCTGGAATGCCCATGCAAGGGTAATATGATCTTGGAAGCCTGCAGAGCCTGACTTCTATTTGACACAAAAAAAGGCAGGTTATCTCCGGAGTGGGTTAAGCCTCAATTTGCAGGCTTGGCTAGTGTTTTCGGCAAGCCACAAGCCAGAGTCTCTAATGACCAGTCTTACTGTAGCAAGTAGACTTGAGGATGGTTGCAGCTTCTCACCTCCCCTTGTGAGATCACTGTGGTGTAGAGATGTCTTTTTCTTGGTATGTAAGGAACATTAAGAGGAGGTTTGTCTGGGGACGGGGAAAAGAGAAGTGACTTGCTTCCTAATAAACTTGTGTTCTCTGCTTTCTGTTGGCAAAAAAAAAATAAAAATAAAAATAGTGAAATCACATGCCTGCTTTGTTCCTGCAGCTACTGGTTTGAGAATACTGAATTACTCCCCCCACCAAATATTGCTTATTGTCTTCATAGATGTTCTTTAGAAAATACTGTTTTAGACTTCTCCTTGTTTCCCAACAGGGTACTTTTTCCCCCTCTCAAATGGCGAAAGTGATACCTTCGTTTATAAGTATGTGAAAGTTGCTGTTTAAGAGTCCCAGACTTTTACCTTTGGGGCCAGAATTTAGAATTTTATAAAGGTACTATGGTGCATAGACTGTATATTATGTACCCCATAGCCTATGCGTTAATATTTCTGCAGCAAAATGTGTGAACATTCACACTAAGTGGGCTAACTAGACTCTATAAAGAGCCCCACATCAGCTCAGGTCTTGCCAACGTTGAGTTAGTTTTTAAAAATAAAACTTTGTGCCTTAGAACCTGTGAATTTCAAAATTGTGAATAAGGGACTGTGAATCTGTATTTATATTGTATACATAGGTTTATATTTTAGAAGAAATGCAATACAGAAGTTACATTCAAAATCTATGGATTACTGAAAATAGCCTTTGAGATTTGGCTCTAAACTTGAGTCTAATCGTAACCCCTTCCATGGCTCATTAGCATTTGACTTTTTTCTTCACACTGCCTAGAACTTCCAGCCCACGGGTTGCAAAGTCATGTGTTAAAAGGGGCCGAGGAGATAAAGTGAATGGAGTGGGCTGGGGTAGACAATAGGGACTGGTGAGGACCAGGGCACAGGAGAGCACCTGCACCATCCAAGGCAGGTGCCACCACCAGCAGCTCCTGACGAGGGCTGCCAAGCAGGAAAGTACCCAGGTCATTTCATTTATCAAGATAAGTCAGAAAAAAAATGTCTTTTACAGGAAGTATTCTCAATTTTTAAATGTTAGCAACTAGGCCAGGTGCCATGGCTCACGCTTGTAATCCCAGCACGTTGGGAGGCTGAGGCAGGCAGATTGCCTGAGCTCAGGAGTTCAAGACCAGCCTGGGCAACATGGTGAAACCCCGTCTCTACCAAAAATACAAAAAACTTAGCTGGGCATGGTGGTGCCTGCCTGTGGTTCCAGCCACTCTGGAGAGGATTGCTTGAGAGGCAGAGATTGCAGTGAGCTGAGATCATGCCACTGTACTCCAGCCTGGGCAACAGAGTGAGACCCCATCTCAAATAAATAAATACAAATAAATGTTAGCAACTAATTCAATGTTTTAAAAATTCCACGTGAAACATATAATTTGTGACCTTTTCACTAGTCACTCAAAACTGTGTGTGTGTGTGTGTGTGTGTGTGTATAAAAGAAAAACATATAATGAAAATACCCCATATGTAGTATATATACCTTATCTTCCTCACCAGCCTCTAAGCGGTTTGTCCCTGGTTCTGTCATTTCCACTGTGGCTTTGATGTCCCCGCCCCCGCACGATCCTGACACCTATGGCCAGGTGTTTGAACTGTGCACTAGGTATGGTGAAAGCACCCTGCCCCAGCTAGACTTTGTGCTAGTCTTGTTATTCCGCTTCTTAGCTGTTGAAGTCTCCAGTCCCAGGAAGCCTTCATGCTGTCCCCCTGTCTTCTCCTTTCTTTCACCTGCCCATCTTTCTGAAGAGCCACAACTGATCATGCCTCCGGATATTGATCCCTCTCCTTATTCACTTTTAATTTGACTCAACAGAATAAACCAATCCCCTAACTAACAAATGCTATGTACCCTTTCCGGGTTCTTCTTCATGAACTAACCTACATCATTTGGAGCTTTTGAAACGCTCTCCTTCCTGGTGTCCATGCCCCCGCATGTGCTGGGGTCCCTCCATGTTTCCCCTCCCCACTCTCATTTGCCTCCTGCTGGATTCTGGCCTCAGCTTTCTTTTTCTCTACACTCAACTTCTTAATTCTCTCCCAGAGCCTAATTAGCACCCTTCAGGGGTGTCTTTTCTCCTGGGACACAAGACCTGAGCCTCCAGGCAGATATTCCACAGGCCCCTCAAACTAAAACTCTTCAAAATACAACCCCCTACACCCCTCTCTAATCAATGCCAGCTCCTTTTCCTGGTCTCCTTTTTCAGATCAGTGAATTGAAACCAGTTGTTGGTGACTCAGCACATGAGGGTCCATCTCCTTTATGGTTCCTTTTCACCCCTGCTGACAGCACCTCCCCCACTCTTACCACTACTGTTCCCTCCAGTCTATCCAACAAGAACGTATAGTTTCTGTTTTTTTTATTTTTATTTTTATTTTTTTGAGACGGAGTCTCGCTCTGTGGTCCAGGCTGGAGTGCAGTGGCGCGATCTCGGCTCACTGCAAGCTCCGCCTCCCGGGTTCACGCCATTCTCCTGCCTCAGCCTCCCCGGTAGCTGAGACTACAGGCACCCGCCACCACACCCGGCTAATTTTTTGTATTTTTAGTAGAGATGGGGTTTCACCGTGTTGGCCAGGATGATCTCGATCTCCTGACCTCGTGATCCACCCGCCTCGGCCTCCCAAAGTGCTGGGATTACAGGTGTGAGCCACCGCGCCCAGCCACAAGAACATATAGTTTCTAAAACCCAGCAACAACCATGCTGGTGACCAGATTGTCTCATAACTTCTCACTGCCTTCCATGTTCTCCTTAGCTTTAAGGCTATCAAGAAACTTAACCTACCATATTTGCAATCTTAGCTACCATGATTCTTATTTGTATACACTAGAGGTTTACTAAACCTGGACTGTGTGTTGAGACCACTTAATATCTTCTGGCAGGAAATAGGTTATTCCTTCTTATCTGAATTGAAGGCTTGATTAAATACTCAGAGGCTAAGAGGCAGTTGCTGTAGTTCGACCAATTTATGGATCGTGTCATGCCATGTAGATTTTTTAAATCTCCACTTGGACTCCCTAGAATATGTTGTGTCTTATAATGCATTCCCAATGATAAAATGGAAGAAGAGGAGTTGATGGCCTTTAAATAGATATAAAGCGTTTTATTGCATTAATTATTTCCTGAGCAATTGCTGAAAAGCTGTGCATTTGGCTAAATAAGCTTGTGTGGTGAGAGTCACCAACTGATAATGGATTATGACATACACCACGCCAAGGTAGCGGGAAAGTCAAGGTTAAATTTTCAGCTAATAGTGGTCATCAGCATTGTCTAATAGGGCTATGATAACTTAAAAATAGTTTAAAGAATGGGACACATCACTGAACTATGGTTTTACATCAAATATATGGTTCATTCAAAAACCCTAGGGCAATTGAAATTATTCTGTGTGTTGGAAAAGATTTCTGGCTTTCAGTTCTGCAGTGGAGTTTGTTAGAAAATGCTGTTGGTGCGTCACTAAGGACATGTTAGTTTCCTTCATTGACTAGTTTGTGTTTTGCCAACGTTCAGAAGCAGGAATTTTTGCATTTATTTTGGTCCATAAGTCTTTTCATGATACAATAGCAATTAAAATAGTTTTTTCCTATCATCACTGAAGATAGGTGGAGGCCCTCATACCCTAAGGAAATTCACTTCTGGAGGTGGGTGGTGAGTCAGCATAGTACCAGGTTAAGAAAGTATTTTGTGGAATCCATCCTGAATATATTTTTCCACTGTAAACAAAAACTAACAAAAAAAAGAATATGGGGAAATACTGGTTCCTTCCTCCTCTGACTTAATGGGAAATGAACAAACTCGATGACAGTTAGGGGACCAGGGAAATTAAATGTTTCCCTCACAATTTGATTTGGATTAGCAGCCTTTTAAGCTGATAGGTTATCTTTTTTCAAAGTAGGCAAATATATCCTAGCTTTCAAAGTTCAAATTACAACTCAAGTAATTGAAGATTCTCATATGCCTTCCAGAAACTGTTTGGTTTCTTGAAGTATTATTAATGCCAAATTCAGATACTTTTGCATCCACCAACACAGCCAGTGTGAATTGAGAAGGTATGAGGACTGAGAGAAAACATTTAATGATTTTAGTGTGAACAGGTTTCACTTTTCAATGAAACACTGAAGCTGGAGTATATGAAGACTTGCCCATCTTGTACCTCTCGACTATGAATTTCACAGCCTCTACTTATGGCAAAGAGGCTGTTTCCATTCAACTTCAAGTCTGTAGCCATGGCACTAGTGGATTAATAACCTATGGTTAATTATAGAGGTGATGGGAGACAGATGCCAAGGGAATGTAATACACAGCTGAGGCTTTTGAAATCTTCCCATACCAAATACATATCCCTGTATTTCTATACTTGTGGCTGCATGGCTGGAGAAGCTGATTCCAATGTTATCACCCAAAGATAAATTCCAATGTCTCCCACACCCCAGTTATGCATTACACACATAGACATGCCAAAGGGCTGCTGCCCACTTAGGCTCAGCAGTTCCTAAATACTTGCATGTAACTGAAATGATCAAGAACTGGCACTTGAAGATTATTCTGTGTAGAAAACATTTGTTGGCTGAAGATAAATTGCTGTCTGAGTCTCATCTTGGTAGCCATAATTTTACCTCTTTGCATGACCACATTTTTCTTTAAATGCCACGAGGGTAATTTGAATCAAGGTTGGCAATTTTGAAACACACCTTGTATGCCTGGGTTTAGACAGAAGCTCTTCTCCTGTTTCTCAAGCTGATTGGTCCTCATCTTGACAAAACACATCTGGTCACGTCACTCCCATTCTGTTTATGTAGCACAGCATGGTATCAGGTGGTACTGGATTTTGGCACAATCATCAGCCAAAGAGATCACAAATCAAACATTATTTCTGAAAACTGCAAAAGAAGTGCCAGTGTATTTAAAATTCATTGAGACTTTTTATTTTCAAGAAAGAAAAGTATTTATTTTAAAGGCTTGTAGTTCTAAAAATTCTTGTTCAATGAATGAATGTTCCTTCAAACTACAGGGCAAAAGGTTTCGTTGCTCAGCCTAATAAATATTGATTGAAGCATTACTCTATGCTGGGTACAGTGTCTTGCACCATGTTCATTTTCTGGGCTGCACTGGAGTGAGAGAAGCTAAGTCAAACATTCAGTCGAATCAATGGGAATTGTATGCACACTGTTCCATCTGCTGATGATTCGCAAATGGATGTCTCTAGCTCTTGTCTCTCCCTTCAACCCAGAATCAGTATACCAACTGCCTTTCAACATCTTCACTTGGATGTCCAGCAGGCATCTTATACTTCCATGTGCAATAGAGGTGGAGGTGAAATAGAGGTTACCAGGGTCTGCAGGGAGTGGAGGAGAGGGAGTTAGAGTTTAAGGATTGCAGAATTTCTGCCTGGGATGATGAAAGAGTTCTGGAGATGGATGATGGTGATGGTGACAACACTGTCAATGTATGTAATGCTACTGAATGGTACACTTTAAGATGGTAAAAATGGTAATTTTTATGTAATATAAATTTTACCACAATAAAAAAATATATGTCCAAAACGAAATTCTTAAGTCTCACCCCCAAACTGGTTCTTCCTGCCATCCTCCTTATCTTAGGAAATGGCACCTCCATTCACCTTTAGGCATGTGTTAAAAACTTGGAGTCTCACATTCGATTCTTCTCTTTGCTCACATGGAACATCCAATCCATCCCTCAACCCAGGTAGCTCCACATTCAAAATACATTCGCAGCCAGGCATGGTAGTTCATGCTTGTAATCCCAGCACTTTGGGAGGCCAAAGCGGGTAGATCACCTGAGGTCAGGAGTTCAAGACCAGCCTTGCCAACATGGTGAAACCCTGTCTCTACCAAAAATACAAAAATTAGCCAGGCATGATGGTGCAAGCCTGTAATCCCAGCTACTCAGGAGGCTGAGGCAGGAGAATTGCTGGAACCCGAAAGGCAGAGGTTGCAGTGAGCTGAGATCGCGCCACTGCACTCCAGCCTGGGTGACAGAGTGAGACTCCATCTCCAAAAACAAAACAAAACAAAACAAAACAAATTCACAATCCAGCTCCTTCTCATCACCTCCACCGCAACCTCCCAGGCCCAGTCCTCTCTTGCCTGGACCACAGAGACCTCCTAACTTGTCTCTCTGCTTTCACTCTTGCCCTTCTGTGGTTCATTCTCCGCATGGTACTAGAGTGATCCTTTTGTCTTGTAAACACAGGCAATTCTTCTGCCCCACCCACCAAAGGTTTCCCATCACAGCAAAATGAAGCCCAAAGTCCTTCCAGGACCAGAAAGCCCCAGATGATCTGGCCCCTGGCTAGCTTGCTGAGCTCACTGTTCTCCTCATTTCCTTTGTTCCAGCCATGCTGGCCTCCTCCATGCCAAGCACACTCCCGCTCTGGCCTCTAAATTCTCCTTGCCTAGGATGCTCTTCCCCAATCTGCTTCAGTGTCTGCAAAAATGTCACCTTATCTGAGAGCTTCCTGGCCATCTGTCTAAAATCACATCACCTTCTGCACCATTTTCTCTCACTGTGCCCTTCTTTGCTTATTTATATGTTTGTTTATCATCAGTTTCTCCTCTACTAGGATATGAGTTCCATGAGAGCAGGAATTATTTTCCTGGCTTTATTCACTGCCTTATTTGCAGCAGCCTGGAGCTTAGTAGGTGTTTAGTAAATATTGCATAATGTGCAAGGCACATAATTATTTTTTTCTAAACATCATTAATTGGGCTTACTACAGAGAATTGAGTTATCTAATGAATTCCCATTTGGAATGAATTGTGTTTTTCCTTTTCTTATGTTGAAACATTTAACTCCCAGGCACATGAAGTTAAGCACATGAAGTAAAAACAAGCAAGATTAGCAAATTAGTGAATCTCGTTTTTTTCATTTTTTAAAATAATAATAATAATTATTATTATTATTAGTTTTAGTCGGAGTCTCGCTCTTTCACCCAGGCTGAAGTATAGTGGTGTGATCTTGGCTCCCTGCAACTTGAGGTTCAAGTGATTCTTGTGCCTCAGCCTCCCAAGTAGCTGGGGCTAAAGGTGTGCACCACCATGCCTGGCTAATTTTTATATTTTTTAGTAGAGACAGGGTTTCACCATGTTGGCCGGGCTGGTGTCGAACTCCTGACCTCAAGTGATCTGCCTGCCTCAGCCTCCCAAAGTGCTGGGATTACAGGAGTGAGGAGCTACCATGCCCAACCTATTTTTTTAATTTTTACATTTTTTTTGGGGGGGTACATAGTAGATATATATAATTTATGTGGTAAATGAGAAGTTTTGATATAGGCATGCAATGTGAAATAAGCACATCATGGAGAATGGGGTATCTGTCACCTCAAGCATTTATCCTGTGAGTTACAAACAATTCAATAACACCCTTTATTTTTAAATGTATAGTTATTTTTGACCATAGTCACCCTATTGTGCTGTCAAGCAGTAAGTTTTATTCATTCTATTTTTCTGTACTCATTAACCATCCCTATCTTCCCCGCCCTCCCATGCCCCACTATCCTTCCCAGTCTCCGGTAACCATACTTCTATTCTCTATGTCCATGAATTCGATTGTTTTGATTTTTAGATCCCACAAATAAGTGAGAACATGCGATGTTTGTCTTTCTGTGCCTGACTTATTTCACTTAACATAATGATCTCCAGTTCCATCCATTCAGATTAGTAAATCTTAGGCCACTTGAGTAAGATTTGGGAAAATACAGGAGCAAGTCGGGCTAGGTCAATGCAATTCCAAAACATGTGGTTGAATTTATGGTATTACTATGAGCTCTTTTGAGTGTGAGATTCAGAGACCCAACTCAGCTTGCATAAGAATAGAAGGAAACTTCTGGCTTTCTTTGAAACTACCAAATTCAAGGCATGGACTTTAGGTATGACTGTATTCGGTCACTCAAAGGATGCAATGAGTGTTCATTCTCCTCTCTACTTCTCAGCAACTCTGCCACCTCCTGTGTTGGCTTTGTTCCTGGGCAGCTCTAGGATTGTGTCTTCCTTATAGCTGTTGTAGCTGATGATAATCTCAGGGAAAGGAGAGTTTCTTTTTATCAGTAGCCCAGCAAAATTTCCAGGACTGAGTCACATAAGACCAGCAGATGAACCAAATGGTGTAGCTCGGGGGATAGAAGTCATTTGTTTGGCAGATCCAAATCACATGCCCATCCTGCACCTAAGGAGAGAGGAGGAATTAAGGTCAGCCCCACTAAGCCCCCCGTGGAGCAAGTGCCAGGTTTACTCAAAGGGAAATCAAAAGAAGGTGAAATGGATGTGGCGAGGGCGAAAACATCCACTGTTCACTCTATCAAGGAAAGAAGATTCTATTTGGCTGTGCGATGTCATTTATTGCTCTTCAACTTAAATTTTTTCAACTATCCTTAATGAGTTGTAATGAGTTTTAAGTCTATCGTGAGCAGATTCTTACAGAAGAGATTGTATATGCATGTTGGACCATGATGGTAGGAGATTTGGAGTACTTGGAGCATGGAGGTAAGGGAGATTTGGGAGACTCAGCAAATTCCTAGGGCCCTTATTGCCTCCGACAAGATTTCTGCTTAAATGAGACAGTATTCTATTTAAGTGAAAAAGTCACTGAGGCTGGGTATGGTGGCTCACACTTGTAATCCCAACACTTTGGGAGGCCAAGGCTGGCAGATCGCTTGAGCCCAGGAGCTTGAGACCAGCCCAGGCAACATGGCAAAACCCCATCTCTAAAAAATATTAAAAAATTAGCCGGGCCTGGTGGCATGTGCCTGTCATCCCAGCTACCCAGGAGGCTGAGGTGGAAGGATCACCTGAGCCTAGGGGGTCGAAGCTGCAGTGAGCCATGATTGTGCCACTGCACTCCAGCCTGGGTGACAGAGAGAGACCTTGTCTCAGAAGGGAAGGGAAGGGAAGGAAGGAAGGGAGGGAGGGAGGGAGGGAAGGGAAGAAAATGTCATTGAATAATTCAGTGTATAATAACTTACTTGGTCTAAGGTCCCCATCCTTCGAACTAGTTTAACCTGCACAGAATTCAGCCTCCATTCACTTCTTCGCTGCCCTTTTGCCCAAGACCTAGCAACTGGATTTCTCAGCCCTGCCAGTGAGCCCAGCTCCCATTCCCTCAGACTGTGCAGTATCATGGTATGAGCACTTGCTTTGGTCTCAAGAAGACATGATTCTAGTACTGGCTATTTCACTCACTATGTTTGTGTTCGAGCCTCAGTTTCCTCACTGAAAAGTGGGCATGATAATATCTATGTCATTGTATTGTGATGATTGAAAGGAAAAAGCTAGAGAAGAGGCCTAGTTCAGTTCCAGGCTCATGGAGGCACTCAGTGAATGATGTTTGTTGAATAAATGAGTAAACCATGCCAGTGGCTTTACCCAGGTCCTGGGCCTTCAGCCCTGCCATGTGCCCCTGTAGTTAAATTTTCTGGGTCTAGCCATGTCATGAACGGTACAAATATTACAGCTAGAATGCAGGGCAATTCAGTCGCAAGTAATAGAAACCAACTCTGACTCAGTTAAGCAAAAAGGGAATTTTGTGTGAGCTAAGGGATATTTCAGAGAACAGAAGGAAAAGCCGAACATTGGACCTGGAAAGCACAGCAGCCAGAGTGAGGTCCAAGATAGATACGACAACCTCACTAGGGCACAAGGGTCAGGATGACTCAGCTCAAGAAAGCTTCTATCCGTGTGTCATTTCATTCACATACTAGGACAGCTCCTGATTGGTCTAGGGTAAACATGTGACCCAGAATCAACCAATCAGGACACCTCTTAAGCGCACAGCCATTGCAGGAAATATTCACACCAATATATTACACCTGGTATGCTACCTTCATTTGTTTGCCCTTCAGATATTTACTGGGTACCTAAATTGTGCCCAGTGCTAGAGTCTGGGATGAAAAAGACCAGTGCCTGTTTGTGGTACCTAACAGTCCAACAATGACTGAATTAGATAGGACCTTTTGGCCCTAGAGTATAAATTGGGATCGTTGTCTCATCAAAACAATGTGCAGAGGCCGGGCGCAGTGGCTCACTCCTGTAATCCCAGCACTTTGGGAGGCCAAGGCAGGTGGATCACTTGAGGTCAGGAGTTTGAGACCAGCCTGGCCAACATGGTGAAACCCCTGTCTCTACTAAAAATAGAAAAATTAGCCGGGCATAGTGTTGCATGCCTGTAATCCCAGGTACTTGGGAGGCTGGGGTGGGATAATTGCTTGAACCCAGGAGGCAGAGGTTGCAGTGAGCTGAGATAGCACCACTGCCCTCCAGCCTGGGCGACAGAGTGAGACCCTGTCTCAAAAAACAAAACAAACAATCAAAAAACAATGTGAACAATGTGCAGAGGGTAAGGGTGGGGTTGGTTCTCCAAAGGAAAATTGAGTCACTATTAGCAGAAGAGGGGCAATGGCTGCTGGCAGGAAAAAGCAATAGCTGTTCCACTACACCTAATTAGTATGTTACTCCATCTTTCTGAGCCTTAGCTTCCTCATCTGTAAAATGGGGATAACAATGATACATGAATGATAGGATTATTTTGGAAGATTAAATGAGTTAAAACATATGTAAGGTGCTAAGAATAGTGTGGAGAACCTAGAATCTGTAAATATTTGCTACCATCATCATCATCATCACGCCAAGCTGCGGCTCTGCGAGTCCTTCTTACATATTGTTTTCATAATGGAAACTCCTGGCCATACCCCAATCCCCCCGCAAGCAACAGGACTTTTTGAGTAGTAATAAAAAAGAAGAGGGAGAAATTTGGCAACTTCCCCTTCTGCAATCACATAGCCAGTGCCTTCTCAGGTTTCCCCTTTGACTGGGGATCTGCAGCCTATACGTGTTAATTTAAAGTGAACTCTCCAAATGGCAACTTGTGCTGGAGCCCCAGGCTGTGCAGACAGAGCCCTTCTCCACAGAAGGTTCCAGGCCGGTGGCTTCCATCCAGCCTTAACCCTGTGCATACTCATAACACAAAACTGATGGAAAGTGATTGAAATGTAAGTTTTTGTTGCACTGAGATGCTAAATTCAGGATTGGGAGCATATGGTTCACTCCATATTTGTTTTCTGCATATCTGATGTTAGCAGTTTCGAACATCGCTGGGACGCTCCCTGGAGAATTTCAGTTCTGTAAATGAAACAATTATTTTGGCAGTTTTGGAGAGATATATTCATAACTTTCATGGTATTTAAAGGGGAAATACACCTTCCCCAAGTCCCTTTTTCCCTTGCCAGATATGAAGAATGAAATTAGAGTGTCGAGGGGATAGAAGGCATAAATAGAAAAATCAGCAGTCAATGTGTTGTGTTCACGATTGGATTTCTAGGATTGACAGTGAGACAGGAATTAAAAGAGTTTCTCTAAATCTGGGCACAGGGAAGCTGTAGAGAACATCACGCCTGAGGCATCACGTTCATTCATTCAATCATCAATTATCTAACAAGCAACTCTGATGTGCTCTTGCTGAAGTCTGAGATTAAAAGAACCAGGATTTATCCTCAGTAACAGTTTATAGTCTATAAAATTGTATAGTTAGGACCCTGTGGTTGCAAGTAACAGAAGGCACTTTACAACAAGCTTAAGTAAAAAAGTGAAAAAGCCTGGGCACAGTGGCTTATTCATGTGCTCACAGGACTTTGGGAGGCCGAGGAGGGTGAAGGCTTGAACCCAGGAGTTCAAGACCAGCCCGGGCCACATAGCAAGACCCCATCTCTACAAAAATGTTTAAAAACATTAGCTGGGCATGGCGGCATGCACTGATTCCCAGCTACTCAGCTGAGGCAGGAGGATCTCCTTTGAGCCCAGGAGTTCAAGACTGCACTGAGCTATGATCACCCCATTGCACTTCAGCCTGGGCCACAGAGCGAGACTCTGTCTCTAAGATAAAATAAAATAAAAAAGAGAAAATTATTATAATGATAAAGTGGTGTCCTGTGGAGCCCAAGTGACAGAAATGCAAGATCTGGACCTAGGAATTAAAAGCTGGGGCCCAAGCAGTTCCCTTGTGTGTCATTTATCTCTCACGCCTTCCCAGCTTTTCCTCTCTGCCTCCTGGTTTCCTGTTTTCTCAATCCACATAGCAGAACATGGTCACCCCCACAGCTCCTGAGTTTTTACATCTCTCTACATTTGAGAGACCATCCTGGCAGGAAAAGAACCTCTTTGACCCAATTCTAAATTCAGGGAGTGAGGCTGATTGGTTCAGTTTGCAGGTAGTTACTCCGAGTCCAATCAACTGGGGCCAGGATGTGGAGTTATGAACAACTTGGTCACTCAAACTGGTCCCTGGACCAGCGATAGCATCTCATCTGGGAGTTTGTTGGAAATACTGACTCTCAGGCCACCCCCTGACCTACTGAATCAGAATCTCCATTTTCACAAGATCCTCAGGTCATGAGTATGCACGTTAGAGCTGTAGAAACAACATAGCTGCCCGACCATCACTCTGTGTATGAGGTGGGCACTTACAGGTTGGTGGCAGCTGAGCAGATAGCTCAGAATGGTTCTACTGCAATAACATACATATGATCAGCTCTGGAGGCTACTTCTGGAGAGAAACAGTACCTCTTAAGAACATCCATAGAGGAGAGTGACTTGGACATTTATCATGGTATAAATGAAATGTTTCATGTCTATGTGATGCTTTCTTAATAGTTCCTGGATTCTGTCTTTCCTTCCATATAGCAGGTGGCAGGCTTCTAATAGGGTTTCTCTGATCTCATATTAAGTCTGGAAAATTCATGCATCCCAAATGGGCCACAGGGATGAGTGGTAAACCTGCCCAGAACAAGAAGGTCCAAATATGGGAGTCCTATGGCATGTCCATGGCTCTTTACGACTGAGCATGGTCTTTTTGGAAATGCTCTTGCACACAGACTACAAGGACCTGGACTCCCAGCCTGGATATTCCAGAGATTGCTTTGAATCTTAGAATACTAACGTAAAAGACGATTCCTGTCTTCATGAGAGTCTTCTCTTTTACACGCTAGAATGGACCTTCTGTGAGAGATCCTCAAGTGTAGGGTGTGTGGCCAGGGTTTTTAGTATTTGTAGTTCATAACATGGCTCACCTGTTGTGTAGGACCAGATAACTCATCTTGCGTTGTTGTTTTTTTTTTTTTTTTCTGCCTCCAAGGCACACAGAAGGTGCTCACTTCATGCTTGGGAATGCTCAGAGCATCCCATCTTGAATGGAAATGAAGACAAGTGAGTAGATTTTTGCCATGACTTTGCAAAGTGTGCTCAATCAGGACTCACCCAACTACTTTCTCTGGAGGCCTGAGACAAGCTTCAAGTGCAAAGCATTCTGAACCCAGACCATTGGAGGAGAATCCAGGCAATAGGTCTCATTTCACTCACTATTCATGTCCCCACTTTATGCCCATCCCAGAATTGTTTGCATGCCTCCAAATACAAAATACATGAGAACAATAGGATGTGTATGTGTACAAGTGTACACACATGGGAATTGTATGTTCAGAATTTCTTTTCCAACAAAAACATGAGGTCAAAATAGTTTAGGGACTCCTAATTTAGAGCTGTAGTTATAAAACTTTTTCAAAGGCAGCGCACAGCTCTATTTACTTAATAAACCTTTCTATAGTGCTTGCTACATGCCAGGCACTGCTCCAGGTATACTGCAAATATGAATGTATTTAGTCTTCATAACCACCTCATTAGAGTAGGTTATGGCAATATCTCATGTGTGGAAACTGAGGCACAGAGCGGTTAGGTCACTTGTCCAGGGTCACCCAGCTAGAAAGAGGAAGCTGGGATATATACCCAGGCAAACTGTTTCTAGTCTTTCAGGATCTCAGACGCTAATTAGGCTGCCCCTTCTAACAAAATCTTACATAAAGCCATATGACCAAACAAAAATAAACAGAGCAGCTCTTGTTTATATGGAGTGAGGAGTATTTTGGCTTTCCTCTCAACTCTTTCCTACATCCTTCTTTTTCTCCCTCCCTCTCTCCCTCCCATCCTTCCTTCCTTCCTTCTCCCTTTTCCCCCTCCTCCCCCTCTTTCTCCTTTCTGTGAAGTGCAAAGTACCCCAGGGAACACAGTTTGCAAACCATCAACCTAATCCAACCTGATAATTTCATGAAAGTTTACTTTACCTTCTAGAGGGGAAGTGGTGGCATGTTTTTATCTTGGGTCACTCAGCTTCTGCATGGCAGAGCTGAAGGGATCTCACTTGCAACTCAGGGGTCTTTCTGCTACCCTAAAGAAGATGTGAGGGGATGAGTTAGATAAGCCTTCCTCCAGGGGCTGCCCCTTTAGGAAAAGCTCTCCTCCTTTCCCTTTTTAAAGCACATTTAGGGCCGGGTGTGGTGGCTCATGCCTGTAATCCCAGCACTTTGGGAGGCTGAGGTGGGAGGATCATTTGAGGTCAGGAGTTCAAGACCAGCCTGGCCATCATGGTGAAACCCCATCTCTACTAAAAACACAAAAATTAGCCAGGCATGGTGGTGGGAACCTGTAATCCCAGCTACTCAGGAGGCTGAGGCAGGAGAATCACTTGAACCCAGGGGGCAGAGGTTTCGGGGAGCCGAGATTGCGCCACTGCACTCCAGCCTGGGCGACAGAGTGAGATTCCGTCTCAAAAAAAAAAAAAAAAAAAAAAAGCGTATTTGGAATGTATGTGTATTAATCCCCAGGTTATAATTCTTCCCTTCTTTTTCCTTGTTGAGTTTTGCATGATTTGCCTTCCAGTTCCTTCCTTTTGCTCAGTTAATTGATTTTACCAAGTTTCCGACTTGAGATGATTTCAGGCAGCTAAAATTTGAATATGACAGACTAGGCTGTAAGGAGATGCAGCCGTGATGCTAAACATCCGCTCAGGCTGAAGAGGCCGTCGGCAGCTACTCATGCTGAAATGACAGGTGCTTTTACTGCGACAGCCATACCTGGTCCTGATTACCCACGTGGAAGTGCAGGGGACGGCTCAGGACCTGTTGTAGCTGCCTGCACACACGGTGACAGGCCACTTACAAAAATTATTTGTGATTTGCACTCTGCTATCAATCGAGATTGAGAGTATTGATCCCAACTGATTGCCAAGGACCAAAATAAAGTGAAAGGGTAATTGACTGCCGTGTCCCCCATCGATCGAGTGCCACAGTTCATTGCCACTGAAATTATTTTCAAGTACTTTGGTTTATCATTCCTAATAAATATAGAAATTGAGTAATCAAAATGACTTACATTCACATCGAACCAAAAGCTTTTAAGGAAGTGTCTGTGTTTAAGTGAGTCCATATTCTACATGGGTTTTCCAATGAAGCCCCCAGGGTCCATTCTGACAGTGCTAGGATGATGCCTGGCTTCAGAAAAAAAAAAAGAAAAATAATAAAGCGTCATCATCTCAGAGGCAGGAATCCCAGGCTCCAGTACTTCTCCAGTGATGTCATAGTAATTGTGGCCCCGGGATTTGAAGGAAGACCGCTCCTAAAGCGTCATGCCGTCCATCTTATTCATAAACGAAGCATGTTTTCCTCAAAGCAGCAAGACCGCTTATTTATTTCATTCCCCTCAGCATTGCTCATAAACGTATAACAGTTGTTTTCAGGTTTACAGCAATGTTAGCAGGAACGTTATTAAATCAAAGTCATCACTAGCCATATAAATATAGATTATATGGTGTGTGGCCCTACAGTTCTGTAGAAATACAGCTTTAAAAAATTATTTTAAAGAAAGATCTAGGCTTCTATTAAGCAGGTGGCTGAAAAGTATTATTGAGATGCCAGAATGTGCTTTGGGAACTGAAGTTCTGTAGCTCAGCCCTATCTAGTAGAAATACAGCCAGAGGCATTTCTGAAAAATACCATGATATGCAAAATCTCACAACAAAAACTACAGGGCTTATGAAGGGAGTGGGGTTAGGGACATAATATTCAGAAACCTTGTCAGCGACCCATAATAAAAAAAGACAGGAGCCTAGTAAAAAGAGTAGCCTGGTTTTACATATTTTAAATGGCTAAGAAATACATAAATACTACAATAAATATGGCAGTTTACCTTGTGAAAGACCTTGGCTTTGCCTGTGGAAGTGGCCTCGGAAGGGTTGCTGCTTACGAGTGATTGGGAAGCAGTGGGAGGAGGGCTATCCTAAACTGGGTGAAAAGTTGCAGCCCCAGATGTAGGCAGGTGTGCTGTTGAACATGTATAGTAAACTGAGGTAGCTGGTGGATTTTGAGGTGTGTTAGCATTTTGTGTATTTCCACACAGCTCGGTTCAGGCAGGTGTAGTTTTCTGAAGTGTTCACCTAGCGTTTCTTGCAGATGTAAGCAAACACAATATTTATGTTATATTCAAATCATATTCTCAATATGTCGGTCATGTTGGAACAAATTTCCATTTTCAAAATAAGCATTATAGTAGAGCTGACTGTATCATAAAAGCCATAAATGGAAACCCCATAATAATTTTACATTTTCTTAATAGCCATATTTTAAAAACTAAAAAGAAACAGATGAAATTAATTTTAATAATACATTTCATTTACCCCAATGTATTCAACATATTATCATTTCAACATGCAATCAATATAAAAAAAATTAATGAAATGTTTTTGTATAGTAGGTCTTTGAAACTGTGTATGTATTTTATACTTACAGCATATCTCAATTCAGACTAGTCACATTTTAAGGGCTCTGTAACCACATATGCCTCATGTACTGAGAGCAAAGGTACAGAGAATAAGAATCTCTGTACCTTGGACAGGGAGGTTACAGATAAAAAATATAAATCAGCAGTGGAAAGTGGAAACTCACTGTAGGGTGCAGGATCTCCCACTTTCTGTTGCCCAAAAATAGCAATTAGGCCCATACTCCAGATCTATCCATCTATCTATATATTTATATATGAGAGAGAGAGAGAGAGAGAGAGAGAGAGAGAGAGAGAGTGAGAGACTGAGACTGTGTGCAGAAAACAAATTCCTATGCTTAAGCCACAAAACAAATCCACTTCATTTATGCCTCATTTTTTATCATAGTAATTCAAGTGTGAAAGCACAGTCTTTGATGGTCATACATATGTCAGTCAACTTCATGAATTCCTCTAGGACAATAACCACGTCTACAGATCTCTTCACCCGCGATGTTTAATTAATACATGCTTGGCATGCAGTAGGTACTCAGTAAATTGACCAAAACCTCATCACCAAGCCAAAAAGAAAAAAAAAATAGAGCCTGGGAATGGTGGCTCATGCCTGTAATCCTAACGCTTTCGGATGGTGGAGCAGGAGGATTACTTGAGTCCAGGAGTTCAAGTCCAGCCTTGGCAACATAGCAAGACCCTGTCTCTAAAAAAAATTTTTTTTTAATTAGCTGGGCATGATGGCACATGCCTGTAATCTCAACTACTTGGGAGGCTGAGGCAGGACGGTTGCTTGAGCCTGGGAATTTGAGGCTGCAGTGAGCTATGACTGGCCACTGCACTCCTGCCTGGGCAACAGAACAAGCGAGACCCTTATTCTTAAAAAAAGAAAAGTCGACAACAAACTTAACACACCAGACCAGGCCCATAAAACCCCTTTTTCTTTTTTAAAATTAATATACTCAGCCCTTAACGTTACTTCATTATTACCTCAGTTGTCATAACTTTCAAAATTCTGTATATTTTAGGCATTTTATGTCAGGAACCCTGTTAAATGTTTCCTGAGCTGACTTTGACTCATGTATCAGGTTGTCATCTGCCGTATGGTTTAAGCTCTTGAATGGCAATTAAAGAACTAGAAAAGTTAGAATGAAATTCTCTTACTCTTAGCTTGTGTGTCTTGCCACTTACTTATTCATTCACTAAGCATTAATAGACCACTTAAGGGTCATTGGTCATCACCTCCCTTCTCATCCTCTATGCTTTGGAGAGATCCAGCATTTCAGTCCCCACGCCCTCCACTCCACCACACACATCATGCGCTTTCCCCATTGGCCTTTGCACATGAACTTATAAACCTGGCTAGGCCAGCGTGGTGGCTCACACCCATAATCCCAACACTTTGAGAGGCCAAGGAGGGTGGATTACCTGAGGTCAGAAGTTTGAGACAAGCCTGTCCAACATGGCGAAATCCTGTCTCTACTAAAAATACACAAATTAGCTGGGCATGGTGGTGAGCGCCTGTAATCCCAGCTACTTGAGGGGCTGAGGCAGGAGAATTGCTTGAACCCAGGAGATGGAGGAGGTTGCAGTGAGCCAAGATTGCACCACTGCACTCCAGCCTGGGCGATGGAACAAGACTCTGTCTCAAAAACAAAACAAAAAACAAAACCCTGGCTAGTCCCACCTCCTGCCTCAGGCCTCAGCTTAGATGTTTCTGCCTTAGAGAGTCCTCCCTGAGGCTCACTGGGTCTGAGTTCCCTATCTCTCCACTCTGTGTCTATCACCCTCCACCATCAATGCACCATTTTATCATTACCTAAAGTATCAGTACTTTGCTGTATCTGGGATTCATTCTAAAGCTCTGTAAGGGCACAGGTTCTATTTCTTGTGTTATGCCTGCAGTGTGCATATCTTCAAAGGCAGAGCTGGAGACCCTCCTGTATGGTCAGGCCGTGATGAGAGTCAGAACCATCACTGAGTGGATAGTGGGACAGATTACAGGAACCTGTAGGCTTCCACTCTTGCAGCCTCCAAAATTGACTTCATACCATAGTCAGAGTGATTTTAACAAATCCAAAGCACATCATGTTACACCCTTATTTAGATACTTTCAGTGGCTTCTCATGGTTCTTAGAATAAAATCCAAGCCCCTGATCCTAGCCCAGACAGCTTTCCGTGGCCCGGCCTTTGCACATCTTTCTCCTTTATCTTATACCACCCTCTTCATTGTCCTCTCTGCTTCACCCACTCTGATCTCCTTTCCCATCCTTGGATGTACAAGCAGGCCTTTGCCTGTGCTGTTCTTTCTGCCTGGAGCACTCTTCCTCCCCCCTCAAATCCTCATGTGTTTGGCTTATTCTCCAGGTTCCAGCTCAGATGTCACCTCCTCAGAGTCCTTTCCTGACCACTTTACCTAAAATGGCCTTTCTCAATTTCTTTATCTCATCACCCTGTTTATTTCTCTCGTAAAACTCGTCTCTACAGGTTATGATACTGTTGATGTATTTGTCTACCTTTCCCCTTTAGAGTATAAGCTTCTTGAGGGTTGGGACCAGGCCTATCTTGTTCACTTCTGCTTCCCTAGCATCTAAAATATCTAGGTTCTTGGTAATATTGCTGAATGAATGAATAAGGTACGTGTGTGTGTGTGTGTGTGTGTGTGTGTGTTTGTGTAATCAAATAGACATGGGCGGTGAAAGAGAGGGAGTCAGCGATTTCTAACTTCGTCATTTTGTCCCACTTAAGCAGACCCTGGTAGAAGGATGCCTGCATTTGGGAAGTGACACCAGGAAACAGTGGTAGAGTAGTGGAAAAGTGAGTAAGGCTAGGGAAGTCAATGAATTATCAAGCTTGCTACCTTGTGGATAACTGGGAAGACCACTTAGGAACCCTGGGCAGCAGAATAGAATGTGTGCTTCAGAATGACTCCCCCCGACCCTCGTGATGCCCCTGTCCCCTGGGGGCTGGGGGAGCTGCAGTACATATCTACCAAATCTTTCTTTCTTTCTTTTTTTTTTCTTTTTGAGATGGAGTCTCACTCTGTTGCCCAGGCTGGAGTGCAATGGCACAATCACGGCTCACTGCAGCATCAACCTCCCAGGCTCAAGTGATCCTCCCACCTAAGCCTCCTGAGTAGCTGGGACTACAGGCATGTGCTACCATGCCTGGCTGATTTTTCATTTTGTTGTAGAAATGGGTTATTGCCATGTGGCCCAGGCTGGTCTTGAACTCCTGGGCTGAAGCAATCTTCCCACTTCAGCCTCCCAAAGTATTGGGATTATAGGCGTGAGCCACCACATCCAGCCTATCAAATCTTTTATAGTCATTAGTTAAGGGTTGTGGCTTGAGGGGAGTTAATTCTCCTGTGCTTCTGGCCCATGGGGTAGACTGGGTTGAACTCTCACAGTAAGGCTGCAGGTAGCTGGACGTCTGCAGAATGCTATAACGGTAAGGCCCAAGGAAATATAGACAAGACACCACCAGCATCAACTGCCCATGTCCATAACCAAAGCAAGGCCCACAGAAAAGGGGCATCCAGATGGCAGGTTGGGGATGAATGAATCAGGCTTGGGGATCTTGAGTATCCCCTGCAGGCTCACCTGCAGGATATCCAGGTGAATATGTCCAACAGGCAGTTGCAAATACGGGTACAGAGCTTAGGAGAGAGGAGGTGGCTGCAAAGGAGTAGAGAGGAGGTGTATTTGACAATCACTGGCAGATGAAGGTGCGCTGTAGCCATGGGGTTGGATGAGATGGCCTTTGTTTGCTGAGCCACATGGCAGTGTGTGCCACAGTTGGGCATTTCATGTCTTGAAGCAGCCTTTTCCTGTTCTCCATGACTCTGCCACATTCTAATTTTCCTCTCATCTTTCCAGCAGTTGGTAATATTTATGGAGTGAATGGGAAGAGGGATGAGGAAGGGCAGGTCGAAGAGCCTGTGCCAGAGGCTGAGGGGAAGTGATTAGGGATATAGATGGGAGAGTGGAGGACGCTGATCTTGGAGCGACAAATCTCAAGAGGGAAATGACAGGCCAAAGTGCTGGGGAAATTTCAAGAATTTGGGTTCAGAGGTTTCTCTTCAGCCAGTAAACAAATATTTTTTACTATATTTCAAATTACCTAAAATGCCCTGAAAAGTAGAAGGAATATATCTTCCTTTAAGAAAGGAGCAAAGTGCTTCATGCCTGTAATCCCAGCACTTTGGGAGGCCAAGGCAGGAGGATTGCTTGAGCCTAGGAGTTTGACACTAGTCTGGGCAACATGGCAAAACTCCGCAATTACAAAAATTTTTTTAAAAATTAGCTTGGGCTGGTGATGCACACCTGTTGTTCCAGCTACTGGGGAGGTTGAGGTAGGATTGCTTGGGCCCAGGAAGGAGGCTGCAGTGAGCCGTGATTGTACCACTGCACACCAGCTTGGGCAACAGAGCAAGACACTGTGTCAAAGGAAAAAAAAAAGGAGCAAAGAAAAGCAGGATTGGTTAGTCCAAAGTAAGTTGTGTCATAAGCCATTGCCACATGACAACCAGCAACAGCATTTCAGTGGCATATTTTAAAAGCATCTATTTAGCTCACACATCTGCAGGATGCCTAGGGGTTAGATGACCAAGGCCAGGACTGGTTTGAATGGTTTGGCCAGGTGACTCTGCCCAACTTGTCCCTCATCCTCCTCCTGGGACTAGTGGGCTAGCCTGGGCAATTTTTTCTCAGGTCAGTGCCAGAAGCACAAGAGAGCATGCCCAATCTCATAAATGCTTTTTCAGCCTTTGGTCCTATCATCCCAAAGACCAAACAAAGATTAACATTCCATTGGCCAAAGCAAGTCATGTGGCCAAACTCAAAGTCAAGAGAAGGGAAAGTACATTCCTATCATGGAGGTAATGGGAGTAGGAAGTGAATGTTTCTAAACCATAATCTAATCTACCACATAAGAATCCAGGGGTCAGAGAGAAAAGAAATTAGGGAAACGCTGTTTAGCTTCCTTCTTGAGTTATTGCATTATTGTTTTCCTATTCTTGAAATTTCCAAGCCCTAGCAAGGGTGCCGTTGACTTGGTTGAGGTCACTGGTGTCAGCAGAATAGAAAGAACTAGTAACAGGGGCTGGCTGCTTCCTCTTCAGCAGAATCCAGATAGGGAACTTCAGAAATTGCCAAGGGACCCACCCCCAAGAGGACATTTGCATTCAGCACTGAGCCTTCTCCTGCCAGCATCATGTGATGTGAGGAGGCCTTGCAATTTCTGCTTATTGTCCCCCCCTCAGCATGGCTGAAGAGTTGAGAGAGAAGTTATCAAAAGGTAGAGAAATATGGAGAATCAATGACTTCGAACAGTTGTATCTCCCCTTTTATCACTGAGGTTCACAATTTTGTATCTTCTGAATCTTAAGTTCCTTAATCAGCACGAGACAAGGAGATAAAAACACATTGCTGCAATCACGGGGGTGAGTCAGTAATTATCATCGAAGAGTACAATTGAAAACACATTTTATTTAAATATTTATCTTAGAGAACTGCTGTTTGAGAGTTTACAGTGCTTCTAGCGGGTGCAGCGGTTTGGGAGCCAGTGACCTCTCATTTCTGGCTCTTTTGATGACTGTAGGAGCCTGGAAGTTTTCTTCCTGGACTCCATCTTCCCCAGCGGTGCTAGTCGCATGGTAATGACTTGATACATTTTTATGAAATGAATAAACTGTAAAATTGGAACAGAACAGCCCATGGAGAGATGAAGGATATGAATGAAATGACATTTAAAACAATTTTGAGTCTTAAAGGTAGAGAGCATCCTGGATTCTCCCCACTTTGAGTGGAGTATAAATTTAAGAGCCTGTGATTTTGTGCAGCATAGGGATTGTAAATATCCCCAAATTACATAAGTATGCCTTTTTTTCTTTACAATGTCAGATATAGAATTTTGTGGGCTCTTCAAAGTAGAGGATGCTCTATACACAAAGGAGTTTGTTCTTTGAATTATCTTTTATTTATTGACAGCTGGGGTGATGCAGGGCTGTTTCCTGTGTTAAGAGAGTGTCAGTTACTTAGCTAATCATATTTATCACCCAGGATTCTTTATTTGTTGATAGCACTGGAGTATATTGGAGTTTTTGTGTGCTACGTGTATATTTCCCTAGCTGCAGTGAATGTGGTTTTTATATTTATGTGAAACTGCTAATGTGTTGCTCGCTAGATCATGAGCAATGGGCTTCTGACAGCTCTGTTCATTAGTCAGCTTGGGGGAAAAAATAAAAGAAAACACATTGATATAGAAACAGAGTGTGAGCCAGCAATTATCATCAGAGAGCACAATTGAAGCCACATTTTATTTAAATATTTATCTTGTGAATTGATTCATACAAAACAAGAAGCTGTTTTTTATTTATGAATGGCTTCACCGCCGAAATTTGAAGAGCAGGAACGCTATTCGAGTTGGGTTTGATGCAGTCCACAGCTCAGAGTAAGGAGAGCTAAATAACGTCAAATTATTCATTGTGATATATCATTAAGATTGTTATGTGTGAATGTGTAGAAAGATGATAACACCGTGCAGCTGTTCACTTCAGAATCCCAACTTTGCATAGTAAGAAGAAGAAGAAAAAAAGCTCATGGATAACTTTTAGTATCAATAATAATAGCAAGTGTTTACAGATGCTAGATAATTTTTACTACCAATAATAATAATAGCAAATGTTACAGATGTTAACCACCTGCGAATTGCTCTTCTAAATGCATTATATGTGTTAACCCTATCAAGTACTCTTTTTACCCCCGCGTTACACAACAAGGTTAAAACATTTAGCAAAGTTTGCATTAGAGTGAAGTACCATTTATAGGACAGGATTTCTGGGGGTGCCGCTGAAAGACCTGACTACTTGCCAGTTCCAGTTCCTTTCTGGCACCTCTTAATGGTGATTGGTCACTACAGCGTCAATATTAATGGGGAGGATTCTGGGTCCTGTGTCTTGCTAGGATTTCCAGGGACGGCAATTCCAGAAGTTTTCCGATTAGTTGGCATCCGTTTAATTAGCCCATCTAGGAAGATGAGTCAGGAGAGTTCTGATGATGTGGGGATCCGCCACCCTCCTTCCCAAAACAGGGTCTTTAGATATTTTGCCACCTGACCTCACCCTTCCTTCTCCCTGCAACCACCTTCACCCTCAATATACAGGGAAAGAACTTTAGCTCACCTTTGTTTGACAGTTAGATTGTGGACAGGAGGCGGGCGTGGTGGCTCACGCATGTAATCCCAGCACTTTGGAAGGCCGAGGCAGGCAAATCACTGGAGGTCTGGAGTTCAAGACCATTCTGGCCAACATGGAGAAACCCCGTCTCTACTGCAAATACAAAAAATTAGTTGGGTGTGGTGGTGCATGCCTGTAATTCTAGTTACTCGGGAGGCTGAGGCAGGAGAATAGCTTGAATCCAGGAGGCAGGGAGGTTGCAGTGAGCCAAGATTGCACCACTGCACTCCAGCCTGGGTGACAGAGAGAGACTGTCTCAAAAACAAAAACGGGCCGGGCGCAGTGGCTCACGCCTGTAATCCCAGCACTTTGGGAGGCCGAGGTGGGCGGATCACGAGGTCAGGAGATTGAGACCTTCCTGGCTAACACAGTGAAACCCCGTCTCTACTAAAAATACAAAAAAAAAAAAATTAGCCGGGCGTGGTGGTGGGTGCTTGTAGTCCAAGCTACTCGGAGGCTGAGGCAGGAGAATGGTGTGAACCCAGGAGGCGGAGCTTGCAGTGAGCAGAGATCATGCCACTGTATTCCAGCCTGGGCAACAGAGTGAGACTCTGTCTCAAAAACAAAAAGAAAAAAAACAAAACAAACAACAACAACAACAAACAAACAAAAAAACAAGAAAGAAAGATTGTGGACAGGAGTTCAATCACCAATGGCGTTTTAGGACTTTGCATTATTATAGATATTTACTGTGCTATAAGTTTAAAAATTAATCCTCTATAGTTGGACCTTGAGATTATTTGCAATTCGCCAACATGACATTGCAAGCATCTTTGACTGGACAGCTTTGCATACCTTTCTTACTGCTCTTTTAGGACAAATCCCTAGATGTGCTATTTTTGGGTTAAGGCTTTTCATACACATTGTGTTTGCCCTCCAAAAAGTTTGAACCTGTTTATGTTCCAGCCATTATGGAATGTGAGTGCTACACCTGTGGTTGTTCCATGTAATGAATGCAAAGCTGGAGAGAAGCAGGCAGGCTGTTGAGTGCATGAATTCAGGAATAAACACCAAGATAAGTGTGTTCAGACTATGGGTTGTCAATGACAGCAATTAATTTGGCAAAACAGAGAATTTTGGAAAGAAATGGTATTAGTTCAGCAAGTCGTATGTAGAAAAAAGTGCAATTGATACGGCTTGGCTGTGTCCCCACCCAAATCTCATCTTGAATTGTAGCTCCCATAATTCCCATGTGTTGTGGGAGGGACTGGTGGGAGATAATTGAATCTTGGGTGCGGTTTCCCTCATACTGTTCTCGTGTTAGTGAATAAGTCTCATGAGATCTGATGATTTTATAAGGGGTTTCCCCTTTCTTTGGCTCTCATTCTCTCTTGCCTGCTGCCATGTAAGACGTGGATTTGCTCCTCCTTGCCTTCCACCATGATTGTAAGGCCTCCCTGGCCATGTAGAACTGTGAGTCAATTAAACGTCTTTCCTTTATACATTACCCAGTCTTGACTATGTCTTTATTAGCAGCATGAGAACAAACTAATACAGCACTAAAGGGGAAGATAAGGGACTCAATGCACCATTTTGTGTGAGCACTTGGGACCTGTGGAAGAAACCTAAAGTGAAATCTTACAAAGAAATAAGGATTTAGGAAAGAGACCGCGAAAATGAAACATTGTAGATATTGTATAGGTCATAGGAGATAGAGGAAAAGGAACAAGAAAAGATAAGCCTGATATAAACAAATGAAGTTATAAATAAGAGGAAAAAAAGAAAGGACTAGCTTTCTATTGCATATGTTGGAAGGATACCTTCAGACCAGATGGGTTTCACAATTTTGGTATTAAAAAAAGTCCTGCCTGAAAACAGTGGGGTGTGGGGTGTAGCATCACTTCCTTCTAGGAGCTGGTTTGGATATTCCAGTTACTAAGTATACCCAGAGGTACTAAAATCTGGGCACTGACTCATGGGAACCAAACTCACAAGAAACTGATGTATGAAGCCAGACTGCAATTCATTTATAATGCTATCTGCAGCTACAAAAGGCACCATATTCTCATTCTCACTGGACTCTATATTGTTTGCCTAGGGACAGAGCTTCATGTGAAGCCACATTATGATTAGAAGTTGCTTTGTAAGTATAGTCATAGGAAGGAAATTAGTCTAGTGGCCTTAAAAAGTAGTGTGTTAGTTGAGACTCTCTCAGAGATCAATGATTAGAAATCAAACTTAAATTTAAGTAAAGAAGGAAATTATTTACTCATTTGACTGGGAAGAAATGGGTTCTGGCAAAGTTGGACTCAGGAGTTCAAACAATATCACCTAGACTTTGCTTCTCTACCATTCAGTCCACTGAAGGATGGATGCTCTATGCTGGTAAGGAATTTGTCTCTATGGCCCCTTGTTCCTAAGCCATTGCTCAAGGAGGATTTGTTGAATAGTTCAGAAAACAAGTTCTTAAGCCAAGACATTCTTTCTTCAGTCAGTGCTAAAAAGTAACTGCTAAATTTTATCCCCCTGAAGAAACTCTATAAAGAGGCCCAAATCTTCCTGATCATAAGAATCATTTTCAAATATCAATTTCTAGCTCTCTTTCCTGGAGAATCACTGTAGCAGGTTTGGTGGGACCCAAAAGTCTGTGTTTTTAACCAAATGTCTAGGCATTCTTTTTTTGAGACAGAGTCTCACTCTGTTGCCCCGGCTAGAGTACAGTGGCATGATCTTGTCTCACTCCAGCCTCCCCGTCCTGGGCTCAAGCAATCCTCCCAGCTCAGGCTCCTGGGTGGTTGAGACTACAGGCATGCACCACCATGCCTGCCTAATTTTTGTATTTTTAATAGAGACAGGGTTTTGCCATGTTGCCCAGGCTGGTCTTGAACTTCTGGCCTTACGTGATCTGCCTGCCTCAGCCTCCTAAAGTGCTGGGATTACAGATGTGAGCCACTGCACCCGGCCTCTGGGCATTCTTTTATTTTTTGAGACGGAGTTTCACTCTTGCTGCCCAGGCTGGAGTCCAATGGCACCATCTCGGCTCACTGCAGCCTCTGCCTCCCCAGTTCAAGTGATTCTCCTGCCTCAGCCTCCCAAGTAGTGGGGATTATAGGCATGCACCACCACACCCGGCTAATTTCGTATTTTTAGTAGAGACAGGGTTTCTCCATGTTGGTCAGGATGGTCTCAAACACCTGATCTCAGGTGATCCGCCCGCCTCAGCCTCCCAAAGTATTGGGATTACAGGTGTGAGCCACTGCACCTGGCCCTGGGCATTCTTATGTTTAGGAGAGGAGAGGGAGAGACATTGATTCAGACCAGCACTTCTCAGATGTTAGCGTGCATACAAATAATTTGGGGCTCTCGTTAAAGTGCGGGCTCTGATTCAGTAGGTCCGAGGCAGGGATCAGATCAATCCTTCCTTCCTTCCTTCCTTCCTTCCTTCTTTCCTTTTTTTTTTTTTATTGAGATGGCATCTCACTCTGTCGCCCAGGGTGGAGTGCAGTCATGCAATTTCAGCTCACTGCAACCTCTGCCACCTGAGTTCCAGCAATTCTCGTACCTCAGCCTCCCAAATAGCTGGGACTACAGGCACACACCACCACGCTCGGCTAACTTTTGTATTTTTAGTAGAGACAGGGTTTCACCATGTTGGCCAGGCTGGTCTCGAACTCCTGATCTCAAGTGATCTGCCCACCTTGGCCTCCCAAAGTGCTGGTATTACAGGTGTGAAGCCACCACACCTGGCCACAGATTCTTTCTTACAAGCTCCTGGGTGATGTTGCTGCTGCTGCTCTAGGGAAAACATATTAGGAACCACTGACCTGCAGACCAGTGGTTGTTGGGGTCAGTTTCGCCCTTCTAGGGGACATATGGCAACGTCTGGAGACTTTTTATCATCACCCCTGGAGAATAGGTATGACTGGCAACTAGTAGGTAGAGGCCAAGGGTGCTGTTAACCACCCTACTGTGTACAGTAGACTGCCCCGTACAACATAGAATTTTCCAGCCCAAAATGTCAGTCAACACTGCTGCTGTTCAGAAACCCTGCTGACAGGTATCTCCTTTGTGTAGCACCTAATTTGGGTAGCACATGATACAATCGATGAGGCACAAGCGTTCTTAGCTGCCACCACAGTTTAGTGCCGTCTCACCAGGGTTCTGCTCATGACTCCTTGTTTGGGTTTTGGCTGTTGTTGAAGCAGCTTCATTTCCTATTAGCCATAAAAACAGTAGCCAATGTGATCACTCATCAAGACCTTTTCTGTGTCAGGTACTGTTCCGGGTGCATGATGCACTGTGTGTGAGGTAGTTACTGTCAGTTACCCCTGTTTTCTGAATGTGAAGTCTGAGGCTCGGAGAGATTAAGCTCTTAGGTCATTTCTGCACCTGGAAAGAAAATCACAATAATTGCAATACTGTTTGGCTTTTAAAATAGATAGTATGCAAATGTATACAAAAGTCAAAAAGTACAAAAGAGTATGCAGTGAAGAATAAATCTCTGTTCCTCTCCTCACTCCCAGCCAGCAACTTCTTTTTCCCAGAGGCCATGCTTGCTCTCAGTTTCTTGGGTATCCTTTCAGAAGGGTCTCTGTATTAAAAGATAGATATTTCCACAAAAGGATAGGCTACTCTGTTAGTTTCCCATGGCTGTCAAAACAAATTACCCCAAACTGGGTGGCTTAAAAATAACAGAAACAGGTTTTCTCTCAGTTGTGGAGGCTAGAAGTCCAAAATACAGTCATTGGCAGGATTGGTTTCTTCTGGAGGCTCTCAGGGGAAACCTGGTCCCTCCTCTTCCAGCTTCCAGGGATTGCCAGCAGTCCTTGGAGCGACTTGGCTTATGGCCGCCTGGCTCCATCTCTGCCTCCATCCTCACATGGCCTTTTCCCTGGGTGTCAGTGTCCAACTTGCCCTCATCTTATAAAGACACCAGTCAGTGGATGAGGGCCTGACCTCATAGCTTGGCTACTTCTGCAGAGACGTTATTTCCAAATAAGGTCACATTCCAAGGTACCAGGGGTAAGGACTCCAACGTATCTTTTTGGGTTACACAATTCAACCCATGACAGCCACCAAACGTTGCTTTGTATTTTTTCACCCATCAATATGTCTTGGGTACTAGTCCACATTTATGCATAGAAAACTGCCCTTTCAGTGACTACATAAGGGTCCAGTGTATGGACTTCCTGCAATTTTTTAACCAGCCCTCTCTCTGTTGATGGATATTGAGGCTTTATCAACTTTCTGCGATTTCATATGCATTTTGAGTTGTTCTCTTTTTTTCATTTTTAGAGAATAAGCAAACAACATGGGGAAAGAAATCGCTCCCCATATATTCATATGACTAGATTCCTTAGAGTCAGGAATGATCTGTGAGCACCTTTTCTAGATCGTCCAGAAATATCTTTTGTTTCCCGGGATGGATGAGTCTAGCTTCACAAACATTGACTGAGTGATGACTGTAACAGTTTAAACCTTTGCTGTACATCACCACCACTTGAGGAGCTACTTAAAAATACAGATTTGAGAGATGGTTTGGGGTGGGGCCAAAACTGTCTCTCAAGGAGGTGTGGTCCTGGGAGATATATTTTAAATAAACTTCACAGATAGCTAGGATTGAGTGCCACCAGAATGTGTGCCTTTTACTGTGCTAAGTGTCTGGAATATGGAGATGAATAACGTTCAATCCTTGCCCTTCAGGAGCCTGTGGTCTCTTGGGGAAAAACACTCTTGAACAGAGTGTTGCAATATCAATCAACACAAGGAGCTATCAGCACAGCCCGGTGTAGGCGCTTGGCAGCCTGAGCACTGGGATCAAGATGGTGACAGAGGAGAAGCCCTGAGGACCCAGAGCCAACAAATGTTAGTGCAGCAACGACTTGGTTGCCACCGAGAAGAGAAAAGTAACAAACGTGGGAACAGCATCCCTTACAATCCCATCCTTGTATTTTAAGAAAACTGATGATGCAAAACTTGGGAAGAAGCTGGGGGAAGGTGAGAAGAAATCTGAACCATGGCTATATGGAGGCTGGCCATCTGGAGCCGAATCTGCCTCATCAAACAATCCCTAATTGTTTTTAATAAGGTGCATAAGTTATGTTTGGCTTCCTCCGCTCCATGCAGTCTCCCTGTTGAGACTGTTTTTTATTTTCTTATGAAACAATAAGGCCAATATAATTAAAAAGCAGCGGACATATTCACCTCCCAGAGAATGGGGCAGGTAATTAAGAGCTCCTTCTTGAAGGAAGAGTTGTTTTCTTTCTCCTCTGTGTTGCAGTTTTAATAAAGGAGGAGACAGCGGAGTAAGTACAGTGCTAGTTAAATTCTAGTCTTTATTTTCCCTTCCATTTACACAAGAGGAACTCTTGCACACTTGAAGAAGATGAGGACAGAAACATGTGCCTCTTTGGTTCTCTTTGGTACCCCATACTCAGTATGGCCCCTGGTACTTAGAGGACACTTCATAAATATTTATTGACTGATGGACAGCAGGAGAGGGAAGGACGGAGATCGTCTTCCCTCTAAGCACCATGGAAAGGGTTATCACAAATACTGTCCTCTTGAACTTTCGTCAAAATCCTGCAGAGTCGGATACATTTAAAAAATGACCAAGGTTGGCAAGAGGGAAATAATAAAAAGAGGAGAGTTAGGTGCCCCAGGATAGCATGCTTAGGGGGAGCCTTATGGGGTGAAGGAAGTAAAAGGATGGTAGAGATGTTTTTTCAATATTAATTTTCAGAGAGAAACGAGGGAACAATATAGCTTGCCTGAGATGGGAAACTGTAATTGCAGGATCTAGGAAAGGAAAAAAACAATTAAGCACTTGGTCATATGATCCTCCAGACCGGGAGGACCGAGAAAGTGGGACGGGCAAGAGGGAATCATCGTAAACAGGCCGTGGGGGCTCAGAGACCTCCTTTGGCCAGTGCTTCCCGGACACATGCCCCGTGTCAGGGAATGAATGAAATGCTTCGCTATGTTAGGATGCAGACGCGTCCTGAGCACCCTGGGGGATGGGTTCTGCAAACCCCATTTCACCAATGAGGAAACAAAGATTTGGAAGGCTGAGAAACTGGCCCAAGATCAACATAACAGTGGGAAAGCCAGGATTTGAACACAAACCGGGTCATCCTCACAGCCTGTGCCCTAATCTCCACATTATATTGGCATCCCATTTAATCTCAGATACAGGCAACGTGGTTCCTTATAACTGACCCTGGGCCTTTATCTCATGACTTCCCTAATGGCAACATAAAAATGGATCCTATTTTTATTAAGGTAACACCAAAATATCCATATGTGTACCTATTCACTCAACAATGCATCTTTTTAGTACATAAGGATGCATGGGACATGGACCCTCAAGAGAGTTACAGTTTAGTAGCTGGCCTAAGCAGACAGTGCCAGGCATAAACAACAAAGTCTTATGTCACTATACCGGTAATAACAGGTATATGTTCCTGGACGCCTGCTGGGTGCCTCCCTGGTTCGTCATGCTTTCCTATGCAGAGAGGTCTCTAGGCAACAAGCTGCAGGAGTTCAGATGAGGGAACCATGGCTTTTAGCCAGTGGAAGACTTGACGGAAGGCTGGCGAGGCCCGAGGACGGAGGAGAGGATGGACAAGGCCACTGCAGGGTGGGGGCAAGGGGATTTGGAGGCATTTGTAGATGAGATTATGACACCAGAAAGGAGGGATTAGGGGAAAGTTTGGCCAAGGTGACTCAAGTCAGGTTGCAGCCAGCTTGAAATGCCAGGGAAACCAGGAGTTCAAGACTAGCCTAGGCAATGTGGTGAAAACCCATCTCTACGAAAAATTAGCCAGGTGTGGTGGTGTGCACCTGTAGTCTCAGCTACTCAGGAGGCTGAGGTGGGAGGATCACCTGAACCTGGGAGGTGGAGGCTGCAGTGAGCCAAGATTGTGCCACTGCACTCCAGCCTGGGTGACAGAGTGAGACCCTGCCTCAAAAAAAAAAAAATGCCAGTCTAAGGAGATTGAACTTAATAGGCAGTGGGAAGCTATGGAACTCTGTAGCCATCTTTTTAGGAATCCAAAGGAAAGGGTGTTTGGGAATGTGCAGCAAATTTGGTGCACTGCAAATGATTCTCAGAGGAAGTTCCCTATCTCCTACACTTCTTAGAACTGCTTCAATTGCCAGTGACAGAAGCTTACACCACGTTGGCTTGAGTACAAAGGGATTAGCTGGTTACAATAAGAGTCCCAAGTAGGGGTGGTGGGTTAAGACAGGGCTGGATCTTGAAGCTCAAGCCAGGCTGTGGGGTCTTGGTCCTTCTCTTTCCATCTCTGGGCCTCTCCCTCCCTCTGCAGGCTTCTTTCTCAGGAGTTCCCCAGTCTGGGCACCATCCTCTCAGCAACATCCATGTGGGAGTCCATCACTTTCAACAAATATGCCAATCCCCCCAGAATCCAGCTTCTTTGGCCCACATTAGCTTATTCACACATCTTTGAACCAGTCACCATGGCCAGAAGGATGCCGGGCTCTGCTGAGCCATGCCTGAGCTCCAGTTCCACACCTGAGGTTGGGGTGGGGGGCGCCAATTGGCCTTGAGGATTGAGAGTGGCAAGCAGTGATTCCTTAGAGAGAAAAACAAAACAAAAAACTAGGGTGTTGTTATCAGAAGGAGGAGGAATGTGGGCCTGGTGGGCAAAAACAACAGATGTCCACTGCAACACCTTTGAGAAAACGGCAGAAGGACGAATGGGGATGCATGGTGATGGTCGTAAGCTCTCCAAGACGCAAGGATCAGAGGCGGCCTCCCTGGTCCCTAATGTCTACTTTCTGTAAAGTGGCAATGCGGGCAGTGGGTTTTGCGGTTGCTAAGAGGAGTCTTCAGAAACAGAGAACGCAGGTCGCTGAGTGGGCCGGGGTAGTGCAAAGCTTATTGCAAGAAGTAGGAGTTCTGGTTTCTCTCCGGGTTTAGGAGCTGAAAGCCAGAGGAAGCAGTTGATGTATTCATTTCTGCTGCATTAGGCCTGCAGTTGCCAAATCAGGGTTAAATTTGCATGCCCAGTTTTCCATGCAAAATGTTGTTCTCATGCAGATAGAGTTGCTGCAAACACACATCTGCCCAACTTATGAATAAGTCCCACATTTCAGCCAGTCTGTTGTTCTTAGATGTCAAGTAACAGCCAGTCCTTCTAAAGGGTGCGTTGATGAGGGAAGGCTCGGGCTTCTTTGCTTGATCCAAGATATCTTTGAGAGCCAGGAACCTGCTTTGTGATAATGATCTCCACTTTTACCTTTGAGGGAAAGGAAGTGGCCCTCTAGTCACAGATGGATCATGGCGAGCAGTGGTTCCCGAAGGTTGACTTCTGCAAGCCATCCACACAGGTTTGGAACCACCAGCAGGTCTTCAGAGCACTCTAGTCTGGAGTGCCTTCCTCGAGATCCATCTGTAGGCCAACTCTGGCTGCTTATAGATACATCTGGAGAGTTGGTTGTTGTTGTTAAATGCCAAATCTACTCAGGAGGTAGGAGGATTGCTTGAGCCCAGGAGTTTGAGACCAGCATGGGCATCATAGGGAGACCGTCTCTAAAAAAAGTTTTTAATTAGCCAGGTGTAGTGGGTGTGGTGCACCCGTAGTCCCAGCTACTCTGGAGGCTGAGGTGGGAGAATTGCTTGAGCCCAGGAGCTCGAGGATGCAGTGAGCTGTGATCACACTGGTTCACTCCAGCCTGGGTGACAGAGCAAGACTTTGTTTTTTGTTTGTTTGTTTTTTTAAAGTGCCAAAGCCTAGACCTCCCCTCCAGAGATTCTGATTCAGTTAGTATTACGTGGAGCGCAGGCTTCAGTTTTGTTTTCTTTTTAAAAGCTTCTCAAGTGGTTCTGGTTCTGTAGGCTTGAGAACTATTACCGTTCTCATTAGAACACAGGCCAGGCGCGGTGGCTTATACCTGCAATCCCAGCACTTTGGGAGGCCCGGGTGGGCGAATTACTTGAAGTCAGAAGTTTGAGACCAGCCTGGGCAACATGGTGAAACCCCATCTCTATTAAAAATACAAAAATTAGCTGGGTATGGTGGCAGGAGCCTGTAATCCCAGCTACTCGGGAGGCTGAGGCAGGAGACTTGATTGAACCAGGGAGGCGGAGGTTGCAGTGAGCTGAGATCGCACCACTGCACTCCAGCCTGGGAGACAGAGTGAGACTCCGTCTCAAAAATAAAAAAAGAACTCAGAGTTTGTGTGTTTGCTCCCCTGAACTGTATCTCAACACAAATTACTTGCTTGTTCCCTCTTTTCTTCTGTTCCTGCCTTTTTGTCTCTTTCCCTCACACATCATTCTTTCTTTGGCTATCATTAAATTAAGTGCTTTGGTTAGGCAGTCTCTCAAACAGTCCTGAGCCTCAGTTTCCTGATGTGCATAATTGATGGGCCTACACTCTGTAATTCTGCTTGGTCCTCTCTGGGTGTAAGCTTCTTGAAAACTGAATTTCTAAAATGTAGCCAAACCATCTGTAGGATCCCAAGAAGCCAGTTTGGTTGAACTAATGAAACCATCACTTGATCATAATATAGACTCCAAACTCATGCATTTAGGTCTATAGTTCTCACTTGGGAGTGCTTTTGCCCCCAGGTGACCCTTGACAATGTCCAGAGACTTTTTTGATTATTGCAAATACTCTGCTGTGGGTGTCTAATGGTGAGAGGCCAGAGATGCTGCCAAGTATCCTAGAATGCATGGTACAGCCCCCTAAACCAAGAATTATCCAGCTCGAAATGTCAATAGCGCAAAGGCTGAGAAACCTTGCCTCTGGGTGTTCAGGTTTGACCTCCCCTGTCAGAACCCCAGCCGGTTTGACACGTTATCACCACTTTAATCATCTAAAGCTTGCACCTGCTTGGTTCAGCTGGGGATCTGCTAGAAGTTGTTTTCCAGGATGTCCATGAACTCTCTGCATATTTTCTGGTTTTTCATTTTCACTTTCCCTTAATGTATGAACCACTTTCTCTACTGTGACACATGGTTACCAAAGCTTTTTTTCCCCCTTCTCTCTTGTGTTCCCTCACGCCACACCATTTCAAAGTGGGGGCGAGAGGGACATCTGTTTGGGCCTGAGCCTCTGGAGGAGGCCCTAAAAATGTCTCAAGAGGAACTGAGTTGGAGACCAAAGAGGCGGTGGTGTGTGAAGGCCCTGGGCAGTCCTCTCAGCTCCAGAACGATGATGCTAAAAGAAGCATTAAGTGCTTGCATCTTGTGTTTATACTATTCCTATTTCATAAAGGGAGAAAAATTAAATTAAGAGGTGCTTAGCAGCATTTGGGAGTTGGAGATTTAAATGTAATTTTTCAGAGCCAATTGGCCAACTGGAGGGTTGAGCCATTTATGAGATGAACACAAAGTACATGTGGAAGGAGGGCACTTGAATTACCAAACTATGTGTTTGGTTGAAGTTTTTCCCAGATGATGAAATGTTAATGCATCACTTTTATTTATTTTTATTTTTATTTTTATTTTTTTTGAGACAGAATCTCACTCTGTCGCCCAGGCTGGAGTGCAGTGGCGCGATCTGGGCTCACTGCAAGCTCCGCCTCCGAGGTTCACGCCGTTAATGCATCACTTAACTGGAATTTGGTTTGACAAGGTCTGTGTGTGGCTGGAAAAGGGGGGAAGGGGACGACCAATCATAGGATGATACACAGGGCTGGATCTGTAAATGCTTCATTTCTCAGTCTGTGACTTTACAGAATTGTATCTGTAAAAGAGACAATGATACTGCAATTTTGGTTTACATATGCTTTGGAAAGAGTATATGAAGTAAAGGCATTTTCTTTAATGGACAACTAGAAGCATGTTGGAATTTTAGCCTCTGTGACTATTCAAAAAAAATTTGTAAGCTTTTCTAACAAGAAGTGGTATGCTAAATCAAGTTTCTCTATGGAGAGCTTGTTAGATAAAATAATTACAAAAATTTGAAGAACTCTGGAAGAAATATAATTACTATAAATCATTTTGAAATTGAGGTATATGAGTGAGAAATGGTTTTATGAGTTTTGGGGTCAAGTACAATCACTGAAGGTGTGTCAAAAGATATCTTAGAGTAGCTTTGCTTCGCCTTCATGGAGGAGGGAAAGAAGGAGTTTGCCTAGAGACACCAAAGCCCCTAGATGCTAAGATTATTCAGGATGAATGAGCGGTAATCCTAACTTATTCATTCACCTAGAACAACCAACCACGTAACATTCCTATACTCTCCTCCCTGACAAACCACAATGGCACCAAGCTCCATCAGCCCATTTCAGGAGCACTGGCTCTTTTTTTTTTTTTTTTTTTTTAAGACCGAGTCTTGTTCTGTTGCCAGGCTGGAGTGCAGTGGCATGATCTCAGCTAACTACAACCTCAACCTCCCAGGTTCAAGCAATTCTTCTGCCTCAGCCTCCCGAGTAGCTGGGACTACAGACACAGGCAACCACGCCCAGCTAATTTTTGTGTTTTTAATAGAGACAGGGTTTCACCATGTTGGCCAGAATGGTCTCGATCTCTTGACCTTGTGATCCACCTGCCTCGGCATCCCAAAGTGCTGGGATTACAGGCATGAGCCACTGAGCCCAGCCAGCACTGGCTCTTTTTTTTTTTTTTTTTTTTAACGTTTTCTTTCTATGAGTTCTTTTAACCAGCATTTCCTAATAAAACCCCAGTTTTGAAGGTGTCTGGGCCAACAAGCACATGAGTTCCAAGTCAAATATTTTTGTAAGTGACATCTGTCCTGATCAGTTTGCACAAGCAAATGACTTGTCCAGGCTGGTGACTATATTTGCTTAAGTATTTGGGAATGCTTTCTCCTGAAGAAATCTAATAGAAAGTACATATTTTTCTTTTAAAAAGAAGTGAGAAAAAATAAAAGAACTGACAGAGATGAATTAAGATGAGTAACTGAAATTTGGCCAGTTAGCGAGTGAGCAGCACCCACTAGTTTAAGTGCCGTGTGTGTTACAGGGTTAGGAAGATGCATAGGAAATTAGAGACAGGATAAGAGTTGGGAGGCATGGAAGTCATCTTGTGACCCTCATGATTAGACTGGCCTTGACTTACAGTCTCACAGCCTCTCAGAACATAGTTTCCTCATCTGCAGAATAGGGATAATAAGAGCATGAACCTCATGGTGGTGTGTGGGTTAAATGGGAACATGCACGTGAAACCCTGTAGCAGGTGCTCAGCATATTGTAGATACTCAAGGAATGGGAACTGCTGCTGCTGCTGCTGCTGCTACAGTTATTTGAAATATACAATCCTGGGCCGGGCGCAGTGGCTCATGCCTATAATCCCAGCACTTTGGGAGGCCAAGGCGTGTGGGTCACCTGAGGTCGGGAGTTCAAGACCAGCCTGACCAACATGGAGAAACCCCCTCTCTACTAAAAATACAAAATTAGCTGGGTGTGGTGGCGCGTGCCTGTAATCCCAGCTACTTGGGAGGCTGAGGCAGGAGAATAGCTTGAACCCGGGAGGCAGAAGTTGCAGTGAGCCGAGATCACGCCATTGCACTCCAGCCTGGGCAAAAAGAATGAAACTCTGTCTCAAAAGAAAAGAAATATACAATTCTGCTACTTGTGATATCATGTGTTACTATATTTAATAGTATCTGTGACAGGCAGAATGCCCCTCTACCAAAATGCCCACACCCTAACCCCAGAACCTGTGAATATTCTACTTTACCCTGCAAGAAGGACCTTGTAGTTGCAATTAAGGTTATGAGCCTTGAGGTGGGGAGAGTGTTCTAGATTATCCAGGTGGGCCCGATCTAATCACATGGCTCCTCAAGAACCAGGAACATGTTCCTAGCAGTGGCCACAGAAAGATGTGAGGACAGAGAAAAGCATGCGAAGACACAGACTCGAGGTTGTTAGTTTTGAAGATTGAGGAAGGTGGCCATGAGCCAGAGAATGCAGACAGCCTTTAGAATCAAGGAAAAGCGTTCTCCCTGAGAGCCTCCGGGTGCCAACAGCATGATTTTGGCCCAGTAAAACTTGGGTTGGACTTCTAACCTGGAGAACTATAAGACAATAATTTTGTGTTGTTTTAAATTTGTGGTAATTTGTTACAGCCGTGATAACAAACCAATATACTGAAACTAATACTATTAGTAATATTACTTTTTTGGGCTTTATTTTATTTTGTTTTTTTGAAACAGAGTCTCACTCTGTTACCCAGGCTGGAGTGAAGTGGTGTGATCTTGGCTCACTACAACCTCTGCCTGCCGGGTTCAAGCAATTCTCATGCCTCAGCCTCCTGAGTAGCTGGGACTACAGGCACACACCACCATGCCCGGCTAATTTTTGTATTTTTAGTAGAGACCTGGTTTTGCCACGTTGGCCAGGCTGGTCTTGAACTCCTGACCTCAGGTGATCCGCCCGTCTTGGCCTCCCAAAGTGGTGGGATTACAGGTGTGAGCCACCACACCCAGCTTTTTTGGCTGATTCATTACTAAAATGCCTGGAGTTCAATGGAAAAGGTGACTTTACTATTCTTGAAAGGGTAACCTAGTATTATAAATGATTTTACATATAATAAATATAATTCAGCATCCTTAAAAACTTAAGAAATAATTTTTATTTTTTTTACTTTATCATGTAAAATTACAAAGTCATACTCATCAGAAATGTAGAAAGACTAGAATATTCATCACCTGGATTTAACAATTAACTTTTTCCCATATTTATTACTTCCTTTTTCTTTCTCATTGTTTCTTTATTTGTTTATTTTTGGTTGAAGTGTTTTAAGATAAATTGTAGTCACTGTTACATCTTAACCATAAATACTTGATTATGTGTCCATAAAATGACATAACCACAATATTATTATCAAGACCAATAGAATTACTGTTAATTCCCTGATATTATCTAATACCCAATTCATATTTAAATTTCTTAAATGCTGCCAAAAGTTTTTTTATAGCTGACTTGTTCAAGCCAGAATCCAGTCAAGGACTATGCATTGCATTAGGGGTCATGGTGTCTCCTGAGGCTTTTTTTTTGAGACAGGGTCTCACTCTGTCACCCAGGGGCTGGAGTGCAGTGGTGTGATCTCGGCTCACTGCAACCTCTGCCCCCCGGATTCAAGCGATTCTCCTGCCTCAGCCTCCCGTGTAGCTGGGATTACAGGCGCCTGCCACTGTGCCTGGCTAATTTTTGTATTTTTAGTAGAAATGGGGTTTCACCATCTTGGCCAGCGTGGTCTTGAACTCCTGACCTCATGATCCACTCACCTCAGCCTCCTAAAGTGCTGGGATTACAGGTGTGAGCCACTGCACCCGGCCTCCTGAGGCTCTTTTAATCAAGAACATTCCACCCCCACCACGCCCTACCCTGCTGCTTTATTTCATGGCATTGGCTGTTGAAGAGAGAGGGTTAGTCTTTTTGTAGATGGTCTTACAGTCAGGATTTATGTAATTCTACTTGGTGACAAATTTCTTTAGAAACAGTGCAAAGGAAGACTATTGTGCTTCAGCTTCTTTTCTTTTAGACTTTACACTGTCTTTAATCCTTTCAGTCACACATCCATTCATCCAAACAAATCAACCAACATTGAACACGTCTTCTGCATATTTCCTGAGCACCTACACTGGAGAGATTCACTCTCCAGCCACTGTAACTGGGTCTTAAAGGAAGGACTTTTCATTGTTTCTCCTGAAACTTCCTTTGAAATATCAAGAGCCCTAGACTCATTCTTCTTATCAAAGAAGGTCTAAGAAAGTGTATTGGGGAGGAAAATTTGAATCTACATGATACTGTTACTACTGCCACCCTTAAGATGGGCTCCATCTTTATTAAGCTTCTAAGTACTAGATGCTTGACATTTATTACCTCTGAGCCTCACCTCCAAGCCTGTAAGGTAGGTATTATTATTCATTTAATAATGTTACCATTTTACAGATGATACAACTGCAGCTCAGAACAGTCAAGTACTTAGTCTAAGGCCTCACAGCTAATGGTGGCAGAAGTGGGATTCTAACAAAGGTGTGTCTGCTTCTGGTGCCCAGTCTTTTTACAAAACCATGATTCTGTTATTCCAGGGCTTGCTTAGTATTCAAATCGATTATTCCATTTTGTGATGACAAAACAACCAATTTAAAATTTTTTGGCATTCTGTATATGGTACCAAATGACCACCAGCAGATCAATAAAGGTTGTTTCGGGTTCTTCTTTTTTCACTTATTTAGAAACTATAGCCGATCTGCTGGAAAAAAAACAGAGAACCCAGGAGAGTCTATCAATTTCAAGACCCCAGAGCAAGGGATCAGCAAACCTTTTCTGTAAAGGACCAGACAGCAAATATTTTAGGTTTTGTGGGCTGTATGGTCTCTATCACAGTTATTCAACTGTGCTATTGTTGCACGAAAGCAGCAGAAGACAGTACATAAATGAATGAGGGTGGCTGTGTTCCAGTAAAACTTTATTTACAAAAACAGACAGTGGGCTGGATTTGGCCTGGAAACTGTAGTTTGCCAGCCCCTGCCCTAAAGCAGAGAAAACAATGTGGCAGCCAGTAGGCAAAACTTGGCTGAAGATGTACGTGATCACCTTGTACAATGTTCAGCTATTTAAAAAGTTAAATATTAACATTTAAAAATCAAGATAGTTTATACAAGGAGCAAGGTGTTTCCAGCGCCACTGGAAAGTTGGAAGGTCTGGTGTTTAAGCCCTTGGATCTCATGATGGGAAGGAGCTGGGCAGCTGCCCCTTGATGTGGTCACTGTCTGTCCAGCCCACCACCATCCTTACCCTTCTCTATTGGTTCCCTTGATCACCTTTAACATGGCACTATTTTCTCATTGCTCTCCTTGGCCTGGTTCCTGTGGACACTTGCATTTTCAACCAGTGCCACAATGGAAAAAAGATAAAGAAAGACATTTGATTGATAGTAAAAAGATCTTTTCATTAATAGTGCTTGGAAAGTAAAGGCACAATGGTAAAATTTGGCCAGAATTTATGCTTGATTTTTAAGTACAACAACTTGTCCATTATCAGACAGTGAAGGATAATTTGCATCTGGCATAACTTCTATTGGAAGATGTAGATAACTAGGCAATCTGACCCTGAAGTCTTATGAACAGGACCAGCTCTAGGTAGAAGTGTGGAGGCTAGACTTGGATAACAGAAGAATAGAAGAATAGAAGAAAGGATGGCCTAGATATGGTCACTGGGGAACTGTAAGCTGGGCACCCCTCCTGTGATCATAGTCATTCTCTTCACACTTGTTCTAATTTGTCCATGTTCCTCATAAAACAACCCCACAAAGCCTTCCAGCAACAGGCTGAAGGATACATTCTCTATATGTATGGTCTCCAAAGCATGGTGAGTACACACACAGGGCATCTGGTATAATCTATTGGCATATAGAAAGTATTAGAACTTCTTTAACATATATATTTAATTTCATTCTTTTAAAAAAATACTGATTGATTGATTGAGACAGAGTCTCACTCTGTTGCCCAGGCTGGAGTGCACTGGTGCTGTCACACTTCACTGTCACCTCAAACTCCTGGCTTGGCTGGGCGTGGTGGCTCACACCTGTAATCCCAGCACTTTGGGAGGCTGAGGTGGGTGGATCACCTGAGATCAGGAGTTTGAGACCAGCCTGGCCAACATCGTGAAACCTCGTCTCTACTAAAAATACAAGAATTAGCTGGGCGTGGTGGTAGGTGCCTGTAATCCAAGCTACTCAGGAGACTGAGGCAGGAGAATCACTTGAACCTGGGAGGCAGAGGTTGTGGTGAGCCAAGATGGCGCTATTGTACTCCAGCCTGTGCAACAGAATGAGATTCCATCTCAAAACAAAAAAAAAACAACCCCCCCCCCCAAAAAAAAAAACAACTCCTGGGCTCAAGTGATCCTCTCACCATAGTCCTCTAAATAGTCTGGCTAATTTTTTATTTTTTAATAGAGATGGGGGGGGGTCTCACTGTGTTGCCCGGGCTGGTCTTGAACTCCTAGCCTCAAGTGATCCTCCTGCCTTGGCCTTCCAAACTGTTGGGATTACAGGTGTGAGCCACTATACCTGACCTTTAATCTCATTCTTTAAAATTTAATGTTAAATGCATGCATTGTGATGCTCACATCAGCACAGTTGTACATATACATATCAGTACATTAGTATAGTTGTTTATGTATACATATATAATTTATAAATGAGTAAAAATACATATATTTGTGCAGGCTCAAAACATTTTACTGTTAGGTGTACAGGATCACAAAAGCTTAGGCCACTGTTCAATATAATACATTTTTAAAACAAAGCCTAAGATTATAGTCTCTTTCTTAAAATGAGAGTTTATTACTGCTTTTACAAATTAAAAGCTCCTTTTACAAAAGTGATCAGGCAGTTTTATCTCCAAATACTTATAAAGTTGCCAAGCCCTGCAGTAATGTGTTGCTTGAATCCCGGACAGCGGGTGTAGAGAGCATAGGTTGATTCTATCATTTAGGCTTTCAGGGATAATACTCTTTCTCTTTTGATTTTTCTAAAAATTTGAATGACAACATTAAAAACAAAATCTTTCGAGATTAAACCATGTATCTCATACTTGAAATCCAAAAACATTTTTAAAGGAGACAGATTTAATAATGTAGTGAAAGAAAAATTGTGGGTGAGGAGAAGAACTGATTAAAAAGAAAAAAAGACAACTAATGAAGGCCCAAATCAGAAAGCAAGAAATTATTCCAGAAGGACAGTAAATGTAGTTAGAGGACTAACCCATATTCAAGTCAGGAATATATTCTGAATTATTGAAATCGGAATGACTCTCATATTCTATTAAAGAAGAAAAATGGTATTAGAATAAATATTAAAAGGAGTCAAGATCTGGGGCATTAATCTTGTCTGAACATCATTAGGTTCCTTCAGTGTATGCATCTGTCCTTTCCCACTCTTGTATACCCGCCCCCTCACCCCCAGCCTTTGGTACCCTGCACAGAGTAAACTCCCAATAAGAACTTCTTAACAAATGGGTAAAAATGCACTAATGACTGAAGCTGTTTCTCCAGGACACCAGGACTGTGGAGTGAAAAATTGAAAGTCCAGGTGACATTTTACTAAGTTGATAGCAGTTATTCTAATTTTTATTTCAACAAATGCGATCTGAGCACCCCCACTCAGTGCCAGGCACTGTGTTTGGCATTGGAAATAGATGAGACACAGTCCCTGTCCTCGAGCAGCTGACCATTTTGTGGGGAAGTGGACTGGAACATTGCAGCCCCCAAACCTGCTGAGTTCTCCACCAGAAGGATGGAAAAAGTGCTAGGGGACTAAAGGGAGGGGAGTTGGGGAGTGTGAAAAATGCTGCCTAGGAATATTTGGATGAGACTTTAAAGGATGTTTTCAAATGAAAAAGGAAAGCTAAGAGGAGGGAACAACTTAATTAAAGGCGGGGACGTGAGAAAGGGCAGCCTACTTCAGGAGGTGTAAAAAGATCGATGTGGAGAAAATTGGAAGTAAAGTTTACACTTTATCTTGGAGATGATGGCAGATCGTTGGAGGATTTCTTTTTGTTTTAAGCAAAAGATGGTCATGTAGAGATCTGGTGAAAATTCAAAGGATGAATTGAAACAGATTGGGGAAACCATTTTGGAGGCTACAAAAATAATCCAAACCAGAGTTCTTAGACTATAGAACTGGAGAAGTCATGTTAGGATTAGCAAAGAGAGAAACCATTCAAGAGACATTTCAGATGCTACTATCAACAGAACCTGATGCACTTAAGCCAAAATGGTAGGGAAGAATGAGGACTAAGTGGTAGCTATCGAGTGGCCTCCGTTAATCATTATGGAATGCAGGGACAGGGGAATGGTGTGTCTCTGGTTTTTGTTTGTGTATTTGGTGGCAGGAGTGGCTGTTGTTAAAAAGATGATGGGTTTGATAATTATTTCCATTTTATTAATTACTAATTTTAGATTAATGTACCATAAATTTGACCTTTTCTGGTGTAAAGTTCTATGAGTTTTATCACATGCATAGCTTCACGTAGGCAACACTACAATCAGGATACAGAACAGTGTCATCACCCCCAGAAACTCTTGCACTACCCCTTTGTAGTCAAAACTGCCCCACTTCTAGCAATTAATGAGCTGTTTTCAATCCCCATAATTTTGCCTTCTGCAAAATGTCACATAAATAAAATCACATATTACGTAATGTTTTCCGGTTACCTGTCTTCACTCAACATGGTGCCTTTAAAATTCATCCCAGTTGTTAGGTGCATTAATAGTTCTTTTTCATCACTGAGTAGTGTCCTGTGGTATGGATGTACCATAGGTGGTTTATCCATTCACTGTTCAAGGACATTTGGGTTGCTTTCAGTTTTGGGCAATTATAAATAGAGCTGTTATAAACATTTTTTTCCTTTCAGAAAGCAGAGGTGTGTTTTTTTTCTTTTATTGAAGTAAAATATATATAACATTAAAGTTAACCATTTTTAAGTGTAAAGTTCAGGGACATTAAGTTATAAACTTTTTTTGTATGAGTTTTTATGTGAACACAAGTTTTCATTTATCTAAAGTAAATATTAAAGGAGTGAGATTGCTGGGTCCTTTGGGTAAATTCATCTTTACATTTAAAAGAAATTGTTAGCCGGGCATGGTAGTTTGTACATGTAATCCCAGATACTCCGGAGGCTAAAGTGGTAGGATCACTTGAACCCTGGAGTTTGAGGCTTCAGTGAGTGATGATTATGCCTCTGTACCTGGGCCTGGGCAAAAGAGCAAGACATTGTCTCTTATATTAAAAAAAAAAAAAAAAAGAAAGAAAAGAAACGAGAAATTGTTAAACTGTTTTCCAGAGTGGCTGTATCATTTTGCTTTCACACCATGAAGGTATGAGAATTTCTGTTGCTCCATATCCTTGTCAGCACTTGGTATTGACAGTCCTTGCCCTTCCCACCCCGCACCAGACCCTGCCCCTGCTCCCTGCTCCGTTCTCATTGTGGTTTTAACTTGCATTTCTCAAATTGCCAGTGATGTTCAGCACCTTTTCATGTTCTTTTTTTGCCATCCATTTTGCAAAGTGTCTGTTCAAACCTTTTGCTCATTTTGAAATTGGATTCTTTTATTTCTGTTGCATTTTCAGAGTTGTTCGCATATTTTGGATACAAGTCCATCGTTGGATATGTGATTTCCAAATACTTTCTCCCATTTACTAGCTTGTCTTTTCGTGTTTTTTTGCATAGCAAAAGTTTTGAATTTTGATGAAATTCAATATATCAATTATTCTGATATGGATGTGGCTATTGATCTCATAACTAAAAACTTTTTGCTTAACATAAGGTCACAAGCTACTCTCCTCTCTGATTTTCTAACAGTTTTGTCATTTTACATTTTATATCTATGATCTATGATCTGTGATCCATTTTGAATTTATTTTTGTATAAGGTGTAAAGTACAGGTACCTTTTTTGTTGTTTGTTTTTTTGAGATAGAGTCTTACTCTGTTGTCCAGGATGAAGTACAGTGGCAAGATCATTGTTCAATGCAGCCTCTACCTCTCAGGCTCCAGTGATCCTCCCATCTCAGACTCCCAAAGTGATTACAGGCATTAACCTCAGCACCAGCTGAGGCTCCTTTTTTTTTTTTTTTTAACTTATGTATGTCAATTTGTTTCAGCATCAATTATTGAAAAACCATCCTTTCTCCATTGAATTGCCTTTGTACCTTTGTCAAAAATCAACTGGCCACATCTATTTCTGGACTCTCTATTCTGTTCTGTTGTCTATGTGTCTATTCTTAGATATTACAATATTGTCTGAAATGCTGTAGGGTTGTACTGTAATCAGTTTTAAGATCAGTAGTGTGGGCCAGGTGCAGTGGCTCACACCTGTAATTCCAGCACTTTGGGAGGCTGAGGCAGGTGGATTACCTGAGGTCAGGAGTTCGAGATCAGCCTGACCAACATGGCAAAACCCCATCTCTACTACAAATACAAAAATTAGCCAGGCATGGTGGCACGCGCCTGTAGTCCCAGCTACTTGGGAGGCTGAGGCAGGAGAATCACTTGAACCTGGGAGGCAGAGGTTGCAGTGAGCAGAGATCACACCACTGCACTCCAGCCTGGGTGACAGAGTGAAACTCTATCTCAAATAATAATAATAATAATAATAATAATAAATAATAATAATAATACTATCAGTAGTGTGAGTCCTCCAATTTTATTCTTTTTTCAAAATTGCTTTTGATGTTTTAGTTTGCCTTTCCATATAAATTTTAGAATCACATTGCCCTTATCTTCAAAAAAATTATGCTGGGATTTTGATTGGAATACCACTAAATTTATAGATCAATTTGTGAAGAATTGACATCTTAACTAATTTGAGTGTTTCAATTCATAACTATGGTCTATTTCTTCATTTATTTATGTTTTCTATGATTTATTTCATTAGCATTTTGTGATTATCACCCTATGTATCCTGTACATGTTTTGCTGGATTTACACCTAAGTATTACTTCCTCCTTTTTTTAGAGCTATTCTAAATGGGATTTTAAAAAATTTGAGTTCTAATTGTTCATTACTAATTTATAGAAATATAATAGATTTTTGTATGCTGAGCTTGAATCCTATGGTAATACTAAATTTACTTATAGTTCTAAGAGTTTTTTTTAAAAATAGATTTCTTGGGATTTTCTACATAGACAGTTATGTTATCTGTGAATAGGCATGGTTTTATTTCTTCTTTTCTTTTCTTTCTTTCCTTTTTTTTTTTTTTTTTTTTTGAGACAGGGTGTTGCTCTGTCATCCAGGCTGGAGTGCAGTGGTGTGATCACAGCTCACTGCAACCTTGAACTTCTGGGCTTCAGCAATCCTTCTGCCTCAGCCTCCTGAGTAGCTGGGACCACAGGTGTGTGCCCCCATGCCTGGCGAATTTTTAATTTTTTTGTAGAGACAGGGTCTCCCTTTATTGCCTAGGCTGGTTTCAAACTCCTGGCCTTAAGTGATCCTCCCACCTCAGCCTTCCAAAGTGCCGGAATTACAAGCATGAGCCACCAGGTGACTTATTTCTTTTTTTCTGATTTGGATGTCTTTTAATATTACATCTTGCTTTATTGTACCTTCTAGGACTTCCAGTATAATGTTCAACAGGAGTGGTCACGTTCCTAATCTTAGGGGGAGAGCATTCTCTTTTTCACCACTAAGCACGAAGTTCCCTTTATTTCCTAGTGTGCTAAATGTTTTGTTAATCATAAATGGATACTGAAGCTTATCAAGTGTTTTTTGTTTCGATTATATGATCATGTGGTGTTTCTAGGCCTTAAATATGGTGATTACATTGATTGTTATGTATTAAATAGCCTTGCATTCCTGAGATAAACCCCATTTGATTGTGATGTATTTTTAAAAATATATAGCAGGATTTTATTAGCTAATATTTTGCTGAGGATTTTTACAGCTACATTCACTAGGGTAGTTTTGTACTGACTTTGTCTGGTTTTGGCCTCAGGTTAACGATGGCCTCATAGAATGAGTTGGGAAGTATTCCCACCTCTTTTATTTTCTGGAAAAGATTGTTTAGAATTGGTTTTGTTTCATCTTTAAATGTTGGGTAGAGTTTGCCAGTAAAATCATCTGAAACTGGAGGAGTTTTTGTTTGTTTGTTTGGCTTTTTTTGTGGCGAAGGGAAGACTTCTAACTATGAATTCAATTCAAAAAAATAAATGTAAGATTACTCTGGTTACTTTTTTCTTCTTGGGTGAATTTTGACAGTTTGCTGCTTTTAAGAAATTGGTCCATTATGTCTAAGTTTTTAAATTCATGTGCAAATAATTGTCATAGTATTTTTTATTAGAATTTTAGTATCTGTAAAGTCTGTAGTGATAACACCTTTTATTTCTGATATTGGTAATTTGTGTCTTTTCTCTGCTTTTGTTTGTCAGTCTGGCTAGTGGTTTATAAATTTTATTGATCTTCTCAAAGAACCAGCTTTTGTTTTATCGATTTTTTTCTGTTTTCTGTTTTCAGAAAACAGAATTATTTCATTTATTAGGTATTTCTTCTGTTTGCTTTGGGATTATTTGCTCTTATTTTTGTTGTTTCTTACGTTGGAGGCTAAATTGCTGATTTGAGACCTCTTTTTCTAATAAACATTTAATACTATAAATTTCCATCCAAGCATTCCTATCGCTGTATCCAACACATGTTGATGTGTTGTATTTTATTTTTATCCAATTCAAAATATTTAAAAATTTCCCTTGGGACACAGTTATAATGACTTTTAAGGTTTTCATCTGATAATTCTTACATCTGTGTCATTTCAGAGTTGGTTTTGATTTTTCTCAATTTAGGTCCTATTTTCTTGCTTCTTTACATGCCTGGTAATTTTTGATAGGATGCCAGACACTGAATTTTACCTTGTTGGGTTCTGGATATTTTTCTATTTCTGTAAACATTCTCTTGCTTTGTTCTGGGACAAGGTTAAGTTCCTTGGGAGCAGTTTGTTTTTAGTCGGTCTTCCTTTTTTTTTTTTTTTTTTTGAGACGGAGTCCCGCTCTGTCACCCAGGCTGGAGTGCAGTGGCAAGATCTCGGCTGACTGCAACAACCTCCACCTCCTGGATTCAAGCCATTCTTGTGCCTCAGCCTCTCAAGTAGCTGGGACTATAGGCGTGTGCCACCACGCCTGGCTACTTTTTGTATTTTTAGTAGAGACGGGGTTTCACAGTGTTAGCCAGGATGGTCTCAATCTCCTGACCTCGTGATCTGCCTGCCTCGGCCTCCCAAAGTGCCGGGATTACAGGCATGAGCCACCGCACCCAGCCGTGGGTCTTACTTTTTTTTTTTTGAGACGGAGTCTCGCTCTGTCGCCCAGGCCGGACTACGGACTGCAGTGGCGCAATCTCGGCTCACTGCAAGCTCCGCCTCCCGGGTTCACGCCATTCTCCTGCCTCAGCCTCCCGAGTAGCTGGGACTACAGGCGCCCGCCACCGCGCCCGGCTAATTTTTTTTTTGTATTTTTAGTAGAGACGGGGTCTCACCTTGTTAGCCAGGATGGTCTTGATCTCCTGACCTCATGATCCACCCGCCTCGGCCTCCCAAAGTGCTGGGATTACAGGCGTGAGCCACCGCGCCCGGCCGGGTCTTACTTTTAAGCTTTGTTGAGTGGGACCAGGTCAGCATTTGATCGAGGGCTAGTTATTTCCCACCTCTTGAAGCAAGACTCTTCTGAATACTCTACCTGATGCCTTGTGAATTATCAGGTTTTCCACGCTGGCCATAGGGATCATCTGCTATTTCTGGCCATCTGTGAGCTCTCTAGGAATTGTTCTTTCTAATCTTTTTGGGTGTGTTTTTTCCCCCGGACTTTGGACAGTTTCCTTACATGCATGACTGATCAGGTCTCAGCTGAATAATCAAGGGACTCATTGGAAGTCTCTGGAGCACCCTCTGCAGTTAGCTCTCTCCTCTCATACTCTGCCCTGTGAGTTTCAGCCACCTTGGCCTTTCTGGACTCCCACCTCTGTGTCCTCCACTTAGGGCATCTTCCAGGATTTGTCTCAGTCCCTTCTTCCTACATTAGTAGCCTAGAATATCTCTCCAGATGGAGAGGATTTCATCCAGATTGGGAATATTTCATCCAGCTAGGATGATCATAAGATTCATCTTGATTGTTTGGGTGATGATAAAATGTAGGTTATTGCCAAGTAGGTGTTTGCTGAAGTGTTTGGAAGGGAAGGTCAATTGAGTACAGGAGAACACGGATACACCAGATTAGCTCATTAACAAGGATTTTGCAGCCTCACAGCATGATGGCAGAACATGTGTGGATAAAAACCGTGAGTCAGAGTCAAAGAACTTTAGTAAAATAGGAAGAGTGAGTCACCATCATTGTCATCACCATCACCATCACCATCACCCCTATTTTATGCCACTCTTACTCTGAGGTAGAGGTAGGAGCTTCGGGTTCATTATTACATTTAATCCTGGTGGTGGCCATGAAGAAGCCCTTCCCAGATTTCCCGCTGACAGAAGCATATAGTGACCGATGGTCTCAACTGCTGCACACTGAATTCACCACTATGTTTGCATCAATGCCATGCTTCCCACAGCCTTCTCCAGACCAATGTCTGAGTGTCACAGGAATACTAATGCGGGCCCATTACCATGAGACACAAGTGACTTGGCTCCAGGATGCTTCATTGACCTTGCTGAAACTTTGATGGAGTTGCACCATAACCTAAGACTTTCCCAACTCAAAATCCTTCCTCCCTCATTGCAGTCAGACCAGCTTTGTGGTCTGACACTCTTTTAGCCTCCTTCAGCTCCATTTTCCCTCACAGACATTTTCTCCAATATGTCTCTTGCACGTGTAATCCCTTCTTGGTGAATGCTTCTCAGAAAACTTGAGCTAGCACAATCCTCAAATAACTCTGTGAGGCATGTATCCAATCCACAGATGTGGATCATGGAGGTTGGAGATTGGAGAGGGGAAGTGACCTGCCCAAGGTCACACAAGTCATAAGGTGGCTGAACCAGGATTAGATCCCAGGGCTGTGTGACTTTATAGCTTATCATAAGCATGCTGTCCTGTTACTCTCTGGATGCAAAGATGGTGGCTTCATTGTGGGTAGGAACTCCAAATAAAAATGAATTATTGAAAGAAGGCTTGGGGAGAGGTGGAAGGGTGTTTGGAGAACTCTCATTCTGACTTCTTGCCATTAAAGATGTTGATTTGAGAAGGGAGTAGCCTTTACTTACAAGAGAAGCCATTTCTGTAGGTTGAGATAAGAAGAACATTTGGAAGAGAAGAAAAGGGTGTGGCTGTGGAGGTGATTCTGCTTCCTTTAACTCTTAGAATGATCACGGCAGAGTTATAGGCTTTGACTTAATAGAAAAGGCATTTTTAAATTCAGACAATTCCAAGAGACAAGAATTCGGTTCCATCCCAGTGCACTATGAGCTGTCAACATATAAGTCCAGGAGCAGCCTGGCTGAAAAGGGGCTCACGAAGGCCAAAGCAGAGTGAAGCCACAGAGAGGAGTGGTGGGAAAAGGTCTGTTAGCAAACTCCCAAAGATGCTTAGAGAGAAAGGGAGAGAGAGCAAATACTGAGGAAGTTCCAGCTGTTGGTGACTAGACATAACATCTGGGCAATTACTGACTTTTACTTTTCATCACAGTGTTTTGGTGCCTTGTAGACACAGCTAAGATGTCACGAATGTAGATAATTTAGTACAGTTGTTGTCATTTCTTGCTGAGTTGCCTTAAGCTTGACATTAGCAAAATCGATCTTACTTAAATAAGTTTTCAATACTTATTTGCTTTTGTGTTGCAGAGACGGATTGTTTTGCTTTAAGATGATTTGATAAAAAATAGCTTATTTCATATGAAAAACTGATATATTATTTGTTATTTTATCTCCACATGTCTTGGAATCTTTCGGGCAGAGAGAAATATGACCCCTAGAATTAGTTTTCTACTCCTTCAATAAAAGCTACACCAGTTCATCCATCAGTGATAGAGGTGGTTTAGGAAGAAATTACATTTGTTTTACTAAAGAAGTCCAAATGTTTTATTTAAATCTCTAACTTCCTGGAAAATTTGATGTGGGTGGTTTGTGTGTATGTGTGTGTGTGTTGTTGTTGTTGTTAGTAAACAGGAAGCTCTTGAAATTATACACTGCAAGCATGTAAATCCAGGTTTTGTTGTAGTTTCTTTTTGGGTGGGTTTTTTTTTTTAATTTTCTTTTCCCCTTCATTACAGAGTCCTATATTAATTGCCCAGCTCTTTTTTGAGGATTTTCTGAAGTGGTACCCCACAGACATAATGCTATGATAATGGAATTTCAGTTTCTTTCGGTTGACTGCTTGCAAAGAGGTTTTATTTGGATGGGAATGCAGGAGATTGGCCTTTTTTTAAAAAAAGAAAACATACAGTATAGCTTGCCTTTTTTTTCTTAAAGAAATTATTTGTGGGAAAATAGTTTGGAGTATCTTATTAATGATTTTCCTCTTGGATTTTTGTTTATTTTCCACCCCCATCCCTCAGATCTCTGTAACTAAAAACAAGCTTCAGTTCCTCATCTTGGTTACAGTGGTTTAAATGTTTGTTGGTATGTGACTTTGTTTAGTAAAGTTTGTGTGATTCTTTTTCTTTCTTTTTTTTCTTGCAGTGATCTCAGTTTGCTAAACATTGCATAATTTTAAAAAAATGTAGTAGATTATTTTTTGGCCTCCCTAAAGTTCATAGTCATTGCTGTTTTCCACTTCAGTCACTCAGATTATTTTATGAAATCAGTCCAACCCCCAAAGTTGTTTGTTCTTGGCTTTGACTCTGGGTGGAGGTGTGCTGTGATTTTCACAAACTTTGATGTTTTCTGTCTTATGTAGGCGAGGACCTGAGAGTTTTCAGCAGTTTTCCTGCAACCAGGGAAAACTGTGTATTGAATAAAACCCTTGCAATAGACTACTCAGCCCTAGATTTTCTTTGATGAGCACATATCTGCAAGTGGCTCTTGGCCAAGAATTGAGGCTGTATATGGGGGAAGAAATAGGAACATCAGTGGTTGGCTCTTGGAAAGATCTTTAAATAAAGATCATCTGGTCCAAGGATGGCAAATATGTGGCACAAGTACGACTACTTTCCCCACCCACGCCCATTGCAAACATCAATAATCGATCATGGCTTTCTTTCTGTTGAGCCATCCAGACCACACAATCTTTCTTGACATGATATCCGAGGCTTCTGCTAAAATGCCAATGGAGTTGGCATGCGAGATTGAATCTCTACCACTGTGGATTATAATATATCTCCATAAATAACTACAGACATGGGGAAGCTCAGAGCGAGGCAGAAGAGTGCTAGAGTTGGGAACGTGGGCTCAACAATGGAATGATGTGAGCTCCAACTAGAGCTCAACCACTTGTTAGCTGTGTGGTTTGGAGCAAAGTTAATCTTCATAGGCCTGTTTTCCCACCAATAAAGTTTGGATGATGATAGAGACTACATCATAGGACTGTCGGGAGACAAACCAAAATAACCTGTGGGAAGCACTCAGCACAGTGCTTGACATTGGTGCTCAGGAAACATGAGCTTCCATGAACATCACCATCATTATTAGGGAGAGTGACTTGTTTGCGATCACAAAACCAGTTAGGATTAGACAAGTTTCTCAACTTCAGTACTGCTGATATTTCAAATGGTCAGATAATTCTGTGCTGTGGGGGCTGTGCTGTGCATTATAGGATGTTTAGCAACATCCCTGGCCACTACCCACCAGATGCCAGTATAATGCCCCCTCCTCTTCCCAGTTATGACAAATGTCTCCAGACATTACCAAATGTCCCCTGGGGGACAAAATGGATACTTTTTTTTCATGTTAACATATTTGTGCCTGAACGCACTGTCAGAGATGCTCATTCCATTGGTTTCATGATGAAACCCAGGGAATATGTATTTTTTTTAACTGTTGTCAGTGGCTTTAATGTCACTCTCTTCATGTCAAGCTACAACTTTTTCTACTTAACAACTCATCGAGAGTTCTGAGTAACAGATTAAAACTCGAAGTTTTAATTATACTCTTGTAATAGAATTTAAAGTAATATCAAAGAGAATGTTCACACACAATATAATTTCCAGTGAAAACAGCTGCCTTCCGGATTATGTAATAATAACATTGATATAATTAATTTGAGTACTGACTATGTGTTGGACACTGGGGCTATGAGCTTGATGTTCCTCGTGCCATTCAATTGTTACAACAATGCACAAGGCATGCATCATTATTCTCATTTTACAGATGATGGAGCAGGGGCATAGCGTGCCTTGCCCAACATCCCACAGCTAGTAAGTGGATGAACAGACCATGCATCCCAAGTCTGTTATCTACAGTGCACACGCACACACACACACACACACACACACACTACAGAAAGGTCTGGAAGGATATACACCCAGATGTTTACCTTGATTATTTATAGATGATGGGATTATAGGTGTTTGCTACTTATTACTGAAGCTTATTATTTTTTAAATTTTCTTCTTTGAGCATTCATTATTTGTAAAAAGTATTAAAAAAACAAAATTATAGTTATGCAGCCTTGTGACTTTTATAAAACAAGTGATTCATTGTGTTTACAACAGTCTACCTCCTATTCGTCTGATCTTGCTTATGACCGACTGAAAAGCAACAGAAATTATATTTTAATTTCTCATGTGAGATACCAGAATGGAAACATACAGCTCCTTAATGTAACACATAATGATTCAGTAGTGGGGGTTGTGTGCATTTGAAGCTACTTTTTCCATAAAAGGTTATTCTGTAAGCAATCATATGGAACTTTAAAATAAATATATTACATGTTATAGATTCCAAAGAATGTTGTCTTTCAAGATTTCCTACCTTGGAGAATTATATGTTTGTTCAATGATGCTACCAGTGAAACATCTTCTTTTGAATTTCACTCTTGATTATTGCCTTTAAAGCTACTTTCTGAACCAGACAAGAAAACCAGTCTTCATTATTTTAGAAAAACACCAGGAATTACCCACTTGGTTGCCCTCTAAGACTAAGACATGCTCTGAATTTCTGTTTGGTCATTTTCAAAAATCAAACAGAGCCACATGGATAAAATTTGCCATAAGAGGCAGTGCTTTAACCACTGTCTTAATTTTCTCATGGAAATTCCAAAAAGGGAGATGCAAATGTGGTTTGATGAATGGAATCATTGTTGGAATAAGTGCAGTGACCCTCAAGGTGACTACTTTCAAATGTACTACACACATGTGGAAGCATAAATTCAGGGTGTGTGTTTGTGTGTGTGTGTGTGTGTGTGTGTGTGTGTGTGACATTTGCATTATTTTATAGTTATGCATTATGTGTTTCAATTCTGAATATGATATTTGCCTGGCTTTAATTCCCTATGGCATATGTTTCCAATTTTAAGTAACTCTGAAAGATCTTCTGTGTATCTGTCTGCTCACATAACTAAAAGGTCTTGGTGACTCTGGAGTCCAGCTGAACCTTTATGTCTAAAAGAACATGTGTAAGTACATATGCTGAACCAAGAGACACAGAGTTCACCAAAGGCCCAAGCCTCTCTTCAGGTTTTTCCCTTTGTCCTGTCATGTAGGACCAGGCACTGGTGGACTTCCAGGTGAGTGGGGACCCTGAGGGTGGCTTCAGACCTCCCCCTCGCCCCCGACCCCCCGCCAGACATTCCAATTGGAGCCTTGCAGGGATGCCAGTATCATAATCTTCAGCCTGCCTCCTTGGAACTCCTCCCACATCTTTCGGTGGCTTCTATAAACCCCTGCACAACATGTCCACACTCTTGTCATTGGAGCCTTCATTTCCACTAGAATCTCTCATTTCTGAATTCAGTGTCTTTATCATTATATCATGTCATGGAAAGAAAGGACAAAGGGCACAGGGTCTCCCTGGATGGCAGAGCGATCTTGTCACTTCATCATTCGTTTGTTCATTCATTTGCTCAATTATTAAGTGCTTACTGTCTGCCACTGAGGAATGTGAAACGAACAAAATAGGTCTCTGGTCTCATGGAGCTTACTTCTAGGGAAGACAGACAATAAATGCATAAATCAAGAAACAAGCTGGGATTTTAGATATTAATTTTGAAGGAGGAGGAGAGGAAAGCAGGATGTGACATTTAAGCTGAGACCTGTAGGGTGAGGAAGATCTAGCCCTGTAGAGAGCTTGAGGAAGACTATGCCAGCAAGGTGAAGGCTTCAGTGCTCCAGCACAGCGCATAAGGCATTGAATAATTATATCACAAATACACAAAGTAGGCATAAAATAATATTATCCTCAATGAGGCAATCCTGACATAGGTGAATTGTAGACAGAGGAATTTGTAAGGACACCAGACAAGATGGAATTCTTAACTATATTTTCTTTCATTGTAAACCAGGGAAGCCAATTTTAGCATTGCTACATAACTGAAGCACTACTGTAATTTTTTTAACATATTATTCAGGACTCAGCATGAGATGAAACTGTGAGAAAAGCTAAGGTCTTCCTCTTTAAGATTCTCCTTGCCCTAGAAAAATCTGGCTTTATTGCATTCCGGGGCAGAGCATTTTTCAGAGCGTGTGTGTGTTTGCTCTGTTCACATTATTTCTTTTCCCCAGAAGGAGACCAAACTGTTTAAAGGGAAGATAGAAACAAACAAACAACTGGGTAATATGCTTCCAAACATTCAGACACATGTGACCTTTCAGCCAGCGCAAAGATCCATGAGGCAAACAGCAGGCCAGCCGTGCTTGATTCTTTTGGAGCACAGATGCTGCTGCTTCCTTGGGGATGACCATATAAATTATACAGACCATTATCATCTCTTCTCCAGAATTTTCACTTTTGAATTCTGACCCAAAAAATACACAATTTGTTCCCCTCGAGCATGTGATTTCATGTTGCCCCAGCACCTGCTGGAACGACCAGAGAAGATTGGATTGGCCCCTTCTACCTTCTGCTATTCTGCATCCAGAAGAGGCTGTTTTCTGTTGTCTGGAGGAACGGCTGGTTTTGTTGTGCCAATCGGAGCCTTGTAGGGATGCCAGTATCATAATCTTCATTCCTCCATTTCTCTCTGGGCCTAGAACTCTTTCCAATGGAATGCCACAGATAACTTGCCACTAAGAGATGTGCCCCCTCTCTCTCGCTCTGTTTTTTTCTCTCTCTCCCTCCTCCCCTCCAAAAATCTTGCATCATTTTGTTTTCTGAATCTTTCTAGGACCTATGCCTTTCTTCTAGCTAAGCTGGGGACACAGATCATAGTGGCCTGATTTTTCCACTGTTGATAAATTAACCTTCAAAATTCTTTGTAGTTAAGTTCTGAACTACCATCTTACTATTCGTATTGATTTATTTTTCAATTTTCTCTACTGCTTCAAAATCCACAAAAGTTTCTTTTGGTATTTCCTTATAGTTTAAGTGACAACTCTAACAAAATACATCCTCTCTGCTGACCTGGTCAGTTTATACTGGTGGTTATCGCTTCTAGTTTCTTCCTTAAAAAAATGCTCCATTGAAAAATTATCAAGAAATTCACTAGAATGTAAGCTTTATGAGGGCAAGGATTTTATCTTTTGTTTTGTTTTCTCTTTTGTCCTTAATATCTAGAATGGTGCCTACTACACAGTAGCATGTGATGAATATTGGTTGAATGAATGAGTGGATGAAATTGACATCAGACTTGCTTGTGTGAGGGGCCTTGGCTGATGCCCACTCCTTCTTCTCATAAGAAGGTTCTGCCAAAGTCAAAATGAATTCTTGAAATCATGTTAGCTGCAAACCCATCAAAATTCCAACCTTAGCAAAAGTCTTGGAAACAAACACATTTTCCCCCCAAATTTTTCTAGCAATCTACTATCCATTCAGACATTTCCATAATTCGTCGCTAAAACAGCAACAATAAGCTACACAATGTAGGTTGTTCAGGAGCCCTACACAGGATTGAAGACTGGGTATTGAGAAGGTGGAGTTAGTGAGAGAAACAAACCTCTCCACATGATAAACCGTCTGGTCAGTTTTAGTGACTTCAGTACCTGAGATTCAAATGCCCTGGACATCCCAGAAGAAGGAGACTTTTAATTAGAGCATCCAGGTGAAGCTCTTGCCTAATTTAAATTCCATGCATCATCCTGAGATGCAATATCCTAAAGTTATGATTCTATTTGTTACCACTTCCTTTATTGCGTTTTGTTTTTAGGCTGAGAGCTATGGGGCTCACAACATATCTGACATTGTTTATGGAGTCGTGGACTCTAATAAAGTCTGCTTAATCATGATGGAATAGGTTCAGCTTTGCCAGAACTGAAAAATGGGTTGGTAGCCACTGAGCACCCTGTAGAGCCCACCTTGAGGTTCTCTTCAAGTTACAGTCTCATCTTAAGCACTCTGTTATGAAAAGAAAATCATTTGGTTATGTATAGAGCCAGTTACAGATAGAAATAAGACTGATTTCTGCTCTTCTTTATGGGGAAGTTATCAGATTAATGATACACCAGTGCCAGGTAAAGGTATTTTAGTGGCCCAAAGAGAGGCTACGGCCTGCCTGCCTGCGGGGCATCTAGAGCCGTGCTTCTTGCCTGAGGGTAACTTTGACCCCCTAGGGCACATTTGGCAAGGTCTAGAGACTTTCTGGTTGTTTCTCCCACAAAGGGGGATAGGTGCCATACTTACAATGCTTAACATCCTATAAGGCACGGGACAGCACCTCAAAATAAAGACTTATCCAGCCCAACAAGTCAATTGTGCTGAGGTTGAGAGACTCTGATCTGGAGGAACCCCACTCAGCTTCATGCAGATGTCCCTGCCTGGGAAGGTGAGTCTTCTTTTGCTATTTTCCAGTTCTTTTAAGAAAGTATCTCCATCTTATTCTTGCATCAAGAATTGTGGAATGGGAAGCAGATCTGATTTCAGAAGTGGGCAGGGCAGGCAGCCTAGGTGGAATGATTTGAAAGGCACAGAGACAATCCAGACATAAAAAACATTCCTCTACTTCTGAGGCTCCAAGGCCTAGAATTCTTTCTGTTGAAATCCAGAGAAGAGCTGAACTGGCTTCCTGAGTTTTGAATCAAGCTCTGCTACTTCGGAATGCATTAAGATTTGCTGAGCATTCACTGTGCACTCAGCCCTGGGCTAAGTGCGGTGCAGGCATTCTCTCGTTCCATTTTCTCAGCAGCCCTGTGAGATGTGTCCAGTTATTGGAGGCTTGGAAATGTTCAGAAACTTGCCCAGGGTGGTACACTGATTAAGCATGGTGCTGGTGCAGAGATTTTCCACCAGGTTTGTCTAAGGCCCAAGACCCTGCCGATAACCAAGACCTTACCGTGTCTAGTTCTGAGGTAATTCAACCAACCTTTTTTGTGACTCTCTTTCCACCTGTGGAAAATGAGGACTCTCTTTCCACCTGTGGAAACCTGAGGGAAAATTCCACCATGACTTCTAGGAATCTTTGACAATGCTTAGCTGTCTTGATTTGTTTCTTTTATGTCTTGCCCTTTTTAAGGCTTCCCTTTTAAAATGGAGACAGTCTCAGAGTAGGTGGCAATTGGAAATCTCCATAGAAGGATTCCAAACCTCAACATACAGCATAACAAACTATATGGTGAGCTTCTCAAAATGCCAACTTCCAGGCCCCTCACCAATGCTGATTTAGCAGGCTTGAAATGGGCTCCTGGATCCCAAGAAATTAATCAATTCTTTTTTTCTGGAGCCCTGATACTAATGACGCCCTCCATCCAGGTGATGCTGAGGCCTGTATCTGAGGGCCACACTGAAGAAGAAGGCCAGCCTAGCCCCTTCTGGGGAATTCACCTAATTGACTGGTTTTCTCAAAGAAAGGATACTGGTCACTATGGAAGGACAATGTTTAGGGTAACTTAGGGCTCCAAGACCCCTCACACAGGCCGAGCTAACTGTGCACTGCTGTCCTCAGACTCACCCAGATCAAGGGTTCCCAAACTTCACTGCACATTAGAATCACCTGGGAAGCTTTTAAAAGTCCTGATGCCCAGATCATACTCTGGGTCAATTAAATCACAGTGTCTGGGCCTGGGAGCCAACCTTTGTAAAGCCCTCCAGCTGATTCCAATGCGCAGCAGTTTGTGAACCAGTCCTGAGCATTGTAGATTCCATATCATTGCTGCTGCTGCACTTTCTCTTGCAGTGCTCTTTGGCTATCCTAGCCCCAAGTGCCAAAATCTTAGCTCTCCAGGAAGACCCAGCTGCAAATGACTCTTTGCTGTATTGTCTTGACATGCCCCCACTGCAATGTGGTTCCTTACTCCTCTGCTGCTTCCTCTAAGGTATTCATCTTATGACCTTCTTTGTATTTACTACGTATCTTCAGCCAGTTAGACTGCAAGTTCCTTGAAAGTATGGACTCTAATATATGTGGCTCCGGACTGATTTGAGCAGAAAGAGTATGCAAGGGTGGACACAAGAGAGATGAGGCAAAGACCAACTCAACTCTTTTCCTTGGCTTTCTTCAGGATAGATCAGAGGGAGGGTAATAATAATGGTTGCTAGAGGTCACCTATGCATGAATTTCTTGAGTAAAATATCCCAGTAAAATTTTTAGGTTTTTAAATTAAAGAAATTGTGTTTTATTTTTATTTTTAAGACAAGGTCTTGCTCTGTTACTCAGGCTGGAGAGCAGTAGTGCGATCATGGCTTACGGCAGCCTCGACCTCCCAGGCTCCAGCCATCCTTCTGCCTCAGCCTTCCCAGTAGCTGAGACTATAGGTGTGCACCACCACTCTCAGCCAATTTTTAATTTTTTGGTAGAAATGAGGTCTCACTATGTTGCTGGGGGTTGTCTCAAACTCCTGGGCTCAAGGGATCCTCCCACCTCAGCGTCCCCAAGTGCCGAGATAACAGGTGTGAACCACTGCACCCAGCCTTGAACTCACTCTTCTGGGGGAGAAATAAAGAATCTTTCTAAATAACAGCACCTTCTAAATAGTGATGTTTTGACCTTTTGGTATTGTGAAAATGTGTGTCTTTGCTGCCATGACTCAGAATGTAGGCCAGCCTTCCTCCCCAGGATGTTTAGGGGGCTTATGGGGACTTACTCATGCCTGGGAAGGAATTTAAGAGGAAGTCAGAGTACCCTCTAAGTTTCTTTTCATCTCTTCTGATTGTTTTCACCCTGCTCACTTGAGAAACAAATCCTGTTATCCTAAACTGACATGGGACTTAGTTTCTGCAAAGAGTGACAAATGTACAAATGCACAGTGGCCTTGACAGATGCTGCAGCTCTGTTTTGATTTGCCCATTTAGAATTTTAAAACTGAGAAAGACTTTGATTTCTTGCCTCCCTTGAAAACTCAAAAGCTCTTCCCGCCCTGTGCTTGCTTTCCTGGTAATAGCAAATAGCACCTGCCACTTTTAGCTGAGGCCTGTGTGCTCAAATTTGCTGTAGCCCCTATGCCTATGCCTCCTTACTTCCAAGATTTCAGTTGCCTGATTTGAGTTCTATAGGCTGTGGCAGCAGCAGCACCTGTTAAAAACTGTTAAAACGCAGATTGCTGAGCCCTACCCATCTTCCGGAAGGAAGAGGTGTCATTTGTTTATGTATGTAGATATATACACATATACATGTGGGTACATATATACATGTTAGTATGGATTCATATAGATTTCCTTCTGTGGATTATAATCCAGTACTATTGTTACTTCTTTTCTTGCTCAGGATGTCTCAACTTTGGGCATTTGGGAGCTCTCTGGGGTTGCCTCCTGTGGCCTTTCAGTAAGCCTCTACAGAGCTGCCCCCCGCCCCCCATTTTGTTTTGGGTTTTTACTCCATCACAAGATGCTCCGTGCTTATTTTGTATTTTCCCTACCCCAACCCTGGAATTAACTAGCTCCTCAAGGATCCCTGATTTATTGTATTGGAGAAAGGTATTTAGAAACCAAGATCTGGGTGCTAGGTGTGCTCATTGCTATTGGATCATCATTGCTTCTAGTCATTCTGAGTGGACAGAGCTAGGGAATATATGTGTGTATACTTATGTATACTAATTTACACATATGTACACATATAGATTTATGTCTATATCTATTTATCATGTGTATGGGTGTGTGTGTGTGTGTGTGTTTGTGTAAAACCTGACCCCATGAATACCTTCAACTCCAGTCCAAGGCCAAAGGAGTCATACTAGCTTTGGGAAAATCAGATTTTTAATCTTTGTATAGTTTTAAAATTTTACAAGTAGTTCAAGGACATCTTGGGGAAATAAGAAAGCTTCTTTTTATAGCTATTTTATAGCCATTACTTCAAAAAACTCAACAAATCCCAAGCTTATGGCTGAGATGTCTCATCAACATACCACCATGCTTAATATCCTTCAGTCCCTCCTGAAATCTTCCATAGTTTGGAACACACAGCCTTACTGTTCCCGAAGGTAGGTAGACCTGCCTCATTTCCCTTCTCATAAAACACAGTTTGTCTCCAGCTCTACTGAACAATGCCTATTGTAACGCTGAGCTGGCACTTGTGCATTCTAAATGTAGGCCAAGACACTTCGCGGAGATTACAATCAGAACTTTGCTTTACATGTGAAATCTTATTTTGAATGCAGGTACACAATTACTCACTCAGAGACTTAATTACACTGCCTTAGGATAGTATTAAAACAATGGTTTTAATTATTTTTTGGGGGGGTGTTACAAAAGTAACCTGCTGTCTTGTTAGGTGGGTGAGGGGCCTTTACTACAGTCTTTCTGAGAACTTCACAGATACAAATTAACCTTCAGCTGTGAGGTTTACCTGTGAGTCCTTCATGTTTATTCAGAAAGAAACCATACTTGGATGGGGTCCCTTACTCTCGTTATGCTTAATGTAAATCTAGTACTGCTTGATGAACTGTTTAGAGAACTGGAAAGATAATCCAGCCAGGATGGCTCATGGGCTGCTGGAGGTGTGGCCCCTCAGTGGTTTGGAAAACACTCTGGGTTTTAAACAGCAGCACCTATAATTATGGAGGCGTCATCCCTTCCATAAAAAAAGAAAACAAAACAAAGAAAGCAAAGCCCTTCTACTAACAAGGTGTAGTCATAGCATGTGTTCAGCCTTTTCAAAACCTGTCTGGCATTTGTTTCTGGCCTGGTGGAGAGTATCTTCCATCTTTCTCTGAGCTCTCATAAAACAATACAAAGGTAAACAATTGGAGGGCAATTAGCAGTCTCTTTGGGGTAACAGGAGAGAGAAGTCACCGGACTATTAATGTCAAAGGAATTAATTATGGTTTGCATAGGTGATTGAGTGACTTAACTTTGCAAATGGTTGAAAAATAAGGAACCAACAAAGTTTATAAAAGATGCCAGTTTGGAGAATCATGTATGGCAGACTTACAGGACTACCTGTGAAATAGTTTAAGGCTATCAAGATATTGAGATGCAGCCTGTTGTATAAGGGGCCACATGTACTATAGATCACCTTTGTCCAACTTGAATGTGTGTGAGACTTGGCTGGGTGATTTTTTTAAAATACAGATATTTGATTCACTAGGTCTGAGGTAGGGCCTGACATTCTGCATTTTTGACATAACCTGGAGGTGGTGCTCTGCAGGTCAGCACATCTCATTTTGCATAGTAAGGCTGTAGATTGTTCTAGTACCTGTAGCAGATGGGGTTGAGCCACCCATACTCCTTTTACATGTTTCCAAGGTACCAACGTTGCACTGGGAATGCTCAGGGCATTAGAACAGCTTTTTGGATTGATGATACTTGGCCAAATGCTTCACCGTACCTTGTAGTTTATGAGGATTACAGTCCACTGAGACCCATGTTCATACAGTACAGTCATGCACAACCTCTTTTCACAATCACCAATTTAGAAAAACATAAAAATATTTGCAGGCCATATTTATTTATGTTTATATAACTGCATACTTTAAAAAAAAGCAGCAAGTGCAGTCTTGGTAACTAAGGTCTCACTCTCCAGTTAGAAAAACAGAAAAAGCACTATTGTTTCTAGATTTAACTCTGAGCCTCTTAAGTTTTGTTGTGGGGGAAAACACTTTTTAAGCTAGGGTCATTCCCCGTTCCCTGACTAGCTTTTCCACCCACTCAAATTATCAAATGTGGTTTTGTCTCAGAGTGTGCCTGTTAATATTGTATACTTTAAAACAAGAGATCCCCTGCTGATTTCCGGTGTGGACATATAGGGACATGAGGACACAGAGGATGGGCTCCTCTTACCACTTACTGTGAAGCACATGATTTTCATTAGCCATTTTTATCTTCTTGGAAGGCAACTGAGTTTAAGCTTTCATTTAGAGAATGGTCTGCCCACGCTTACTAACCTCCCCTCTCTGAATCCACTTTTCTCTTCTCAACCCTCCCTTCTTTCTTTGCTGTGTTGACCCCCACCTGGATGTCTGTCACATCTATGGAGAGAGGGTGGAGAGAAAGGACGGTGAGCAGGGGGTTGAACTTGTTCTTGACCCTCTGTGGCCTCAGTTTCTCCCAGATCTGTAAAGGGGTCTGTAGGTTAGCTGTTTCTGAGAAGCTAGACAAACCACTTAAGTCTGAGGATTGGTCACTTTAGTGGAAAGAGTGAGATGGAAACCCACAAAGTCAGGACACCTGGATTCTAATCCTTGTCCAACCAGTAACCAAATTTATTTTGCCTTGGAGGGCAAATGAAATCCCTGGGCCTTAGATTCCTCATCTGTAATGCGATATTCTTAGTTATGCCCATGTTTTTTAAAGTGTAGGAACCTTGGCACTAGGATGGCATAACACTGAATCACACATTGAGAACTGTATTCCTTTCCGATCACTTTAAATCCTTCTGGTTGTTAAAAAAAAAAAAAAAAAAAAAACAGAAAAAAAGAGAGAGAAAAAACAAAAATTCAAAAATTTCCATTGATACTCTTGTCCTTAACCCTTCTCAACATTTGCCACTCTCCCTCCTTTTTTCAAAAATCATTTTTAATTTTTGTTTTGACCCTCAAAGAGAAATCAGTGACTTTGTTTTTACTGTGCTTGTTTTTAATTTATGGTGGGTGATACTGATTTCCCATTTAAGGCAGTAATAGAAAAAAATTAAAAGAAGGTTGATTTAAATGAAAATGTTTGCTACAATTACCATAATAAGTGGCCTCCAATGAGTATGGTATATTAATTATTCGGGAACTGTTATGTCATATAGATATGGCAAAAATCAGGACACCAGTAACTGTGGTTAAAGAAACACTAAATTAAGTGGTTTTAGTTTTTGTTCAACTCAAAACTTACAAGAGCATTCAGGTACGTCGTCAGGTGGTAAATGTCCACTCCAGTTTCTGTTCCCCAAATGTACATATATTTAGTGACATGGTATTTGGTGAATGAAGCTCATGTTTGGTGTATACAATCAACAGTAATGTGACAGGGGACTAACATATTCTGATACGTTTGGGAAAATTTTGGCTGCAGTTAACTATAATTTGCTAATTTTGCATTTACATTGGTTTTTTTTTTCTCCTGTTACTTAAAATATAACGAAATGGGGACAAGCACCTTTGCCTTGGTGTAATTAAAAATAAAATTATGTCAGGAACATCTGTTTTCAGAAGGGATTTCTATTTGTTTTATCACCAAAAGGTGGCGTCCTACCCCCATGCCCTTTATTTTAAAACCTTTCTTGCTTTAATTTAACAAAAAGAAACTTCCAGTTGATTACTGATAAAGAAATTAAAATCTGCCCCCCACGAATGTAACGTGACAGTGTTGAAAATGAACAATATGTTAAGCTGCAGTTAAGTTTCCCTCTAATGTAAACCAAATGGACATCGAGTTCTTTAATAAGGCAGCACAGCACATTAGACAGTATCATACAAAATTGAGTACAATATATCATGGGATTTACAACCAGGATTTCCTTTTGTCTGCAAAACTTGTTGCCAACCTGACTGTGGCCCCCACTTGCAAGTGAATGTAGAATTTAAGGCAGTTAAAATGCAGAATCAGATTAGCAGCAATCTAAAGATCTTTTTAGTATTGCGATGATAATAATTTTTAATAAACACACTGCTTAATCTGAAAAACAAGATCAGAGGATGAATTGTTCTTTACAGACTATGAATAGATCTGTTACATTTAAATAAGTCGTTATTCCCCTGAGTTATAATTCTACAGTCAGGCATATACCATAAACATGTTATATTTGGCATAAAGTACTTTAGAAATTAAAAACCATTTTTAATAGGTTGACCACTACAGAACCAGTAGACTGGCTACTTTGTAGATTTCCACTTAATTCCGTGTGAATTCAGCATATGGAATTTCCAGTGATGTCAAAGAGTTGTTGGCAGTATTAACTGAGTTGACATAAAGCTTTTAGTTCAGTGCCTAGATCATAGTATTTAATAAATGTTAGATGTTATTATTGACAGCTTAGACTGTGAGCTCCTCAAGGGCAGGAATTTTTATTTTTTCATCCCTCTGTGCCCACTCTGTGGTCTAGCACACAGTGGGTATGTCATTAATCCCTTTATGTCTTGACAAACAAGACGTCGAACCCTAGCCTCTAGGAAGCTAGGACATTCCATACAAACTAAAATGCATTTTATTGGTCTAGATTCTAGTCTAAAAGATTCAGTGAATAGTCTTATCTGGATAGCATGGAACTTTATGCAGCATGCATGCAATGTGAATTCTACCAGGCTGAAATTACCTTAGCAGCCTCCCTTTCTTTTATTCTGTAGCATCAGCGAATGGCTTTGTTATTTTTTTTTTTTAACTTGCGAAAGATACAATTTCAAAGCGATAGTCTTATGCCACCCTTGAAATTAAGATTTAAGTTCTTCTGTAAATTAATGTTTAACAATATTTGTAAAGGGGCATTACGCGAAAGAATTTAATAATAACCTTTTCAGGATATTATCTACAACTGTGCTGGTCTCAAGACCAAAGGGACAGTAAGCCTCTCCCCTCCCCGCAAGGGGAAGTACTTTGTAGGAATCCACAGGGGTGACTTTTAATATATTCTCATAAAGAATTGGCCTGGTGTACACCAGCCAGCCAGTAGCTGGAAATGCTGGTTTGGGAGTCTGGCCACTTCTGTGGTGGTGGGTCTGAAAAAATTTACTTCTGTTAACAACAACAACAACAACAACAACAAGACATAGAGGTCTTACAGCTTTCCAAGTCACGTTTTGGAAACACATACTCTGCTTCCTTCTCTATGCGTATTGATAAAAGTGAAAGAAATACTAGTGTCTTTTGTTTTATGTATGTATATTTCAAAACATTTAATTCAGGCTCTTAGTTTATTCCTTCGAATTTCTAAATTCAACCAAACTTCAAAAACCGCAAAAAGAAAAAAAAAAATCTCACCTTTTCAAAGAATTGGACAAAGCTTTTTGCACGTGACTGATCACTGGGAGAGCAGGTAATTTGTGTTAAACAACGGACTGACATGCTAGCCCCCAGGCGTTTTCCTAAGAGGAGTCGTGGCAAGAACACAGTTCCTGATGCAGCCACCTTCCCCCAAAGTGGACTCGATTGCACATTCCTGCAGTGGCTCTGACAAGGGGGCAGAAGCTCGTCCCACATTCACACTCTCCTGATTCCGAGAAACAGGGGAGAAAACCCCTCGCTGGCTGGCGGGGTTTCTGTTTCCTTGCAAACAGGGGTTTGTCCTTCTGCTGAACTTTCACCTCCCGAACTCGCCTTCTTTCATTGGACAAAGTGCAGAAAGAAAGAGGAGAGACCGAGGGAGGACGGGAGAGAGGGAGAAAGGGGGTTGAAAACACCACCTCCCACCCCGCTCTCCTTCAACTGTCACTGATGGCAAAACACTTTCACTTTTAACTGGAGGAAACTCACATTCTAGCCTGTCCTCTCCCCTCCCTTTCATATTTTTAGCTCAGAATCCAAGCAAATAGCCATCGCATTCCCATCTTCGTCCCTAGTTAACACTCTCCCTTCTCGTTTTTTCCGCTGTCTGAATGGGCCCCCCATTTCCCATCTCCTGAGGAATCTCCCCCTCCGCCCCCCTGCCCCTTATTTTCCAGGTCTTTCCTGCCAGATCCCTCTGTTGCCAGGGACTGCTCTGGCGTTCCCTTCCTCTCTCTGGTCCGCGGGGCTCTGCCTCCCTCTCCTCTTTCCAATCCTGCCTGGACGCCCCTCACTTCCCCCTCCCTGGATCCCTCCCCCCAACCCCCCCCCCCATTCTTTGGCAATTGCGATTTTTTTTTTCTGGGAGCCCGGTTGTTTACCCAGCAGGTGGATGTGACGTCAGGGACGCACAACAGCAAAAAATAACAACATCTCCCTCCGCGACGTGTTGGCCTCTCTCGCGCGCCTTATTTATTTATTTGTTCCGGGATGTCGGGGGGGAGGGGGGAGGGAGGAGGGGGGTGGGCGCCAGCGCCCCGGCGAACGGCAAAGAGGGAGCCGCTCCCGCTCGGGGGGCCGCTGGAGTGCCCAGCGGGGTGCGTGAAGCGGAGAGGGGACCCCTGCGGGAGGTAGAGGGTCGGGCCGGGGTGCGCCCCCGGGCCGGTGCTGCCCGCGCCTCTGCCGCCGCCGCCGCCGCCACCGGCGCTGGCTGGGCTCCGGGAAGCTAGTCCGGAGCGGAGGAATCTATTGTTATTTATTGTGTGGCGGTTGCACGCTGTACTCGCGGCGGCCCGGCCCTCGCCCGGGAGTGCGTGTGTGCGCGCGTGTGTGCGCGAGTGAGTGTGTGCGCGGGGTGCGCGCGCGGGCGGGAGTGGGCGCGCGCGGGGAAAGGCCCGAAAACACCTTAGTTTGCACCGAGAGACCATTTGCAGCGGGTGAGTTTGTATTTTTCCATTTCTGCTCCACTTTTTCCCAAGCCGCCTCCTGTCTTGTTTCCGCCACTTTAAACAACAACAACAACCAGCACAAAAAAAAAAAAAGAAAGAAAGAAAAAGAGAAAAAAAATGGAAAAAAAAAAACAACTACTTTCCACCTCCAGGCTCCACGTGCATCTCCCCCAGCCCTCCCCTCTCTTCCTCTCCCCCCCGGGTCGAGGCCCAGCTCTGGGATGGGTGGGGGCTGCGGGCCGGCGCGCGGGTGGAGGGAGCTCCGGCGGCGCCCGCACCCTTTGGGTTTATTTGCATAAGTCAAATGGGGGCGGGGGCGGTGGCGACTGTGAGGAGGCGAGATCGCCTGCCCGTAGGCCCCTTCACGCCTCTCTCTGCGCTCTCCACGATCGCCTAGGGGAGAGAAATCAATAAGCCCAGGCCGCCTGGCGCAACTTTCGATGTCCGGCGTTGGCGTCCGGTGGCCGCCCGGGCGCGGGGCCGGTGCGGGGTCCCGGGTCCTGGCCGCGGCGGGAGGGGGCGCGCGCCGGGCGCCTCCTAGGCCCAAAGTTTAGACTTGGAGCAAACTTTTCCCCTTCTTTCCCCGCGGGTGTGTGCCCCCTCGGTGCCCTTGAGCTGCCCCGCGGGCCCCAGCAAACTGACTGTGGTGCCTGGCCCTGGGCCCCGCACTGGGGAACTTCCCCGCTGCCACGCGCGCGTTACCCCGAGAGTCAGCGGCGAGGAAGCTCTCCCGCCACCCCCTCGGAGCCCGGAAAATTCAAACACGCACCTGCGCACCCCCAGCCAGACACGCACCCCTACGCGCGCTCGGCCTCCGCTTTCCCGAGACGAGTCCGCAACAGCCGTGGCCAGATCCACGGGTGGGTGCGGGAGCCGGATGCGCTGCGAGGAGTCGCCGCGCCCGGATCTCTCTCCCACCATCACACACATTTTCTGATTTTACCCCCCTCTGAAGCTTGGGGGACGGGGAGATTTCCCAAGCTCCGATTTGTCCTGCGTCGCGCGCGTGTCGCCTCGTCCCTCCGGCCCTGTCCTGGCGGCCGATGGCTCTCCGTCCCTCGCTTGCGCGCAGCCTTCCTCCCGAGCTCCCTGCGCTCTATTCCTGTCCCGCCGAGACGACTCCCTGGAGCCAGCGAGCCGAGGCGGCGTGCGCTTCGAGTGGGGACCACGGCGGTGGCGGCGGCGCCGGGAGCCGAGGAGTTTGCCAGTTGCCGCGGGGTCGCGGTCATTTGCTGCCTCCGCCTTCCCTCGCCCCCGCCTCCCGCCTCCCTCCTTTTCAGACAACGTCGCGCTCGGAAACTTAGATTCCTTCTTCTTTTTGGCCCTCGACGAGCCCCCCTCCCCACCTGTTGTGAGCTCCGCCTTGGTCCCGGGAGACTGGCAGTGACACACACGGGCTCTGGGGAGCTCCGCTCCCGGAAACAAAGTCGCATGCCCCCCTCCCATGTGTTTGCTTCGAAATCGCTGCCTGCAGCCCCCCATTCCCGCGCAGCTCCCGCCCCCTGTGAGAATAAGGACTAAATAAACAGTTGTAACTCCAAACCTTGCGCCCGTGATCGTATCCCCATCCCACCCCCTTCTCCCTATTCCTCCCCCCTCCTTTTTGTTGTTGCAACTTTGTGAGATCCTGGGGAAGGTGCTGAGACTTTGGCTCGGGCCGATTTCCCGGTCTCTGGATCCTTGCAGGGATTCCCTGAGCCGCATCCTCTCTTCCCTCCACGCGCACTCGCGGGTCCTCGGAGCCCGCTGCCCTCTCTGTCCTGGCCCCTCGGCCTACTCACCCGTCCCGTCCCCTTCAGTTCCCCCCAGCCTGCACGGGGAAGACTTGCTGAGGGTCGCCCCGGTTTCTTGTCGACTGCAGAACCCGAAAGTTTGTAAGAGGAAGAGAGCGCGCGGCGAGCGAGCGAGCGGGCCGGGGGCAGCGGCAGCGGCGCCGGGGACCATGGTGCTGCCGGCGCCTCCTCCGCGGGCGTGAAGGCGGCGCTCCTACTCCCTCCCCGGACTCCGCGGGTAAGTCGAGGCGGCCGCGGGCGCGGGGTCCAGGGACACCGGAGAGCCCCAGGCGGCACTAGGGGTTCTCCGTCCCCAAAGAGCCAGCCGGGGTGGCGCGAGCCTAGCGATAAGGCACCGGGAGCGAGGAATGTGCCCATCCTCAGGCCGGTAGGTGCTTCGAAATACTGGACTTCCTCCCCTCCACCCTTTTCCCCTCTTTCTTTCCTAAATCTGAAAATCTGGAGATCAAAGTTTAGCGTGGAGTGTAAAGTGCTCCGATAAAATATGGTGACATCCTCGCCCCCCTTCTCACCCCACTCCCCTCTTATAACTATTAATTATTTCCAAGTCATTGTATCCAAATACCCTTGCTGGGCTGATTACAAAGTGTATTGATTTAGTCTGGGCTCATCCTATGCTTTCGTCTTAATTCATTTTCTTTTTGCTCTACCAGAAGACCCAAAATGAAACTTATTTCTTCCTCTTCCCTACCTCCCCACCCCACAAGCCCTCATCTGTGAGGCTTGGGCAGAATAATGAAATTAATATAAACATTTCATTTGGTTGCATTTGACCTTATGCAGTCCACTTCTGAGGGGCTGGAATTGCGCTCATGTCTGCTCACAGGTATTTTCCAAGTTAGCATTTTCTTTTTTGTCACTGCTCTTTAAACAGGAATGCCGGAGGAGCATTCTGGATTCCCTTTGAAAGGCATCTGTACATTCAAACCGTCTACACTTCACCATTGGTTGTACGTAGACTTAAGGGTTTAGGGCTTGGACAATAGCTGAGTTGAGAAGACCTCAAGGATATTTAAAGGAATTTTTCTGCTACTGAAAATATATTGAAGAATCGCTGCAAAATTTTTCCATTCCATCCCCTTTCCCCCACCCCCGTTTTCCACAGCAAGAATCAATTTGGAGGGAGATGTGTAAACTAGAATTTTTAAAGAAATAGTAAGACTTCAGGTGTTTTCTACCCAGGGATAGCCTACATAATTGAGAAAGAGGAGTTCCTGCTATTTTTCTGTTCCAGAGAGAAATGTATCAAATCTTTTTTAGAATTCCACTGGAGTTTTGATTCTCAAAGTGGAAATACCCATCCCTTTGGGTCCAGGAAAAGAAAACTCAGCTCACAGTTTCAGAAATTTGGACTGTTTTTTTCCCCCCTCTGTCTTTCTATTTGAAACGTCTCACAATTAAAGAGCAAGAAAAATATAAAAAAGGAACTCAACTAGTTACCATTCAAAAGGTGTCAGCTAAAATCTCACTGCAAAGGGAAAAAAAAAGGTTTAACATCTTGCCACTGGCTGCATCCCCCACCCCCCTTAGACTTTGGATTAGTCATTGTATGAGAGAGAGGGAGAAAAAAAAAATCACTTTTTTTTTTTTTTTGGAAAAGTAAAGTAAACAGCCTCCAACTGCTGAACCTTGACAACCCAAATTAAGGAAGCAGGAGAGATCAAACAGAACTGCTGCTGGGTGGTTGTCAGGAGCTGCTACACGGAGAACCCTGGACTATTCGATCAAGCAGCAAGGCTATATGTTCACTTATGCAGAAATGGACCATTGCAGATGCTAATCTTTGTTGTGCAAGCGAAGGCTCACTTGGAAGGAAATACTCAGCCCCTCTCTGGGCAGCATTTGAGTTCCTTATGGATGCCGAGTCGCGAAACAAGTTATTTTTTTTAATGTATCCTTCTTTATGAGGAGAATGCTACCCAAAAATGTATTAAAGGAATATTAAGTCGTCCAGAGACTGTCTTGCTACCAAGAACTGTGCAATGGAATTCTTTTTACCAACATTAGACTCCTACACTAGAGTTAGATAACGTTTTCTCACATTGAGTTTAGAAGATCTGCCTTGTCAGGGAAGCCAAGGTTTTGTATGTGAGAGTTTAAATCTGATGTGAAGCTCAAAAAAAAAAAAAAAAAGAAAAAAGAAAAAAAAGAAAAAAAAAATCTCTGGTGATGAAGTTTTGTGTCAGCCCACTCTTGGAATTTAAAAAGGCGAGAGAGAGCAGTCTCCAGATTAGACAACCTCTTTTTTTAGATTGACATTCAACATGACCACGTTGCTACTTTTATTCAAGTTCTCTGTAACTTGTCCTTGCTTGTTGTCTAGGAAAATTTAACTACTTTACATTTTTAAAGGGAGTAGTAACAGTAATTACTGTAGCATTTTGTTTTCACAGGTTTATCAAAGTATAATGAAAGAAACATCAACTATTCAAATTAACTGTCTCAGATAAGGGGTTTATATTGCTGGAGATGTCTAAGATTTTGTGTTTATATTTAAATCGTGGAGTATAAACTGTGTAACACTTTTTTTTTTCTGGGATAAACTATCCCCAAATTAAATGTTATTTTAAATTAAGTAGAACAAAGTAGGAAACAGGATAAGTAAACACATACAGAAGAATAAAAATAATTGTCATTTAAGGATTATATTTTTAATTAACAAGTGTCGGTCACATAGTAAGCAGTTTATATATTTTTTGTAAGCCAGAGTTTCATAACCATGGTGCACAACATGTTTCAAAGTCTGTAGTTTTTACTAGATATACCTTTATTGTATAATTAAGCAATGTGGGTTAAACATACACATGGATGCTATTAGGCAATTTTCTGCAATATGTAATGTTTTGAAAACGCTATAAATATTTTCTAGTTAAACCATTTATACTTATAATAGCAAAAGTTAACTGAGTTAATATTGAGCCTAGGCATGGTTTTCTGTTACTGAGTTTTTCTTTGCCTTTTTAAAGACTATACCCCTGGCCTTGTAAATTTGCATCTTAGGCTCTGTTGAAGGGTATGTCTGTTTTCAGCAGTTGTTTAAATTAACAGAAGAATTGTGATATTTTTCAAATATATTTATATTGCAGGGGGTCCAGTGCCAAAATTAAGAAAGAGAAGGAATATAGCAGATGTGACAACTTCTTTTGAACCCAGCTTCCTCTTTGCAGCCAATCTTATTGTGCATATTTATTTGATTTTCATGTTTTACTTATGACTCAAACTCAGTTTTGAAACACTATCTTGTAAGATTCCACATCTCAAAAAGTATGTATATTTAGACAAGGTTAGGTGTTACAGTACCTATCACATTTCAGTGGGAATGCCAAGAATATTTACAGGGTATAGCAAGAATTTTGTCCTTTAAAAATAATTTTAGGTATACGTTAATAAAACCGAAGTAGATTGCAGGCTGTCAGAACATAGTATAAATTTTGTTTATGATTCTGTTACTTTAAGGTACTTACATTAAAGAAACTCATTTAACCCGTGACTGAAGAGCATTAAGTGGGGAGGGAAACCCTCTGAAGAGCTCCTACTGCCCTTTGCTCTCCCGATAATCTTAAATTACTACAATTTAATTGCAACTTCAAGGCATTCAGCATGAGCTGTTTCTTCTCCACGACCGAGAAAGGGTTTCCAGAGCATGGCTAGATTTACACAGGTGGTATTTTTGTTTTTAATTTTTTTTTTCTTTTTGCTAAGGGCTTTTCCTTTCTTCCTTATCCTGTCAGATGTCACACTTCTTTTATAGATTTCAGTCATAGTAAATGCCATTTTTGCTATACCAGCAATATTGGCCTTCTTTTTTTCTTTTTAAATGTGTTTTTTTGAATCTAGAGTATATAAACCTCTCAAGCAGGTAGGGGTTTGTTTTCTAAAGAAAATAACCTCAAGAAAGGCATCTGCTGAATAGACAGGTGAACTTTATACCTGAGCCAATGTATACTTTTACTATTTGCAGGGGATTTTTTTTTTTTAAGTTGATGGTAGTTAGTCCCACCAGGTGATCAAACATTGAGTTTGTGAGACAAGCCAGCAAGCCAAGTAGGTTTGCACTTGGGCCCATGCATTTTTTTAATGATCTTTCTTGTCATTTGTTACTCTACTCTGCAGGCCACTTTGCTATACATATGCTATCCAAGGAACCATCTTAAACTGATTTTTCAACATATTTCTCTTCTCCGGTACTTGGATGAATTAAGGATAAAGGCTCCAAAAGCTGGAATGCCAGCAGGCCTTGAGATGAGGCAAGTTCCTGAAACGGGCAAACCTGGCGAAATTTGGGGTATCTTCTGCATGATAGTTTTTTTCCTTTTTTTTTTTTCCTGGGACGTTTGTAGTTTATTTCAATGAGCATGTGACCATGTGCTTAATGGAAATTAAGCAGATTTGGCTTGTGTCGCTAACCTAAAAATAAATGTTGTAAGGAATATTTGATTTCTAGAAGTGTTTTGGTTTTGCATCCCATAGATAATGTTCTTACAGTTAGGGCTACGAGGCTGGTATTCTGCAAAGAGGAAGTACAATGGGGGAAAGTGCATGGCAGTCAGGAAAGACAATTAGACAGTGTTCTTTGTTTCTTTAATAAATTATTCTTATTAATTACAGTCAGTTTGTGCTAAGGCATTTTTCAATCCTTGTTTAGAAGTCAGCTGCCATTCACAAGAAGGTTGTGCCAGAAGCTGTGTTCTTCGCACGCACTGTTGTTTTACCCAGTCGTGAAATCTATTGACCAGATTGGCTTGTGGATGTCTCTGCAAGGCTTGTTTTTCTTTTTGCAATGCCCTGATGCCAGTCTTTAATACATGCCCTGCCTTGTACACAACAGGTGTTTGTTCGGTAGTTATTTTATGGGACTTAGAGTGAGAAAAAAATGTTTCCTATCTAGCCAGCCGCTGTGAGAACGAGTGCCTGAAAGGGAGAACCTACCTAGTACCTGAACAGGTGTAAATGGGTGTTTCCTCATGACCCTCCCCAAGCTGTTTTATTTCAAAAGGAGGGGAGGGGGGCTCAGTTTAGTGCCATGAAATTTACAATTCAGTTGTAATAATTTAAGGTTATTGGTAGAGTGCAAAGGGCAGTGGGAGCTTTCTAGTGGTTTGGCCTTGATGCTTAAAGCTGCTCAGTTGTAGGGTTAAATTAGTTCCTTCAGTCTGAGTACTTAAAGTAACTAAATCGTAAACAAAATTTATATTCGATTCTGACAACTAATAATCTATTTAAATTATATTAAAGTATCTGGGCAAAAATTTAATTAAAGACAGAAGTACTGTCAAGCCCTGTAAATATCTTGACAGGTCTACTCAAATGGAACTGATATCACGAAATATTTACATATGTCTGCTGTGTTCGGGAACATCTCAGCAGTGCCTGTGCAAAGCTAATTGCACTTTCCTTCCAAATTGTATTTTTAATAAAATAGTTTTTTTTTTAAAAAGGAATATGAATACATACACAGTTGTGTTCCAGTGTTCTGTTTACTATTTACTTCTCTATACTCAGAATCATGTTGTGATGAGTGTATTTCCTCAAACTGCTGCTAATTCAGATAAATAGCTGAAATGGGATCATTGAATAGAAAGCCCATGTCATTCTGTTTGATTTCAACAGTTTGAAGATATCAGAGGCTAGCATGTTATAGGACAATTTACTGAGGGAAAAATGGATCTGAATGTGGGATTATTGGGCCTTGTTTATGTTCAATAGAATAGATTTGCTTAGGACAAACATTTTCTCTGAGTTTTATGTTTGGACATATATTTATTTATTACTTGTAAGTCAGGTGGACATCCACATTTTACCAGATGCTCTGATTTTAGCTAATTTTGTGATTCACTTTGTTTACTAGGACACTGAAGAATATTTCTAGCATCAAACTGAATTTCCGAGGTGTCCTTTCTCCCTCCCAGCTGTGCAATTGAGTCATAATGTGACTTTCTCTGCTCCAGGTTCCCTGCTTTTGAATTAGGGGTAATATTTTAACATATGTTCTTTGAGCTTAGGGATCCAATGATACAGGGCTTTGTTATTACTCACATTTTTAAAAGATATTCTTGGTGCTCTCAGGACAGTGACCGCAGCTTTTGTTGGGGGAGGGTGTGATGTGAGTTTTGCTTGAGTTTCTTTTGCCCTGGTGCCTACCTCCTGATGACCAGTGGCACTGGTGGCTTCCCCTCCTGGGGGTGAGCACAGAGATGGAAGTGAATGCTCATGTCTGAAGTGAAGGGAGGTTGCAGTTGGTCCTAATTCAGCCTGGTTCAAAGTGAGGTCCTCGCTCACCTACCTCTGTATCTGTGTGTGTGTGTGTGTATGTGTGTGTGTGTAGGTTATTAAAATACAGATCCTTGAGTCAGAATTTTTGCTGATTGACATGGTAACGTACATTTATAACAAACTTCCCTTGATAATTCTGATGCATGCTAGAGACCTGTGAATCAAGTGATTTATTCTTTCAGATGTGTGGAACTGAAATCTCTATCTTCACTTGGATTTTACTGATGATTTCTTTGATTTTACCTTGAGGCCCATCCTGTGTTGTTTTTAATGTATTTGGATTTTTATTACGAATGAAAAACGGTGGTTTTTAACCAAGCACGAGTATTGGAATCACAGCAGAGCTGTTGTTCCCAACACAGACACAGTTGCACGACTCCTGGATGTGCCGTATCTGGGGTGGGGCCAGCATCTGTGTTTTTAAATCGCATCCCACATGGTCCTGATGCCCACCAAAGTGGGAAAACTGGACCTGTCAATTATCAGAGTTGGAGGAAAGCCTGCAACCCTTCTTAAGAGTTTAATTGAATTGGTTGGCCATTGTGAAACCTAAGAGAAGAAAACGGAGCTCCTTTTTCAGGAGGGCACAAAAAGAAACCTTGGAGACTTAGAGAAACAGAGGCAGAACAAGAGCCTCACAGTTCAATAACGTGATAGGAACAACCTGGAACATCGGTGGTTTTCACCAAATGTCAATATCAGATAATTTCCTTTTGAATTTTGTCTTGCCTGCATCCATGTTTCCCAATGGGTGTTGTCATGCTGTAGCTACCAATTAGTGTCAGATGACTCTCTAGAATTTTTTTTTCTGAGTATTCCATCTTAATTTTAAAATTGTAACTGTTTGCTCTTTGGATTAACCCTGCTGGCAGAAGTATTTTGATTTTCCCAAGCATCTTGGGAAATTCTCTATCGTATGTGATGGGGCATGCACGAATATTGATGGAAATAGCCTAGCCAACGATGCCACACAAATAAAGAAACCAGAATCCTAAGAAGAAGGCATCCTACAAGATTATGAAATAAAGGAAGATAAAATGTTAAGGAGGCTTATTTAAATATTCAGGGCTTCAACTAAAGATCTAACCACTAAGATCAAAAGAGTTATTTAAATAAAAGTTGTTGAGACATTTTTTCATCTGTATTAATAATGTGGCTTTTGAAGTTACCCGGTAATAATGTGTCCATAATGCCCACACCTAATTTTTAATTTCCATTTTGGCTTTAGGTGTGGCTTTATTTTAATAGCTGCCAAAAAGTTGGCAATTGTTTTTACGTTTAGAACTTCACAGTTTGCTTTTCTGTAGGTTTAGGTAGCATTGGGGATATTCGTCTAATAAAAACTTTTAAAATTTCTGTTCTGACCCTGAGGCACTTAAAAAAAACTCTTATGGGCCAAATTTTAAAAGTAGAGTGTCTCTACTACTGCATAAAGAATTTCTATAAAAGATGAAACATGGAGCTGATTGAAAGAATAGACGGCGCAATGGTAGAGGACACATAGTTACCACTGTCACTGGTAATCTACAGCTTGATGCGAAGTCATTCCGCCTTGTTTGTTGAAATGTTAATCATTTCATTAAGAAAGGTTAAGTAATTAACTGATATTTCATTAGGGAATCAATGACAGACCTTTTTTTAGTGATGTATGGTAGATATTTTCTAATAGAAAGTTTGCCCCATTTAATTATTTGGAAAGAAGCTAGTTGATTGAGCCTTGGGAAGGAGGGGTGGGGCATCTTCAGATAACATCTATGTCCATAAGCAACTTTAAATAATTTTGGAGAAAATGGTCTATTAGAATAGAAAATCGTTCAGTCCCCAGTTTTCTTTTATGGGCTCCATCAGGCATGTTGTTGCAGACCTGCTGTTGTTTTGCATGCCTTCTCTGGGTTTAAGAAGGGTTCAGCTGCTTAAATGTGTTCATCTTATTTTCTAAATAATGGCTTTTGTTGCAGTGTGATGCATGTTGACAGTAAACGCGCAGCCGTAACTTTGGTAAGCTTACAACAAATTCTTATACTTGTAGAAGCAAGTTATCCTCCTTGCTGCTGACTGGGGGTGCTTCTCCCTTTTGTCTGGCTATCCTTATGGCAACTGCAGCAAAAGGTTTAAGTATTCTGGGATGAGGATGGGGTGGGGGTGGGGACGGAGGGACTCTCCACCTGGCGAAAGTTCACCTTTTCTGATACCTTTTTGTCCTGAAATCACACACAAAGTATGCTTCTTGCATATTTTTCCTTGTGTGTGTATTTATGTCAACTCAAAAAGATACTTAGAGAGAAATCTCATTTCTGTGTTTGCTTTTGTTTTGCTTAAGAAGCAGGACAGTCACATTTACTAAATACAGAGTATCTCTTTGTTAGAAGTGACTTTCCTGCAGCAGACTCCTGAGGTTAAAAATTCTTTAAATATAAGGTAATCCTAAGAACTTTTGAAAATGAATAGATTTTATATTGGATTGCTGGGTTTTTCAGTATTTGTAACCAGTGTCCGAATTACTGAATAGAGTGTGATGCCTTGGTCTCAAGCATTTTGTTCTGTGAGTTGAGAACAACTCAACTTACCTTTTTAAGAAAAGAAATCAGGCTGATATTTACAAAGCTATTTATTTTAAAACTGTATGCTTATATGTTTCCATTTTCATTGTGAAATATGTAAGGCACAAAAAAGGAACAAAGAGTAAATCAGTGAGCACCCATGTACCTGTAGCCCGGCTTAAGAGAGAAGACGCTGCTGGTTCAGGTAGGAGAGGCTCCTGGAATATCCCATCCTCATCTTACCTCTGTCCTTCTTTCCTAGAGGTTACTTTACCACTGTTCGCAGCTGGGTGGTTTTCATCTTGTGTAGTTCTTCATATTTTTAATATGTATGCATGTACAGGATTCCTCAAAATACAGGATTTTGTTTTGCACGTTCAAGGTTTGTTCTGATAGCATCCTACTATATATGTTTTTTAGTAACTTGCTTTTTTAAAAAATAAACAACAGTAAAATTCATCCATGTGGATACATGTAGCTATAGCTTATTGATTTTTCCATGTGAACCTTTTGAAATACTGGATATTAATTCAAGACAAGTTCTTTAAATTTGAGCCTAAAACCCAGTAGCACTCTGTACATTGAAAATTTCAGATTCATAAGAAACCATCAGTCCTGACTGGAACTTCATAATTTGTTCATTTGTCTGTGTTTTGGGGGAAAAAACTTTAAAACCTCAACCATTTATCAGGGAATTTGATTAAAAAAAATAATCTATCAAGTGGCTGATCTCTTACATTAAGGGAAAAAACAGGCAAAGCATTCATTTGAAGGAGCCTAGCCATTTTCTCTTTCTTATTTAAAGACTTGGCTTGGAACTTAGCAGTTACATATGCAGGGTAGCGAGTTAAAAAGCCATGTTTAATTAACAGGCGCTTTATACTTCTGTATCCTTGTTATGATATAGCACCTTGTTCTTCAGTGTAGAAAGTGATTTCTGCATATTTTAAAGGACTGGCATCTTTATGGTAAGAAAGCCATATAAATAAAGATATACTTAGATGAAAATCGGAACATGTTTTTAAAATAGTGTGTGTCTACTTTCATCTCTGTTATCAAACTTGCTGCATAAGCCAGAGTTGATGCTCTGTGATTATGCTAATGACCAAAAGAATCGATGATGCGAGACTAGATGAAATCAGTGGTATAATCGGGGAAAGTTATCAGTTTTTTTGTCATTAAGTATTAGTGATAAATAATACACTGTTCATTTCGAGTGGATAGAACATATTTAATTCTGATGTACAGAGTTTCATTTTAGTCAGGCTCATTGCTGAGTAAAATGATCATCTTTTGTAATTTAAGAGGAAAGAGAAAAGGCATTTTTGTCAGCCTGGCTAACTGACTTGGGCCATCTAGAAATGTTTACCTTGACCAGCCAGGGAAGATTGGAAAAACTTAATTTTTTTTCCTCCTAGACAACTTGCTTATTTGTACTGACATTTTATTAAGAATATCAGATACTCAGTAAATAGCATAAATGACTAGAGATGTTAAACAAAATGAGTATAAAGGTAGATAGTGTTTCCCTGAAGAATGGGGAAAATGATAACAAAGGGGCAATGTTTGGATAATGCTCTTTTTAAATGACTAGTCTGCATTAACCAGGGGCTATTAAAGTCGGTATCACCCATTAGACAGCAGTTTTAATTTTTTTTAATTGAGTTTTTCATATCAAATAAGATCATACTTAGTAATGGTTTACTTAAAGAGAAGTAATACTTGTAACTTAGAATCTTTTCCTGGGTTACTAAAACCTTAAGGGAAAACACTGATTCTACCTTCCTTGTCAACAAAGCGTTTCTAACACAATTCTCTGTAACAGACATTTCTCTGTGGATAGAGTTTAGCACTTGTTTTACTACTGTATGACAGTACCTGGTGACAAGAGAGAAAATAAAAGAATAATTAGCAATGTTCTGTAGGACATGAAAAGTGATTGAAGTCTACGAGAGAAGGAAATCAGATCGATGTTATTTTAAAAAAATGCATCACAAAAATGATTCTCTTCAAAGCAAAGCCTCCTACCCAGGCTGGGGCCAGCTGTGCTCTGCCATTTCCCTGCCACAGCCCTGTCCGTCCACGTTGGCTCTTACCAGCAGTACCATCTGCTGCTCCAGCAGTGGCCTTCTCTATGGTAAGGCAGGCCAATTGGGTCAAATCTTGTGATATGGCAGATGTCCACTGAGAGCTAAGATTGGGCCAGGCTCATTTTTATGTGTGTCCAAAGCCAAGATTTCAACTTGGTGAAAGGCTGTGGAATTTATTTCCCCAAGTGTTGCCCAAACTCTGTTCTTTTCTTCAACTGCCTCCTTGGGCTGAGATGATTGCTTAATGCTCTTAATTATGCTGGATCCCTCTGTATTTTCGAACACCTGTGGGTAATTCAGATCATGAGTGGTCACAGAGGCTGGCTCGACAAACGGCTTCCCTTTCCGAATGGGAAAATCCCAGGGAGCTGGACCATGCACCGTGTGTCAGGGAGCTGAGTGGAGGCTGAAAGAGGATGGAACACTTCCCTTGAACTTGAACTGGCATTGTGTTGTGTCCAAGTATCCTTCACCCTTGGATTGGGGAGAGTCTTACAATGAATAACTCAGAAAAAAGTTTTCAAAATAATCCTAGATTGTAAGATATCTACGACCATTATCCATAGCCATATCTTTAAAAAAAAAAAAAGAAAAGTAGAAAACAAGAAACAAAGTGTTTCTTTACCCAGGCCAAGTGAGCACTAAAGCTTCCTGTCATAATGAGGAGGCAGTGGGGGCCACTTTGCTTTTGAGACTTGGAGTCCCAGTATTACTGGGAGTGCCCTGACCCCTCAGGTAGGGACTTGTCAGAGCTCCAGAAGACCTAAGGTACAGTCAGAGCTGAGCCACGCCTTTGTCCATGAAGAGAATGGGGTTGAAAGTGGAGACTGAGGCCGAGGCGGGTGGATCACGAGGTCAGGAGATCCAGACCATCCTATCCTGGCTAATACAGTGAAACCCTGTCTTTAAAAAATTAGCCGGGCGTGGTGGCTGGCGCCTGTAGTCCCAGCTACTCGGGAGGCTGAGGCAGGAGAATGGCCTGAACCCAGGAGGCAGAGCTTGCAGTGAGCTGAGATCGCGCCACTGGACTCCAGCCTGGGCGACAGAGCGAGACTCCGTCTCAAAAAAAAAAAAAAAGAAAGTGGAGACTGATTTTCACTGAGTCACATAGCCATTAGGATCGTAATGATATCCATAACTGTATTTACATACACTTGTGAATGTAGATACCTACGTTGGCACATATGTGTCTTTCTCTCTCTCTATGTGTATGTGTGTATATGTATATATATGAATATACTACTCATATTTAAAAATATAAAATATATAGATGATGTTCCTTATACTGTTTTGTTACATGCTGTTCTTTCACTCTGTAGCAGAGTATTTTCCAGTATAATACAACTGTCTTCTATATGATTCTTAATAAGTACTTGCTCTTCCATTGTATGCATTTATATTTGGTTTTCCTTCTTTCTTTGAGGGCAGCACTATAAGGACCAAATGGTCTCTGCATTTGTAATTTACATTACATGAGATGGGAATAAGGCCGTAATGGGCCTGTGGAGTTGCAAGTGTTTTCTGTGGATATGTGTGCTGTACGTCTGCATGCACTTGTGTACACATGTGCATATTTGGTAAACGGAACTGCTCTTTCATAAGTAGTTCAGACTCTCAGCTCCTTGAGGTAGAAAATGTATCCTGTCCCTTCATACCCCTATTCTGCCCATTAGTGACATCTGTGTCTTGCTTTTTCTTGAGCTCTGACAGTCATACTTAACACATTTTGGTTTGCAGCTTGGAGCATGTATTAGGGATGAAGTGAAAAAAATGCTGTTCTCTGCATTAAATAAAAATTTTTGAGAATCTAGGACAACCAGGTCTCATAGAGTGTAAATAGCCCATGAAACAAGTTGTCTGTAAAAATGTGGTATAAAAATCCAAGTCTTATGAGGCATTTGAAAATTCAGAGAACAGGCTGGGCACAGTGGCTCACGCCTGTAATCCTAGCACTTTGGCAGGCCAAGGCGGGTGGATCACCTGAGGTCAGGAGTTCAAGATCAGCCTGGCCAACATGGTGAAAACTCGTCTCTACTAAAAATACAAAAATTAGCCGGGCGTGGTGGCTCATGCCTGTAATCCCAGCTACTTGGGAGGCTGAGGCAGGAGAATTGCTTGAACCGGGGAGGCAGAGGTTGCAGTGAGCTGAGATCACGCCACTTCACTCCAGCCTGGGTGACAGAGTGAGACTGTCTCAGAAAAAAAAAAAGAAAAAAAATTCAGGGAACAAACAAAAAGCAGAAGACCAGCTGTATAATCTGCTGGCCCATTGAAAAATTAAAATTTGGGGTCCCTATTTAAAAAGTAGTAAGTATTTCAAGAAGGTGATGGCAGAGCATTAAACCAAGGGTGGGGCTCTTCTGAGCTTGGGGCTTTTCTGTATGTGGGGCCCTGTGGGACTGCACAGGTCACATGTCCATGAAACCAGCTCTGCCTGAGATTCAGAAACTGTCTTGAAGGGCTTTGTTTCTCTGCACCAAGGGTTCTTCCTCTGTAGAACAGGAGGACCAGGTTGGGACAGGCATAGCAGCCTGAGGCCCTCCTGTACAGCTTGCACTCATCCATCTAAGTGTACTCTATTGCTGAATCAAATTGGGTTCAAATTCCTCAGGAAGCACATACCTTCTCCTAGATATGCATTGAGTACAACATCTTAGCCATTTCCAGGACTGGGTATTCTCTGCAGGCCTTCTGCAAGGTCCCATGAGGGAGGCGAATCCTGCTCGAGTTTCTTTCCTTCCCTCCCCTTCCCTTCCTTTTCTTTCTTTTTTTAATTTCCCCTCCCCTCTCCTCCCCCCCTCTTCCCCTCCCCTCCCCTCCCCTCCCCTTCCCTCCTTTCCTTCCTTCCTTCCTTCCTCCCTTCCTCCCTTCCTCCCTTCCTTTCTTTCATTTTCTTTCTTTTCTTCTATAGCCCTTCTCCCAGGATTTTACCATTTTGACTGTATCTTCCATCTCAGTCACCTTCCCTGCCCTTCTTCATTGTCACCTGCCCTTCATTGTGACCTGCTTCATTCTGGAAGAGGCCTGCAGGGCCTACAACCTGAAGGCAGCCTCAGGAAAGAACGTCCACTCTTTTCTTTCTTTTATCCCAAAGTGTTAGTTGTTAAATAAGGAGATTCTTTCCGGAAGTGCACTATTTGTTTCACTGCTTTCAGGAATTGCAAGCTAATCGAGCCCCATCAAGTAGAGATGTGGTTGACCCAAGGCTTACAGAATGCAAAAGTCATTTTATGGACGTGCGGTACCACTGCATTGGACAGTTGGGGCTCCCTCACTAATAAAGCTAACAGCTTCCCTAAGGGTATAAGTCCAACTGGTTTGAAGCCAAGAGTGGATTTTTTGGTAGTACCACATTTTAGAATCTTAAGATAATTAGATCATTCTGGAATGTTTCACCTTAGACTAAGTAGCTTGAATTCTCTCCTTTAATATGCACTGATTATCTGCCACTTAGTAGCTTTGGCATCCTGAGCAAATGACGGAGTCTCTGCGTTTCGGTTTATCTCGGTGGCAGTGATGGAACCTGATGTTAGGATTGATGGGAGACATAAATGAGCAAATGTGTGCAAAGCCCCTAACAGTGTTGGCTCATGGTAAACACTTGATTCTTGGCTGTTTATTAATAATGAGAATTGTTTCTGTTACCTGAAGTTGTGTTTTATGGAAACAATGTATTGACCGTCCACTTTCTCATTTTTCTTTAGAATGTTTGATGATGGAAATGGGGAAGTTTAAAAATCTTATCTCCTGTGCTTTTTTGCTTTGTTCCCACTTTGCCCACATTGTTTGGGCCATCAGCCTCTTTTTTCCTATCCTCATCATTCCAGCACAATAGCTCCTCCTGACACAATGGTATGCAGCAGTTTTGTGGGGGCTGTGAATGTTGGGAGGGAGTGCTTTGTGAGGTGAGGGAGAGACTGATTCTGAGAGCCCAGGGAGAAGATGGGTGTGTGTGTGTTTCAGGGGATGGGGTGTGATGAGATTATTAGGAGCACCCAGGGCCCAGGCTCAAGGAGACACTTCTCATGTCCCTGTGGCCTTTTGAAGCTGAAGATGAGCAGAGCAGGTGGGCACTGGTGTCAGCCCAGCGCCTTCAGGAGGGTGCTCTTTCAAAATCAATGGAGGGCACAGTGCTTTTTTTCCAGAGAACAGCATTGACTTCCCCACCCATGGGTCTGGTACATAATAAGGAAAGGAAGGAAAAATAAGTTGAAGGAAGGAAAAATGCGTGATCCCCTGTTGGGCTTCTCTCCCTCACAGTCATAGATTTTGAACGTCAGAGCATTCCTATCTATTTTCCAAATTGCCCGTTGGATTGCCTTTTCACAACAACCTTAATTTTCACACTACAGGGACTGGAAATGATACTTTAGTTGGGTCAAACATTAGACTACACAAGGGTTTTATAGTCAGGTTTGGGATTTGAATGTGTTTACGTAGTCTGTCTGTATTATTTTTCCCTGGCAAGGTGTCTGGTGTTGAGTTCCTTGGGGAACGAGAATGTGGCTCAGGACAGCTCACCATTTGCAAACCAGTTATTAACTTGTAATCCACTCACCGTTTTCAATGTCTCTATTTCCCCACCTCTGTCAGGGCAGTTGGAGAATAAACTGGCTGTGCTGCTTTGCAGGTTGGGAAGAGGGACCTCACATTTGCCAACTGTCACTCCCTACCGTGATCATAACCCCCGTGAGACGCACATTCAGCCACATCTGTGCTGAGTGCATGAGGAGCGGCTCGGGCAGAATCTTTAACTGCTGTCATGGTGGTCAGTGAGAGATGTGGATGTTCATATACCTGTGCGCTTTTGGGAGATTATACACAATAGAGTGGAGAATTGGTTGTTTCCTTGGCCATTGTGGAAGTAACACATGGATCTGTGTTCATTTATTGACTGATTCACTCGTTGATTTATTTATATCTCATTTGTTCACCTCTTCTCTCATGTACTCCTTTATCGACCCCAAATGACTTCTGGGGCAGAAAGTATTGCTCTGTGATCACCCAGCGTTACCCCCTACCTTATTTTTGGACATCCTCAGTTGGGCATTCTAATACAAACATCATTTAAACATCCAAACCCAACATCATTATGCGTAGAGATCTTTGTCAACAAGCTTATGAGATTCATCTGCTTCAACCTTTTATTTACTAAATAGATGGCCGCCCAGGATCAAATGGGCCATCTTTATGCATAGTTACCATTTCTGCAACAAATACGGCTTTTAGTTACATTTTGACTACCGAAAATATACTAGGTACTATACCAAGTATAAGCTGCCGCTTTTTCTTTCTAGCCTGAGCACTTAATTAAGACCTGACAGATTGATTTTTCCATTAGGCCAGAAGGCAGGTGTCGTCTTGAGTAATTCTTGATTTGAATTTCTTATTAAGAGTCTGTTTAGCTCCCCCCCCATCACTGCCACCAAATATGTGTATTTAGCAGAGACTCTCTCTTACCCAACGAGTTTTACACAACGAATTGGTAACAACCAAAATAAAATATCCTAACAATAAAGTACTGTTTCAAAGGTACCAATAAGGAATGTTGCCTTCCTGCTGCAGTGTGCCTGGTATCCCTATAGAAGGCCTGCCCGTGGGTTAATGTGGTCTGGTAGTCTGAAGCCCGTGAAGCCATCATTTCTCATCCTTTTTTTAACCCCTAACACTCCACTATGGACAAATTGACAGAAGACATTGGTATCTGTATAGCCCCTAACTCCTCAGTGGATGATTTGACTTCTTTCATTTTTCTTTTTTCTTTGAGACAAAGTCTTGCTCTGTCGCCCAGGCTGGAGTGCAGTGGTGCGATCTCGGCTCCCTGCAACCTCGCCTCCCGGGTTCAAGAGATTCTCCTGCCTCTGAGACTACAGGCGTGTACCACCACGCCCTGCTAATTTTTGTATTTTTAATAGAGACGGAATTTCAGCATGTTGGCCTGGCTGGTCTTGAACTCCTGACCTCAGGTGATCCACCCACCTCAGCCTCCCAAAGTGCTGAGATTACAGGCCTGAGCCACTGCCTGTAATGATTTGATTTATTTTCTTTCTCTTTTCAATTTCCATCCTCCAAAAATGTTATGGAAATAACTTCCCCAAAATGATTGTCTGCCCGTCCACTGAAATATAAATTCCCACTTACAAATAATTTTTAAGAAAACTCTGTAATTGACATTTAACTCCAGGGATAAAGAGTGTTGCTAATCTCAGCCTGCATCACTGGCCAAGGGTGTAACCAAATCCTCATCCAATGTGGTCATGTGTGTCAGTCACACTGCAACGTGGTAGTTACGGGCAGCGACTCAAGGTCGGCCAACCAGAGACTTTTAACACTTGTTGGGTGACTCAAAGCTTATTAACCTTTCTGATTTACCTTGATCTTCCATAAATGTGTGTGTATGTTTGTGTGGGTTTAAAAGGACAGAATAAAGAACTTACCTCATCAATTTGTTCGGTGGATTAAATGAGATAATCCATGTGGAATGTGACACAGGGTGCCTGGCAAATACAGGAGCTTTATATATGTTAGCTTTTCTGATTATTACTATTGTATCGTTATTGGTTAAAAGTCACATTAAATAGCCAAGGCAGATAACGGATGAGAACTTTGCAAAGATTACGAAAAAACTGAAGGAAGCCTACCTTGTATATGTGGCATGAGCTTTGGAACATCAGGTTAATTACCTTATTGCTGTGTTTTGGGGTTTGTGTTGACTTGCTTTGGTTTTTGTCTGTTTGCTTTTGAATAAGGTCCTAAAATACGGTTTTGCTGGGTTTTTTATTTGCTTCTGAAATTAGTGCAGGTGCAAGTAACAGGAAGTGAAACCTTAAGTGGCCTGAGGGAACCTCATTCAAATGGTGCCAAGCAGGTATAATATACAAGCATTATCACCTTACTGATAATCTGGCATACTGTGGGTATTCACACGTGCCATTCAGATTTCAGAGATGAAGTCATACGGCAGTTTGGCACCAGCTTGCCCAGCTCCTTAGGAAAGGTGAGAGAGAGGAAAGCCCTCATTTTTTGAGACAGTGTTGAAAACACGGTTTTACTTGTCGAGTGGCACAGGATTGCAGTTGTCATTTGGTCACATTGTCTTTGACGTTCCACCTTGGGTGCAAGGAAAATATCTTTAATAAGTGAATTCACACCCTGTTTATAGAGTTACAAAGTCTCCTCTGGGTTTGAGACTGTGTTACATATATCCTCATATTCTGAAATGTAGAAAAATTTACATATTGAAGACCCAAGACTAGAATACCACATTTTCATGGCTACAATACAAAGTTTTCCAAATGTTTAAATATTCTCACAGCCCGGTGGTTATATCTAAATAAAGCATTGTCCTTAAGACTTACTTTGGTTCTTTGTCCTGAAGGATTTAGAGAGAACCCACAGTTGCTTTGCCTTTGCGGTAGGTAAGGTGACTCTGTTCTCAGCCAGTTGCCGATCTTTGCATGCACTGAGCCCTTAGACATGCATTGAGTTGAATAAAATTTGCCCAGCTTGGTCTGCCATCCTAGGGGGCCTCTCCATGTGCCCTTTTTTGTTAAACTCAGAAGTGGGTCATATGTACAAGATGCCCATCTATGTCTTGCTTTTAGTAAGAAAGCATCTGAAACAACCTACTGCACCCCATAGAGTAGCCAGAGCTTTTGCATCTCTCCCCTAGGGCTCCACTGAGCCAGGATGTTGTTCCTTTTCCTTCAGCTTGCTCCTCCCCAGCCACTCCCTGGCCACAGTCACACACATACACATACACACACCCCTCTGCAGTTTGCTCCCACTTTGCCTTGCATGGCCAGCCTGGCTCCTCATTCATCTCTCCAACCTCAGCAGGCTCACATTCTGTATTTTCCTGGAAGGGCACTTGCTAGGGGCACAATGCTTCTCTTCCCATTGCTCTTAAAGGAAGGGATGAGAACAGGGAGCGATTGCATGAGTGGGAGGGAATACCAAATAAAATAGAGACAAAGGAATGGGCCCAGGAAGTCCAGATTATGTATCTGTTGGGCCCAGAAGTCTTTGCTCAACTTCTTATTTGAGTAAGACCCAAGAAAGATCCAGTTCCACTAATAGAAAAACCAAATTATTCTATTCCTGACATGTATCATCTCTGAAGCAGACAAAATAGAACTGAGCCTCAGTGTGGTCCCTTAGTATTTGGGTGACCTTGGGTCAATTTCTTAGCCTCAGTTTACTCTTCTGTAAAATGATTTTGTTGTTGATAATAGGTACCTGTCTGGGTTGTTGTAAGGATAATTCACATGATGCCCAGTGTCTGTCATATCCTAAGCCCTCAGTGAAAGGTCAATAATATTAGCGCTTATGACTCTGTTGGTTAAAGGCAGTAGTTCATTGTGCCTAGTCAAGAATCCAGCCCAACACATAGTTCAGTAGATACTGAGCCAGAGTCTGGTTCACATCCCCAGCCTGGCCACTGACAAGCCGCATGACCCTTAGACAAGCTATTAACATTTCTGTGCTTCAGTTTTCTTACCCACAAAATGGTATGATAGCACCTGCTGCGTAAGGCTGGTGGTGAAGATTAGGTAAGTTAATGTATGTAATTTACTTGGAACAGGGCAGAAGGCCTAGAACATAAGGAGCCCTCAATAAATCATAGGCACTACTGTGGTTGCCCTTATTATGCCCACAGTGATTATCATTGCTCCCTGTCCAGGCAGAAACAACCATTGGGAGGACTCATGTAGAGTTCTTTCATATCCCTCCATTTCTTGACAGCTCGGAGGATAGAAGCCCAAGACTGAGACTTGGTTGGAGAGTCTTGGTTTTAAACCCAAACTCCTATCATCAGGCCTCCATGCTTGGCCCTTTTTCCTTTTTGTCTAGGATGGAGACATATGGAAGTACTTTGTAGTGGTCTAGAATCAGCCCTTGGCTTTGCAAGTAGAAGATGAAAAATGTTTACTTGCTGTTTGCTATACTTACTTGCATTTTCTTTCTTTCTTTCCATATCCCCCAAGAGAAAGAAAAAAAGAAACTGAAGGTGGGAATGCATCTTTGGAATTTCCTAAGTTAGTGGAATAGTGAATGAAAATACTGTGCAAAGAAATATACTGGTGCTCGATGATGATTTTCATGGGATAGAATTTGATTTGCAGTGATTCTGTCTAGGATCATATATAAGGGACTAGTCAGCAAATGCCAGCTCTGCAACCACCACGGCATTCAAAATGCTTAGTGAGTGCCAGCGCTGTTGTAATGTTTTATATGTGTAATTCATTCTATCCTGACAGCAACCTTACAGGGAAGAGACTTGCATCTCCATTTTATAGATGAGAAAACTGAGTTCCAGAGAGGTTAAGAGCTTACTCAGTCACATAGTTCGATCTTTTCCTATTTCATCTAAAATACTGTAATCACAACGGGTCGTGGTGACTAGGGACCTTGGCCATAGTCTGGTCCAGCTGGCTTTTTTTTTTTTTTTTTTTGGCCAGCTTTATTGAGATAGAATTCATATACATAAACTCACCAATTTTAAGTATACAGTTCAGGCTGGGTGTGGTAGTTCACGCCTATAATCCTAGCACTTTGGTGGGCAGATCACCTGAGGTCAGGAGTTCGAGACCAGCCTGGCCAACAAGGTGAAATCCCGTCTCTACTAAAAATACAAAATGAGCCGGGCGTGGTGGTGCATGCCTGTAATCCCAGCTACTCAGGAGGCTGAGGCACCAGAATCACTTGAACCTGGGAGTCGGAGGTTGCAGTGAGCCGAGATCGTGCCACTACAATCCAGCCTGGGTGACAGAGTGACACTCTGTCTCAGAAGACAAACAAACAAAAAAGTACACAATTCAACAGTGGTTTTTAGTATATTCACATAGTTGTATAACATCATCACAGTCAATTTTAGAACATTTTTATGTCCCACAGAAGAAACCCTTTAGCTGATGATTACCTTTAGCACTCATCCTCTCTCCACCCCATTTCCTTCCAACTCCCTCAGCTCCAGGCAACCACTAATCGACTTTCTGTTTCTATAGGTTTGCCTATTCTGGATGTTTCATATGAATGGAATGAAACTCTCTGTGGCCTTTTGTGTCTGTCTGCTTTCAGTCAGGATATTTTCAAGGATTACCTATGTTGTAACACGAATCAGTACTTCATTCTTTTTATGGCTGAATAATATTTCATTGTATAGATATACCACATTTTGTTTATCCATTCATCTGTTGGTGGACACTTGGCTTATTTCCACTTTTGGCTGTTTTGGTTAATACTACTCTGAACATTTATATACATATTTTTGTGTTTTCGTATGTTTTCAGTTTTCTTTGGTACGTACCTAGAAGTGGAGTGACTGGGCCATATGCTACCTTCTATGTTTAACCTTTAGAGGAACTGCCAAACAGTTTCCCAAAGTGGCTGAACTATTTTATATTCCCATGAGCAGTATATAAGGGTTCCAGTGTCTCCACATCCTCACTACTTTTGTTTTTGAAATTAGGAAACTGAGCTTGGTAAGGTATTAATGACTTGCTTCCAGTGCCATACCTGGTTGTGTGAGCCAGGTTCTTTCTAGGCCTGGAAGATGTGAGGATGATAACATAATCTTTATTGCAGGAGTTCACTGTCTGTGGAAGAGTCAATCGTAGTCACATTACACAGTGGTGGTGACAATAATGATGCGAAAACATTATGGAGCACCGTTATTTTTTCTTCTTGAAGAAACAGAAGATAATTTAGTGACTCACGTAACTGAAAAGTATGGTGGTGATTAGCTTCAGGTACAGATGGAGCCAGGTGCTAAAACAGTGTTGTCAGGGGGTGGCTGCCTCTTTCCATCTCTTGTCTTGCTTTCTCATTGTCTCCTTCATTCTTAGCTCTCTCATTTCTCTTTGTAGGAAGATGGCTACTAGCAGATCTAGGTTTATGTTCTGCCATGTAAGCATTTCCAGCAGAATAGAAGTTTTTCCTTCCCCATAGTTCTAGCTGGCTTATGTAGGTCTGTCATTGGCCTAGTAGGTCCCCCCCGCAACCCCCAGCAGCCCCCAGACAAGGTTTCCTTCTGTCACCCAGGCTGGAATGCAGTGATGCAATCACGGCTCACTGCAGCCTTGACCTCCCAGGCTCAAGTGATCCTCCCACCTCAGCCCTCTGAGTAGCTGGGACTACAGGCACGTGCCACCATGCCCAGCTAATTTTTTTAAGTTTTTATAAAGATGAGATTTCACAGTTTTGCCCAGGTTGGTCTCAGACTTCTAGGCTCAAGTGATCTGTCCCTGCTTCAGCCTCCCAAAGTGTTGGGATTACAAGTATGAGCCACCATCCCCAGCCCTGGTCCAGTAGGTAACGTAACAGCCTTCCAACCAGTTAGAGCCAGTGCTCTGGTTGGCCATTCTTGCTTTATTGCCTACCCTGGAGTTAGATTAGCGGGTGAGGGGAGATCACTTTTATCTAGACTGCAGGAACTGAGAATGGGTGAGGGGTGATTCCCAAAGAGAAAATGAAGGTTCTGTTTATAGAAGAATAAGAAACTATGTTTGTCTGGTAAAAATAGCAGTTGTCCATTCTATCAGTTTTCATTCCCATGTTACAGAAATTCTTACCAAACAGGCTTAAATAGTAAGCGAATGCCTTAGTTCATTTCACTGGCAGTTCAGAGTGGGGGTAGCCCTGGGGCATAGCCAAATCTGGTGATTGAGTTCTCAGTGATTCCTGTCATTGCACTGGAGGCAAAATGGCTGCAGCAATTTCTGCCTGCCATTAACAGCCAGAGGAAGAGAGAAGCTGGCTGGTCCAGTTGCCATCTCTTAAGAGTGAGAATGGCACTTTGTGAGGCCAAGGCGGGCGGATCACAAGGTCAGGAGATTGAGACCATCCTGGCTAACACGGTGAAACCCCGTCTCTACTAAAAATACAAAAAAATTTAGCTGGGTGTGGTGGCAGGCACCTGTAGTTCCAGCTACTTGGGAGGCTGAGGCAGGAGAATTGCTTGAACCCGGGAGGCAGAGGTTGCAGTGAGCCAAGATCGCACCAGTGCACTCCAGCCTGGGCGAAAGAGCGAGACTCTGCCTCAAAAAAAAAAAAAAAAAAGTGAGAATCGGCTGGGTGTGGTGGCTCATGCCTATGATTCCCAGCATTTTGGGAGGCCGAGGCGGGCGGATCATGAGGTCAAGAGGTGGAGATCATCCTGGCCAACATAGTGAAACCCCGTCTCTACTAAAAATACAAAAATTAGCTGGGCGTGGTGGCCCATGCCTGTGGTCCCAGCTACTTGTGAGGCTGAGGCAGGAGAATCGCTTGAATCCCGGAGGCGGAGGTTGCAGTGAGCTGAGATCACCCTACTGCACTCCAGCATGGCGACAGAGTGAGACTCCATCTCAAAAAAAAAAAAAATCCAAAAAAACAAAAAACAAAAACAAGAAAAAGAACGAGAATCTTCCTTCCTCATCAGCCTCCTAGAAAACTTTCTGCCATCTTAGCCCGAATTGCTTATTCCTGTGAGTAGATAGAAGTCATTCCCTGATTGGCTTAACCAGTCACGACAGCCAGTCTGGTCCACCTCTGGGGGTGGGTAGAGCCAGCTTTCCCTGAGGTTAATGGCCCCTGTTAGGGAAGGGGCACGTCCGAGTCAGAGGAAGGTTTCCTTCAGAAGGAGGAAGATAGGAAGGGAGGCTGGCAGTTCAGCTGGCAGTGCCCACATATGGAAAAGAATGATGAGAGGCCAACATCAGTCATGGGGAGGGAAGGAAGATTCTCTGAGGAGGCTGTGCATACACTGTCTTAAAGAAATACAGGTTTGCTGGGTGTGGTGGCTCACGCCTGTAATCCCAGCACTTTGGGAGGCCTAGGTGGGCGGGTCACCAGCCCGGCCGACATAGTGAAACCCCGTCTCTACTAAAAATACAAAAATCAGCCAGATGTGGTGGCTCATGCCTATAATTCCAGCTACTTAGGAGGCTGAGGCAGGAGAATCACGTGAACCTGGGAGGCAGAGGTTGCAGTGAGCTGAGACCACACCACTGTACTCCAGCCTGGGCAACAGAGTCAGACTCAGTTTCAAAAAATAAATAAACAAACAAAAATAAAAAATACAGGTTTGCAGGGAGGCCCTGTGGGTGGGGAAGCATGGGCAAAGCCATTCTCTCCTAATGTGGCATGTAAGGTAGAATGCAGCATCTTGGTCATTCTTCCCTTTCATCGTTTGAATAAAGTACTTGAAGAGCAGAAAGTCGGAGGCAGGACTGGCAGTCTTTCTATTACCTCACCTCACTCTTCCGTGAAGGTGGGACAGACAGTTGAATGTGACTGCCAGGCCTCAGAGCTGCCTTCCTCTTGTGTCTCACTGCAGAAGCAGACACACAGAAGGGCACCTTTTCTTTTTCGTAGTTCTTGGCTTGGGTTGACCACCATGAGGTGAAGGAGTTTTGGAGGACATTTTCTCAGGGTGGTCAGTATTTTGTGCTGTGTGCCATAGCTGGGGTACACAATGGATTTTTTTTTTTTTTTTACTTTTTTTAAATAAGCAGGATTTTTTTTTCAGAGAAAGATATAAATTGACCATTTGAGCTGTGGAAGATAATATGGAGATAATGCCAACATTTAATCATTTTCATCCAAACATATATCTTACTCATTTCAATATTTTTCTTCTCTCATCCGTGTAGCAAGCTAGTCATTTCCCAGTTCAGAAAGATACCTGTATGATATACCCAACTTTTAGAATTTTGATGCTGTAAAATTCCTAGTATGTCTCTCTGCCATAAGAAAACAGCTATTGACATTTTTGTGTATTTCAATCTAATTTAAAATGTTTTTATGAACAAACCCCTACAAATGATCTTAAACAGTTTTGTTTCCTGCTCATTTTCACTTAACATTATATCATGAACACTTTTTTTTTAGTCATTGAATATTCTCTGTAAGCATGATTTTTAAAGATTGCTGCACTTCCAGTCAATCTACAGTGGACCATGATTTTAATCTTTCTCTTTCTGTTGGATGTTTACATTGTTTCCAGTCTTTTGCTGAAATAAATAATATTGCAGTGAACATTGTAGTACATACATTTATTAGCATCTCTGATGATTTTCTTAGGATAAATTTTGTAAGTGAATTTACTAGGTCAAAGGGTGGTGAACATTGATATTCTCTTGACTATGTCACCTATTTGTTATGGTTTGGGGAATGCTAGTAAGAAGAGTTACAATAAAACCTTAAAAAAAAAAAAGACTATGGCAGTTTCCACTTCATTGCAGTTTGGCCAACATTGAGTAAACTAACCTTTCTAGATTTTTTTTTTTTTTTTTTTTTTTTTTTGAGACGGAGTCTCGCTCTGTCGCCCAGCCTGGAGTGCAGTGGCACAATCTCGGCTCACTGCAACCTCCACCTCCCGAGTTCAAGCGATTCTCCTGCCTCAGCCTCCCGAGTAGCTGGAACTACAGGCACCTGCCACCACGCCCGGCTAATTTTTTGTGTTTTTAGTAGAGACAGAGTTTCACCATGTTAGCCAGGATGGTCTCGATCTCCTGACCTCGTGATCTGCTCACGTCGGCCTCCCAAAGTGCTGGGATTACAGGCGTGAGCTTTTTATTTTTGACAGTTTTCAAGGTGAAAGATGGTATAGAATTCTGGAAATGTGCTTTCTTTAATAACTAATGAAATTGTCCTTTTCACACCCTTTGGTTTCTGGCCATTTGCAGTGCTTTTGTGATTTACCTATTTGTATTATATACAGGGTTTTTATATGTGATGTTTGATTTATTAGAAGTCTTTTTACGTTATAGACTTTAATACATATTACATATATAGTGTGTTTGCGGAAAATTACCCCAATTTTTATGTTTTCCTTCCTTTCATTTATGCCTTATAACATTCTGTAAGACAGATTTTTCTACCCATCCCATTTATTTTCTTATAATTGTTTAATTTTTTTTCCTTTTCTTCCTTCTCTTCCTCCTCCTCTTCTTTCTCTTCCTCCTCTTTTTTCTTTTTCCTTTTTTAGTATTTAACTCTATCTTAATTGTATTTCAGTGTATGGTATGAGGTAAGAGTTTGATTTGATTATTAAAAAATCGCAGTTCTAGAATTATTAAATAATACTTCTCTATAATGGATTTTAAAAGCTGTAGTATACGCTAAATTTTAATGTAGGGCTTATTTCCATGCACTTTTTTCGGTTTCACTGAGAAGCAATATTAAGTGTTGATTATATGCATGGACCCTGGAACACGTTCCACCCACTGTAAACATCTAAAGGCAACATTTTCTTACATGAAAATGTGGATTATAGTAGAACCATCTAATGGGGGTGCCATGGGCAGTAAATGAGATAATTATATAAAGAAGTGACTATTTATGTCAGTTTATCTGGGACAGTGACTCCTGGGTTAGCATTGTCTCAGATTTTTCATTTTATGCTAAAGTATTATTACAAGGAGACTATGTGCAGTTCCTATTTCTTCATGGTCTTCTCTTGTAGTGTGTGAGATGCTTATATGGTGCTCTGTGAAAGATGACCAGCAATCCCTTTTCTCCTAACCCTTTCTGTGCACACCATTATGAACACCTCTGTTTCAGGGAATGTGTGCTCTGGTGTAAGTGGCTAGGGACCAGTAATTCAATTTGGTCAGTAGGGTTGGGGACGGATAGGAAACTTTAGGTTAGTTTTCATGAAATTTATCTGAAATAAAGGCTGAGAAGTCCCGCTGCAGAGTGTAAAGAAGCAGTCTGAGTGTTCTTAATAAAGTAGGTTTTATGGTTTTGTCATTTTTGAATACTGTAAACTCACAAATATTTATTTTTATCATTTGGTAAAGTTTAAAAAATATATACATTGTAAGAAACCATTTTGGCAGCTATGAGCTTAAAAATAACTGAGCTTGTTTACTGAAATATTACATAATTTCCCCCTATTTTTCAAGGAAGTTGACCATAAACATTAACTTCTATAAAATATTTTTGACATTTACTATCTACTCTTGGGGACATAATGAAATCACCAAGCATATACAAATCAGGGGACCCATTTGCTAAAGAAGGTACTGCATCTGTTTCAGAATTAGTACATATTTTCAGGAGACTGTGTCCACACAAAGTGAAAGAAAATGTGTTTACATTTTATCCTGTGAAGCATGACTTTTCATTTAGATTGAATTTTTCTAAATTAATTTCACTTACGTTGGATTCTAACATTTTTAAAACACATTCAAAAAGAGGATTGATAACTTTTAATGTATTGCACTGTTTACAGAACTTCTTTATAGACAATAAATGGTGCCAGCTTCACATTAATACCATTGGATGTTTCAAATAGAAACTCAGTTAAGGTAATACCAATAATAGTTTGATTTTTTCCATCCAGTACACGGAATCAAACAACAAATTAAGTCAACAGAATTTCATTCTGTTGAAGGTAAAGCATCTAACATTATTTGAAATAATTATGAATTCCATTAAAAAGTTTAACATTGAACATAAAGTTATTTGATTTTGTGGTGATTAAACACATTTGAATTTTTAATTTTTAAAAAAATTTGTTAAAGAGACAGAGTCCCCCTCTGTCACCCAGGCTGGAATGTAGTGTTATGATCATAGCTCACTGCAGCCTTGACTCGTGGTCTCAAGCTATCCTCTTGCCTCAGATTTCCGAGTAGCTGGGACCACAAGTGTGCACCACCATGCCTGCCTAATTTCTTTTTTAAAACTTTTTGTGGAGACAGGGTCTTGCTATGTTACCCAGGTTGATTTTGAACTCTTGGTCTCAAGTAATCTTCCTGTCTGAGACTCCCAAAAGGTTGGGATTATAGGTGTGAGCCGCTGTATCCAGCCTAAATTTGAATTTTGGTGGAGAACATATTGTGGTAAAAACTGGTTTTACTAGATTCAGAAACCCATGGAGCAAATATGTACCATACTTGGAAGTGATTATAGTGACCATATATTTTATAATTGCATCCAAACTGCAATATATATCACTTGAATAGAAACTGTAGCTAACTACCAACATTTATAAATAATTTTATATATACGTAGATAACCAAACTACAAAGTTTCTGTTTTGAGACTAATGTTGAATACAAATAAGTACTTGAGCTATCAGTTAGGTTTTAGAAATGTTTGAGACTTTGAGAAACTATTTTGTAAATCAGTGTAAGTGTTCCATTGATGTTATTAAACTTTTGTAAATGTGCACTCTAAATTGTAGTTACATGTTGTTCAGACTCTGTTGGAAATTTTAATAACTCAAAGAATGAACATACATATGTACACAATTTCTTTTGAGACTGTTAGCAAATTTCAGTTGTTGGTAAAAAAAAGATTGCAAACAGGACAATATTACCATTTTTATCCCTGAAAAAACCAGTGAAGAACCGAACAAGTTAAATGTGAGCTCAAAAAGTGAACATTTTTTAATTCTGAAATTCTGTAACTGTATTTGGAAGCCTCTCACCAGTGGGAAGAAGCTTTTGATGGAACTCCTATTTTAAATCAGATAATGTGAATTCCGTATAGAAATGAAATTGATGAGGCCTACAATTTTGCAGCATCCAAATTTGGCCAAACATTTCAAGCAATTATAAAGCAAGTTTATTTATTTGATGAATTTCATCTTGTAAAAATATTTGTCAAAGATATTCAGAATAGAGTTTAAATGATGACCTATAAAATATTTGGGCTGTTATATTTAGGGACTTCAATACCACATAGTAGAATTGAGAATATCCTCAATTTAGGGAAATTTGGTATGCTAACAGGTAACTCTAGTACCTGTGGAACGAATATTTTCTCAGTTAATATTATGGGCCAGAAATACTGACATTTGAAGGTATAATTAAATAAATTGTATTTATTAACTATAAAATACAACTTTGAAGGATACTGTAGGCAATTTTATGAAAATAATAAAAATAATAAAGACTGACATTTTTCCTGACATTCTTCTAGAAACTTACTGGTGATGTGGTAAGAGACAAGTACAGCCAAGAAACTGATTGAAGTACAGGTGTATGTACTAAGAAGATTATTCTGCTTATATTATTGTTGGTGTTCAAATACCAATTTCAAAAGAATCTAATAGTCTATCTTAGGATGATAAATTATTTGGTAACTGTAAATACAAAGCACCTGGCATTTAAGTAACTACGCAAATACTTGCTGTCATTATAATACCATCAATATTATTATTATATTTTGCCTAGTTCTTTGCCAGTTCCATACTGTCTGAATTATTGTACTTTATAATATGTTTAATATCAAATATTTCATAGTCCCTATTTGACTTTAAAACTTTTTATTTGCTTTTATTTTTTAGTTTTTCTAAATGACCTTTGGAATTTTTTGTTAAAAATAATTTCCTTTTTTATTTTGATTGTAATACTAAATATTTAATTACCTCAGAAAAATTTATCTTTTCTGTATTACATCTGCTCATCCAGGAAACTAATATAATTATTTATTCAAGTATTCCTTTTTATTTCTCATGAAAATTTTGTAGTTATGTGTCTGAACCTAGAAAATAAAGAAATATTTATATTTTCTTACTGGTTATTTTTAATATGTACATAGTTCTGTTTTTTGTACATTTTATATTTGATTATCTTTTTGAAATTTCATTAGGGCTGTGTTTTTGTTATATTTCCAAAAACTAAGAAATTTGACATCTGATAGGTAGCAATATCAGCACCTTTTCCCATATTTCTTTCTCCTGCTTTATTGCATTGGTTCTGCCTTACAGAATAATGTTCAGTAATACTGGTAGCAGTTAGTTCTTTATACAGTTCTCTTTCAAGCTAGACTTAATTCTGTTGAAGGTGGATTTTGTTTTGTTATCTGTGTGTCTTTGTGGAATCTTTGCACAAAGACAGGCACTTAGTAAAGGATGAATGGCATGCTTGGTTGAATATTGTTGCAGAAAATTAGGATAAAATAAAGGCACTAAATGCTGAGTATTTCAACACTTCCTGGAGGGAATGGTTTAGAGGTGATTGATGCATTTGATGAAATTAAATAATATGAAAAACTTAAGGGAATTTGCTTTAATAGTATATTCCATCCTTTAAATTCTTTCCATGTGAATTATACTAGAAGCCCGATCATAGATGGTAGAGATCAAAAGATTCAAATGTTTTATATCTGAGGCAGTTTTGTTGTATCACAGTTATAACCACTCCCACCTATGTGGCAATGATCCTGTCTCTATTTTTATGTTATCTATTCAAAACAGTTAAAATTGGTTTTTGAATAGAAATGCAAAGTTCCATTTAAACAAATAACTAAAGATAGAATGTTTGTTTCATATGCCAGAAGTTTATGTATTGAACATAAACTATAACTTGAGGAACCAGGAAACGTTATGCATGTGAATCATGGCTATCATCTTTGTAATCTGTCTGTCCAGGCCATTGCCACATTTATTACTTTGGTTTTTGGTATGCTTCTAAGGTTTTCTTTTGACCAAGGAAATGCCATTCACCAAACAGAAAAGTAGTTTTCTATGCCTTACCCTTGCGTTTGAGTAATCCCTGGAGTATTTTGGGGAAAAGATAGTTAAATATTGTTGTGTTCAGAATCAACAAGTAGAAATATCCTGTAATTTATGTCATTTTGTTTTATAGCACACTTTTATAAATGTCTTGACATTTTATAGAATGTTTTTGTGGATGGAACCTTGATAGTTTTATGCTGTAGGAATTGTTTCCTTTGGAAAAATTTGTATTTACCCCTTTGAACATTTAAGCCAGAACACGAACACCAAACTCAACACTAAAGCTATCCATTCCAGGCATTATTTGCCTCAGAATCTCATTCAGAAGTGCATAAATATTAGATAAAAACCAGTTTTCTCAGTGTTTCCTGGTAATATTATTGAAGTGAGCATGAATTTTTGTGTCTCTAGTTATATAATTTGTCTCCTAAGTGAAACCCAACTCCGTGAAGTCTGGAAGGAAACCCTGGCAACAATGGCGGCTTCATCGTGTCTGAGGAGGAGCCGCAGAGAGTGCCTTCTGTTTGAAGGGGGCCTCTCGGAAGCGGCAATGGCATGGCAAGCCTGCTGCTTTTTACCTCAGCTGTATGCTGCGGAGTGGTATAAATATGATAAATGTAAATAGCTAAAGAAATTCTCTTTTTTTACCCGAATATATGAGCTGGTGTCTAATGGACTGATCTTAAGGGTTTGAACCACAAACCAAGTTGAATTAATAAAAATGGAGGCTTTGTTCACATAAGTGGTATCCTTATGGGTTTATTGAAACATAATCTATTTTCTTCTTTTTCCAGTAGTTTTCTTTTCTTTACAAGTTAAATTGGTCACTTTCAGCACATGCTTCCATGGCTTTGCTTTCTATTCACTGGATGTTAATTTAGTTTAAAAATATATTCAATAGATAACTAAATAAAACTTCTGTGGCAGTATGATTTTAATTGTTTTTATAAATATTAGTTTGTGTAATTTATCTGTCACCAGGCCTCAGTGAGATAAGAACTCCTGTTATCCTCATTTTGCAGATGTGGAAACTGAGGCACGGAGCGGTTATATAACATATTAGCTCACGGTCAACAGCGGATAAGTGGAATAGGTAGGATTGAGACCTACGTGGTTTTGTTGAAGGGTTTGTGCTCTCAACCAGCTTTGCTATGTGATTTATAATCGTTTTACTTGGGGGCAGGTGGGGATCATGGAGATGAGAGAGCTAAGTCTCCACAGGCTTCCTCCTCTCCCCGCTTTGTACCATCGCCAACTCCAATGATGTGGCTACTTCTGAAGAATAAACTGTGTTAGGGCTGGAGGCGGGAGGGTGAGTGGGGCACACACTTGCTTTTGATTTATTTATGCTATACTGTTTGCAGTACTTTTATACAATGAACTTGTCTGACATTTGTAGTTATAGTTTTAAAAATAAGGTTCTTTGAAAAAAAATTTTTTGACATATGCTTAGCTTCAAATTTTAGAAAGGCATGTTCTAAATATAAAGAGGCCTAAAAAAATTAAAAGTTTACCAGAGAGCGTTTTTTTTTTTTTTTTTTTTTTTTTTACTCCCAGCATTAGAGTATTCTGTAATATAATTTACCATTTCTTCCATCCTCAAGGGCTTTCAGCAAGTCTCAGTTCATGTGATGATTTGATGTTACAGTTGAAATTGAGACAGTTTTGTTCCCATTATATCTAACCTGTGAACTGAAATATTTGAGATATGTTTTATTAAAATATATATGTTTTGGGCTAGGTGTGGTGGCTCATGCCTGTAATCCCAGTACTTTGGGAGGCCTAGGTGGGTGGATCGCCTGAGGCCAGAAGTTCAAGACCAGCCTGTGCAACATGGTGAAATCCCATCTCTACTAAAAACACAAAAATTATCCAGGTGTGATGGTGTATGCCTGTGATCCCAGCTGCCTGGGAGGCTGAGGCAGGAGAATCGCTTGAACCTGGGAGGTGGAGGTTGCAGTGAGCCGAGATTGTGCCACTGTATTCCAGCCTGGGCAACAGAGTGTGACTCCATCTCAAAAAATTTTTTTAAATAATAAAGTATATGTATTTTGGAGTCTAAAAACATGTGCCTTTACTCAGTAGAGAAGTTAGAGATGAGGGAAAACCCCAGCGACTGAACTGTTGCCATGAAAGAAACACTAGGTAGGGGAGAAGGTTATTTAATTTATCATTCTTTCGGTTGTGTTAGTTCTAAGTGGTGTATGCTCAGTATGTTGCTAAGAGTTGAGTTGCATCATATATAGAGTCAGTGCATAAGTCTCATTAAGTTAATATTAACCTTGAAAACCCAATATATAACCAACTGGTGGGCCCTTAGCAGCTCAGAAGTCAACAATTAACTTCTTTGGGTTAATACACCTTTGAGGCAGTGTTGTGCAGTGGTTAACGTTCCTGAGTTTGAATCCCAGCTCTGCCTCTTATTAACCTTGGATATGTTATTTAAACACACCGCCTTAGTTCCTAAATCTGTAAAATGGCAATATTTACCTCATCATGGTCCTGCTTTGACTAAATGAGTCAATACAGTATAAACAAAATGCTGACTACTTTTTACATAGCACATGCTGATGAAATATTAGTGATTCTTATTAGTATTAGCTTTGTCTTTTTATTTTGACTTCATCTCATTTCTTTTGGGGGGGTAAAGGCCAAGTCTGGTTTCAGGGGGCTGGGGAATAGAGAGGAAGGAATAAATAAAAAAGAAATGGGGTTGTGTGCGGTGACTCACACCTGTAATCTCAGCACCTTGGAAGGCCAAGGCAGGAGGAGTGTCTGAGCTCAGGAGTTTGAGACCAGCCTGGGCAACATGGTGAAACCCCATCTCTACCAAAAATACAACAATTAGCTGGGTGTGGTGGCTCACACCTATAGTACTTGGGAGGCTGAGGCAGGAGGATTGCTTGAGTCCTGACGGTTGAGGTTGCATCAAGCCGTGAGAGTGCCACTGCACTCCAGCCTGGGTGACGGTACAAGACCCTGTCTTAAAATAAAAACAAAAACAAAAACAGTTGAGGAAGGGGGACAGGAAATACGTTGAATTATGCTAGACTGTTATGAGGCTGTTTGGGAGAAAAATAACCAACATATAAACTTACGCTATTTGTGTGTGTGTGTATTTGTGTATGTGTGTGTTTAGTTTTAAACTAGAGCTGGATCTTGCATTCAACCTCCATTCATAGGGCCAACTTTTTAAAACACCCACATTAATGGTGATGATCAGTGGTTTACAATAATCTGCCAGTCACCCACATTTTCAAAGGTATATTTAAACTTGGGGGTGTTGTCCATGCTGGAATTCCTGTCTATCTTTGAGACAAAGAATGAGGCCCCATTGAGAGGCCCCAGCCAAAGAGGAACTGCAGATTGCCTCATCCTCTCTCTCTGTTCACTTCTTTTCCAAAGCCCTTTGTCCTCTTATGAAATTGACTGTTTGTACTGACCTGGGGCTGGCTAAGTCAGTTTGGTTTAAGAGGACTTCTCTGAGTTGGGAAAGAAACCTTAGACCTTTTCTTCCAACTAATAAAGATGTACACAACAAGAGCTCAGACCATTGTGGCCAAAAGGCCTCATAAATATGGGAGGTGATGATGACCACCAAAGGATTGAATAGTCACAGCTGTCCTCTCTTCTCTCTGGACCTTGCTGGAATGGGTTGCTTATAGGGTTGCTACTGATAAGTAGCCAACCAGGTGTTTGGTTGAAGAGGCCATTAGGTAATTGTGCCAGGACTAATTCTCTACAAGAACTTTGTGTGTTCACATTCTTCTCTGCCTTGGGCCCCAAGAACAGCAAGTTGCCTTCTAATGTCATAGAAGGAAGAAAATACATGCATTGCCCCTTAAGTGTGGCTCTGAGTGGCCCTTGCTGGGTGACATTGGTTCCCTAGTGGTATTCAGAGCCCTTTAAAAAGAGGTCAAACGGGGCCCAAAGGAGCACAGCAATCCGTGGAGACCATCTGGGCCTCGCCCTAGAGGCCCCACCTCTACCTTCTTTTTGGATAAGGCCTGATATGGTTGTTTACCTGCCAAGCCCTCCTTTCCTCAAAGAAGAGCGTTCTTGCTGGGTTTCCACAAACCTGCTGTCTAGTCCTGCACTGTTTGTTCCTTGATCTGGTGGTTGGGGCTGCACTGGTTGCATTTTGGTAGGCAGGCAGACCCCTCACAGTGTTAAAATGAAGGGGAGGAAAGGGTAACCTTTCCTAAACTACCTAAGAAGAATGCTAATCCCAACTGTTTCAGAAACCTGTAATTTTTAGTTTATGTAAAACTCAGATAGATTGAATTCCCCCTTGAACCTTTTTGTATTTCATAAGAGTTTTATTTCCTAAAACTGACAGCAGTGACAGTTGTGTTAGAATTCAGCCCTGAGTATTTATTTCTAGATTTCACAATTTGTTTTGTCTTCGTAGCAAGCAATTGCCTTCCTTCCTTTCTCTCTTCCTCTCTGTGTCTCTGTCTCTCTCCCCTTCCTTTCTTTGCAATTTCCTTCTTTTCTCAAGCTCATGATGAAAATTGACCCTTCAGTTTTATTTTCAGATGAAAGCTCAAGCAACAAGCCAGCGCTTGCCTCCATTAGTGGCTCTGGGTAGTCCTTGCAGGAGAAATCACCATCAGCAAATCATCGTCCGTTTAGAGTGGGCTGCAGAGGCTAGGCAGCTCCCTGACTTCACTGTCCAGGAGCCTCTTAGAAATGAGCAAGGAGTGGCACTGGTGCTAGTGCCATTCAGCAAGGCTTTGGAGGTGTGCTTCGCTGCATTGGGGTACCTGATGAACAGCATCTCGGTGGTTGGGTATCTTGCACCCAGGCTAGAAGGTTAACTTCCATTAAGCTTTATTCAACCCTGCATCATAGAAGTGGTGGGTAGGTGTTTGTGCATCTCTGTGTGTATATGAATGACATGGCCAGAGGCTCCACTGTTCCATCATCGAAAAGTTTCTTAAAGGGACCTTATGAAGAACCACATGGAATTTGTAACTTGATCACGAAATTTGGACCATTAAGGACCTGAAAATAGCTCTTCGGTTTTGTGGGTCACACCTTTCTCTAAGCTCAGTTAATGAGCAAATCTTTATTCTTTACAAGATTAGCCAGGTGTATTTCGTGAATGTTAACTTTAGCCTTGGCTGCTTGGCCCTGCTGCTAATGAGGCCAAAGTGGGAATTCCTGCCTCTTGTGGACCAGTTACCTTCACTCTCTTACCTGGCCACCGACCACTAACCCTCGCCAGCTGGCTTGTGAATGTCTGCAGTTGGATGTTGGAGTGTGGGGAGGTGGGTGGGGGAAGGTGTTGTATGGATTAATGCAAATCCATGACCCCTCCTGGGGAAAAGCCACACACACATACTCCATGGAACAAGGGTCAAGTGCATTGTCTCCACTTTTGAAAGGCAATAGAGTTGATTAAGGTTAACTCGAAAATACTGATGTTGGCTAGAATTTTGGACTTTTGCCAGGATATATGCAACATTTAAAGTGATTTCTGGAAACCTGTGCCCATGGTTCACTGGTAGAGGAGCTTAAGATGAATAAAACAGTGAAAACCAGGGAGAGTGTGATTACTTTTAAATATGCAGCAACAAAAGGGACATGGCAATAGCTTAAAAATCTGTTTTCTAGGAATGTAATATTTTCCAAAATCTTAAGCTGGCTTACATCATATTTGGGTTGTAGGTTCTTCAGACTTTTACTTTTGGTTCCTACCTATTGCGAAAACGATATATATAGGTTAAATTTATATTATAGCTATTTATTATGGAATTGCATATTAAATAGAAATCTTGCAGTTACTGAAAACTTTTAGGATTTTAAACAAACATTAAGGAGCATATAATGTTCTAGAAGATAAATATTTGCATAAGGCAGTTCAGTCCTTCAGCATGTGTATTTTTAAAAACAAACAAAACCCCATCAATATTTACCCTAAGTGTAATTTGCAAAGTAAAATGAGAGTAATTTTGAAATCTTGTGTAACTCTGATTCATTTATTTTCATAGGATGGATTTACATTTTGGAATGATAAATGTGCAATAAAGAGCTATTAGGAAAACCATTATTTCTCTCAGATTTGGGAAATTCTAACACTGCTTTGTTACATATCACTATTTCCCAAAGAAAAGAAAATTAGGCCCAGACAAACTGTGACTTACCCAAGGTCACTTACTCAACTAGAAAGTGGCTGAGCTTTGGTGAAAACCAGTCCTTCTCTCCCTCAGACCAGTGGTATTTCCATGACAGCATGCTGATTTTTTTCAGGGAGCATATGCGCGCATGTACATGTGTAAATAAAATGGTTATTTTTAATAAAAAAAAAATTGTTTTACCACCCATGGTCCTGGTTAAAATCGCTATTTTGCTTCCTTTTAACAGACTGCAAGCGTGGTGACTTGGAAATATCATTTTCTTTCTCATCCTTTCAAGAAGCAAATTCAGCGTATTGCTTTACAGTCTTAACATTTTTTTATGTCTCTAGATACAGAATTGACTTTGTCTTTTCTTTGCCTTCTAAGCTGTTTAGAGCAAGGTGAGATTACAATCATAAGCTGAATCTGGAAAAAAAAAGCCCTATTATCTTTCTTGACTACCCTCATTGCCTGGAAAAGAACTATTATCCAAGTTTCACTTAATCATATGGTAACTTACAACAGTTGTGATTTGTAAAATACATGACGATTTGGTCTTGTCTCCTTTGTCTCTCTTACCTCTTTGTGATCATATTCTGCTTATTTTAATGCATGACCAGCCAACTGTGTTATTTTTCAGAAAGACCACCCCACATATAAAATGGAGTGGTCTTTAAATGTCTTGGGCTTTGAAAGATTGTTTAGCCATTCCTTCCCAAGTGCTTCAGGTTTGGATTTTGGAAACGTATGTTTTTGCCATTGGTGTCACTGCAAATGTTCTCATCTTCCTTTTTTCTTTGAATTTGATCAAACTTTGTTCACTTGTAGTACTTCCACGATCAGCAGAGTCTGTCTAGTCTTTCCTGCTTTTTCCTTTTTTTTGTTCCAAATTTTCCTTTTTTTTTTTTTCCATTTCTTTACTTTCCTTTGATACATCTTTTTAAAAAGTCAAAGTGGAAATATATGTAATTGACCAATGCTATAGCAGTTTATAGATGATATAAATTATTAAAAGAAATAAATACATATTTTATAACTGGATTTATATCATAAAATATTTCTAACCTTTATAGAAGGATTTATATATTTTTATTTATATCTTTTAAGTACTTATATCTTTTTAATACTGCTACGGCATTGGTCACTTGTATGTATTCGGCTCTGATTTTCCTAAAAGACATAGTAAAGGAAAGTAATAGAAATACACACATATATGTGTGTATATGTATGTGTATACACACATATATGTGTGTATATGTGTGTATATGTGTGTATACACACATACATGTGTGTATATGTGTATATATAGTGTGTAAACACACACAGGCACAGCATATAGTAAATAAGAGAATTTCATATCTTTACAAATATATTCAAAAGAGAACCACTTCAAACACATGGGTTTTACTGAATGAAGATCACTTCTACCTTTATGTGGTGGTCTAAGGTTTCTGTCACTTTCTTTGTTAGTTGTATTTGAAAGCAGGTGAGTAAACCAGAAAGAAATGATTCAGTCTGCCTGCTCCAGGCACAGAAGTAGAGGGATATAGGCCTGCAGCTCTCAGGCTTTCTGTGGACCTGCTTCCCCACTCTGTTTTGAGGCAGAAACTGGGGGATGTCAGCTCAAGCTTTGCTTGGCCACATGTGCCTCCACGGCTAGCTGAGAGTCACGTAGATGCCACTTGTCACATACACCCTTGGATCTGAGCTGCTTGAGGGTGTTACCACACATCACAGCTTGGTGCTGGGGCTCAGCATGGCCAGGTGGCTAACCAGGGCTTGGTGTCAACTACATTTGGGATGATGACACTTGGAGGACACAGAGCCACTGTGCAGCAGGAGTCGCCACTGCTAACAGCCAGAGGTTGGTGCCCATTTTGCCCCAATCCTCCTCAGTCCCTTCTCAAGTGGAAATTTTGCAAGTCGACTTCTGCAGCGTGCGTAGTACAATTTGGCTGACAGCAGTTTCTGGCAAAAGAAATAACCAAATTATTATTCAGTCATGGTTTTTTAACAGCCGCAAAGCAAGTGGATGTTAACTAAATGATGCAATTTATTCCCTTCCCTCTTATTGCCAGCTTGCCTATTACAGAGCGACTGCCAGTTTTCAATAAGTGGTACCCAGATGGTATTCGCATGCCGCCCACTTGGTTACAGAGCCGAAGCGGGGAATAACTCGGCAGACACTACAAGCTGTGGGTCAATTGAGGGGGAATGCCTGTTGCTTCACAGTTTTGCATATGTAAATCTGTTAATGTTATGTCAGTATTGTGCGGGCTAAACACAAGCATTGCCTTTCTCTGGGGGCCCAGCTGAACTTGGACCACAGCCCAGTTATACCGAGGCTCGGAGAGCGAAGCTGCAGTTTGAGGATGCTACACCGCCTGCTCCCCTCCACTCTTGCCTCCATGCTTTTGTGTTATCTGCAGCCCAAGCTGGATGCAGGAAGTGTCTGCCATAGGCTGACTCCATAATAGGACAGGCAGGCCGGGTTTTATGAGCTGGCTGCGGAGGGAGGAGTGTGAGTATGTGTCTATTTTTAGGCCAGCCTTCAAGACAGTTCCTTTGGCCCAGCCTGCGCCTGCCTGCCTCGCTCACACTCTCCTCTGTGTGTCTGCCACACTTCTGCTCTCCATTTCATCAACTGCAGATGTGGCACACAGCCGTCTTAGAAAAGTCATGAACTGTGTCGTCTGTGCGGCTTAACAGCCAACATCTGCTGCAGCAGGCTGAAGGAAGAGGCAGGGAAATCATTTTCGGGAATGCACTCAAGTGCCTCAACTTAGCCTCTACTTTGGCCTGTGCAGACAATTATTTTACACTAATTGCATCAAGATAGCAGCTATAAAAACGAGATTTCGATCGCTCTGCTCCCCCACCCCTCTTGTGAAAGTTGCAGTTACAAAGGGGTAGTTCTTTTTTCTTTTTATTGTGGTTTGTTTCTTGTTCTCAAAAGCTTATTACATTGGGTGCAAACAACAACAAAAATGCCATAAAAAGGCAAGAATCGTAATATGCTTAAGAGCTAAAAAGACCTATGGTGTTGGTTTAACCAATGAAAATATTCCTGCAGGTATTGTAAAATTTATGTGCCATATGAAAAACATTAAGGGTGTTGTTTTTTTCACAGAGGAAAATGTTCATTGTTGAGCCATTTTGTAAATTATTTTAATGCTGCATTTCTGCTTAAACCTCATGATTTTGATATATAAGCCAGTTTAATGTTTTCTATACAGACCCTGGCTTTTCTTAAATTTTATATATTGGAAAGCCCATGTTTGTATTGGAAACTGCTGGTTTCTTTCATACTGAAAATCTGTCTCGCGCGGCGTGATGCCATGTGGCAAAGGAGTAGTTTGACCAGAGTCAAACCTCGAGTGTTGACTTTTGAGTCCTAAAAACTAGGCAAGACCGTCTGAATAAATAATCTAGAAGGTGTTTTTTTGTTTGTTTTAAAACCAGGAGTCTTTTGACAGCAATAAGAATAGCATCTCTGCAGTACAGTATGGACTTTCTAATGCATTGGTCTGTTTCAACTTTTCATCTTCTTGTAACAGAGGCAACATTGTGTTCAGTATCTGAGCCTTAACTTTTTTTTTTTAATGCTCTCGGAGTAAATTCTGGTGAAATACGCATTCCAGCATCTCGGATTCTCTTGAAAGATTTGTTTCTGTGACATTTTGCTGTATCTGTTGTGCAGCTAGAGTAGCATGCTTCTCTCCTCACATTTCAAGTCTCTAGACTTTGTTCTGAAGAGCCAGATGGAAGTATGCAGATTGTTTTTATCTTTTGTCCTTCACACTGTAACCTGATCTCCAGCATATCTAGACATCTAGCAGAAAATTTACTATGTGAAAGCAAGGAAATGATTTAGAAATATGGACCAGCCAGGAAAGAAAGGGCTCAAGATGTACTTTATCAGAGTAAATCTCTCCACCCAACTCCCATACCCTTCTTTTTTTATTTTCATTAAAAAATGCTTTTCTCTTCTAGGGTATGTCTACATATGCCCAAATATTATTCTTCTCTTTTAACAGGGACTGAGAATTATAATTGACCAGTGAGTTTGGTAAAGGTGTAAATAGGTGTGCGATGAAAGTTGATTACCTAATAATTGAAAGCTTGGAAAAAGCATGAATTGGTAGAATCCTAGACTTGGCAATGGCCTTATAAATTAGGGCAGTGCAGTTTGCTAAAAGAAGGGACTTGTCCAAAGTTACATACCACGGTTGAGACAGATTCAGGACTCAAAGCCAGCATTGCCTCAGTGGCTGCAGGAAACAATGGAATCTCAGGCTTCATGGTTTGTGGGGTTTTAATGGCAAGATATTTGTAACCTTTTTGTTAATGTTCTCCTACCTCTTTAACTTGTGGTCCTAAAAACCTTGTTTCCTTCTAATCTTTCATTGGTGTTTGGATTCACATTAGTAACTAAACATATTCACCACCATATTAGGGCACTGGATATTTGCTACACTTGTAAGTGTACACAATATGCGTGTATGTCTGTATTCATACATATTCAGCATAGTGCACACATTTGGAGTCAGGAGACCTGGGTTTAAATGCCAACGGTGGCAGTTTGGAGAAGCGAGGCCTTAGGTGAATTACCCTGACATCTCCAGGTCTCTGTTGTCCCTGCTCTAGAATCGTGATGATAATAATACTTGCCTTAAGGTTGTCCCAAGAAGTTAATGAGATTATGTACATGAGACACTTAGCATGGTGCCCCTGCAGCACATACAGTATTCTTGTCCTTAACGAAAGTTTATTATTTTAATTGATTATCTGTTACCCTTGACAACAAAGGAAAGTAGTGATAAATGCCATATTTAGCCTTGAGTTTCAACATTTTTCTCCTGTAGATTGGTTTGTGTTTCTCACCCTTCTTGTCCCCCCTTCACTCTTTCTTTTCTAGCACCTTCTGCAGCATTTCTTGTTTTACCTTTGGGTGTCATTAGACGTTGTTTACATCATTGTCTGGCGGACCAGTGCTGTTTGCAAAAAGCTCAGGTGCTTCCTCTCCTGCTTACTCTTATTCTCTTCCTTGTCTAGTGACATTGTCTTGAACTTTCTAGCTGGGAAAGACTAAAGGGGATTTGTCACCTGGCAGGGGCCCTCACCAAACTTGTGTCATGCTTGAGAATATTTTGCCTCATTATCGTCAGTAATATCTTCAATGCACACCATTAAGACCAACCTAGGGCTTGAAGAAATGAATATTTAAGGGCATATTTATTGCCTAGATTAGAAAATACAGATTTTAAGTGTTTTCTGCTACTGATAAACTTTGTTCATTCAACAGGTGTTTATTTAGATGTCTACTATGTGCTAGGTGTGCAGGATAAGCAAGACAGACACTATTTGTGCTCTCATGAAGCTTAAAAAGCCTGACATGAATCTTGACATATAGTATCTCCCTGAAATCCAGCTTTAGTTTTACCTTCGATTTCTGTTAGGCTTTGGTCCTTGTTTCTTGTACATCTACTGATTGACTTTCTACAATTCCAACTTAAAATTTATGCTAATAAAAAAGATTTCAAGCTATTGTATTTACAATAGCATCAAAAATACTTAGGAATAGATATAATAAAAGAAGTATAAAACTCATACACTGAAAACTACAAAATATTCTTGAAAGAAGTTAAAGACCTAAGTAAATGGAAAGATATCATATGTTCATAGACTGGAAGACTTATTGTTATCAAGGTGGCACTCTCCATGTTGATCTACAGATTTAATTGCAGTCCCTACCAAAATCCCAGGTATTTTTTTTTTTTTGGCAGAAATCGATAGATTGATGCTAAAAGTCATATGGAAATGCCAGGAAGCCAGAATAGCCAAAACACTTGAAAAAGAACAGAGATGACCGAGCGCGGCGGCTCACGCCTGTAATCCCAGCACTTTGGAAGGCTGAGGCAGGTGGATCACGAGGTCAGGAGATCGAGACCATCCTGGCTAACACGGTGAAACCCCATCTCTACTAACATACAAAAAAAAAAAAAAAAATTAGCTGGGCATGGTGGCAGGTGCCTGTAGTCCCAGCTACTAGGGAGGCTGAGGCAGGAGAATGGCGTGAACCCGGGAGGCGGAGCTTGCAGTGAGCCAAGATTGCGCCACTGCACCCCAGCCTGGGCGACAGAGCGAGACCCCATCTCAAACAAAAAAAAAATAAAAACAAAAAAATAAAAAATAAAAAAACCTAAAACAAAGCTACAATAATCAAGAAAGTATGGTACGAGAATAAGTATGGAGATACAGATCAATGGAATAGAATTGAGAGTCAAGAAATAAACCCTTACATTTATGGTCAGCTGATTGTCAACAAGGGTGCCAAGCCAATTCAGTGGAGAAAGAATAGTCTTCTTAACAGATGATGCTGAGAAAAACAGTATATTCACGTGCAAAAGAATGTAGTTGGACCTCTACTTTACAACATACACATCGAAGACCCGAAAGTATTAAGACCTAAATATAGAAAACTCTTAGAAGAAATTATAGGAATAAATCTTCTTCATGACCATGGATAAGGCAGTGGTTTCTTAGATGTGAAACCAAACCACACGCAACAAAGAACAAATAGATAAACTGGGACCTAGCATTTCTACTCCTGCATATGAACCCAAGAGGAATGAAATTGTCTATCTACAGAAAAGCTTGTACATAAATGTTCATAGGAGAATGATTTATAATAGCCAAAGAGTGGAGACAACTCAGATGTCTATCAACTGGTGGATCAACAAAATGTGATGAATGTTTGCAATGCAGTGTTTTTCAGCCACAAAAAGGAATGAAGTACTCCTGCTGCACCATTGATGAACTTTGCAAACATTGTGCTAACTAAAAGAAGCCAGACACCAAGGGACCGCATATTCAATTCCATTTATAAGAAAGATCCAGAACTGGCAAATCCATTAAGACACAAAGTAGATTTGTAGTTGCAGGGAGCTGGAGAGAGAGGAATGGGGAGAGACTGCTAATGGGTATAGGATCTCTTTTGGGGGTGGTGATCTTCTAACTTATATTGTGGTGATGGTTTCACAACCGTTGAATATACTAAAATCCATTCAGTTCTATTGTTTAAAAGGGTGAATTTTATGGCATGTGAATTGTATCTTAATAAAAAGATTTCACGATCTGTCTGCATTTCTTTACTTGTAGAATGAGGCACTGCTGATTGTGCTCTCTTTTGGCTAATGCAGGGGTCAGCAAATTTCTGTAAAGGGCCAGATAGTAAATCCATTAGGCTTTGCAGGCCATACAGTCTCTCAGCTCTCTTAGTTTTGCCATTGTAGTGCAAAAGCAGCCATAGACAATCTGTAAGTGACTGGGTGTGGTTGTGTTCCAATAAAACTTTATTTATGAATACCGAAATTTCAATTTCACATCGTGTTCATGTGTCACCAAATAGTATTTTCATTGTCTTCTTCAACCATATAAAAATGTAAAAATCACTCTCAGCTCATGGCCTGTAAAAAGCAGGTGGTCAGAAAGATTTGGCCTACAGGCTAGTAGTTTGCCAACCTCTGTGCTGTTGCTACAAAAAGCTTTAAATACATGTTAGCAGCTTCATTAGAGGAGGTATTATTCTTGTCCCTATTTCAAAGATGAAGCAGTTGAGAATTCCAGAGGCTGAGGCAAGTCACCCAGATATTGGCTGCCAGGGCTGGTCCTTGACTCTGTTGAGTTCCAGAACCTGTGCCAAAAAAACACCGTCTTTCTGTCTGACCCATCTGGGTCAGTCAAGGCAGCCCAGCCCCTTCTAGCTGTGCAGGTCACTGCATGCTTCTCCGACTTGGCCTCTGCGCCTGCCTGGTGCCATTCATTATCCTGCATCTTCCATTCATTCTGGAATGCACACTTCCTTCACTCCCTTCTAGTACACTTTTCCATACTGCTGAGCCAATACCCACACTGAGCTGGGGGAAAAACAAATCCACCACCTTGCCTCGCTTTCAGTCTTTCCTCGTGACTCACTCCTTCTGGGAAGGCAATGCCTCGGCCACCTTTTGACCCTAAATCCAGCTGGAACTGAGTTCGCCTTGCTGGCTGCTGGGCTCTGCCTTGATCATCTGTCTTTCGGGAGGCAGATTGGCTGTGCATCATTTCAACCGTCTGCAGTGACAAGTTTTTTAGAGCCTCTTTGTTTCATTTAGTACCCAGGCCTTGGTTAGGACCTTAAAGGAAGTTAAAACCCCAGTGGCACCTTTTATTTAGGGATCGCTGGCTCGCTTGGCCTCAGTCTTCTACTCGCCTTTCCCACGTCCACCTGACATCCTGGGACAGTTGGCAGACCTTCCCTCCATGGCTCAGGTGGGCAGGAGGCAGAGTCAGCAGGGGTGTTAAGTCACTTCTACATCTCTGCGTGGCCGTCATCGCTGCTATTCTGCACATGTGTTGCCACTGGGGAAAATGGGACACTATATAGAGGGTGTCTTCTCCCACCACACTCTGTGGGGGTGGGAGAACCCACACCAAACGATCATCATGTTGGATTTGCATCATGGCACATTGAGAATGTGTTCAGTGGGACTGTGGATACTATGGAACCTTTCCCACAGAGTCCTTTGTAATGCCTCTGCTAGGATCCAGTTCATTGCTCAAACACCCATACATTTTTGCCCTTTATATGCGAGGATTTTATTCTGAAAGCTGTGTTATCTGTGCTGCTTTTCCAAGACAGAGCAACAACTACCAAAAAAAAAAAAAAAAAAGAGACATGGTTTAGAAGTGTTTAAGTGATAAATGCAAGCTCTTTATTTATGACTCATAATGTGGTTAAGAGTCCTTCGACTTTAGTACAGTCTCCATTCCTAGTAGTTTGGACTGTGTGAAGTGCTAAAATTCCGATTCTGTGCAAAAATGATCCTGCCAGTTGCTGACTAGGGTGACTGGGGTGTGGAGGTGAAGACATAGACCCTCTGAGCATTTGGGTAGGGGATGCGTAGGGTAAGCGAATTGCATTGTTCTGCAATTCGTGGGTCACAAGTAAATTATTGAGAGTTCAGAAACTTCTTCTTTGGCCTAAAATATTTAAAAAGTACTCCTTGTAGGGTGTCTTTGGTTATAAGTAACAGAGGGAATTTTTAGGGATGATTTAGAGTGGGATCATGGAACCCATGGTGAAATTGAAAACTGGAATCCTTCAGGACATGAGGCACCTTCTCTCTGTGTCACTCTTCTTGTGTCTCGTTGTGTTTTGACTGTGCTTTATTTTGCTCTCCCTCCCTGCAGACTACCTCAAGGCAACTGTTAGTCTGCAAATGGCCTCTCAGGACTGCCCCCAAGGGTCACCCTTGATCTCTAAGGCTTTCAGAATTCTGTCATATTATTCTGTCTGAATACTTAGTGTTCTTGTTAGGAGCCTTGGTGTTGTAGGTAGCTAACAGGCAAGCCAGGGTGGAGGGCACGGGGAGGCGTTGTGTGTATTAGAAGGATCTTGGGATATCTTTAGGACTCTGGGATGCCGCCATATCTCAGAGTGGGGCAGAACCAGGAATGGGAATCACCAGGAGCCTGAACAGAGTTCTCTAATTTCTCATCCCTGTTTCTTTCTCTTCTTTTGAGACAGAGTCTCCCTCTGTCACCCAGTCTGGAGTGTAGTGGTGCGACTGCAGCTTACTGCAGCCTTCACCTCCCAGGCTCAAAGATCCTACCTCAGCCTCCCAAGTAGCTGGGACCACAGGTGCACGCCACCACGTCCAAGCTAACATTTTGTGTTTTTGTTGTTGTTGTTGTTGTTGTTGTTAGAGATGGGTTTTTGTCATATTGCTCAGGCTGGTCTCGAACTCCTGGCCTCAAGTGATCCACCTGCCTTGGCCTCCCAAAGTGCTAGGATTCCAGGCATGAGCCACTGTGCCTGGCCTCATCCCTGTTTCTCGCTGCATATCTCTGCTTTGCCACTGGCTCTCAGCAGACTCGCCCCTCTGCTTCTCAGGCCATGACCTGCTTGCCATGAATTCTGAGTGGACCTATTAAGTTCTCCTCCAGTGAAATAACATCTTACCTGAAGGTCAGGTTCTGAAGTTAGCATATGAGATGAAAATTGCTTATGGTTAAAATATCCTTTCAGAGCCTTGGAAGTCACCAGTAAGCAGGGCCAGATGCACCTGGTTTGTGGGGCATGTGGGATCAAAGACCCACTAAAGGAACACAGGATTTTCAGCTCCTTTTGCTCCCGGGCATTTGCTCATCATTTGCACTATTACTAAATGCTCTTCCCTTCCCTGCTCCTTCTCCAAGCATTGGTACATGTCTTTGTGCTAGTTAAGCTTGAGTACATTGTGATTTCACTAGATCACACTCCCAATTTCAAGTTCAGTGTGAAGAATATAGAGGTTCTGGTTGGTCTAGCCTTGGCCACGTATGTGTCCCTCATAGGTCAGCTCTGGCTTAGAGTGGCTGGTTACATTCAGGAAATGCTCATACTTTTAAATTAAATTTGCAAAAATAAGAGAGAGTCTTGGAACAAATAATGAGAATGAGACCTAGAAAAGTGACAGTTGGAATATGGTCCCTGGCTGTGGTGAGCCCTTAAATAGAGTGTTTTCCAGGGTCTGCATAGAGTCACCTGTGGACTACTGTTGAAATGCAGATTTCTCAACCCCATCCAACCCCACTCTGGCTCTGTCCCATCTTCTAGAGGTTGAGCCAAAGATCTGCATTTTCAAGTAAGCAAACCAGATGAATCTTATCCACACTAAAGTTTAATTACTGCTTATAAGAGGAAGATATTGGGCTGTTTTAACTACATTTGGAGTAAAGCTTTTTAATTCTAGTGAGAAGTGGAGTTGACCTTTGAACTGGGGGTGTCTACTCATACGTGGATTTTTTTTCGACCACATGCAGAGTGAAAACTCAGTGTTGGTGAATGGGAAACCAGTGTATAGGGAGAGCCTTAGGGTTTTTTGTTGTTGTTGTTGTTGTTGTTTTTGACAGAGTTTTTGCCTAGGCTGGAGTGCAATGGCGTGATCTCCACTCACTGCAACCTCCACCCCCCCAGGTCCAAGCGATTCTCCTGCCTTGGCCTCCTGAGTAGCTGGGATTACAGGCGTACGCCACCACACCTGGCTAATTTTGTATTTTTAGTAGAGACAGGGTTTCACTGTGTTGGCCAGGCTGGTCTCGAACTCCTGACCTCAGGTCATCCGCCTGCCTTGGCCTCCCAAATTGCTGAGATTACAGGCGTTTGCCACCGCGCACAGCTGCCTTTGAGGGTTTTGCAGGGCTGACTGCAGGACTTGAGTATGCACGGATTTTGGTCTACTTACGGGTTCTGAACCAGTCCCCCAATATACAGACGGACAACTGTGATTATGCTCCTTCTCTTTTTTGAACAATTGGGCTTCCCGTGACACCAAGGCTTAGGGCTTTTTCTGTATTCATTTTGGGTTACAATCACCTTAAACCCATTTTTGAGGAAGGTGGATTCCAAAGAAATGTTGAGTTCTGTTATTTTTCCTTGTATTTCTTGTAGCTCTCTGGAGGATTGCATCATAATGGCTGAAGACTTTAATTATTCATTCAACAAAAGAATAAGATGGAGACTAAAATTTGTCTGGAGGATGTTTTGCATGTCATCCCAATCTTTGCTATTGCCCCCTTTAAAACACCCGAAAAATAATTCTGCAGAATTAAAGAGTGAGGGGAAGGATTTGAAATTGTTCACAGAACAATAATGGGGTTGGGGACGCCAATTTTCCACACAGTCGAAAATCTGGGTGTAACTTATGATTCCCCAAAACATAACTACCAGAGCTTACTGTAGAACAGAAGCTTTCCTGGTAACATAAACAGTCAATTAACACATATTTTGTATGTTCCATATATAATATATTGCTGTATTCTGACAATAAAGTAAGCTAGAGGAAATGAAATGTTATTAAGAATATCATAAGGAAGACAAAATATATTTACTCTTCATTAAGTGGAAATGACTCATCATCGTTCTTTACATTGAGTAGGCTGAGAAGGTGGAGGAAAGGGAGGGGTTGGTCTTGCTTGTGCAGGGCTGGCAGGGGTGGAAGAAAATCCTCTCATAAGTGGGCCTGTGCACTTCCAACCCAGGTTGTTCAAGGCTCAACTGTACATACCATGATAATGCATCTTGCCTAATTAACAGTTGTGAAATGTTGGAGTTATGTGGTATTTTTATTTCATATTAAGAAAGTCAAAAATATTTTTGTAGCAGTTGAGTTCTCACTGGCCGCTGCAGAAGTATTTGTTAAAACTTGTATGGTAACTTTACCTTCTGGTAGATTCTAAACTCTTTCTTTCTGATTGCAGGAGCAAGATGTATCAACCAGGGTCCTATGCTTTGATTTGGAATGTTTGAATATGACTCATGTTTATTTCCTTCAAGGATGAAGTGTGTATACCTCAGTAGATCCTGTCCCCCGCCTCGCCTCCTGAAAATGTATGCTTAAAAACAAATTATGAAGTTATTGCTAGATATGTGGTTGGAGTGGCCAGTGTAAACTTAGTTGTTGCTTACGGCACTTTCTGTTCTCTGTGGAACAGAAGGGCGGGGCAGGTGGGGAACTGGAAGAAGCAGCTTCCCTTTGCTTTTCCTGCCAAATTTAGTAAAAAAAGAAAAAAAAGAGGGAGGCCCCACCTTGTCTTCATCTCCTGTCTGCACAGTTGGGCATGGATTGGGAGGAGATCTTGCCAACACTGTGAGTTTTAATAAGTTATTTTAAAAATTTCCTACCTTAAGGAAACTCACACTGACACCAAATTAATTTTTTTAAAAAATCATTCCACTAGGACCTGTCTTGCCAACAGTTTTGGGTAAAACACTGAAGGTAAGATGACAGCCATCCAGGGAGTGTATTTGGTTTGTGGGACCATCCACTTTTGGGTGTTTGAGTAACTTCATTAATAGTTTCTTTGTGCCGGCCGTGGTGGCTCATGCCTGTAATCTCAGCACTTTGGGAGGCCGAAGTAGGCAGATCGCTTGAGCTCAGGAGTTGGAGACCAGCCTGGGCAATACGGCAAAACCCCGTCTCTACAAAAAATACAAAAATTTGGGTGTGGTGGCACACATCTGTAGTTCCAGCTACTCAGGAGGCTGAGGCGGGAGGATTGCTTGAGCCCAGGAGGTGGAGGTTGCAGTTAGCCAAGATCACGCCACTGCACACCAGTCTGGGCAACACAGTGAGACCCTGTCTCAAAACAAAAGAATTTTTTTTCTTTGCTGTGCCAGGTGATGGAGGAACTTTTGCAAGAGAGATAAAAAAGAAGACTGCCTATTAAGTCAATGGAAGCCTGTAGGACTTGAGATTTCATTGAAATAAGTAAAAGGAATTGTAGAATTGAGCATGTGGAAGTCGCATAAATGACATTCGGTTTTTTCAGAGTATTCTGAAATGGTGGGGTACACAACACATATAGTTGGGCTATAAATTTCATGCGTCCTCCACTTACCTACATAGTAAGGTAGGAAGATACAAAATCTTGGGTCTAGAACGCTGTAGTTGAAGGATCTGTCTACCTGAACACACAAACGTTCCCAGTTAAGCCTTTTCCATGTAGGTTTCAACTTGTTGGCCCATCCCAAACATCTTTGGCTTGAAGATGGTTACCTTTACCTAGTCAGAAATGATAAATCATTCCTCTCCTAAATGATCACACTGGAGATAACTGTGCAGTCAGGGAAGCAAAACAAAAAAAAGATGGTCATGAGAACATTGGCTGTTGTGTATTTTCTTCTTACTCCTAACAAGGCAGTGTGCTTTCTTTGTTTCCTCACTTATTTGTTTGTTTCCTTCCTTCTTTTTTTTTGTCCAATTTGTTCCTCAAGTAGAGCTCCTCTATTTAAACCAGGGTGGACTGGCAATATAGTGCTCTGAGGTCTTTTCCTGTTGAGGGCCCCAGTTTCTTCCCGTAGAATAGCAGTAGTTTACAGCTGTAACTGGAGCCAGGCCGATAGCTGAGTGGCTTCTTGCTGTGAGCTGCTGCCGGGCAGCTGCCTGTGCTAGTGGAAATGGCAGGCCCCTTCTGAGTGACCTTGGGCAGCGTTACCTTTGTAAATCCCATCTCATCAGGGTCCAGGGATTGAATCCTAAGCCCGGATTTGAACCGATATCTCCTACTTTGCCTGAGCATTGCACTGAGCCCTGGGCCCGGAAGAAATTATATTTATTTATGTGCGTCCCTCCTCAGAGGTGGAGATAGTGGAAATAAGGAACAAAGGTTTTATTCACACCTGAACGCAGATTTAAACATAAGGAAGTGAGAAACAAGTTTTATTAATAGCTGTGCTATTTAGATGGTGCTGTAGGAAGAATCTTGATTTATAAAATTATGATCTACTTCCATTTCCATGGTGGGGGCCCATTTGGGGGCAGAATGGGAAAGTTAGTACAAATTAGCTCAGTCTTTTTCCTTCGCCATTCCTGGATGGGGTTGGGGGGTAGTTTTCTTCAGGTTTTCATTGACCCCTCCATACAGGCTGTAGTCACATGGCCCTGGGTTCAAATCCTAATTTTGTTAGTGTACGGCACATCTCAGCTAAATTGCCCACTCTTCGTTTTCTGGTTGTAAAACTGGAACAATCACACCTACCTTGTTGTCATGAACGTTAAATGAGACAGTGCTTAGAAAGGGCTTAACACAGTATGTGCAACATAATTACTGATTTTGTGAGAAATGACCTTTGAGATTACCTCTGATATGTCAGTTCCCCTTCAGATAGGGAGTGAACAATAGAAAAACTCCTTCCTCCTGCTATACTCTCCATACAGAACACTTACGGTCACCACAATGTGTAGGGGGTTTCTTTCACACCAACTGTCTTGGTCCACTTTGTGTTGCTATAACAGAATCCACAGACTGGATCATTAATAAAGGAAAGAAATTTATTATTATTAGTTATTTCAGTTCTGGAGGCTGGGAAGTTCAAGATTGAGGGGCTGCACCTGTCGAGGGCCTTTTGGGTTATCACGTGGCGGGAGGGTGTGCATGAGAGCAAAAGAGGGCTGAGCTTGCTTCTGTAGCAATCCCACTCTCAGTAATGAACCCACTCCCGAGGTGACAACATTAATCCATTCATGGGGGCAGAGGCCTGATGACCTAATCACCTCTTAAAAGGTCCCATCTCTCAACACTGTTGCACTGGGGATTAAGATTCTACGCATAAACTTAGGGAGATGCATTCAAACCATAGCACTAACCAGTTCTCCAACACCAGCTGGGTGTCCTGTCATTCAATTCAGTTCTGACACCATCTACCTGGAGATGGCATCAGATCCCACAGGTTAAGGGCTCGGCCCCACTAGACTGCCCCTGCTTTGGACACAGGTGCCATGTTGTCACCTATGCTTCTGACCCACCGGCTAGAAATTAGAAGTTTCCTTGACCCCTCCTTGGGTTCAGTCACTAATTAGAATAGCTTACACAACTCTAGGAAACACTTAGGTTTACTGGTTTATTGGAAACAGTATTGTGGTATTACATCAAGGATACTGATGAACAGCCAAATGGAAGACAGTCGCAGGACAAGGTATGTAGGAAGGGGCAAGGAGATGCCATGCCTTCTCTGGAGGTGGCAACCCCAGGAACCTCGACATGTTCAGCATTCAGAAGCTCTCCAAATCCCATCCTTCTGAGTTTCTATGGAGGCTTCGTTATGTAGGCATGATTGATGAAATCATTGGCTATTGGTGATCAACTTAACCTTCAGTCCCTCTCCCCTCTCTGGAAGTCAGAACTTGGAGGTCAGAGGCTGGAGCTGAAAGTTCCCACTCTGCAATCATGTGGCTGGTTTCCCTGGCAACTGGCTCCCCCATCCTGAGGCCTTGCTGCAGTGCCCAGCCATGGCATACAAAAAGACAATTATCACTTTGGGGTTTCCAAAGTTTTTAAGGACTATGTGCCAAGAAACAAGGGCAGAGACCAAATATTTATTTCTTATTATGTCATAAGGAGTTTGATGCAATTTTCCAAAGAGGGCAAAGAGACTTGGGTAAGATAACACACTAGTACTTTCTTTCAAATTTTGACTCAAATTGAACTATCAACATGAAGAGAATATTGTTGTGGCTAATATGCATGTGAAGTATTGAGACATACTAACAAACTGAAAACTTTTTGTCAAGTCACATCAGCAGGAAAACTAAATCATTAGATCAATGGGCAGGAGTGTGCTTTTTCATCCTAGCTGAGTTACAGAGTCGGATGTCAGGAGGTTTGACTTTTGGTTTTCTTTTTATTCATCACAGAAAAGCCTCCTGTATTGAATTCTAAGGTGAGCCTTATAGATAGAGTACACCAGTTAGCTGGTGCAAAGTTTTGCCTTATATGGCAATCTCTTTCAAAACCAGAGATGCTTCTTAGTTTAGCATTACTAAGTTAAACATTCATGATCGCTATTCCTTGAAGATACTTCATACTTCAAGACTGTCTTACAAATCAGCTAGTAAAGAATACCCCTTTGTTTTCCTTCTTTCATACCTAACCCCCACCTTCAGGCCAAAGCTGTGTCTTTGAAGTTCTGAGTGACATTATCCATTCTTACTTGTTTGGGGTAAACTATCTTAAATGTCACATGTTTTGTATGCCTTCTTCCCATATTCCTCTCTTTTTCTTGTTCAAGTAGTCCAGCCCCCTTATTAATTTTGTTTATCCAAGTCAAGTGTTTCTTCAGAATGTACCCTCTACATAAATCAGGGTAAATGACTCCGCATCACTAACTTCAAATTGATCTGTGACCTCTGTGTTCCATGACAATACAGGAGTGGAACGCCAGCAGTCCATATCCTTTGATACTGTGAGTAAGTTTTGAGGACATTAGAAGGTCAAACATTATTTATTATTTCTTTGAGTTTGCTTGATGGCAATCACAGCTCTGTGGAAGTCAATCAAGTCTCTTGATAATTCTGTTTAGGCGGTATATAATTAGGCGTTTAAAATTAGTTAAGTGCCTGTTTTGCTATGCATTTCACATTCTCTTTGGAAGGCATGTTTACCAGATGACTTTGGGGACATCTTTTACTTCAGCTTTTCCCCGAGCTGAGAGTTTGAAAGTTAGGGAATTCTTTCTACTTGTATTACCTGTTTGTCAGCAATTTACTAGAGTTGTTTTTGTTTAACACTGAACAAATGCCGGGAGGTGTAAGCACAAACATGTTTTCATAAAGAGAACCAAGAAGAAACCACAATAGTGACTGCATTGTTGGGGATCTGCATTTTTAGGTGTGTGAGTATTTCTTAAAAAAACAATAAACCATCTATACACAAAGTCTCTTTGCTTTTTTCCTGGCATCTTGATGTCCTGTAGACACCGTGGTCTTTCTCTTTGAATGACCCAAAGTCTGTATCATTACTGCAGAATTGCTGTCTGAAAATTAAAACATGGGATAGTGAGCAAATAAATATGGCAAAGTGTAATTTAAAAGGAAACCAGTTTATTTGAAATCAAAGTATATGTAGACAGGACAGGATGAACTGTTTAAAAGGGCAATTTTTGATTCTTAAACAACAGGCTTCCCTTTGGCGTCCCATTTTGAAACCTTTGTAAAGCATGGCCCAGCATCACACAAACATATATTTTTTTTCTCTTTGTTTTTTCCCCCCTATTGTACAGATTGTCGGGGGAAACACAGATGAAAAATTCTAATACTTAATTACACTGTAAGGAGCAGGTGACCAGATGCTGGTTACACTCTGCACCTCTCCTTTTAGTCATGGATGGTAGTGGATGGAGTTGGACTTGAAGCTAGGTCTATGTAGACCTTGAGCATTTGTGCTGTGTTTATAGCTTTTAGCATAATCTGAGCTTTTTGGGTGAGAGATCGTCTCATCAAACCTCCAGCTTGGATGTGGACATTGAAGTAGTGATCAGTTAAGGACTTTGTGAGGGTCACTTAGCTTGGGAGCAGATCTCATCACAGGACCCCTTCCAGTCTACTGGGTGAGAGAGTGAGCATCTGGAAGGCAGGGCTCTGTCTGTCTTGATTTTGAACTCCTTGATCTTGCTGTTGATGCTTGAGAGAATCATTAGGCATTGTTAACTTAATTATTCTTTGCTGCTCCTTGCTCTGGAGTTGCCTGACAGTCACAGATCACCTGTTACTGTTTTGACTGGCTGCTCTGGTGTGAAATTGGGATTGTTCACTGTACAAGCTTGCCTGGCTGAGGGGGCAAGTAGGAGCTGATACCTTGCCTGTGTTCTTCTTCTTAGGCTCTGGGCCTTGTCTGCATCAGCCTAGAGGAAGAAGAGTCTTTACAATTTTGTCTTGCATATACAGTAGTGCCCTCTGCTCACCAAGCCATGTAGGGCTACCTCCCTGCAGAGGGGAACTTTTTTTTTTTTTTTTTTTGAGTTGGAGTTATACTCTTGTTGCCCAGGCTGGAGTGCAATGGCGTGATCTTGGCTCACCGCGACCTCTGCCTCCCAGGTTTAAGCAATTCTCCTGCCCCAGCCTCCCAAGTAGCTGGGATTACAGGCATGCGCCACCACGCCCGACTAATTTTGTATTTTTAGTAGAGATGGGGTTTCTCCATGTTGGTCAGGCAGGTCTCTAACTCCCGACCTTGGGTGATCCGCCCACCTCGGCCTCCCAAAGTGCTGGGATTATAGGCGTGAGCCACCGTGCCTGGCTGGGAATGTTTTTCTAGTTCACACAAATGCATGGGTGGGATGGCTGAGGCTTGGCAGTGATGCAGTACACTCCCACAGTGCTACATTCAAAGAAGATTTTTAATAAACACTGATTAAAATGTAAGACCCTAAAATGACTCATTTGCTTCTTAGAGCCCCGTTTCTGCTTTGGATGGAATTCCCTTACTATATTAATGTTTGTCCCAGTTTTTATTCCTTGCAGGTTTCTATATGATGTGTAGTTTGTGTTTAGACTATTACTGACTGTACCTTTCAGCAGGGATTGTTTGTATCTGTTAAGGTAGTTTTAAAGATTTCCCTGGCAGAGAAGGTCCACTTTGTCGGCTGAGGCACAGATTTGGGCCTGAACTCTGGATTCTTACTGCATGTGCATATTCCTGGGATCTGAAGGTGAGGCAGAAGGAAGGGGCTGGCCCTGGAGTTTTTAGCTCATCATGTATCAGTGTGGCCATAATTTTGGTCATTGTGTTCACCGACATCATAGTACCACCGGTACTCTTGTTTGTTTGTTTGTTTGTTTGTTTGTTTATTTATTTATATATTTAGAGACAGAGTCTCCCTCTGTCATCCAGTCTGGAGTGCAGTGGTGCGATCTTGGCTCACTGCAAATTCTGTCTCCTGGATTCAAGCAGTTGTCCTTCCTTAGCCTCCCAAGTAGTTGGGATTACAGGCGCCCACCACCATGCCTGGCTCATTTTGTTTTTGTATTTTTAGTAGAGATGGGGTTTTACCATGTTGGCCAGGCTGGTCTCGAACTCCTGACGTCAAGTGATCTGCCTGTCTCAGCCTCCCAAAGTGTTAGGATTACAAGCGTGAGCCACTGCACCCGGCCAGTACTCCTATATTTAAATGAATAAATTTTTTATATTACCTGATTTTTTAAAAAAAAACGTGAATCATCTTACACCAAAAAGAAACTTTCTATGGATTATTGTAATTAGAAAATCACTTGCCAGTAGAAGAAGGTGATGATAAAAATAAATAAATATAAAGGCCTCAGCAAGATTATGAAATAAGGGAAGGCTAAAGAAGAAGGAAGATGGTGAGGTCTTTCTTATTCTCCCTGTGGTTTCACAACCCTGTGCAGACCTTCGTTCAGGGTGTAGACCAGAGCTCTCAAAGGTGGTGATCTATGAGAATCACTTGAGAGTTTTAAAACAATTTGACTTCCTAGGGCCACAAATCCAGTTGATTCTGAAAAAGGACTTGAAATCTGTGTATGTTTTTTAAAGTTCTCTCAGCGATTGCCCAGCCAGTGAAACCACTGCCTTTTTTTCGTCTGAAATTAGTGAAAATTAGGGAATTTCTTAAAAATAGATTCACATATTTTGTAGCAGCCCATAATTTTCGTTGCTGTCTTTAGACCTGGAGGAATAGGCGTTTCATTCAACACTGTGTTTCCTTTTATTCCTAAAGCTAATTTTTTTATCCACCCTAGTTTTGGTGAAATTATGTATCACTTGTGATAATTCATTTTAAAAATTCCTGAGCTGTGTGGCGCACTTTCATGAAAATTCATTTAGATAAAATTAGATATTATTGTTTAATGAGGTGGCATTTCAATTTGGACCCTGCATCAGGCATATACCAAGAGTTTTTTATGGAAGAGTTAGGTTCATTTGAGTAATAAAGCCTGAATCATGGGGGCTTTAATTCTTAATCGCTGTGAGGATTGTTATCCGTGGGATGTGAGCTGTCTTAGTGGTATTCAATCAAGTGTCCACTTAGCCATGACTGGAAGTAATTGCTCCCAAGTGGGCCGCACGGTGACCTGTTAATACTCCCTTTGACCCTGTGACCTTGTCTGCCCCATTGTTTAGGATTTTATAGCAGGCAAGTCTGCATTTCTGTGGGGTCAAGTAGATATCTTGAGGTCAAACATTTTCTGATTACTGCCTAGTCCACACTGTAAGTCGACCAGAAGCTGTTGCATTGTTAATAGTCGTTGCTTTGTAGCGGAACATGAACAATTTGAAAATTGTCTTCCTAGCCTGCATGTAAACAGTTTAATATTTTACAGAAAGAAGTTCATCTTGTAAATTAGGTATGAATAATACATTTGTAATTACTCCTTGTGTCTTTAAACACTTGTGTCTTAATTGGCTTGCTTTTTTTTTTTTTTTTTTAAGATTTATTTGCATTTGCTAGCAAGTTAAAATTAACTCCTGTAGAAACCCAGCAACAAAGTGAGGACAGAGCATTCCAGGCCCCTCTGGTTCTGCTAGACTTAAAACTTGATTGAGTTTTTGGAAGGTGCATTCATTCTTTATTTTTATTCATTTATTTTTTCTTTGTTTGTTTTTTTGAGACAGTCTCACTATGGCACCCACGTTGGAGTGCAGTAGCTTGATCTTGGCTCACTGCAACCTCTGCTTCCTGATTCAAGTGATTCTCCTGCCTCAGCCTCCCTAGTAGCTGGGATTATAGGCGTACACCACCATGCCCGGCTGAATTTTGTATTTTTACTAGAGACGGGTTTTGCCATGTTGGCCAGGCTCATTCATTCTTTCTTTTAAACATTTGTTGGGGCCATTCAGCAAGAAACAAATGTGTTTGCTGTGCCTTCTGGAAAAGTGTCTGTCCCGTCACTCACTGAATTGAGGTTGTTTCTTGTTTTTTACCCTTTTTTATTTCATGGCATGGTGTTATTTTGGGTTTCTGTCTGTCGGCTGGTAACATACATTGTTTTTTCCAGTAGTTACATGGACACATTCCCTCATCTCCGTGATGAGTCAAGTAATCCAAGCCTGCTACACATCTCTTTGCTTTGTGGGTGATCCCGGCTGCTCTGCCCTCCCTCGAGTTTAGCAGAATTATAAAATGGGGGTGAGAGAAGGAGTTAAACTTGAAAGGTGAATTCAGTCACATCTGAATTCATTTTAGGGCCCTGTGAGTCATGTTAGGGCCTCCTAAAACTGTATCCATGCCTTATCTCACTTTTACCCATTCACACAATGGATTTTCTACAAATGCATATGTGGAAAAGTACAGCTAGAAAAAAAACAAAGGAAAATACACAATTAGGAAAGGAGGCAAACAGTGAATTTAGAATGCCCCCTAAGGTGACTCGGGATGTCACCGCAAAATAAAATACTCATGAAGAAAAATTAAGTGGCTCTTGCTACTGTTTTGAATGTATTATTCAAAACAATATATTGGCATCTTGGCTGCTCCTTCTTTATCTAAGTCTGAAATACGTACAATTTGTCTTAAGAGAGAAAGCCTTAATAGCTTAAAAATAAAGGGTTACTGTTTATTACAACTTCAGCAGTGGGGCCCATCCCCACTGAGGAAACACATAGCTTACTACGTAAATTATTGTCCCCCTGCCTCTGGCTTTAACACCAGAAATTTGTCATCTTTTGCTTCTAGAGCCAAGAAGTCCAAGACAAAGGTGTCAGCAGAGTGGACTCTTTCAGAAAGCTGTGAGGGAGAATGTTTCAGGCCCTTCTCCTACCTCCTGGCAGGGGCTGGCAATGTTTGCCATTCCTTGACTTGTAGGAGCGTTGCCTCGATCTCTGCCTTCATCTCCCTGTGGTGGTCTTTCTATGTGTTTGTCTATGTCCCAATTTCCCCTTTTTACAGACACCAGTCATATTGGATTAGGGTCCCACCCCACTTCAGTATGACCTCATCTTAACTAATTACATCTGCAGCAATCATATTCCAAGTAAGGTCACATTCGGATCCACCTTCTCTTTTCGCTCAGTTCATATAGTTGAATTCAGGAAAGTTAAATGTGTAAGTACTGCGGCTCCTGAGAATATTATGGAGTAGAATGCAAAATCTGTGGGAATTTGAAAGGAAAACCATGGGAAAGAGACATGGCAGTGTCTCTCTTGACTTTACGGTAGGCCCATCCCAGCTTGAGACCACTGCATTCTCTGTGTGCAAACATCAGACACAGATGTGCAGTAGGTGGGCCCAAGTCATGGGTCATATTTCTTTTTTTCAATATGACATCAGTGCATGATTGGCAGAGGCTGGCATTGGCCCAGAACGGTCTGAGTTATGGTCTCAGTCTTGAAGCTCTCTAGTGCCACCTGCTATATTTGAATCACTTTATATGAATTTTATTTGTCCCTCACAATGAACCTGGGAGGTGGCCAGTACCTTTTCTGTCTTTTAAGAAAGAAGACGCTGAGAATCAGGAAAGTCAATTCCCTGGCTTAGGTCACATAGCTAATTCAAGATTGAAACTCAAGCCTTTCTGAATCCAGAGCCTGTTTTCCTTCTGTCTCTCTGGCTCTGACTTATTAAGTGCCCCAATTTCCTATCTTCTCTTGGAAAACACCATCACAGGAAAAGGAATCTGGTGGTATTTCCTGTCTTTGGGTCTGTCTGTCTGTCTCTTTTTAAGCAGAGTAGAGTTTACCCTGAGAAATAGGAATATTATGAAAAAATAAGTTTCTCTAGATTGGATGTCCCAGCGTGGACAGATGAGCCCAGGGACCCTTGCCTCTGTCATTGGGCAGCTGCCCACAGGGAGCTCAGTGTTTTTGGTGCCAGTGTCTCTCTCGGAACTCTTGGCAGGCCCAAGGGTGTACTTGCAATTGCTGGTGCGTGGTATTTGGGATGTTTGTATGTGGCTGTTTTTTATTTTGGTTTTGTTATCTACCCTTTGTAATAGTAACTGGCACCATTTCTTGCTGTTCAGATGTTCTGTTGCTTTCAAACAAAGAGATCTGAAAATGTACCAAATCAGCGGGCTTCATAAAAAGTTTGGTGCATTGGAGCCAAGGCCGAGGTTTCTTGGGCCATCAGTGATGTGCTTAAAAGTCCAATGCGCCTTTCCATGAGCAGTTCCCCCTGCCTAGGAGGATACAGATGCCAGAGCCGACAGGAGCAAGCAGATGGCCTCACCCTGTTGTTGCTGTGGGAGAAACATTAGTTTCATGTGGCCAGATCTCCTCTCCTCATATCTTCCAAAGAAACCAGAAAACTCAAATTAACAAATGCTTAATCTTGATTATTAAGTGTTGGAAATAGAATAAAAATAAAGTCTGTCTAGTCTGGCCCAAGCGAAACAAATCTTTGGACCACATTTGGCTCTCAGGTCATTGATTTACAATTTTAGGCTTAGAACAGAGCCCCTGTCCTTCACCCAGGTCCCCCCCCTCCCCCTGCCCTTTTTTTTTTGAGACAGGGTCTCACTCTGTTGGCCAAACTGGAGTGCAGTGGTGTGATCTTGGCTCACCACAATCTCCACCTCCCAGGCTCAAGCGATTCTCCTGCCTCAGCCTCCCAAGTAGCTGAGATTACAGGCGCTTGCCACCACACCTGGCTAATTTTTGTATTTTTAGTAGAGACGAGGTTTCACCATATTGGCCAGGCTGGTCTCAAACTCCTGACCTCAGGCGATTCACTCGGCCTCCCAAAGTACTGGGATTACAGGCCTGAGCCACCACGCCCGGCCTCCTGGCCCCTTCTTATATTTACTTCAGATTACAGTGTAGATACCACATATCTCAGTGGCCTTCCCTGTGACTCTCTGTCCATCCCTTTCAGGAGCTTTCCTTGCTGCTATCATGTCCCTGACACCCCCTCCCCCACACCACCTAGCCTTGACTTTCCTGCATTTTAATTGTATTTCTCTGTCATCTTCATGGATCATGGCTTTTTCCCCATTATGTCCATGGTCTTGGCACCTGGTAGATGCACACTGTGTGATTGCTGAGTGGATATTGGGTGCAAGTCGGTGGGAGGGGAAAATGTCCTCATTTCTCCCTTGGTATATTTTTCTTTCTATATTCATTTGCATATGTGCTGCTCAGCGTGGGTGTCAGGGAGTTAGGTCATCCTTTTGTTCTCAGATGGCAACTGTCGTTGCTGATTATACTTTGTGACTTACCTGAGTTACTTTGGAGAAAAAAATAAATGTCACGAAAATTTCAATTGACTTGTCAATGCCAACCTGTTTTGGCTCCTAGAGGCTAAGTGGAGACACAAGACCGACAGGTTTCTGATACACACTGTTCTCAGCATTTTGGGTATGCCTGACTTACTCATTCTTTTGCTAGAACATTTTAGATCTGAAGCTGTTTTCTCGAGGGCAGTCTCACGCTGACATTTTTAGGGCAACTGGAATAGTGTTTTGTTGCTGTTCTGGGAAATGTGGGGGAAAGGCCCCCTTATATCCTTGTAAAGATGTCCTCAAATCTAACCTTAGTGACAGACGGGGACTATTTCTAATGAGCCGCCAAGTGGTTCTCATCTGATATAATTCTGCAAGGATTCCTGTGGAGTTGCACAAGATGGGCTTTCCCTTGTATTTGGAATGAGAACATTTAAAGGGGTCAGCCAGTTTCATGCTGGGAAGTCATTCTGCACATATGCTAAGAAATGGATATATGTTTTTTAAAAATGTGAACTCCTTCCCGTCATTGAAAAGGAATGTAAAATGATCTATTTTTCAAAAAGGTGTAGAAATTGATGAGGCAAACAGAAGTCTATGAGTGGTTCATTTATAGGTTAGAAGAGAGCATGTTCTGTGTTTCAGACACTCATAATAAGATGAAGAAATGTCCCAAGATAATTGGGGAGATGCATGGAGTTAATAGGGAATGGTATGTGTATGCTCATGCACTTTCTTTTCTTCTTTCTTCCTTTCTGTCTGTCTGCCTGTCTCTTTTTCATCTAATTTTATTTCTTAATCCAAAGATTGTCTGGTCACCTACTTGATTCTTACTTGGAAAACTGTGTCCCAAGAATATCTTGACATGTGTTTGCCTCACTTAACATGGCCCCTTTATGGGAGGGACTGCATTCAGCAGGGACTGGCCCCCACATTTATGGGAAAGCATTTCAGACTCTGGAGAGAACAAAGCATTTGCTTACATCCCAGTGCAGCTGGTTAGCACCTTTATAGAGATTTAGCAGCAAGCAGACAACAGTTTGTCATTTAAAGTACTTACACCACAATATCATTCTTGTATAAACACACTGGGGGAAGAATTGGGTTTTTAGTTTGTTTCTTTGAGGCATGCCAAAGACTGAGTTTTGAATTTGGCATGGGGGCAAGGAATAGAAATAAAGTGACCCCAACTTAGGTAAATATAAAGATCTGTTGCGTGGAACCAGAGAAGTGATGGGAAGACAATGCCCAGGAAAGTGGGGTGAGTAGAGATGGGGCCTTAGAAAATGGTCTGTGCCTTCCTGAGAGAATCCTAATATACTTATCAGAGAGTTAGGAGGCTCTGTGCTTTGGCATTTGAGATAGGAAGAGACAGGTTAGAGGTGGCTGATCTTCATGGCAGAGAATAGGACTTAACATGAAATCTAATGTCTAGTACTTTTCTGTGATGATGTACTATGTAAAGTCTCCGCAGTTTTACCTTTCATGGTATCCCCAGCCTTCTAGGCAGCTCACGCAATTGCCTGCTCACACATTATTTTATTATTTATTTAGTTAGTTAGTTTTGAGATGCAGTCTCCCTCTACCACCCAGGCTGGAGTGCAGTGGCACAATCTCGGCTCACTGCAACCTCTGCCTCCTGGGTTCCAGTGATTCTCCTGCCTCGGCCTTCTGAGTAGCTGGCAATAGAGGCATGTGCCACCACATCTGGCTAATTTTTGTATTTTTAGTAGAGATGGGGTTTCACCGTGTTGGCCAGGCTGGTCTCAAATTCCCGATCTCAGGCGATCCGCCCGTCTCGGCCTCCCAAAGTGCTGGGATTACAGGCGTGAGCCACCGCACCTGGCCTCACACATTATTTTATCCCCTGCTATGTAACCACTTTCATCTATTCGGGAGCCTTGCCAGTTCTTTCTCCTCATTGTGTCCTCTGATGCTTTGCATAGTGTCTGGCATCTCGTTAGAAGTTCATCAAATGTATATAGAATTGCTTATAAGGTCACAGAGTAATGGAGGGTGTATTAGCTAAGGAAATGCTAGCTGCTGTAACAAATAAACATACAAATGTTTAATGACTCAAACCCAATAGGTATTTTTCTCCAAATTGACAAGGCCTCTCTTGCAAGCATTGTTTCAGACACCCTTTGTTCTTACATTTTATGGCGCCACCATCTTCTGCATGTGTTTTCCAAGTCTGCCAACTTGAGAAAAGAGCAAGGGTCATGTAAGTAAAATTGTATGGACCTGTCCTGGAAGTAGTATATATCACTTACACAAACACTCCATTGAAACAGGTGAACATGTTCACAAAAGAGGGAGAAAAGGGCCCAAAAGTTATTTATGAATTTATGCTGTCTTTTGGAATTAGATGATAATTCCCTAGAGGGCAAGGATAGTGCTTTCTATATATTCTTTTATCTTTCTTGGTGTTTCTCACATTTTTAAGCAAATAAGCATGGGGAGGTTTTTGGTTGACTGACCTTGAGCTTGCATTTTCTCATCTGTAGAATTCTGTTTGCCTAACAAGGGTAGGAATTTGGAGTCAGGGAATCTTTTTGCTGCTGGTGATCTGATGAGATCATTTGGTCCAGCTGGGGCTGTTTGTATTAATTAAGTTTCTTAGAGTTCTTAGAGATGCATGTGCTTAGATAAAATGCAAGAAAAACAAAAAACAAAAAACAAAAAAAAACACTGTCAAATGTCCAGCAAGATTTTCTATGGTTTCCCCAAGCAGTTGTTCATTAAGAGGAAAGGCAGAGAGTTTTTCACTGGGGAGGGCTTATTACTCTAATGTTCCATTGGACCATTTCTTGAATACCTTGTTACTGAGTTGACTTAACATTTGAGATAGCATCCAGTGCACCTGATGTATTTCGAGGGGAGAGCTAATAATGACACTTATATGCCAGCGGAATATGACTTAGGTAAGATGAACAATCATTCTATGCAGGCAACATTAGATGTAGACATTACCTAGTTAGTTGTATCTTTGCAGTAGTCCAGCGAGTTTGTTTTCCCATCTTAAGTTGAGGAGACTGAGGTCTTGAGAGCGTGAGTAGCTTGTCTAAGAATGTAACTAATGAAATGAAGGAGCTGGAATTTGAACCAGGTAGCTTGCTGAGCCAGTATTCAATAAAAGAGAGTGTTTTCTCTTCTCTCTGGTATGAATATTATACTGAAGATAAAGGAGAAAGAAGTGATACCAGTTCAGTGTTCCTGGAATGCTGGCCATTTCTGGGAAGGATTGGATGAAAAATCTCGAGTTGATTGGTCAAGTTGCTGTGTTGGTAGTAAAATAAACATCATTCCACTGACAATTATTATAATAGACATTTCCCTGACAGTTAATAAAGTGGTATAGAATACTACTGATAATATAATCCCTGTTGCCAGTTTGGCTGCTAAATCCAAGAAACCCCTGGGCAATGGTTAGACAAATACATTCTTGCATTGTTACTTATTTAAGTCATGTCACACATGACTAGACAGCATTTCCATCATTTGAAAGCCTTTCGTTATTGCCTTCTCTTCAATGCTGTGAATCTGTATGGACTTGGACTTGCAGATGTGTTGTCATTATCATCTGTGTTTTGCATAGCCACATGTATTTTTTTTTTTGATAGATCACCTTCAGTGTAGGTTAATATTTTTAGCAAAAGTAAGACATAATATTTTGATCCTCTTTTCTGACTATTTGAAACTTTGTATTAAAGTATGGGTTGTTTTCTCAGGACCAACTAATGTGGCTGACATCATTTCCAAATTGGAAAGCCATGTTTTTCTCCTACCAATGATGTAGCTATTTAAAATTCACAGGGGGTGAAAGAGAAAGCACACACACAGTCAGCTCTGACAGGCGAGACACACACGTGGCCCTGGATGGGTGCTTCATATATGGCGTATGTGTCGATTGGCTAAGTGAATGAATGAACAGAAGAATGAGTCTTTTCTTTTCTTTTCTTTTTTGAGACAGAGTCTTGCTCTGTCACCCAGGCTAGAGTGCAGTGATGTGATCTCAGCTCACTGCAACCTCTGCCTCCCGAGTTCAAGCGATTCTCCTGCCTCAGCCTCCCAAGTAGCTGGGATTGCAGGTGCCCGCCACAACACCCAGCTGATTTTTGTATTTTTAGTAGAGATGGGGTTTCACCATGTTGGCCAGGTGGGTCTTGAACTCCTGACCTCAGGAGATCCACCCGCCTTGGCCTCCCAAAGTGCTAGGATTACAGGCATGAGCCACCACACCCGGCCTACAGCAGAATGAGTCTTATTCTGGTTAGTATATTTCATTTTCTAGAAAATAACCAAGATAATATATTTTAGGAATGAGATTAGGATACAAAGTATGAGCTCATTTTTCTTTTGGTATAATTGCAAACTTAACACAGATAGTTGCAAGAATAATGCAAGAATTCCCTATGCCTTTTAGCGAGATTTACCAATTGATTATACTTGGTTCCATTTGTTTTTCATTCTTTTTCTATCCCTCCTTCTCATACTCTCAGATACACACACGTGTGCACACACACACGTTTGCATTGTGCTTTTCCTAAATCCTTTGACAGTAAGTTTGAAATCTCAAGCACCCTTACCATAAAATGCTTCAGCATGTATTTCCTTACAAGGCCGTTATTTTACGTAACTGCAGTACATTAATCAAGCGGGAGGTTTAGCATTGATAAAAGACTGTGGCACGATGTTGTCAGTGTCTCTGATCTCTTCTGTAGCTGTTGTTTTGCCTAGTCCAGAATCCAATCCAGGATCATGTACTGTATTTAGTTGTCACTCTCTTTTATAAGTTTGTATTTAATGAGCGTTTGATTAAACAAAATGTGTTACGGAATCTCAGATGAACGACACTGGCCATTCTTCTAACCCATTCTCCTGGCTGCAAACAAAATCATTTTGAAACATCAGAGACAGAGCGTATTCTGACCCTTGTTCCTTCCTTAAAAAGATGACGTTTTTTGTTTCCTTTTGTTTTAGCAACTTTCCTTAGTAATCTCTTCCTGGTCTCACTACCCTGGTAGCAGCAGTGTTTTTGCTTATGTTGAACCAGTAAAGGTGAGCTAGATATAACTTATGTTAAGTGCTGTTTTCTTCACAATGTTACATTCTTGAGTTACTTTTTTTCTCTTCTGTAGCCACACAGCACAAAAGTCTCCCTTTCTCCTCCCCCTCCCTCCCTAGACTTTATTTCACTATGGGACTTTGCAGTAATGTTAGATTGGCTCTGGCAAAGGCATTTTGATGACCCCTGTCTCCGATCATTATAGTAACTAATAAAAGCTTGAAAATGACTGTTACCCTGCAAGCGTGATTCCAATGACTTGCGGCGAGCTCAGCTGTATAAATGTGCAGTTTTTTTTTTTTTTTTTTTTGCTGTGTAAATTTTGATCAAAGGGAAATGCGTATACCATTTAGTTGAACGTTTCTTTTAAATTTAATCACATCTTAGTGTAAAACAACAAGCAGAAATAAAATGGCATTGGAAATGTGAGCTTAAGATTCAGAAAGAATGGAGATACTGGTCCACATAGCAGCTTTCCATACCGCGTTGTGTGAAGCATTTTGGTTCGATGCAGAGGGTATGGGATAGATGGCATGAATACTATAGCCATGGTTATATATTCAACAGAAAGGCCTGTTTTGGTTATGAGAGGGTCTAGAAATGCCAGTTTGTAACGAAGAGAATGGAGGTCTGTCGTAAAATTCACAAACTAAACTTTTTGAGTTAAACTTGAAAGCAGATAGCCTGGCTATCTTTATGCTGTTTAATTAAAATTTTGACTTCTATAAAAAATGGTAGTTTTAGTATTTTTCTTTTGAAGTTGCCTGCTGTGAGTCTAATTAATTTTTATTTAATAATAGGTTTGCATCTTTGAACTGTTTTTCTTGTCTTAGGGCTGGGTATCTTGTTAGTGAGTGGAAAGGAATGTTGGAAGAGGAGCGATAAAGGATGTTTCAGTCCCTTACTGGGCGTGGTGTGAGATGAATTCTGAGGTTGTGACTGGGCCCAGTGGGCGAGAGCATTGAGCTGCTCACCTGGGTCGGCTCCACATGCAGGTCACAGAACTGTGGTGTACGTGCTGGGTATTTGCTGAGCTTAGACAGGTCTGTTTTTTCAACTTGTATGAAGGAGAAAAAAGGAGGTGAAGAGAACATACCCTTCCCAACAGGGGGGAGAGCCTTCACAGAATGTCCACTCCTGGATTCATTCATCTATTCAATTGTTCAGTCAACAGATATTTACCAAGTGCCTGTTTTGTACATGACACTGTTCCAGGCATGTGGGATAAATCAATGAACAAAACAGACAAAGATCCTGGCCTTGTGGGCACTCATTCTGGGGAGAGAAAGGATGCAGACAGACAGACATAATAAGTAGATTAGTTAGGAGGTTAGAAGGGGTGTGCAGGAGAAGAAAAACCAGGGAATGAGGTTGGCAGTTCTGTGGAGTGAGAGTGGGCTGTGCTTTTGATTGTGACGCCAAGTAGTTCTTTTTAAAGGTGCTGTTTGAGTAAGGACTTGAAGGAGGTGAATGAGTTAGACTTGTAGAACATTCCAGGCAGAGGGAACAGTTAATCAAAGACCCTATGGTTGGGGGCAAGTCATGCATAATCAAAGGGCAGTCAGGAGGCTGCTGTGGCCAAGAGGAGTGGACTGGGGGAGTGTGGTGAGAGATGGGGCCTGAGAGCCAGTTGGGGCCATACCATTAAAGGACTTGCCTTTGTCAAAGTCAAAATATAGAGACAAGTGTCTAAATTCAGTGTTTTATTTGGGAATCACAGAATTGCAGTTCAAGGCATATGCACAGACTCATTGGAGCAAAGTTTGAGGATTTTATTAGACATAGTTTTATTAGAAATGGAAAGAAAGCTCACTGGCAAGAGAAGCAGCTTAGGGGAGCTGGCAAGCTCTGAACAGCGAGTGACGGTGATAGGTAGAGCTAGCCTTAAGAGTTGTGGCAGGTCATTTCAGCAGCTATTAGGTAAACCCGGTCTTATGGTTGCAGCAGGCAGTTTCAGCAGCTGGGCTTGCAGAGAATTACATTCTTGGAGCCATGCTATGTGCCCTGAGTGCCTTTATCCTCCAGGCCCTCAGAGTGATTCAGTTTGGGGTATGACAAAGAATGACCCATTCCACATCATGAACTTTCACACCTTGCGCTACACCCTGACCCATTTTGTATAATCAACTTTCACACAGTTCTGGTGCGAGAGGTGGAGGTGTTGATCTGCTATAAGTTTTAAGAAGTTCTCTTTTGCTACCGTGTTGAGAATAGACCACGGGTGGGGTAAGAGAAGGAGCAGGGAGTCCTGTTAGGAAGCTTGGCGGGGAGATGATGGTGGCTGTGACCAGGAAGTTGGTAGCGAAGGAGGGGAGTACTGGCTTTTTATATCTGTTTTGAAGGCAGACTCTATGGGATTTCCTAATGGAATAGATGTAGAATTTAAGAGAAAGACACGAGTCAGTATTGACTCAAAGATGATTGGCCTGAGTGTGATGAGAAGGATATAGTTGCCGTGGACTATGATTGGGAAGGACAAGTTGTGTTGGGGAAGGATGTGGTCAGAGCCTGCTTGAGATTGAAAATCACGTGGATAGAGCCTGCTTGAGAGGGTAAATCAAGTTCTGGACGTGTTGAGTCTGAGATGTCTAGACATTCCAGAGGACAGGCTGTAGAGGCAGATAGGTACACACATCTGGAGTTAAGGAAAGAGGTATGGGCCAGGTTGGGAGCCCAGGGAGTTAGGAATGCCTGGTAAATGCTACTGGAGCAGGCTGTTTTCATGTTCCCCTAAAACTGACCTTACTAGTATCTCAGGGATCCTTCTGTGTGTTTGCCGTGTAAGGAGATGCTCAGTTTAACTCTTGAGGGTGACGTTTCCTTGGTGTTAGGCATTGGTGCTTGAGCCGTAGGGCTGGCGTGCTGGTTCTGTGTACCTAAAGGAAGCTCTCAGAGTCACAGAAAGTCTGAAATAAACACAGGGGTGGAGATGGTCTTTCCTCCCTCATTACTGTGTGTGGGAAGAGATGACGGCACCAGGATGTGGGACAGAATGGAACTGAGAATCCAAGTTGGTTGACTCCCTTTCTGTTCTCTTTCTACTCTACTGGGTAGTGACCAGCTGTTGTATGAAGTGGCATTCACAAATGAATAATCCAACACCTTTGCTTCTCTCATCCCTTTATTCATCTTTTGTCACCCAGGAAAAGTTGGATTGCATTGTAGAAAGAAGAGGACTACTATTGCTTTTCTGTCTTAAATATGTACTACTTAAGTGTGTTGTGATGGGGGAAAAATAGACTCTTCAGGAACATGCATATGGTGCTTTTGGTAACAAGGCAATAAGGTAATAGGTGGAGGAAGGTTAGGAGTTCATTTTTGGGTGGGGATTTCTTCCTTTGTGTCTGCAAGAGAGGTGGGATATGGCTCTGGCTTTTTACCTTGCTTACAGGGTGTGTCTGCTCTTAAATCTTCTCCTGAGATGGGGCCTAGGCTATGCTGCCTGTCCTTAGCCAAGATAAGAGGTCATTTAGGGGCCAGGTATATTACCCTACCCTTCGCCAGGCCCTATATCCTGTCTCTAAGGCACCACTGGGAGGCAATATAGCACAATGTGAACTAGGTTCAACCCCTGGTTCCCCTCCACTTAATTACTATGTGACCTTGAGCAGGTGACTTCCCATCTCTGAGCCGTGGTTTTCTCACGTATAAAGATGCATTCCTACATCAGAGCTTTGTTGTGAGGAACCAAATGGGAAAATCTATGTCAAGGGCTGAGCACTGCACTTGGCACAAAGTAAATGTTGACTAAATGGCAGCTATTATTGTTGTCGTCATCACCAGCAGTTCCGTCAACTCCTACCTGAGCCTTAGGCCAGTTTTGTTAAGATTAATTTAGTTTCCAAAAAAGATGTGCTAATTGGATTATTACATTTTCATGTGTTTACATCTATATATACATGCATGGCTTTGAAATCTACACATGAATATATTTATCCATTCAAGTTTCTCTTTTAAAAATCTGTAAGGATTATATTTTTAAGTCATTGAACCATGATGAGATTCTTTTTCAAAAAAAGGATTGCTATAAGTGATCATTATGTAGGCCATCAAAATGGAGAATAATGTAGACATGGAGCTAAAAGAAAACCAAAAAAAAGGAAGTCAGTGTTCATACAGGGCCACCAATTGAGTGCATATTTTTATGGCCTGGTTATTTAAAAATATTGGCACTTGCCTACATTGTTTAGGATTGGATGACACAGACAGAGATGTTTTGGGGTTGGGGTAATTTTTTTTTTTTTTTTATTAATTCTACAACTTGTAGACTTGTAATCAGGAGTGGCTTATCAGCAGCTTTTCAAAATCTGACATTCCACATGGAATGCCCCAATGGAGGAAATTTAGCACTCTGTGAATGCTTTTACAGTTGAATTCCACACATATGAATTATGACAAGTGAGGCTGACTACACTGTGGTTTGTTGTGTCTGGTCTGGTTCCTACTTTTAAAGTTGCAGTTGCGTTTGGTCATTTGAAGCTTATTTTCACAGTCTGGCCAAGCCAGCAGGGTCCCGGGGCTCTGCAGGGGACATAAACCACCAGCCTTTAAGCCAGAGTGCTCAGTAGATAAGCATTTCAAGACTTCATTGCATCATACAAAAGGACTTATGGGCTTATTTAACATACACTATTTGACTTAATTTAGATATTTAATGGAAAGAAAAGCCTTTTATTATCACCGAAGGAAAGAACTGCCAAACATTGTGAGGCTCAGTTGAAATATTATAACGGATATACAGAGTGCAAATATATTTCACTGCCTTACATAATGGGGTGTTTAATAATAGTTGTTTCTTTAAATTTAGCACACGTATCTCAGACATTTGCACTTTGTAAATTATAGGCCGTGGTTCAAGAAACTCAGTTTTAAAAAAATTGTTTTAATGAGGCATGTACTGATTTTTTAAAAATGACCTTCAGCTTTGATTTATGTTTATGAGCCCAGATTGGGGAGTTCATGCCAGGAATGAACACTTTCCGTCCTGACTTTTTACAAATGTAAATATGAGCAATGGCTGGGTCTGCTGACTCGATTGGACAGAGCTTAGTTGAACATTGCAGTTGGTAGGCATCAGCCCCCTCTGCAGGTCTGGTGGCTGGGAAGAGCAAGGAGCTCACTACAGCACTGGGAGGACACTACACATAAGTGTCTAGGGGGAAGCCTTTCCATTGTGCTGCACCTGTGTGCTTTCATTTTCTGAAGTACCTGGACTGGCTCAGATTGCCAAAGCCCAAGGCCCAAGATCAACTGATTTTTTTTTTTTAGAGACAGAGTCTCACTCTGTTGCCCAGGCTGGAGTGCAGTGGTGGGATCTCAGCTCACTACATCCTCTGCCTCCTGGGTTCAAGCGATTCTCCTGCCTCAGCCTCCCAAGTAGCTGGGATTACAGGCAAGTACCACCACACCTGGCTAATTTTTTGTATTTTTAGTTGAGACGGGGTTTCACTGTGTGGGCCAGGCTGGTCCTCAAGTGATACACCCGCCTTGGACTCCCAAAGTGCTGGGATTACAGGAATGAGCTACCGCACATGGCCTGACTCTTCTTATTTATTTATTTTTTGAGACAGAGTCTTGCTGTGTTGTCCGGGCTGGAGTGCAATGGCGCAATCTCGGCTCACTACAACCTCCGCCTCCGGGGTTCAAGCGATTCTCCTGCCTCAGCCTCCCTGGTAGCTGGGATTACAGGTGCCTGCCACCACACGCCTGGCTAATTTTTGTATTTTTAGTAGAGATGGGGTTTCACCATGTTGGCCAGGCTGGTCTCCAACTCCTGACCTCAGGTGATCTGCTCGCCTTGGCCTCCCAAAGTGCTGGGATTACAGGCGTGAGCCACCGTGCCTGGCCTGATTCCTTCTTTTTAGAGACAGAGTCTTGCTCTCTTGGCCATCCTGGAGTGCAGTGGCCTAATCATAGCTCATTGCAATCTGAAACTCCTGTGCTCAAGTGATCTTCTTGCCTCAACCTCCTGAGTAGCTAAGAATCAGGTGCATGTCACTGAGCCCGGCTAATTTTTAATTTTTTGTAGAGACAGAGGCTTCTTTATGTTGCCCAGGCTGGTCTTGAACTCCTAGCCTCAAGCAATTCTCCCATCTGAGCCTCCTAGAGCATAACTGATTCTTAATTTGGGGCCTAGCTTGTCCTTTCAGGAGGTGAGGAGCTGTTGTGGGTTGAATTATGTCCTCCCCCCATGATGTATACACTGAAGCCCTCACCCCCAGTACCTCACTCGGAATGTGACTGTATTTGGAGATAGGGACTTTAAAGAGATAATTAAATTAAAAATGAGATCATTAGGATGGGCCCAAATCCAGTGTGACTGGTATCCTAATAGGAAGAGGAGATTCTAACAAAAACCCACACGGGAAGACCGTGTGATGACACAGAGGGAAGATGGCCAAAAAGAGGGGCCTCAGGAGAAACCCACCCTGTGGATACCTTGATCTTCGACTTTCAGCTTCTAGAGTCATGAGCAAATATTAATGAATGCCTGTGGTTCAAGCCACCCAGTCTCTTGTACTGGGTTACAGCAGCCCTGGCTGACTAATAAGGGAGCATACAGTATCAGAATCTGCACAAGGGCATGCTTCATCTCTATTCTCTATTATAATACAATGCTTAAATATGAAAAAATGATGGCAAGAAAACCATTACAAGGAAGAAACCCATAATGACTGGCGAAATCCATACGGAGAGTGGAGCTGTATCAGAAAATGCCAAAGTAGTCATGATGGGTCAGGTTTATTGAGAAGTCCCAGTGGGCTGAATGCAGAGCTCAGTGTCTCACATACATTTTCCCCTTTTGTCCTCACCACAATCCTGTGAGCTATGAGCTGTTGCCCTCTTCATCTTGTAAGCAAGGAAACTGAGGCAAGGAAGTTAAGTGACATCCACGAGATTTCAGAGCCAGCCAGGGTCAGAGCTGGAATTCCAAGGCAGGTATCACTCTGCAGACCTAAGTTGTTTCTTTGACAGCCCTAAGCCCTTGGGAGGTTGGGGGCCAGAGAGGGGTGGTTGTAGGATCTATTACGATAATTGGTTAAAAGATATTGGGACACATTGCCTTAACGATGTTTTGGTTCCATCTGCAGAAAGAGGCTATAAAACGTATTGAGTAGAGTGAAGATGTCACTCGTAAAACAATGAGTATCACTCATATTACAGAGCCCTCAGGATCTGTGAGCCCTGATCCAAGCCCTGTACATACCTGCCTATTTCTAACTCACAGAGGCCTGAGCAGCTTCCCCAGAGCTTCTGGGAGTTCTGCACCCAGGCCGTCTGACTCCAGCACCTGGACCTCTAACCACTGGGTAGGCACTGCCTTCCCTCACGAGCCCAGCGCCTGCCTAGCATCTGCTTCTGTCACAGTGAGGGAAAGATGGTGGCTGCCATTTGAGCTTTTAAAACAGAAAAATACTTTGTCCCCCAAATTTCCTCCCTTTATTACAAACATGATTTATGATAAATGTAAAGAATCTAAAAACCAAATCAAAGCTAGAATAAACATTATCTGTAGTGCCACCCCCTAAAAAGAATTACTTCTAGTATTTTTGTCAGCTTTTCTAGTCCTTTTTCCCCCTATAGAAATATACTTAATGCAGCCATAAATATACTAATAAGTTTATAGGCAGCAGCACTCATTAGAAAAGAGCAAGAGCTTTGGAATAAGACTTGGGTTTAAATCCATTTACTAGTTGTGTGTATTTGGACAAGTTATTTTATTTCCCTGTGTCTCCATTTGCTGTCTGTAAAATGGGGATAATAACACTTCATTGGATTTTGCAGTAGCCTAGCATATGTAATGTGCTTATTCCTGTCAGCTGGCACACAGTAAGTACTCAAATAACTTTAAAAAGTAGCAGTTTTGGGCTGGGTATTGTGGCTCATGCCTGTAATCCCAGCACTTTGGGAGGCCAAGGTGGGTGGATCACGAGGTCAGGAGATCGAGACCATCCTGGCTAACATGGTGAAACCCCATCTCTACTAAAAATAGAAAAAATTAGCCGGGCATGGTGGCAGGTGCCTGTAGTCCCAGCTACTCTGGAGGCTGAGGCAGGAGAATGGCGTGAACCCGGGAGGCAAAGCTTGCAGTGAGCCGAGGTTGTGCCACTGCACTCCAGCCTCGGTGACAGAGCGAGACTCCATCTCAAAAAAAAAAAAAGCAGTTTTGCAACATATCATTCAATAGACATTTGGTAAGCAGGTATGATTTGGGGCTCACGTTTCCTTCTATGCCCTTGTTTGTTTTTACAATACTTTTTAATGGTTGCATAATATTTCATTATCATATGAATCAGAAATAGTTTTTAACTGACATTTATTTTTCTGTTTTCATATACTAGATAATGCTGTGATGTATTCCTTTGTGACCTTGTAGTTGAATTCTCCCCAGTGATTACTATTTTGTTAAAAGCATGCATTCCTGTTCACTCCTTACTCTTTGGAAGGGATTCTAAGTCTTGTTGAAGCATATCACCACCCAACTGGAAAGGCGGTGTCAGTTTACCCTGGCCCTGGCTGTGCATGAGAGTACCTGTTTCTATTTGTGAAACTTTAATGTAAAATTAGATCAATGGGCATGAAAGAAAACTGGGGCATAATTAAGTTCTGTGGTTCGCTGACCCAAATCTGGTACCATGAAGGACTGGCAGCAGCTCACACATTTGAGAGAGGAGAGAGCAGCCGGGGACACTGTTGTTCACTTAGTTGTGTGGTCCAAGCAAAGATGAGAACAGCAGCTCTCAGGTGTGGAGCCGTTGCTGGTTGACTAGGCATTGAGCACAGTGCTCTCCAATTGGATAATTTAATCTCAGCAATGCTTGGAGGTAGGGACTTTCATTAGCCCCATTTTATAGAAGCAGAAATGGAGGTTTAGAGAAACTGTAAAGTGTGCAGAATTACAAGGCTACTCTATGGCAACGTTGGGAGCTGAACCCAGGTGCCCTGATGTTCAGCTTCCTGCTCTTGTCTTAGGATATTAGTAATGGAGGTGGAAATCTGGATGCAAGAGCCAGCACTGAGCCTAAGTCAAGGGCAAACGTGGTAGCTGGCTGGTACTGAGGGGAAGGACCAGCTTCCCCCAGTTGTTCAGCTTCCTGCTCTTGTCCTAGGATATTAGAAATGGAGGTGGAAATCTGGATGCAAGAGCTAGCAGCGAGCCTAAGTCAAGGGCAGACGTAGTAGCTGCCTGGTACTGGGGGAAGGATACCGTGGAACCCCTTAGTTGGAAAAGTTATCAGCTAGTTGGAAAAGAAAACCTGGGGATTTGGCAAACACAGGGAGGTGAGGAGGGGGAGCCAGTGTAGGGAGCGTGTGCGGATTCGAATAGCAGATACGCCGCCGTGGAGACAGGAGATGTAAAACTACCACTTGCCCTGTTTCAAGGTTTACATGCATTATCCCACTTAATCTTCAAACCACTCCATGATGTAGGAAGTATCATTACCTCTGTTTTGCAGCTGATGAAACAGAGGCCCAGAAAACTTAAATAGGGTTGGACCACGAGTATCACAGCCAGGATCGGACCCCAGGCAGCCAACTCCCAACACTGCCGAAGCCAACTGCGAACTAAGGCTCAGTGGAGAATTTGCAACCTGGGATATATTTGTTGGAAGTGATTGCTCCCTCCTTTTGAACTTTGCAGCAATTATTGTCTGTAGAATTCATCTGGCAATTAATCATGTACTCCCGGTGACAAGGCTCTTATTGTTGTCTTGAAATGTTATTTAAATCGCACATTGTTATTTAACTTCTTGCCCAGAGAGGCAGACTGTGCCTGGGTATCCCCCACCTCACCCAGTGCATGTGGTACCACAGTGCAATAAATGTTTGATTTAATTTCATTTGAGAGGCTTCCGGGCGGAAGTGATAATCTCATCCTTTAGACTTTAGTGACAGGTGACATTCGTGGAGGGGAAGAAGTAGGAGAGGAAGGGGGACGATGCCCACAGTTGTGATTCAGAAGAAAATGGGAGAATTGAAGGGAGACCGAGAGAAGAATAGAAAGCATCCCTCTTCAGGGCTGGGCGCAGTGGCTCACGCCTGTAATCCCAGCATTTTGGGAGGCCGAGGCAGGCAAATCATGAGGTCAGGAGATCGAGACTATCCTGGCTAACACGGTGAAACCCTGTCTCTACTAAAAATACAAAAATTTAGCCGGGCGTGGCGGCAAGCGCCTGTAATCCCAGCTACTCTGGAGGCTGAGGCAGGAGAATCGCTTGAACCTGGGAGGGGAGGCGGAGATTGCAGTGAGCCTAGATTGCACCACTGCACTCCAGCCTGGGCGACGGAGTGAGACTCCATCTCAAAAAAAAAAAAAAAAAAAAAAAGCATCCCTCTTCTACAGTCCAATAGGAGGACTGAGTGCATGCCTCATATGCCGTCATAAACTCCCTCCTTGTCTCCTGTCTTGGGGGAGATGTCCTGTCTCATTTCCAAGCTGCACTACCAGGGGTGACTTGGGTCCTTGCTTTTCTGCTTCCCGGGTTTGCCTGACTTCACGCAAGAAGCCAAGGGTTTTAGACAGTGGGAGGCAACGTAGAGGTCTGAACAGAATTATAACTCTATGTTGCCAGGTTGTCTTTATTTTGGGAACCATTCCAAACGTTCCTACTTTTCCTGTTTGAGCTGTTGGAAAAATGGTACTCAGTAGTATTCACTGGTGGTTAAGGGACGAGGCTTGGGTTTCAGAAAGATGTGGCTCTGTCACTGACTGTGGTCTTGGGTAAAGGACTTCCCTTCACCAGCCTTGGTTCGTTCATCTGTAAGATAATAGCATTTACTCTTGCCACCGTTATAAGGCTTAATAAGAGGGTGGATGAAAATGCTATGGACAGAGTACCTCATGTGCAGTGCAGCACAGGCTTTGCACATGTTAGTTGGTGTTAGAACTGGAAGTACCCAGGAGAATATCCAAAAGTCCTACGACCGCATTGAACACCAGGGTGAAGGACCAGCGTGTTCCTTTCCTTTCTCATATTTGCAACAGAAATGTCACCACTTGGGCTCCGTGACACTTTTCTTGATGACATTGTCCTGATCATCAGCTCTTCCCTTGGCGCCTCGAGACATTTCCAAACCACATCATTCCACACACCCTGGAATGTGCACGTTTCCTTTGTCAGAAGGAACTGTGGCCATCAGACGTTGGACAGCTCTGAGCCGGGTTGTTTTCTTCTCATCTACTTACTGTTGTGCTGAAGTTTGGTTTTATTTTTTAATGTAAGAATTGTCTGGAAGTTATTCTTCAGTCATTTCATTAGTCATTTACTTTCTTGGTTTTGAAAATTGAGGAAAAATTACTTTGAGGCAGTGGGTCAGATGAGCGTGGCTGGCTGGGTAACCCATTTCCCGCTGAGTCACCTGTCTGCTCAGACAACTAAATGCTGAAGTATGCTTGATGACTAGTCACTGGCCAACGTCATATTAATCTGAAATTTCGTTTCTGCTCCTTTTAAGTTATGGTAGCTTTGGTTCCTTGGTGGGTTTTTTGAAAGTGCTCCAAGTATTGTATTGATTGGATGATGTAGCCTGGAATTCTCGGTTATCCCCCAAAGTGTTTTTTTCGATTTGAGGCATAAAATTATGACATAGTATTGTTCAAAAAGATGGGATTCAAATGCCTTCATTTTATAAGAAGGGAAACTCAGGTTCCGAGAAGCTCACTGACTTGCGAAACATCTCAAACAGTTGTTGGCAAAGCTGGGATGGCGTTGATCTTCCTGGGAATTTGTGATGTGTACTCACCCCCTGGGTCTTGCTGCACTTCTGCTAAAACTACCTGGAAATTATTTATTTTGGTCTTCTTCCTTGATAGAAGAGAATCTGAAAGTCAGGAATAGTGGCTGCCTCCAAATGCCCTTGGCTCCTTCTCCTGACCCCCTAATGAGCATGTCCCCAGAGCATGTTATAACCTTGGAAAACAAGGCTACTTAGTATGTTTGTACTCTGATGCCTGTATGTTCTGTACATGATCTGGCCTGAATGATGGATGAGGCTCCATACAGGCTTCCTGTGTCTTCTGCCATTCTCCCCTCCCTACAGTACCATACCTGACGAAATAATAACATCGAGTCACTGAGGAGGTTTACCATAGTGTGGTGCTACAACCTTAATTCGTGGTGTTTTTTTTTTTTTTTTTTTTCGAGACAGAGTCTCGTTCTGTTGCCCAGGCTGGAGTGCAATGGCACTATCTTGGCTCACTGCAACCTCCACCTCCTGGGTTCAAGTGATTCTCCTGTCTCAACCTCCCGGGTATCTGAGATTACAGGTGTGTGCCACCACATCCAGCTAATTTTTGTATTTTTAGTAGAGATGGGGTTTCATCATGTTGAAATTCTGTTTGCTTTTTAACTTAACTTGAGCATAAGCTTAGAAGATGATTTGGGGGCTGGGGGCTTTATTTATTTTAGCAAGTAATTTGGCCTGTATTTTTATTCCTTTAAGTAATTTGTAACTAACTACAAAGGCCTCTGGTAAGATGGCTTTTGTTTCTAGTTGGAACATGGAGACCAAGAGAACTCTCTAGAAAACAGATTTGGCTCCACTGCTATGGGACTTCACACTTACCTCCACAGAGGGGCTCTTCTGATGCCTCTATGTAAACAGCACTTTTAAATCCTACTTCAGGGACCATTGGTTTTCTCTCAAGAGATATGTTCCTTTTTTTTCTTCTCTTAACTCTTTTGTTATTTTACTCCTTTTCCAATAATGGAAGGCTTTTCAGTTTTACATTAGAGGCTACTACTTGTTTTTTTTTTTTTTTCTAATTGTAAAGCAGGCAAAAATCATCACAGAAAACAGATCTCAAAAGAATTGCACTTAGTGTTGTGACCTAGTTGGTTTCTTCATTCTTTGAAACATTATTTGATTTTTCCTCCCGTATTAGCTGTTATGTATGCCGGTTACATAACCTTAATTTTTCATGGAAAATATGGATGTCATCAATTAATAGGACTACCCCTGCTGTTGTTATGGCTGGCTTCTTCTAGAATGTTCCCACTGGGGAAACTGAGGCTTAGGTTTGATACTGCAGGATTTGCCATTGTAATGTTTTCCTTTTAGTAACATCATCATTATGAATATAATTCTTGTTCTCATCCAGTAGAGAGCCTTGGTTACCGGCAACCCAGTTCAAGCCTTTGAATAGATACATAGGGATCACCTCTCTAGTGTGAAGATGAAAATAATATAATTTGTTTACCACCTTGAGTTGTTTACCACAGGCTGTGAAAAATATGTTTTGAATTTAAAAGTGTGAAAAACAAGTGTGCTAGCTATCAAAAAAGCTCTCCCCTCAAAGTAAACATGTTTATAGAGCAAGACTCAAAACAAAATACTTGATAAGCCTAGCCAATCAAAAGAAAGTAAACATGTTTACCACAAAAGCCTTATAAAGAACCCAGATGGCAGCCAGCTCTCTGTTCACTTGACCGTCCTTCCAGGGAGCTGCAGAGGCTCCCCTGGGCCTTGGGGACCGGGCCGCCACTTGCCCTGCTAGCAGGGGGCCTGCCTTGTGCTAGCTGTGCTCAGTTAGCTAGACCCAGTTTGCCAGTGGGAACGGAAGGTTTGTGTTTTCTGCCATTTAATTGAATCATGAGTGGAAGGTATTTGTGAAAATGATTCTGGAGTTCCCATGATTCTTAAAGAGCAACTTGTTATAGATAGGGTGCCAAGTGGGCTTCTGGGGGACTCTTCCTGGCTCCCCAAAAGAGCCTTCCTGATGAGCGTCACGCCTCCCAACCTTCTGTGTTCCAGGCGCTGTCGTGCCACCATCCAGGATATAACCTGCAAATCCCAGACCCTGCCTTGCTGATCTCACTCTGCGAAAGAAACCAAAGAGCTTGAACAGGAAGTCAGTAGAAAAGACAAGGCCATCTTGAGGGATACCAGGGTTTTCAGGGCACTGGGTACCACAATATGAGTCTTAGATGATGTAAAAGACACCGAGTTCAGAAACGTGAAGGTGGATTGTGTGCACTGGGAGGAGCAATGGATTCAAGGTGGTTAGTGGCATTAAATTATTTTGACTATAGTCACCTTGCTGTACTATCAACTACCAGGTCTTATTCATTCTTTCTATTTTTTTGTACCCATGCAATGAACATTTTCTTCGAAAGGTCATGTTGTTGTTCAAAAGTGTTTTCACCTTTTGGGCTGGGCACGGTGGCTCACGCCTATAATCCCAGCAATTTGGAGGCCAAGGTGGGTGGATCATGAGGTCAGGAGATTGAGACCATCCTGGCCAACATGGTGAAACCCTCTTTCTACTAAAAATACAAAAATTAGGTGGGTGTGGTGGTGCGTGCCTGTAATCCCAGCTACTCGGGACGCTGAGGCAGGAGAATCGCTTGAACCAGGGAGTCGGAGGTGGTGGTGAGCCGAGATGGCACCACTGCACTCCAGCCTGGCAACACAGCGAGACTCCGTCTCAAAAAAAAAAAAAAAAAAAAGAAAAGCATTTCAGAGTTTGGATTTTTTTGATTAGTGATGCTCACTCTGTAGTAAAATACCTGAGAAAGGTGTTGAAGAGCATTTTTGCCATTTATTTATTTATTTAGAGACGGAGTCTCACTCTGTCACCCAGGCTGCAGAGACTTGATCTGGGCTCACTACAACCTCTGCCTCCCGGATTCAAGCAATTCTCCCACCTCAGCCTCCCGAATAGCTGGGATTACAGGCACCCGCCACCCCACCTGGCTAATTTTTATATTTTTGGTAGAGACAGGGTTTCACCATGTTGGCCAGGCTGGTCTTGAATTCCTGACCTCAGATAATCTGCCCATCTCAGCCTCCCAAAGTGCTGAAATTAACGATGTGAGCCACTGTGCCTAGCCATCCTTGACATTTAGAAGTAACTGCCAGTTGGCTGGGCAGGAAGCGGTGGTTCCCTTACATGTGACTATGAATAGAAAGGTTTCCATGGATCTTGGAATCACGGTGGAGGAAGGTGATGGTACTTTCCTTGAGGGTAGGTGACAGGTGAGGTGGGCTGTTGGCAGAGGAACGACTTGGCTGTAACAGGAATTGAAGAGAGACCAACTCTTTCTTTTTTAGTTGCTTGAAGTTGAAAGATGTAGAATGAGTGGCTTCTGGAAAAGGAGAGAGGGGACATCTTTAAGGGTAAAAGGCAAGTCTCTCCATTCATCCAGATGATGGTAGTGGAAGATGGTGGAGAGAGGTGAGCACTAAGGCCCAGGGGAAGGAGGAGTGGAGTTTCTTCAGCACAGAAGGGAGATTCTGGAGTGTTCTGAAGCCAGCAGGATGATGGTCTATCTCATCCCCAAAGAGGGGAAGTGATCAGTTAGGTCAGTTGTTCTCTAGAGCAGGGTTTGGACATAGATGGGGGAATGGAGCAGACAGATGCCACAGGAAAAATCTCACTAGCCTGCGAGTTTCACATGGAATATTCAGGAGATTGTTAGTGAAAAAGAGAGCAATAAACAAACAAACCGAAAAGGTTTCAGGTTGAGCCTCAGAGCTAGAAAAGTAATTACGTAATTCCCCATGTGTTCTAATTAGTCTAGTGGGTTTACTTAAAAATTTGTTTTTGAGCATAGATACCAATAAGTCCTCTGGTGAGTTGAAAGAAACCTTACTAGTGGAAGATTAATAAAAGGAATAGTGATTGGTTAGTTTTAGGGAACTTCACTGAAACAAAGTTAGTTAAATGGGCTTGCCCAAACCATGGAGGTTGGTGTAGTGACCCATTTGGTTAAATCTGGTGACCGTTTTTTACCAGAACTTTATTAGAACTTAGCGCTAAAGACAGATGCTTATTTAGGGCACGTTTGAGTTATTATTATTATTATTTTAAAAACAGAAGTATTATTTGTTCTTCTTTTCCTAGCCTATGAATTGAGGTGGATTGGCATCTTATTTATGAGCTGACAAACACATACCTTTTTTTGCAGCTGATGTGCTTTTTTGAACTGGGTTCAGCATTGTCAAAAAGTTATTCACAGGAGTTGGTGATGGAGCCCGCTCCACCCACTTCTGTTCCCTTTCTATTTTGGTGCCATTTGCAACAAAGGAAACTAAGTTTGTAAATTAGAGAAGGATTGAAGCTCTCACAAATGCACTTCTTATCAGGTTGTGTAACAGATTAGACAGAGCAGGCTCACTCTTGCTGTGGCACGTGGGACCCGAGGAAACATCCATGCAAACTCCATGAGGTGGCCTTGGCCAGGGGACTCCCAAGTTTTCTGGCCAATCTGATTTAGTTGCATTTAAAAACGAACAATTATGAAGATGTATATATCTGCATGTCTGTATGTTTATATGCACATATGTATACTTGTGCGTGTTTATATGTGTGTGTATATACATACGTATATTATGTGTGTGTATAAAATTGCCATTTAGCATTCTCAAACCAAGGGAGATCCAGTGGGCAACACATTGAATTTGACTTTTGCATAAGGGTCCCTGATGGAAATAGATGGCTTTTAGTTCTCCTAGGCCTTAAGTGGACTAGGGGAGGCAGAGGAGGGCTGAAAGAACCCAGAGAGAGGAGTTGTGTGGAGAGAGCTGCCTGGCAGGGTTGCCACTGGTCAAAGAGGGACTCAGAACTAGAGAAATGAATACCCCATCTTCTGTGGCGTCCTGAGATGAGAGCTCCCATTGGTTGGACAGAGAGCGGCCCTCTAGGACACAGAGCTGGGTGGGGGATAGTGAGTGGAGCCTCTGGAGAAGCAGATGGAAACCATCCAATGCATTTTGTTCTGGAAACAGCTATGCAAGGTAACTGCCATAACTCAACCAGGTAACCCATGGGAGAGGTCAAGGTGGGAAATGAACTCCTTCCTAGATCTTCAGGGTGGGGATAGAGCCTCTAGCTTTAGAGCACTGGTTCTCAAAGGATGGTGCCCGGATCAGTAGCATCAGTATCACCTGGGAACTTGCTAGAAATTCTCAGGCCCCGTCTTGGACCTATGGAATGCAAAACTGCAGGAGAGGCCCAGCAATCTGTGTTTTACAAACCCCCCTGGAGATCCTGGTGCTTGGTCAAGATGTCTGTGAGTTGCTGGAGGCTCAGCATATGATGTCAGTTTGCTGAGAGGGCCTTTGTTGGCATGCTCAGAAATGCCCGTGATGAGCATGTTGTCTGTTATCAATCCACTGCTTGAAATTCTGCAGTTCCTCAATCCTCTTTTTTTAGGATAGACATTCTTCAATAGAAATGGAATACTTGATTACATTTAGGCCATGGAGGCCAATACCCAGTGCAGTTCATTCCTTTAATTTTTAAGCTCTTCTCTCAGCTGTGCAGGCAAGTTCCAGGGCAGACTTTTGGAGGTTGAAAAATAGATGCAAATGCTGTCTGTGCTGTTGTTGTTTTCCTGGTGCCTGGCAGTGTTTGGTAAACAACTTGATTGCTAGGTCCCGGCCTCAGGGAACCACAGCTGCTCTTTCTAGCTCCCTGCAGACTTTTGTACTGAGCAGGGATTGCTTCAGGGAAAAATAAACAGGGGAGAACAAAACAAGAAAACATCACTTGTTGTTTTGTTTCTGCCTCTACCTGTTTTTCTGGAGCTGTTTTGCAACCACAGGCCCTGGGATTTGGGTTCCTTTGCTTTACAGAAACAAGGCAGGCCCCGGTGGCATTCCACGCTTCTCTCTCCATGGCTAGACTGTGGCATTTGGAGTAGCCACAGGACTTGGAAAGCGTTGGAAAGGACTTAGTAGCCACTGCCAGAACGCATGCATTTTTAAATATGTAAATTGAAAAGGGAGAAAGCTTCATTCTTTCTAATGACCCCCAAGATGGTAATCTGGCTTTTCAAATCTCTAGGAAAACAGATTGAATATGGCACAATTAATGTTTCAGCACTTCTCGGCTTTTCTCTAAAATATTTCAATGGGCTTTTAATTTATTGCAGCTCTTGATTAGCAGGGTTGAGGCAGGGTTACTGCTGACCTCCTGGGCCAAGGTACTTCTGGGGCTGTAGTGAAGTGGAAAAGAACAAAGGTTTGATAGTGTTCTCAGCTGGAGCCTCCCAGGGATGAGCCCCTGGGGGTTCACTGAATAATTCCTTCCCCTAAAGTAGTCAGAGAGCAATGCAGTGTTCTTCAGATCTTTATCAGAGTTACCTGGGGTATCTGTTGGGTAGAACAGCAGATTCCTGGAACTTGTTTAAGAATCTCTGGACTATGGAGGGTGGGAACTTGGGCTTCAAGCTGGTGCCTCCCTGCACACTCACATTTGCAGTCCATGGCCTTGGTGATTGATATTGCTACAGTGTAAATACCGTGAGCTGGGGTAGAAAGCAAGTGGGGGTACTGCTACATTTTAAAAAAATGTTTGAGACTTGCACATTGTTTGTTAGTGCATTTACTTTTCACTTACTCTACTTCACAAGTTGGCTGTTCCCTACCTTCTTAAATCAAAAAACTTTCTCCTGGAAATTGTTTCTTTTTGGTCTGAAGTAAGTCTTTTAGAATGTCCTTATAGAGAGGTGATAAACTTCTGTTTGTTTGAAAAAGCTTCTATTTCACCCTCAGCTTTAAGAGATAGTTTTTCTAGTTATACAATTCTACGTAGGCGGGTGGGGGTTTCTGTCATTTTTTTCTTTTCTTTTTTGTTTTTGCCTCTGTACTGTGGAAAGGATAATTTATTTGGGTATCTATCTTCTGGTATTTTTAAAAATTTCAGTTGCTGTATTTTTTTATGTCTAGAGTTCAGAACAGTTAAGTATTTTAGTTAGCTATGGGGTTCCATGAAGATGGAATTCAGTCCTGTGACTGTTGAATTCTTAACAACACACACACACACACACACACACTTCCACACACCACAGTGGTGATTCACCCTTTATTTTTAGATATGCCTGGTTACTTTAAAATATTAGAAGTCAAATAAGACAGCACTAATGACCATACACATAGAGCATTGTTTTTTTTTGTCTTTTTGTTGTTGTTGTTTGTTTCTTTTGTTTTTTTAGACAGAGTCTTGCTCTGTCGCCAGGCTGGAGTGCATTGGCGCAATCTCAGCTCACTGCAACTTCCGACTCCCTGGATCAAGCGATTCTTCTGCCTCAGCCTCCCTAGTAGCTGGCGTCACCATACCCAGCTAATTTTTGTATTTTTAGTAGAGAGGGATTTTCACCATGTTGGCCAGTGTGGTCTTGATCTCCTGACCTCGTGATCCGCCCGCCTCGGCCTCCCAAAGTGCTGGGATTACAGGCGTGAGCCACTGTGGCCGGCCACATAGAGTATTGTTTAACCGATTTATGTCTTAGCTAGAAAGCTGCTACTCACTCCAGTCCGAATGAAAACGAAACTCCCACAGGAAACCTCCACCAGCCCTCTCCTCATGGCTGATCTTTGCTGTTGACTTGCCTACTCCTCACCCCCAAGCCTTCGAGTATGATATTCTGACCTGTGAAATGCGTTTTCCACCCAATCTTCCAATTCCTCCCAAAACCTCAAGATAATGAATTCTTCTAGAAAGCTCTTATCTGCCCAGACACCTACTGTGCTTTTCTGTGTCACCCGTACTGCTTCTCTGTGCTTCTGAATCACTCTGGAATCATAAAACTGGAGACAGTGCATGACCTCATCCATCCTTTGCTACAGGGATTGCAACATGTTTGTTTTGTTTAAATATAACTTATTTAAAAAGTTAGCTGCCATCTTTGAAAAATTCTGGAATTTTACTAAATAGAAATCTAGATTACTGCCTTTATTTGTAGAATTGAAAGCTCTTGAGGTTCTTGAGGGTATGTGCCCATGTGGCAGTAATTGGAGGGGGAAGTACAATGGCTTCCCCCTTGAAGCTGATAAAGTGAGGATTTCTCAGCTTGCCACATTCCTTCCCTCTCCCTGTTACCTTACACCTGGCCTTCCTCGCTCATTTGCATTACCTGCCTGTTACAAAATGTGGCCCATGATTGTTAGTACCAGCATGGTCAGGTAGTGCCAAAATTCACTTGAGCAAGCCTGAGTCAGAAGGGTATATCACAAAAACTCAGGACTTTTATATTAGGGTATTGGCTGGAAAATATAGAGTTCCCATGGGCACAAGCTTTATAGAGTTGAGTCAGGCTGCTAAAACTCCCTGTGCCTCAGTTTTCTTATCCACATATTGAGTTTAAAATAATAATATCTGCTAAGAACTTTGTTGTAAGAATAGAATGAAATAATGATTATAAAAGACTTAAAACAATACCCAGTACATAATGAGTTTTCAACAAATGGCAATTATATTTTTAGAGAGTACCGAAAAGTTACTTCTTTCAGTTGTTGATTCATTTATTCACTCAAAAGATACATATTGAGTACTTGCTATGAGCTGGGCATTTTTCTGAAATTTTGGAGCATTGCGATGAAAAGAAATAGTTCTTTTATCTAATTGAGCTTATATTCTAGTGGGGAAGACAAATGAGCAAATAGATCAGGGCGAAAGCTCTGAAGTAAGCACATAGGATGATATAATTGAGACTAACTTGGAACCTAACTTAAGTAGGTGGGCAGGACAAGCTTTTTGAAGTGGCCTTTGTCCCTAAGTCCCAGTACTGAGAAGGGACCAGTTGTGTAAAGAATGGGCTCATGGCATCTTGGGAAGCTGAGATAGCAAGTGCACCAGCCCTGAGATGGGAAGACACTTGCCTTGCTTGAAACAAAAGGAGGACCACTGTATCTACATTGATTATAGTTTGGGATTGGGTTGGTAGTTAAGGCAGCGTCAGAGAAGTAGAAAGTGGCCAGATTATGTAGGGCCCTCAGGCCATGGAAAGAAATTCAAATTTTATCCTAAAGATGGTAAACAACTTCAGCCCATTTCTTCATTTCTTTTCTTTTTCTTTTTTCTTTTCTTTTTTTTTTTTTCTATGTGACATAGACTTCATGGCTTTAGGGAGCATGTCTGAGCCTTGGAAGTACTTCTTGGATCTCAAAGCTGCTTGGAGGCTTGGAGAATAGGACTTTGCCATTTGACTCGAAGTGTGGTCCATGATTGGTAGTATCAGCATCTCCTGGTAGTTTTCTAGAAATGCAGAATCTCAGGCCCACTCCAGATCTAGTGAATCAGAGTCTTCGGGGATGGGTCCCAGGAATCTGTATTTTGAAATGCTCTCCAAAAGATGCTTATGCACAGAAGTTTGAGAAGCATCAATCTAGAATACATCTGGACAGATTTCTGCAGGACATGGAGCTATGCTCATTGGAGAGGAATGGAAGCCTTTCCTGGGCACCCAGGGGATGCTGCCAGCCGCCGGGATGCTGGCTCAATAGGGTTAGGTACTGGTGCCAGGCTTAGCATTCTAAGCGCTTGAAAAACTCTCTGGTCACAGCACATCTTCAGTGTTGATGGCAGGTCAGCATGAGAGTGAATCATGGTAAAAACAAAACAAAAACCAAAAATCTCTTTTTAATCAGGAAGCTTAAAGGAGAAGTTAATTAGTTTAAAGTATTTAGAAGAAATATGCTTCTTTCAAAAAGACAGAAGCTTAGAGGTAGAAGGAACTTGAAGAGCATCGGTTAATGCCCTGACCCTACAGGTGAAGAGACTGGAATCGAGATGATAAATGGCTCTCCTGGGGCCACACTAGTGACTGAAGACCATACCGGGTCCAGAACTCAGGCTTCTCAGCTTTTGAGCCCTGACCATCGCACCGTATGTGCTTTCTTGATGGAAACATCTCCATGAGTATTGCTCCTTATGTAATCCATAATCATTTTTAGAATAAAATAGAATTATTTTGGAGAAAAAAATGATGATTACCTTTCCTACTAGTTTTAATGTTCGTTATTAGTACTAGTATTTCTAAAATAATTTAAAATTATTTAAATTTTTTACTTTTTTTGTTCTTCGAAAAAGATCATAACTTAATAGGGAATGGTACATTTATCTGTGTAATATTTTAGTTAAAACAGTTTATTGTTACCTGAAGACTTGATAATGGGAAGTGGTATTTTCATATGCTAAAATATTTAAAATATTTGGTACAAAGCCCATAATAAATAACAACTTTACAGTGTACGTGTTGAAGTGATTAGTAAATGTATCTTTCAAAACAGTATTTCCGGTTCATATTTAACAGCATCACACTTGATGTATTGACATACCCTGGCTTGAACGGTGTTTTCCCCTACCTCAAGAATCTATGTCTTGCTGTTTTCAAGTGTAAGGAAGTGGTGGTTTTAGAAGTTACATCTTAGTTATGTGTAAAAAATATTTTTGTGTTGCAGTGTCCCAGAAGCTTTTGTTGACAATTCCAGTTTCCGAACAAAACATTTCGGCAATGGTGAGGGCTTCGATCCCTTCTCTGATTTGCTGTCAGCCATGAACGGATGGATGTGATGCCTGCTAGCCAAAAGGGTGAGTGAATGAATGTTTGTGATTATTCATCTGAAAATTCACAAGACAAAAAGTCCTTCAAGACAGTTGCCCACCCAGGATGAGAGATTCTTATCTTGAAAGAAGGGACAAACTCTGTCATTGTTTTCTGGTGTAATCTTTTCAGATAATTCCTGCGGTGATCTGAGGATTTATAAAAGGCATAATAGGACATAGGATAACTTCCTCTGTTGGCTTGTTTGTTTTAATCATACTCTGAAGGATGGACTATCTCAGTTTTGGTCCATGTGCAACGTTGAATGAGTAATTGTTTTTTTGGTCCCATTACAACTTGGTGATAACATGAGCCACCAAGAAATAAGACAACAATTTTTTCATCTTGAGTTTTAGGGGAAATTTGAGTCTAATTTGTTCCTTGAGAGAGTCCTATCCCAAACTTTTTGTATGATCAGGACTTATGAGAAAGCCAAAGGATTGGAAACTTGGGATTTTCAAAGATTTTTTGAAAGACTTCTGGAAATTTTTTTGTATCATAATTTACCTCATTAGGTTATTCATTGACTTTTTAGGGGGAGGTTAGAAAGGACATGATGATATTTTTCTCTAAGTGTGTTTTCCATCCATCCTGTTCCTCAGCAATCAATGACTCCCCTGTAGTAATGAACACTGTGACTTGTCATTAGCAGAGACAATGATTGGTTGAGGCCAGGCATTTTGGGTGACAACTCTGACATCATTTGTGGTAGCCTTGCCATTGGATGAGGTCAGTTTCATGGAGAACCTTATCATTTCAGGGTTTGTATTGAATAGCATTTAATTGGTAAGACCCTCATCTTTTTCTGTCTTAGTGCAGTAGTATTGGAAGCAAATTCTAAATAATGGAGAGAAGTGTAGTGAAGCAGAAAGGGCACTGTATTGGGAGTTGGGAGGCTTAATAGTAACCTGGCATGGGGCAAATTAGGCTCTCTCTTTGATTTTTTTTCTTTTTTTTTTTTGGAGACGGAGTTTCCCAATTGTTCCAGGCTGGAGTGCAGTGGCGCGATCTCGGCTCACTGCAACCTCCGCCTCCCAGGTTCAAGCAATTTTTCTGCCTCGGCCTCCCAAGTAGCTGAGATTACAGGCGCCCGCCACCATGCCTGGCTAATTTTTGTACTTTTAGGAGAGACAGGGTTTCACCACATTGGCCAGGCTGGTCTCAAACTCCTGACCTCAGGTGATCCGCCCGTCTCAGCCTCCTAAAGTGCTGGGATTACAGGTGTGAGCCACTGTGCCTGGCTTGATTTTCTATATCTAAAACAAAGCATGTAGGTTAGAGGATCCTATCCTATCAGTGTTATTGAGGCCCTGGAAATTATCTATTTAAATACCTCAGTTTACAAATGGGACAGCTTAAGTCATGAGTCTAGGTGGGATGGCTAAGTCCCTGGGGTTGGTCTGGGCTGGACCATAGCTATTTGGTCATCATTCAGTGGTTCTTTCTAGCTTATTTCAATTACAGAGATTAAGACATCCTGCCCATTTAGCTTTTTAAGCCTCCTCTGATGATATGTCTAAGACAGTGTTATGCATTCAATTACTTGGGCCAGATTTGTGAAGATTTTATAGCTAGAGGTCATTTTGACAAATCCTTCCCCTTGTATACATTAAAAAATACTTTAGTTTTATTGTCCAGAGAAACTGTGTTCATAGTGAAGCAACCGGCTCAAATATTAGAGACCAGATGATTTTCAAAGAGCTATTGGCTCGAAAAGGCACTTCCTGCCACAGTTTGTTAACTGATAACTTGTACTTTGCATTTGGTTCTGCTGGAGCTAGAGAGAGAGAAAAAAAAAATCCAGCCTCCTGTCTTCCCTACAGTATTACTTCTGTCAGTGGCAAGAAATAAGGCAAATAGTAAACAGTAACACACGGGCAAGGATGTCCACAATGAAAAGAAATGGTTAATGGAGTCATGAAATTTTAGAGCTGTTAGTGATCTTTGATCTTTTTACTGGGTGGCCTTGGGCAAGTTGTTCGGTTCTCTCACCCGTGAACTCCTGAGGTTTTCCATTGCTATGCATGTATGATAGACTTTTGTGGATGGTCTGTAGATTAGTGAACAGGCAGCACATGCTAAGAAAAGTCGTATCTTGGCTGGGCATGGTGGCTCACGCCTGTCATCACAGCACTTTGGGAGGCCGAGGTGGGTAGGTCACCTAAGGTCAGGAGTTCAAGACCAGCCTGACCAATATGGTGCAACCTCATCCCTCCCAAAAATACAAAAGTTAGCTGGGCGTGGTGGTGGGTGCCTGTACTCCCAGCTACTTGAGAGGCTGAGACAGGAGAATTCCTTGAACCCAGGAGGTGGAGGTTGCAGTGAGCTGAGATCGTGCCACTGCACTCCAGCCTGGTTGAGAAAGTGAGACTCCGTCTCAAAATAATAATAATAATAAAAAAAGTCATATCTTTAGGAATTCAGGTAGAGTTGAGAACAAAGCCTCGGTCTGTTTCATATACACATGAGAATTCATCAAAGGGGTTAGAATTCTGAAGGTATTGAAATAACAACAAACTCAGGTTTTTGGTTACCTGTCATCTCTGTCTTTGGTATTGAGAGAGTCTGACTCAATCTCACTATTACAAAATTGATATATGAAATTTAACAAAACCACATGAATGGATTTGTTGAAGATGAGGCTCATTTTATTCATTAATTTCAATTGGATTTGGCCCATTATTTGAAAAATCCATCTGAAGAACTATAATGAAAATGATATCTGTTTTGAAAAAAATGTTCTTTTAGGCCTAGTGGAATACTAGAATTTTTGTAAATAAGGCAGTTCTTAGTATTTATCAGACTTTAAAAAACTTCCCTTCTCAGTATTTTTAGTAGAAGGTAGAGGTGCCTGAAATCCTGTGAGCTGGACCATATGTTCTGATTTTCTATTCTCCTCCCATTTTTTTTTTTTAAGACAGAGTTTTGCTCTTGTCACCCAGGCTGGAATGCAATGGCACAATCTCAGCTCACTGCAACCTCCACTTCCTGGGTTCAAGTGATTCTCCTCCCTCAGCCTCCCAATTAGCTGGGATTGCAGGTGCCCACCACCACACCCAGCTAATTTTTGTATCTTTTAGTAGAGACAGGGTTTAATTATGTTGGCCAGGCTGGTCTCGAACTCCTGACCTCAGGTGATCTGTCCACCTGAGCCTCCCAAAGTTCTAGGATTACAGGTGTGAGGCACTGTGCCTGGCCCCATTTTTTTCTCAAGGTGCATTTCCAAGGCTTGCTCAAAGGACTCACTCTCTTCCTCTGTGCTGCAGTGACTGGCCTTCCGTGCATTATGCATCTGATAGTTAGTCATTCCATTGTCAAACATTTATTCACAGTCCTGTGCCTTTTAGAACTTTACAGTTTATTGAACAACCAAAAGAAGCACCAATTAATTGTTACAGCTGACAATTTGGAGTCTTTAGGCTTGAAATAAACTCTAATTCTGAGTGAAGTGTTTCATGGTAAGTGTCCTCCTGGTAGACCAGGGTCAGAGTTACAGAGGTAGGCATCCAGAACAACAGATTGCTTCACTCAAACACAAGGAAACGAAACCATGAAATAAAAGGTTTGCACAGATAGATCATTATGGCCAACTTTTTAAGGTCAGAAGACGGGTAATGTACTCGATTGATGCCGGCGGTAACCATGCTTGCATAATAAATTAACTTAGAGGCAGGAGACAGCGAAAGAAGGGCTGAGCACTTCGTATCTCTCTTTGTGCTGTGGTTATTTAATGCCACCGTTCACCAGGAAGGAGTCAGAGTTGGCTCCTGTTTCCTGGTGTGAAGCTTTAGTTGACACTGGTACCTATAGGATGCACATCACAGGACTTCCAGAGTGAAGGCTGGCAATGCCTGCTGCATATTTAATCGGCAGTTAGCCACAGTGTTATTAATAAATGTGATCATAGCAATTTGCATTTGCATAGAGTTGTTTTGAGAAGGGCTGACTAGAGATGGCGAATGTGTTGGTTTGTTCGTCTGTCTCTGCTCTGTCATTGCATCGTCTCTACCACTAGGTTGTCCCTTGCTGGTAGATCTGGTGAAAAGACATAAGCGTCACGCAACATTCATTGTTATGTGTTATTTGCTTACAACTGTTTTCCCTTATTTGCCCAGCCTTCCTCTTTTGATGTCTCTCATAATCAAATTGCTACCTTTTGACTTACTAGGAAGAGACAAAAACAAGGGAAATGCATCCTTCTCACCGAAGACTTGGTGAAGGGCTACTTTTTTGGCTGGGAGTTCCTTTCTTTTTAAAATAAAACTCGAGAATATGGACTTTCCGTGACCGGTTTTGGGGTGGGGCGGTGGTGGCGCAGCTTCCAGAAGGTATGTGCAGCTGGCAGGTACCTTGGGCCAGGAGAGCCAGCCGACAGGGTTCCTTTCTGGTCTGCCATGTGCTGCAGCCTGTCAGGGGGCCAGCCCACGGTGTTGTGCTTAAACTTCCAGTCTCTGGAATTTTGACTTTGAAAAGTAATTTTAACAATTTAATAAACTACATAATATGTTTTATAAGCTGGAGCGAATGATCTTAAGTATTTTGGTCTCTTTCATAACACAATGAACCTAATATTGGTAAAAATACAGATCTTCACTCACACCATAAAGAGAGGCTAGATTTAATAAGCAGTTATGAGTGCTGGCAGCTGCCTATCAGATTGTATCACTCGGGCTCCCGCATGCGAAGACAGTGTCAACTTACATTTTATCTGTGAAGTATTTTCGATGCGTTTATTTTGCCTTTCTCTCCAGTTCCTAACCCAATACAAGTAATGTAATTGGCTAAATATTTTCCACATAGCTAACTGGCTAGGGGCCAAGGTGGAAACCATTGTCTGGCTTGATGAAGATCAGAAATTAACATGACATTTACGTGGAGGTAATGGAATATATTAGTAATGTAGTAATTCAGGATGGTGAGAGACAGTGTCCATCCCTTCCTGCCCATAAGCAGCAGGAGGTGTTCAGCAGCTGATGAAAGAACCTCCACACCCCCACCCCAGTTCCCTAGTACCACACAGCAGTAGCCAGCCCATCCCTGTGTCAAATTTACTTTTAAGTTCTTCAGACAGAACTGTAAGACAAACTAATGAATTATTCCATTTGTCAATTAAAAAATAAACCCCCCAACTCCTATTTTAAGATTAAATTCCAATTAGAAGATTGCATTTAATTCAGAAGCTGTAACATTGTTTTAATGAATTCTATTGGAGGTGACAGTTTATGTGAGATAAATTTATATAGTGTAGATAGATATAAATTCATTGGATAATGTTAAACATGTTACTTCATATATATTAGCTGTGAAATTTATTTCTTCTCTGGTTAGGTCCCTAAGGAGGTAGAGTCAAAGGGAAAAACATATCTTCAAAGAAAGAACCCTTTCTGTCCTTTCAGATATTTGCTCTAAAACAGCCTTTTCTCACTTTTATTAAAAAAAAATCTGTTAAATTTCTGCATTAACTGAATTTATGATTCTTGGTGTATGCTATTTATAAAATTGAATATAGGTTTTATGATATAGGAAATTAGTCTAGGAATGAGAATATGATCCAACTTTGTAATAAAGGTAATCTGCATTTATATTGCATGTATTTTCCATTCCTCTCTAAGCCCCTTACGGGATTATACACACATTTTTCTGGACATACAAATTCACCATAAACTTTTAATGTATTGGGCAGACTTTCGTTCACATGATACCTACACAAAACATCAAACCTTTTGGCTAAATTAGAGGTGGCAAACATTCTTGACACACTTTCGATTTTATAGTTCCCCTTTTCTGTGCCCATCCTGTGCCTTGGCAGACATCATTGAATTGGTCATATTCTTTCCTTTACTGAGTGTAGATGTGGCCTCAGAATTATTCCACCTAAATTCTTGTAGGCAGGCTTACAGAGTCACCATTTACATTTACAATGCAGTGTATAAGGTATAAGGCCGGGGCTTTTGAGCGATCTTTGCAGTTTGCCTTTGTATACCCAGTACTTACCCTAATATCTGGCAGACAGTTTTTAAACAGTCCATATTTCACATATTAATGAAAGAATCTGGGCTGGGTGCTGTGGCTCATGCCCGTAATCCCAACACTGGGAAGCCAAGGTGGGAGGATTGCTTGAGGCCGGGAGTTTGAGACCAGCCTGGGCAATATGTGTGCACCACATTGACTTGTTAGGTAGTTTATTTTCTACCCTTCAACTGGTTTTTGTGTTATGTCTGTGAAATATTATAGTTTTGTAGTGTTTTTTTTTTCAATTTGCGTAACTTTGGAAAAGACGAGAATGAGTCTATGTCGCTCTCTTTTTACCTGTGTATCAACTGAGGCTCTAACATAGCAAGGAAGTGGTGATGTGAGAGCCAAACCCAGACTTTCACTCTCTGGGTGCAGTTGCTTTCTCATAGGGAGAGGCACATACATGCCGGGTGCTGACCGGTGCAGGGCAAGTTTCTTACATTTTCCTTTTGCATATTAATCTTACTTCTTATCAATACACCAAAGCAAGCTGTACCAGGGAGGAAGGCATTTAGCTATTATATTTCAAATGATATCTTCCGTGATGTAAAATTCTAGGAACTTAAACTCCATTGCATGTTGTTTTTGAAAATATTCTGTTTTCTGTTAAGTTGGTTCAAGTAATGCACAGAAGCAAAGAGAAGGAAATTTCCATTCAGTTTATATGCAGGCTGCTGAGCTGCCTGTTGAGAATTGCCGTCATTTTATTCTGTCTTCAAGAAAAGTAAGCAATTAGTACATATAAGCTATCATTTAGCTAATGTACATTTTAATTTTATTTCAATATGTTGCATATTATTATTTCTTTTGGTCATGAAAAGCAGAGTGCGGAAGAGTGACTGTGGTGAACACGTGAATTGTTACCCTCTTGGCCCGTAATAATAGGATGATACGGTTGACTTTGATTAAGGGTGACAAAATCAGCAGGCCCCCGAAACAGCAGGCCTGTTCTGATGGTGGCTTTTGGATTTTTCCCTACAGATATTCTATGTAGCACCATCCAATGGATTGGAATAGGCTCATGAGATAAAATCTTTTTATTCCTTCTGTATTCGATCAGATTTTAGTAATATTTATAACAAATAATTAGAGAGCTATTCATCAGGCACTTACTTTTCCTATGTTGGTTCAAGTATCACCTTGCTTATCTTATTGAACCTTAACAACATCTCTGTGTTCTAGGTATTATTCTGGTTTTAATGTTGAGAAGAGAGAAGGTTAGTGCATAAGTCACCTGCTCAGAATTGCATAGCAAGAGTGAGAAGTGGGTTTTATTCCAAGTTGGGCCAATTTCAAAACCTTTGTCTTAACCATGAGGACATGCTACTTCCTCATCTTTGAATAGATTCCGTGGTTCTTTAAGGTCTTTTTGATTTAGGCAGAGAAGATTTTGTAGTTTATACTTGTCTTTGTGAAAGAGGTGGAATCTGACTTATTTAAAACAGCAGCTTCATCTGCAAGATTTTTATAGAGGCAGCAATGTAAAAGGGAATGGCTTCCTCCAAAAATTTTCTCCAAAATATTCCTCACCTCCTGGCTTTTTCCTCAGTTGAAAAAAATCTCCCCAGAGTCATGCCACTGGATTCAACACTGCATTATTTCTGTGGTTCTTTTTTTTTTTTTTTTGATGGAGTCTCTTTGTTGTCTAAGCTGGAGTGGAGTGGTATGTGGTATGATCTTGGCTCACTGCAACCTCTGCCTCCCAGGTTCAAGCGATTCTCCTGCCTCAGCCTCCCTAGTAGCTGGGATTAAAGGTACACGCCATCACACCTGGCTAATTTTTGTATTTTTAGTAGAGATGGGGTTTCACCATGTTGGCCAGGCTGGTCTTGAACTCCTGACCTCAGGTGATCTGCCCGCCTTGGCCTCCCAAAGTGCTGGGATTACAGGCGTGAGCCATCGCTTCCAGCCTCAGTTATTATTCAGGGAACTTTTTTCTCCCTGTTTTAAAAAGTTGCATATTGAATTATCTAAGAGTGAAATGACATGTCAGTTGCAAGTTCCTTTATGAATCTTCAGAAAATAAGAAAAAATGTTGGGGCAGAAGCTTGATAAATCTAGAATCTAGGTGATGGATATAAGGGGGTTTACTATTTTCTCTACTTTTAAATATTTTTGACCACTTTTATTGTATAAAAGGGATATTGGGGAGATGAGAGGCTTATCTAGCTCACTGTCTAATCTAGTCGTTGATAAACCAATCACAGGCAGGATAGAACCAGGCCTCTGCACCCCTGTCCTCTACCCAACACCTGCTGGCCCTCAGCTGCCAGTATAATTTAATTGATATGGGGTCTTAGGGCAAGGAGATGCTGACCTCATCAGCCCATTTTGTCCAGGAGTAATTTACTGGACAATACAGATACAATGTCTTTAACCTGACATACCAGCAGTCCCCAAGTAACTTATAAAATGATGGCAGTTGTCATAGTTGAGTATGTATGACATGCCAAGGGCTATAATACGTGTGTTATAGATTTTTATCTGTAATCTTCCTACGGGCAGTGTTTGGAGGGCTGTAGAGGAGACCTGAATTTAGGGCCCATCAGATTTTCTTCTTTACCTCCACGTTTTGTGTTTTTCAAAGTGTCATCTCAGCACTGCCTGGGAAGCGCATTAAATACAGACTTTCGGGCCCACACTGAGACACAGGCCCTTAGACTGGTTAGGGAGAGTGTGGTCTCTGAAGTTGAGTGGATAGCCTCAGGTCCTGGCCCCAGGACTCAATAATACCGTAACCCCGACCATGTCACAACTCCTTCCAAGCCTCAGTTTTCTCTTCTGCCAAATGGGGACAGTGGTGTCATCCACACTATTGGCTGTGAAAAGTCCTTAATACAGTGCTTGACACCTTGCAAATGTTAGATATATGCTGCTTGTAACTGTATTTGAACCTTTTTGAGACTTTGCCAATTTCCTGATAAAACCAAGAATATTGAGGATGTAGCAATGAATGCTCCAGGTGGCACTATTTGGTGGGTGAAATTTAAACCTTACATATCCTTGAAGTATGCTTTTTGTGATTATTAAAAGCATTTTAAAAATAAGTATTAGAGTTTTTACTTAGATGTTTGAAAAAGAATTCTGTCATCAAAGTGTATGAGAGTTGACAAGTGTAAATATGCAGTTAGACAGTTTCAAGGGACGTGTATTATTTACTGATCAATGTACTGTCTCCTTTGGAGCCATTACACTCAGTCATTTCCTGTCAATCTCTCCACGCTGTTATAATCAGACTATGGATATGCATATTAAAATATAAGAAAGTTATTGTGTATGTGTGGTGGCAGCTTTTTAATTGTTAATAATGTTGCTGCTTTAAAAAGGTATCAGGGTAGTTTACTCTTAGGATGGTTAATATTCTGCAGAATTGCATGAGAAATTAGGGGAACCAAAATTCGAGCTGGTGGATAATGAGGCCAATAGGTGGGTGTCTGTGCTTCTAGTCGTTGCCCCGGTTACAAAAAAATGAGCTTTTAATGGTGGTCCTAATATGGAGGTAGGTTCCTTCTGTTCTTTTTTCAAATTTTTATTTATTTTTATTTTTTTTTACTACTGTGTTTTTAGGAAAACTTTTGTAATTAAAAAAAAGTTCGTGTATGTGTGTGATGGTGGGAGGCTCAGTCTAATTTCTGCCTGTAACAGGGATCAGCGAATCTTTTCTGTAAAGAGCCAGATAGTAAACATTTTAGGCTTTGCAAGCCACCTGGTCTGTTACAACTATTTACCTTTGTCCCCTCTAAGCAGCCATGGATGGTATGTAAATGAAGGGGTGTGGCTGTGTTCCAGTACAATTTATTTACAGACGCCGAAATTAGAATTTCACATGATTTTCATGTGTCACTAAGTAGTAGTAGGATTTTCATTTTCCCCCAGCCCTTTAAGAGTAAAAACTAGCTCACTGGTGGCAGGTTGGATGTGGCCCACGCGCCTATAGTTTGCCAAGCCCCAGTCTGGAAGAAGATTGGGAAGTAGTGGCGAGGACCGGCCCTTTGTTCCCGCTCTCTGGTGTTTCTGCTCGCTCACTTGCTCTTCGGTTTCTGATGAAATAATAATGTCATCAGTTTTTATTTAATGCTTATCTTGAGACAGGCTGTTCTGCATAATTATTGATTTAGAGTACAATTTAGTGAGGTCCTTCCTTTACTTAATAAAAGACAAAAATATATCTAGATGTAAAAATGAGGTTCAAGGTGAAGAGTGAAATGAAAAGGGAAGACAAGTCAAAGAAGAAAAGTAGACTTTGAAAAGTGACGTAAGGCTGGGCGTGGTGGCTCACACCTGTAATCCCAGCACTTTGGGAGACCAGATGGGTGGATTGCTTGAGCTCAGGAGTTCGAGATCAGCCTGGGCAACATAGTGAGACCCCATCTCTACAAAAAATAAGAAAAAAAATTAGCCGGATGTGGTAGCTTGCACCTGTAGTCCCAGCTACATGGGAGGCTGAGGTGGGGGGGATAGTTTGAATCCTGGAGGTGGAGGTTGCCATGAGCTGAGATCATGCCACTACACTGCATCAAGCCTGGGTGACAGAGCCAGACGTTGGTCTAAAAAAAAAAAAAAGTGACATAAGAACTATAGTCTCTTCCTAACCAGTGTTATTAAAATGTGTTGTATATCTCACTAGTGGAGGAATTTAAGGTGAATTTTCTGCAAGACAGAAAATTTAAAAAAAAATTTTAAAGTTATGTATTATTAGGCCAGGTGTGGTGGCAGACGCCTGTAATCCCAGCACTTTGGTAGGCCAAGGTGGTTGGATCACCTGAGGTCAGGAGTTCCAGACCAGCCTGGTCAACATGGTGAAACCCCGTCTCTACTAAAAATAAAAAATCAGCTGGGCATGGTGGCGCACAGCTGTAATCCCAGTTACTTGGTAATCCCAGTTACCCTAACTGTAATCCCTGTTACTGCTGAGGCCGGAGAATTGCTTGAACCCAGGAGGCCGAGGTTGCAGTGAGCTGAGACCTCACCATTGTACTCCAGCCTGGGCGACTGAGCAAGACTCCGTCTCAAAAAAAAAAAAAAAAAAAGGTTATGTATTATTTTTAATAGTGTTATATATTAATTTGTAGCAAAAAATAAACTTAGCACTTCAAGTCTGGCTTCTCAGATGATATTGCTAATTATGACATTAATAAAAATGTGAGAAGCTTAAGGAAAACTATAAAGATTACTGTGCAAGTGGTACCTGGGTGCAGCAAAGCCCTTAGAGGTGGTATTGAAGGATTAGAAGTAGGAACTTTTCTTCTAAATGTTCCTTAATTTATCATGAGGGAAGACAGCAGGCGACATGTGCGTGTCAGCTGATTGCGTCTGAAGAAATCTCTGGAGGACAAGAGTGATCAGATGTGCATGTGAACACTCTGGAGAGAAGATGCTGCAAATCCTCCCTCCTCTCTTTGCTGGAGATTTAAATCTTTTGTGTCGTAAACAGGTGGAGGAAGTCAGGGCAGGGGAAACATGGGGAAGAGTGAATTTGTGGAGTGGGGCGTTTTCATAAAACGGAGGCCTAGGTAGAAAATAGCATCGAGTGAGAAAAGGTGTGCGAAGAAGGTTTGTGGGCATTATTCTCAAGGCGCCTTTAGAGTAAGGGATGGTGGAAGCCCCACCAAGAAGTAGAAATGAAATGGGTGTTTCTCAAGAAAGGTAAGAATAATCTAGAGGAATATTTCTTTATCAAGTATCATGATAAAACTGACTTGAATATGAAAGAGAAAAAGTTTCTGATTGTCACCAAGTCAGAATTTATGAACCAAAGTATTGTTTTTGGGGTTGGGGAATAAACATTCAGAAAAGACGACTGACTAAGATGCAAATATCATGATTTCACATAAATGTCCTTTGTAATAAAAAAGGTAGGAAGTGGGAGAGAGGAGACAACAAAGATAGGCTTGTGCTGAAAGCTTTGTAAATTATCTTTTTTGTTAAGTGAAAAATAAATGCATTCCAGGATCCAAGTTAAGATGTAGAACCTTTGATATGTAGTGAACATCTACATGTGGTAATAAGCATACAGGATGTTGGCCAGACAATTTGGGCTTTAATCCTGGTTCTGCCACCTACCAACAGTATAATCTTGGGTAGGTCATATCTCTCTGTGCCTCAGTTTCCTCACCTTTAAAATAATAGTACCTAACTCATAGGTGATCGTGGGATTTAAATGAGTTAACACACATAAAGCATTAGAAAAGAGTTAGCACATGGTAAATTTTTGTAAATTACAGCCAGCTGTTAGCCCCAAAGTTTGTCCTAAGCAAAATATTTGGTTTGTGATCATTACAGCAAAGTTGCCCTCATTTCTCTAGGATGTGAACTTTTTTGTATATATATGTATGTGTATCTATCAATGTATTGTAGTGATATATGTCATGCACATTCAAAGACAGACATTCTGTGCTCAAAAAAAGAATGAAGGATATTGCCTGCCCTTCCTTATACCTTGTGCCTCAGTGTTTGAGGCCTAATTACCACTACATGAACATCCACACTGCATTTGAACAACCTGAGAGATGGTGAATTTCTATCCTTGGGAAAGACCGATATATGTGTGGCCAGCTGTTAGGGCTAGGAAGTTCTTTCTTACACTGGACTCAAATCTACCATGCATGGGCTTCCCACTCTGGTTTGGTACCTTGGGATTCTAGAAAACCCATCTCTTCTACTTGACAAGCTATGAAAGATTTGAGGAGAGTTAGCAGATCTTCTTGAGCCCACTCCAGGCTAAAAATCTCTTGCTCCTTCAGCTGTTCGTCTTTTGCTTCAATTTTGAGTGCCCTGTGACCATGTGCATTGTTTCCCACAGCACCAATAGTCATAGAGATATGTTTTATTGATGTGTCCACATTTAGATATAATTCACTTAAGGGCACTTCTTTTTGACAAAACTATCTCCATCATTTGGGAACGAAACATTGTGACTGTTCTTAACCTACTTCCTAAATTCGAAATCTGAGAAGCTGGCACATAAAGAATTATAAATTGTCTCTTGAAACTTTAGTATGCTGGAATAGGCTTTTCTTCATTTCAAGCCAGGTAACTGTGTAGAAGTAAAGGTGGTAATTCCAGTTCTAGTACCTGCAGTAGCAGCATACTGTGTGCCAGACACTCGGCTCAGTCCTTTGGTTGCAGTAGATCATTTAAGCTTCATGATCACGAGTCTGTTCCTGTTTAGTTTTGGGGTTTTTTGTTTGTTTGTTTGTTTGTTTTCTTGAGACAGAGTCTTGCTTTGTCACCCAGGCTAGAGTGCAGTGGCGCGATCTTCTCTTACTCTGCCTCCCGGGGTCAACCAATTCTTCTGCGTTAGCCTCCTGAGTAGCTGGGATTACAGGTGCGTGGCACCACGCCCAGCTAATTTTTGTATTTTTAGTAGAGACAGGGTTTCCCCATGTTGGTCAGGCTGGTGTCGAACTCCTGACCTCGTGATCTGCCTGCCTAATCCTCCCAAAGTGCTGGGATTACAGGCGTGAGCCACCGTACCCAGCCTGTTTCTGTTTTTATTTCTATTTCCAGATGATGAAAGCAGTGGTAGGGTAAAGTTGGAGACTTCGGTTAGAAAAGCTCAAGAGGAGGATTTTTTGGTAAACATAACCAAGATTAGTTGTTCATGTGTCCTTAATCCTTATAATTTTTCTGTTCTGTCTACCCAAGAAATGATGTAGTTTATGGTCTTTTGCTTTATCTTTTTTTTTCTTTTCTTTTCTTTTCTTTTTTTTTTTTTTGAGATGATGTTTTGCTCTTGTTTCCGAGGCTGGAGCACAATGGTGTGATCTCAGCTCATTGCAGCCTCCACCTCCTGGGTTCAAGTGATTCTCCTGCCTCAGCCTCCTGAGTAGCTGGGATTACAGGCGTCCGCCACCACGCCTGGCTAATTTTTGTATTTTTAGTAGAGACGGAGTTTCAACATGTTGGTCAGGATGGTCTTGAACTCCTGACCTCAGGTGATCCACCTGCCCCAATAGTCATAGAGATATATTTTATTGATGTGTCCACATTTAGATATAATTCACTTAAGGGTACTTCTTTTTGACAAACCTATCTCCATCATTTGGAAACGAAACAGTGACTGTTCTTAACCTACTTCCTAAATTCTAAATCTGAGAAGCTGGCACATAAAGAATTATAAATTGTCTCTTGAAACTTTAGTATGCTGGAATAGGCTTTTCTTCATTTTAAGCCAGGTAACTGTGTAGAAGTAAAGGTGGTAACTCCCCAGTCCCAGAGTGCTGGGATTACAGGTGTGACCACCACGCCCAGCCCTATCCTTTGTTTTAATGCATATAAATTGTGCAAGTGACGTAAAAGTTACCCCCTCCCCCTTTTGGGATAGTCTGCTTTTATTCCATTGAAACTATTCAAGCTAATTTTGAGTTAAAGATACTGCTATTCTCAATGTGCCAGAGCCCACACACACAACACTGGGGATGGTGTACTTCATTTTCTTTCAGCTTTCTCCAAGTGACTTTCCCTCCCCCCCTCCTTTCAACAAGATTCTCAGAGAGGAAGCCAATCACAATGTTACTGGGCATGGGTATCTTGAGGGATGGCTGGGTGCCTTCTATGAGACTTAACACATTTCCTGAACATGGTGCCTCACCATGGCAACAGCCATGTCACACGACACATTGGTGACACATGTAAGGTGCTGCCACAACTCATCCCAGGTTGAATGTCTGTGATTCATTGTTTCCACTGACACAGTGACTACTGTAACTTGCAGTTGGAAGGTTCTCTGGTTTTCAGTGCCATTAATGCATACTGACTCCCATGGCGCATGGAGGGCTCAGGGAAGAGAAGCATAAATAAATAAGTGCAGGCTGTAAACATTGCCTTCATTAGCTTTGCAGAGAAATACTTGTTCATCAGTCAACCTCCTTGCCACTCTCATTCTTCTTTTTTTAAGCATATTTTGTTGGTAACACCTTGGAAGCTTGAAAATGATTTTTATTTTTACTCATAGTTGTACCCATTTCTACTTGGCAAACTTCACAAGAGAGAGTTCATGGTGGCCCCTTTTTAGTATTTATTCATATTCTTCACATGTAGCAGATTTATTGATGCAGGCATGATCCTGGGAATATTTTTTTCTCATTGTGAAATATAATGAATACTTTACATAAATCAGATGGTGGTATTACGGATCCATGGCTTATGTAGGGGGCTGAAGGTTGTATTCTATCAGAGGACTTTTCTAGAGGTCCAAGATAGGTGGTATTTTAACATATTTTAATTTTTGAGTGATTCAGCGAGTGATTAAAAAAGAAGATGTGGAATCTGGAAGACATTAAAGAGATGTCAAGGACAGACGGGTTTTGATTTGTAGCCTAATGAATGTTTTGCCAACTTTTAAAGATTTTTTTGAGAGTAGAACTTTAACCATTTGCTTGTGTTTCTGGCATGGTAAGGTTATTCCTGTTTCTGTTATAATGAATCCAAAGTGAAAATGGGATAATTTTTAATTAGCAAAATTATAAAACGATTTGCAGCCAAATGTTTCTTGTCTTGTATAAACTGTGAGGTTTCACATTTTACTTTAATCATTTTAGGAAATTTCATTCTGAAGATCTATTTCAGTTGGTACTTCATGTATGCATACAAATCTTCAATATTAGAAATTACCTTGTAATATTCTTTTCCATTGTCACTTGAATAATCTGACAGGATTTCAGTCATGTGCATTGCTTGTGTGTATTTTGTAGGTGTCATGGTTACCTTAGTTGGATGTAGCACTAATATTCAATCTAGCATTATGAATGCAAGGCTCAACATCATAAGAGAAATAGAAATCAAGGGTTAGAAATGTTTGCTAACTCTATGTTGTATGGTTTTATACAGTTCAGAATTGCTTTTGTCGAGCTTACCTATGTAATTATTTGAATCAAAAATTTTATATTTTTACTTTTTGCTATAAATAATAGAGAGCTATTTAAAAATATATTTTATTAAGGAAATGAGAACAATGAGTTAAGTCATGGCAACCTACACATAATTCCCAGACTTTTCATTTTATGATGCTTCAATTGCATTTGATTACGAGAGTTTTACAGTTTCTGGAGGCTCATTGGAGCCCTACATGGAGATGAAAGAATTCTATGGAAATGCAAAGGGATTTAAGTGTTCAGAATTTGAGCATCTGCCTAGAATGGGACACTTCCAGCACCTTGAACTTTTCTACTTGCTAGGTGGTTGGGAGGCCTGCAGCATTGTGTGCTGCTTTTGGTGGATCTTCTGGGGGGCGCTGTGTCACACCTCATTGTGCACCTGTTGCTACAGAAAGAAAGATGGCGGAAACCAGCCAGGCAGGAAGAAAGCTGTATCTGCAACACTAGCTCAAGGCTCTGGTGATACATAAAGGCCCTCACCTTTTCTTATTTGTCTCTGAAAACCAAAGGTGTCTCTTAACAAGAGCAAGAGGGAGAATGAGATAAATGTCAATAAGTTTCCTTCAGATGAGTAATTTCTTAATGAAACAGATTATTAAAGCTTAAGGTTCTTGGGGAATGTCATAGACCTAATCAGTTATTATTAAGCTGCAAATAAGACCAAAGGACAGGAAACATAATTTAAGAACAAACACATTAAAGAAAACCATCAATGCGGCCCGGCGCAGTGGCTCACACCTGTAATCCCAGCACTTTGGGAGGCCAAGGTGGGCAGATCACGTGACGCCAGGAGTTTGAGACCAGCCTGGCCAACAAGGTGAAACCCCATCTGTACAAAAATACAAAAAAAAAAAAAAAAAAATTAGCTGGGCATGATGGCGGGTGCCTGTAATCCCAGCTCCTCAGGAGGCTGAGGCCGGAGAATCGCTTGAACCTGGGAGGTGGAGGTTGCAGTGAGCTGAGATCGCGCCATTGCAATAACAAAATGGCATGAAATTTTACCCATAACCCGAGGACTCATTCTGCAATGAAATGGCAGTCGTAGACATAACTGATGTGTAACTGCACACCACCTCTCCATCCACCATCAAATGAAAGAAAGAAAGAGAATGAAAGGAAACCAGAAGAAATATCCAACAGAAGGAAAATAGTTAACCAAATTATGGCTCAGACTAGTTTGGTTTAACCATTGCTCAAAAACAAAACAAAAAAAAAAAAAAGAACTTGATGAATTTATATTTAAAAAAGAAAATATGAGATAGATTTCTTTCTAAATTAATTCCTTTCATCCACTATAAACACAACACATCCATAAAGATTCCCTCATGGATTATAACCTGATTGGGAGAAAACCACTTTCAGTCATTTCCATTGTGTGGACCATTTACTGACATATCTAGTTGAAGAGTCACTTAACACACTAGTGATGTTTCACTTTGAATGCTATCGGATAATCTGCTTTCTTGAGGTTGTGTTCTACTTTGTCATGTAGACTTGTGCATTTCATACCAGAATGTGTATACCATTAGCACCCCATTGACGTGGTAAAGGTATCCCCAAATCATAGAATAATTTATTCTGGTGGATCTCCATGAAGAGGTTTTTTTTTTTTTTTTCCCTTGAAGAGTTTAGTAGGAAAATACATCATTTTTATATTTTATTTTTATTTTTATTTTTTGAGGTGGAGTCTTGTTCTTTCTCCCAGGCTAGAGTGCAGTGGCACAATCTCAGCTCACTGCAACCTCCGCCTCCCGGGTTCAATCGATTCTCCTACTTCAGCCTCCTGAGTAGCTGGGATTACAGGTGCACAGCACCACACCAGCTAATTTTTGTATTATTAGTAGAGATGGAGTTTCACCATGTTGGCCAGGCTGGTCTCGAACTCCTGACCTCAAGTGATCTGCCCACCTCACCCTCCCAAAGTGCTGGGATTACAGGCGTGAGTCACTGCGCCTGGCCCATTTTTACATTTTAAATGGCCAAATTAATGCTGTTGTATAATGCAAGATTTTGAAGGTTTTCAGTGATACTTCCTGCCTACTTAGGTCCCCTTTGATTTGTGCCTCCAGACCCTTCCTTTCTCATGGGTTGACATTTACCACCCTCTCCCTTTCCCCGATTGCCATGGAGGTATATTTTGGTGGGAATATTTGAGACCAAACGTATTTTCTGTGCTAATCATTACTTCTTAAAAAATTATAGTTGCTCCTTCTTCCACTGAGCATTTTAATCGTGGAGTTTGAGCATCTTAGCCTGCTTAATAAAAATGCTTGGGTGTTCCTTGCACATGATAGGAAATTATAGGACGGCATGGGGTTAGCATCCAGGAGAGAGGGAGGGTCTTGGGTTGGGGGATGGCATTGGAAATAGAAGCAGGGGGGAAGGTGAGATGGAATAGGAATTGTAGTGAGGGCTGAGAGGATGTGAGGGCTGCCTGCAGGTGGGAGCCATAGGATGGAGAAGAGAAAATCATGACTTCAGACTTGAGCTTGCCTGACACAGCGGATGGCAGTGTGCATAACAGAGATGGGAAACTCCATGAGGAAGGCTTCAGTGGGCAGGGCCTGTAAACTACAGCAGTTCTCCAGCCTTGTTGGCACCAGGGACCAGAATCATGGGAGACGGTTTTTCCATGGACCAGAGGAGGGGATGGTTTCAGGATGATTCAAGCACATAACATTTATTCTGCACTTTATTTTCATTATTATTACCTTGTATTATATAATGAAGTAATTATACAACTCACCATAATATAGAATCAGTGGGAGCCCTGAGCTTGTTTTCCTGCAACTAGATGGTCCCATCTGGGGTTGATGGGAGACAGTGACAGATCATCAGGCATTAGATTCTCATAAGGAGTGCACAACTTTGATCCCTCACATGTGCAGTTCACAATAGGGTTTACGCTTCTATGAGAAGCTAATGCCACTGCTTATGTGACAGGAGGCAGAGCTCAGGTGGTGATGTGAGCTGTGGGCAGCGGCTGTAAACACAGATGAAGCTTCACTTGCTTGCCTGACGCTGACCTCCTGCTGTGCAGCCTGGCTTCTAACAGGCCACGGAAACCAGTCTGTGGCCCGGGGACTGGGGACCCCTGAACTAGGGTACTCAGAATTTGGAGATGAGGGTCAGAAATCTGTCTAGAAATACCCAGGTGACAGTCATAATTTATCTTTCTTCAAAAACCTTCTTGTTCTTTTCTCTTGATCACATTTATTCAGGAGTGGTTGCACTCTACTCTTCTTTTCTAGTCCTCTTTTGGCCAGTTAAATGTGGTTTAGGTTTTTTACTGTTTCATGATCAATTATACTATGCTTAAGCCACAGAGAGAAAAGCCACTAATTCTCGTGCTATTGTGAAACAATAAAACATCTAAGTGTATTTCCTTCTAGTCTTTTTTGGAATTTAAATAAATATATAGTTGCAATTATCTTGTGCTTATAACTTTTTATCCTACTTTCTTTTCCTAACGTAACTATTTTCATATTGCCATATTATCTTTTATGAACGGTGTAATAGATCATCCAGTCATTACACAGATATTATTAGGTGCCTACTCTGTGCCAGGGCATGTTCAGTATCTTTCAGGTGACATGTCCCACCCATGTAGGGCTTCATAATTAATTACTGTCTTTCTCCATGAGGACGTCATCACTATTAGAGATGTAACAGTTCTTTTTGTGTGTGTCATAGCTTGCAGGGTATTTATTTTGCAGGATGCCTCCCAGGTCGTTGTGACAACCAAAAATGCTCCCACACAGCTCCTAATATCAACCCCCTTCTAACTCCCAATTGAGGATCACCAGTTTAAACCATAATTTGGTTAACTATGTTCCTTCTGTTGGACATTTGATTTGGTTTCCTTTTGTTCTCTTTCTTTCATTTGCGGGTGGTGGCGGGGAGGTGGCGGGCAGTTATACATCAGTTGTATCTATGACTCTGCCATTTCATTGTAGAACAGGTCCTTGGGTTATAGGTGGTTTTTCCTGCCACTTTGTTACTTGTGAGAAGGCTATACACAAAATTTTGGGACAATATTTTGACAATGCTTAGAGGAAGGACATATGACATGAGGGGAGCCACTTCTGAATAAGATCTAATGTTGGAAATTTTTGTTTCTTCCTCTCAGTTCCTTCATTTTTTTTCACATCGATCCTATCTACCAGCCCAAAGGTGGAGTGTATTTCAGGGGAGCATATTGGGCCATAGTACTGGAGAATGTTTGCTGACCCACAATTTAGGGTCTCACTTAAAATCCTAGTTCTGCCATTTCCTAGCTGTATGTACCTAGGTAAATTATTCCATCCAGTTGCATCTCTTTTTATCTTCCTCTGTTAAATAATAGTATACTCCACAGAGAGCTCCTGTGAGATTAAATGAGCTATGCACGTGATGTTATTCTGTTACCTAAAATGGAGACCAGTGTTTGTCTAATGGAGTGTAGTGGTTACAGACACAGGCTCTAGTGCTAGGCTATGTGTTCAAATCTTAGTTCAGTTATTTTTTAGCTGTCTGGCCCTTTCATAAGTTATTTTGCCATACTGAGCCTTGGTTCCCCATCTGAGAAGTTGAAATTTAAAAAAATCCCTCTTACTGTGTCATCATAAGGACTAACTAATTGAAGGTGCCCTGGAGTGCAATGCCTGCATGTGGTTGGAGCACACCATAAATGGCAGCTGCAGAGCTAGACATATCTTGGGGAGTTTGAATAAGTGGGGTTAATATGTAGACTAGTTTTCTCTGTTCTCACTTTGGGGGAAAAACCAACTAGCGTTTCCATTATTCTAATCTACTTCTCTTATGGACTAGAATAGTTAAAATTAACAAAATGCCTTGTTAGGAGTAAAATGGGAGCTTGGATTCTCTTTATTATTTGTTTTCTGGACTGGGGTTTCCTGTTGGAGTTCTGGGCTGGTTTCAAAGTCCCAGATGCTGGGCAGAATAAGAAGAGGTCTTCCCTCAGGGTTGGCATCATTTACTTCATTGAAGTGAAATAGCGTGTATCAGAGCAAGTGGAACCGACACCCAAAATATGACTTGAAGAATGTAATTTAAAATGTAGCATAGAAAAAAAAAAAGGAAAAGTATGATTTTACATATTTTCAGAACTTCTACTGAATCCTCTCGGACCCATAAGATTTTTCATTTTTTGGTCAATCATTTTTGTATGGTTTGTGTCGAGTGTTTATTGGGTATGAACAGTTCTGTACCTTCTGTCTTGAAAGTCTAAATCTTTATTCCTTACCAAGAATGATGGAACACAGTTAAATAGGGGAATTCACATAATCCAGGGTGAGAGTGGTCCTGAGGAGGTAAAAACAAACACCCTGACAAAAAGGTATGTCCTCTGCAAAATAAGAATTCCTTACTTATAACTCCTCCCCCAACAAAAATATGACCCTAAAGGCAATGAAGCACACAAAACATAATGAAAAACTATAAAACGTACCTTCTAGCATCGACTTTTAGTGACTCACTGACTTCATAATAAAATGTAAATGTAATTACATTTGGCCATCTTCTACCATTAGGCAAACTGGAGGAAGAAGTACAGGGAACCTCTCCCAGTAGGGCTGTAGAACAAATTCAGATAAATCTTTAAACCTGGGAGTCACCTGGTGTTATGCTGCCGGGTCTTTCTTGGTCTGCTCAGATGGAACCACTTTGAATCATCAGAACATGGAGTTATCATTTTATTCACCTGGGAACGTGGTAAAGCTGCCGCTGTATTCCAGGATTATATGATTCTTAAGATATTGGTGATTCATAAAGTGACACAGTAACAAAACATGTGGGGTCCTTGAAGGTATGGCTTTCAGGGTGGACTGTCTCATTTCTACCTTTTTTTTTCTTTTCTATCACTTGAGTATTCAATTTGCATGTCCGCTATAAACGTAAACTTAGCCTGTGTTCCATCTGAGTTGAAAAGAATGGAACATTGTTATAGTTTTGCCTAAAAGGAAGGCCCTGCAGTTGTTTTGAATCCTTTGTGGAATGACTAGAAGGTGTATACTCAAAACATTCGTTTGTACTCTGGGTGATTATTGGTGGGATATACCATTTTTGTGTTATATTGGGTACAGTAGAAAAATCTGAAAAGTGTGACCTAATATTCCCATTGACAAACCTCAGTTATTTCGCCCTGTTCTTTTCCTTTATAACACTTGTCAAAGTTTATAATTATATACATATAATTAATTTTTGGTGTATGTTTACTATAACATATAATAAACATAAAAGTGTACTTATTATACTATATAATTTATATATATAATTAAATATGTGTATTTGTGTATGTTTATTCAATGTAAACTTTTCCCCTTTGGGGTGTAAACCTCATAAGAGCACAGACCATGTCAATTTTTGTAACCATCTAGCACACAGTAGGATGCAGTAAATAGTTGTTGAATCAATGTTTTGTCCAAGCAAGGAAACAGAATAATAATGGTGAACATGTATTTAATATTTAATGTAGCAGATTCTTTGTGAAATGCTATACAGGGATTATCCCACTTACCCTTGCCACAAGTCTTTAGGTGGTCACTCTCTAACTGCTCCCATTGTAGAGGTAGGAAGCTGAGGCTTAGGAAGGTTAAGGCACAGACTCATGGTCACGTGGGTGCAAGTACCATTCAAATCCAGTTCTGTCTGTCTCAGAAGCTTATGCCATTCAAGACTAGTTGATACACTGAATAGTTGAAGTTTATGAGATCTCCTAGTTCAGCAGTATTTCTCTCTGCAATATTCAGTGTTTTCTTTTCTTTTCTTTTCTTTTTTTCTGGAGACAGAAGTGTTGCTCTGTTGCCCAGGCTGGAGGGCAGTGGTGTGATATCTGCTCATTGCAACCTCTGCCTCCGGGTTCAAGCAATTCTCGTGCCTCAGCCTCCCAAATAGCTGGGACTACAGGAGCGCACACCACGTCTGGCTAATTTTTTGTATTTTTGGTGGAGACGCGGTTCACCATGTTGCCCAGACTGGTCTTGAACTCCTGAGCTCAGGCAATCTGCCCTCCTCAGCCTCCCAAAGTGCTGGGATTAAAGGCGTGAGCCACCGCACCGGCCTCAAACGTTGTTTTTTAAGGAAAGCCATTAGGATTTGACTCAAGTCATTAAGAAAGAAGAATTACTTATGAATAACAACAATAATAGTAACACACATTCTCTTAGCTGTGTATTAGGTATTCCACTAAGCTCTTTGTACAAATTAACTGATTTTATCTGTATAACAACTCTATGTGGTAGATACTGTTATTATTCCTGTTTTACAGATGAAGAAACAGGCTCAGGAAGGTTAAGGAGATGTTAAATAACTTACCCACGGTCACACAGCTAGAATGTAGGAGAGAACACATTAATAAATTACTTTAGAACTTCTTTCCAAAGGACAGTAGGAGCTAGAGACTCAAAATTCCTTTTTTATGTTTTATGAATATTTTATTTTTATTAATTTTATTTTATTAATATTTTATTTTATTTTATCTGCAATATTTTGAAATCAGGAGGCAGTTGGAAAGCGAGAGGAGAGAGAGATCACCAGGGCTGTGAGTTTTTAGAGTTCATAGATTACCCCACATGAGGCCATTTCTGTCCTACAGACAGGATGCTGCCTATAGGTGTTGCTTTGAATTTTATCTATAGGCATAAGACCAAAGAACTTGCAGGGATGTGGAGAGCTACTGCACATCATCTGTGTGCAAAATTCACTGGGGGGGAACTGATATTTGAGAAAGTTCCAGTGAAAAATCGGGCTTTCAGTTGAGGGTGGTCTGCAGCTTTTACGGTTTTTAGCTCCCTGGCTTTCCATTTTGGCTTTTGCTTCTTTTCCTCCCTCATTACATTCAGCAAGGAAATGGACACTCTAATATGATCATCAAAGCCCAGCTAAGATTTCATAATTACCAGTTGGTAATCCATGTGAATTTCTGTGTGGGCTAAGTCACTTAGTAGATGTTATTTTCTTCATCATACTCCCATTTGGATCCCAGGAATGACTCAAGAAATTTGCTTCTTTCCTCAATTAAAATGGAAACAATTTTGCAACTGTTTGTTTGAGGGAAGACTGGCTTTACAAGAAGGTGACTTAGAAGGGGTGGTTTTCTGGGAAAGAGATTAAACTATAGAATGGTCCTGTGTGTTTTAAATAATGCTGACATATTTTGTTGATGCTGGCTATTTTATTTGATTGCTATCCGTTCTGAAGTCTTCCCCTCCTTTTTCCTTCTTTGAAATCTGTTGGTTACTATGGAAACAGTGTTGTTTTGGGTTTGGGTGGAGCTGTATCCACAAATGCAGTATAAAGTCATTTATAAAATGGGTTAATATTTATTCTGGCTGGGCATATATGGAACTTGATGTAATGATAATCATGATCACACATGCAGAATAAATTTGCACTTTTATTGTTATTTTCTTAGTCAGTCTAAATGTGTGCCATTTTGCTTGGAATGCACTGTCATTTCCTCTCTGATTTGGATATTGCCATTTACAAGGCAACACCCAGCGCCGGTGGAATTGCTCTGAGTTGGAAGTATTCGACAGGCCTCAAACATCCCTGGGTCCAAATTCTCATTCAGGAGAGTGACTCCTGAGATATCTTTTGTGTCTTGCTCAAGCACCCACATGCCAACGTGGTCCTGCTCGTTTTTCTCTTTCAGATCTTCAGTCAAGTGGAGTTGTCTGGTGCTTCTCCTTTCACACTGATGCTTGTGTCAGCAGTGAAGTGCTGTTCTTAAAAGCCTCACATGATTCAGGATGTATTAATGAGAGTCCATGAAAGAGTCACGGCCAGTGACTTGTCCAGGCCCCAGGGGGAAAACAAGGAAAGGGTAGGGATTTGGGAAAGGCTGTAGAGGTGATCCATGGCAATGATGAAAGGGTGGTGAATGGGATCTTTTTAGAACGGTTAAAGGAATGGAAACTACTTAACATATAGAGGAGAAGCCTGGTTTGGGGGTGGGTGGGAGTTTTAATGTCTTTATACATAACAAAAGGAATTGTAAGCAAGGGGCTGTTCACCCCGCTGTTCTCCAGAGACCTAACATTAGAAAGGTATCACGTGTCGAAGAGCAGGTGAGATCCCTGTGTGATGTGAGAACATGGCAAGAGTCTTTCAAGGTAGCCCGACTCTGGAACAGGACAGTCACACCAAGGAGAAATGTTGGGGTCCTTCACCTTCACGTCAATCAGGCATACTTATTGACATTTGGTGGCTGATTTGCAAATCCTTTTTGAAGCCAAGCAATGACTTAGATGACCCTTTGGAAATTTCTTACAGACTCCTGAGTTCAATTTATGTCATCATATCGTGATTGAATTTTTGAAATTCATTTTTTCAAATGTTTGGACAGGTATTTTTATCTCACCAAAAATGAATACAGGAATGTGAAAGAAAAAAAAAAACATTGCTTCTCCAAGGATTAAAAATCCCACCTAATGAGGACTGTTGGAATGATCAGGTATCTTGATCTTATATTTAACAATGCTGTGACCCTTTATGGTACCTTAAATAAGGGTGGATCTACTTTTCCAAGTCCATTCAGCTAAGAAGAGTTTTGGTAGATCATGAATAGACTTGTAACATATTGGAATCTGTGGAACCTTGTAGATTGTCAGGATTGGTGGCTCACAAAGCACGGTCCCTGTACTGCAGCATCAGCATCATCTGGAAATTTGGTAGAAGTGCGTTCATGGGTCCTATTCCAGACCTCCTGAATCAGAAACTCAAAGAGGGAGATCCAACGATCTTTGTTTTAACAAGTCTTTCAGTATGAGAATTACTGGGCTCCACCATCCCTCATTTACTTAGAAGATTAGCATAGTAATATAAAGTTTTGGGCTAATTGGCAGTCTTTGTCATTGTTGCCATGGTGACCAATTAACCTGGCTCAGGAAAAGGAAAGTTTTTTTAGCCACAGGCTACCCCCAACTATCTTATAAAGACGTTTTCTTCCTTTAATACAAGAGCTGTCGTGGCATGGCTGAGGACACACCTTGAACAATAGTAAGGAGGAAGTCCCTGGATAAAGGGCCGCCGTGTCTTAGAATAATGTATTAAAATCATTTTCATCAGTCATTTCTTTTTGGGGAGATTCCATTTGTCCACCACCCACCCACCTACCCATGTATCCTTCTATTAACTTGTCTTTTCATCCATCTACCCATCCAATCATCCAACAATTCTTTGCTGAAATCCTACTTCGTTCCAGGTACTGTGTGGTGAATGAAGCAGAAGGAAGAAATTTATCATCCTCTGAACGTTACTGGTATATAGGTATATATGTGTGTGTATGTATATATGTATGTGTATATATATGTATGTGCATAGGCATAAGTATGTATGCATGTACGTGTATGTATATATACGTGTATGTTTGTTATATACACATACATACACACACACGTACACACACATATAATAATGTTTCCTTTTTCTCAAGCTCGCAACATCTGTGGTGCCCAAAGCCCAAGTACCCAGTCACCTCCTTCAGCATTTTTTTCTTTTTGTTTTTCTGGCCTTGGGCTGGCTCCCCAACCCACTAAATTCTCCTGCAGTAACATGAGTTTTCCCATTGAAGCTAAGTGTTCATTAAATTGTAAAGACAAACAAAACGTATCCAAGGATAAGTATCACTTGAGAAACACAGATGTCATCATTCCTGGCATGTGTCTGTGTTTAGAGCTTGTACCTGCGTCTCTCATGTAGAACTATATGGTAAGGAGAGGGAAGATGCAACCCCCTGCCCTAGGCAGTGCTCTTTGTGACCTTCCCGATGGTCGGATATATCTTTCTACTTTCTCCCTGTAAACTCTGGGGTGGGGCTCACGTCCCTGCACTCAGCGCTGAGTCAGCATCAGACTCCGCCTCCATTGTCCAGTGTTGTTTTCTGCACCCACCCCCTAAGCTATTTTCTCAATGGAAGAGGAAGGAAAAAAAAATTCCGCTGAAAACAATCCAATCCCGATCAGATTCGCATAGCATAATAAACGCTTGTTTGGACATTGCTTGGACTGTCATTTTAGCAAGAATCTTCTGTTTGATTAAATAGCTTCTCTGTTATGTATTGAACAAAATGAAATGTATGTCATAACAGATATAACTAGATGATGACAACTTTCCTTGACTGTGAATTTCATTAAAGATATACATTTGTGTTGTATCCCTTTGAATGACAGAAGTTGACAAATAGCTGGGGAAAGTTGTTTTCTGGAGAAAAGTTAGCAGCTCGCCTGTTCAGATTTTTTCCAGCCCCAAGACAAAAATAAGGGCAGGCCAGGAAAGCAGAGAGGTTGGGTACTGTCGAGCAGCAGTCAGTGGTGGAGAGAAGGCAGAGGAAGCGTCCTTGAAAGGTCTGGGGCAGGCTTAGGATGGGCTGGCATCTGTTTCCAAGGGGTCTGTACGCACTTGTGCCTGGTTGCCAGCTTTATAAGTGTTTCGTTTTATCTGTCCAGCATGTTGCTTAGATCAATGGTCCCCAACCTTTTTGGCACCGGGGACTTGTTTCATGGAAGACAGTTTTTCCATGGATGCGAGGGGTTGGGGGTAGTGGTTTCCAGATGAAACTGTTCCACCTCAGATCATCAGGCATTAGTTAGGTTCTCATAAGGAGTGCACAACCTAGATCCCTCACATGCACAGTTCACAATAGGGTTCGCCCTCCTGTGAGAATCCAATGCCGCTGCTGATGTGACAGGAGGCGGAGCTCAGGCTGTAATGCTTGCTTGCCCTCTGCTCACTTCTTGTGCATCCGGTTTCCTAACGGGCCATGGGCTGGTACGTGTCTGTGGCCTGGGGGTTAAGGACCCCTAGCTTAGATGGATGGAAAGATGGATTTGCTCTTTTTTTAAACTCTTAGAGCACCTCCACTGTGCTAAGACAACAATGAGTGAAACCAAGCACGGACCCTGCCCTTGTGGAGCATTGCATGAATAAACGTGAGGTTTCAGTGCCATCTTCAGTGATGTAAAACAGAGGCTGTGGGACGTGCACAAGGTTAGATTTCACAGAGCAGGGAGTTAGACGGCTTAGGTTAGACCACGTCCTGGCTGTTCCATCTTAAGCAAATTCCTTAAGCACCCAGTGCCTCAGTTTTCCCATCTGCTGAGTGGAGATCATATTAGTCTCCACTTCATAGCATTGTTATGAAGAAGATGACAATTCTAGCCTGGCCCTCTTCTTCTTCTTCTTCTTCTTCTTCTTTTTTTTTTTTTTTTTCTGAGACAGAGTTTCACTCTTGTTGCCCAGGCTGGAGTGCAATGGTGTGATCTCGGCTCACCACAATCTCTGCCTCCCAGGTTCAAGCAATTCTCCTGTCTCAGCCTCCCAAGTAGCCGGGATTACAGACATGTGCCACCACGCCCAGCTAATTTTGTATTTTCAATAGAGACGGGGTTTCTCCTTGTTGGTCAGGCTGGTCTTGAACTCCTGACCTCAGGTGATCCGCCTACCTCGGACTCCCAAAGTGCTGGGATTACAGGCTTAAGCCACTGTGCCCAGCCTTAGCCTGGCCATCTTCTAAGTGCTTACAATAGCTCACTGGATCCACACATGGTAGAAAACCCTATGAGGCAGGTGCTACAGTCTCCATTTTACAGATGAGGAAACTAAGGGTTAGATGTCAAGTAGCTCCTATGAGGTTATGTAAGGGGAAGGGGGGCAGTTTGGAGACTAGACTTGGGGCAGTCTGGTTTCCCACTTCTGCTTAGTCCCCTGCTTGCCACAAAGTCAGTCCTCTGTGTGTGCCACCTTTGTAATGGCTAGTCAAGGGCCTCGGCTTCCCTGAGGAAGTGACTGTTGAGCGGAAATCAGAGAGGCCACTTGTCTTCAGTCATCCCCTCACCTTGGGGGTGAAAAGGGTAGAGCAGAGGCCAGCTTGCTTCTTGGCAGTGCCTATGGAGAAGGGCTGTTTTTTGAAAGTGCCAGGTCGGGGGGAGGGCATCTTGCTATTTGGCTTCTTGACTTCCCAACTCCCAGGAGCCAGAGGAACCCTGGCTCCAGTCAACTCCCAAAGAGGCTGAGCATGGAACAGTAGTAACTTGGCCTCTGATTCACCTTCCCCCTCTCAGGAGAGCACTCCAACTTGTGTGGGGCCTTTAAGGAGACATCTCTGGGGCCCTCTTTGGAGGTCGCTGACTTTGGCAGTGAGCCGAGAGCCCCGCACTGTGGGGAGCAGGGCATTCTCTGGGGATGCTGGTCACCTGCTCCCGACTTGCAGACCTGTAGGCAGTTACCTTGTTTTCCTTCTTTTTGAGACAGGATCTCGTTCTGTCGCCCAGGCTGGAGTGCAGTGATACGATTATGGCTCACTGCAACCTCCGTCTCCCGGGCTCAGTTGATCCGCCCACTTCAACTCCCAAGTAGCTGGGACCACAGCATGTGCCATCACGCCCAGCTAATTTTTAAATTTCTTGTAGAGATGGCGTCTCCCTATGTTGCCCAGGTTGGTCTTGAACTCCTGAGCTTAAGCAGTCCTCCTGCCTTGGCCTCCCAAAGTGCTGGGATAGAAGCGTGAGCCACCATGTGTAGCCTGTTTTCTTAATTAGTGTACCTCATTTACAGATTGGTAAACTGGACACTCAGCCTTTGCAGAAATGTATATTTGATGCCACCTCTCAATCCTGTTCAGGCTGGATCCCCTCTTGCCAGTGTCTTCCTCTTGGCCAGCATCCATACTTCCGTTATTACAAAATATATGCCTCTGCAGGTGCTGTTCTTGGTCCTAGCCAAGAACCAAGAGTAGCCAGACAAAACCTCCAGGACATGATTAATTGAACTGTGCTGTGTTTGGGGTCAAGACGCAGTCATGATAGTTACCCTGGTAGCTGCTTTCTTGCTTTCATTAAACAGTGCCTTTAATTCAGGGACCACAAAGCATGGTACAGGCATTAATTGAAAGTACAACACCCCGTGAGGTAGAAGTTGTTATAGTTATCTTCATATCTCCTGGGGAGAGACCCCAGCCCAGAGAATCTCAGCATCACCATTCATGTCAGGCAATTGGGAGAGCCTGTTGCATACAGCTCCTTAGTGTGGGATGTCTTCCCTGCCAGCAGGGCCCTGAATTTTCCTGAACCCATAGCCATGTGGTAGGTGTGAGCTGTTTTCCAAAGGTGACCTGTGGTGGGTATATTCCCCCTTGGTGAGTTTTTTTTTTTTTTTTTTTTTTTTTTGAGACAGTGTCTTACTGTGTCACCCAGCAGTGGTGTGATCTCAGCTCACTGCAACCTCCGCCTCCCGGGTTCAAGCAATTCTCGTGCCTCAGCCTCCTGAGTAGCTGGGATTATAGGCCTATGCCACCATGCCCAGCTAACTTTTTGTATTTTTAGTAGAGTCGGGGTTTCACCATGTTGCTGAGGCTAGTCTCGAACTCCTGACCTTAAGCAATCTGCCTGCCTCAGCCTCCCAAAGTGCTGGAATTACAGGTGTGAGCCACCATGCTTGGCCTCCTTGACAAGTTCGGAGGTCTGAGAATGACAATCACAGAGAGGAGAGGCTTTCCTGCCAAGGTTTAAGTCATTTGCTGGCCTTGCAGGCAGGCACCTTCCATGTGAAAATGCACATTTGGTTGATTGATGGGGCGTAGGAGGTGGTTTTATACATGGTGCTGTCTTTGGCATAGCATTGGTTTTCGAGAGAAGACCTGGGGTGACCAGCCTGCTAGGCCAAGTTCAGCAGTAAACTCAAGTCAGCAATATATATGTGGCGGTCCTTAATCTGGACCAGATGAAGCTACATCACACACAAATAAAAAACATGTTGAAGGCGGTGGCTGGTTTGAATTTTCCTTCATCGGATGACTAGAATACAATGGAGTTACACGGAATTTCTTCTGAGTCAAGTCCAGATTTCTAACATAGATGCAATGATTTCCCTCTCACATCTTCACTGATTTTTAAATTCTACGGAGGTTTTGGCTGAAGACACCTGGTGAAATTTCAGCTTTACACGAATGGGTTCTCACTTATTTTATTCTGTCTTAGAAAGTTGAACGGCGACTGGAGCTTACCAAGAAGGAGAACTTTATCTGTGTAGTTGGCCCATCATGGATACGTGATTCTGTGAGGCTGAGTGTACCTCTGAAAAGCCTAGTGCACTCCAGAAGGCAGGTGGAAGGTGTTGTTTGAAGTGAACCCTATTTTATTTTTCTCAAGAAATTCTTGAGCTGATTCTGTGACATGAACATCTAAACAGAGTAACCAGATTCCAACTGCATGACTCGAATAGGTTTACACATTTTTCTTCTGTCCCGCCTTTCAAACAAAATGGTAAATAACTTCATTTCCAGGCCAGTTTAGCATTCCCATTTTTTACCCTGATGAGTCTCATTTTAATGAGCAATTTGCTTTATCCAGTAGTGCATTAGTGAAGTGTTTCCTGATTTTATGCGGCAAGTGTTTATGTGCAGTCCTGTAAGGCCTTCCTCTTGGTGAATTCCTTTCTCTACTAGTGAACTATTTAAGGCAGACAATATCAACACCAGGTAGTGATAGTTCCAGTTTTATGGGACGTCCTTGTTAGCATTCAGGTATCCTTGATTCTCCCCTCTGCCTAAAGGGAGTGTCAGTTCTTCTGGGGAGGGTTAAGTTCTCTCAGTGTTAATCACTCTTTCTTAGAATGCCAAGCCCTGCCAATCTTCTCTTGATGGGGTAACTTTACACTGTGATACCAGAGACCTGTGGTCCCTGTAAGCAGTTACCTTGTTTTCCTTCTTTTTTTTTTTTCTTCGATACAGAGTCTCGCTCTTTTTCCCAGGCTGGAGTGCAGTGGCGCGATCTTGGCTCACTGCACCCTTTGCCTCCCAGGTTCAAGCAGTTCTCTGCCTCAGCCTCCTGAGTAGCTGGGATTACAGGCGCCTGTCACCACGCCCTGCTAATTTTTGTTTTTTTAGTAGAGACGGGGTTTCATCATCTTGGCCAGGCTGGTCTTGAACTCCTGACCTTGTGATCCACCCGCTTCGGCCTCCCAAAGTGCTGGGATTACAGGCACGAGCCACCACGCCCGGCCTCTTGTTTTTCTTCTTTTTGATTTTTTGAGACAGGGTCTCATTCTGTCGCCCAGGCTGGAACACAGTGATACGATCATGGCTCATTTAAAACTGATGTCATAACCCTGCAGAATCTACCGTACACTTACTATGTTGCATGAGATCTCCTTGAACACTCGTTTCTGGGTAATTCGTCGATCTGTGTTTTTAGACGTGATGTTAGTTTGACTTTTTACACGGAATGAGAATAAGATCATCAACCCACTTTATTCTAATATGAAACAAAAGCCATTGTGACTGAAATGGAGAGTTCTGTGTGACTCACACCACCATATAATATGCTTTGTACACAGAGTTCCAAAGAGATTTATAACTTTTAGGCACCATTTTATTATAGCTCGTACTGATGAAACTCAAGAATGGACAAAGTCTTTTTAACTTCCCCAAGATAAAACTCAAACCTCTCTCTACAACCAAACAAACAAAAACGTCTAAGAATTTAGGTTTCAGTCACAAATTCCTAGATGATATTGCCCATCTCTTTATTGTAAAACTGTACCGGTTGTTTTTTTCCCTTCAGCTTGTCAGAGCTATTCCCGACAGTCAAAGGCACCACCATCAGACAGTTCTAAGAAGGGAATTTGGCTTAATTCTCCACATTGTTCTTTCAGCTAGATACGGTGTACAATCAAATTTTGCTAAGCTTACATGGTTGCCACTCAGAATGATGAATTCTCTCAGCTACCAGTGTATAATGTAAGACTCTTATTTTCCCTTTCTTTGTTTTAGGTTAGAAAAATTAGGCCAGGCGCGGTAGCTCACGCTTGTAATCCCAGCACTTTGGGAGGCCAAGGCAGGCAGATTGCCTGAGCTCAGGAGTTTATGACCAGCCTGGGCAACACGGTAAAACCCCGTGTATACTAAAATACAAAAAAAGTTAGCCAAGCCTGGCGGTGTGCACCTGTAGTCCCAGCTACTTGGGAGGCTGAGGCAAGAGAATTCCTTGAACTCGGGAGGCGGAGATTGCAGTGAGCTGAGATTGTGCCACTGCACTCCAGCCTGGGCGACAGAGTGAGACTCTGTCTCAAAAACAACAACAACAAAAAAAAACGAAAAAAACCAAAAAATCAAAAATTAGCGGGGCATGGTGGTAGGTGGCTGTGTCACCAGCTACTCGAGAGGCTGAGGCAGGAGAATCGCTTGAATCCAGGAGGTGGAGGTTGCAGTGAGCTGAGATCACGCCACTGCATTCCAGCTTGGGTGATAGAGTGAGACTGTCACAAAAAACAAACAAACAAACAAACAAACAAAGCCTTTACTCCTCTAGACCAGCTAAATGGTTTGCTAATATCAAGAAGATGGACGAATCACGAGGTCAGGAGATTGAGACCATCCTGGCTAACACAGTGAAACCCCGTCTCTACTAAAAAATAGAAAAAATTAGCCGTGCATGGTGGTGGGCGCCTGTAGTCCCAGCTACTTGGGAGGCTCAGGCAGGAAAATGGCGTGAACCCGGGAGGCAGAGCTTGCAGTGAGCCGAGATCGCGCCACTGCACTCCAGCCTGGGTGACAGAGTGAGACTCCATCTTAAAAAAAGAAAAAAAAAAAAGAAGATGGGGCCTGATATATTATTTTAGGATCCAATGGCACGTAATCTTTCTTCTTAAGTTCTAATGGCCAAGAATACTATAAAAAAAGAAACAAATCAGCATTCATTTCCTATGAAAATTGAAATCAGCTTAACACACTGATTAATTATCTCATTCTTCTGAAATCATGATATATAGTCTTTTTCATGTGTGTTTGCCTTTCTTAAACACATTGGGAAGCAAATGTTTTATTTTAGCTGTATTTGAATTTGGAGGCTAAAATAATATGATTTTGAATGGAATATTTATTTGTGATGAAGGGATTTTAAAAAACAACAACCCCATATCTATTACATGAGGGACACAAGACGAAGAGGGAGATTGCCTTTTGGCATTCTTTTTGTGACAATTTCACAAATCTTTATTAACTGAATAGAAAAAAAGCTGCGTTAGGAAGGGAACTAGAGAGACTCCATCATCTGTTCCCCTGTAGGTAATTTTTACACCTTTTTCAGTATTTAAATACTTCTTAACTGCTAGATGTCCATCTGTATCCCCTTCTTGGGTCTCAGAACTAGTGTATGAAGCATGACCTTGTAACTTGCTTTGTTTATACATCTGTCAGGACAATATGTTATCTTTCCTTAAAAATGCAAATGTGCTTCTTGCAATCCAGAGCTCTTCAGTCAATAAATAAATTGAGGTAAAGACTGTACCTAATACCCATTTAATTTAAATTCATTTTATAAACATAAAGACGCCTTTTAAGAGAAGCTTTAATTCCTACTAGCACCTTGATTTGTGGTTACCATGGAGAATCAAATCTGTCATTTGACAAGAAAAGTCACCCATTTATGACAGCACTTTATCTTGTCTCTCCAGGGGAAGAAAATGTCAAAAGTGAGAGCAGAAAAAAAATAAAGCCTTGAAACACCAGAATTTCTTGATTTCATTTTTATTATTCAGCTATCATATCCTTTCTGATAATAGCAACTTGGTGAAAATAAATAATGTTCCTACAGTAAAATCAAATATTTCCTATTGGAATGGACAAGGTTCTTTGTGACTGTCAGTGCTGTGAAGTCTGGCAAGAAATAGTGTTATTAGATAAACCTACGGTGCCCAAATCCCATTTTCTTTTCATTATAGTGTCAAAATAATTATACCTGTGTAATTTGGGTAAGAAATTGCAGAATAAGTAAAATGGTCCATTGCAAGAGATTGCTTTACGCTTGTGTTCCTTACAGGGTGGGGTTTCTACCAGCTAAAGAAATAAATGCTGGGGAAAGTATTTTCATTTGAATAAAGATGTAGAGTAGGTCTTCCATATTATTTGCTAAATGGATAGGTAAATGCTATATTCTGTTATTTTGCTCACATACCTATTTTGCAAATCAGAGTAAAAAGGCAGAATATTTCACCTTGTCAAGCACAGGGATATTACACTTTCCCAAAATTAAAAAAATGTATATTTCGTTTGATCTGATGCTTGTTTGGGGTTTTTGAAAATGGGGTTGCACCTTGAGAAATTGACAGTATGTAAAGTTCTGATCCTGGGTGATTTCTTTATAGCTTGACATGTGTCTATGTAATGTGTGTATGTGGACATGTATACATTGGAAGGATTTTTGCCTGCATGCTGCTTTCATGGTTAAACTCTTTTTTGAGATTTGCATTGCATTAAACAAAAATGTTGGCATTCTGCTCACATAAGCACATGAAAATAATCTGGGCTGCATCTTTCTTGAGGGGCAATGTTTTTGATTGTTGGAGTATTATATAGCTTGATGTGGTCCAGAAGTGAAGTAATCTTGTATCAATGAGATAGCATTGTAATAGCAAGCCCTTTAGTAAAGGTTTAGTGTAAATATCTGACTGGTAGGGGAGCTGGTTTCTGGAACAGTTGTGCCTCTGTGAGATTACGAAAATGGAGAGAAAGAAAGGGCTGAACTCTAATTTTCCTGAAATTGGTGCGTGGTGCTGGAGTTGTAGCCAATACTGGTTGAGATGTGCTGCAAGGAAGCCTGGAGCACAATAGTCCCTGTCCTGTGCCCCCATGTTGGGCACTGGGAAGCGGAGTGTGTTTTGCTAAAAGGAAGAAAGTAAAGAGAAGAAATGGCTAAGGCTTGTAGTAAACAAACTTACCCATAAATATCAATAAAATCCTATTTCCCAGGCATATCTCTTCGAGTGCTTTGATTGTGCATGTCAGAGCAACTGCAAATTTTGACCCAGTGGTTAAGCCCTTTCCCCTAGTATTTTTGTGTACAGGAGTTCTCAGTTGCTGCAGTGTGAGACATAGTATACTAAAATATGCTTTAGAGGGATTTGCACTAAATGCGAATCTGCAAAAGCACTGTAATTCATAATTAATGCTTTCTTGTTTCACACTCCTGAGTCCTTTTGGTCTTCTACTTTGATAAAGTTGTTGCTTTAATTTCATGGGGGTAGAGATGGAGAGGTGGATCAACCCCTCAAGGACTTGGATCTCTTTTGTGATTACCGAGGATATTTTAGGTATGTACCTGGCAGAAAGAGAGGATTTGTTTGATTTTTGATGAAAAATGGTCCATGCTAATTGATAGTAAAATTGCAATATAGCACAGTAATTGTAATTTACCTAGAAGTTCTAGGATCATGTGGGTACAGTACTACTGCATATTTTCTTAAATCCAGTGTGCATAAATTCATTAGGTTTGCTTTTCTGACTTTGATTTTATTGGATTGCTAATTTTGAAAATGGTATTAATCCACAAGTATATTATGATATAAATATGTTATTACTGTCACTTTCACCCTGATTTCTGTGGATTTCAGATGCTTTTTTTTTTTAAGTTTCATAGTGAGGATTAGCAGAGACATTTAAGAACATGGCAGAGATGTGTGAATGAGTAAACTCTGTCTTCAGTAGCCCAGCATTCTGTCAGCACTCTCCAATACCCATCTTTATATCCTAGCATGAGAACTCGTGTTTGTGTATTCTGCTGTCTTTAAGGGTAAATGACACATCTCTCAGATAAGTTACCAGGGCAGTCTTTTTCATATGGGGCATTTTCTATAGCAATAACCTGCTAACACTCTTTCTTTAAAAATAAAGCCACTGATATGAGTTGACATAGATATATCACAGAAAAAAAAAAAAACTACCAATAACTGACTTTCTGATATTCCATGGGTTGCTTTTGATAGTAGAATTACCACGTTGTTAGTAATAAAAATACCTAGCATATTTGGCACTTACTAGATTTCAGTCACTGTGTGATTTGGGTATCTCACGACGTTTCTGTGGAGTAGGAACTGCTCTTATCCTCCTCTTCCAGACAAGAAAGTGATGTTGAAGAAGACAAATACATTGTCCTGAGTCCCCAAGCTAGTGTGTAGGGGAGTTGGGAACAGGCTTCTTCCATAGTCTCTAGGAGAGAAAAGGAAGGGCTGACCCTCAAGGGGAACATGTAAAACAAATTTCGGTTCTTATTCTGATGTTGACAATATGTATATGAAATATCAGCTCCATACATTGTGAATCAGGTCTCACGTGCTGAAAAATGAGATGTACAAGAAAACCCGGCACCTTCCATCTAGTGGAGCTTCTTTGCTTCTGCAATATTGAAAGTAACAGAAACCCTTATTTACATTTCAGAAATAGTTTCCTCAAATTTCCTGTTTTGCCTGACTTTTGTGTGTCCCCTCTCTCTCTCTTTCTCTGTTGTGCCTGCTGCCCTGTGCTTTGCAATACAGCAAGGGCGACTTGTTTGTTGGTTTCAAAAAGTATGCCCCATATATCTTTGCTAGGGAAGGGCTGTTGCTACCTCCCTCAAATACTTGAATCATCTGAGCAAGGGCAACTGTTATTCTTTCCACAGACATTACCTCCTTTCCCTCGGTTTGGCATGACTTTTTGGCTGTGATTTTTTGGAAACCCTTTGTCCATCCAAGTTACTTTACCTGAAGGCTTGCTTCATTGTGTTATTAATGTAGTCAAATTATAGTCGTGTTTTAATAACTTAATTGCACAAAAAAAGAACACTTTAAACTGAAAAGTGGAATGATGGTGTTTATTAAACCATTCTTGCATATTCCCGCAGATCTGCAATGGGAGATAAAGCAAGCATCAGTTTGCATGTGGCTGTCACCCCATACCCACCCGTAACTATCACTAATAGCTCTTTTCTTTCTTAGGTAACTTGCAAAAGGGAAATTGCAACTGTTGGAAGTGTGATCCTTTAAAATATTTTGACTCTTCGTATTAACAAAAAACATTTGGGCTTCTTCTCCCAAATTGAAACTTGGGCCTTTAAGAGCATGACGTGGGAGAGGTACCCAGAAGCAAATGTGTCTTGTTTCTCTCGCAGGTTGCAATTAGTTAATTCTTTGAAATCCCACCCCATCCAACATTTAAGAGTTTTCATTATTTGTTTTATGCAGTTTGTATCAAAAGCAGTCTTTTCTTAAACATTTAAATTTAGGACCCCTTTGAGAGCTAGTTTCCAAGTTTTCTTTAATTAAAAGGGAAGGGTGTTTAATGACTAAAAGCTAACATATAATGGGTTATTTATTGCTGCTTGTTAAATTAGTTGGAGTTGGTTTGGTCCTAGACAAAGTGAATATTAGATTTAAGGAGGGTGCTTTCCGTCTTTAGCTGGTCTGTTTTTGTTTGAAGTTGTCTATACGTAGGGATGTACTCTCAGATGTATGCCTCTGTATTTCAGACGGCGGGGGGGATGTGTGCTCGTGTGGCTATTTCCACGTCCGCCTGTCATTTTCTATGAAGAGTTTAGCACTGAAAGCATGTGTGAATGCATGTGTTACCGAGAATGCACACATTTCCTTTTAAAAAACTGACTATTTGTAAAGAGATGTATATCATTCATAAGAATTCCAGAACACTGCCCCCGCCTCATTCACTTTAGGGCATATACAAAGCTATGACATGGTTTTTGAAGTTTTTGCAGATTATTCAGTTACCAAATGTCGATCAGTTTAACAGTATATTGAAACCAGCTCCAGAAGCAGCACAGAGGAGATGCACATTTGAAGTTGCTCAGTGGTTTTCAGACTGGTGTGGGCCCTAGGACTACCTGAGTGCCAGTGATTCTAATTCAGTGGGTCTGAGAGAGATGGCGCTCAGAAAGCAGTTTTTTTTTTGTTTTTTTTTTTAAAGAAAACAAGTTGCTTTGATGATTCGAATCCACGTATTCCACAGACTTTTACATATGTTCTGAAAGTTAGGGAACTTTCGCTACCATCTCCCCATCAAGAGCAGCTGCATCATAGTTCTTCTAGAGCACAGTCCTCCTCATACCTTGAGGTGCATGGAGGTCAAGCTGCAGATCTTGTCAAAATGCAGATTCTTGTTCAGTATGTCTAAGGTAGAGGCTGGGACCCTGCATCTTTGATAATGTTCAGGCTGCTGGTCGAGGCCACACTTGGAACCTCAAGGTTCAGTCATTTATATTGTGGAGTTTTTGAAAATCAAATAAAAATTATAAAGCGACTCTTTGGGTGCTTTTTGTCTCTGTGGTTTTCTATCGAACACCTGTCTCTCTCTGTGCCTTAGCTCCTGCTTCAGTGGGTAACCACGTCTGTGAACATTAAGGAGCATTTTCACAAAACGTGAAAATACAGATGATGTGCCTCGTGTATGTGGAGGCACAGTGATTCTAGATTAGCCCCGGCGACCCTAGCTCTGATCACGCTGTAGGAGTATAGTTCTCCCAGCTGGACGGAGGGTTCTTTAGGATTCTTTAGAGACACTTTCTCTTACCTCTTCTATTGCTGCTGTTATGCAACAAAATAGAGCAAATGTAGTTCTAAACTCCAGGGTCACTGGAGAAGGGACATCTTACAAAGGGGTGCAGAGGGTGGTAAGAGAAGTAACAATCTAGCTCAGGATTTTCCTGCTAAAGTATAAATATTTGCTTAGTAAAGGATTAGACAGCAGAAGAGGTGGTTTGGTGGAAATACCTGCCAGGCCTGTTTCAGAGTTACAGCCCCTTAAAACTTGATGTGTTCATTGTCTTAAGACACAGATGTCTGGTTCATAATGCGTTTGTAAGATACTCTTTGCATAAAAAGGGATGAGGAGAGTCTTTCCATAAATACTTTATATTTTTATCTCTAGAAGGCAGAAGCTATTAGGATGTTGGTGTCTGACTTTAGTACATATTTGTAAATTCCCTTTACTCTTGGGCTCTTTGAAAGAGCAGTGTGATCAGAGGGCTTAACTCTAAATGTCATCAGCATTTTGGGGATGGTGTTTATTTCTTCAACGAGAATAAGATTCCAGATCCCAAAAATGATATTGATAATCTCAGTGAGTTTGGTCAGGCTCTCCAGGTTGGGGAGGGGCTTGGTTTTATTTGTTAAGAAGTAGGAGTTAAACTTCAGTGAGTTTTATGTGTCCATCAGTACCAGACATTGTTTGCTCCTGTGTTGAAATCCTATTACAGCCTATCCTTTGATGCGGCCAGTAGGGCTGCCGGGATCACACTGCAAATCTGCTTTGGCTGTTAGGATAGCCAAGGTAACCAGGTCTCAAAATATTCATGTGCATATATCATTCAGCTTGAATATTGCATCTGATAATTGGACCAAGTACTCCTTTGCCTAGTAGACATTATGAAATGACATTGGTAGGATGGAGTTTGGGGAAGGGATCTTGCTTTATTCTTGGTGTCTGTTTAGTTGGCTGGTCTTGGCATTTATCATGAAGCTGTGTATATATGTATTTCATTTTCTTAGGAAATTAGGAAGTGTGGGGACATACCCTGATACTGGCCCAAACATCACCAAGTGTGAATAGGATTGTGGGATTTGTGTCCTGGAAGTAATGCGAGGTAAGCTGTATTACAGGGGGCTGAAACTCAAATTGTTATGGCAGCCACACAGTTAATTTAAAAGAATTAAGCAGATGGGGTGAGAAGAGTAAAGAACTAGGCAGCACAGGCTTTATTTAAAGGGAGCTGTTGTTGCTGCCTCACTCCAGCCAGTTGTTGTCAGGACTTTGGGCCATATTGTTGGATTTTCTGATTTTTCTACAGATGCCAGAAAGCACTCTTGTAAGTAGTAAGAGTGGTCTTCAAATTCCTTGGAGATTTGTTCATTTCATCCATTGGGACTCCACTGAGTGAAAGGGGAAGGAAGGGAGGGAGGCCAGTGTGTGGAATTCATTTCATTTTCTGGGAACACCAGCTGATTTTGTCAGCAACTGAAAAGCTATCAAACAATAACATTTCACTGCAGTTGACTTGGGAGGGAGGCAGGCACTCCTGCTCTGTGACCATCAAAGGATGACAGGTCTTGACCAAAGCAGCATCCTCGGTAAAAAAATGTATGCCTTGTCCCTCCAAGTTCAACCCTCTCAAATATTAAAATACAACAAGAGCCTCCTTTGGGGGTCAGTAAGCCTGAATCTCATCATTTATCCCAGAGAAAATAAAATTATGTCTAGAAACTCATTCATTATTTTGCCAGTTCCAAATTGTCCCTATCTTGCCTTGCTGGCTCTTTGAGTTGCCACGTCATTAGAAAATAAGGTATCATTGTACGTGAATCACCTGGTTTTCTAGGTTGTTACCTATAAACATAGCTGCAACAGAATAAATACCTTTCCATTTCCCCCTCTTGGCATGGGGGCTGACTTAATAATTAAACTCCTGAGTATTTAGTCTTGAGACTAATTTCTGTAGTCTGAAAGAGGTTTCTGTATGTTAGAGCTTTTCATGATCCCTTTAAAGTTCCTTTTGATGATATTGTTTCCAAAGATGCAGAGTGGTAGGTATTAGAAATGGATATACATTCACCTTTTGGGGGCTCCGAGAGTGATTAATTTTAGAGACGTCGCCAGTAAATATTTGGCAATGACATGTACGTCTTTACCCTCCTGGCGCTGACTTTTGTCACAGAGAAGTGTGGGGCCACCTGCACAGGAGATGCATGTCTTCATAAATGAGAGAGGCAGGTTTCTTTTTCTTGAAACACTGCACTCTAGGAAGTTATTGTTTTACCTGTAGAATTACTAGCCCAGAGGTAGCCTGGAGTTAGCACACACATTTTTATTTGGGGCTTTAACAGTTCTTCTAGCAAGACCTTTTTCCTGTTTAATAACTAAGTAATTTAACACCTACACAAATGAGACCCAGTTTGCTTTCCTTTTTGGTTCTAGTATTTTCTACACATTTTTCATTTCGCTTAAAAATAGGGGATGGCCACTTGATGTGTTTGTCCCAGTGTTGAAAATATGGTGTATCCCTAAAGCTATTTTCACTGTCACTCTGCCTGATGTTAGCCTATCGAAGCATTTGACTACTGGTACTTTAATTACTGTATTGTTCATCAGGTTAAATTGTATTTAATTGGCTTTGTATTTTGTCTTTTTGTTTCAATGAAAGGATTACTGGGGGTGTTAAAAAAAAAACTCATTTAAATGAAGCTTCATCATCTAAAACACATACGAAAATTCTTTAAGATGTCTTTTATTCCAGATCTCTTTATCTTCCTTCACAAGCTTTCTGAGAATAAGTAGTGCATGTTGAGGTTTATCTTCGCTTTTATGTGCTCTAGCCACTTGCTTAACATTGAGCACATTTGAGTTGCATTTCATCGGGCTTTCACAATCCTTTTATAAAGGGACTGATCTGTTAACATCACCCTCTTTAGATCTAGCAGACAGGATGTTCTTCCATACAAAGAAGTGCTCACAGTCTTTCTGGCCGGCCAGTAAGTGAATGATTTCAGGCCTGGTGGGCAATACTTGTGTCCATGCGTAACACAGCCCAACCACAGTAGTAGGCAGCTGCATGTAATTTTGAACTCCACTCATTGAACTGTAATAAAACAATATAAGCACTGCTTGGGGGGAAGATTGGATGCAGTTATCCTTACACAAGGCTCAGGCATATGAAAGCAGTGCTGGCTGACAAGAGGATTTTGAGATTTGATTTTGATTGAATTGCAGAATTGAACAGGCCAGGAATGTCAGTGGAAGGCTAAACGCCTGTAGTGCCATAAAGTTTTATTCATGTGAGGCTTTCCAATATCAAGTAGATGGATTATTGGAAAAGGTGTCAAGGGACATGAAATGGAAGTGCCCAAAACATAAAATGTAGGCAGGAGGGAGAAATTACTTCTTGCTTAGTATATATAATTAGGTCTTCAAAAAAAAAAAGAATATTCCATAAAATTGTTTATTCTTCCCTCTTTAAATTAAAAAAATGACCAACTCATCTTATCACTTACTACTTATTTTATGCCATCACAAGAAACAGTATTTAGACAGGAGCTTGTCCTATGCCATTCTTCAGTTTTGTTCGAAATTAACATAGGCTTTCTTTAAGAGAAAGGGCAGGGTGAACCAAGAATATCACAGTACACTAGACATTAGGAACTATTATGTTCAGAAACAAGAGCAAGCCATGTGTTCACACATCCTAACACACTGACTTATTTCGTAGCTTGGTAATGCATACAAAATCGTACACAAATTTGCATCGGACAGCTGAGATCAAAATTTCTGTGGCATTAGAGAGTGGCATTCACTGGCAACGAGCTTGTCATTCTGCAGTGAAGTTATGAAGAAGGTTGAGCTGGGGAGGGCGAAGTTCATTGTCGTCCCATTCCTTATCAGTATGTAGAGTTTCTGTTCTGATAGCAGGTGAAGTACATCTAAAAATTGCCAGCATGGAGGTACAGAAACACCTGTAGTTTTTTAGTTGTGAATCTATTTGTTTAGCATTTCTAACCAAAGTAGTTTCAGTTAAATCATTGAAATTAGGAACATAAACACATTGACTCTAATACGCAGGTGTGATTTTTCTTTGTCTTCCACCTACCTCTTCTAATGTCTTATGTATTTAGAAACCTGTTTATTTGTAAATGAGGCTTTGTGAGGTTAAAGTGGAAAACTTCAGAAGGAAATTTTAAAGGACTTATGTTTATAAAGCCCCTTTTCCTTTTTAATGCTCAATTCGTAGACATGTTGGGAAAGAAATTTCATGCCTTATGACTGAAGTCACCTCTCTGAGATTTTTTAAACTTTTATTTACCTCGTATTTCATAGACCTATGTGAGATTGTATTTAGTTATACTTTGTTATGGTTTAGCTTTTCTAAAAATAAACTTTGTGAATATTTATCTAATGAAACAATGATTCATTTATAAACAGCCCCTTAAAAAAGAATTCCTCAATTCGAGTGGTCAGATTGCATGATCAGTAAGTGACCCCTATTCATTTTACATTGCACCCCTTTCTTCCATAGGGTTTACATGGGCAAAAATTATATCTGAGAATAGGATTTTCTGCTGCTTGTAGAATTAATCCCTGTTTGTATGGGAGAGGACAAGAAAAGGTTGTTGAGGGCTGATGAAAGGAAACCCTCACAAAGTTGCAAAGAGCTGCCTTTGAACTTGGTAAGGTTCTAGGAAATAGTCCTTTGCCTGGGCTGCTCCCAGCCATGAAATTCTGGGTTTTAAAGGAAAGATGTGTTGTAATGTTGCCCATCAGTGTACATCTTGGAGCCTCCTTGCAGGTTACTGCCACACACACACAAATGCATGAAAATTACATTTCACTTCTTTTAACACCGGATTAAGGGGAGCCACAGAGGGTGTTTAGGGTGGAAAATTTAAGGAGGCATTTGCTGTCAATGCTGATCTTGAACTTGGACGATCCTGAGAGCTAGTGCCTCCCTAAATTTTGCACCCTAGGCACCTTGCTTGCCTCCTATAATTTGGGCCCTGCTCTATTTTTGCAATTAAGAAAAACCTTGACCCAAGTAAAACACATCAATTTTTTGCTCTTTCTATATTTCTACCCTGTTTTTATTACCAAAATTTAATAATGACAATGAATATGATCATATAATATTGTTTGATTACTGTTTCTATGTAGTTTCCCCGAATTGGCAGGCATTCTGTTTCTGAACCAAAAACCAGTTTGGGGTTAGGTCTGGTCATAACACGCATTTTGTTCTTTGATTTCATTGGAGCTAGGGTTTGACATTAGCTAATAAACTTTGCATGCCCACGCCTTACTAAGTTGTACAGTTGCAAGTGTCCTCCATGAAAAAGACGTGTGCCGGCATTCCCAGGTCAAAGTTTGCTAAGCAGGTTTCTAAGGATTCTTACTTGCCAGTGATTTGGTTCTGAAATTGTGGCAATGGTAATTTGGTATTCAAAACAGAGAAGTTTGGAATAGGCATCTTAGCTGGGGACAGTAAAGCAGCCGACAGGAATTATCTTTGTTGTAGACACTACCACCATTACCTACTAGTTAAGGTATTTTGCAAAGTGTTCTTGAATGCGTCCCATTTTATTCTTAAGGAAAACTCCTTTTTGCGGGTACCATTATTACCTACTAGTTTACATATGAGGACATTGCTGCTTGGAGAAATTAAATCATTTACCCAAGTTCACAGGTCAATAACAACAGACCCTAACCCATGAGCCAGTGCTCTTAATACCAGTGATCTTAACCACTGTGTAGTCTTTGCTATGTTCCATTAATTGTCCAGGGATATTATTATAGGTACAGTTTGTCTTTTGGGAGAGGTACCAGAATTTCTTTCTTAAGTATTGCTTAAACCTTACCAGTCAACAGCCTTTCTTTGCAGAATGAGGAAAGCATTTAGTGCCCATACTGTTTTCGCAGACTTAATGGAGCAGGATTTTGTACATTTCTTTGTGGAAGCTGTTCAGAGAGGTGTGTGTAAGGGGAAAGGAAGCAGTGGGAATCCTTCACCCTGGTCAGGGGATAAAGATCTCCTGATAGACTAGGAGGTGTCTGTCAGTCACTAAGATTGAAATCTTAGAAGGAGTCTATTTCTGTGCTGGGGTTCCGTCCCCAAGGCTGGCAACATTCACATTCCTCGGCAGGGAAGCGTTGTTTAGAGGCATCAACCCGTGAAGGGTTCCATGAGGCCTGGCACTATCTGATGTGTGGTGTGTATGAATGAAGCCTCTTTCCTCAAAGCTGAAATCAGTTTGAGAAAACTGGAAGAATGAGTCATTTGAGGTTCTTCTCTCTGAACGTGTCTACACTTGTCTCTGGCTGATTCTATACTTGCATAGTTGTAAGTATACTGTATAGATTCTATACTTGCAAATGTTGAAATTTCACTATGATCTTGAGTAGGGTGAAAGAGAAAGACATGATATCCAAACCCCTCTCCCCCTGCCCCATTCTGGTGAGTATTCAAGTTTAATAAAAATATATGAAAAAGGCCAGATTCTTTTAGAAGGGCTTTGCTTCTATCTGTTGCAACCTGTGTCTGAACAGGTAGGGCACGCTGGACGTGGATGAGCTTCCTTTAAAGAACCATGCTGCTAGCGTGAACCTCATCCACACGCTCCCTTAGTGGGTCCTCTCAGTTTCTGTCTGGTAACTGGACATAGGCCTCGATGGTTTCATCTGTCCAGAAGGGAAAAGTACAATGGAATGGGAGCAGGTTGGTATGCAGACCTGTGGAACTAGGCCACTGACCTACTTCCTTCCAGCTGGAGTGATGCCCTTTCAGATCTGACTCCAGCCATGTGGCACCTGGTTGCCAATCACTGCCCAGATTGGCAGGTTCCTCCCTGACTCAGGCCATTCATCTAAGTGGATGTGACTGTTTGTAAGCTCGTTGGGGTGCCTCATAAACTAGCTTGAGAATGTGTAAGGCAGAGGGGCCTGGAAACATAGTGGCTAAATTTAAACAGTCATTCTTGCTGTATGTGTAGACATAGGTGTAGACAGAGGTATTCAGGCCACAACTACATGCTAACTTGTATGGTATTCTAAATAAGGTATTTGGATGATCACTGGCATTTATTTACTGAGGTTTCCTATGCAGAGCCCAGATTCCTGACTTCTTGTAACAAACCAAAAGATGTAGTAACACCAGCCCCTCTCCCATGCTGGGGTCAAGTGCCCATTTAGATGGGGCTTGTCAAAGCTGTCTGTTAGGGATGCATTCCCACCCACTCCCTAGTGTTTGAGTCCCTGCCTGCTTCATCCATTGAATCCATTGAAGCAACTGCCTGGCCCCTATGGGCATTTGAGTTTGCAACCCTGATGGAAAGCGTGTCCTGAAATAGATGTACTGGTATACACAAGTATGTAGACATAATCTGTATTGACACTTACTCCTGCTGAGGAATGTGCAGCCAGATTTCTGGAAAGTGCCAGTTTTTAAAATCCCTTCAATGATTTAAACCTGCTGGAAGCTGTGCATCCCATCTAAACAATGGGATCCATAGAGAAACATACTCATTGGAGAATTACGAGGCATATAATTTTGTCTTTAAATTCTTATGAGTGAATTGTAAGAACATGACTTCATAGGAACCTCTGAGACATTACAGTGTTTTAATAACACTTTGCTGCTACATGCAGTGGTTCATTTTTACTTTTATTAATTTTTTTTTTCAGTGTGTGGCAGCAGGTGCCCTGGGCACCTCAGCCCTATCTCTAGCTTCATCCTCCTCTGCCTCTGGGAAGCCGCCTGGCTCCCTCCCTCCTTAGGGCAGAGGCTCCAGGGGGCATGTCTTGTCTGCGAAGAGTTTACGAGGTTTCACCCACTCCTTCATTCTTGAACATGCTTTTTCTCTGCTTATTACCCTCCCTGTTTCCTCCTGGGCTGCCAACAACATATTATATTACCTCCATCTGCAACCAGAGCTGCTACCACCACTGTGCCCGAGCCTGAATTTTCATAGTTATATTAAAAAAAATCAAGGGTGCCCACAAGTGACAGCAGCTTTTATGGAAGCCAGTCTTAGCAAGATGGCAGAGCACCCATTTCTCCATGAGGCCCAGGCTTCTCAGAGAAGGGCAAGAACTGTCTTCTGCTTTGGCCATCGTGATGACACATTGAATGCCTGAATTCATTCACTCACTCACTCACTCACTCACTCACTCACTCACTCACTCACTCACCTATGAGTTGTTTTCAATAGATACTTGTATGTGTTAAAAGACACACATAGGCCGGGCACGGTGGCTCACACCTGTAATTCCCAGCACTTTGGGAGGCCAAGGTGGGCGGATCACCTGACGGCAGGAGTTTGAGACCAGACTGGCCAATATGGTGAAACCCCATCTCTACTAAAAATACAAAATTAGCTGGGGTTGGGTCACGTGCCTGTAATCCGCAGCTACTTGGGAGGCCGAGGCAGGAGAATCACTTGAACCCAGGAGGCGGGGGTTGCAGTGAGCTGAGATTGCGCCACTGCACTCCAGCCTGGGCAACAAGAGTGAAACTCCATCTCAAAAAAAAAAAAAAAGGTATAAATATCTATTGATAGATATTTATATCTATTATTAATATGCCAGGCATTGTTAATTTCAATACTGTGTAAAAACAGACTTGGGGCATACATAACACAGAAACAAATGGGAAATTTGAATTATAGGGAATTCAACAAAGAAAGGCCCTTTATATAGGGCAAATTGACTTGGTTGAAAGCCATGGAGTTCATACTACCTTAGAATCTTAGAACTTCTTGAGAAGCTCTGGACAGAGCTCATTTTTATTTTCCAGAACCTTTGGGAGGCAGTATATTCCATGGTTAAAATGTGGACTTCAGCATCAGCCCCATTCCGGTTCAGGCAAAACACTGCTGAGCTGCCATTTACATTGCTGGAGATGTGTGTGGCACTCGTTTCAGTTGTGCAGTACACCTCCTTCCCAGCTGTTCACAGCAGCCCTGATTTAGGCAAAACTGAGTTTGAATTCCTGCTTTTGCCACTTACGGTTTGTGAAGCAGCCTGTGTTTCTGTAGCCCTCCCACACTTGGCCTCCTCATTGGTAAAATGGGGGTTATGGCTCTTCCCTCACAGGTACCATGGAGAACACTAAGGACTAAAGGTATGTTGAAGCTATTTATGTCATGCCTGCCACGTGGTCTGCACTCCAGAAGTACTTGCTATTGCTGTTATTGAAATGAAAGATCTCCCTTGCACATCTTCCCCTGCCCGGCCACATTGTGCACTTTGAAAAGGATATCCTTCACATTCGTTTTCCAGAAAATTGAGGTCACTGACTTATTTCCTTCTTGAACCCTCTACCCTCCAGTCCCCATGGCCATCCCCACTCCCCCCAATCCCTTGGGTTAAGTCACAGCAGAGGCATGTACAGAGCATCCCTCGCAAACATCAGTTGCCTTTCTGTCTGCAGCAGGCCTGTTTGATTTTGGCTTCTTATCTGATGTAGGGAAGAAGCCGCACTCCTCTGAGCCTTGGGTAGGCCAGTTGTGGGCTGGCCCGTAATAATACAATTATGAAGGTTAACAGGAAAAAGTGGGGTCCAGGAGCAATTCCAGGCAGCTGGCAGGCCTGCTGAATTGGAAGCGCCCCACCAATGAAAACTGCAGCAAGAAGCAAATTAAACCTCCTATCTGCCATCTCACTCTCTTTTCTCCCCTTTCCTGTTTGGACTTGAAAGGCGATTGGAGCCAGGGCCCTGACAGTTGACGGAAGTGCTGCAAGGAGAGAGTATTTATTTACAGTGAGTCGTGGTGATGCTTGTTCAGGATGCGGTTTCTTGCAGGAAGTTCTGTCCCCACCCCCGGGTTTGATCATTTCTCCAAAAAAAAAAAAAAAATCCTTGATTGTTTGAGGCCTCCTCTCTGACTTGGAGCAACATTGTAGAACCTGTCTGTACTTGGAGGGTTTGCTGAGTGCACCTTTGTAGGAGGGCCTGGAGTGGGACGAGAGGCAGCCAGTGGGCCTGGCTCCCTCCAGATGTGTTCAGGCGCAGCAAAAATCATTAGGCATTGAAAATAGGGAAGTAGGCCGAGTACACGTGTGGTAAGCTGTGGTTGGCGCAGGCCAGTCTGTTCGTTAACAGAAACCAGTGCCAATTGACGTTGATGTACTAGGCGTTTGAGAGAGAAATCACTTTGAGGCAAAGTCAGTAGCTATAGTGCATAGGGAGTGAGTATTTAGGTAGAAACCAGTTGGGCTGGGGCTGGCTGGTGAAGCCCCTCTGAAGGAGGCTGAGTGCCAAGCTGCTGGTCCAAAATGTGGGGTGCTTTTTGCCTTTGGGGGTCTCATAGAATATTGGGAGAGAAGGGTAAAAGGGGAAATAGTATTCTGTTGAAGAGGTTATTTTGGTATATTCTTGGATCATCATAAGGCCACCCTACAATACTATAGAATTTTCTCATCAGCTGAGAAATAGCCTCCATTCTTTATTTAAAAGTATATACAAGTGAGAAAAAAATGACAAAAGGATACAAAATGAGACTCAGCTCCCTTCTTTAGTTTCAGAAATCCCTAGAGCAGGTCACTTGGCAGCTTGCTAGGGATGCAGGTTCTGGGGCCCTGTTGGAGGGAGAGTGGCAGAATCAGAAAATCTGGCATGAGGGCTGGCAGTCTGTGTTTTAACCAGCCCTATAGGCGATTCTGATGGTCATGACTGTTGAGAAGCATGGAGAGAAGGCAGTGGCTTTCCAACTCGAGTGTGCATCAGGGTCACCTGGAGGGCTTGTTAGACCGACAGACGTGAACCCAGAGTTACGGTTAGATAGGCGGAATACGTGCCCATGTCCTGTTCACAGTAGGGCGACTGTCATTAACAATAAAGTATTGTATATTTCAAAAGAGCTAGAAGAAAGTATTTTGAATGTTCTCATTACAAAGAAATGATGAATGTTCGAGGTGATGGATAAGCTAATTACTCTGATTTTATCATGACACCAAATATACATGTATCAAAACATCACACAGTACCCCATGAATACATACAATTATTGTGTGTCAGTTAAAAACAAAATAAGGGCCGGGCGTGGTGGCTCACGCCTGTGATTCCAGCACTTTGGGAGGCCGAGGCGGGTGGATCACCTGAGGTCAGGAGTTCAAGACCAGTCTGGCCAATATGGTGAAACCCCATCTCTACCAGAAATACAAAAAAATTAGCCAGGTGTGGTGGTACATGCCTGTAATCCCAACTACTCAGGAGGCTGAGGAAGGAGAACCTCTTGAACCCAGGAGGCAGAGGTTGCAGTTAGCTGAGATCGCGCCACTGCACTCCAGCCCAGCCTGGGTGACAGAGCGAGACTATGTCTCAAAAAAATAAAAAAAAAATAAAAAAAGATTTAAATAAAAACTGCAGGTGCTGGAGCCCCACCCTCAGAGATTCAGATTAAGTCCCAAGTGGGGCCTGACAATCTGCATGCTTTCATTTTTTTGAGCAGGCAACTCCGCCTGCAATCCCCTTCTCCCTGGTTTTCCTGATGGAGCAGGCCTGGGCTTTTGACAAATCCAGACGTGGGAGTGACTGTGATTGTTGTCAAAAAAACAAAAACAAAAGAAAAAACCAAGACCATGGAATGGAGGAAGCTTCTCTGTGGCATTATTACTGGGGCCGCGGCTAGTTTGGTGCAGGATGATACTGACGACAGAGAGGACCTCCGTGCCCATGTAGCTTTCTCCAGACATCCCAGCACCCAACTCACTGCGCGAGACTTGCATGAATAATTTCACTAAAATCAGCTGGACGTTCTCAAGATTCAGAGGAAATCACCAGTGTCCTCCTGTGGGTGTCTCCTTGTGTGTTTTAGTTGATCTCTGAATGTGGTTTTTTTTTTTTTTTGGCTTTTTAAGGTCTTCAGCCATTTCTGACAGGTGCTGTAGTTGGCCTGTTGTAATATGCAAAACCTATACAAAGACGTGTCCTTAGTCCCTGTGTCAAGCAACTCAGTCTGGTTGGCTAATGGTTAATGTAGAGAAGTATGCGTACAATGTCAGGGTGTTACAGTATGGAGCTATGCAGAAGGAATGAACAACTGGGGCATCTGGGACATATATGGTCAAGCTCCACAAAAGTGGGGCACCAAGTCTGAACAGGGCTTTGAGGCATGAATATGAGTTCCCTAGATGGTTCAGCTCCTGAGATGTTTAGTGCTTGGGAATTCTCAAAGTTGTGTAGGCATGACTTCTGAATGGGAAGGTTCTGGTGAAGATATCGTTAAGAACGTAGTGGGTGAAGCCCTCTTCATGCAAATAACATCAGGCAGAACAGAGATTTATTATGTGCAAATGACAGTAACCTTTATAAAATCTAGAAAATAATTTTTCCCCAATTTCCCCTCGAATCCAAACATTCTTCTGCAGTCTGAGTGGGGTTGATAGGCTGCCAAGATGTTGAAGGGCCTCAGTGGGAAGGGACTTGGCTAACAGTTCCCAGTGCCAGTGTTCTCTATAGCGTGTCTTGTTGAGCACTGGTGCCCTGGCTTGCTGCCCACAAGCCAGAATGAGTTTGAGAACTTGAGGGTTTACGAAGCAGAGGTAAGAACACCACCCTGGAGGTCTTTAGGACTGATTTAAAATTCCACCAGTGGTACTGACTTTGGACACATTCCTCAACCTCTCCAAATGGTTCCCTGTTAGTGACGCCGGGGGCATCGTAGGATCATTCTCCTAGAGCATTTAGCACAGGGCCTGACATGTTAGTGACTACTCACTCCACTGCCTGCTCACAGGCATGGGTAAAAGGAAGAGCAAAACAAACAAGATGCCTGAACTGCTAGGCCAATCTGGAGCAGAGCTGCTAACTTCAGCGCTGTTGACATTTGGGGCCAGAAAGTTCTTTGTTGTGGGGTCTGTGCTGTGCACGGTGGGATGTGTAGCAGCATCCTTGCCTCTGCCATTCATTCCTGCCCATGACAGTGACAACCAAGACTGTCTCCAGACATTTCCACATGTATGTCCCGTAGGGGTTAAAGCTACCTTCTACTTCCATGAGAATGACTGATCCATAGTACAGTCCCACCTAGGGAGTTGTGCCATGATTTGCAAAGTTATTTACCCTTACTAAAGGCACTGCTAAGCTAGGTCTCTAATCTAAAATATGGAACAAAATTTCACAAGAGGCAGCTGAAAAAAGTTTTATATTATCCTGTTTGCAATAGGGAATGCAGTTACCTTTAAAAAACCTGAAGTACTATCATAGCTGACAGAAAAAGAGAATTCCTAACATATACCTGGTGCATGCTTTCCATTTAATACCAGTTTCACTTTAAAATGTGAGGAACAGGGTAGGGTCTTTTGCTTGTTTAGTTTTCCAATTTTTTGTTCCTTATTCTTATTTTGTTTTATTTTATTTTTGAGACAGGGTCTCACTGTGTCACCCAGGCTGAAATGTAGTGGCATGATTATAGCTCATTGCAGCCTCAACCGCTTGGGCTCAAGTGATCCTCCCACCTCAGCTTCCTGGGTAGCTGGGACCACAGGCACATGCCAGCATGCCTGGATAACTATTTTTTTTTTTTTTTTTGAGACAGAGTCTTGCTCTGTCACCCAGGCTGGAGTGCAGTGGCACGACCTTGGCTCACTGCAACCTCTGCCTTCCGGGTTCAAGTGATTCTTCTGCCTCAGCCGATTCTTCTGCCTCAGGCTCCCAAGTAGCTGGGACTACAGGCATGTGCCACCATGCCCAGCTAACTTTCTTGTATTTTTAGTAGAGACGGGGTTTCACCATATCAGCCAGGCTGGTCTTGAACTCCTGACCTCGTGATCTGCCCGCCTCAGCTTCCTAAAATGCTAGGATTACAGGCGTGAGCCACCGCGCCCGGCACGGTGTCTCACTTTGTTACCCAGGCTGGTCTCAAACACCTGACCTCAAGCAATTCCCCTGCCTTGGCCTCTCAAAGTGCTGGGATTACAGGCATAAACCACTGCACCTGGACTTGTTTGTTATTTTTAATTGTGGTAAAATACACATAACAGAATTTATCATCTTAAATGTTTTGAAGTGTAAGGTTTAGTTGTGTTAAGTATATTCATATTGTTGTGCAACCAGTCTCCAGAACTTTCTCATCTTGCATAACTGAAACTCCCTCCTCCCCTGGCAACCAGCATTCTACTTTGTCTATGAATTTGACAACTCTAGATACCTCATATAAATGGAATCATATAGTATTTGTCTTTTTGTGACTGGCTTATTTCACTTAGCATAATGTCCTCAAGGTACGTGCCTGTTACAGCAGGATTCAGAACTTCCTCCTTTTTTTTTTTTTTTTCCTGAGACAGAGTCTCACTCTCTCGCCCAGGCTGGAGTGTGCAATGGTGCAATCTCCGATCAATGAAACCCCCATCTCCTGGGTTCAGGCAATTCTCCTGCCTCAGCCTCCCAAGTAGCTGGGATTACAGGCGTGCACCACCACACTCAGCTAATTTTTTTGTATTTTTACTAGGGATGGGGTTTTGCCTTGTTGGCCAGGCTGGTCTCAAACTCCTGACCTGAAATGACCTGCCTACCTCGGCCTCCCAAAGTTCTGGGATTACAGGCTTGAGCTGCTGCGCCTGGCCCCTTCTCCCTTTTAAAGGCTGAATAATATTCTGTTGAATGTGTGTACATTTTGTTTATCCATCCTTTGCTGGACACTTGGATTGCCACCACCGTTTAAGTATTGTGAATAATAGTGCCATGAACATGGGTGTACAAGTATTTCTTAAGTTTCTTCTTTCAGTTCTCTAGGGAATATTCCCAGTAGTGGAAATGCTGGATCATGTGGTAATTCTATTTTTCCTTCTTCTAAGTTTTCTTACCTTTTCTTAGCTGAAAGAAATAGAATGCACTGCCCTTCAGACCCCTCCCCACCCTTTCTTGAAGGTTTTCATTACATCACTGCTACCTTTGATTCTTTCTCCCATTCCCACCCTATGCACATGGACACACAGAAAGGTTTTCAGGAACCAGGAAAAGGCAATCGTTTGCATGCATGGTCCCAGGGTTCTGAGCAGCTCTCGTGCAGCCATAATCACACCTTGACCACTTTGTCATCAGGACCTGTGCTGCTTGTAGCCTGAAGTCTGCCCGAGCTCTGCATCTGTGGCAAGGCCTGGCACCCTCACTGCCTGTCTGCCACCTGCATAGGCAGTCCCATCCTTGTGCAATTTAATGAAACAGTGGAGAGGAAGATGAGTTGTGAGAGCAGCGAGCTGGTGTCTTCCTTCCTATAGAGCCTTGGAGAGCGGGTTGTAGCTCCAACCTTAAGGCTCTGTTCCTTGCCTCCGAAGAGCTCCTGTCCCTGCTACCATCCACTCTGCCCTGTGGTCTCCACCAGTGGGGTTGGGGAGGGCTGGGTGGGATGCTCAGTCCTCCAGCCTGTGTAATTTACTTTATATTCCGGTTCTGCATTGACATTCTCAGTGTAAGAAAACAGGAGAGCAAAAAAGCAATATGTTGAAAAGCTTGTATCTATGGAGACTGGTTTTTTTTTTTTTTCTCCAAATTAGACTGAAACCTCCCTAAATCTATATAATTCTATTTGCAGAATGGGCCTACCAAGCCTTGTGATGAGGACTAGATCTTGGCCATCAACTGCTGGGGGGTATAAATGAGGTCCAAAAGACCCAAGGGAGAGGCAGTCTCAATGTTTGGAGACCAAAATTATGTGAGTGGAGGGGAGCCTGGAGAAGGTGGCCGTAAGTCGAAATCCCTACTGTGCTAGGATGCTAAATCCTTTTGTGAGCCAGAGTTTCCTCTGCTGATGGCCAGGAGGATGGAGAGTCAGCCGAGATAATGGAATGCACAGGAACTCATGCCACAGCAGGTTACTCTTAAAGGTGGATAAAGAAGTGGAAATAGGATTAGTCTTGCTGTTTTCACATTTTTGAAAGCAATCCAAAAACACCAGTACTTTCCGGCCGATGTAGCTCATATTAAACGAGGCTGCCAGAAAATGAAGAATAAGGGACAACATTCATTCATTCATTCATTCAGAAATAGATTTTAAGAGCCAAGAATTCAGTGCTGAGCAAAACCAGACACAGTGTTCTTAAAGAGTCTACATGTTATTCCATTCCTGTAATTCCTGTGCGTAACTGAACATGTTAGATGCCTACATTTTCCTGAAGGTAATAAATTGTTCAATTATTTTGTTTGCTTTTATCCCATTACTTTCATATAACTAGTAGAGATAGATTCCAGTGGTAGAATCACATAAATACATTTCTTCTGGAAATAAGTCACTGTTATTGTTTCAATCCATGTTAATTTTCTACCCCTCCCATCAGCAGATCCGTGGGCTCTCTTTGACTCAATTTCGTGTACACAGCTTTTCTTCACCTCCTGGAACCAAGCTTTTCTTTTTGTCTGCAAGTGCGGGTGGGGCCCTGTCCTCTTGAGGCAGCTTGTTTTTCACCTGATCATTTTTTTGGTTTGGGTCTCTTACGCCCCAGCCAGAGGAACAGGCTCTTAATTCCTGTCCAGCAGGGTTTCTTTTTATTCCCAAAGGCATTATGATGATCACAGACTCGGAAGTTCATGCTCCTCCACCCTTTGGGCTTGCGTTTTATGCTGGGTGGAGAGAGAGGATGGTGGAGCCATTGCTGAGTGTCTGTGATACCTTCTTCTTTGGGGAACACTCAGAGAGACCTGGGGTGTTCCTGTGATGGGACCTCATTCTGCTCCCTCACTCTGCCCCAGTCCAGTGCATCTGCCATTCCTGGTGAGTCAGGAGAGCCCAGTGGAGAATGGCTGTTGGCTTCTTGTACCTCCAAACTCTGTATGTATTCATGATTTGTTTTCTGTTTGTTTTGTTTTGTTTTGTTTTGCTTTTGAGACAGGGTCTCATTCTGTCACTCAGGCTGGAGTGCAGTGGTATGATCGTGGTTGACTGCAGCCTCAACTTCCCAGGTTCAAGCGATCCTCCTACCTTCATTTCTCAAGTAACTAGGACAACAGTTGTGCACCACCAAGCCTGGCCAATTTCTGTGTTTTTCATAGAGACGGGTTTTCATCATGTTGCCCAGGTTGGTCTCGAACTCCTAGGCTCGAGCAATCTGCCTGCCTTCCAGAGTGCTTGGATTACAGGAATGAGCCATCATGCCCAGCTCTGTTTTCCTTTTTATACATTCTTAGAAGTGACATTGTTGGATCAAAGAGACTGAGAAACGTTAATGCCAGCTTTCTGTTTTTCAGAATGGTAATACCAAGTTTGTTCTCAATCAGCTTTGTATGTAATGGCCCATTTCCTTAAACTCCAAATAATGTGGGATATTATATGTGAAAATATTCCCTAATTTGATAGGTGAAAAAATGGAATTGTGTTGATCAGCGTTGCTTTGATCGGTCATGGGGCTTACATTTTGTTTCCTGTGTTTTAGATAGATGTCAAAGTTACGCCAAAATTACATTATTATAGCAGACATTTTGCAGTATTCCTGCCTACAGATCACCACTTGCCTGGCTGGCTCCAAGTCGGAGTTGGTTTCCAGGTATTTTGGTGTATTCTCATCATCATTCTCGGAGGATGTGCTCCAGACTTGGTTTATGACTACAGTCGGTTCAGTGCTGTTGGCTTAGTGAATCCTTGAAATTTTTTGTTCTTTTCTTGTTAGTATTATAAGGGCCTATGTGAGTCAGTTCCTTAAGGGTTTTATGGAAATACATGGAATTGTAATAGGGACCATATTTTATGACTCTAAAACTAGGATTTCTGATTTTTATGAGAGTGAGTCATGTTTATAGGGACGATAGATGGGGTATTTGAAATGTGGACTGCAGTGTTAAATCCAGAAGGTCTCATCACCACCAGGGCCAGCATTCCCCACACTCCTCAGACCACAAGTTCGGCGGCACAGTTGTTCCATGCAGTAACTATGCTATGGTGAAAATAAGTTGGAAAACACTGGCTTATACCAGGCTGCATCTTAGGATTTTCAGGTTTTAGCGTAGTAATGTGCTTTGTTGATCTCAGAGGGATTGTGAACATGTGTAAAGTTTTCCAAATGAAACTGCTTTGGAGGTGGCAGGGGCTGTTGCGGGGAGACAATGCCTTTTGATGACCTGAAGAGCCCATACCAGGAACAGTTTGGGAAATATGTAATAGGAATAATTAGAAATTCCTACATGGTATATAAACCCACATTCCCTGAAAAATCAGAAATGGTTTTCAGTTGTGACATAACAGGGTATTAATATATGTAGACAGATTCTCCCCCCTTTCTTCCTTTCTTCCTTCTATCCTCCCTCCCTCCTTCCCTCCTTCCCTCCTTTTTTCCTCCCTCCCTCCCTCCGTCCCTTCCTCCCTCCCTCCGTCCCTTCCTCCCTCCCTCCGTCCCTTCCTCCCTCCCTCCGTCCCTTCCTCCCTCCCTCCGTCCCTTCCTCCCTCCCTCCGTCCCTTCCTCCCTCCCTCCGTCCCTTCCTCCCTCCCTCCGTCCCTCCCTCCCTCCCTCCGTCCCTCCCTCCCTCCCTCCGTCCCTTCCTCCCTCCCTCCGTCCCTTCCTCCCTCCCTCCGTCCCTTCCTCCCTCCCTCCGTCCCTTCTTCCCTCCCTCCCTTCTTCCCTCCCTCCGTCCCTTCTTCCCTCCCTCCGTCCCTTCTTCCCTCCCTCCGTCCCTTCTTCCCTCCCTCCGTCCCTTCCTCCCTCCCTCCGTCCCTTCTTCCCTCCCTCCGTCCCTTCCTTCCCTCCCTCCGTCCCTTCCTCCCTCCCTCCGTCCCTTCCTCCCTCCCTCCAGTCCCTTCCTCCCTCCCTCCGTCCCTCCCTCCCTCCCTCCGTCCCTTCCTTCCCTCCCTCCCTCCCTTCCTTCCCTCCCTCCGTCCCTTCCTCCCTCCCTCCGTCCCTTCCTCCCTCCCTCCTTCCCTTCCCTCCCTCCCTCCCTCCGTCCCTCCGTCCCTCCCTCCCTCCCTCCGTCCCTCCCTCCCTCCCTCCGTCCCTCCCTCCCTCCCTCCGTCCCTCCCTCCCTCCCTTCTTCCCTCCCTCCCTCCCTCCCTCTCTTCCTTCCTCCCTTCTTCCTTCCTTCTTTCCTGCTTCCCTTCCTTCCCTTCTTCCTTCCATCCCTTTCTACCGTCCCCTTTCCCTCCTTCTCCTTCCTCTCCTCCTCATCCTCAACGTCCACCTTCCCTTTTGTCTTGAAGTCTCTTACTTTAAGCTCTTATGAGAAAAAGAATGACATAGCTGAAAACTCATGTGTTAATTATCAGTTTAAGAACTGACGACATGCCGTAAAGCTGAATAGAGTGGGCTGTGAAATGGCCATCTAATACCTGGCTATAGAAGATCAAAGGCGAGAGAGACGGAGGTGACGGGGGCCTGTTAGCCAAGCGCTTTAAACTGTTTGGCGGTCAGGACTCCTTGGTGAAGCTGAAAAATCTCTGAGTCTCTCTATTTGTGTGTGTGCAGGCATGTGTGTATATAGTACAAATGTTCATCTTCTTACTACCCAGAATTAATAACTGTTGACATTTGGCCATATTCACCTCTACTCTATTACCTTTAATAAATACAACATCTGTGGTAAGAAGAACTCTACTCTACACCATTTAAGTCTAACTCCTCACCTCCCTCCATCCCCTTCCTTACACACACACACACACACACACACACACACACACCCCATCCCCTCATGAGGGTCACCGTGTCCACCTTCTGGTTTTACTATTTCATATACATGAGTGCCCAGGAAGGCTATATAGTGTTTTTGTGTGTACATTTCTTTAATTTGCACAAGTGTACATAATATGTATGTGCATAAAACTTTTAAAACGTAAGGCCTCAGGTACTTCCTGGACCCTGGAAGCCCATTTCTGGACTCCTGTATTGAGGGAAGTTGGGACTTGGGCTTGCAGCAAGAGGGACTTGGGAGGGACAGCAAGAGGTGCAGCCTGCAGGTGGACTCCCAGGACTGGAGTGGGAAGGAGGTGTCTTCTGAAGCTGTCATCCTGACTGCGGGGGAACAAGTCTTCGGGGGGGCTCTAGGATCCAGTGCCTAACGTCATTATTTTCTGTATCTTTCACTTGGCATGTAACACATACTTCTTCAGAGCTCCTTATCTTTGGAGATGTATTTGTCCTGTTTCTTCAAGTTGGTCTGTAAACTCCTTAAAAGTCAGGACTTTGAATCTTGATCTCTTCCCATCTCCTGTTGGGGCTTTACCTAAGAAATATTTTGTAACTCTTTTTCTGTTTTTAAAAGCATTTGTGTAGTAGACACATTCATTATGGTGCTTGGTCTTTAAATAATTTTTCGAAACTAAAACTTGAGGCATATGAAGATAAACGATTGCAATTTAAGCCAGCCAGGAAGCTGTAACGTGGGCTTGGGTTTCCATTTGGCATGGATCTGTGGCTGATGCGATCTAAGCTTCCCTGTGCCATCAGGGGATGGCAGACAATGCAGGTAAGTGTAGACACGCCTTTGCTTGCCTGCCGACCAGGGCATTCACATTCATCCAGGTAACCAGTCAGGGAAGAGAAAACTCACGTGGGGGATTGGATGGGCTTGGAGCTGCTCTCCCGAGTAACAGAAAAACAGGCTAGCAGGGTTCCAGAATACATTGCAAGCTGGGGAGAACTTATCTCACCAGGGAGGAAAATAGAGCCCCCGTGAACCTGTTTTATATTCTGTTTGTATAGCATGCACGTTTTTAATGTGGATTTTTATTTTAGTTTACAGACCCTTCCCCCTTGCACAATCTGAGATTATTCAAAGTCTCCCCTGCCTGCCCTCTCTCTGATGTGTGATGTCAGATACTGAATGTATTGGAAGCCTTTGCATGTTTTTATTTCTCATGGTTGAACCCGTAAAGTTGTTTCCCTGATCAATTGCACGTGCATTTCAGGAACACACATGAAACCCTTGCTCTGTTCTGATAGACACGTAGAGTGTTTATACATTTAGAGACAAAGGGACACAGCAAAAGTCTGGCACCTACAGTCTGATTTTATAGTTTTAAAAACAATGCCTAAAGTGGTTGGGGGTAGTTCAGGCTGACTTGCTGTGTTTTCTTCAGGGTCCTTGTATGTCAATAGTTCATGACATGATTTTTACCATTTGATGGCTGAAGTCTTACATATGCTAACATATATGAGTTACATATAAGAACATGTATAGAGTTACATGTAATAACTCTACCATCATCACTAATTTGCCCATCGCTGAGAAGAGGGTAAAAGGACAAAATGAGTTACTCAAGTCACTATTTTTTTTTTAACACCAAAAGATCCAAGAAGACCAAGCAGGTACAAAATGATCAGGGTGTTCTAACCATTAGAATCATTCAAATTATTTTGTCTGTCTTAAAGCTCAGACTCTGGTATATCCTTGGAAACATTGCAAAGAATAGTTCCTCAGCCAAATCATGGGGCTTTTTTTTTTAATTTTTTTTTTTTTTTTTTTTAACATGTTCACATTTCCTGTCAGTGTTAAGTGTCGAACTGCTTTGAAGGCTTGACTTAGGAGCTCCACACTTAAGCCTGAAAATGAATGTAAATGCTGTAAATGCTGAGTTCTGCTTCTTTGGATGGGGGGGATAGGGTGCTTGGGGATGGGGTGAAGCGATCATGAGTAGCGCTGGTGATCTGATCCCAGGATTCTGGTGCTGCAGGCGCCCAGGGTGTTAGGCCCAAACCCTTTGAAGCCACAACTGAGACACTGGAGCCAGCCCAGGCCCTGCCCTATGTTAGGTGGGGCGTAGCCTAGGGGACCTGGTGGAATAGGAGCAGATTATTAGACTGGGAGGGACAGGAAAAGGAAGCGTCCAAAGGGAGAGAAGAATGAGGGTCATTGGGCCAGGGCCCGGGAGGGGTGCGTCAATTGTGCTTTGAATGTAGGGAGGGGTGCAAGGTCAGAAGCTGGTTCAGGGGTGGTGAGGCAGGGAAGGGGAAGGGGAAAATGCTCTGTGCAGGGCCGGGGAGGAGATGGAAAAATCAACTCGATGGGTGCAGGAAAGTAGCAAAAGGGAATATTCTGCGTCTGTGCTGGGCTGCCGTTCCCGGCCACGACAAGGTCAGCCGTGAGAAGTCTATGCACACCACAGTCGTCAGTGGTTGATCTCTGCATATCTCAATCCATCCTAGTTGCTTAGTGCTCTGTGGGAATGGAAGTTCTTGAGGACACTGATGTCAGCGTCTGCTTTCTCTAAAGAGTGCTCCTGGCACATTGTTTGGCCCTTAAGAAATTCTTGCCATAAATAGGTTTTCAAAGACTAGCAGCCTTAAGGGATCCTGCAGCTTGGTCATAGGTTCTCTCTGCTTCTCTGATGGTTCAGATGCAACACAGAATGACACCCAGGGGCAACACGGCAACAGGAATTGCACATATGATGGTGTTTAAATTTAGTCTTTTTAAAAAAATCACTCTATAGCTTTGGTTTTCCATAGACACTACACAATGAAGTCAGAATAAATACCTGGAAAGAAAAATAAAGTCAGGAAAAAGCCAGGAGGCCTGGATTCTGAATTTGACCCAAGGTCATCGGGTGACTTGGAAAAGTTAGTCTCCATTCGTCTTTGGTGTGTTTTGTTGCCTGTGAAATGAGTTTGCAGGTAGGAGTTCTGAAGTTTCTATTAACTTTAGCAAATACCTTTGGAAATATGTTTAGTTGTAGTAAGTATTCAAACCAGGCAATGGGGCTGTGTGGGACCAGATGGACCAGGGTTTGAATCTCTGCTTCGCCACTTACTTGGTTCGCGACCCTGGAAAATTACCAGATCTCTTGGACCCTCAGGTTTTCTATCTGTAAATTGGGCAAAAGTCATGGTAAGAATTGAGTGCCTGAAGCTCGTAGCTTAGCTAAGTGCCTAGCATGGTATGAGCACTGAGTCATCCAGGCCAGCTCTTATTAGGAGTATTCACTGGAGTGAAAAGTTAAGTCGCTGAGAAAACCACACAGGTACTTCCTGGGCAAGCATCTTCTCACACATTGCCACTTATTCTCGCACTCTGTCTATGGAGAATAAGGCTTCCTCATCCATGAAGCCTTCCCTGATTTCCTGCCCACCAACCAGAGAACGGCCACTGAACTCTGCTCCCATTGGAGATTTGTGATACTCCTCAAGAGTGGATTCCTTTTGTCTGTGCTGTCTTTGCATGGCTCATTTGCAGATCGACCTGCCTCCCTAGATTGCCTGAGCTTGCTGCATGCACGCAAGGGACATGTCCACCGGCTCATCTTCCACCACTCACCTCCCTGCCTGGTTCTGTCCACCATGCACCTTCTAAATGCTTTGTTGCAGTAAAATCAAAGTGGTGGGGTAGAATGTCTAGGAAAGTGTTTCATATAAATTGGAGGGGCCCATTGGTACAGGTGCCATATTTCCCGGTGGTTGTGGCTACTGCGTTGCTCTAAAGTCAGTGACCTGTAAGGCCTTCCCCTGTGGCCATTCTTGCCATAGAAACATGGGCCTGCCCCCCGCCGCCTCCCCTCCCCCAACAGCCCATGAGTTTGGGTGACAGACACCATAAGGCAGAGTTTAAGCCTCTTTTCCAACGTGGCAGAATGAGATGCTTTCTCTCTTTATTTTCCTAGAATCTGGGCAGGTAGTTTCCTCTTTTAGGGATAAGTCTGGGAGCTTGAAGTATAGAAGACCCTGAGATTGAAAATTTAAAATTCAATGTTGTTTTAAATCAAAGCAGGTTAAATAAGGAACCAAATAATTTCTAGAATAAATGGTAAAGAATGGACCCTACTGTAAGTGAAGTAACATGCGGATGACTCCTGTTTTTTTTTTTTCTTTCTTTCCTCTTGAACTTGGGATCCCTGCATATCACAGACAAGCATCAAAACCCAAGATTCAAATCTGTTACTGAATCCATTCCAGAAAAGTGGGGAAAAGCTACCAATTTGTCATCTGTTATAAAATTTCATAACCTTTCTTTTTCTGATATTTTGTACTATTATTCATTCGGCTTGCAATACTGCACCAGATTTGCGCCTGCTCATTTTACTGTGTGTGCATGGCTGTGGTCTTTATTTTATAAGTAAGGACCGTCGGATTGAGTTAGCAATGCCGAAATCGCTCACGCTGCAAAGTCCTCGAGTCAGGCTTTCCGTGGTATGGGCTGGCTATTTTGGGGTATGGTCAGGAGGGAGCCTGTAAAAAACCTGAATTGTCTCATTCCCAGGGTGGTCTTTCTCTGTCGAGGTTGTGGTCATTGTAGCAAGGCAATTTGAGAAAACCTCTCGTATCACTTCCTGTGTGAGCTTGGATGGAGGAAAAAGGAATCTTCATTTCCGAAAGTTGCCAGTTTTTCTAGCTTCCCAGTAGAGCAGAAGTAGCTTGGAAAGATTTTGAATTTTGTTTTTCACTGGATATGCAAATATGTTTGAGGAATGCTGGTAATGGGCTTGTCTTGAGGTTTTAGAGTGAGGAATAAACCACACATCATTTTTGATTGTATTTAATAAAGTGAATGAAAAAAGCCACCAACCAGGTGAGTGAGATCAGGCACCGTGGGGTGATTTAGCTGTCTTTCAATGACGGTGATTCTTGAAGACGAGTTCCTCGGAAAGTCTTATTTTGAGGGTTTCACCAAATTTTAGCTCAATATTTAGTTAACACAGACGAATCATTATGGAACATGTTAATTCTGTTTTTCCATTTTTATACAATCAGTCTAACATTTCCTTTTCAAATACAATACTCTTTCAGGTTTTGCTCCTAAGCTTTTTCTAACTTTCTATTTCTATTTCAATATTTTCTGCCACCCAGACATCAACAGATGGACAGGGACGTTTCAGTACCCCCCCTCCCGCCCCCCCACCCCCAAGTTCTCACGAGCAGCACACACAAGTGCTGAGTTCCGCCTCGCTGCCTGCTTCTTGGCACAGGCCTTTGATTCCTGAAATGCTCAGAGCAAACCAAGAAAAAAAAAGTGTTTCTCAGGTGAGCCTGTCCAAGAAGTTTTTTTCCTTAAAGAATAATTTCTTTTCCTGCTGTTCTTCCTCCCCACACTTCACCAAAAAGGGTGAAGACAGACAGAACCCAGACCCTCCCATAGTTTTCCTTCAGTGTCCCCTTGGGAATGATGTCACCTTGGTCTGGTTGCCCCCACCCATGGGCGAGGTTGTGGGTGATAACTCCATGGGCCATGCAGAGCATGAGGGCAGCCTGCATGAAGCCGGAACTCCCATCCACCTTCTCGTCCCCAGCCTGTGCCTTGGTTCTGATGCCTTCCCCTCGTGCTTGCCGGCTGTAATAACGGAAATAGCAAAAAATGTCAGCCGACTACTGTCTGCATGTCGGCACTAGTCCAGGGAGTTTCAAAGGGATGTTTTATTGATTCTGTAATTGCACAGTAGAATGGACGAGCTGAACGGGACCTCAGGGCCAGGAAAGCCCCGGCTTCAGCAGTGCCTCCTGGCCGAGCCAGGTTGTGGGGAGAGCTCACTGAGCAGTTGCAGCCCAAGGTGAAGTGTGTGCTTAACCCCTTCTTTCCAATGTTCCCCTTCAAGTTTCTTTTGTGTGTATGTGTGTCCAGGCCACATCTCATTGTAGGGATCACAAATGTTTAATTTCCTTTGAATCTCATGACCTGCCTAACTATTATTGTTTTATGACTCTGCTTCTTGAAGGGCTCTTTTCAAACCTTGGGCATGAAAGACATTTCATAGGGGGGCCTCTTTAGAACAATGGACTCTCAATAGGGACTTCTCATGACATTAAAAACCAGAAGGCAGGCCTCTGAACAAGACTTGTTAAGATACAGTAGCCCATTCTCTGCTAATAAGCTGATTGCTTTCCAAACCCGAAGGGGTGGACCAAGCTGTTTTGCCAAAACAATTGGAAATTAGCTCTGTCAACTTCTACTGCTGCCATATTTTGCACTGGCATGCATATCTGTACTGTTCCCATTAATTTGGTTACAGCAGGAAACATTTGGAACAAGGGCGTTTTTAAAACCAAAAAGGGATTGCAGAGGACTTGACAGAGTGTCCCACTTGGAGGTTAGGCGGGCAGGAGACACAGTTTCCAGAATTGCTTCATAATATCTTCCTGATCTTCATGGTCCTGTTGGGCAGAATGATGTTCAGTCTTTTCTTCCTGAATGCCTTGTTCTGAGGGTATGAGGGCTTTGAATGTAGATGGGACAGTCTCACCCTCCTACGGGAGGAAAAGGGCTCTTCCCTTATCACACAGTATTTATCAACTTGATTAAAAGCTATGATAGCAGTGCCTGAAGATGGGACTTGTTTCTGACTTAATTTACCCTCCTCTCTCCCAGTTCCACTCTTTACCTCAGTATAGAGGACTCTGAGATAGCCCTGTTTTGAGCTGATCTTTTTCTTGGAATTCATTTTCAGGTTCCTGGAAGATATTTTCACAAAGAATCCCCCCTGACCTTCATTCAGATCTCCACATAGGCATTTCTGAGATGGGATTTGTCATCTTTTCTTTGGTGCCTGCTCATCTTCCTGGGTTGCCTGCATTTGCTGATTTCATCCTCATCTGTCCAGTCATTCATGCCTGAAAGCCAGGCATCCTCTTTATTGTTTTTGACCCCTCACCCCTCATGTTCCCTTAGTTCCTGAATCCTGTGACTTCCGTCCATCGCTTGTATCATTCTCCTTCCTGAGCATCTCCTCTCATTCTGGTCCTTGGTATGTTTTGTCCATACAATTGTGATAGCCTGAGGCTGACAACTCTGCCTTTATATGTCCCTCCTGGAAGAACCCAAATCATATCACGTGTGTTTGTTCAGAACCTTCAGTAGCTCCTTTTTTTCACAAGAGAGCCCAGGCTCCCTAGCCCGGCATCCGGGGCCTTCTGTGATCTCCTTGCAAACTCCATCTGCGGCATGGTTTCCAGTTCTCGCTAGCTTTACGCTTTACATGCCCTTCGCTGCAGCCAGACCCTCTCCGTAGGATACCTCTAATATCACTGACACTCTCCTGCGCGTGTGTCCCTGCTCCTTTTGCTCTGTGTGAAATGCTTTGTCTCCCTTCTCCGTTTTGTATCCATTTATTCATTCATGTATTCTGCAGCCATGGATTGAGTACTATATTTGTGCCAGACCCTGGGCTACATATTAGATATATGGTGGTGACCCAAACAGCTGCGATTCCTGCCTTTATGATCTGTTAAGGGAAGAGTCAAATAATAAATAAACCAAGAGAGACATAAAAGCATAAATTGGGGTGATTATATGAAAAAAAAAATGCATCTGATTTTTTTTTTTTTTTTTGAGATGGAGTCTCGCTCTGTCACCCAGGCCAGAGTGCAGTGGTGCGATCTTGGCTCACTGCAGCCTCTGCCTCCCAGGTTCAAACGATTCTCCTGCCTTAGCCTCCTGAGTAGTTGGGATTACAGGCATGTACCACCATGCCCGGCTAATTTTTGTATTTTTAGTAGAGATGGGGTTTCACCATGTTGGTCAGGCTGGTCTCGAACTCTTGACCTTGTGATCTGCCTGTCTTGGCCTTCCAAAGTGCTGGGATTACAGGCGTGAGCCACCGCGCCTGGCTGCATCTGATGTTTTAAGAGACAGTGCAAGAAGGGGAACTATTTTAGAAGGACTTCCCAAGAAGGTAATTTTTAAGTGAAGTGTTGGAGGATGAGAGGAAGAACACCATGCATAGAATTGAGAAAGAGCCTTTTAGGCAGAGGAGACCTTGAGGTGGGATGAGCGTGTGTGGAAGGGATGGAAAAACTCTAGCACTTTCCCTGTTAAGTTTCCATTTTTCCTTCATATAGCCACAGTAACCCTCCCTTTATCAGAAACCACATTTAGTTGGCTCAGCTGGGTTCATCTCTACTTATCCTGTGCATTCATTCCACTTGGGTCGTCTTGTAGAAGACTTCTCCTCTTTGCCTAATACTAAATCTTTTGAATAGTCTCCCCTGAATTCTTTGAGGGCAGTGACTATATACCATACGTTTCCATGGTCCTTCCTGACATCTTCGCAAGGAGAGACTCCCATCTAACAAGAGTTTACAGATTGTTTGGTGATTTACTGGGGCTGCATATTTAGGAAAATAGCTTACCATTAGCCAGGAGTTGAGCTTATAGTGTTAATTCCCTCCCCTGACTCCTTTGCCTGATTCTTTCAATGTTCATAGGATCTTTTCAATCCTCAGACCTACCTGCATTTCCAGAGTGCCCTGTTTTCTAGCTCTTAGGTCAAGAGGTATCACCATCAAGTTAATATCCTCTTTCAACATCTCATAGGATCAGAGCTGGCATGATGAGAGGCTCATGCATTGAGCTGATGCTAGGGTATTTTCAGTCCTGGGCAGAGACCTGGATGAGCCAGCATGTTAGTCAAACCCAGCTGGCCTGCAGACTGTGGTCTTAAACAGGCCACACTATTGATTGATGTGGTTCAGCTATACGTGGGTGAGTGTACATGGTTGGGATCCTGGAAATTTGCAAGAGTTTGAATAAGCTCAATTTAATGGCCCTTCATGTTGGATGAATGTCATGGTAGAGAAAGAAATGAGGGCAAATGTTGAGGTATTCATAGATACTCATAAATCTCATGTCTTTTTCAGTTCTTTTTTTTTTTTAAGTGGTTTGATTGCCTTGACCAAATGAAATCTTACTCAGAGCCCCCCCACCTTTAAAATAAACAAAAGTTGAGTTATTATGGTTGAGTAAGGGCATGAGTTCAAAGCTTCTCCTTGTTTTTTTCATTCAGCAGATACTTATTAAGCATTTATTTTGCCAGGGACTCTGCCAGGAGCTGAGGAGACGGTTATACACCAGGAAGTTGAGGGAGTTCCAGCTCTGAGAAGTTGGTCTCCCCTCCCCACCCTCCACACTGCAGTGGCCCCTTGGAATGGATTTGGAAACCAGAGTCTGTATTAAGAACAGTAAAATGGCTGGGTGTGGTGGCTCACACCTGTAATTCCAGCACTTTGGGAGGCCAAGGCGGGTGGATCACTTGAGGTCAGGAGTTCGAGACCAGCTGGGCCAACATAGTAAAATCCTGTCTCTACTAAAAATACAACAACAACAAATAATTAGCCGGGTGTGGTGGCACATGCCTGTAATCCCAGCTACGCAGGAGGCTGAGACAGGAGAATTGCTTGAACCTGGGAGGTGAATGCTACAGTGAGCCGAGATTGTGCCACTGCACTCCAGCCTGGGCAGCACAGTGAGACCCTGTCTCATACAAAACAAAACAAAACAAAACGAAACAAAAAAAAACAGGAAAATGAAGACACCTTGTAGATTATTGTCTGACACTTGCAAGTTAGTAGATTTCCAGTATATGAATACAAATTCAAGATAGTGCTTTTTTTCTTTTTCTGAGTAAACACTGAGAGTATGGCAACTGCCATACACATTTCCCTCTTCCTAGAAAAAGCTTTCCCTGTTCTTGATCACTCCTTACCTCTTACAGTTGGCTTGTGACTTCCTCCCACCCCAGGCTGGACGTTGTTTCATGAAAGTGTTTGGCTTCTCCAATGGGAACATTGGATTCTTGAAGGCCAGGGCTGTGTCCTCCACTTTTGCTGACAGAAGCCAGCCCAGCATAGGCAGCAGTTGCTGGATGAATTCTGAGGACCACTTCTTCAGCTCGGCAGTGACACCAACCTTGTTTTGGTGGTTTTCCTATGATGGCTTGGAAATTAGTGGCAAAATTGGAGTGCGGATTTTTGTGGGTTTTTAAAAACCTTCTGACAGTTTTGGGTTTGATTAATACACCTCTGGAAGTTAGCTGCATTTTATGATTCTTAGGCATGGTGGTCCCCAGTGTTCTTACAGAACCACCTAATTTCCATGGTGTGGTGTGGTGGAAATATCACAAATTTAGAGTCAGGAGAACCAGACATGGAATCCTCTTTACCTGGCTGTGGGCACTGGGCAAAGCACTTGTTTCCTCATTGGTAACATTGCAAGGTTATGGTGGGGATTACAAATGAGATAGGGAAGGCGCCCTACCCAGTGCTTGCAACATCGCCAGAGCTTGCAAAAGATGGACATTATCCTAATTATGACTTGAAAGCCCAAATTGGGATTTATGATCTTCCCTGTTTGACTGCAGAGGAGGTGATGCCTCTGTTTGCCTGGTCGCCAAAATCATTGTCCCTTCCTTCTTGCTGCTGGTGAGACTATGGTTAAAGGACCATCCTTCAGCGCAGTTCTTTGTTACTTATTGAAAAAGGTTGGCATTCTGGCAGAAATGTTAGCATTAGAAATGTTTCTAAGCCAGGCCTGACAGCTTGGGCCTATAATCCAGCGACTTGGGAGGCTGAGGCGGGAAGACCACTTGAAGCCAAGAATTCCAGATAAACCTGGGCAGCATAAGGAGACCTTGTCTCTAAAAAATAAATATGTACATAAAATAAGTAAGAAATAAAAATAGAAATATATTTCTGCTGGTGCATCTTTATGGACTTGCGGGTATATTTAGGGCCATTCATGAAATCATGTGACCTAAGACAAGCTGATTAAATACAACTGAAGATGTCTCAGGCTCAGCTAGATCACACATAGAATGGGCGGGGCGGCGGGGGAGCATAATAGCACTTCCCTGCCAGGGTTGCTGAAGGGCTCAGTGAGGTGGGAGATACAGTGTGCCTGGGATGCAGATAACGTGACTGAGAAATCCACACAGGCCAGCCTGGGAGGCCCCTGTGTTGGCCCCATGGCCAGCTACCTCTCTAATTCTGGTTCTATGGCCTATGATTCTTTGTCAGGTCTGCTTTGTACCCCTGGTAGAACCATGTCTGAGCATGCCAGCCAGCAGGGGGATGCTCTTTGTGTGAGGAGAAGCTGGTCTAATCCCGGATATCCTATAAAGTTGAGCAGTTTGCGAGGGGAGACAGAGGACACGCCTTTAGGACTAATGTGTTTTTCCTTGGCAGAAGTCCAAGGTGAACCTCTGTCTTTGCCAAAGGAACACCGCTTCAGGGCCTGTGACTAGGATGTTCTGAGTGGCTGGGTTGGTCTTGGGAGTGGGAGCCTGGAGCCTTCTCACTTTGGATGCACGCTTGGTCTTGCTCTGCGATGCGCTTGGCAAGTTGCCACAATTCTTATGTCTCTCTCTGCTTCCTCATCTGTGAAATGGGCTTAATAGCACCTAGGGAAGGAAGAACTTGTAGGTGCTGTGTGGATTCATAAATTCACCCTCAGTGAGAGCTTTGAAGATGTGAAATTGTCTCTGGGGACTTGGAGGTGTTCTAAACCTGTTGAACCAGAGACATTGGCATCTTACTGGGTTGCCTGTAGCAGCTGGAGAGTTGGAGGCCTCAGATATTGGGCTGGGTGTTGGGCTTCAGGCAGCTCTTTCCTGGCTCCTGAATGAGTTTTAGTTTTCTCCAAGGAAATCTTGACTTGTCTTAGCTTACACATGGGGGTTTGTATTGGAGTTTTGGTTTGTGTTTTCTCCATATGAAAGAAGGGGTGTGTGAGTGTGTGTGTGTGTGCGCGCTTGTGTGTGTGTGTACCCAGAAATGGTAGGTAACTCTTACTGAGATGAAAGAATTTCAAGGCTTACACAGCCAAGAGAGAGGGCATTCACCCCTTTTTTTCTTCCATTGGTTAAGTTTGTCCCCTAGATCCTTCTCTGAAGTGTGGGAGCTGTACAGCACTACCAGTGAGTTCCTTCTCTGTTTAATTGGAAGGACTTGTTGCAGCTTGGGCGATTATTCTTTTTGGCTTTCTTTTCGATTATTTCCCCACACTTCAGATTCATTTGAAACAAGTTTTCAGCCTTGTTCAGGTGGAAACCTGTTTTCAGTTGTGGGCTCTCCTGACCTCACTGGAAGGGTGAGAAGAGAGGTGAGGACGTGGGGGAGGGACCCCATGCCCTCACTGCTCAAAGTGTGGTCCTCAAACGAGCAGCCGCGGCATCACCTGAGTTCTTATTAGAAATGCAGGGTCTCAGGCCCCACCCCAGACCGACTGAATCAGTCTTTTGCCAAGATGGCCAGGTGATTCACGTGCATTTAGGTTTAAGGAGCACTAGAACATTTTGGATTGTATGTAGTTTTTCTAATAGGAGTGAAAAGGGGGAGGGTTGTTGGTTGAGAAGTTCGTGTTTATGCTGATGCTGTTGCATGCTTCTCTCTTCTGAAGTGCCTGCATTATCACTCCCCTTGACTTCTAACTTCCTTACGTGTTGTCCTTGACTTGTGTTAGAAAGCTGTGAAGTGTGACTGAAACTAGCGGGTGAGTTAATGTTTCCTGTTCCACATCACACCATTAAGATGTCGCAGTGCTTGAAAGTAAAAGATGTTCAGCATCCCAATTGCGGGGTGACTGCAGACTGTCTTAAAAAGTTGGGCTGGGTTGTTTGAAAATTTCAAAAGGAAGCATCTCCTAAAATGATAAAATAGGAAACCAAGGCCACGTCAAGAGGGGATCAAATTATGACTTGCCTTCTGAGCTTTTCACATGGAGGTGCTCCATCAGCAGTTCAGAGGCAGCTGGGAGGCTAATCATAGGAGGGCCAACACTGGTCTGTTTTTGTTTAAGAGAATTATGGTAGGTGGTGATGGTTTTAAGAGTAAGTCAGCCATTCTGAGAGAAGGTTTGGGCAGTGGCTTGGTGACATCATCCCACTTGGATGAAAGAAGAGTCAAGCCAGCCTTTCTTTGGTCAGGAGGTCCTGAGACCAGCGGCCCCTCTGTTTCTAGTGTGAACCATTCACTACGCAGGTGTCTCTGTCCTGAGTCGGCTGGGTTCTGATGTTTGCATATTGTGGTTATCCTAAAATAGGATGCCCTGCCATTTATTGTCCTACGCTGGGGAGATGGCCCTCACACAATTTATGCTTCTTTGAAAAAAATGTCAAATTATATAAATTCAAGATTATTTAGGAAACACAAGCGATTTTGGTGTTCTTATTGAATAAAAAGATAACTAGATTGTTCTAGCACAGAAAAAATATTGAAACCATGTGCAACTTTATTCTTTTTTTCTGAAATTACGAACAGGGCATACATTTACCTGAGGGTAGAGGATGACATCGCCTAGCTAAATTCACCTTTAATGTGTTTAATTTTTTTTATCCTGATGTCAGAATCAAGGAAAATGATATTTATTCACTTTCCCCTGTAGTTTCTTTCTTGCTTTGCGCATTCTTACTTGGTTTTTCCCAAAGAATTTGTCGCTCAGGTCTCTGCTTCAGGAAACACCTAACTCTGGGAATGATGGTGACAGATTTTGCTTTGCTGTGTCTGTCCCTTGCAGTCCAGTAGCATCCTTGGGGACATGGGCATTTCTAGTCTCATCTCAACGCTATCCTAGGGTGAGGCTTTGTGGCGTTCTGACATTATAGAGCTTGAGAGGAATGTAAAAAAACTTGTAGTCCGTGATTTCATTCACTGGGCATAGGGCTCACCAGACATGGGTTAAGACAGGAGGTAGAACTCACATGGTAGCCTGGGCAACATAGCAAGACTCTGTCTCTACCAAAAAATTAGCCGGGCATGGTGGCAGGTACATGTAGTCCTAGGTACTAAGGAGGCTTAGGTGAGAGAATTGCTTGAGCCCAGGAGTTCAAGGCTACAGTGAGCCTTGATTGCTTCATTGCATTGCGGCCTGGGTGACAGAGTGAGACCCTGTCTCAAAAAAAAAAAGAAAAAAAAGGATAGAAACTCAGATGCTTAAGGTCAGGCAGGAAAAGCGACTTTATTCATAATCCTTTTGCTTGCTTTGCTGATCCACTTGGGCAGGGTCTGGTTGTTTTACATACATATATGTAGAATGTGTGACTATGTTTGTGTATATGTTTATAGGTGCGTGTATCTGTATGTGTTTATGTGTATGCATAGAATTTTTTTCACCATTTTAAGGAGTCCCATGATAGGAACATTTGGGATGCACAGACTTCATCTTCTACACAGCTGAGGACACTGATGCTCAGAGAGGTGAAGTGGCCCCTGTAGCATCCTGATGGAATTAGAAATCATGCCACCTTCCTGCTACTTGCCCTAATATTAGTCTCATCACCTTCCATGTCACTCTTTGTGTGGCTAGACCATTGCTTGTCAAACTCCACACCCTCATTTTTGCCTCCTCTTTATACATTTGTAGTATAATATACCTAATATTTTTCCTGTAAATTGCTTTTTAAGTTTTCATCATTAGTTATTTTAACATTTTTCATAAGAGGAAACTTCAGAATTTGGCTGTAAATGGAAAACTAATATGATGGTGGGCCAGAAAAGAAAGAACACTATAAAAATAAATACCTGGTCGGGCGCAGTGGCTCCCAACACTTTGGGAGGCCAAGGTGGGCAGATCTCAGGAGTTCGAGACCAGCCTGGCCAACATGGTGAAACCCCGTCTCTACTAAAATTACAAAAATTAGCTGGGGGTGTGGTGGCGGGCGCCTGTAATCCCAGCTACTCAGGAGGCTGAGGCACGAGAATCACTTGAACCTGGGAGGCGGAGGTTGCAGCGAGCCGAGATCACGCCTCTGCACTCTAGCCTGGGCGACAAGAGCAAGACTCTGTCTCAAAATAATAATAATAATAAAAAAAAATACCTAGCTCCTAAAATGTGTGTGTGTGCATATATGTATGTGTATGTACATGTATGTGTATATGCTCATCCATTTGCCACCTAAAACCATCCCACTTACCACCCGGGGTACTTGCAGCACACTTTGGGAAATGCTGAGTTAGACTAGAAACCTCCAAATCAGTTTGCAAATGATGTGGTGAATGGAGAGACGAGTCTCTAAATGTCATTGCCCTTGGTGCACTGATGGTTGAGTCTAAGAATGTTCATGGAGATCCAGTTTCTTTCTTACCTGTTGAGAGCAGGTGTTAGGTATGGCCTTGAGTCAGACCAGCACAGTTTTACCCATGGCCTACAGCTTCTGTAAACATCTACTTTTTTTTTTTCTTTGTAGTTCTTCTACAAAGATTAGAGGCTGTTATTGGGAATATTGTTTTTCTTTCATTCCCCTTATGTGTCACTAACTTCTAATTCTTAAATTCTTAAGATATATAACCTTTCAAAAATATATAACTGATTGAATAGATGCTGTGTTTTCTTTTTCCTTCCCTCCCCTCCCCTCCCTTTTTTTTTTTTTTTTTTTTTTTTTTTTTGAGATGGAGTCTCCCTCTGTCACCCAGGCTGGAGTGCAGTAGTGCAATCACAGCTCACTGCAACCTCTTCCTCCCAGTTTAAAGTGATTCTTCTGCCTCAGCCTCCTGCTAGCTGGGATTACAGGTGCCTACCACCATACCTGGCAAATTTCTTGTATTTTTAGTAGAGATGGGGTTTCACCATGTTGGTCAGGCTGGTCTTGAACTCCTGACCTCAGGTGATTCACCCACCTTGGCCTCCTAAAGAGCTGGGATTAATAGGTGTGAGCCACTGCACCCGGCTTTTTTTTTTTTTTTTTGAGACCGGTCTTTCATATATTGCAGAGGTTGGTCTGGAACTCCTGGCCTCACCCTCCTGAGTATCTGGTATTATAAGTATAAGCCACCATGCCTGGCAGATGCTTTCGTAATTTTTGTGATAGTGACAGTGATATTGTGATTTCTTAATTCTTGCGATAGTGACAGTGGTATTGGTCTCAAATGGCTAACTGGACAAAATATTGTTGCCTCAAATTAATCTTTTGGTTTAGATTTATATCCTACCTTTGAATTTTGATAATTGACAGTTAAGTAGTGTTTAGATCTGAGGTGGCCATGATAAAATATGTTGGTTCTGACAGTTACTAATTTCTTCCCCTATTAGCTCTTTTGAGTGAAGGGGAAAATACACCGCTTTTAACACTTCAGAATAATTATAGAAAAAAGAACCAGCATTGAATTATTATAGGAAACAAATTTTTGTTTTCTACCCTTGCCATTTGAACCTAGCTCCCTAAAATGAATGGTAGATTTAAATTATGGAGCCCATGAGGGAAAATTTTTTAAAAATGCTGCTTTGCCATTTTTCCTGTGCAGGAGAATATGCAAATGGCCTTTCTGTGGTCGCCCTGTCACAGCCTTGTAAAGGTTCTGTGGGGATCCATGCATCTTGTTGAGTTGAGCCTTGTGCCAGCTTGGAGGGTTTGATTGTTTTTGCTAATAGAGACAGATTTTGTCATTAGAGACACCGAAGTGTGATTCTGTCTACATTCTTCTCAAGTGTATGGTCATAGAAATCCCTTTGGCTTTAGGTGCAATTCAGTGGAAACACACACACACACACACACACACACACACACCCACAAGCACACAGAATTTCACTGTGGAATTGGCAAGGAATAAGTGAGCCAAATTTGGCCTGTAGAAATTAACACTGGCAACTTCGTGAGTAAAAATTACATGAAAAGCACTCATGAGGGAAGGAAGAAGGAAAAAAAAAAAACTAGGATAACAGTGCAACAGACCACATTTCCTATCCACAGTCTGTCTTCTCGGGGGTGTTTGTCTAAACAGCATTGCCAGTTTTTCTAAACAGTACTGCTGGTGTCCTCGATCTGTAATATGAAGTGAATCGGCTATGCGGACCAAATGCTCGTTGGGTTGAGAGTTCCTTTATTTGGCCAAATTAAACCCAACAGCCTCAGCTCTGTCCAAACTTGTACTAGTCCAGGGCCAGCTAAGATGCCTGTCCTCATTTGTAGATCTGCATAGAAAAATAAAAATGATGCATTAACTGTTTCCCAACCTTTTGGTTGAAAGGAATTTAGCTCCACATAAAATATAGTCAATTTTTGTCTCCTAAAAGCTGGAAATGTAATACTTTGAGATTGTCTCAGATGTGAAAAAAAAATCACAAGAAGCTCCATGTGGTTTTTAGAAAGATAAGTTCTGATATTAAAATCTTGTGTGGATGGTCTATTATTTCATCTCTGCCATCCTTAGCATCTGCTGGGGAAGATAGTCCAGAAGCCCAGTGCTCATTTTTAGGAGGACAACTTGGAATGGTTTATGGTTTTGGTTTTGGTGCCGGGTCTTACACGTCTTAGTCCACAAGCTCAAATACAGAGATAATTGGAAGTCTAAAATCAATAACCATGGAATATAGCCAATGCGAAACAGATGCCGGAATAAACCATCTGTAAATTTCATGGTGGGTGAGGTGGGGACTCAAAATGTTTATTTGCATCGTGTGGACGACTGGGCTCAGCCTGGAGGATGTCGCGAGTCTGTACCATTTGACTTCAGCACACTCCTCTCTCCAGCCGCAGCTCCACCTGTGGTCTGAAGTGTATTTGCAGAATTGCTTTGAGCATTTTGTAAGGACCTCCTCTAGTTTTTTGCATATACCAGGAATTCAGCGAATAGGATTGGACATTTGTTTTTATCAGAGACTGACTGGTTCCGCCCCAGTCTCCCCTTTGCTCATCAGCTTGAGTGATTTTTTTTCAAAATGCAAATGTGATCATGTCCCACTCACCTGTTTACCAGGCCGAGGTCCCTTCACTGGCCTCCCATTACCCTTATGATAAAGGGAAAGTTCTGTAATTTCAGGATGGCCTTTATAGTGTGAGTTCTGCCTCTTCTCCTTCTATGCGGCCACCACCCCCGCCCCCTTTTTTTCCTGCTGCAACCACATCTTAACTCTGCTTCCAGGTACCACGGGGTCTTTGCATATGCAGTTCCTTCTGCCTGTAATATGCCTCCCTCTCCTCTTCACTCTTCACCCATTTACCTGCTGCTCATCCTTCAGCTCTCAGCTCAGTTGTCACCTCCTCAGGGAAGCCTTCCCTGACCTATCTGACCATACGTCATTTTTTTTTGCGTGTGTGTGTGTGTGTGTGTGTGTGTGTGTGTGTGTGTGTGTGTGTTTTGAGACAGAGTTTTGTTCTGTGGCCCAGGCTGGAGTGCAGTAGTGTAATCATAGCTCCCTGCAGCATCAAACTCCTGGGCTAAAGTGATTCTTCTGCCTCAGCCCCCCAAATAGCTGGGATTACAGGTGGTGTACACCACCATACCTGGCAAATTTTTATTTTAAAATTGTCTGTAGAGATGGGGTCTTACTGTATTTCCCAGGTTGGTCTCGAACTCCTGGCCTCAAGCAACCCTCCTGCCTCGTCCTCCCAAAGTGTTGGTATTACAGGTGTAAGTCACTGTGCCCAGCCCCTGACCATCCTAATGCCTCCCTTATATTTTCTCCTGGACCCATATAACTTGCTTTTTGTGGCATTCATCCCTTTCGGTTTTATACACATCTTTGTTTCTATTTTGATTAATGTCTGTCTTCTCCCCAGCTCCAAAAGACAAGAATGTAACTTTACAGGTTCTTTCTGTTGTGTTTTGGTCTCTGAGTACAATACCTGGCACAAAGTAGGTAATTTGTAAATATTTCTTCAGCAAATGGTGATTGATAGTAGTTGGTCTATCATTCCTGTGACGAAAGATGCCGAAGTCCCAGATTTCTATTATCTTGAGCCCCTTTGAAGTCCTCTTTGAAAACCAAACCAAATAGTTTACTTACAAACCAAGTGGTTACTCTTTAAGTGGTTTATTTTATCAGTTTTCTAAAGTTGCCTTTATGTTACAGGGCTGAGGTTCTTTTTGAGGAGTGATGATGTGTTTTGTGGTGTTAAGGACAGTTTGTGGTCATGACTATTTTACAGTCAAAGACCCAAACATCAGATACTAAAGCCCTTAATAGAAAAAAAAAAAAAAAGAGCAACTAATGATTGAGTTATGTTCTGCTTACACTTACACTTCCTAATGATGTGTCTGTCTGTTTCTGCCTCATTTTCTTTGTTCACTTGATGTTATGGGACCATTTATGTCCTGTGCCGTTAAAGCCACTTAAGTCTCTCAGCCTCAGTGTCCTTCTCTGTGAAACCAGGGAGTTGGAATCCATGATTTCTACATTCCTTTTTTGCTCAGATAGTCTAGATTTTGTTTGTATAAATATTGGCTCTCACATCAAAGACCCAGGTTCAAAAAACATGTTTTTATGTCTACATTGTATAAAGCCTCATGGTTTCTTAAAACATATTTTGTTATCAACAGGAGTGAAAATTATAATCACAATTTATAGATTAAAAAATTATACTGAAAGATATTAGCTGGATTAAAAAAATTGCTGGGATCCTCATTTCTCAGTGTTTTTTCATGGGATTTTAAATAGGTAATCTATGGAGGATGGTTTTAAATTGAGAACATCTCAGAGCGTCTGATACAGACACGTGTCGAATGAATTTCCTAGAGTTGGGGTATTGCATACTTACTTTCTTGAACACAGATTCCCTTTCTTTCTTCAGAATGCCCGTGTGGAGGAGGTAGTTCAGATATAGGTGACTCTTAAGATATGAATGACAGCTTAATGTTTTCAAGTACCTAGATTTTTCTTAGGGTGAGATTATAGATACTTTGAGTGTGTCTTAATTTTTTAAAGTGAACAACAGAAACAAAGTGCTGGGAAAATGCAGTATTTTGAATGGGAACATGGTAATGGATTATTAATGTGAAGCCAGATGCAGGATTTGAATACTAAACCCTGAAGCTATGCAATTCTGCTGATCCATCAGCGAGTGCTATTTAAAAATTCACAGGCCTCATCTAAGTTATCATTTTTATTTTGCATGCTCTGTGATTGTCTTTTTAGTCATCACCCATGGCATTGTCTTAGGCACACCCGGTGTTTCCCAGCAAGGCTCCTAAGAGGTGCCTTTGAGGCCAGGGCTCCGCTTGTCCTCCTCGTGCCCTCTCCCCTTACTCCCCCTCTGCGGGCTGGGGCACGTCTAGAAGACTCCAAGAGCCATGTTAGAATATCCCTTGGAGCAGAGGCAATTCCCTTTATTTGTTCCCTTCTTTTAATAATTGGAAGTGAGACCTAAATCTTACCCAGTAAGTCCTCGAATTGGCAGACAAGTATATTGGTGGGCGGCAAAAGCCTGGGGCTGCATCCCCTGCTGTGTGGGTGTGGATGGTGCCGCAGGTCTGGGCAGTGCATCTGTGACTGGGATTTTCCTGGCCTTCTAAAGCCAGAGGCTGAGGCCCAGGTGGATGCTGACCAAGTGCTTTCCAATGTGCAGGGCCCCGAGCTGGGTGTGGAGGCACAGGACGGTGGCCTTGTTGCACTGGGAACCTGATGCGGTGGATTCTTTATGACGGCTGGCCAAAAAGCAGAGCCTGGAAACAGGAAATCCCCATCACGTTCCGCAGACAATCTCAGGGAGGTGGTTGGAAATTGTTTTAAAACTGCATCTGAAAAATCGTGAACCTGATACTAAAACAATTTGGATGGCCGGCAAGACCGAGAGTTGGGGTGCTTCTCGGTGGCTTTTCTTTGCCTTGGGTGGCCAGCAACCCGTGGGTGGCTTTAGCATGAGCCTCCGCAGCCTAGGAAGGGATGGATGGATGGCTTTGAATCTTTCCTTTCTGCCCTACATCCTTCCTGCCTGCTTCACATTCCTCCCCTCATCCTTGGCTCCTTCTCGTAATTCCATGTCTATTTATTTCACAAGGAATAAATGTTGATGGCTTAAATGAGAGATAAAAGAAAAAAGTGCCTACAGGTAACGAGGGGAAAAGATATATAAAATGTTACTGTAACATTGTGTGGTATTTCCTTCCATTGTTTTTTTCTAGGTATGTAAGCACACACACCCATGTATATATATTTTCAAAATGAGGTCATACCGTACATGCTGTTTGGTAGTTTGTCTTTTTCCTTGAAAATATATCATGGAACTTACTGTGATCTGTGTCAAAAACCAAAATAGATGAACAAAGATAGGCTAAAGCAAGTAAAGTAAAATGTTAATTGGCAACATCTAAGAGGCAGGTATATGGGTGTTAAATATGTTGTCTTTTCAACTTGTCTGGATGTTTGAACATTTTTATAATAAAATTTTGCAGGGTGGGGGGAGGTTTAGTGACGGACAAAAAGACAGAAATTAAACAAGTAGTAAAAGTACAGTATGTGTGTATATGTGTGTGTGGGCATGTCTGTGTGTGTGTGCCATTCTGCTCTATCATTAATGTAGGTATGTATCATTCTTTGTAATGGCAGCGCAGCATTGTGTCATATGGATGAAGTGTCATTTATTTAGCCAGTTCCATACTGGTTGGCTGTTTTGGGTGTGTGTGTGTGTGTGTGTGTGTGTGTGTGTCTATTTGGGGGATGTGTGTGTGTCTATTTGGGGGGGTGTGTGTGTGTCTATTTGGGGGGGTGGTGTGTGTGTGTCTATTTGAGATGTGTGTGTCTATTTGGGGGTTATGTGTGTGGCTGTTTGGGGGTGCGTGTGTGTGTGTGTTTTAGCTGAATAGCCGGTTGGCTGTTTGTCGGTTTTTGGTTTGTTTGTTGCCTCCTCCACCTTTGTGTGTTTTTCAAAGACGAAGCCCTGTGTATGAATTTGGGCAGTCATTCCTGTACATCAGAAGACAAAGCACCTACTGAAATTCCTCCTTTTTTTAAACTCTTACTGCATATGTGCACAGGCGGCACATTAATTCTCCAGCCGGTTAGCCTATATTAAGCAGGAAAATATTTTTAATTAGACAAACATATTCACCCCCAAATGTGTTTATTCTCCCTTGTCAATTTTTTAAAAAAATATATGCATTACGAGTTGTTTTATTGGTGCCTGGGTTCCCAGGGAGGAGGTAGAGGAGAGGTGGGGGTAAGTCAGTGGTGGAGTTCACAAGATGTGAAGGGTGAGCCCAGTGTTTCTTGGGACTACAACCTGTGTTAAGGACCCATTTTTCTTTCTATATCTTTTATTTCTACTTACCCAAGGACAAGGTTTGGTTGCATCATGTTGAGTTGTTCAGAATGGTGCATCCCTCTTGGGTAACATTTTCTTCAAAGGGTAGTTGGGCGTTCTTATGCCCCATTTGTGATTTTCTTTGGCTTTATGTTTTAGTCCCTAGTCTGGCCCACTTTGGCCAGAATACTGTGATGTTTTTCCCTCCTTAACAGAGTCATAACATGGAGATCAAGGGAGAAGCAGCGTTGGGGGCCCAGTCGATGAGATCATGCCCCTCAACATGACTAATACTTCAGTCCTAGAAACCTGCCCTTCACCCCACCCTATAAACCCCATTATGTCTTTGCAGAAGGTAGTTTGGGAGATAGTAACTTTGAGCCCTCATGGAGTTCCAGGCAAAGCATCTGAGACCAAGACACATTAAATAACTTGCCCAAAGGCGCCCAGGTGCCAGGAGCAAGTCTAGGTGTCTCTAGATCCCCTACACCATGCGACCTGTCCCTCTTAAGGGTCCCAAGGATTTTGAATAGATTGCCAGACAGGAAAAGGAATGATTTGTCCAGAGGTCATTTCAAGGACTGCAGGGAGAGACAGGTGCTGTAGGGCAAGACACAGTGACTCTTCTGTTTAGAAGCACTTGCGCTTTTAATAGTAATAACAACATTCTTCATCATTTTTGAGACTTTTAGGCTTTACTTTTAGTCACAGTGTTGGGATTTGTAATGTAAGTTATCTCATTTGACATATCCACGTCTCAGTCGGTGGATGGGTAATGGGATGCCCGCTTCCCCTACTCCAGATGATTGATGAAGAAATGGAGGTGTATGGAGATGAGGTGACTTGCCCAGGATCAGAGCTTTAAGTGACAGAGGCAATATTGGAACTGAGGTTTCCCTCATTCAAAAGCCAGTGGTGCTTGTTTGCACTGCCACACTGGAGCAGACTAACTGAGACCGCTCTTGATGGGTCCTTTTCTACGAGAGGCTTTGCCTGCCACCTGCCAGCATCAGGTGATCAGAAGATGTGGTATGAAGACCATTCAGCCGGGCGCAGTGGCTCATGCCTGTAATCCTAGCACTTTGGGAGGCCAGGGCGGGTGGATCACGAGGTCAGGAGATCGAGACCATCCTGGCTAACACGGTGAAACCCTGTCTCTACTAAAAATAGAAAAAATTAGCCGGGCATGGTGGCGGATGCCTGTGTGTGTGTAGTCCCAGCTACTTGGAAGGTTGAGGCAGGAGAATAGCTTGAACCCGGGAGGCGGAGCTTGCAGTGAGCCCATATCGCGCCACTGCACTCCAGCCTGGGTGACAGAGCAAGACTCCGTCACTCACACACACACATACACACACACACACACACACACACACACACACACACACACGCCCATTCAGCCTCTGGTTTAAGTCCACAACAAGTTTGTCCACTCTGGAGGGGGAACTGGAGCAGATGCATAAGAAAGAAGCGAATGGAGCTAGGGGTTACAAATTTGTAGACGTCCTATATATTGTGTGATGTCAAAGGGTAATAAGCGTGTATATTTCATATATGGGAATTTAAAAGTTATTTTATATCCTGTTGTGCTCTGTAGAGAGTGGATTAATTCAATTACATCTTTGCATGTGACTAACATTGGAGTTCCTAAAGAAAGCCCTAATAACCAACATCTCTGGGAGTAAACAGCTTGCCTGTTTGTCTCGTCTGCTACACATATGAAGCCACGCGTGATAAGGCATACCTCTAGTCAGCTTCTAACATGAGCAGTAGGCGAGGAAATAGACAAATACCAGCCATTCTTAAGAAAAGCCATAGAACAATGTTTGTTCTGGGAAAAAGACATTTATTGCTTTTTTATGCAAAGGACAGAAATATGATGTGTCTTTCAACTTTGAAAAGGTAAGGTATCATGGAACAAAGCCTATTCCACTTGAAGTCCTGATTCTTCCATGATACATCCCTCTAAGAGATCAGAAACGTAAAATCAGTGTTTGGGGAAATTTTAAAAAAATGTATTAAAGCAGGGCTTGACATTTGTTTCATAATTCCTTTGGGAGGACACATGAAACATTGATACAATGTGTGTGGACAATTTAAAAAACCCATGGATGCCTTTTTGACTGCATAATCATAAGGACACAGCTTATAGTGAATGAAGGAGGTTGTGCCTCTTGTGAGTAAGTAAAATTACGTCAGGAAGGATAAGCCACAACTGGAAGCATACCATAATTTCTTGGAATAGAAAAAAGTTGGAAACAAAGATAATAATCCACCTGAAATTTGTAAATGTTGCAACTAACTAGCTCCAATAAGGAAACAGACTTTTTAACTTAAAAAAAATTGTGGGCAGTTGATTCAGTAAAAAATATCAAAAGATCTCTGATTCTGTGTCTCAGAAGCTTCAGTCTGGTAGATACTTGCTTTTTTGAAAAGGAAAATAACTCGTAGGTACAATTTTGTGACAATTAGCTTATACCAGGCACTGTGCTTATTTGAAGTCCCTTATTGCATCCTCCTGAAAACTCTGAGTGGTTAAGTCCTGTTCTTGGCCATATTTTACAGGTGAGGGAGCTGACACTGAGAGAGGTAAAATAACTGGCCAAGCCACACTGTTTTTTTGTTGTTTTGTTGTTGCTGTTGTTGTTGGTTTTGAGACAGGGTCTCATGCTGTTGTTCAGGCTGGAGTGCAGTGGTGTGATCACAGCTCACCGCACCCTTGACCTCTGGGTCTCAGGTTATCCTCCCGTCTCACCCTTCCAGGTAGCTGAGACTACAGGCACATGCTACCACACCTGGCTAATTTTTTGTATTTTTAGCAGAGACAAGGTTTTGCCATGTTGCCCAGGCTGGTCTCAAACTCCTGGGCTCAAGTGATTCGCCTGCCTCAGCCTCCCAAAGTGCTGGGATTACTGCACACTGTTTTTAAGGAGAGGAACTGAGACTTGAACCCAGGCAGTTTAACCCCAGAGTTAAAACCCCTAACTGCTGGGCTATGTTACTTTTACTTCCAGGTTTTTTGTTTTAAATTTTCTCACTGTTAATGTCAGAATAGCCTGAGATCTCTTTTTTTTTTTTCCAAAGTAAATAACTTAGATTCAAGCCATTCTTCATTCCGAAAAGATAGGTGAGCCCTAGTGCAGTTGTGTCTCCATAGACAGATTAGCCTGCTTCTTGCCTCCTGCCTACCAAAGAGGATACAGAGGTGGTTGTATTAGCATATTCATTCATTCATTCTCCTGTTTATTTCTTTACTCAGTAAATATCTCAGTGCTGGTTACATTCCAGGTACTAGTTCACAGATTATTAGTATGCAGCAGTGGCCAAAACTACTCCCTGATCTCATGGCACTTTTATCCTAGATGGGGAAACAAATCAAACACTATATAATGTTTCTCTTGGTGGTAAGTGGTATGGAGGAAATAAATCAGGATAAAGAAATGGAGACTGTGGGTGAGGAATGTGCTGTTTTTACTTAGGAACATTAAGAAAGAAAAAGATAGTGAGACCTGAGGGGGCCATGAGAATATTTGAGGGAAGACCATTCCTGAATGAGAACAGCAAGTGCAAAGGCCCTGCAGTGAGAGCCTGCTCATAAAGGAAAAAACCTGCTGTGCACGTTAGTCTGCACTTCATATTCCTTCCTGATTGGACTATTATACATTTCTCTGGGGGAATGTCAGCATTGATCTGCATTAAATAATGAGGTGCTAAATAAGCTAAACGTGGCATTTCTGGTTCCAAAGATTCAGTAAACATAGGATGTAGCCCAAATGATTTGTTCATCGATTCTGCCTCTAAGATACATCTTTTTCTAGCCAATTTAGTGGTTTATTTTTAGTGGACTGTAGTCTCATCCTAGTAATTAGAAACCGGGATCTTTATGCTGCACTGTGGAATGGTTATGACAGGGTGTCTGCTGCCCCTTGCCTCTACTTACCCATTTAGAGCAAATGAAAAGGATTGCCTTTATGCTGTGAAAAAGAGAAAGTCTTCCATCATGGCAGAGCAGAACATCCACCAACTGTTTTACTATCTCATCTAAATGCTTCCGCTTTAGTCAATAAAATGTGATCAGATGCTCTGTTCCTAAAATTTGCTTGGCTGTACCATTGCAAATTGTTGGTATCGGCCCATTGGGAATGATATTTTCTTGAAGAAAAGTCTTCTGAAATCCACAAATTCCTGCTGGACATTCATGGCACAATGTATATTTAAAAACCTCGTGAATGTGCGCATGGTAACGGCTGTGTGCGAGCCTGATTAGCTGGTTTTCAACTTGCTTGGCTTTCTTTAAAATTATTTTTCAAAACCATCCTTTCTAGTTAAGGGGAGCATAAAGGCATCAGAAACCCACTTACAGCATTTCATTTCTGATATCCCTCAACACAGAATAAACAATGAAACTGATTTCAGTTTGAATGGTCTCTGAAATATTTCCTTTATGCTTGGCAGCCCTATGCAAAAATTTCCGCCTGTTGCAAATTAAAAGTCTTCGAGTTGCAAACCCCCCTGAAGAAAGGTTCTGATAATAGGGACGTTGTCAGACCCTTAACTAAGCCACACACTGCTGGGAGCCTCCGGAATAACTTTAATGTAGTTGTAGGGAAGGGAGTCGTTGGCAGGGATGAGGATCCCTGCTTGACTGCTCTCTTTCCTGACGAGGAAGAAAAGGACAGTGATCAAGCACAGGGTCTCAAAGGAGGTCTTAAATCACCAGGGAACATGAAGAATGGGACGTACACAGGCTGCTGGGGAAGCGGGCACAAAGCCCCTGAATTGTAGAGCGACAGATAATTCTTGTACGAACACCCAGATGACTGGGAACCTTTTCCTTATGGATTAAACAGGACCCAAGTGCACTAGGCTAATGGGAAATGCTGAAATGGAGATTTTTTTTTTTTGGTCCCTATTTTTGTGCTGTTTATGATCCGCCAGCAGGAATATTTCACGGCATCAAAGACATGGCCAGAAAGCAAAAAGATGTATACACACACACACACACACGCACAGTTCTTCTGTATCTCACAACCCTGATACCACATATGGCCTTTCCGAAGGGAGTATTGTATGTTGTTTAGTCTTGGAACTTCTTTTAAAGATAGGATGTCATTTACAATCCTCAGGCCATATGTTTACTCAGACTTAAGAAACATGGGCTAATCTTTTTCTATTTTGAGGAGTAATAAATTGAAAAGATAATTACATAATATGGTGCATAATGTAACTCTGGCTTGAGCCATATGTGTTTAATTTTAGAAAAACATGCGTGATGACAGGTTATGAAAGGATGAAACTATTTTAGTCTTTTTAAGGATTAGAAGCATGATTTTTAAAATGTGTGTTCCCGCCACCCCCCACCCCAGCCTCCAAAAAACAACCCAATACACAAACCCAGTGAAACATACACTACTGAAAGTCATTTGTTTTTGTGGTGGCCACTGGCAAAGAAAATTCAAGTTAGAGGACATATTACTTTCAAGCTCTTGTAAAATTAGATGCAGGCTTCTGTGTGCTGGGGAGAATGGGTGGCGTGCCGTTCCCAATGCAAGAAACAGAGTGGAGTTGCTGTATTTAGAATCAAGCAGAAATTTCTCCTGTGACTATCCAATTAGAAACAGCCCGGGTTATCTCTTTCCTTATTGAACATGATAGCATATCTGATATAAACTGTTGTGGCGGGAGAAATGCAAGATCCTTTCTTTCTTTCCCTCCATAAGCATCTGTTGAGCCCCTGGTGTGCTCCAAGCACTGTGCTTGGTACCTAAGTTGCAGGGGCAGGTAAAATACTCACCATAAAACTGTAAAGCAAGCAGGAGGCTTGTATACTGAGACCCACTTTCACGTTATTGTCAGAATGTGTCATTTTTGCCTGCGATCCTGATCTGGAGGCAGAATTGTCAGGTGTGGAAGGCAGAATAACACAACCCAAAGAGCTCTACATCCTAATCCCTTGGATCTGGGAATATGGTATGTTACATGGCAAGGGAGAATTAAGGTTGCAAATGCAATTAAGGTTGTTGATCACCTGCCCCCTTGAGAAGGGGAGGTTATCTTGGAGTATCTCGGCGAACCCAGTGGAATCACCAGTGTCCTTAAAAGTAGAAGAAGGCTGCTAAAGAGAGAGAGCCTGAGAGATAGCATCACGAGAAGGACTTGGCTCAATGTTGCTGACTTTGGAAATGGAATACCCTGATTTGATTTTCACACAAGATACGCATGTGTCAAAAAATCATACTGTACCATATATATATATATATATACACATACAGTTATTATGTGTCAATTAAAAACAAAAGAAAAAAATAACGAAAATAATTCGGGAAGAGGCCACAGGCTAAGAGATGTGAGCAGCTCCAAGAAGCTGGAAATAGTGAGGAAGCAGATTCTCCACTGGAAGGAACACAGTCCTTGATTTCAGCCCGTTGGGGCCCATCTGAGACTTCTGATCTCCAGAACTGTAAGATAAGAAATGTGTGTTGTTTTAAGCCCTTAAGTTTGCAGGAATTTGTTACACAGCAAAATGAAACTAATTCATCGGGGAAGGACCACGTGCCTGGTATGGTACGGTGACTGGAACAGTTGTTCTCCAACAAGGCTGCATGTTGGAGTGAAAAGCTTTAAAAAGTACTGCTGCCTGGCTGGGCGTGGTGGCTCACACCTGTAATCCCAGCACTTTGGGAGGCCGAGGCAGGTGGATTACCTGAGGTCAGGAGTTCGAGACCACCCTGCCCAACATGGTGAAACCCTGTCTCTACTAAAAATATAAAAAATTAGCCGGGCGTTGGGGCGGGCACCTGTAATCCCAGCTACTTGGGAGGCTGAGGCAAGAGAATTGCTTGAACCCGGGAGGCAGAGGTTGTGATGAGCCGAGATTGAGCCACTGCACTCCAGCCTGGGTGACAAGAGTGAAACTCCATCTCAAAAAAATAAATAAATAAATAAATAAATACTGTTGCCTGGACCCTCGATCTTAGACATTCCAATTTAATTGGCCTGGAGGTTGACCTGGACATTGGCCTTTTATAACCTTCCCAAGTGATTCTGAGGTGCAGCTGGGAACGTGGAACTCTGGTTTAGGGCCTAAATCTGTGGAATCAGATCTACCTGGCCTCCTAGCCAACATCTGCCTCCTCCTGGCTGTCTGTCTGGGTGGATTATTCTCTTAGCTTCAGTTTTTCCATCTGCAAACTGGTAATACTGTGAACTTCTACCTAGGGTGGTGCAGTCCAGAAATGTGAAAGAGCTTTTGTGTGTCTCACATGGTCATTGCTCAATAAATGGCAGCTACTGTTTTTACTCGTAAGGTGATGATTTGGATGCACAGAACATAGATTCCCCTGATGTCTGGCTAACTTATACACCTTACATTCACACCTGCCTTCTGAGGTAGCTGCTGTTACTATACCCTTTCCATAGGCGAGGATGGCAGGCATCAGAAAAGGCCAACCACTCTTCCATAGTTGCACAGAGACTAAACATGGGAGCCTGGACTTGAACCCAAGGCTCACTGTGAGTTTGGGGCCATGCATCCTTGCCCCTTGTCTTTGGGAGACCTCCACGTAAAGGCTGGCAAGGCAGATGTGTGGAAATTTGGAAGTTGGTGGCTGCGTGCTGGTGCAGTGCCTTTGGAGGTATTTCACAAACCATTAGCAGTGTCAGTCCTTGGGCTGGGGGTGGCATTTTGTACCGGATTCAGTCTCTGCACGATAAACCATATTGCCCTGTTGCCTGCCATCAGGGAAAAGGAGGTTGAAAGCCATGGGAATGAGGATTCTTAATAGTTATAGGCTGCTTGCCTCTGTCTGCCGTTTAGTCTAATCTCAGGTTCAGTTGATACTATTGATTAGTCTCTTTTCAAAACCTTGTGAGGCCTATGGGGCTTCTCTGTGTGGGGTAAAATGGTATTCTTCTCATATGTGAATTGAGAAGAAAAGGTGAAAGTATACAATTAATTTGCCTGCACTTTCTTGTAAATTGTATGCTGGATTTCTGTGAAATGCTGTATGGAACAATATTCCAAGCAAATTATTGTTATTTACTGTGACTTTTGCCTGCATATTTAAAGTCAACAATTATGGGTTTTTTTTTTTCTTCTTAATGGCCTTTGTACAACATTTTTAGAAACTTGGTCAGGTGTCACTAAGAAAACTTGTGCTTTGGCTCTGGGATTTTTGGGAAACAAATTAACAATATCAAAAGTAACAATAAAGTCTTGTTTCCAAAAGAAATAACCCAATACAGGCCGGCCTGGTGGCTCATGCCTGTAATCCCAGCACTTTGGGAGACTGAGGTGGGCGGATCAACTGAGGTGGGGAGTTCGAGACCAGCCTGGCCAACATGGAGAAACCCTGTCTCTACTAAAAATACAAAATTAGCCAGGCATGGTGGTGCATGTCTATAATCCCAGCTACTCGGGAGGCTGAGGCAGGAGAATCACTTGAACCTGGGAGGCGGAGGTTGCGGTGAGCCAAGATCACGCCACTGGACTCCAGCCTGGGCAACAAGAGCGAAACTCCATCTCAAAAAAAAAAAAAAAAAAAAAAAAGAAAAAGAAAAGAAAAAAACCCCAATACATGGGGATCTCCATTGCCCATCCCCTCCTCTAAGGTAATTATCTGTAGGCCATCGCCATATCTCTTCTTTGTTTTAGAAAGACATCTTTTGTTATCATTCATGTTAATATTATTGAAAGCAAATAAAATGGAATTTTACATTCTTTTCTTCACATGCCATCTATTTTGATGGGCAGTTTTATCATACTTGGAATTCCATCATTTCTCGGATCCTTTACTTTTTTGTTGTTGTTGCTGTTTTTGAGGCAGTGTCTTGCTCTGTTGCACAGGCTGGAGTGCAGTGGTGCGATCTTGGCTCACTACAACCTCCACCTCTTGGGCCCAAACAATCTTGCCACCTCAGCCTCCCAAGTAGCTGGGACTACAGGTGCCTGCCACCACATTGGGCTATTTTTTTTGTATTTTTAATGGAGATGGGGTTTCGCCATGTTGCCCAGGCTGGTCTTGAATTCCTAGGTGCAAGTGATCCACCCACCTTGGCCTCCCAAAGTATTGGGATCACAGGCATGAGCCACCGTGCCTAAGCCAGCTCCTTTATTCTTAACAGAGAGAGAATAAACTCTTTCCTATAAACATGAGGCACGCGTGCATGCACGCGCACACACACTCACACACCTCTCACATCAGTAATCCTCCTTTAATCCCAGTCCAAATCTTGAAACAGTTCCCTTGTTTTTCTGTTGCCTTTTTTCTTCACCATTTATGAGCCATCACCCTGAAAACTTTCAGTGATGAGCCACATCATTTTTTGAAAACACCATCTCCAGCTCAGAGATCCAGGCGAGCTTTTTGTTAAATCAGGGTTCCATACTCCTAGCCCCAGCTGGAATTTTGAAGAACAGTTTGTGTTCTTCACTACATCAGACTGGAAGAGACATGTACACGCCACACATGAACACATGAGGATTTTGTGACTTGGAGAAGATCCAGCTTCACTGTTCCTGATCACTCAGTAATTGGGGTTATGATATTTCTACCAGAAAGAAAAAACAAAACAAAAAAGTAAACTTCCTCTTTTGAGAAACTAATTTGGTTTTGCTTATACAATCTCTTATCTGACGAAGAGGGTGCTTGGCTAAATATGTGTAAAAAGACAACCTAGTTGATTGAGGGATTTTTCAAACCATCTTCAGAATTCACTTGGCAGGGAGTGGATTGGGTGGAGAGCCTGAGACATATACCAGTTAGAGGAATATACAGGGTTAGCAGTCATCTGCATCCTGTTCACCCTGAAGGAACCCCTCTTAGCAGCTTGTCCTATTTGCTTTTAGATATATTTAAAACAAATAAAACATTTCAGCAACACCTAAGATCTCTTATAACTTTTCCCCTTCCCACTTCTCAGCAGCACATTCCATCAGGAGCTTGGGGTACCCGTTCCATTCCATTTATATACACTTATGTACACAGGTAGCCTTTTCTGAGAGTGTGTATTTAGTTTACAAGTTTAGTATCAAACTATATTGTATCCTAACTACTTCATGCTGAATTTATTCAGGCACGATTTTGAAAAAGGTATCATGTTGACATGTATAGATCTCACTTACCCTGCTAGAAATGTACAAAGTATTCTGTCATTTGTCAATGAATTGTGCTTATTCATTCCACAGATAACAGACATTTATGATTTGATTGATTGAGACAGGGTCTCATTTTTTCGCCCAGGCTGGAGTGCAGTGGCGCAAACATGGTTTACTGCAGTCTCAACCTTCCAGGCTCAAGCGATCCTCCCACTTCAGCCCCCCAAGTAGCTGGGACTACAGGCATGCACCACCATGGCTGGCTAATTTTTGTATCTTTAGTAGAGATGGGGTTTTGCCATGTTGCCCAGGCTGGTCTCAAACTTCTGTGCTCAAGTGATCCACCTGCCTCAGCCTCCCAAAGTGCTGGGTTTGTGGGTGTGAGCCACCGCGCCCGGCCTGTGATTTTATTTTTAAAGCAATAAACATCTTTGGCATGCATGAGAACTTCTTTAGAGTAAATACCTGGAAGTAGAATTAGGACAATAAACCGCACTCACTAAGGTTTCTTGATCCCCAGTTCAGAGCCTGCCACAACTCCAGTGAGGAAGATGTTTGTGTGCCATTCCGTCTCTCATGGCGTTTATAGCCTGGTGAGGAGTAGGATAGGGGTGGGGATAGGGGTGAGGGATAACTCCACGTACAGAATAACTGTTTCCCAGCTGGACTGAATTGGTGCTCCAGGGAGGAAGTAACGGCTGCCTGGGCCCCGGTGTCTTGTAACAGACAGATTCAAATTTGTGTTGTGTCCATTCACTTTGTCTGTTTGAAGAGAGATATCCCGCTTCATTGATTGAATGGGGAGAGCCTCGTCTTTAGTTGCAGGTTGTAACAAGATTTAGCGAAGGAAGGTATCAACCAATTAGTGCAGCACTAGAGCAGAGACAGTTCCAGATGCCCAGCAAAGGTTGTCTTGCATACAGACCTGTTCATGTGCTCTCTCCCGCATCCCTTTTAAGAGGCTAACAGAAACCCAGAGAGGAATGTTGGAAGCCAAATAAAAATAGCATTAAAAACAAGGAAAATGTAAGAATAAAAGAGAGGAAGGATTTCTGAGTGAATGAGGCTTTCAGCTGCTGCCTCTCATCCTGAATTGTGATATGTAGATCTGTCTCTTGCTTAGCCTGACAGCTTCTGGGGACAACACGAATTTTTCAGTCGGTGTGAGAAATGCCCCATCCACACCAATTGATACCCTCCCCTGGCAGCTGCCTCTCTCTCTCTCTTTTATCATTCCTCTTGATCCGTCATCCAGAGAATGCTAGAAGGCATGAGAATGTAAGTTCCAAATAGGAGTTGGTGCCTGTTTTCTATCTTGGTTTATTTTCAAAACCCTTTTTGAACTTTTGAACTGTTGGTACCCAGGGGGCAATGTGCAGGGGAGTTGATAAATAAAGATAATGTTGATGTAAGTACAGTTTCTTTCATATGTAACTAGAGAAGCATGTGAGTTTTCAGATAAGCTTTTCTTAGAAAAAATAAAATTTTAAATGTCAAAGTTTTTTGAGTGGGGGTGGAGGAGACTCCCGTACGGAAGGACTCGTCTTAGACAAGAGACAGACTGATGAAGAGAAAAGCAAACTGACAGCATGTAGGTAAATTTGACTGAAGATCCTTCTGTTTTTATGAGACGTAGACTTCCCTCCTCCTTATGTGTTCTCCTGAAGCCTCTGTTTATTATTGGGGTATTACTTTCTTTGTCTGAAATAGTCATTTTCTAATTCTTCCTCAAAAAAATTGCAGGGGGGTTCTACATCTAACACAATGTAGGTCATTGATCTGGGAGATTGTTCTCTTTTAAAAACAAAAATGATGGGGAAAAAATTCAGCTTCTTTTACTTCCCAAGCATCTTTTGAAAATGTGAGGTTCTGTATTCAGATGAAAGTCCACACAAAGCATTAATTACACATAAATTGGCTGGCCGTGGTGGCTCAGGCATTGATCCCAGAACTTTGGGAGGCCGAGGTGGGTGGACCACTTGAGGCCAGGATTGCAAGACCAGCCTGGCCAACATGGTGAAACACCATCTCTACTAAACATACAAAAATTAGCCAGGCATGGTGGCTCGTGCCTGTAATCCCAGCTACTCAGGAGGCTGAGGCACGAGAATCGATTGAACCCAGGAATTTGGAGGTTGCAGTGAGCCGAGATTGCACCACTGCACTCCAGCCTGGGCAACAGAACGAGACTCTGTCTCAAAAAAAAAAATCATACATAAATTAATAAAACAGAGAAGGTGTATGCCTTAGAAACACCCAATACACTAACTACCTGATTATCAGATTAAGTCCATGAAAAATTTGAAATAATTGGTTTCATTGCATTCATGCCAGCACTGGGTTGAATCAGCCAGGTAATGATATCAATAAGATTTACGTCAATATTATGGTGACATAAACATTTTTTACCTACTTGCCAAAATTTTTTTTTAATGGGTTCAGCCCCAAACCCTCCCAGGAAAACATACACTGCCAAGTGCGAGGTAAAAAATGAAAGTTTGTCACATGAAAAAATTTATGTATCTGGAAATAATGGTCATAATTATTAACACTGCATTAATTAGATTTGGCATTGGTGTTTTGAGTTTCAATTTTTTGTCTCTGGGTTTACATTTTAATTATCTTGGGATTCACAGATTGATGTGGAACATACTAGGCATTTGCTACATCGTTTTCAAATTAACAACTGGAGAAATTTTTAAATGATTCGTAGAGCCATTTGTAGAGTTTCATGGAAAGATTTCCCAGTAAAATGAAGGTTTGTAAGAGGTGCAGAGAGTGAAGTGGCTGACTGTAGTTATACATAAAATTGCCCCTGCTAATGTTTGACCACACTGCTTTTGGATTCATTTTACTTACATATTTCAGGTGTATGCCTTTCAAAGGTTGAGATGTGGTAAGAGGAAATTTCATCATGCTCCATCTCAGAAGGTTGTAGGTTATCAAAGGTTGCAAACCCCCTTTCCCTGCCCTGGTTGTCAGTAGTGCTTCCGTCTGGGTGAATGTTGGAACTATGTTCTGTGTGCAATCTGGGAGTTGATTTTTATCGACTTTAGTGAAATGCATAGGATTTTAGAACTTCAGGTATACCCAAATAGCTGCTTATTTTGAAACTTGCTTGAATTTCTTGTTTCTAAAATGTATGGTGGGAGATGGTGGAATAAAGGGTATTTTATACTTTCCTTAAGTGTAGTCACCTTTTCTTAAATTTCTGGTTTGTAGTTTTGTTTCTTCATGACTTGGGAGCTTTAGAGAATGTATCATACTGTGAAGTTGTTTGACTCCTTTAGAGATGTGTCTGAGTGTGTTTTGTGTGTATATACACACATACATATGTATACACCTAAACCTATGTACATACCTGTATATCTACACATATACACATATGTGTATGTACACACATAGACACACGTATGGTTGTTAAATTTCATAAACCCAAATAATTCAAGTTTCTTTCCTAACACAGAAAGTCACTTCTACGAACAGTTGAAAAATAAATATTATAATCAGCGAGGCATCACAAATAACTTTTATGTCTAAATCAAGCTATTAAATGCTTTTTTATTTTTAAGTAGATAGGGGAATAAAATAGCTGTATAGTTCATAAAGTGGTGTGCCATTACTGCCTGCTGTGCCCAAGAATTATGCCAGCTTTTTACACTCATGAAGTAAAAGCGGATTAGAACTGTGATCAATGTATTATCCTATATATCTTATTTTGCATTGTATTTCCTTTTTGAGCACCTTTGTAGACTAAATGGCTACTAATGACATAATTACAATTGTTTGTCACCACCATAATGCATGATTTCCTATCTCATCATGAAGATGTAAGTTAGATAAAGGAGGAGTTTTGGCAGGAAGACAAAGTGCAGTGATTTATTAAAGGCCAGATGTGGTTGTTAAAAGCTTTTCTACAGAAGGCACAATTGAGTGATGTGAAATGGGAGCAAAATCACTCTGCACCCCCAGCCCGTGGTTCTTGGTGTGAGTGACATAGTTGCTTCTGGAAGCATGACAAATGAGCCACATGTTTTATTGTTGTGTACAAATTTTATGTTGGAATTTAAACAGGGTGAAAAGGGTTCACATTAGCTTATACCAGCAAAGTAGGTGTTTAAAGGAAGCTAATGAGACTAAAGGGCTGGCGATGTTTTCAGCGTGCTTAGTGCTTCATAGCAAGAACTGAAATATCTTATGTTTCTGTCAAGTTTCAAAGAGGGAAAATCCCAGCACTGTTTTAAAAAAATGAGAGTGGTTAATATGAGAATTCAAAGAAATCAGAAGCAAGTGGAGACAAGATATTACTTAAGCACTGTTGACATACATATTGCACACATCGACTTGACATATATACAATCAGATTAGATAGATGCTTCTAAGGAAAGAGGCACAATTTCTGGTTTTAGCATTATTTGCACACACAAAGCTCTGTTAAAATAATGTTAAGACATTGGAGTGTTAGAAGCTATGAGTGGTACGAAGAGTGTTTTCAAGCTTTTGGAGGAGGATAAAAAAAGAAAATGGTTGTATCTTAAAAGCTATTCTGTGGACAGAAGGTAGTGATCTTTCTGGTTTTCCTTCCTTCCTCTCCCCTTCTCTCTCTTTCCCCACTCTCTCTGCTTCTTCCTTCTTTCCCTGTCTCTACCTTCTCCCTCCTTCCCTTGCATCCCTGTAAAATGTTATACGGAGAACAGTTAAACTGTAGGATTAGGTCTGTCTGTACAGCTTGGGACCTGGAATTATACTAGACATAGGAACTTTCCTGCCTTTTCCAGTGTAGATGGAGAAATTATTCTAAATGGTATAAGTTGAAGACTTCAAAGGTTTCTAGATTAACTCTGTGAAATCAGTGAGAGCTTTGGTGGGGTTTTCCTTCCTTGTCCTCTCAGCTGAAAATATGGGGTCCTCCTATTGTTTTCTCCCATAGTACTGCAGACTTGATAGCTCTTGTAGACTTGACCATACATTGTAATTATATGTCTATTTGTAAAATCATTTGTTTAACATTTATTTCCCAGTGTTCAGTCTGTAAGTTCCACAGAGGCAAAAACTGGCCCCAAGGCCCGTCGCATTGCCTGGCACATAATGTACATTTGGAAAGTATTTGTTGAACAATCCAAAGAACCGCAGGCAGCAATACCTACATTCAGGATATCACTTGGAAAAACTAGCAAAATCCATCCAGATAAAACGTTCCCAGATTATAAATGCTCATCCACATAATCTGTGGAGCAGTTCAGATGGCTCTTTTGCAACTTTCTTAAAGTTTGGAACTTTGGAATCCAGTTAGATCTCGTTCCTTCCGAATGGGTTTTTGCCTCCTAAGCTCTCTTCATGCAATTCCAGGGACTGCCACTTGATGGCTTAGACAATTTAAAATATAAAGTGGGAAAGGTACACGTGCTTCCAACCCTGCCTAGACTCTGCTGGTTCCATTTAAATGTGTATATATACACATATATATATATGTATATATATATATACACATATATATGTATATATATATACACATATATATGTGTATATATATATACACATATATATGTATATATATATATATACACATATATATGTGTATATATATACACATATATATATATACACACATATATATATATACACATATATATATGTGTATATATATATATATACACACATATATATGTTCCTTATGACTCATACATTGAACCTTATACGGAGATGAATACAGTTGAAGTACAGGGAGTAAAGTTTCGGAGAAATAAAACACTTAGAATCAGGGCTGTATTCGTGGGTGTGAGACATGCCCAATCTCACAAGACCTGACGCTTAGAAGGGACCCACACTTGGTTTAATGCTCTGCTGTTGCTGTCTTCTTAAACATTTTTTAAAATTTTGAACAAGGGGTCCCAAGTGTTCATTATGCCACGGGCCCCATAAATTATGTAGTCAGTCTGAACTGGAATTTGTGTTACTTGAAGGTAGGTTGCTTTAGGCCTGATCTTAGCTGACCATGGCTCCTTTAGGAGTCTTTGTTTAGTGCTTGGTAGGAAGCTTGTTCCCACGGGACAAGCCTGTGGGTTAAGAGCTTGGCTTTGACTCAGACTTCCTGGGTCAAATCCTGGCTCTGCAACTGGGTCAGTTACTTAAACTTTCCAAGCCCAGTTTCCTCATTTACAAAATGGAGATGATAATAGTGTGTCTGCTTCCTAGACTTGAGTTGATTAAACTAACGTCCCAGGTGCACGTCTTAGGGCTGAGCACTGCATTTCTGCTAGGTATGGTTGCAATCATCGGGCACCACATTCCTGGTTACACCTGACACTTACTGAGCTTCCTGCTCTCTGTGGCAGCTCCAAAAGTTTCAGGATTCTTGCCCTGCTTTGATGCTCTACTGTTCCAGCACTCAAGGTTCTGTGTAGTCCGGTAGCAGAGTTCAAGTTAGACTGAACTCTAAGACTTGACTCAGCTCTGCCCTATCCCTCCTCCTGAATGAGGCTCTAGCTGCTCTTCTTTAAGCCTTCTCTTTTATGTTAGATGATTAATTAATATGGAAAGGAATTGTGTAACTAAACTTTGCATTTTTGTAACCCATCTCTGTTTCCTGGTGGGTGCAAAGATGCCTCTTATTCGATATATCATTAAAGAAACCAGTCTTTTTTTCTGCAGAGCATTTATAATATATTTTAATATAGCCAAGTCATTCATAACCAACCCCCCCATTAATTACAGGAAATTTGCGCAACATTGACCATATCAAAGGACTCTACATTATAAAGAGGAGAATACATTATTGGAGACCGATATGATGTGGGATATGATTCATTCATTCATTTAGCAATTATTTATTGAAGACTTTGTGTGTGCCAGGCAGTGTTGTACGTACTGGGAATATAACTGTTAACAAGACTGCCAAGAACCTTGCTGTTGTGTTGCTGGTATTCTAGTAGGGTACAGATACTAAACAAACAACAAAGAACAGTATCAGAGGAAAGTGCTGTGCAGAGAAATAAAACAGAATGATGAAATAAGGAGTGCCCCTGGGCCAGTTTAGATGAGGTACCCAGGTAAGGCTTCTCAGAGGAGGTGACTTTTGAGCTGAGGTCTGAATGGCAAGAAGGAGGCAGCCAGGAGCAGCTTGGAAGAGAAGCATTCCAGACTTAGGGAACAACCAGTGTTCAGACCCTGGGGTATCATGAACTGGGTGGGTCTGAGGAACAGAAAAAAGGCATACAAGATGGAGAGCAGAAACACTCAAGGCAGCAGAACTAGTTGGGGCCTGATCTTACAGACTTTGGAAACCAGGGTCGCAAGACGCCGAGCTTTATTCTTCTACCTATTACTTTAATGCTAAAAGGGAACTAGGAATCTGTTCAGTCATGAGCCAAATAATAGAATCAGTGAAACAGTCTCCAGATATTAACTAGGGGGAAGTAGATGGTTTTGTCTGGATTATCCAGTTCAATTTTTTTTTTTTTTTTTTTTTTTTTGTGACGGGGTTTCACTCTTGTTGCCCAGGCTGGAGTGCAGTGGCGCGATCTTGGCTCACCGCAACCTCTGCCTCCTGGGTTCAAGCAATTCTCCTGCCTCAGCCTCCCAAGTAGCTGGGATTACAGGCATGCTCCACCACATCCGGTTAATTTTGTATTTTTAGTAGAGACGAGGTTTCTCCATGTTGGTCAGGCTGGTCTCGAACTCCCGACCTCAGGTGATCTGCCCGTCTCGGCCTCCCAAAGTGCTGGGATTACAGGCGTTAGCCACCGCGCCCAGCCTCCAGTTCAATTCTTTCGTTAAGAGCCATAATAGTGAAAGGAGCACTGGAATTGGAGTCCCCAAACAAATCCCAGCAGTTTTGGGACGAGCCATTTAGTTTTTCCAGAGTCATCCATCTGTAAGACTGACACTACCTTTGACACAAGGGTCGGTATAATGATGAAATGGCAGCTACCTGACAAATGCAAAGTCATATACAAAATACAAAGTTGCTATTATTGATGACCCTTCAATTTGATCATCTTATCTATTAAAATGTCTATTTTTAAAACTATAAAAATGCATCTTTGATCCATTGAAGAGACTTTATATCTTACCGGGAGAAACCTAGCAGACAAATTCATGGTGGGTATAGTTACCTTTTTCCCTCATTGGTTCCTAGGCATTGCTTCACACTCACAGATAACCTGTTTGACCTTTTCTTCTAAGGTCTGGGATGTATTTAAGAACAAATGACCACTGCCTATGGAATTCTTTCTTCTAGATTTTTTGTCCAATAGCTGAATTGGATTTGAAATAGGGGAGGCTTAAAAAGGAGAGTTGACTGTTGGTTTTAAAAACGTATCTCTAAAGAGGACTCATCATTGTTCTGAGAAAACAAAAATCCGGGACTTCTAAAAATAACTGCTGATTGCCTTGGAGTTGGGCTGGTGCATATGAACAATTTACATTCTGCTCTTTGGGAGCTGGTGACTCTTCTGGAAATTGGGGCTCTTTTAGTGGACATTGTTGATGCAGGCATAGTTGGCTTTTGTTTCCATGTGCTTCTCAGAAACTCTTGCTCTGCTCCGCAGACATTTGTATGTGTCAAAGAAGTATATGGGGCTGAGTGCAGTGGCTCATGCCTGTAACCCCAACACTTTGGGAGGCCGAGGCTGGAGGATCACTTGAGCCCAGGAGTTCAACACCAGCCTGGGCAACACAGTGAGATCCCATCTCTACAAAAAATTTAAAAAATGAAAAAGAATCAGATGGGATGAGAGAGTCCATAGGTCAGGTTCTCCAAGAGTAGTTTTCAGGAGCCATGTAAGTGGCCCTAGAGATTCTGAACTTTAAAATGTTAAAACTGCTTTGATTTCACAGACACCCTTTCAAAAGATTATCTCAGATTACTGGAAGACTTTCTTGTTAAGTTTAGAGAATTTTGCATTTTGCTTAGAAATCATTTTCAAGTTTTATTAGAACATTTACTAGCAATGGTGCTAATTATTTTAAATATGACCCTGGAAATGGGCTATGTCAGCTTGAAAAGACTATTTTTAACGGAATTTGGTTTTAAAGGCAGGTTTTATAGACATTATAGTAATACCGTTGTTATCTAATTAGCATCCACTGCGTAAATGTACATGATATTAGAGAGGCAAGTATACATAAAATTATAAATTGTGACATTTTATGAGTTTTTTTTTTATTATGAGTCTTCTATAGTCATCATTACTTAACAGTGTGAAATGTGGTCTTAGACATTACATCATGTAAAGACCAGGAGACAAAAAAAAACTGAGGATCAATTTTTGATTATAATAAAGTTTTAGTATGAGGCATTTCTGAATATGTGTCATGAATATGAGTCATGATTTTCACACCAAACCTGACCTATTATGATTATGCTTCAACTTCATGGGGTTTTCAGTATTTAAATTCTAAACCCAATTCTAAGGTTTCAAAATGATTCACATTCAAACCTACTTTTATGTTTTATAATTAAATAAGAAAATATTGCTTATACCTACATTTTTATTATTCTTGGGCATATTATAATTATTTCTTTAATTTCACCAATAAAATAGCCCATTTCTTCATTAGTAAATTATCAGGCTATCTCAATAAAAAAATTAGTTTGAATGTGGCTTGCCATCTCAAAGAGTCATTTCAGTTTGGAATTTTCTCACTTTTTTCATTTGTTCTTTTTGTAAAATGTGAAGATACTTTCTAGGTAAATTAATCCCTTCCAAACGGTAAAATAACTTTCTTCTTGGAAAGAGTTATTACAGTCTTATTCTTTACAATCTTAAATACCACTTAGGTTAGCGTGAACAATACATGAAAAAAATTACACTAGTTAAAAAAAGAATGATTGCGACCTAGGCCAAGTGCATTGCAATTATATGTTCATGGAAAAGTGAGCTTTCTACTGGGAAGAGCACGATATAGATGCCCATGAAATTTCCAAAGTTTAAGTATTTTTGTAAATTAGGTTGTTCCTAGTTAAACAGGTGGCTTTAAAGGCTGGTTTCACTGTTGTTTTAATCATAGTTTAGTTACCATGGAGAAATATGCAAGTTAGCATTTATACACAGAAGTGAAATTTATGCTGCATAGATAATAGCCTAAATTTAGCTTGACTTAAGTTTACCACTTCCTTTTTTTTAAACAAAAAGAATAGTAATATATCACATATATCCATTAACAAGTTAATTTCTTTAAACGCGACTGTTATATTTTTAGAGAATTTCTTTTCTTAAGCCTCAGACACCTCTGTCACTGTGACCTCTTCCAGTGCTGAGTATAATGTAACATATTACATCAGATTTGCTCTAATTGTTTCACCCTTAGGTTTAATAAAACACTTTGCTGAGTTTAAAATCAGTTATGTGGTGAAAAAGTAATGTTTGGACACATTGCATCTAGTTGAGTTTTATAAAGGACTATTATTTTCTACTGAAAATCTTTAGGAAATGTGCCATGCTGATAGGACCAATCTGATATCATAACCCAACGATAATTTTGATTAGATATGTTTTCTAAAGAAAATTCAGAGACAGGTCTATTTCTAATGAACTGTTTTGATCTTAATGCCTTCTTCACTGAGTAATAGATTTTTCACTCTGAATTAAGATGTTCGTCTGTGTGGAATCCAGCATCCGTGAGCTGTCTTTCCTGCTTTACCCTGTACCCCTGAACGAAGGCTAAGTTTTCAAGGACAAATGTAGTAAAAGTGTCCTGATCCAACATGAGGTCCCCCAGCACAGAGAGAGAGCAGCAGATCCCTTTCAACACCAGCTGTTCTCACAGATATAGATTGCTGCAGTGAAATTTTCTTAATATAATTCAGGAAGCTCTAGAGAATTCTCCAAAACAACTGTGCCAACAAGGAAAATGTTGAATTTTTCATCAGCTGCCCAATGCTGAGAGTTAGTGGGCAATCCGTTCATTCATGACCAGATGTTCAGTGTAGTAACGCTCCGCAGTTAACTTGAACCTTGTGGCCTGTTTACCATTGGCTGCAAGGACATTGGCAGCAACCTGGCATTGGAGAATTGAGGCCCGCACAAGCGAAAGACCGAAGTGTGTGTCTGTGGCTTCCTGGTTTTCACCAGCGACCAGACAAGGTAGGGAATGATGAAAGAAAGGAAAGACATCACATCAATCATTTTGGAGGTGGGAGAATTTGCTATATGATTGTGTCTTGGGGGAACAGTAGGCAAATTCTTAAACTCATTTTTATTTGGAAAGAAAGGCAGTCTTTGTTTATTTAGTTAGGCAGATTTTTCAACCTATGTCTAAACCATGAAACTTTTTGTAGTGGGGGCAAGTAGGCATGGGTGGTTAAGACAGTAAGAAAAAGATTTCTAAATTTAAACTGGAGGAAGTCAATAAAATTGACTCTTAATATTGAAACCTGACAAAGTCCAATCTAGAATTGGAAATATGTGATATTTTTGTTTTAGGTGAGTGTTATTATTACAAGTGGAGAATACTTAGATCTTCCATTCATACAGATTCATCATTTCCTTCATATACATGTTTGGAGGCCATGACATTTTTGTGAGCTCTTTGAAGTAATGATGTTCAGCGGGAGGGGGAACTTAGATGGAGCAGGAGTTTTTGAACAAACAATTTGATTTTTTACTTTGAAAAGGATTTTGCCTGCAAATAATTAACAGTGTTTAATTCTGGATTTGCAACAGGCCAGGCCTGGGGAGGGCAGAGTTTGATAACGTGAGGCTTGTCTCAGATGGGGGGCTCATCTCTTCCTGACTACACGGCACTGCACAAGAATTTGAACTGTTTATTTCAAAGCAGCATGCACAAAGGAACTTTTAAAATCTTTCTTATTTAACCGTTTTTAACTTGGGCCACGTCTGCAAGAAGTTGCCATGTCTGCAAGAAGTTGGCCTTTGTTTACTTGAAACTGGAACAGAATGTCATCATGGAATAAACCTTTCGCTTTTTGGAGACTTGGATTGTTTTTCTCTTCCTATAGAATTCTTGACTGCCCCCCCCAACCCCCCTCCCCACCACACACACACACATCCTTACTGACGCCCATCCATGAGGCACAACTGTAACTTGCAGGACCTTTTAAGCAGAAGCCTTGCAGTAAGGATATTTGCTTTGGCAGAGCTTTCTGCCTTTGGTTTACAAAGTTGCAGTGAACACTTCCTTTGCATTTCCTGCTTACAGAGAAGGTGGGTTGCATGTCGCACTGAGATATGGAAATTCCTCATGACTCCATTTCAAGCCTGAACCTCTTGGCCCTTAGAATCCCACTGCTGAAGTATGTGTTTCTTTTGTCTGGGTGATTTTTTCTTTTTCTGAAAAGTCCCTTGGCTTGTTGACTTAGAAAGAGGAGGTTTTGAGTTACAGCAGGTCCTGACTTAGGGCTGCTGGGATGCAAGGTGAAGGCATTGCGTTGTTTTCCTGGATGCTAACTTGCTGATAGAAAAGTGAGAACCAGTTTACAGTAGCTCTGACACTACTGTTACCTTTCTGCAGTCCTCTCCAGCTGCTCCGAGCCCTTCGATGCCTTCGCCATGCACACAGTTTGTTCTTGGGTGTGAAAGCAAATAGTATTTGAGTTGGCAGCGACTTCTCTTTCAGTGGAGTTTGCTGCCTCGGCAAGAAACCGCAGCCTGAGCTTTCTGCTGCTGAAGGTTTCCACTGGCAGGATGGCCTTTTCCCACATTTCCTTGGTTTGAGGAAACAGATTTTTGAACTTTTTTTTTTTTTTTTAAAGACAGAATGCCAACATTTAACAGCTGGAGTCAGTATAATTTATGGTTTTCACTTTATGTTCTTGTGGATGTATAAAAATTAAAAATCCACAATTATTATTAAATTATGCAAGTTTTTGCAAAAAAAGTGATTAAAAATAGAACCTCTGTTATGAGGCATTCAAGAAAGTCATTGTTACCTAAACAGGTATTCTCAATTATTCTATCTTTAATGGTTTTTAATTGTTGTAATTTACTCATATTCTCTTGCATCTCTCAGAGGAGATGTTTCTGAAAGCTCTTCGTGTTTTCTTTGAGGAGCAAGTAGGAGTTTGTTCATTTGAACCACTTCAGTTTTTTTCCACCTTATTTAATTTATTTTATTATATTTGTTTTGTACACGTCGTTGTGTTCATCCTCACTTCAGGTAACCCTTACTGCAACAGCACTTATAAAAGCAAAGCAGTCATAAACCTGCTACCTATCGAGATGATCCTGTGCCAAGAGGAACGCAGGTGTCGCTCATGAAAGTGATGCAGGCCTTTGTGAGCCACAGACCCTCCCTTGTAGGAAAGCCTCAGTTTTCCTACATTTCCTTTAGGTGAAATTTATAACCCGCCCCCCCCGGCCCCCCCCCCCCCCGCCGCTTACAGATATAGCATATGGAGTCCTAATTGATTGGAGGCCTCACTGAATTTGCACCATATCGGAATCAGGAAATGAATGCAGTCAGCCAATAAAAAGTGATGGAATGTTGCCTCAAGATATGTAATATTTTTGTCCTATCAGTACACAAATACTAAATTTTTTTTGGTTATTTAAAAATTTCTAATGATAGAGATAAAGATTCTGAGAACCTTTATTAACATCCTCCCAAAGCCACACCTTTAGTTAAAAAGTAGCTCTGACATTTTTGTTATCTCGATTTCTCAGAAAATAAAATAGGAAGTGAAAAGGCCATTCTACTTGGTACAGTGTGTTACTATAAAGACCATTCGCTCTACACGTTAGATTTAGGGTCAGAACATTAGCTGTGATGAATAGCTAGGGACAAAATTTTTCTTTTCTTTTCAAGGATAGTGGCAGTTAATCATTTTTATCTGTCCGCCTTGTAGACTTGATTAGATTTATTATGTATGCCGCATGTTTATGGCATTTTTATTATATGTTGTTAATTTGTTGTAACTGCCACTATGTTTTTTTCTTCTTCCCTTTTTCTCCCTTGAGCACCCTTGAAAGCAACTAAGTGTTACCTTGTGCTTTAGGAAACTTCATTTAATTTTTCATTTTAATAAAAGCCCTAATAGTCAACAGGTTAAAAAAATAATAACCGGTGTTACAATGTGTATCTTCAGATAAAAGGAAAATTTGTACTTAACGTTAATTTTGAATTCTTATGTTTTCTGATGTTGATGAAGTAATGCATGTTCGGGTAGATTTAGAGAATACACGGCTATAAAAACATTTCACCTGAAACCTAGAAGGGCGAGCTGCGGAACGTGCACTAAACTATAATTTTCTTCATTAGTAGAAAGCCATCTATATAGTTTTCAAATCACTGCTAGGTAAGACAATTGGGCCGTTTAACATTTAAGCTGCTTAAAAAGTCACGCAGTTGAATGATGCATTTAGAACATCTTTTTTAGCTTACTAGCTCTCAGAATGGATATGGAATCTGTTAAATATAGAGGCCATTCTTTAAATAAGGCCGACAGTTAAAATTGGGAAGCCAGAGAATTAGATTGGAAATGATTTACGATGAGTCTACAGGACATTAAAAAAAATAAAGTTAGAAAAGGAAATCCACTGGCTGCATTGGCTATATTACAGCAGAGAATTTTTACTTTTCATCCCTTTTGAATTGGCTGGATATATGGGTAATGCATAGAAACAGACTTTCGGGAAAAATTGACAGAACTTTTCTTTTTATTATATGTTCTGGCATTGGTTTGGTATTGGCATCGTAAGCCTCTGACTATAACCAAGTCAGTTTCTTGTTTTGACAGTTACAAACTTTTTTTCAATAACAGAGAACCACCCATTCTCTTAAGAGCATTAGACGTTGAAATAAATAGAAGCTGGATTGAACAACGACTTTGTTTGTGTCATGCCGCATGAACACATGGGTCCTTAATAAATACCATTTGAAGATGACACATGGGTGTGGTTATTGAGTTTATAATGTGTAATCATCACACATGCATATATCGCTTTTAAGAATTGTTATGCATTCGTTCATACGCACAGCAAGAAGTTGATACATTTTTATGGAAAAAAACCAATGTGAATTCAAAGAGACAGATTACAGACAATATTAAGTCATTCAGGTGTGAAGTGGTTTCACTGATGCTAAAACTTGTTATGATGGCTCATTAAAACATCTGAAATCCTTACTTATAATGAGAAAGAGAAAGAAATACAATTTTAGATGTCTTAGCTATAAAATCCTTAATTATTCCAATTGTAGCAATACAATATTGAGTTAATCAAGAAAAAGGGATATATTTACTAACTAATGGTGGAAGACTTCAAGGTGATGAAGTTATTAACCCAGTTTTAGACTTTGGTGTTCTGAGAGATGCACTATGCCCCATTGTGTGCACGAGACCAGCATTTGATTCCAGTACCTCCTGCCCTATTCTGATGTTTATGTAGGCAACTTTGAAAAAGCAAAAGTTCATATTCAAATTCTGTCCTTAGGAATAAAGTGTCGAAAGAAATAAGATATTTTGTTACCGTCATGAAGCATTTCAGCTAGAGCTTGCTGAAAATATAAACATTAGATATTTGGGTTAGGGGATTTCTGGCTCATGGCAGCTGGGTGAATAAGCAACAAAGTCTAAAAATCTTGGTGCTCAGAGCAATGAACAATTCCTTTGGTTGGTACACAGAGCTCATAGAGGAGAAAAGAGAAAATATTAGTAGGTTGGAAAGGTAGCTGATGTAAGATGGAGAACCTCAAATTCAGAGTTAAGGAGTAAAGAATTCAGTAACATTAATTAATATTAATATTAAATACTAATGGCAGATAACATTTGCTATGGGCAAGGCATCAAGCTTAGTGGTTGACAATTCATTGTATTATTTTACTGGTAATAAGCTTCCAAGGAAGGTGATTCTTTTTTTTTTTTTTTTTTTTGAGACGGAATCTTGCTTTGTCAACAGGCTAGAGTGCAGTGGCACCATCTTGGCTCACTGTAACCTCTGCCTCCCGGGTTCAGGTGATTCTCTTGCCTCAGCCTCCCGAGTAGCTGGGACTACAGGCATGCGCTACCACGCCCAGCTAATTTTTTTGTATTTTTAGTAGAGACGGGGTTTCACCATAATGGCCAGGATGGTCTTGATCTTTTGAGGTCGTGATCTGCCCACCTTGGCCTCCCAAAGTAATGGGATTACAGGCATGAGCCACCGCACAGGGCGTGATTCTATTATTATGCGTAGTTAACAGAGATGAGAAGACTGAGTCTTGGAAAAGTCATGTGATCTTACCCTGGGCACGCAATGGTCAGATGGAGCCAAGATTTCAAATTAGACTCTGTGGCTTAAGAATCAGCCTTTTGAGGACTGACTCTATTGCCAGTGGGCACAACCAGGGATTTTTGAGCAGAGGAGTCTCTGGTCAGAACTGTGCTCTGGGATAATTCATCTGTCATATTTCAAAGCAATGTAGTGAGGAGCCCAGATAGGAGGAAATTGTGATGTTCTGAAGAGCGGCAACTACAGTCTGCAGTTGAGTGTTTGATGAGATTGGAAAGGCAGTGATGGAGAGGTCCCAAAATCCTTAACGTTTTGGGCGGTACTTGGTGTGAAAGACAGATGATTGGGAGAATGGAGTTGGTATTCTTATCCCTTGCTAATGGAAGAGGAGAGAGGGCAGGCTGGGAAGGGATGAGCTGAGGTTTGGATGTGGCTTGAGGTGCAGACGTTAATTTCAGGCAGAGTCTTTTGGAAGGTGATGAAATACACATTGAACTAGAGGTTACGAAGATAGTCAGGGCTGGAGATGTGGATCTGAAGCCACAGAAGCCAGTAGAAAGAGTGAGACTGGTACATTTAGAGAGGTGCGGGGAAAAGAAAGTGGCTGGAGAAGGAGACCACGATATAAATCAGTCTTAGGAGATAAAGAAAAATCTTTCTGCACATTGGAGATGACAGATTTGTAGGCCATGCTTCAGACACATACCTATACATATTCATGTTTGTATACATATTCATGTACATATTTATATATGTATTCCTATATACATTCATATGTATTACTGTGTGTGTTTGTATATGTATCTTATTCATGAGCATGCGCTGTTCTCTTATGCTCACATATGTATTCTTGGGAGCCTTTCCCACCTCAGCAAGTGGGGAGAGGAAGAGTGGGGTAGGCGTCAGTCTCTCCCCAGAGCAGCTGATTGGGGCAGGTTCTGCTCCCTGCTGCTGCAGTTTGAGAGCAGTAGAGGGAAAATGGGGTTTACTTTGTGTACGTGTGGTTCAGGCCAACACGCAGAATTTTATACCCCTCAAAATGCATTCCTCCACAGAAGCCTGGCAACTTTAAATGCTCTAGTAAATGTTAGGTGATTTATAATACAGTTTTAAAGAATTCAGCAAGATTACCATTCTATTGTGAAATAAGGGCTGACAGTGTGGTCAGTAAATGTGTTAACTTTTCATTTGGGTTGGTATGTCTCTCCTTTGCAAATCCATTCATCTGCCGAAATGCATATGAGAAGCATTGCTTTTGCCAATGAAGGATTGCAGTTAGGATTTTTTTTTTTTTTTACTTCCTTTTCCCGTGCCCCTTCTTAATTACTAAGAAGGTTAACAGCACACACTTCAGGGTCACTGATGTTGTGTTGTGTTCTGTTTTTGTTTTTCCTGTAGCCAAAGAAATGCTGTATTATTGCTCAAGTCTGTTTTGTGTTGTTGATTGAAGGGCTGAGAGAGTGCCCGTTTCTTTTTCTTTCAAGATACCACTAAGTGATTTCCTTTCAGGGTTCTAGAAAATGTGTCACCCTGACAAAAATTGCCTTCCCATGCTAGTAGCCTTAAGCTTCTACTTCTTAATTCCTTACATGGCCATTTCCTAAATGGTTAGAGTTATTTGGAACACCTTAAAATTAAAAAGCTTTCATTGCCACCCACTCCACCACTCAGACTGCCAGTGATATGAAATTCACCTGAACCCTTTACAGTTGGTGACAATTGTTTTAGGAAAATATATGTGATAAGATGCTGCAGGTCCTCATACCAGTGTCAACTCAGAATGTCGTTCACATTTCTTCTGAGAGTCTCCAATTGGCCACATTACTGAGAGCTTTGTCATAATGCTTTAAGTCATTTATCAGCTGAGGTCACTTTGACTTTTGAGATTCTAATAAAATTGGCTTGAACTTTTATCTTATACCCTGTGGGAATTCCAATGAGCATTTCTGGAGGCTTTGTTTTCGTGGTGGATTTTTGTTAGAGAACTCTTGATATTCCTTGTTTCCGTTGCTTTTCTCTCTTCTCTCAGAGTTAGAAATTAGCTTCTTTCCACAATTTCCTTCCACACAGCTCACACAGACCGTGGAAGTTTAGGGAGTTGGAGGAAGTTTGCATCAGAGAAATTTGGAAGGATGTTTAACAGCCTGTTTGTTTGTTGGTTTGTTTGTTTGTTTGTTTGTTTGTTTTGCTGAGACGGAGTCCCACTCTGTTGCCCAGATTGCAACGGGCGATCTCAGCTCACTGCAACCTCCACCTCTGGGGGTTCAAGCGATTCTCCTGCCTCAGCCTCCCACATAACTGGGACTACAGGCTTACACCACCATGCCTGGCTAATTTTTTTGTATTTTTAGTAGAGGCAGGGTTACACCACGTTGGCCAGGCTGGTCTGGGACTCCTGCCTCAGGTGATCCGCCCACCTCAGCCTCCCAAAGTGCTGGGATTACAGGCGTGAGCCACCGCGCCCGCCAGCCTTGTATGTTTGCACATACATAGTTGTCTCTGAAGAGCTTTCTCTATACATCATGACCTCCAAATTGCCTGACTTACCCTCTTTTATCTATCTTCTCACCTCTCATTCTTCTGGTTTCTGTTACCAACTCATGTTTCTTAAAAACGGCAATTTAGTTTTCTCTTTCTGTCTCACCATTTCCTTCCAAACCAGGTTCAAGGGGGCCTGGTCTTCCATGTTTCAAGCGATGTGTCAAGGATGAGCTGACTAGTAAAATGATCTTTTTAGTTAAGTACATGTGCACAGACACCCCTGCTTTTTCTCCCTCCACTCTCTCTCCCATAAATGTAGCAAAAACTGAAGCTACTTTGCATAGAAAAAGACATATTAAGGTTTTACCTATTTTGACTGGACCTGCCACCCTCTATTCTTTTCATGTATTTCCCTTTAATCAAATAGGTTGATTCAAAGTGCATGCCCTAAATACCAACATTTTCTCATTGATACTTATTTTCTGATACTAGACCAACAATGTCTGCCCTAAATCCTAGGGCCCAAAACCAAAATCTCAGCCTCACAGCATTTTATTGTTGCCATTGGTTATGCAGTCTTCCTTGTAAAGTTTGACACTTTATATGTCATTCTTTAATCGAGTCTTCTCTGATAATGAATTCTTCCCCTTCCCCTAGAAATTAAGGATGCCAAAGAAAGGGTAAAGTGGTGCTGTTTGATGCAGAGCTAGCGGAAAGCATTTGCTGTTAGAGAGCCACCTGGAGCTGGCCCATCTTCTCATGTCAGTTTACCATAATAATGTCAGCCAGCATGGGTATCTCATAATTAGATGAGGAACATCAGGCAGTTTCCTGATGGTGTTATCTTTCATAGTTTTCACAGTGATGTTCCTGACTTGGTGTTACAAAAACTCTGAAAAACATCTACCAAGCTTGAAGTGCACCCTTATTGGTTATTTTTCAAGTTCTCATACCCACACCTAAATATGTAAGATGTATTTCTCATCAGAACAGTGGCTCCCAAGGCCTGGGATCCCCAAACCCCAGGAGATGCCGTCAAAGGATTAGAAGATGCCATCCAAGGATTAGAAGATGCCGTCAAAGGATTAGAAGATGTTATCCTGGTGTTTTTCAGTATTTAAATTAGGATGAGTTTGATTGTACTCAACAGAAAGTCCAGTAAAGGCAGGCTTAAAGAGTGTCACTGGCAAGTCCTTAGTAGGTAGGCTGCAGGAGAGACTTGATCCAGCTCTCTGCTCTGCTTTTCATGGTGTTGGCTTATCTTCAGAGTGGCCCTATTTGCAGTCTTAAGATGATTCCTAGCAACTGTCAAGCTGTAGATTTCCTTGCACATGTGAAGCAGGAGAGTGGAAAAGGGAATATTTTCTTAGGATTTTCAGAAAAATTCTTGAAACTCTAGTTGGACTTGTTTCTGCCACATACCACCCTCCCTGTGGCCAGGGAGATGGAATATATTAGTTGGCATGTTTTAGGCCATGTGTTTTCCGCCACTGGAGCTGGGGTGCAATCAACTTCTGCAAAATCCCATGACTTCCCATATGTCAGTTGGTCCCGTTTGGAAGTAGTTTAGAGGACAAGATGCTGGGGACACAGCCTTAAATGGTTATTTCATTGACCTGTTTTTTTTTCCTCCCCACCTTTTTTCTTGTTTTGGAGACAGGTCCCTGTCGCCCATGTTGGAGTGCAGGGGTGCCATCATGGCTCAGTGCTGCCTCTACCTCCTGGGCTCAAGCAATTCTCCCACCTCCGCTTCCCAAGTAGCTGGGACTATAGGCGTGCACCACCATGCCCAGCCAAAATATTTTGGATTTTTTGTAGAGACAGGGTCTCGCCATGTTGCTCAGGCTGGTCTTGAAGCCTTGGACTCAAGAAACTCGCCTGCCTAGGCCTTCTGAAGTATTGCATTTACAGGCGTGAGCTGGGCCTGTTTTCATATTTTTAAAGGCTAATGTTAATTCAGTCATTTGCATAAGACTTTGACGTTAATCAAATGTCAATTTCCTTGGCTTTTGGTCATAAACATTTTAATCTGTGAGCTCTGATTGGCAATTTGGTAGATGTTCCCTATGAATTAATACGTAACAAATAAGTGTTGGTAGAATCTGAAACTTAGCATCTATGTTGGTAGGAGTGCTTAGAATTTACTAAAAGGAGTTCTTTGTGGTTAAAAACAATAGAGGGCTGGGCATGATGGCCCATGCTTATAAGTCCCGCACTTTGGGAGACTGAGGTGGGTGGATTGCTTGAGCCCAGGAGTTTGAGACCAGCCTGGGCAACACAGAGAGACTCCGTCTCTACAAAAAATAGAAAAATTAGCTGAGAGCGGTGTTGTATCCCTGTAGTCCCAGATATTTGGGAGGCTGAGGTAGGCGGCTCACTTGAACCCGAGGAGGTTGAGGCCGCAGTGAGCTGTGATCGTGCCACTGCACTCCAGCCTGGGTGACATAGCAAGACCCTGTCTCAAAAAAAAAAAAAAAAAAAAAAAGGCCAGGCGCAGTGGCTCACGCCTGTAATCCTAGCACTTTGGGAGGCCGAGGAGGGCGGATCACGAGGTCAGGAGATCGAGACCACGATAAAACCCCGTCTCTACTAAAAATGCAAAAAATTAGCCGGGCGCGGTGGCAGGCGCCTGTAGTTCCAGCTACTGGGGAGGCTGAGGCAGGAGAATGGCGTGAACCCGGGAGGCGGAGCTTGCAGTGAGCCGAGATCACATCACTGAACTCCAGCCTGGGCGACAGAGCAAGACTCCATCTCAAAAAAAAAAAAAAAGAGAGAACCTCATGTCTCAGGTTTCTGAGTCAATAGCAGATAAAACTAATTGTAATTTACCTAAGAAGGTAAGAAGGGACGACCAGGTCAAATGTTGTGCAGATGTGGATAAAAGAAAAAAGGACATTCATTTGTGCTACTCTTATTTCCAAAATTTTAAATTCAATGTTTCAAGTCCCTTTTTTTCCAGATATGGTAAGTTTTACGTTTTACTAGCATGTTTTAAAAACATTAATCATATGGAAAGAAAAAGATGATACATTTTAACACTACTACGATAGCGTCTATGACTCAACAACAGAAATTGTTGTTAGCAGAACCAGCAAAAAACCATTCTGTCTTGGGGGAAAATTGTTTGGTTGAAAGGCCACAGAAGAGATGCATATTCAGTAAGAGTAATGAGAGGCAAACACAATACCATAAGATTGTTTTGCAAAAAAAAAAAAAAAAAAAAATGTCTAAAAAGAGTATAGTCAAACTGTGGAGGAAACTTCATTGTTAAAAAATAAACATTGTGCATATCAAACATTGAAGAGTGTAAAGTGTTGTCGATGGTAATGTGAACTTATTCTAAGTTGCCGAAAATGTTTCGTGCTCAATGCATTTTAGAAACAACATTTCCATCAGAGTGAAAAGAAAGCAAAGGGAGCCTTCTTAAACTATACTGGCTACAATAACCCTGCCAAGCAATATTTTCTGGGAAGCCTTTGGCCTAGGCTCATGCTGAGCCTCTTGGCCTTTGCTGTTGTTTTACCTGACTTACACAACGTTGGTTGTTTTGGATCTACTGCCTTCCCAGTTGCCAGACTAGGAATTCTTGGCCAGTGTGTCAGGGTATTGTGGATGTAAAATTAGAACCTGCGGCTCACCATGGTGAGACTGGCCAACCTGATGTTCTTGGGTAGTCTCCCTGACCTCTGTCCACTAGGGGTCCACATTTCTGACTCCACTCTGACCTTAAAAGACAGATTGCTACATCTGGAAGTCTTATTTACATAGTCTTTGGTTTTATATCCCAACTCCTCCCTGCCTGCCCGCCCCCATCTTTTTGGTTTATTATTCTTTAGACTTTGCCATGCTCAGGCATTCTTGGAGATTTTCCTTGTATTTTCCACGATGTTGATCTAAATACCACCTATACTGTATTTGCTTCTATATCCCCTGCAATCCCCTCACTTGTTAGAATATAAATTAGTCTATCTAGAGGAAGGCTTTACATTGTTCCTTAAAAGAAATAGTATCAGTTGCCACAGCTAGATGATTACCTAAAGTAAATACTATGAAGCCAGAACAATGGTATAAACAGGAGTGGGAAAACTGTTTTTGTAAAGGCCAGGTAGTAAATATTTTTGGCTTCACAGGCCATCTGGTCTTTGTTGCAACCACTCAGTTCCACCACATTGCCCCAGATCAGCAAGAAGCAATACATAGATGAATGGGAATGGTGGTGTCCCAACAAAACTCCATTTATGGACACAGCAATTTGATTTTCATATAATTTTTTTATTTCATGAAATATTGCCTCTTCTTTAGATTTTTTTTTTTCCCCTAACCATTTAAAAACATACAATTCATTCTTAGCTCGTGGGCTGTATAGAAATCATCAGCAGGTTGGGTTTGGCCCGTGGACTGTAATTTGCTGACCCCTGGTATGAAATTCTTGCTGCCTATAGTTGCCTACTTCTACCTAAGATAACTGAGCTGGAGAGGTTCTCGCTTTGTTAAAAATGGACTTTAACATGTGTTAGGCATTAGACCAGCACCCAAATGAGACTTTGTCCTTGACATAATTTGAAGGGTTCAAGTGGAATTGAAAAGAGAACAACTTCCTGAGTATGCGGTCCAGTGTAATTTGTTGCTATGCCTGTACCACCTAAAATCATCTTAGAGGTTCAAGTCTGGAGCCTTAGGAAATATTGCCATTGTCTGCTTGTTCTACCCAGTTGTTCTCCCAACCATCACACAGATAACATGAAAATATAGATACAAATAGAGATGAGTGAAATGAGAGGCAGCGAAAGGAAGAGTTTTCAACATTAACTAAAAACCACCAAGATCAGTAATGAGGGCAGAGGGAAGAAGGACTGAAAGAATGGCTGATTTTTACAAAGGAGTAAATATCTGAAGAAGGAAAAGAAGAAGTTCTGAGACCAGAAGTTAGCCAAAACGTAAATATTTTGCCAATTTATCCATGACCCTCTTTCCTTTTTCTGATGGTATCATATAGTAAATAGTTCCCCATTATTCATGGGGGATACATTCCAAGACCCCCAGTGAATGCCTAAAACTACAGATAGTACTAAACCCTATAGGGGCTATGTTTTTTCCTATACATACATACATATGATAAGATTTAATTTATAACTTAGGTACAGAAACAAATTAATAATAACTAATAATAAAATTAAACAATATAACAGTTATATTTATAAACAATAAAACAATTATATATATTTAATTTATTTAAAATAAAACAATTATACCAATATGCCAGCATCACTACTCTTCGACTTTGAGGCCATTATTAGGTAAAATAAGGATACCTTGAACACAAGCTCTGGGATATGATTATAGTTGATCTGACAACCAATATGGCTACTAAGTGACCAGTGGACAGTCAGTGTAGACAGCATGGAGACCCTGGACAAAGCAATGACTCATGTGGGTAGGACAGAGTGGGACAGGGAGAAATGTCCTCACGCTGCTCAGCATGGTGGGCAATTGAAAATTTATGGAATTTTCCATTTAATATTTTCAGACCCTGGTTGACTGGGGGTGACTGAGACCCTGGAAAGCACAACCCGTGGATAACAGCAGACCCTACTGTATCATAGTATATGATACTGTATATTACTAATCCATCTCCCCAGCGGTACCTTCTTTGGTATTTATGTATTGTTCTGTTAGTTACTGATACTAGTATTTCCCCTCCCCTGGCAAAAGGAAGAGAAGCTAGCGACCCAGAAAAGAGTCTCTTTATCCACCCACTTTTTGCCTTCCTTTGTGTTAGTCCATCTGATGTTAAATCTCAAACACAGGCTTTTTTTTTTTTTTTTGTTTCTTGGCCTGTATTGATTCCCTTTTCGCATATGATTTGGAAAGGAATCTTTGAGTTATTTCTTGACAAAATTCTGTTTAAAACAAAAAACAAAAAACAGGACCAGTGTGGCTTCATCTCATAAGTTTAGATGTCTGGGGGATAAAAGAATTTAGATGTTCACAATATTCTAATATTTTGCTTTATATTCTGATAGACAAAAACTGTGGAAATTCTGAGGAAAATGTGATCTTCAGTATCAAGGAAGCATTTGTGCATAGCATTCATAGGGTAACAATTATTAATGTAACGTGAAAAATAATGTCTTCGTGTTACCAGCTCAAAAGATGTTCTTAATTTCAAAACAGCTTCTTAAAACAAAGTTGTTTTTTCAAGTTGCATTGCCTTCCAGTATCAACATGAACCAAGAAACCTTACACCAGGCATATTAGCTGATATGTTCTGAAGTGTGATAGTATAGTTGTTAAATAATTACCCAAGTTGGGAAAAAGATCTAGTTTCAAATTCTGGTTTAGCTACTTAGGAACTCGGTGACCTTGGGGGGGTTATTTAGTATTTTAAGCCTCAGTTTTCTCATCTGATGATGGGGATGAAAAAGTACTTACCTCATTATAGGAACTGAAAATATTATAGTTTATCAAATGCCATTGGTTGAATGTGATTATGTAAAAATAGTTCTTAGTGTAGCACATGGCACATCAAAGTAATATTTCCTTTACATGATATTTATATACCTGATTAAATAAAAAATATTTCCAAGTATTGTTTTGCTGAATGCCTAAGCTGGAGTTAAATATTAGAGGACATTTAATTCTGGGAGTAAACAGCGCTTTAAACATCCATTTTACCTTTTGGTATTTTTAATATTCAGTTTAAAATAATTTTCCCTTATGTAAAGAGGCCATAATGCATGAAGTTCACATGTATGACAGAATTTGGGTACCTTCGCATCAGTGAGTCTGTGGCCCGCTGAACTCTCTTAAATTTGCTTAAACCAAGGAAACATTGACTCACGTTTTAACACCTTAACATCAGTTCAGTTGCACTTGCTCACCTAGTCACCATTTAGTTTTTTTCTCCAGTTTTTATTAATTTTGAGAATAAAAGAAGATGAAGACTCAATTTTGCATTTTGCTCACTTTTGAGTTTCTGTAGGTTAAAAAAAAAGAATACATATGATAGGTATAATTGTGATAATTCTTTATCTTTGCTTCTTTGTATACCCTCACCTTTTTTCAATTTCTCGCATCAGTTTCTACATTCTGGAGAATGTACATGATGTGTAAAAATCATCCTCCAACTCCATGGTTCTCAGATTCTGTCTGTCAGATGAAAGGGGACCATGGTGTGATGCCATCGAGGGGTTAAGAGGAAAAGGCTAAGAGGAAGTTAAACAAAGAACTGATTTATGTAAAGTGGAAAATTGAAGCTGATGGTGTTGTTTCCCGTGAGCCCCCTTTTGGGGCAAAGCAAATTCTAGGCTTAATTGGCTTCTTACGCTATTTTGAGTTCAGATGGCCACAAGTTCCAATTTGGTATTTCTACTAAATGAATAAGCCAGAATTTGAAACCAGATCTTTGTTCTCATCTTCGGTGATTCCTTAACAATGTATACTACCATTGCTTTTGAATGTACTAGCCAATATCACTGGTAATTTTAAGATAGATTTTTTAAGACACAAGTCTGAACTGTAAGTACTAAGGCAAACACATCATTGACATATTCTCCGTAAATGGACTCAGTGGAGACAAGTATTTATCCCATTCCATGAAGAATAAATTGTTTCAGTACAGCAACTTTTTGGGAACTCAGCCACATCATGTAGCTGCTTCTGGGCCTTACTTTGCTTGTCTATAAGATGGGATTAATCTTACTCCAGTGGTTTGTGAGGATCACATGATGGAATGGAGGTGAAATAATTCAGTAATGTTTTGTTACATTATTATGGCCCATCAATGACATTTGATGTAATCTTTGAAATAGATGCTTGTGGGGATTTCATCTCTCTTAAATTTGCTCCGTGAGCAAAAACAGTATTGACCTTCCTTGGTTCTTTGGATGGTTCTTCAGCATTTGAAAGTCAGAAATTTTAGTTTGCAGTCCACGAATCTTACATCAGAACCCCAAATCATGTTCCTTTATGTCTCCATCCCTACCATACTATAGAGTTAGCCTCTTTTGAAGCCATACAATTTTTGAAAAATACTCATTTTAAAGGTTAACACTCCAGTGACACCATATAATGAAAGCTGTAAAGCGACTTTTACCAAGTCCGTTTCCTTCTAAGGAATCGTCTGATTTTGTAAAAGTCATGATGTCTAGCTTTGTTTATATCAACAACTAGAACAGTGATTTCTCCATCCTTGTCTTTTAATGACATTGTTATTATTTCCAAATGTGAAATTGGAGTATTTGACTTGGAGAAACCATTTCATTTCCTCAACGTGTTTCAGTCTAGAATGTCTCCTTGTACTCTTTATTCTTTACTTGGGGATACATCCAAGTTCTCAGATATGGAACATTTAGGACTTAATTTCAGGATGTTAAGCTGAGAATTCACTTGAAGTTACCTTTTAGTTACCCCTCTAGAGTTTACGTTTCCTAAGGTAAGGTATGCTATACAAAAATATGAAAAATGAAAAAGAAACAAAACGTGTATATACATCATTAAATAACACCAAAATCATATACCATTTCTTGCTCATATCACACTGTTTAGTCTGTCAGAATTCCAGCTGTTTCTTTATTCAGGCCAATTTGTTGTGTCTTCTCTGAGTTTATCTGAGTGGAAGAATTAAGAGAGGAATCCCTTGGGTTTTCTTCTCAGCATGAGCTGTGAGAACCCTTGTCCAGTTCTCTACTTTACCATATAGATATCAGAAGCTCTTTTCTGTTTTTTCCTCCCAACCCCCTACCCACTATGAATGCATTTAGAGGTAACCACTTTTCTACTGAACTGGTAACAGATTTTTTTCTCTCCTTAGTCTTACAGCAGTTCTGGTTTAATTTATTTGGGCATTTAACTCTTGACGTGGCTAGAGATTGTCTAGATTTCCTAGAGTAGAAAATCTAGAATAAACCTAGAAAATCTAAACATCTAGAGTAGCAGGGAGATACACTTTGCTATAGAGTGAAAGGCCAGGTAGTCTTCTTGTTCAAGATGTTAACATTTGGGTCTGGAAATGGCTAGTAGATAGAGGAAGGAATGAGAATAAAAGAGTAGTGAAGCCAACTTTCACACCATTGCCTATCTGTTCAGAGAGTACCAGGTGCTTTGCAGCTATTTTACTAGCACATCATGTGTTCAGTGTCTCCAGCTCTTTAAAATTGGCAAGTAGACAATGCTACTTTCAGGTTATGATACACTGGGACAGGCATAGTTACTTGGATACTTGCACAATAATTATTTCTCACCTTTTTGCTACCTCCAATAGCTTTGGGGTTCATATACTCCTAGAATTCATTTTCTGACAGATATTTTTATTTTTATTTTTTTTTTTGAGACAGAGTCTCTTGCTGTGTTACCTAGACTGGAGTTTAGTGGCGCACTCTTGGCTCACTACAACCTCTTTCTCCCAGGTTCAAGCAATTCTTCTGCCTCAGCCTCCCAAGTAGCTGGGATTACAGGTGTGTGCCACCATACCCAGCTAATTTTTGTATTTTTAGTACAAACTGGTTTCACCTTGTTGGCCAGGCTGGCCTCAAACTCCTGACCTCAAGTGATCTGCCTGCCTCGGCCTCCTAAAGTGCTGGGATTACAGGCATGAGCCACCACGCATGGCCCAGATGTAGGTTTTATAGAATGCAAATTCTGAATAAAATACTTCCACAAGAGACTCTTATCTTAATAGTAGATGTACAGAAATACTTCTGTGTTTCAGTGGAAGTTACTCCATTATATAGCCTTTATGGATGCTGAGAACACGTTCTAGAAACGGATGTCAACCAAGGGAGATTCATTCATTCCATACGTTTTTTAATTTCAAAAAACGTACACCGTCAATATTTTTTCTTAATTGAACAGTTTGTGGAACAGACGGGTGCTTTAATTATGGTGGTCTAAATTTACACACATTGCAGTGGTATTTTGCTACATTAATTACCTTACTTGTCAAGAGTAACAGGTAATTACTACATCAACTCACCCTCCTGCAGTATATAGAAACAGAACTTTATTTGAAAAGATTCAGCAAACCCCAGTGTATAGCCACTCCACACCTTTGTCTTTGCTACAAGAAGACAGCTGTCAGAGCATTTGTTTTATCATTAGCAGGGTAGAGGTGAGTTCACCCTTTTCTTTGTGTCTTTCCACCTAAGATGCGTGTCCAGAAACATTCATAGGCTCAACAAGCATGTGGACTAGCAAGAAACTTTGAGATGATCGAGTTCATTAAACCTTCTCCTGATAATGTGTTTCAGAGAGGGTGCATGACTTTTCCAAAGCCACACAAGAAGTAAATTAATGTCCAAACCAGGACTGGCACCAGTGTCACCTCACTATGCTGCTTTTTGTGAAGCTTAGTGCATTTTAATGATTTTTTTATAACTATAGAAAAATCATTTGGTATAGTATACTTTGAATATTCATTCACTTCATCCTCCTCACTTGAACTTCTAACCAATGCTTTGGCTGCCTTACAAAGAGTATTGATCCTATATTCTGTTGAACTGCCAGGTACAACTCATGTCATTTGGTTTCCTCTCCAGTGTACTAGTGTCAGCTTTTATGACAAGTTGTGTTAAAATTCTACTTTAACATGTTTTTTTTTTGTAAAGGCGAACATTTTGGAGCATATAGGATGCTCTTAGCAAAATCATGCAGCATTAACTCTCCTGGTTGCCATGGCATAGAAAGAAAAGATTTTGTCAGCTTTTAGGTGTGGTCCGGAATATACACAATGACATAATATGGGTGTACTATCTTAAAAGGCTTTGTCCCCTTTTTAGTCAAACACCTGTGACAAAATTACGAACTGTGGTTAACATAGAATACTTACAAGTGGTTTTTCGGAGTCGTCCAGGGTAGAGGAGCTCAGCGTGCAGACAATTTTAGTACCTACTTTTCTTCTTGCACCTGGCACTGGGAGTGAGTGACATTAAAAAGAAGTTCAAGAAGTCAAGAGTTAAGGATCCTACCTTTCAGACATTGTTTGAGATATTTTGTAGGGGGCAAGGTGGGCCTCTCAAGGGTCATTTACGACATAGAAGGGAGAATCTCTTCCAGTCCTCAACCCAAGTCAATTTCTGATGCCTGAATTCCAAGCCTAGATTCATCATTTCTGTAACTGATCTTGTCGTGTGCATTTGCAAATCACTCTGGCATTTATAACTTGTTACATTATAGCTTCGAGTGAGGTTTTCTTTTTTCTTAGCTTTTTATTCAATGGAAGGATAGCATGGTATATTTAGATTTAGTAATTCATCCATTCAACGCATATCTGCTGAGTGCCTGCTGTGTGACAGTCATTGTGCTGTAGATGGCAGGAGGAGGAGTGCATAGCAAGGCAGGAAACAGACCTTTGCCCTCTCGGCTTCTTTCTACTAGAGGGCAAACTCTATGACAGCTCCACCAGGAGAACTCTGTTCTCCTGGAGTTTGTCCTCTAGTATAAAGAAGCAGAGAGTGCAAGTGAAACGAAGGAACAAGATATCTGCGTGGAATGGGAGTTCACACAGGATACAGTGGAAAGCACAGACCTTGGGAAAGCCTGTCTAGCCAGGGAAGGCCTCTTGGAAAAGGTGACTTTCTATTTAAGACTTAAAGAATGATCCTCGGCCAGGCACAGTGGCTCACGCCTGTAATCTCAGCACGTTGGCAGGCTGAGACGGGCGGATCACCTCAAGTCAGGAGTTCGAGACCACCTTGACTAACAAGGCAAAACCCTGTCTCTACTAAAAGTACAAAAAAAAAAAAAATTAGCCAGGAATGGTGGTGCATGCTTGTAATCCCAGCTAATTGGGAGGCTGAGGCAGAAGAATCGCTTGAACCCTGGAGGCCGAGGTTGCAGTGAGCTGAGATCGTGCCACTGCACTCCAGCCTGGGTGACAGAGCAAGACTCCATCTCAAAAAAAAAAAAAGAAAGAAAGAAAAGACGAAAGAATGATCCTCATGTACAAAGAGCCAGGGGAAGAACCTTTCCTGCAGAGAATGAAGAGGGCTAAGCCTCAGAGTAAGGAATAAGCCGAGTGTGGTGTGGGGTCAGAAAGACCAGTGTGGCTCCATGTGGTTATTAGAGAAGGAGGTAGGGAGTGAGGATGGTGTGGGAGAGGTTAGGGGGTCAGCAGGACCCTGTATACCGGGGCGAAGGACTGGGTTTTGTTCTCTGCCATCTAGGCTGGAGTGCAGTGATGCAATTGTAGCTCCCCGCAGCCTCAAATTCCTGGGCTCAGATGATCCTCCCACCTCAGCCTCCCAAGCAGCTAGGACCACAGGTGGGTGTGCCACCATGCCTGCGTAATTTTTTAAATTTTTTATTGTAATGGAATCTTGCCGTGTTGCCCAGGCTGGTCACAAGCTCCTGGCTTCAAGCGATCTTCCTGCCTCAGGCTCACAAAATATTGGCATCACAGGCATGAGTCACTGCACCCAGCCTGGATTTTATTCTGAAATGGATGCGAAGCAGTTGGAGGCAGTGACTTCTGATTCAGGTGTGAGAACAAACCACGTGGACTGGGGAATGGATTGCGGTGTCAGGTGTGTTCTTGAGAGTAGGCTTCTTTGGGGGAGAGGCTGAGATTCTGGTTCCCTGAGGTTGAGCATGGAATCCTGGAAGATGCCACACCTGAGACAGACTCAGCTGGCCCTGGTGAAATGAGAAAACCCTTTTCTAACTGGCGGTGAGATGCAGCTACGCACCAATACAAGGGTGGAAGCACAGTGCTTCAGAGCACAGTCCTCCAAGTGTGGCGCCTGAACCAGCAGCAGTGGCGGAAGCAGCACCTGAGAACTTGTTAGAAATTGAAATTTTCTGGCCTCACTGTAGCCATAGTGAATCAGAAACTCTGGGGTTGGGGGCCAGGCGCAGTGGTTCACGCCTGTAATCCTGGCAGGGGATTACAGGGAGGCTGAAGTGGGTGGATTGCCTGAGGTCAGGAGTTCGAGACCAGCCTAGCGTCTACTAAAAAAATTAGCTGGGCGTCGTGGCGTGTGCCTGTAGTCCCAGTTACTTGAGAGGCTGAGACAGGAGAATTGCTTGAACCCGGGAGGTGGAGGTTGCAGTGAGCTGAGATCATGCCACTGCATTCCATCCTGGGCCACAGAGCAAGACTCCTTCTCAGTAAAAAAAAAAAAAAAAAACAACAAAAAAAACTCTAGGGTTGGGACCTAGCAATGTGCTTGTAACAAGACCTCCAGGTGATTTTGATGAGCATGCAAGTTTGAGAAGCCCGTTATAGGGTGTTTGTGGCAGATAGTGGCAGAAAAGACTTGGGACTTACTACAAATGCACTAATGCACTAGTCTCATGGGAAGATAAGACAGACACAATAAAGGGCTATAGCAAAGTGGTGCCCCGGTGCCGATCGGAACCTGCGTCTTGTGACTCTGTTCTAGTGCCCTTTCCTCAAGTGTTTATGGAGTGAAAGAATAAACAAAACTAACCTTGTATTTTTAAGGATAATTATATTTCTAAAGGAGGAGTTGGGTGGATGTTTAAGGACAAGTGCTATGGTGTGTGAACTCAGGTGACCTCGTTTCTCATGGTACTATTTTCTCAGATAATTTAGAAAAGCAGTGTCAGTGTGAATAACTCACTCCTTTCTCCCTGTCACTGATAGAAAAACAAGTGTTTTTGTCTTAAGTTACACCATTGAGACACTTAGCAGAGTGTAATAGCATTCTTTTATTTCTGTATTACTCAATCTATTTGGCCCTGTTTTGGTTTTGGAAGTCCTGGCACTCCCAAGTTATGTTTTTAGTGTCATGGAAGAAGGCAGAAGATTGATTATTTTCAGGCCTGGTATTTGTGCTTGCTCCTATCTGCTTTGTCCAACAGCGCTGTCAGAAAATCCTAGGATCATTTCCCTCACCCTCCACCCAGTGCTCTCTACCTGGCTAACACCCACCGACTTCTAATTTAATGGCTTGCAGGTCATTTCTTCCACGAAATCTTTTCTGACCCCTTGTGCTTAGGTTACATCTGTGTGTTAATCATTCCCATGTGCTTTTGTTAGTGTTTCCTGGTAGTATGTGGGCTCCAGGAGGTCTTAAACCTCATTTGTCTCAAGTTCAAGCTATATTGTGCTTCAAACATAGTGTCTGGCATGTGGTGGTACTGAGAAAGTAGCTGTTTCTTGGATGCTTTCCCTCTGAGTTGATTAACTACACTCTATGGTCGATCTTGGAAGACATAGTGGCGGGTTCTTCCTAAAAGGGGGTTACACCGGATATTAAGACATGGTCCCTGCTGTGCACAGTGGCTCACGCTTGTAATCCTAGCACTTTGGGAGACTGAGGCGGGCGGATCACGAGGTTAGGAGTTCAAGACCAGCCTGACCAACATGGTGAAACCCCGTCTCTACTAAAAATACCAAAATTAGCTGGGCATGGTGGTGCATGCCTATAATCCCAGCTACTTAGGAGGCTGAGGCAGGAGAATCGCTTGAACCCAGGAGGCAGAGGTTGCAGTGAGCTGAGATTGCGCCATTGTACTCCAGCCTGGGTGACAGAGCGAGACTCCGTTTCTGTTTTTGTTTTTTTGTTTTTTTGAGACGGAGTCTCGTTCTGTTGCCCAGGCTGGAGTGCAGTGGAGTGATCTCGGCTCACTGCAGCCTCCGCATCCCAGATTCAAGCTATTCTCTTGCCTCAGCCTGCAGAGGCAAGGCTATGCCCCTTACCCGCCACTACGCCCAGCTAATTTGTTTCTATTTTTAGTAGAGACGGGGTTTCACCATGTTGGCTAGGCTGGTCTCGAACGCCTGACCTTCTGATTCACCTGCCTCAGCCTCCCAAAATGCTGGGATTACAGGCGTGAGCCACCGTGCCCAGCTGAGACTCCATTTCAAAAAAAAAAAGACATGGTCCCATGGGGTCAAGATGGGAGAAGTATAGACAAAGCCAGAAATAAGTATTTATTTGAGGTAGATCTTAATGAGGGCAGAAATAAGTATTTCTTTGAGGTAGATCCTAATGCGGTATACACTCACAATGTGTTAGCTGCTGTGACTAACACAGAGATTTTGGTAGCTTTACATAATAAGGTATATGTTTTCTTCCCTTCATGTCTGTTGAACCTCCTCATCTTATTCTTGTTATGGGGTCTCAGCAGTTGGTGGGGAAGAGGAACAGGGAGTGCAGTTGACCTTCCATCATGGGCTTAGAAGTGCTGCCCCTTGCTACTGCTGACATCCCATTGAGCAGAAATCAGTCACATGGGCCTGACTTGTATAAATGCCAGTGAAATTGGGATTGGAATTGGAAATGTCATTTCCCTGTGTACCCAGGATGAAGACATTGCAGTGAAATTAGTTATCATGTGACAGTCCCAACAATTGATTACTTTGGTTTTAGCTACTGAGGTTTGATCAAAATAAAGCATACTTCCTATTTTTGTAGCCTGTGCATATATCAATACCCTTTTTTTCTCAGAGACTAATGAGAGTGATGACCCACAGTGGTTCTTAACTTTTGCATGTCATGAAGAGGATGTCTTTCATTTAAATCCCAACTAAGGCCAGGCATGGTGGCTCATGCCTGTAATCCCAGCACTTTGGGAGGCCAAAGCAGGCGGATCACTTGAGGTCAGGAAGTTCGAGACCAGCCTGGCCAACATGCTGAAACCCCATCTCTCCTAAAAATACAAAAATTAGCCAGGTGTCGTGGCACACGCCTGTTTATCCCAGCTACTCAGGAGGCTGAGGCAGGAGAATCCTTTGAACCTGAGAGGCAGAGTTTGTAGTGAGCCGAGATCACACCATTGTACTCCAGCCTGGGCAACCGAGTGAAACTCCATCTAAAAAAATAAATAAATAAATAAAATAAAAATTAAATAAATAAATCCCAACTAAGAGCCTGTCTTCCTCTGTAGGATTCACCAGGGTAATTTGTCGAGGGTCCAGCTGTAGCATGCAGTCCTTATGTCATCAAATGAAATATTCAACCCTAAGTGGTGAACACGTTTGAATCCAAACAGATTGGCTCTCACAGGACAATATCTGCTTGTGTTCTGTGGTTGGCATTATTTTTTTCTTCTGCTCCTGGAGTTGACAACTCTGGGAAAAAGTTTGGTGGTATTGCAGAGGACTAACTAGTCCATTACCACTAGCCATCATTATGGTCTTGGAAAGGACTGGTGGTCAAATTCTTATTTCTTAAGGAGAAAATTGAAGTTGCTTTTAAGATTTGAATTTTCTGTTCACTAATCTCACTTATTTTCATCCAGAAAATGATATGAAAAATGATCCATGATATATTCGGTGGAGGAAAACACAGAGTGTTTATAGTACACTGTTTTTTGTTGTTGTTTTTGGATTTTTTTAGGTAAAGATATGTTGTTTTACCCACTCAGCATCACGGTTCTCAGGATAGGAGCTGAAATCTTCATCTAATCTTCGATATCCCTCCCTGCCGTCCTTCCAGCCCAGTATGAAGACTCAGTGAGAAGCTTGTAGTGGAGATACGTAGTTAAGCGGGAGGCCAGAGAGGTCAACAGGGGTCAGGTCATACAGGACCTTGTAAACCACGGGAATGCTTTTGGCCCCTGTTCTGACACTACTGGGAAGCCATTGAGAGAATGCAAACAGGGAGTGAATGCAACGTGAGAGAGAGGGAGTGTGTATGTGTATGTGAGAGAGACACTGATGAATGCTGATCACATTTATTGTGGGTTTTTTGGCTGTGGGGAAGGAGCCTCTGCAGGAGAGAGGAGGCGCAAAGGCAGTGTGGTGGCCTTCTCCTAGCTGACAGGAGAGGTCTCCTCCCTCCTTCTGCACAGAAGTTGCTTGTCAATCAGGAGCTTACCATCCCAGCTTCAAAGCAGGCAGTGCATTTGGGGTAAATATTTATGAAATGCCAAACTTTGTGATCAAGATGTATTTTGTTTTTAATGAGCAAATGACTCAGAACTGTTTGAGGTTATTAAAAGACAAATTATTGTGTGCCATCATGGAAAAAGGGAAGAGGAGAAAGTATAATTTTACATCAAGCAATTTATTTACAGCCATAATCCGCAAGCAATCAACCTCTTTAAACAAAATTATTTAATTTCTTGTAAAGGCTTAAAGTATGAAAATTTAATTTATTTAGGGAATCTCATTAAGAGGACTTTTAAAAAGTAAGGTGGTCTATTCAGTTGCTTTAAGGAATGTTAATTGAGTGCGTAAGATACCATAAACATTGTGTTTGGGGCATGAGAAATAACATGAATCTCTGCTCTCAAGACACTTCTAGTCTGGAAACAAGACAGTCAAAAGCCATTAATAAATGAGTAGAAATGTGCAAAATGTTTCTTCTTTTTTTAAAGTCAAAACCATTGTTTCAAATTGTATAACAGGTATTTTGGATATTACTTGGTTTTGGAAAATCTAGAGAATACAAAAAATTCTAAAGAAAAATCCTGACCGTAATCCCATTTCTCTAGGGCAAATACTGTTAATTTTATTTTTTTCTGTTCTTCATTGACACATATTTTTATACAGCTGAGAATTACTGTAGATACAATTTTCCTATCTTGCTTATTTTATATCACATTAACAAGCATTTGCACACATTTCCCCATTTTTAATGACTACAACCTATAAAATATGCCTTTGTCAGACTGGATTATCATTTACTTGCTTTTGTTCTGTTTTGATAGACATTTAAGATAAGACAGATTCATAAAATTTACCCATTTTATGTCTCAAATCATCTTTTACACTTAACTGTTATAATAAAACATTAATGGGGAACTGAGATTTAAAAAAAGATATCTCTCTGTATGTATGTCTCTGAGCTTTGCCATCCACAACGAAAAAAAAAGTGGACCAAGTCGTCATTACAATAATTGTACATCCTTGAGAGAATAGTGGGGGAATAATACATTTGACTCATTGTTTCTGGCATATTCTATCACTGGACATGTAGCTCCTACCCTGAAATTGGTTAAGAAGGAACATCTTGTTTTTTGTTTTGTTTTGTTTTGTTTTTAAAATGGAGTCTTGCCCTGTCGCCAGGCTGGAGTGCAGTGGGCTCACTGCAACCTCTGCCTCCCAGTTTCAAGCAATTCTCCTGCCTCAGCCTCCCTAGTAGCTGGGACTAGAGGCACACGCCACCACGCTCAGCTAATTTTTGTATTTTTAGTAGAGATGGGGTTTCACCGTGTTGGCCAGGCTGGTCTCCATCTCTTGACCTCGTGATCTGCCGGGCTTGGCCTCCCAAAGTGCTGGGATTATAGGCGTGAGCCACCGCACCCAGCCGGAACATCCTTTAAATCCAAGAAAGCAGTTTGCTTCTAATTTAGGGAATCTTCATGCCTGATTTTGAAACTTTTAGTGGATGTCATTTCTGTCTCACTCTTCCAGTGACATCTAAAATCTACTGTTTATTTTGCTTTTTTAAAAAAGGTCCAACATAAAGTCACTTTAAGGTGACTGTTACCTACACTATCTTAACACAGGGGCTTGACTGTATTGATGAGAAAAAGCTTCAGCTTTTTTTTTTTTTTTTTGGTTGTTGCAAGTATTCCTTGGATTTTTGTTCGGAATGGCATGGGATTCTAGTAAGCTGTCTATGTGGGCGCATGGGCCCTTGGAAAGGTGGCATGACTTAGGGGAAAGAACCAGGCATGGGGTGAGTGAGTGGAAGCTGAGCCTGCCAGCACTCATCTCTTAACCCTTTGGCAAATTAAGGCAACTACCCTTACCATCAGTAATCCATCCCTGGCAGTCAGATATCCTGAGTGAAAGTGCTGACCAGAGTCTATTTCACATTATTTTACATAGGACAAATTTTAATGTGTTATGTGTCAATGTGCAAAACCCTCAATCAATGTTCTGAAGCAGAAGTTGGCAAATCCAGCCCACTGCCAGTTTGTGTAAATAACGTTTTATTAGAACACAACAACACCCACTTGTTTACATGTGATTACTTTTCTACTGTAGTACCCAAGTAGTTGCAATAGAGAGCTGTGGCACCAGAGTCTAAAATATTCACTAAGTGTTCCTTTACAGAAAAAGTTTACCAACTCTTTTCTAAAATATGACTAAAAGATAGTAAAATATCTTATATATACACAGCTATCACGTTAAGGATGTAAAAATGTTTAAAACATTAATTAGTTAACAGTTAATATGATCTCAACATTTATTTTGTTTGAAATGTGACTTCTTTTTTAATCATGAAGAACATCTGAAACGCATCACTTTTGTGGCTGGGTTTTCAAAACCTCTAGGGAGGTATCTGATGTTCTACCAGTTGTACTGCAATGTGACACTTAACCTTCACCCATTTCGTTAAAAATGTTACATTAAATTTGAAGGATGTGATAGGATTTTTTCTTTTATAATAGCAGCAGACAAAACTGTTTTATTTAGAAATAAATAAAACATGTATTTTCTGTAAAGTTTGGATATTAAAAGCCAATTCAACAGCAACAACAAAAGGCATTCAACTAGGAAACTGTCAACTGGATCAATATTCTGTGGCATTTGGTTTTATTTCACTTCTTAGAAGCTCAGTATTCTTACCTGTAAAGTGGGAATCAAACTTCCTTACTGGGCTACGTGAAGGTTAAGTAAGTAAAACTATGTCTGACACATTTTGGGCATACATTAGCTGTTGGTTCCCTTTCCTTTTACTACCCTTAGCTTAGTTAGAGGAGCAAATAATGGTAACTATGAAATATTTTCAGAAAATGTTCCAAATTGACAGAGCTTCTGCTTACTTATGGTTACCTGGAGACCCAAGTAAAAGCCAGGGAGAAATTGGAAAGGTCCATGTATTTGGGTAAGAGATACTAGCAGCTGTAACCAACATTCCAGAATTTGAAATTTTTGAAATTAGCCGGGTGTGATGGCACGCGCCTGTAGTCCCAGCTGCTCGGGAGCTTAACTCAGTGCAGTTTAATGGGTGAGCACCTCCCACTGTTAGTGCTGGTTGAGGGGGACTGGAGCGGTGGTGGCTCTGCTCCATGTAGTCTTTCAGGGACCCAGGCGAATTCCATCCAGTGACTCCACTATCTCCAGGAACTAGGCATTCTCTACTGGATCTCTGCGCCCACGATCCAGGGAAGAAAGCAGTCATTAGGCAGGGTGCCAGAGGCTTCAGGATCTGAATGAAAGTAGTGTATACCCACTTCCATCTATTTGGTTAGAACTCAGTCACCAGGCCCCACCTAACTACAAGGGATGCTGGGAAATGCATTCCAGCTGTGTGTTCAGGAAAAAGAAATGGATTTGATGAACGTTTAGCTGGTCTTTGCCACAGACTGACCGCATTTTCTTGTATTATTATGGAGGACAAATGTTTACCATACATAAACTGCCCAGAGGTGCTGATAATCTGAGAACCTGTCTCCAACAAGTCCCCTGGGAAGGGCAGCATTTAAAGACAGTCGTGCTGGTTTGGAACAATTTATCTGCCTACTTGTTTAAATATATTTAAAAAATTAGCCTGCAGTCTGAATCTACTTCCCACATGTTGTGTGCCATTTAGGCATTTTGGCGTTCTAAAATGACAGATCTATCTCAGAGTGAGTAAGTTTAGGAATACATACTTAAGAAATGTTGCATGCAGTGACATTTTCCTTCCCAAAGTGATCTACGTGTACTCAAATTTATTTTGCTATTTTATAAAATAAGAAGTTGTACACAATATTGAGTAGAATTCTTTATCCGTGATGGCAGATAGAACATCTGTTGAAATACTACCACTGTTACTTATTTTGAATTGCACATTTTACAATGAATTATATCAGAATTATATCAATAAAAAATTGAAAAAATTTTCAATTTTTTAACACCTTTAATAGATCTAAACACACCTTTTTTTTTTAAAGTTATTCATTTACATCATGATTATATGAATATTTTAGGATTATAATCACCCTAAAATGAAGGACAAAATTTATCACACCAAAATAGAAATTTAATTTAAAGTACAAAGAACTTGATTACAAGGTTTAGTAGACTAGAAACAAGACATAAAAGAAGACATTAAAAAACACTTTTTAAGACACCCTCAGCAGTATAGTTTTACAGTAGATTTGGAAAAAATACAACAGCATTTATTAATGTTTGTGAAGATCATATTATAGACTAATCAAAGATCAAAGTTTGTAAGGTTCAAAAAACACACATAAGCAAATTTTGGTCATTTCCTGGAAAATACTAACTTTAAATATCTTCATTCAGGCTGGGCATGATGGCTTATGCCTGTAGTCCCAGCACTTTGGGAGACAAAGGCAGGCAGATTGCTTGAGGCCAGGAGTTTCAGACCAGCCTGGGCAGCACAGTGAGACACTGTCTCTACAAAAAATACAAAAATTAGCCAGACATAGTGACACCTGCCTGTAGTCTCAGCTACTTGGGAGGCTGAGGTGGGAGGATGGCTTGAGCCTGGGAGATTGAGGCTGCAAAGAGCAGAGATCATGCCACTGCACTGCAGCCTGAGCAACAGAGTGAGACCCTTTCTCAAAAAAGTAAATAATAGGGCTGGGCGCGGTGGCTCACGCCTATAATCCTGGCACTTTGGGAGGCTGAGGCAGGTGGATCACAAGGTCAGGAGATCCAGACCATCCTGGCTAACACGGCAAAACCCCGCCTCTACTAAAAATACAAAAAATTAGCTGGGCATTACAGTGGGCACCTGTAGTCCCAGGTGCTCGGGAGGCTGAGGCAGAAGAATTGCTTGAACCCAGGAGGTGGAGGTTGCAGTGAGCCGAGATCATACCATTGCACTCCAGCCTGGTGACAGAGCGAGACTCCATCTCAAAAATAAATAAATGAATAAATAATAAAACACAAATTTTCATTCAGTATCATACAGTTAGTGAAGTTTGTTTGAGATGGAAGCTGCTCTTGGCCATATTGTGATCCAGGGGCCTTAGTCAAAAGTCAGACTTGTCCACAGACATGTGTAATTAAAAATACTCCACTCACTTTTCTTGGTACTCCATGACATTTCCCACTACCTGTCACTTTGTCCTTGACGATATATGGGGCAGAAAACAAATTGCTTGGACGAGGTTGGTTTTCCAGTCAGCTGTTCCTTATTTTTCTCCGGTGCTTCTTTGTTATATTAGAGTTCAAATTTACTATTCATGAAACACATTTTAATCAGTGACCATATCAGACAAATGGAAGCTAAGCGCTGGTTAGTCTGTTGAAAATAAACATGAGGGCTCTCATTAATGTCGCTGTCTGAATAATTAGTTGAGCATCCAGTCCTGAGCAGCGGTGAAAGCAGACCGGCGTCTCACTGGAACGACAGGCTGACAGCCCTGTCTTGGAGAATGGTCATTAGTGTGCCCCGCCATCAATGTCATGTTACTGTGTCAAATTAGTTAGTGTCCCCTTAGGAGAGAAGCCGGACCTACAAATTATCCTCCCACATCCCTTGGAAACTGTGTTTGCCAAACCTGCAATCGAGTGTGAGCAAATTATTAACACGGCTCATAAATTAACTAGTTTACAGGCTTATAACATTTTACAAGTAGATAATAAAGGGGAGAAAAGTTTTCCAATTGCATTGCCCTGACGTGGGGCTGTGATCTGCCGACTGTTCCTTGAGGAGTCCACAGCTCATAGTTTTTTGTTAAGAGTCCAAACTCATGGGGTGTCAGAACAAATGTTTGGAAATGTAGAATCTAAAAGGCAGCCAGTGTAAATCCACTGAAAACAATATAATTAACTTCATTATCTCGTTGCTCTGATAAGTCGATGACAATGGTCATCTTTCTTTTAGTGGCAGTTGCTCATTAATGAGTTCACCAATTAAGTTTGAACGATTACAGCCTTTACCAACTGAAATTATCTTAAAAACATTTTTGATGCATTCTTATCATACTCTTAAGCTCCCTTGCTCAAGAGGGAAAATGCCCACACAGCACATTAAACTCATATAAGAATGAAGATTCAGAAGTCATGTGCAAAGAGTTTATGCACACTAGACACCAGATACCTAGAAAACATAGTGTGGACAAATCTGGCCTGAGTTTATCTCATATCTAGAAGAGACACCCACTGGGAACACCATCTCTTAACTCTCTTCTGAGTTCTGGTAGGCAGACAGCCCACATAGTTTCCGGAGACAGGTGACTATTCAAATCATAAAACTTCGTGCATCTCCTTTTTAGTTTCAACTTCTCCATCTGAGTAGGTTAAAAACATGTAAATTCACAAAGTATTGCCTGAATTTACTATTGAAAGAGAACACTGCACACAGACGTACATGTACGTGCCTTGAAAGCTCAGGCTTTCTACCCATTCTATAGTTCCATTTTTTTTTTTCTGTATTAGTGAGAGTCCTTTATTTAATCTTGAGGACCATATAGATGGCATTATTATCTCAAGGATCTATGCAGAAAAGACCCGGCATGTGAAACCTTGCTACTGACAGCTATTCGCAAAAACTTTCTGAAAGTGCTTGAGGATGAGTTGACTTATCTGTCAGCAACTTCAACTTACTTGGAATTGGATTTGGTAAATATTCTACTAATAACCTAACCAAGCGATGAAAGCTTTGCAGTCTCAGCACATGAACAGAGTGACTGTTTCCATGAGAAGGTGTGTCACAGTCTCCTTTTGCATTTGAAATGCAACTGAAAAAAAAAGAGTTGCTAACTGTGGCAAGTAAGATTTTCTGTTTGGCTGTCAGGAGAGAGCTTGTATGTTTCGCTAGTAGGGCGCCTGTGTCCATGTATGTACTTACTTCCTCCTGTCTCTTCTACTGAGTGCATTGAGATAGGCTAAAAGATCAAAACTCATGGCAAAATTATCATTTGGACCTATGGATCTTCTTTTTCTTATTTCTCAGGATGTATTAGCACTGTAATTATGAGAATTTATCTTGAGAAATAAGAAATTATAAGCCGAGCATGGTGGCTCATGCCTGTAATCCCAGCACTTTGAGAGGCCGAGGCGGGTGGATCATTTGAGGTCAGGAATTTGAGACCAGCCTGGCCAACATGGTGAAACCTTGTCTCTACTAAAAATACAAAAATTAGCCAGACACGGTGGCGGACACCTGTAATCCCAGCTACTCGGGAGGCTGCGGCAGGATAATCGCTTGAAACTGGGAGGTGGAGGTTGCAGTGAGCCGAGATCATGCCACTGCACTCCTCTAGCCTTGGAGATAGAAGAAGACTGTGTCTGGAAAAATAATTGCAGCACTTTGTAGGCTGAGGCAGGAGTATCACTTGAGCTCAGGAGTTTGAGACCAGCCGGCCTACTAAAATTTAGCTTGTCTACTACAATTCCAAAATTATTTGGGCATGGTGGCGCACACCTATAGTTCAAGGTACTTGGGAGCGCTTGAGACTGGGAAGTTGAGGCTGCAGTGAGCCCTGAATGTGCCCTGCACTCCAGCCTGAGTGGCAGAGCGAGACCCTGTCTCAGAAAAAAGAAAAGAAATAGAAATTATGGTACGGAAGATAAAGGAACTTAACTTCCTAAGTGGATGTCAGTGCCTTCAAGAGTGACAGTTTTACTCACCTACATAACATTTTGCATCCTCCTCCTGTAATTCAGGTTGTGAGCTAGGTCAAATGCTGATTCTAGAAGGCAAAGGATAAAATAGATGCTTAGATACATGATTATATACTGAAGGTAAATGTGGTATGTAAATGAGGGATACCAAAGGCTCGTGTGTCTGTGTTGCTTTTGAAGCATCACCATTTGCCCCTTCACTTAACCTCTTCTTTTCTTTTTGCTTTCAGCTTCCCTCTGTGTGTTGCAGTCCTGTGGCATTATGCATGCCCCCTCCCAGTGACCCCAGGCTTTTTATGGCTGTGAGACACGTTAAAATTTCAGGGTAAGTGACAGACACCACTGATGCTGTATACCACCTAAAAATTGCCATCTACCTTTGCGGGGGACCCAGTGGTCGATATAGTAATCCTGCAGAAGATAATGGCCTTTCTAATTATCAGGCCCTGATTCTGAAGCTAGCAGGCATTTGAATGCTGCTACCCCCCATGATAGCTTTATGGTTTTCAAGAATAGGGTTCATAACGGGGATCATATTTGTGGGAAGGTGACCTAATGCAGGGGTTGGTAAAATTTGTAAGGGGCCAGATAGGAAATATTGTCATCCTCATGAGCCATACAGTCTTTTTTGCAACTAGTCAACTCTGCCTTTAGAGCACAAAAGCAGCCATAGATAATATACAAGCAAAGGGGTGTCACTGTGCTCCAGTGAGACTTTATTTACAAAAACAGACAGTAAGCCATATTTGGCCTGAAGACTATAGTAGGCTGTCCCTTGATTGGATGCATCAAAAACGGACATTTGACCTGTAAACCTGACACCTCGCTGGGTACCACTCCGTCTGACCTTGAGCAAACCATTTATCTGCGAGAAACAGGAATAAAAAATATATACCTGCCCTTACTACCTTGAAAGATGGTGTTGTAAGGATGAAACAAGATATAATGCATGTGAAAGCACTTTGAAAATTTCGAAACTCCTTACGAATGTGATGATCGGCTCTACAGTCATTCTGGTTCACCTTGTGGAGTGTGACTTCTTCACCTTTTTAATCACATTGGGCTTTCATGAGCGAAATGAGTGTGGGGGAAAGCTCTCTTATTTTCTGAGTAATGTGGTTTGTCTGTACGTTCCTTCTATTTTACAGTTGATGGACTAGCTGTTGAAATGTCTTTCTTTTTAGTATCAAATATGGATGAAGGGATATGCGGGTAGATTATGGTAGGCTAAAGATCAAATGCCAATGAAGAACGATTAAATTTCCTTTAATCATCAGAATCTGAGAGTGCTGTAAGATCTCACCTTTAATATAGGCCTTAATAAATAATAATGCTTTGGATGCCTACAAGTATGTTTAAATTTCACAAGTCTTGCATGTCAAAACAGAGAGACAGGCTCAGCAAATATGCTTCCCTGGGCTAGCAATACTAATTAAGAAGGCAAGTCATACTTAAACAAACAGCTTTGGGAATAGAGGGTTAATCAGAATCCCAATTCATGAATCTTCTAGTTTTTTTTTTCCCTCAGAGAAAATTGTAGTGTCATCTTTAGATATGTTTTCATGTCATTATATTAGTTAAGAATTGTTTTCTAGTAAGAGAGATATAAGTATAAAAAATTATTTAAGTATTCTGTCGTAAAAACATCTGGGAAGAGCAGTTTGTGTCTTCTATCTTTCTACTCTGCTTATTCAAGTGCGTTCCTTCATCTTCAAGGTCACATGGTGGCTGCTGGCTCTCAGGCCATTGCCTCTACATCCAAGACAAAAAGTAGTTTTCCTGGCTGAGGCAGGCCTTTTTAAAGCACTTTCCCTGTAGCCTTATCCAATGATGCCTGCTTACATCCTATTAGCCACCCCTAACTGTAAGGGTGTCTGGGAAATGCATCCTTAGACTTGAACAATTTGATGTCCCAGGTAAATTCTGGGTTCTAGTACTAAGAAAAGGTGAATGCTTACTGAGCAACCATTATGGTTACTTTTACGAAATCATGCTGTCAATTTTGCTTACATGTTTAATTTTTATTTATTTTCAATGAATGCCTTCTGTTGACTGTGCCTTGTTTGAATTTTACATGTTAGAATTTTAGCCTGTTTAATTCTCAGCAGAGATACAGCTCAGTAAATATTTTAAGACCACAATATTCTTACTGAAAGTGCCATGGCAAATCTGAGAAATACATTTCTTTATTAAGAGAGCTATAAAGCAAAATTTAAACTCTCGAATATGCTAGTCTAGTGGGTTTTCCTTCCTGTGGATGTAAGATTTCATTAAGGCTTGAGTACTAGCATGAGGTCTTAGTGGCACGCACTCACACCCAATTCTGTTCCCCCTATATGGGCAGGGGACATTGCTGACAGCTTTGCATTGTCCCTCTGTTCTTATGTAGACTCAAGGACGGGACAGAACTCTCCATCCTACCTTTCTGTGATTTGTTGCTCCCTGTATCTCTGCTGAAAGCTTACCGTGGGAGTGGGGTGCACGGGACAAGTAAGCCACTCCTGTCCAAATTTTCTGTCCCAAATTGGCCTGTACATGATTCTTGTGAGCCACTTTTTATCCCATAAAATGAATAGAATGAGACTTCCCTATGCTTTGTATTAATAATATATTCTCTGCCTATACTGGCCTGTGACGAGTAGTCATAAAACTTAGGGTAATGGATGCATTCGCAGAAACTCCTTGGATGCCTCCTGTGGATACAGGATAGCAGCATGGTTAAGAGTGTCTGCTTTGAAGTTAGATTGGCTTAGACTCAGATTCCACCTTTTCCACTTCCTGGCTGAACAACCCTAGGCAAGTTACTTAACCTTTCTGTGCCACGGCCTCCTTATCTGGAAAAGGGGATAAAAATAGAAGCCAGCTCACTCTGAAGAGTTAGAGAGGTGATGCTTGTAAAGAGCTTAGCACGGATCCTGGTACATCATAAATGCCAGCATTGTACTAGGCACCCCAGGTGATACAGTGGAAATCTCTGTCTCTGACAAGCTTGTACCATCCTGTTGCTGGTTCACTGGTCGTTGTTTTACTGATAGATGACGCATGTTTCGCAGTCCATTGCTCCTCACCTGGTATTCCCTTGTAAATGCAAGTACAGCCTTGGGAGCTTGTCCTGCTGCACATCTGCAAGGACACGTGCAGCTATGTATACAGCTGCTGTAGCCCTGTTAGCAGAGCTTAGGTCTCTGGATCCTGTTTTGAGGATTTCCCCTGAGAAGCATACAGTTCTTTTTTTATTCCTTTTTTTTTTTTTTTTTTTTTGACTTAGTCAGACAATGGTCCTGCCTCGCAAGCAGAATTCACTAACTGCTTTCAAGTTGGTATTGCTGATGATAATCTGAAACTGTAGGGTTTCGCTCGTGCAGGCTGATGTTACATGATGTCGATCTTCTGCCACCTCATCCTCCATCCCTGCCTCTGTGCTGACTCGGCAAAGCAGGTCCTAGTCCCCCACAGATCCTCTTGGGAATGGCCCTCAAAGGACTGTGTCATCTGCACACAGAAGCTGCCACAGGTCCGTGGCAAAGAATGTCAGCAGTACTCATGGATGACCCAGTTGGTGACTTGTACCCAGATTGAAAAACAGTGCCAACCACGTGACCCTGGCTGTCTCTTGAGTTTTTGAGCCCTGTTAGGTGAGACGGGTAAGAGTCACACCACCTATAATAACAAACCTGCAGTGATAATTCATTAACATTGACACCATATCACAGAACTGATGGTTTTGGGGCAACAGACCCCAGCCTATAGTAGTACTTATCAGGGGTCTGCCTGACATAGGCTTTGCTTCCATCATGTTCACTGTGTGGAGATAGTGGCTTGAAGATCTGGCGTGTTCAAAAGACTCTTGGAAACTTCGAGCTTTTGCCGCGTGGTTTCCAATATTTTATTTAAACCCCATTACTCTTCTCAGATGTCATAAAATCTCCCTTGCCTCTGAATTACGGGATACCTTCCATGCCTCCCAGGACTCACTCCTTCTCATCCCTTAGTGTTCAGTTCAAAAATCAACCCCTTAAACATGCCTTTGCTGACCACCTACGTGAAAGGGGACAGCCCCTTTATTATTTTTCTTGATCCAAACCTCTTGTTTGTTCCATATGTTACAGCCCTGTCCCTTCATGAATTCACCTGTTTATCAGGTAATAAGCAAGAAGTAGGTCGTATTCAGTGTGGCTTCTCCATGGCTAGCAGTGCCTAACATATGGTAGGTATGCATGCAGTCGGTATTTGTTGAATCAGTCAGAGTCTGGGGATTTCCCTGTGAATTTCTGTATTTTTATGGCACCTAAGAGGACTGTATCTGGTTGAGGGAGAAAGAGAAGGAACAAAGCTACACACATCACCTTTATTGTAGGAATAAAATACTGCCCTTGGGTTTTCTCTGGAAAGTTCCCACTATGTACTGCATACTCTGCGTGTCCCATCCGGAAGGGGTTATACATTATCTTCCCCATGAAGACAGAATCATTTGCCACTTGAGCCTGAAGGATATTGTGGGTGGTACAAATTGATTAAGGACATTGGGATCCAAGCTCAAACCCCAACACTCTCATTCAGTGGCTCTTTTTTTGGACAAATTATTTTCTCTCTCTAAGACTCAGTTTACTTGCCTGGGGCAGGGGTAATAGCATTACCTAGCCACTGAGCTATTGCGAGGATTAAATTAGATGGTACGTATAAAGCACTTTGCACAACGTCTGGAACAGAATAACAGTGCTGTTGATTTAAGGGTATCAGCAAAGGCTTTGGGGACCTCCACTGATAAAACTCATCTTCTGCTTTCTTCTGATGTTCATTTTAGAGGTGGCAAAGATGGCAAAGAACCTTGATTCCCGATTATATTTGCTCATGTTTCATGTGCTGAATTAACTTCAAAAAGTACAAAATAAGCAAGCAGTGAGATAGTCTGTTTTATATTTGTTGTTGACACGTTGACTGTTGGATGCTCATGACCTGTCTCAGGTAGCACATGCTAGAAACCTCAAGCGCTGCAATGGCTCAGTGTCTGGAGCCTGACCCACATCCAGAAAACCATGGAAATTGAGAGTTTGGGGTGCTGCAGTGTCTGTACGCCTTCTTGCTGGGGATATGTTTTGCCTTTAAGTTAATCAGAGCTGGTTTGATCTCCTGCCTTGCAATAGAGGGCATCTTAAATTTCCTTAAATTCTCTTCTCTCTCTCTTTTTTTTTTTCTGGAGACGGAGTCTCGCTCTGTCACCCAGGCTGGAGCGCAGTGGCGCAATCTCAGCTCACCATAACCTCCGCTCCTGGGTTCAAGCGATTCTCCTGCCTCAGCCTCCCTAGTATTTTTTTTTTTTTTTTGTATTTTTAATACAGACGGGGTTTCACCTTGCTGGCTAGGCTGGTTTTGAACTCCTGATCTTGTGATCCGCTCATCTCAGCCTCCCAAAGTGCTGGGATTACAGGCGTGAACCACCGCGCCCAGCCCAATTCTCTTCTCTTTTTTTAAAAAAATATACTTGATGTGTCGGTCCTGAAAATTCACATCACTTCTCTTTTGATAGAAAACCAAAGTCTGTATAGTCTGAAAGGAGTTAGATATAAATGTCTTTCATTATTAACACCAATTTCTTCCACCTGCTTGAAGAAGATGATCTATTATTTTTGCTATATTGTTCCACCATGTCAGTGGTTGACATTTGTTGTTCATTGTGAATTTTTTATGTAAAAGCTGAAGCAGAGAGAGGGACCTGTCTCACTCTGTATCACATGACTTTCTAGCGGACAAGAATGAAATCTATGAAATCATATACTCTTATTTACACGACTTATGGAGTAACTAGGGTTATCTAGGAAATTAAAATAGCCATTTCTTTTATTAATTCATAACTTGTACTCTTGCAACTTAACAATAAAAGGACATGATTAAAATATAGTTTAAGGCATCAAACGTGGTTACTAATATCCTTTTAGGAAAGGAAAAGATGAAATCCAGTAAGTTTCAGTCAAAGTAAGTGAATAAATCAGAAAAAAAAACATTGGTTAGACTCATGATAACCCTCAGAGTGGCTAACACCCAGATTTTTTGCATCTCTAAAAATATATAACACCCCTGTCTCCAAATATCACTTCAGAAACTAAAATAATAATTCGTGAAAGGGGAAACAGATCCGTGTAATATGAGACTTGATCAGGCAGTTTACGCGGGATGCTTGAGGGCCTAGATCAGCCCTTGTGCTGCCCTCTTCTCAATACCCTGGTGCCTGAGGAGCAGCGGGGAAGATTAGGAGCTTTCTGAGGGTTTTTACTTTAATGCTTTGAAATTTTGCTGCATCGTCTGAGTCCAATTTGGTTCAGCAGTCTCTCAGTGCCAGGTGACTCTGGCTAAGATGCTCTAGGGCTGAATTTTTTAATGCCAGCTTTCCCAGGGGATCAGTAAAGGTTTTGCCCTGGGTATTCCAACCAGGAGAGCCTGTGTCCTGTCTTTGTCCACATCTGTCCCCAGTCATTAATGGTGACACAAAATAGTCTCCCACTCCTGACTCACTTCCTAAACCTGGCAGTTTCTTTGGGATTCTACTCCTAGAATAATTGGTGCTTAGACCTTCTTAGGTTTATCTGTATGTATGTACCTAGAAGAACTTGCATTTCGTGCTGTCACCAATATTCTGCATGCTTAAAAAGTAGGGAGAGGTGGAAGTAGAATTTTCTAAACTCATGAAAAATCTAACCCTAAAAAATCTCAATAAACAGCAGTTTTTTAAGAGAAACATTCTAGCTTTTGAAAGGTCTACCCTATAATAGCTACCTTTACTGTCTGTATGCCAGACATGATTCTAAGCCTTTGATATTTATTAACTCATAGTAACTCTGTGAAGTAATCATCATTCTAAAAATTCATTTTACAGGTGAGGAAGCTGAAGAATAGTGAGTTAAATGACTCACCCAGAGCCCTCTGCTTATATGGAGCAAAGTAGGATCTGGACCTAGAAATTCCTTCCCCTCGTAGCCTGTTGTGTTTTTTTTTTTTTTTTTTTTTTTGAGATGGAGTCTCGCTCTGTTGCCCAGGCTGAAGTTGGAGTGCAGTGGTGCAGTCTCGGCTCACTGCAACCTCCACCTCCCTGGTTCCAGCGATTCTCCTGCCTCAGCCTCCCAAGTAGCTGGGACTAAGATGCATGCCACCATGCCTGGCTAATTTTTGTATTTTTGGTAGAGACAGGATTTTGCCATGTTGGCCAGGCTGGTCTCGAACTCCTGACCTCAGGTGATCCACCCCCTTCAGCCTCCCAAAGTGCTGAGATTACAGGCATGAGTGACCACACCCAGCCGTACCCTGGTTCTTAATCACTATGCCATGCAGTCTTCCTCACGCACACATATTCTTGGGGTTATCGACTTGCAGGCATTATTTTGTTTTCACATAAACTTTTCACTCTAGGACTGCATGTGGAGCTGTTATACTTCAATGCTATCTAATAGGCCCTGCTTGATCTTACTAGACTTCTTCAAATGCTTTCTTTTTGCTAACACAAGAGCTATGGGAAATAAAAGTGTGTCGCAATTTGATTAGGAACAAGGACAACCACTTAATTGCCATTCTTCTATCTCCAGTTGGATGTGCCTGTTAAGACATTTTCTCTAGATCTTTGAGTCATTTTTCTCTGGGACATTTTTCTAATTAACCTCATCTCTCTAGCCCTCATTTTACTTCATATTAGCCTCTGACCACCTAATAATTGATTTGTTCTGCTCAATCACCTGTGTGAAAAGTGAGAGGGTCTCCCTCCCAAAGCTTTGGTCCCGTACCTGGGCATTTTCCCAGCAAGCAAGTTCAGAATGTTCTTTTAGTTCTTGGAAACATTCACCTGGAAGGCTTTTTATTTACCAGGGTGAATCTGGGGTACTGAAAGGTAACATTGGCTAACAGAGTAGAAGACCTTTGGTTACTTAGTCAGTAGAATTATAGGTTTATAAGCTGTATGCCAAGGACTTTGACCTTCAAATATTAGTAAAATATTAGGCTTGAAGAAATGTATAAATGCCAGTTTCAAGAGACCACAAATAAGCAATTTTGACTTAAAAGGTTTGAAGTGTTCATATTGCCTTGTTAACACAAAGAGCAGACAGCCCACTTCTAAAGTGTCGGTGCCTTAAAATACTGAGCTCACCATATTTTAGGTCTTGTTGGTTCTGAGTGACCAGCTTAGTCATAAAGGGGAATTAATTGGCTCATAATGTTGAAAAGTCAGATTGTGGAACTAGCTCCAGGGAAATCTGGAGCAGGAGGTTCCGATCATGCCATTAAGTCTTGGTGGCAGTCTTCTGGCTGTGCTGTGCTCCCTGTTGGATTCATTCACGGAGGCGATTCCCTGTTTGTGGCAGGATAACCTTTCATGAGTCTGTTTTTGTAGCAACTCCAGCAGAAAAGATCTTTTCTTAAGAGTTCTAGCAGCTGTCATGGAATCTGGATCTTCCTGCTTCTGTGATTGGTCTGGTGTGTGCCACATGCCTTTCGGTGAAACACTTACTGGAGCTGGAGCAGGAGTGAGTTGGGGGTGGTGGGAGGTCCTGCTTGGCCTAGGATGGGTCATGTGTCCATCTCTAAAGGCATGGATGGCCTTTGACCTACACAAAACAATGGGAAGTAGGTGAAAAGAGTGCTGGTTTCAGAAGGAGACAGAACTCTGGGAAAGTGAACTATGTTTATGTACCACGTCGGGTACTATACTTGATACACAGCAAATACATAGAATTACAGGGTGGAAGGAACCTTTAAATATCATATGGTTCAGCTAACCCACAACTGAATGTCATCTATGGGAGTTTTCCCAGAAAGTTGTCTGCCTAATGCTTGACATCTTCAATGACATTTCCTACCTTGAGAGTGGGCTGTGCCTCAGAAATGCTACCATGCCTCTGTCCTCGAGGAGTCTAGAGTTCATTCATTTCCTGCCTTCCTTCTATTCATTCTTCTCTTCAACCATCCACCTACCATCTGCCACAGTTTGTCGTCCTAAGGCAAGATGCTTGCTTTTAACATACTTACATGTGCAAGGTAGACAGAAAAGTCAGTTATAATATGGTGATAGAGAAGCTACAAGAATACTGGTGTATTGTGCGTTTTGATTGGGGAGGGGATTGGAGAAGGGAGATTGGAGGGCCTCATAGCAGGAATGATGCCTCAGAGGATCAACAGGAGTTGCCAAGTAGCCAAGGGAAAGACGGTCTTTTTGGTGGACTTAGTAGGATTAAACCCTATATTAACATTCAGACTTGCTTTTGAATGACCCAGGAAAATTGGCTTATAAAGTAGCTTAGCCCAGTCAAAATGCATATGTCTTTTAGGTCACATAAAGAATGTAAGTGGTGGGAATAATATCCTGATGATGAAACATTTTTGTACAGGTGAGCCATCTGACATCTTCCAAGTCACCCCCATCTCCTGTTTCTTAATAAATACGTAATAAGTGAATGGATGAAACCTTCTTGGGAAAAACTTCAGTGAGTTAAATTACAGAATTTTAACAACCACTTTCCTAATAATTTTGAAAGGATCGGATATTATTTGTTTATTCATACATTCTTAGGGGCAAAGGAATATTTTGAACCTCAGTTTTCTCATCTGGTACCTGAGGATAAAAATAGTACCTCCTGAAGGGTTAGGGATATAGAGAATAAACATCTGGAGCATGTGAAACACCAAATATGGTTCTATCACCTGGTAAGCCCTCTGTCAATATTACTTGTTATCAAAGGGTATCTATGATTTTTATACCTCATTGGTTGTCAAAAGCTTAACATTTAGTTATGTCCATTTAGCTACTTGATATAAATGTTTTTCCATGTGCCCTGGATGGAATTTTTTTTTTTATTTTTGCATGTTACTTACACCTTAAAAATTAAAGATATTAAAGATGGTGAGATTTAGCAAAAAACTTTAATTTCACATGCTTTTAATGCTTCCCTGAATTAATAATTTTCATGTCCATCATATTTTCTCCTTGGCCCACAATTCATCCCATATTTGGATCTTGGCAAATGATGACTTGGTTAATTAGGCAGTCTGTTAACTCTGATTACTAAGTTATAACAGATCAGTGTAGAAGCATCACTGTGCAATTTGGATTAAAAGGCTCTTCATTTTATCAAAACAAATTTACATTTATGGGTAACTGTTGAAGTGCGTTATGTTAAAATGATGCATTTCATAAGGAAAATTTAAAAAGGATAAAAATTATTTCCTCCTGCTAAGTTATTTTTTTATTGTGGCATTCATCACATTATCTTTCACTAGGAATATACATAAAATCTTGGAATTTTCTTTTAAGGCTTGGAAATTATAGCTGATTTAATACCTTGATTATACAAATATGATGGATGCATTGCATTTTTATTTAAGCATAATTTAGTGTAGTGGCACATGGTTATATTCCAATTCTGACCACAGTGGCCTCTGATGTTGGAGTTACTTATAGAAGTGAAACTTGACTGTGTTGGGGCAGAATTAGTGGGCTACATTAGGCTGGCTTTGTTTTATAGCTGAAGGCATTGATGGTTATTAAATAGACTGCGGCCTCTGTAGTCCGGTCTCTTGTCTAATGGTTCATCATCACTTAAGGGAAGTTGGGGTATCAAAAACTTGCTTGCTTCTTCCATGTTCATCTCTGCCTACCTTCTTTACTTTCTTAGCACACATAACAGTTAGCATTGTGGAAGGTGAACAGACAAACACAGAGTAATTTTCCAGACTTGGTGAATCCTAAAACCTGTGTTAATTACCCCTCAAGATTCTGTCTAGTATCAATAACATTCAAATGATAGCACCTCCCCCTTTACTCCCTCCTCTGCTCGACACACACACCTGCATGTGTGACTTATACACACATGCATATGCGTGTGCACACACATACACACCTGCATGTGTGACTTATACACACATGCATATGCGTGCGCGCGCGCACGCACACACACACACACACACACACACACGCACACACACACACACTGAACACAGCAACTGGCACCTGGGAGGTGTTTAATAGGTATTTGTTGAAGACTAGTGGGTGGAAAAGATGAAACACCAACAGCCTCCCACTCCAAGCTTCTAAGCTGCTCTTAGCCTGGTCCAACATCTGGGACCCTGTTTGATATTACAACTGTTGGAATAAATGGAGTTCATGAATTTAGTATTTATTCTTTCAATAAGCTTACTGAAGTCTGGCCTTTATGAATTGCTGTGTTCTAGTTCTACGGGAAATAGATAAATCAAAGAGAGAAAATACAGTAGTTTCCCCTTATCCATGGTTTCACTTTCTGTGATTTCAGTTACCAGCAGTCAATGATGGTCTGAAAATAAGTGAGTACAGTACAAGAAAATAGTTAGAGAGAGAGAGACCACATTCACATAACTTCTATTACAGTATTGTTAAAATTGTCCTATGTTATTTGTTATCATTAATCTCTTACTGTGCCTAATTTATAAATTAAACTTTTTCATAGGTGTACATGTATAGGAATACACATCATATGTATAGGGTTCAGTACTAATCATGGTTTTGGGCATCCACCGGGGCTCTTGGACTGTATCCCTGTGTATAATGAGGGACAACTCTGTTTTTTTTTTTTGTGAGACAGAGTTTTGCTCTTGTTGCTGAGCCGGAGTTCGGTGGCACGATCTCTGCTCACTGCAACCTCCGCCTCCCATGTTCAAGCGATTCTCTTGCCTCAGCCCTCCGAGTAGCTGGAATTACAGGCATGGGTCACCACGCCTGGCTAATTTTGTATTTTTAGTAGAGACGGGGTTTCTCTATGTTGGTCAGGCTGGTCTCGAACCCCCGACCTCAGGTGATCCACCCACCTCGGCTTCCCAAAGTGCTGGGATTACAGGCATGAACCACCTCCCCCAGCCGACTCTGTTCTTTACATTCAGCAAACTCAGTATCTTGTTGATTGATGATATTGACATGACCCTAGGCCAGAAATAGTAAACCTTAGTTCTTCAGTTTTATTCAGTGCTAGCATGTAGTTTATGCAAAACCAGCTTTTCTAAATCTAGAAGGCTCTGGCTCTGCTGATATTGATGGTAGAGGCAGAAGTTTGTTTAAGTCAGAATGGAAGTGGAGGTTTTTATGAATTTGATTATTTTATCTTAATTAGGAACATTTAATAATAATTATGGGTGACTTTCATTTTGGAGCAGGTATGGCTGGTTGTTCAAAGGTAAAGTGATGTTTTGAGCTGTAATTTGACGGATCTGAATGACAGTCAGCCTGAATAATTCAGCTTCCTACTAGCTTCCCTACCACCCCATTCCTTCTTAAAGAAAGAACCAAATAAGGAATTTTTTAAAACCCAAACCATTCTGGATTCTATTAATTCTTATAGTTACTTTCAAAGGAGCAGTTTGAGAGAAAGATGCGGTCTGGGACATTTATATGTGAGGTAAAGCTTTCAACCCATTAGAACATTAATTTTTTTGAGATGGAGTCTTGCTCTGTTGCCAGGCTGGAGTGCAATGGTGGTGCGATCTTGGCTAACTGCAACCTCCATGTCCCGGGTTCAAGTGATTCTCCTGCCTCAGCCTCCCTGAGGCAGGTGCGTGCCACCACGCCCAGCTAATTTTTGTAATTTTAGTAGAGACGGGTTTCACCATGTTAGCCAGGATAGTCTCTATCTCTTGACCTCATGATCCACCCGCCTCGGCCTCATTAATTTTTTTTAATGGGGCTTTAGTTGCCTAAATAATATGTGTATTATATAAAGTCTTGCTAATAGAGCAAGAGAACCCTCTGGAAAAAAAACTGCCTAAGGAATGAGATAAGAACTGAAGTCTGCTTGGGTTTTCAAGCATCCCTTGAGATGGAAAAGTCTTACCCCGCATCCGTGGTCCTCAAGAAGCCATAAAGGCAACATTAGGAAACTTTCTCGATTAGGTGCTTCCTTAGTGAATAGGTCTGTGGATAGAAGCAAGCAGACTTATTATAAGGTTGGATACTATACTATTACTGTGTGGTTGTATTAATTAAATTTATTCCTTTAAAATAACCTTGGATGAAAACAACCACCTCTTCTGTGGTCATGGTTAGCAGATGTTTACCGTAATTCTTTGCTCAGTGAAAAAAATGCCTCTTCCACCCAACAAAAACAGCCACGTTTGCTTGGCTAAATCAAAACTTTGGCGCTTGGGTCTTACTTTATATATCATGGCTCCAGTCACACAACCTTTCCAAGTGTGAGGCTTAGATCACCAACTCCAACATCTGCAGGAGAGCTTTGCTCACAGTGATCTATTATGTGAGTGCTTAATTCTTAGACTGTTCTTGGCATTCGCCTTCCCTCATTGAAACCAATATCCTATATGCAAGCTGCTCTTTGTTTTTCTTACATAAGCATGCTAGCCCCTCCCAAATTTTTAAAGCTTTCACCTAGACCTATGGCCATTTTTGTGAGGATTTTGATCATAGAAATAAAGTCAAACTTTGCCTTCTCAGTCTGAGAGTTTAGTTTTTCTTCGGCTCTCTCTGAAATACCAAGCCTCTCCTTTCCTTATATTTTGTGCTTGAAAAGCACTTTGTCTCATTGCATATTGGGCCTACTTAACCACCTCACTCCTCTTTTTTTTTTTTTTTTTTTTTTTTTTTACAAAAACTTTATTGATTTCAAACCTATAGCCTATCGGTAGTCCCTGCCCGCACCTGCTGTTCATGGTTCTAATAGGTATTTCAGGACCAGCTCCCCCATCTGCACTGAATTTCTGCACTGAAGAATGCCGCCTGCTCTCAGCAGTGCTGAAAGGAAATACAACAGCAAAACTTTGCTTTTCTTGGGAAGCTCTTCTCTTTGGAATGGAGAACTCTGGGTGGCTCTTCTTATTTTGTTTTCATCGCCAAAATAAGCAGGGATCTTGCATAACACCAGGGTAGGAAAAAAGAAGTAATTTTAAGGGAAACATATGTTCATGTTGAGAAAAAGGCAGTTAGAACTGGACAAGGGATAGTGGCCCACAAAGCTAAAGGCATCTTTTCAATTCAGTTAGGAAACCAGGTTTTGATCTTTTTGGTATATATATGTGTGTGTGTGTGTGTGTGTGTGTGTGTGTGTGTGTGTGTGTGTGTATATATATTTGAGACAGATTCTCTCTCTGTCACTGAGGCTGGAGTTCAGTGGCACAGTCTTGGCTCACTGCAACCTCTGCCTTCTGGGTTCAAGCAATCTTCCTGCCTCAGCCTCCCGAGTAGCTGGGACTACAGGTGTGCACCACCACACCCAGCGAATTTTTGTATTTTTAGTAGAGACATGGTTTCACCATGTTGGCCAGTATGATCTCGATCTCCTGACTTTGAGATCTGCCTGCCTTGGCCTCCCAAAGTGCTGGGATTACAGGCGTGAGCCACCACACCCAGCCTTTTTTGGTATATTTTATAAAATGAAAAATAAGTTGCTTCCCTGTATCCCCAAATATTTTCTTTGATTCAATTACAAATGAATCTTGGGACACCAAGGCTTATAAACTAGTTAGTTGATATATGCAGTATAGAATGTGTCTAGTTCTGTATTTGTTAAATTATTTTCCTATGATCTTAGCACTAAGTAATGTTCCTGGAAATCATTTCATTTAAGATGCCTGCCCTAATCTGAAGTCAGAGCTAAAATGATCCAAATATGATTTTTTTTTTAATTGAGACGGACTCTCGCTCTTTCCCCCAGGCTGGACTGCAATGGCACATCTCAGCTCACTGCAACCTCTGCCAGGTTCAAGCCATTCTCGTGCCTCAGCCTCCCAAGTAGCTGGACTACAGGTGCATGCCACTATGCCTGGCTAATTTTTTTGTATTTTTAGTGCACAGGGGGTTTCGCCATGTTGGTCAGTCTGGTCTCAAACTCCTGACCTCAGGTGATCTGCCCATCTTGACCTCCCAAAGTGCTGGGATTACAGGCGTGAGCCACAGTACCCAGCTTCAAATATGATTCTTATTTGGTCTGATTTTTGGAGAAGAGAAATCCGGGTATTAAAATGGACCAAAGATGTCTACTTTAGCTGTTTGGCTGATTAGTGGACATATTATTTGTCGTTTTAACTGATTCCAAATTATGTCTGTTGATAGAAACAGCAGACACTAGTGTTTCACACTGTTTGTGGGTGGCAAGTTTTGAAAATGCAGCTAATTTGCAAAACGACAGAAGAATAGAAAAAAAGATAGAAAAAAATTCCTTAAGGTTTTCCATTCAACTATTCTCAAAGTATGAACATTTTAGGGTTAGGGGAAACTCTAGCAGAGTTCTTCTTTCCTCATTATAAATTAAATACTCGTATCCCTAAAACGTAGCTGTGAAGGAGGGAAGGTCCTGGAACATTCTTAGTACTGATATGCGTATGCAATGCCACAACCAGAGAGATGGCGGATGTACTCACACAACTGGTTGAGGGCAAGGGCCAACAGGACTGTGGGATAGTGCCCAGATGGGAAGGCCTTGGTTGCGCCTGGAACTGTTTCTATATGTAGTTCTTTGCTGCATGTACAAAAAAATATATCCAAACAGAGATCTATTTAAGACCAATGAAAAAACCCGGCTCTTAAAGAGTCCTGCTTTCCTTAGTGTTGACACCAGTAGGTTTGGAAACTGTGACAGGGTAGATCCAGGCTTGCATTTAATCTGTTTGATTCAGAAAATCTAATTGAACGCCAGGCGTGATGGGCTCAATGCCTGTAATCCCAGCACATTGGGAGGCCAAGGCGGGCAGATCACTTAAGGTCAGGAGTTCGAGAGCAGTCTAGGCTTTGTGAAATCGCATCTCTACAAAAATTAGTCAGGTGTGGTGGTACACACCTGTAGTCTCAGAGGCAGGAGAATTGCTTGAACCCAGGAGGCTGAGGTTGCAGTGAGCCGAGATCACTCCACTGTACTCCAGCCTGGGTGACAAAGTGAGACTACATCTCAAAAAAAAAAAAAAAAAAATCTAATTGAGATTTAAAAACTCATAGTAGGGGGAAAAAAAGAACTTATCTTCCCCGCCCCGTAACCCAACAAAAAAGGACACAAAGCCATTTAAAGTGTAAGATTATTCTTAGATATTGGTGTAAGATCCAGCTATTTTATTTAGTTCAGTCCTTTCTCTCCTAGAGGCCTCAAAGGGCATCGTCAGTAGCACCTGAGTCATTTGACTGTTGGAAACACTAAGTTAAAGAAAAAAAAATCAATGTATGCACATAAGAAGAGGAATTTTGAATTACATTTCCTTTTAGTCCTTAGAGTAGGCTACATTCTGTTGTTTTTCTAGTGTTTTTGTCCTTTGGGATGAAACTATAAATGGTGGCAGATGCCATCTCTATGTTAGTGAGAAGTAGGAAGGACCTCAGGGAAAGTGTCAGAGCAAACTGGAAATCCCAGAAGTTTTGTTTAATAATTATAATCTGGCCATTTGTTCTGTGTGACAGCTACTTTTATAAGCAATATACTAGCACCATCTTACTGAGTTCTTGTAAGTACTATGAAGTAGCTCCTCTTACCACCTTCATGTTACAGGTGAATAAAGTGAGGCTCAGAGAGATTGCCTATTATTAAATTGCCTAGAGTTACAGAAGAAGTAACCCAAACTGAATACAATCTGTCATTTAGTTAACAGTAATATGTCAATGCTAATTTCCTGGTTCTGATACTGTATACAGCTGTACAAGATGTCACCGTTGGGGAAAACTGGATGAAGGGTATATGGGTATTGTACTATTTTTGCAACTTCTTGTGGTCTGTAATTATTTCAAAATTTAAAAAAAGAAAGAGGTAGATTTTAGACTTGGATCAAGGTCTGTTTGCTTTTTTTTTTTTAGACGGAGTCTCTGTCACCCAGGCTGGAGTGCAATGGCGTGATCTCGGCTCACTGCAGCCTCCACCTCCCCGGTTTAAGCAGTTCTCCTGTCTCAGCCTCCTAAGTAGCTGGAACTACAGGAGTCTGCCACCACGACCGGCTAATTTTTGTATTTTTAGTAGAGATGGGGTTTCACCTTGTTGGTCAGGCTGGTCTCGAACTCCTGATCAGGCTGTTCTCGAACTCCTGACCTCAGGTGATCCACCTGCCTCGATCTCTCAAAGTGCTGGGATTACAGGTGTGAGCCACTATGTGCGGCCTGTTTGCTTTTATAATCCAGATTTTTCACTGCTTTGCCTTCTTAGATCATTTGACTAGGAATAATATGGTCTCTGTTCCACTATCTTTATAGGGTTTGAGTTTTCAGGTCTCTCAGACCACATCACATGGTTTCCTATAAGTCCCTTGTGATTTCAGGAATAAAGATTCATCCTTGATTTATGAAATGATTTGTAAAATAGATTGTAATTAATTCCTGATGTGTACATGGAACCTCATGTGGACATCTAGAAAAGAGAATGGCAGTAGTAACCCAAAGATTTAGTAGCTTGCAGCATGTAAATCTGATAAGCGGCAAAAAAGTTAAATTCATAAGACTAGTTATGTAGCAGAAAAAAACATAAGATTCAAATTCAGAAGCCTGTGTTTTAAAGCTGTATTTTTGGCTAACTTGTTATGTGATCTCAGTTTCCTCACTTAGGAAATCATTGAGAAGCGACTCATGCATGTTCTACCACAAGCTTCCATGGATAAATAACTTTGAAACATTCCAGATAATACAACTTCAAACCTTTGTCTTTACTGAGTGAAAATGATTGCTGTAGAAGTCGTTCAGTCTTACGACTGGAGAGTCAAGCTCTAGGATATGTTGGTGGATCTGTTAACCAGTTGATTAAATCCTAGTAATATTTTATTTCAAATCTTTCTTCTTTGTTTTTCTTTTTCTTTTGAGACGGAGTCTCACTCTGTTGCCCAGGCTGGAGTGCAGTGGCACAATCTTAGCTCACAGCAACCTCCGCCTACTGGGTTCAAGTGATTCTCCTGCTTCAGCCTCCCGAGTAGCTGGGATTACAGGCTGGTCGAACTCCTGACCTCAGGTGATCCACCCGCCTCTGCCTCCCAAAGTGCTAGGATTACAGGCATTAGCCACCACGCCTTGCCTCTTCTTTTTAAATATAGGTATTTACAGCTATAAATTTCCCTCTGAGTACTGCTTTATCTGTACCTCATAAGTTTTAGTATGTCTTCATTTTCATTCATCTCAAAGTATTTTCTAATCTCCTTTAATTCGTTGGTTATATAGGAGTGTATAGTTTAATCTCCACTTGTTTATGGATTTCCCACATTTTTTTGTTACTGATTTCTAATTTCATTTCTTTGTAATTGGATAACATACTTTTAAATTTACTGAGCCATGTTTTATGGTTCAGAATATGGTATATCCTGGAGAGTGTCCTTGAGAAGAGTGTATATTCTGTTGTCATTAGGTGGAAGTTGCTATGGATGGATGTCTGGTTGGTTGGTTCCTAGGCCTGGTTGGTTCCTAGTGTTGTTCATGCCTTCTATTTCCTTGCTGATCTTCTGCCTCATTCTGTCCAGGATTGGTAGGTGGAGTATTGAAGTCTCCAGCTATTATTCTGGAGTTGTCTATTTCTCCTGTCAGCTCTGTCAGTTTTGCTTCATATATTTTGGGGTTCTGTTTTTAGGTGAAGATTTTCTCAAAGCAAGCAAAAGAAAACTCTTCTTATGTTACCCACTCTCAGAACTTCATTCAGCTTTAGTGTTTAAGAATTAAAACACTCTCTGAAAAAGTTTAGTTTTATAGTGGCTCCCTGACATTGATGGAGACATTTAGGCCATATTTACACAGGTAAAGAGAGATGAGGGATTGGTGGCTTTATTTAATCAATATATTAATTTTTTTTATTGTGGGCAGCTGGTAGGGTCCAATTGAGGCCAAACCAACATTAACTTCAGTAGCAGATGACTGGGAGCTTTGATTTACCCAGATCATTGTTTCGTCTCCACTATTCACTTACTCTGTGTAGACATGGACTAACTCAATACAAACATGTTCCATGGGAAAAAATATGCTTTTTATTTTTTTTAAGAAATAAGAATAAAATGCAATTTTCTTGTTGCTAAATCTCTGACTCTACAGCCCTTTCTGTGTGGAGGCCACGTGGCAAACTCCAGGTGCATCTGTCATACAGAAATTGCTTTTCCCCCCAAAATACAGAAATGTGAAATAAACCAATTTGGGCACAAGTAGTGTATGCTAGATTTACTTAGTATCTGTCAAACATCTCCATACACTCAATGTATTAGGACAAATCAAAGAGTTATAACTGTCTAGTTTCTGCACAAATACATATATAGTTTCTACTTAGACACTGATGCTACTGATTGATTATTTTTGCTAACAGTGCTATGGCCAAACACTTAATTTGTTCCTTTTCAGCAGTATTGTAAATTTGTTCTAGACATATGTCAGTGGGAAAATAGGGGGGCAGGGGGTTATCTACGCAAGCACCCATGCACACACACAGGTACATACACATATGCATCAAAAGATACTTCCTCACTTAAAGATGTTTAAAAGGGTATTTACTTTGACATGAAATAATTCTTCAGCCTTTTTATTATTGTTAAACATCTTTTGGTGTTTATGAGCAATAAAATAGTTTAGCCACGACTGTATATTCACTATGAATGAAACATGGTTTTTCAGAAGAGATTTTACATGTATGTTAAAGCCATTTTCTTTTCTTGTCATTTATGTGAATGGTCCATAGATTGGATTGCTAGTGGAAGAAGCCATGTGATTCTGTATCTTAACTTTCTCTCAGAGAGGAATTATCGTCTTTGTCATTTTGTTTCAATGTGCTACCTCCCTACCTGCTGGGTTTCCCAACAGCCGTCAGCTAACTATTCTTGTACCATACTGCTACCAGCATTCCTGGTTCACAAATATGAAGTAAACAGAAAATCTTGCTAATTTGAGCCCAGTAGGAACCTTAACGCTGTAATGAGGGACTAATTTTGAAAGCAGAGAGACATCTCTTACAAAATTAGAGCCCAATTTTTTAATGATCTTAAATAACTAATTGAGAGTAAGAATGGTATTTAAGAAAGAGTGAGACACTGATACGCTGAAGAGTTACAACAAGGAGAGGAGACTCCTCCAGGAGCCCTAGTAATTATACAGTCTTCCTTCGTTGCCACCAATGCTAATCTGAGTGTGGGAATGATAATGTACCTTAGAGGACAGGTTTGTGGTTGAAATGCTCTTGATAGATTTTGACAAATTAAACAGTGGTAAAGATGTTTGGAAGTTATCCAGGTCCTTACCATTATTTATGTCAGTGAACTAGAAATCAGTGGTTAATTTGCAGTTCTTATAATTTTTATGATACTTGTGTTGTTGTAAATTTAGCCGTGTGCGGCATCAACTCAGCAGGATACATTTTATGTTGTCAGCTACCTTTTGACATCATAATAGATTTCATTTGCCAAATCTTTCTCGATAGAATAAAATGTAAAAGAGAGCTGAAGAGAATATTTGGATCATATCCAGACACTAGTAAACATATGATGGACTTTCTGAGATCAGAAGGCTCAGATATGGAATAGGGGGAGAAATTAGACCCTGTTAGTGGTTTTCTTTTTCTTCTTTTTCCCCTTAAACCATCCTAGTGTTCTTTGCTAGATAGGCATCTTTTATCTTGACTCAAAGCTAGTGTGTTTCTTAGCGTGTGGTACCTTGCACAATTACCAAAGTATAATTTAGTTACTGCTTTTCCACACCTTTTAACCATTAATGCACCTTTGTTAGTGTCTTCTTTATTGCACTGGATCGCAAGTTCTGTAGTCCTATTTTTTTTCTCATTATGTTTTTATATCCATTATATTATTTTAAAGAAAAATATTGGCCAGGCATAGTGTCTCATGCCTGTAATCCCAGCACTTTGGGAGGCCGAGGCGGGTTCAGGAGTTCGAGACCATCCTGGCTTAATAGGGTGAAACCCCGCCTCTACGAAAAATACAAAAAAATTAGCTGGGCATGGTGGCGGGCCCCTGTAGTCCCAGCTACTTGGGAGGCTGGGGCAGGAGAATGGCATGGACCTGGGAGATGGAGCTTGCAGTGAGCCGAGATTGCCTGGGTGACAGAGTGAGACTCCGTCTCAAAGAAAAAATTTATACTCTCCTGGGATAATTAAAGACTCGGGTTGGAAAGGCATTTTGTAGTTAAGATGTTTTGTTTCTCCATCCTTTTTCTTTAGGTTATTCAAATCCGTCCCTCATAATTATCCACTTTCTATAACACTGACCCTTGTCCTGCTAATAACCGAAGAGGATTAGTGGACACCCCTGCCTTTGTACCTATTTGTTCTCTGAGATTCTTTGTTTTGACCTCTAAGTAATTTCTTTTTAGGCCCTCTGCTCTTTATGTAACACATGTTTTTGCAGATCTCACTTTGATCTGTGTGAACATATAGCCTCCCATTTCTCTTATGTCATTTATCCTGCTTAGAAACATTTTATGAGAGCATAAGCCATGCTTTCATTTTTTCCTTTCGTACACCTCTTTCGAATCTCTTCAGAGGAAATTCCTCCTTAATACTTACTATGAGCTCAGCAGCAGTACAGAGGTATGATGACTGTGACCTAAGGATGTCCAGCCCTGTGAAACGAGCGCTTCCTCGTCCTCCTTGTGTATAACGGAGGTACATATCTTGAGTCCCTTGTTTGGAGTGTCTGTCTGGCATGGATGCTGCTGCTCCACTCTGCCATAGCCTTCTCTGTTCCCAATGTCTAATAAATGTTTAATGATAATTGAAATGATTAGTTATCAATCCATAATGGAGAAGAGCTTATTAACCTTTTCTGATCACAGCTACATTATCCTTGAGATGAAAGTTTTTGCTACCATGTACCAGCAACTGGAAGTCAGATCCATTGGACTGATTGGGGTCCCTGCTGTGTCATGGCATAAAATGGTTTCATATCATTGATCAATCTTCTGGAAGGTATATGCCCTTTGTTATTACTTCAAAGAATAGCCAATATTTCTATATTTGAGATAATATATGTATAGCTATGTAATGTATTTGGGGGCCTGCACTTTCAATATTTTTATAAAGTAGAACAGTTATAGAAAACTACCCACCCACTCCCAACTATACACATGCTCGCGCACAGATCAGTTCTGAACCAGATGTCCTATTTCCATACTGTATAAAAGGTAGCCATTGTCTACTGAGCACTGCAGATGTGGCTAGTATAACTGAGGGACTAAATTTTACCTAATTTTAAATTTCCGTTTTAATAGCCATATGTGGCTACTGTATTAAGTTGCATTCATATATATGTATTTGTATATATTTACATAAAAATTGTTTTAAGGCAGGGAACCTTGCCACCCAAATCAAGAAATTGAACTTAGCCACCTTGAAGTTTCTCCTGTGTCCTGTTCCACTCACAGCCCTTTCCAAAAACAACTCATGTTTTTACTTTTATCATAATCATTTCCATTTGTTAATTATTTGATCACCTACATGTGCATCCTTAGACACCACAGTTTAATATTGTCCACTTTTTAAATGTTTGATATGTCTTTTAAGTTTCTTAATCTGAAGATTTCCTGTCTATGCCTTTCTTTTCTTTGTACTTTACCACCTTTCAGAGATCCCTGGCCCCCTGAGCTGTAGGGTTCCCCAGAGCCTGGAAGTTGCTGATTGCATCCTCAGTTCAACATGTCCCTCTGCCTTCTCTATCTCCTGCACATTGGCAAGCTGGATCCAGAGGCTCATGTTTGATCCCTTCAGCACAACTCTAGGTGGTGTTGTGTTCTTTCATTTGTGAGGGATATAATATCTTATTGTCTTCCTTTTTGTGATATTGACGGTCATTAATCCTTACTGCCTAGATCCATTAATTCACTGGGAGATGCAACACGGTGATATTCTAATTCTACTTACTAGCTGGGATGCTTTTGTAATTTTATTCTTCATCTACTCTTTAGTTACCCAGTGGTACTGTTCATTTAGGTAATACAGGATAAATGTCGAATTCTTTCCCTCTATTTACTAAGTTTCAAAATAATGAGTTGACTCGCTCTCCTTTTCTGAAAGTAACCATTAAATTTTCATGTTTTTATCGAACACATGGACACAGGGAGGGGAACCTCACACACTGGGGCCTATCGGGGGGTGGAGGGCAAGGGGAGGGAGAGCATTAGGACAAATACCTAATGCATGTGGGGCTTAAAATCTAGATGTCTGGTTGATAGGTGCAGCAAACCACCATGGCACACGTATACCTGTGTAACCTGCACATTCTGCACATGTATCCCAGAACTTACAGTAAAATAAAAATAAAATAAACTAAAAATTTTTTATGTTTTTATAAACTATAAATTTAAACATGTTAGTAGATTTCAATTTATTGCATTTTTTAAACTTTTATTGAAGATCAAATTGTCTGTCTTTCATGAGTGTAACTTCTTTGCATTCGCTCCTCTGTCCTTCTGATATGACCCTACGGTCTTTCATAGCTTCTTTGCTCCCTGCTATGACAGAATGTTTCAGACTCACCTTGTACCTTTTTTTTTTTTTTTTTTTTTTTTTTTTTTTTTGAGATGGAGTTTCGCTGTTATTGCCCAGGCTGGAGTGCAATGGCACGATCTTGGTCCACTGCAACCTCCGCCTCCGCCTCCACCCCCGCCTGAGTCTCCTACCTTAGCCTCCTGAGTAGCTGGAATTACAGGTGCACGCCAACAAGTCCAGCTAATTTTTGTATTATTTGTAGAGACGGGGTTTCACCACGTTGGCCAAGCTGGTCTCAAACTCCTGAACTCAGGTGATCCACCTGCCTCGGCCTCCCAAAGTGCTAAGATTATAAGCGTGAGCCACCACGCCTGGCCACCTTGTACATTTCTTACCTGAGAATTGAAATCAACCATTTATCTAGAAACCCATTTCTTTTAGTGGGAATTTGTGTTTCAAGACAATTATCTTAGCGCTAACAGTGCTCCTTGTTGTGAGTGTGTCCAGGCCTCATGAGTTCATCCTGATATTTCCATTTCATAATCAGGATTACAGGGCTTTTATTTAACCTCCTATTTATTACATCTTTATCTCCTTTCTTCCATGCTGACAGTTTTGGTTCTCGAGAACAAAGGGGATGGTAGCATTAGAATATCCCATAATTGCCCATCTGCTTATTTCTCTACCTTACACACAACAGTCTTAGAATAACAATACTAAATACTTCCACTACCAGTTATGATTAGCAAGAAGAGTAAACATTTTATTACATATGCTATCCCTAGTCTAACTCCATTATTATGTTTTTTTTTTTGAAGACAGGATATTGCTGTGTTGCCCAGGCTGGAGCGCCGTGGCACGATTATAGCTCACTGTAATTTCGAACTCCTGGGCTCAAGTGATCCTCCCACCTCAGCCTCTGTTGTAGCTGGGACTACAGGTATGTGCCACCATGCCTGGCTAATGATTTTTAATTTTTAATTTAATTTAATTTAATTTTTTTGTAGAGGTGGGGTCTCACTAGGTTTCCCAGGCTGATCTTGAACTCCTGGCCCCAAGTGATCCTCCCACCTTGGCTGCCCAAAGTGCTAGGATTACAAGTGTGAGCCACTCACTCTTTGCATTATTTTTTGATAGTTGTATTAGATTTGCATTTTCAGGACATTTAGCCATTTATATGATACTCTCCCCCTTTTAACTCTAACCCTATTGTACTTTTTAGTAATACAGGTATGTTCAGTGCTCAGTACCAGTTCTTCAGTCCTTATGTCAATGTCTGTAGTCATTTTGTCTAAACTTCATTTCTGTTAGATTTTTTGGAAAAGGCTCATGGGTACTGTATTCCCTGAATTCTTGAATTTTCGTAACAGTTTGCTGTGTTCTTTATACTTAAACCACAATCTTTACTGAATTAAAAATGTTGCCTCACATTTTTTCTTTGCATATCTTAAATATGTTACTCCTTTTTCTTCTGGCATAATAAGTCTTAAGTCCAGTAATTTTATTAGATTATATCTTAGTGTCGGTCATTTGGAGCAAATATGCTTCAGTGTCCAGGGTCCTTTTGCAATATGTAGTTTCAGAATATTTTTTTAATTTCAGGAATGTTTCTTTGAATTATAGTTTTAGGTATTTGGACAATTTTCTTCCTTTGCTTTCCTCTCCAGGGATTCCTACTTTTTTTTCTTTCTTCTTTTAGTTTTGAGCTTTGTCACCCAGGCTGGAGTACAGTAGCATGATCTTGGCTCGCTGCAACCTGTGCCTCCCAGGTTCAAACGATTCTCATGCCTCAGCCTCCTGAGTAGCTGGGACTACAGGCATGTGCCACCACGCCTGGCTAATTTTTGTCTTTTTAGTAGAGACAGAATTTCGCCATGTTGACCAGGCTGGTCTTGAACTCCTGGGCTCAAGCAGTCCTCCCACCTTGGCCTCACAAAGTGGTGGGATAACAGGCGTGAGCCACCACACCTGACCCAGGGATTCCTATTTTCTATATGTTGGATCTCCTTTACCTGTCTTCAGTATTCGATACTTTCCCTTAAATCCTTCTCTCTCTCTTAATTTCTGTTTGATTTTGTTTTTCATTTTAACCTTCTAGTTTTTTTTAAAGCGTTATTTGTTGTATCTATTTGCTATCTGTCCCTCTAGTGTATTTTCTTATTTCTAGAATGATTTTTCTTTTTTTCAAGTTTATTCTTTCTTCCCCCATTTCTCAGCCAGTCGAATTCTTATTTATGTAATTCTTTTTTGTTTATTTTCTTTTGTTTTGTTTTTTTAAGATAGGGTCTCACTCTGTCATTCAGGCTGAAGTGCAGTGGTGCCATTTCAGCTCACTGCAACCTGTGCCCCCAGGCTCAAGCGATCCTCCCACCTCAGCCTCCTAAATAGCTGGGATCACAGGCACGCACCACCACACCCAGCTATTTCTTTGTATTTTTTTGTGGGGACAGCGTCTCGCCATCTTGCCCTGGCTGGCTTCAAACTCGTGAGTGCAAGTGATCCTCCCACCTCGGCCTCCCAAAGTGCTGGGATTACAGGTGTGAGCCACTGTACGTGGCTTGATTTATGTAATTCTTTCAGGCCGTATATCTTATTCTTAATGTCTTTTAGCTCATTTTGAAGTAATAGGTTACAGACAAGTAATGACATGTCTGATAAATGCTTTCATTTTGTGTAAGATGTTATTCTGTTCCTTTTTTTTTATCACTTTGTATAGAATTTTACCTCAAAATTTTTATATTGCTCATTTTTACGTGAAAGTGATTTTTCTGAACTTTTAGCAGGGTGGCTGTATTAAGAGAGATCTTCTAATTCCTTAGAGCTCTCTCTCTTTTGGGTTACTTTCTACTACTTGGCTACTGGCATGCTTTCTAAAATATCTTTACTGTATTCTTCTCTACTTTGGGGAGGCCTTTCTCTTATCTTTCCTCTTGGTTTTCTCTGTCCTTTTTGATTTTGATTCTGTTGCCAGGAGTTTTTCCTCAGTGTGGAGTCCTATGCTAGAATGGAGACCTCACAGCCCAGTTTTGAGAGTTCATAAGCACTAGACTCCTCCCAGCTCTGCAGACTTTTCTTAATACGGGCCCTTTGCTCTGACCCTTTGTTGGAACGGGAAATACCCCACAGCCCTAAGTTCAGCTGCTATTTTAAACTTGGCTCACCATACTGTCCATTTAGTACTTATTGGCAATACTGGGGTTCTTTTTCTCAGTTCTTTCCGTTGCTGCATTGCCGCCCTCTGCTTCTTCCCACCTAGGTGCTACTATTCTGTAGGACTTGAGGCTAGTCTTAGCTTTTCCACATCTGTTGTATTACAGTGTTCAAAGTGACACTGGTCACTTGATTTTATTTTTTACTTTTTTGAGATAGAGTCTTGCCCTGTTGCCCAGGCTGGAGTGCAGTGGCATGATCTCAGCACACTGCAACCTCCACCTCCCAGGTTCAAGTGATTCCCCTGCCTCAGCCTCCCGAGTAGCTGTGATTAATTACAGGCACGTGCCACCATGCCTGGCCAATTTTTATATTTTTAGTCAAGACAGAGTTTCACTATTTTGGCCAGGCTAGTCTCAAACTCCTGACCTCAAGTGATCCACCCACCTCAGCCTCCTAAAGTGCTGGTGTGTCCGGAATTGGTGGGTTCTTGGTCTCACTGACTTCAAGAATGAAGCCGCGGACCCTCGCTGTGAGTGTTACAGTTCTTCAAGGCGGCATGTCCGGAGTTTCTTCTTTCTGATGTTCGGATGTGTTTGGAGTTTCTTCCTTCTGGTGGGTTCGTGGTCTCGCTGGCTCAGGCGTGAAGCTGCAGACCTTCGCGGTGAGCGTTACAGCTCTTAAGGCGGCGCGTCTGGAGTTGTTCATTCCTCCCGGTGGGTTCGTAGTCTCGCTGGCTTCAGGAGTGAAGCTGCGGTGAGTGTTACAGCTCATAAAGGCAGTGTGGACCCAAAGAGTGAGCAATAGCAAGATTTATTGCAAACAGCGAAAGAACAAAGCTTCCACAGTATGGAAGGGGACCCAAGCGGGTTGCCACTGCTGGCTCGGGCAGCCTGCTTTTTATTTCTCTATGTGGCCCCACCCACATCCTGCTGATTGGTCCATTTTACAAAGAGCCAGTTGGTCTGTTTTACAGAGAGCTGATTGGTCCATGTTGACAGGGTGCTGATTGGTGCATTTACAATCCCTGAACTAGACACAAAAGTTCTCCACCTCCCCACTAGATTAGCTAGATACAGAGTGTTGATTGGTGTATTTACAAACCCTGAGCTAGACACAGGGTGCTGATTGGTGTGTTGACAAACCTTGAGGTAGACACAGAGTACTGATTGGCGTATTTACAATCCCTTAGCTAGACATAAAGGTTCTCCAAGTCTCCACCAGATTAACTAGATGCAGAGTGCCGATTGGTCCAGTCACAAACCCTGAGCTAGACACAGGGTGCTGATTGGTGTATTTACAAACCTTGAGCTAGATACAGAGTGCTGATTGGTGTATTTACAATCCCTTAGCTAGACGTGAAGATTCTCCAAGTCCCCACTAGACTCAGGAGCCCAGTTGGCTTCACCCAGTGGATCCCGCACCGGGGCCGCAGGTGGAGCTGCGTGCCAGTCCCGCGCCGTGCGCCCGCACTCCTCAGCCCTTGGGCGGTCGATGGGACTGGGTGCCGTGGAGCAGGGAGCGGCGCTTGTCGGGGAGGCTTGGGCTGCGCAGGAGCCCATGGCGGGGGGTGGGGAGGGGGGAGGCTCAGGCATGGAAGGCTGCAGGTCCTAAGCCCTGCCCCGCGGGGAGGCAGCTAAGGCCCAGGGAGAAATTGAGCACAGCAGCTGCTGGCCCAGGTGCTAAGCCCCTCACTGCCCCAGGCTTGCGGGCCAGCTGGCCACTCCAAGTGCGGGGCCGCCGAGCCCACTCACCCCAGAACTCGCGCTGGCCCACAAGCACCCTGCGCAGCCCCAGTTCCCGCCCACACCTCTCTCTCCACACCTCCCCACAAGCTGAGGGAGCCGTCTCCGGCCTTGGCTAGCCCAGAAAGGGCCTCCCACAGTGCAGCGGCGGGCTGAAGGGCCCCTCAAGCGCGGCCAGAGTGGGCACCAAGGCCGAGGAGGCACCCAGAGCAAGCGAGGGCTGCGAGGGCTGCCAGCACGCTGTCACCTCTCACTGGGATTACAGGTGGGAGCCACTGTGCCTGGCCTGATTTTCTTATATGTTTGTTTGCTTGTGGATTTTTGGTTTTGCTCTCTAGTTGCTCTGTATGTTTTTATGTGGGGACTCAGCAAGATTCAAAAACTGTGCTTCTGCAAACTCTGCCTCTCTCTTTTGTAATATAAGTTCTACCTGAGGCTTTATCAAGCACATTTTTCCATGTCACTAAATGTTGCCACATAACCTTATTTTTAATGGCTGCATAATATTCCACTACTGCATGAATGTAACATAATTTATTAAGGCAATCTACTATTATTGGGCACTCATGTCTTAATTGCACTTAATGCAAATTTCTTTTAGTTATAAATTTGTCCACAGATTCTTTACCAGTTTTTCTCCCTTCTGTAGGTTTTGTGGATTAAAGTAAGCACAGCAAAAATAGGGCTGTTTGCTGAACCGCTGACTTCCACTTCTTTATTTTTGTTCATTCCTATGGTCAATATCGATGCATTTCAAACTCAAATGTGTGGACTGTCATCTTCTCAAAGGATGTTTTTTTCTGACATGACGCTTTAATTATATGAAAAGTTTTATAAAAACATAGAAGTGACTTACAATATTTTATATGTAATGAATTGTTTATATTGATAAGATTAAAATCACAAGAAAGTAGAAATGCTCTTAAAAATGTGGGATCATTGTGCCTTAGAGTTAAGAAAACCTTTGCCCAATGAAGAAAAAGTAGAAAGCAAAGGAGAATGTTAAAGTACATATCACACAGCATTTTATGCTGGTTTTATGTCAGCCTGAGAAGTGATATTGTGTGCTTCAGCTTTGAAGCATAGCAGGAGGAAGAGTTATACATGTTATTACATGTATAAGTTCATGTTTTTTCTTTTCTTTTCTTTCTGCTTTTCTTTTGAAACAGGTTCTCCCTGTGTTGCCTAGGCTAGTCTCAAACTCCTAGGCTCAAGAGATCTTCCCACCCTGCAGCCTTCTGAGTAGCTGGGATTACAGGCACAAGCCACTATGTCTGGCATGTTATTTTCTTTGAAAGGATTGTGTCTTGTCAAATGAACACTCGCATGTTAATAAAAATCATCTTATTCTGATATCAAATATTAACATTGTTCTTGATTGTAGATACTGTTTTGGAACATGTATGCTGCGAATTCTTCCAGCGGTAATGTTATCAAAATTACACCTAGACATTTCCCTGTAACTCTTCTCAGTGCTGTACTATAGAAAGTATTAGGCCTCAAACCATGATCAAATTCTGATAGTTGTTCTTCTCATCTCACCCACCTGCAAATGTGTTTATTGCTGGCTGTTTTCTCCCAGTGCTTTAGGGGAAGATCCTGTCTTTTTTTTTTTTTTTCAACATTTTGCTCTCTGATGCCCTGGGACAACCCTGTGTTGTGAGATTTAAGAGGTCTAGACTTTGTGGCCGGGCGCGGTGGCTTATGCCTGTAATCCCAGCACTTTGGGAGGCTGAGACGGGTGATCACGAGGTAGGAGATCAAGACCATCCTAGCTAACACAGTGAAACCCCGTCTCTACTAAAAATACAAAAAAATTAGCCAGCCTGGTGGCGGGTGCCTGTAGTCCCAGCTACTCGGAAGGCTGAGGCAGGAGAATGGTGTGAACCCAGGAGGCGGAGCTTGCAGTGAGCAGAGATCACGACACTGCACTCCAGCCTGTGCGACAGAGGGAGACTCCCTCTCAAAAAAAAGAAAAAGAAAAAAAAAGAGGTCTAGACTTTGTGAAAGGCTATCTCAGTGGGTGACGGGATCATTCATTCCACCTATGTCAGCCATTGCACCCAAGCAGCTTGATCAGGTCACAGTCCAGCTGGATCAAAGGGCACCAGGCGTGAGCTCAGGGCTGGGCAACCAAGCCAGTCACAGGTGGAGGATATTGAGGACCAACTGAGCCAATTTGGCCATTCTGAAACTGTCAGTTTTTTTTTTTTTGTTTTTTTTTTTTTTTAGCGAGATGGAGTTTCGCTCTTGTTGCCCGGGCTGGAGTGCAATGGCACGATCTCGGCTCACCACAACCTTCGCCTCCTGGGTTCAAGCAGTTCTCCTGCCTCAGCCTCCCAAGTAGCTAGGATTACAGGCATGCACCACCACGTCGGCTAATTTTGTATTTTTAGTAGAAACGGGGTTTCTCCATGTTGGTCAGGCTGGTCTTGAACTCCCAACCTCCGGTGATCCAACTGCCTCAGCCTCCTAAAGTGCTGGGATTACAGGCATGAGCCACTGCGCCCAGCCAACTGTCAGATTCTTTTAGCCAATACCGTAGCTACCCTGGTCAGCTGTAGAAAGGGTTATGCATTTCTTCACTATCTTGTGTCTGGTTGCATTGAAAGCAAGTCTCTGCAAAATTCTGCCAAATGGGCAGAAATGTATCAAGAAGGAAGCCCAGAAAAGTCACACATTGTGTTCCTCTGAGGCATGAAGTCCCTCTTTGCTGCCCTCACTGACTCCAGCAGGCATCTCATATGAAAGGTGTGGTAAGGAGCAAGCAATGATATTTTGATGGCAGGATCAACCCACTTTCTAGTCCAAAGATGACAGGTTCCCTCATTGTACCAAATAAGATCTATGTGTGGAGCACAGTTCTTCAGCTGGGAGCCTCCTGATTTGCCAAATTCTTCTTTTTTTTAATTTTTAAATTTTTATTTTTTATTTCTTTGGTAGAAACGGGGTTTTACCATGTTGGCCAAGCTGGTCTTGAACTCCTGGGCTTGGCCATCTGCCCGCCTCAGCCTCCCAAAGTGCCGAGATTACAGGCATGAGTGCCCAGCCTGTTTGCCAAATTCTTCTGCCTCCTTTAATGTAAACATGTTTACACCCAGTCTTTTCAGCTTATCACGTATCTTGAACACTACTAATTTCACCAATGAAAAACAATTTCAGATCTCTCTACTGCTGATGAATAAACTTTCTGGTGTAGTTTTAAATGACAATATTTGAGGTGCTTGTGTGGCCTACTGTCATGTGTAGAGAGGTTGGGGGAATACCCTGGGAGAACATTACTGATTTAGAAAAATGTTGCCACTTCTGGGTAATAAAATTACAGACATTTATATGCGCCTTATTTTGAAAGAATGTGTTATAATAAGCAAAAAGAGTGAGTTAGATTAGAGATACTTTGAGATTGAGATATAATGTATCAGTAAACATACAGGTTTGCACATACACACTTATATGTGATAGAATTGAACTACCCTTTACAGCAGGTCATTTGCTCTGCTTATAACTTTGAGAAATTGGGCTGGGCACAGTGGCTCACACCTGTAAACCTAGCACTTTGGGAGGCTGAGGCGGGCAGATCATGAGGTCAGGAGATCAAGACCATCCTGGCTAACACGGTGAAACCCCATCTCTACTAAAAATACAAAAAATTAGCTGGGCGTGGTGGCAGGCGCCTGTAGTCCCAGCTACTCGGGAGGCTAAGGCAGGAGAATGGCGTGAACCCGGGAGGCGGAGCTTGCAGTGAGCTGAGATCGCACCACTGCACTCCAGCCTGGGTGACAGAGGGAGACTCCGTCTAAAAAAAAAAAAAAAAAAAATTAGCTGGACATGGTGGTGATGCACACCTATAATCCCAGCTACTCAGGAGGCTGAGGCACAATAATCTCTTCATTGAGTACAGTGAGTCTGCCTCATTCCCCTCTTTGGACTAACAACAAGGCTGTCACCTCCTCCCTCCCAGCCATTTCCCTCATTGATCCATCAAAGTCAGCCTCAAATGATTCCCTTCACAAGCATTTCTGAAGGTATCTTTTCTCTTCTCACATCTGGTTCTGTCTTTACTTGCTTTTGTTCAGTATGGCCCTGTGGTCTCAATCTTAGGGAGACCGTGTAACATGGTGGTTAAGACCTTGGATTCTAGAATGGGCAGTGCAGTTCAACTTTAAGCTTTGCCATGTATTAGCTATATGAATTGGGACTAGTTACCTTGCTGGGCCTTAGTTTCCTCATCTGTTCAATGGAGATAAGAAGAGTATAATGCTGTGCCTGGTACACATTTCTCTTTCTAATGACTTCCTCCAACTATTTCTCTTATAGTTTGGATTATTGTCTCATTCTGCAGTAAACCAGTTCATCCGGAGTTCATCTTGACCTTTCTGTACCATAAAGTCTGTCATAGTCCATCTCTCCCAACTCTGACACCCTTTCTTTTCTTCCCTTTCCCCAACTCCTGGTGGGATTTAGGAGTTTGCTTTAAAAAAATATTTACCCACCTAATACATCCAACCAGTAAGCATGATGAGAAAGCTGTTCTCAAGTAGATCATTTAGACGAGGAAGATTTTATTGCATTCTGCTTATGTAAACTGAAATCCTGTGCCAAAGTACCTAGCTCCAAACTCTCCCTTCCTTCCTTCTATTTTTTCACAACACATCTCTTGAAGAATCTATTGCAGATTTTGTTCTGAGAGCCAGGATGCCATCAGCTCTGCCATCACAGAATAAGCATGAAATTCAAGTTGTCACCAGGAGTTTGTTGTTGTTATTATTGTTGTTGTTGTTTTGGCCATCATTGGGAGCTTTATTACGATGATTATTGGACTGTTATTTTTCATCCGAGCCTCTTTTATGATTTTCTTTGGGATTTCTTGCCCATTGAGTCCCCATTGGGTATGTACAGGACAACTCTTCCAAATGCAGACTGTTTTTTATTAGCAATGCCTTTATTTGCACTGCAGCACTGATCTTAAGGTGATCTGGTGACCAAAGATTACATTTCATAGTGCTTTGAAGAAGAGGGTAATGGCATAGTCCAGATATGCTTGGCCTCTTCCTGCTAATGCGTGCCAGATTCTTTAATATTTCATGTAAAAAATGGTATAACGAAAAGAGAAATTTGGTGGCTTTTTTTTTCTACTTGAAAGCAAGAAAGAGAGTAATATGCACGCCAAATAAAGTATTTTTCTGTTTTGAATACACTGAGGGCTATATGGATGCTGTCAGCAGAATGTAAATCATTACATTTTTATCACTAAGTGTTAAAGTCCACTGTATATTTGGTATACAAAGAATACATTCATCAGGCGTTCTCTTCTCCATTCAAATCCCACAGATGTTTCATACAAAATAATGCCATTTTGAGCCAGATATGGTGACACATGCCCTATAGTCCTAGCTTCTTGTGGGGAGGAGGTGGGAAGATTGCTTTGGCAGTTCAGTGCTGCAGTGTGCTATGAGCATGCCTGTGAATAGCCACTGCACTTCAGCCTGGACAACATAGTGAGACCCACCTCTAAAATAGTGATAATAATAATAATAATAATAATAATAATAATACATTTGTAGGAGATTTCTTTATAGGCCCTTAATATGAAGGCTGCTTCAAGGGCCATGCTGGTATTGTTGGTCAAACTTGCTTAGACTGAAAGCAGTGGTTAGAAGTATCTTAGGGACTTCAGAGGACTTCTTTCTTACTTTTAATCCATGTTTTATGGTTTTCAGGTTCATAAACCATAGAAGGATGGCATACTTTAGGGCATGAGACAAGCTGGCAATCTCAGACCTGTTGTGTTTGGTCTGTAAAATACATTAAAATAATTTGATCCGTTGCCAGCATTTAAATATCAAGGGATTGGCTGGGCACAGTGGCTCACGCCTGTAATCCCAGCACTTTGGGAGGCTGAGGCGGGCAAATCACCTGAGGCCAGGAGTTCGAGACCCGCCTGGCCAACATGGTGAAACCCCATTTCTACTAAAAATACAAAAATTATCCGGGTGTGGTGGTTTATGCCTGTAATCCCAGCTACTTGGGAGACTGAGGTGGGAGAATCTCTTGAACCCGGGAGGTGGAGGTTGCAGTGAGCTGAGATGGAGCCATTGCACTCCAGCCTGGATGACACAGCAAGACAACATCTCAAAAAAAAAAAAAAAAATCAAGGGATTATACCTACAGCAACTCTGGATTTCTGGCCATTGCGATAGATGTAGAGCAGCGCTGGGTCCACATTCCCAAATGGCAGCTGGGTGGGAGCTGAGTCATGGCTGGGGTGCCCCCTTAGCTGGGGCATGGCCTAGGGCTTGCCTTTCTCCTCTGGGCTGTTTTGCTCATTAGCATGGCCCTTTGTTCCAACAGACTTTAGAGTTCGCAACCGCTTGGTTTATTTTTTTTAATTTGTTTTGAATTTACACTAATGTATTTATTTATTTATTTATTTGTTTTTATTATACTTTAAGTTCTAGTGTACATGTGTACAACATGCAGGTTTGTTACATATGTATACATGTGCCATGTTGGTGTGCTGCACCCATTAACTTGTCATTTACATTAGGTATATCTCCTAATGCTATCCCTCCCCACTCCCCCCACCCCACGACAGGCCTCGGTGTGTGATGTTCCCCACCCTGTGTCCAAGTGTTCTCATTGTTCATTTCCCACCTATGAGTGAGAACATGCAGCATTTGGTTTTCTGTCCTTGCGATAATTTGTTCAGAATGATGATTTCCACCTTCATCCGTGTCCCTACAAGGGACATGAACTCATCCTTTTTTATGGCTGCATAGTATTCCATGATGTGTATGTGCCACATTTTCTTAATCCAGTCTATCATTGATGGGCATTTGGGTTGGTTCCAAGTCTTTGCTATTGTGAATAGTGCCTCAGTAAACATACGTGTGCATGTGTCTTTATAGCAGCATGATTTATAATCCTTTGGGCAACCCCTTACTTTAATACTGCAAAGGAAAAACAGAACCAAATTGGTATTCAGAACTAAACAACATGTGTGTGTCTTTAATGGCTAAATTTAAGACAAAAGGAAATATATGTATCTAATTTTGGGAATCTATATTTTCTGAATAATATAATCTCAGGAACATAGAGTATGAATTATAAATATATAATTTTATATATTTAATGTATATTTAAATGATAGATATGATTATAAATTATAGAATTTCTCCTCAGAATCTTCAAAGTGGAGGGCCACATGGTAGTATCTAATTCTAATTCAGCCCTGTCCTTTTACTAATTAGGAAATTGAAGCCCAGCAAGTCCAGTGATTTGTTCCAGGCCATGCAATTTATATAACTGGTAGTGCTGGGACAGGATCCCTGTGTCCTGCTGGTGAAGCAAGGCAGTTAGAGTCATTAATGTGCAGTGTGGAATAGATGGAAATAGAACAAAATGTTTAAAGTGCATGTCTTTGCTATTGTTCCCATAGGTTGAAGTTTTACGGAAATATTTACTTTGTCAAGATTGCATAAGTACTCGTGAAAACTATTCTGTGTCCCACTCTAGGCCTTGGCTTTTTAGAATCAGTCTAATATTTCTTCCAGCCTGCGGGGCCTTTTTACGAGGTGCTCCGTAGAATGCAGCAGGCAATGCATCTAAAACTGAACTAGTTACACACTCTTCCCCTCCCAAACCTGCTCACTTTCCCGTGTGCTTGGTCTTGGTCCTTATTGCCCTGGGACAGAAGTTATCATATTATATTCTTTTTTTCTTCTCTTATTGCTCATATTCTTGGTTTTGTAGGTCTCATTGATTCTGTCTTAGAAACGTCTACCAAAATGAGCCTTTCCTCTCCACCCTCCCAGTTTCTGTGTTGGGATGGTCCTCCCTGTCTTTTAATAGGGTCATGGCAGTAGACTGTTCCTTATACTACTTCATTCTAACTTAACCTCAGTCTCAGTTCTTTGTCATCTCCACTGGTTTTCAACCCTGACTATATATTGGTCATTTTGGGAGTTTAAAATGTACCAAGGCCGAGGCGGGCGGATCATGAGGTCAGGAGTTCGAGACCAGCCTGACCAACATGATGAAACCCCATCTCTACTAAAAATACAAAAATTAGCCAGACGTGGTGGTGCATGTCTGTAGTCCCAGCTACTCAGGAGGCTGAGGCAAGAGAATTGCTTGAACTTGGGAGGTGGAGGTTGCAATGAGCCAAGATAACGCCACTGCACTCCAGCCAGGGTAACAGAGCAAGACTCCATCTCAAAAAAAAAAAAAAAAGTACCGAGCTTGGGCCCTGTGCCCAGAAAGGGATTTAATGCATTTGGGGCAAGGGCTCTGGCATCAGCATTTTTAGAAGCTTTCCAGAGTTCTCATGTCCATCTCCAGAGGTAACCGCCACTGCTGTACTTTGTCAGCATAGTTGGTTTTCTACAAAACACATCCAGTGGTCACTCTACTGCATCCGCATCTCTGTTTTCCACAGTAAGTCCAGACTTCTAGTTTGGCTTGGGAGACCTTCATAGTTGGATCCTAATTTCTCCAGACTTCTCTGTGGCCACTGCTCCCCCATATAATTCCATGCCGGTCACCAAGAATAGTTTACCCCTCCTGGAGCTCCGAATGCCCCTTGATGACAGTGCACCTTTGCATGTGTGCCTCGCTCCACCTGGCTCCTGTTTTCTGTCCTATAAAAATGAAGCCTACCATCCTTCAAAGGTACTGGCTCCATGAGAAAACCTCTTCTGCTGCCAGTTTGTCACCTATCACAGTAGGTTAAAATGTACCTACACACTGTACTTTTTTCTCTAGACCTGAGCTGTCCCATAGAACTTTCTGCAGTGATGAAAATGTTCTATATCTACACTATCCACTATGATAGCTGATTGCCACATGTGGCTTTTGACACTGGAAATATGACTGGTGCAATTGAGGAACTGAATTTTTAGTTATATTTAGTTTTAATTTATTTAAACTTAAAAGCCACATGTGGCTAATGACTACTGTTTTTCATAGCCCAGATGTTGATATGAGCTTCTTGAGGGCAGCGGCCTAGTTTTATTCATGTTTTTATTCCATATAGTACAGAATGGTGTTCCCTAAAGTCTGCTAAACAACGGAATGAATGATGTAAGAGTTGTATCAAAAATTTTCATCTTTTGTAGTTTATACACCTCTCTACACATATACAAATAAAAATCCTGCTTATGAGTATAACACATATTCTCACATCTGACACACAGATCTCATTACCCCATTTTCCCGATGAAGAAAGTGAAGATCAGCAAAGTTAAGTGACGCAGGCAACTTTATAATCATGAAAAATAACATTGAGGCTGGGCACAGTGGCTCACGCCTGTAATCCCAGCACTTTGGGAGGCCGAGGCAGGCGGATCACAGGTCAGGAGATCAAGACCATCCTGGCTAACATGATGAAACCTTGTCTACTAAAAATACAAAAAAAATTAGCCAGGTGTGGTGGTGCACACTTGTAGTCCCAGCTACTTGGGAGGCTGAGGCAGGAGAGTTACTTGAACCTGGGAGGCAGAGGTTGCAGTGAGAGGAGATCGCACCACTGCACTCCGGCCTGGGCAACAGAGTGAGTCTCCATCTCAAAAAAAAAAAAGAAAAAAGAAAGAAAAATAAGATTGAATTATGCCTGCCAGTTACTTTAATTACATTGTGAGCACGAAATTTCTTTTGATATTCTAGTTGTGGGTCTCTGAAAACCTGAACCCCAGAGAAAATGTCTATAGTCTTATGTGTTATATATAGCCCATGTGGCCATCTCACGTTTCCAGAAGTTGGCTTTTATTCCATGGTCACTTAAATGACACCATTTCTTGAGTCTGGGGCTATGGCTGGCTCATACCAGATTTCTTGTCTTCATTACCAAATCTGCCAAGGGTTAGAGGTCACTGGTTTGTCCCATGACAACTCTTTCTTCCACACTGTTTTGAAGGCCAACTGCGAAGTTTGATTTTGTCAAAGTGGGAAGCGTGATATCATTAAAGCTGAAGTTAAGCAGACCACAGCCCAAGAGAGGGAATGGCACTAAGGCTCATCTGAGACCTTAATGCAAAATCGTCTTACTATCTGAAAGCGTTTTTTTTCCTTTTTTTTTTTTTTTTTGGTACAGTCTAAATTAGGACACTGTTAGTAGCGGGAGGGTAATTAGGGGTGCATAGTGAATCTCAATTCTTATTTATAAGAAGTCGACTTGATTAAATTCTTATAGCTTCCTTGCTCATTCTATTTCCTTTGCACTGTATCATAAACAATAAGATGATTTTACTTCAAGGGAACGGAAGAGTTTTTGTTCAAATTATATCTCAGTCATTCACATAAATATCAGCTGTGACACATTTCTTATATCTTCAGAGGTATGAACAAATACTATGCAGACTTGATTTGCTTGGCCGCGTGTTGCTGAACCATTGTAGTAGGGAGAGGAACAAAGATGGAGAAGAGCTGATTTTATGAAGGAACCAAAGAAGGAAAAATTGTTGCCGTTAACGTTGTTTACTGAAATTCATCAGCTTTTACTTTATTCATTCAAGATTTATTAAGTGCCTTTTGTAGACTGGGATAGAGCTTAGCAAGAGAAATGATTGATTAAATAGACCATTATAATAAAATGGAGTCATGCCTGTATTAGGACAAGTACTGTGTACAAAGGGAATAGATAACAGGGACATTGATCTAAAGGGAGGTTAGGGAGGACTTCTTGGAGGAAGTGGTATTTGTGCCTGAGTTATATGGGATGTGTGGGATTTCTTAGGTGAAAGAGGGCAGAGCAATACGGTGGTAGGCTAGATCTGTGCAGCGGCTTAGAGACAAGACTGTACAGGGTGTGTATGTGAGTGTCTGTCCGTGGTAGAATGGTGGTTCCAGAGCCGCAAAAAAAGTGCAAGCAGAGGACCAAGCAGCGGCTAACATCCAGCACAGCCTTTTGAATACCTCTAGATGCTTCCCCTTGGCCTTCCGGGCCTTAGAAAGCTAAGAAATTGTTCAGCTGGGATGGGATGTGCGTGGGTAAGCATGCAACGTTAAGCATCCATGTCAATGTTGAGATGCGTCCTAATGTCAAAAATATTAAGGTGTGACTGGGGAAGCTGTCTGGGAATTGATGGAACGTTGTACATTCACATTTTGCAAGATGAGTTTGTCTTCCCCGTGGGTAGGTTTGAGGAGAGCAAAACCAAAGGCAGGAAAGAGCCTTCACAAGGGAATTGCAGAGTCGTGGGAGGCACCCTTGTGTGGGCCGGCAAGTGTTGGTCAGGGTGAAGGAAAGAGAATGGAGTGGATGTCATTGTTGGATGTGGTGGAGGAGTCAAATGTGCCTCCAGAGTGTTTGGCCCCATTGGCTAGGCGTGTGGTGGTAGCATTCACTGAGGGAAGGCCCAAGGAAGAAGAACCAGATTGGCGGAGAAGAGGGTGCTGAAGAAGGTTGTAGATCATGGAGAGCCAATGTTACAGGCAGACTGCTTGGAAATGGGAACTGTTTGAGAAGAAGGGAGGGTGCACTCTGCCAAATGCAGCCTATGGATCAAACAAAAGGGACTGAAAACTTAATGACTTTGGCAACAGAGGTTTCAGTGGCATGGTGTGGGCTGCAGGATGTTTAGAAGATGAATAAGTGGAGACAGGGAGTATAGCAGCTCTTTACAGAAGTTTTTGAAAGGGAGGAGAGAGTAGGGGGCTATGAGACTGTGAAAAGAATTTTTGTTTCATCACTGAACAGAGATTATAAAGTCACACCAGAATCTTTCTTTTCAGTTTAATTTAAATCTTTTTTTAAATTTCAGAACTATGAATTCTGAATTCATAGTTAGCATAGTAGTTAGTAGCAACTTAGAGGCTTTGGGAATTTAGCATAGAAGTTTCTAGAAGCAGGCAAATGAAAGCACACAGCAGGCTCGATCATATATTTATGACAGAAATCTTTAAGGAGAAGACCCCCAAACAGCAACAAAAATAACCCTTATTGTGGTGGTATGGGGGCTTTTGGTGTAAAGAGAGTCAACCCCACACAGCTCAAAAAGCTCTGAGGCCATTGTGGGTGTAAGGTGTGCAATGGTTATTTGAAAATGTGTGTGTTTGACAAAGATTTCTATCAAAAAAAAGTTGTGGCAGTAAAGCGGTCAAGTGGTTTTCTAGAAAACTTCAGTTAATGGCAAAATCACGACTTCCAGTACAACTATAGGGAACAGAGTCACTTTGAAATGTTTCTGCCCTCTTTGGGGTACCCTGTAATTCTATTCTGTTTATGAATGTCCTCCTCATCCTTGAATTTGTGTGTGCTTTCCTAATGGAACACATCTTTACGCTCAGTAACCATGTTAATTTATGGTGTATTTTGGTATTCCAAGAAGTGAAAAATGGGGAGTTAATACGACTTCTCTTTGTTTTACTCTGAAGAGGTTTTTACTACCAGGACCTTGACATCTTCCACCTTAGTTTATCTTTAAGTTATCTTTAACTGGAACCATTTTGTCCATTAGCTCTATTCTAATCACCTCTCAGAATAGTCAGATTTACAAGCAACACATGACAGAGAAAACAAAAAAATCAGCCAGCTTCTCCTGACATTCAACAGCAGCCCACGTCTAAATAGTGAAAAAGTTTATTTGCTTTTTCTGAAGATGTGCTAAGTGATTTTGCAGTTAGAGTGGTACGGCCTTCTAGCACTTAGGCCTGCATTTATTAAATAAATGTGTTCTCTAACTCAAGTGTTAAGTGTGTATTATGAAACCTCAAAGCCAATTTCGGTGATTGCAATGTGCAAATATTTTTAAAATTATGTAATTAAATAGGACTTGGCCTGCAAGGTCCACCAAAGTAATTTATTAATTGAATAGTCTGATTTAATTGTATGTTATTTTCGTTTATTCAGGGAAGTGCCTGCATCTCTTGCAGAGATAGGAGCCTCTTGTATGCCTGTCACTGGAGGTACAGAGGTCCTCTCCAAGAAATCTTTAGCACCCAATTAAATATTAACCAAGAAGAGGGGACTTGTTCCTTCTGTCCCTGAAACTCTATTTTCATGCCTGAGTCTGGCGATTTTAAAGGAAAAAGAAGGAAAAAAAAAAAAAAAAACCTTGCTGGGTAGAATTATTTGTAATTCATTTTGTTTATCACTACATTTTTTAAAAATGACTTACTCTTCTTAATTGTACCAGTGTACAGGGTTATATAAAGTGTGTGTATAAAAAGAAAAGCCCCTTTAATTCAGTGTTAGCTACATCTAACTATGGCTAAAGCCACGCCGTATCTGTTTCCTTAAAATGTCATTTTAAAGGTATTGTGGTTTTGGAGCAGCAGCTGTGACTGAAAAGTATGTAAACTAAGCTGTTCTTGCTCATATCATTTTTATATTCTTATGTCAGACCAGAAGGCTGCTTTAAATTTATTTTTCATTGTGTATTAGTTCTAGAGCCTGGTTTTTTTTCTTCCTCAGGAACATATGTTCTTTGGGACGTGTTATACTCAGACACTTAAGAAAATAACAATTGTGTGGGGGGGACAGGTACCAAAATAGTTTCTTATTTGAGTATTGTATTTGGGGGAAGATTAATTAAAAAAAAAATTAACTCTCACAAAGTAGAATTTTGGGGCCTAGCATCTGTGTTTTAGGAAATGAAAGAATTCAGGCATACTGTACTAAGTCACGTGAAAGGCAGTAACTTTTAGAAGCCCAAATTGCTTTCCCAAAAGGAAAATATTTTTTGTTGCTATTAAATATAGTTTATATTGCTACTTCAGACCTTTTTTTTTTCCAGTGGGGCCATTTACTTAAATTCTTAGTTAATATTTCTGTATAGAAACGTCTTTGTCTCCAGAGCCCGCCTGTGCGAATTCCCATTTAATATGCGGTTGTGGATAAGTATTTATTCATTCCATGTGGTACTCCACACCTGATCAAGTGACAGCGTGGCGTCATGTCAGCCAGCAAAATGTTTGAGTGACTTTTGAGTAATGGTGGCATAGAAGGTAGAGGGGGTTGAAGGAAATAATAATGGGAATTTTTTTCCTTTCCTATATATTTTAGCATGTATAATGCTTCAACTCTCTGGTGGAAATTTGGAACACAGGATAGTAAAATATTCCTTTTCCTAGAGGGTAGTAAAAGTGGAGTAGAAAGTAGGAGCTGTTAGAATTTCCATGATAAATATAATTTGATTACATATGTTGGGGTGGGTTCCCTCTGAGCTGAGGATTTTACTTTGAGAGTTGTTTCACAATGGTATATTTCTTTCCAGTTTTCAGAAGCAAATTTAGCCTTAAGAATTTGCCCTGGCCAGGCGCAGTGGCTCATGCTTGAAATCCCAGCACTTTGGGAGGCTGAGGTGGGCGGATCACGAGGTTAGGAAATAGAGACCATCCTGGTTAACATGGTAAAACCCCGTTTCTACTAAAATACAAAAAATTAGCTGGGCATGGTGGCAGGCGCCTGTAGTCCCAGCTACTCAGGAGGCTGGGATAGGAGAATCACTTGAACCTGGGAGGCGAAGGTTGCCGTGAGCTGAGATCGCACCACTGCGCTCCAGCCTGGCGACAGAGCAAGACTCCATCTCAAAAAAAAAAAAAAAAGAATATGCCCTAAGAAGATTCTGTTGACTTGCCTCATTTGTACAGGCCTACATCCGGGTGCCCCAAGTGAGGGAAGTAATTTGGGGAGGAAGGCAGCTCTGTGGTGGATCCACTGTTGTGCTTGTTCCAGCCCCTCTGTCTCTTGCCGGGCCCCACGTGGGACCCGGGTAGTGGCATTCTCTAGGGCATTAGCTGGCCCTGGTGGTCCTTGCATCTAGCCTTGGAAAGGGACCTATCAGAGCATCTGGGGTGATGGTTAGAATAGTTCACAGGTACAGCACAGCTGTGGTCATCCCGATGGCCACTAGCTCTAGCCCTGGAGCAGGGCTCTGGGAAACCCTCACCATGCCGTGGAGGAGGCAGGAAAGTCCAAGGTTCTGGTCAAGGGTGTGTTCAGGAGGCTTGGGGGCAAGGGCTGTTTCCCAGCGAGTACACAAGTATTTCAGCATTTTAGCACTTTGTTCAGGCGACCCGTCTGTAGCAATTAAACACCATCCCTGAGTACCCCACCTTGTACCAGTGACGAGCCTGGATCTGCAGAAGAGAAGGGGCTTCCCAAATCCTAGATGAGATACCGGTGGGTCCAGGAGCAGAGCCGCCCTCTCTTGCCTCCTAATGAAATGATCTCTCCACTTCACTTTGCTGCCTCTTAACGGAAGTGTGGAAATGTCTCCTTTTCCACTTACTTCAAACCAGAGTTGGTTAAAAGAATTTTCCTATGAACAAAACTAAGAGGCAAATAGAAGATACCTGGGGCCTGGAAGTGAAGGACTTCATAGGAGAAAGTAAAGCTTGTTCAAGTCCAGCTTCAGATGCAATGGGCTGGCACAGTCTGTGGGACATTCATGACTTCTCCTTCTGTTCTCTGGCCTCTTTGCTGTTCACAGGATCCTCCTCTTAAATCTCCTCTTAACATGACTGATGTTCCCAGGGGCCATATTCTGTAGCCATTGCTTTTCTCTATGAATTGGGAGTCACAGGCTTGAGTTCCTGCTTTCGTCCCCACCACCTGTGTGACCTTGGTCACACAGAGTCCCCTCCCAGAGGAGTGGCTTGCCTGGACCTCTCAGAGGCACATTTTAGCTCTAAGATATTTGCTGTTCTCTCTCATTCAAGATTTTCCCCATCCATGCCTTATTCCTTCCACTTAGTAGTCTGGGTCACGCAACTGAGGCAGAAAAAAAGTCTGAATTTTGATGAAGAGATTGTCACAGTTTATCCCAAATCTGTTCTCAGGGGACATCCTTGTCTTTTTTTTTATTGGCAAAACTTGGTCAGGGAATTTCTGCTTAAATGAACCTACCGCTTCCCATTTTGAATCAGGTTTGTGCTTGCTATCATTATTAATAGGAGTATTAATTTCTGTTGCTGATAAAGCGCCCTGGTGTGGCTGGAAAGTGGTTCTGTGCCTTTTCCCCACCCAAGTGAAGAAGGACATGAAAGGTTGTACGGTGTGGAAAGTGCCTTAGCAATTAAATAAAAGGCTGGTTCATATAAAGGGGCTTGTTTCTATATGGAAAATATGAGCTTTTTCTTTTCTTTTTCTTTCTTTCTTTTTTTTTTTTTTTTTTTTTTTTTTTTACATGGACCAGGTGTGGATTAGTTCACTGAACCTTTTACCCAGCCTTATCCCAGCCTTATTCCCGCTTGTAATTCTTCTGAGGCACAGTTCAGCCAAGTCAAAGAAACATGTTATTAAAGGTGAGCTGAAAGGCATTTAAAAAATAAACAAACTGTTTAAGATCCTAAATCAGTAACAGAATCTATATGCACAGACTTGAAAAGTACAAGAAAATGTGTTTCAATGCCTTTTGGTTCCAGGCTGGATTCTCCTCTTTCCTTCTTTGAACATCTCCCCAAAGTCTTTTTTGGTAGTTGGTGGGACAGGCAGCCCCAAGGCTAACTTTGGCTTGTAGCTTTTTTGTAACTAATGACTTGCCTCCACTGAGGTAGGTGAGACCCCAATCTTATACCTACAATTCTCCAACTACTATTGAGGGGAAAAAATAAGTACTTTGATTTTATTTTAGCACTATGTTCTTAAGAAGTTTAAAATCTGATATACATTCTCTTTTATTTTTCCAGCCTGTAGCATGGCAGACAGCCAGATATATATATATATATATATATTTTTTAGACGGAGTCTTACTCTGTCACCAGGCTGGAGTGCAGTGTCATTATCTCGGCTCACTGCAATCTCCACCTCCCGGGTTCAAGTGATTCTCCTGTCTCAGCCTCCCGAGTAGCTGGGATTACAGGCTCCCGCCACCACACCCAGCTAATTTTTGTACTTTTAGTAGAGATGGGTTTCACCATGATGGCCAGGATGGTCTCAATCTCCTGACCTTGAGATCCGCCCACCTCAGCCTCCTAAAGTTCTGGGATTACAGGCATGTGCCACCATGCCTGGCCAGCCAGCTATTTTTAAGAACTTGTAGAGATGGTAGAAATGAGGTGTAGGATGTTTTAGATTTATTTAAGTTATATCATCCCTGATCGTAATAACGGCAGCCATCATTTCTTTGAGCATTCACTTTGTGCCATACACTATTCTAAGTACTTATGACATGTCAATGCATTTATTCTACAAAAGCAAATAATGCACTGTAATGAAGCCCATTTTATGGATGAGAACACTGAGGGACAGAGAGCTTAGGCAATTTGCCTAAGCTCACAAGGTCAGTCAGCACCAGAGCTAATAAGAACTTGGGCACTTGAATCCATGCTTGTAAATTCTGAACTATTCTAGTCTAAAGTATACTGTATAGTACTATATTCTGTAATACTTAGTTTTAGGTGAGGCAGCCCAAGGATGCATTAAGAAATACAGATACTCGACCGGGCACGGTGGCTCATGCCTGTAATCCCAGCACTTTGGGAGGCCGAGGTGGGCGGATCACGAGGTCAGGAGATCGAGACCATCCTGGCTAACACGGTGAAACCCCGTCTCTACTAAAAATACAAAAAATTAGCCGGGCATGGTGGCTGGTGCCTGTAGTCCCAGCTAATCGGGAGGCTGAGGCAGGAGAATGGCGGGAACCCGGGAGGCGGAGCTTGCAGTGAGCAGAGATAGCGCCACTGCACTCCAGCCTGGGCGAGAGTGCGAGACTGTCTCAAAAAAAAAAAGAAAAAGAAATGCAGATACTCGATCTGTACAACCTCAGCCTTGCCTTTATAAAAATTCTTTCCTAACTTTCAAAACTTGTTTGTTTTTGTTGTTTTTGATAGCCTGTTTTCAGCCAATGAATAGGTAGATAACAATCACTTGCAGCCTGTTGTACTGCTTTTTAAATAATTAGCTTGGCCGGGCGCAGTGGCTCACGCCTGTAATCCCAGCACTTTGGGAGGCAGAGGCGGACGGATCATGAGGTCAGGAGATCGAGACCATCCTGGCTAACACAGTGAAACCCCGTCTCTACTAAAAATACCAAAAATTAGCTGGGCGTGGTGGCGGGCGCCTGTATTCCTAGCTACTCGGGAGGCTGAGGCAGGAGAATGGCATGAATCCGGGAGGCGGAGCTTGCAGTGAGCCGAGATTGCGCCACTGCACTCCAGTGTGGGTGGCACAGCGAGACTCCATCTCAAAAAAAAAAAAAAAAAAAAGAATTAAAGTTTCATTGTGATTGTGCAATTGTACAAAGACATTCCCTTATTTTATTTTATTATTTTTGAGACAGGGTTTCACTCTGTCACCCAGGCTGGAGTGCAGTGGCACGATCTCAGCTCACTGCAACCTCTTCCTGCCTGGTTCAAACAATTCTTCCACCTCAGCCTCCTGAGTACCTGGGACTACAGGCAAGCACCACCATGCCCAGCTAATTTTTTTTTGTATTTTTTGGTAGAGATAAGGTTTCACCGTGTTGGCCAGGCTGGCCTCGAACTCCTGACCTCAAGTGTGATCACCTGCCTTGGCCTCCCAGAGTGCTGGATTTACAGGTATGAGCCACCGTGCCTGGCCTATTCCCCCATTATTAAACAGTGTCTCACTTTATTGCCCAGGCTATTGTGCGGCAGCACCATGCTAGCTCACTGCAGCCTTGAATTCCTGGGCTCAAGCAATCGTCCTGCCTCACCCTCCTTAATAGCTGGCATTGCAGGTGTGAGCCACTGAGCCTAGCTTATTCTCTCATTTTTAAAGTAATTTCAAATAGCAGAAGCAGGGAAGGAGAGGCATTTTAGGAGTTCATCTTTCTGGTCCACCTTTAATGAAGTAAGCAGCTCCTTCCAAGGGGAGCTTGAAGCCTGAATTCTTCGTAGTGAACACAGTACTCTTTTCAGAAACTTATACTTAGCTTAAAAAAATTATCTATACCTCCACCCTGCTGCCTTATATGATAGAAAAGGAGATGAGTTCAGCAACAGCTTCCTCTAGCACACTTGATTACCTTTCTTTCGCTGAAGTCCAGATGCTGAGCTTGTTGAACTCATCTGCCTTGTTCAGCCGTTCTTGTTTTAGGAGTGTTAACGTTCTTTTTGGGAAAGAAGCAGCATATGCGTACACCCTTGCCAGGCTTCCATTAAGTGTCCCTTCACCTTTAGCAAGCCCTTGGTGGACTCAGGGGAGCTTTATAGTTATTATTAACATAACAGCCTGTAAGTTGGGCTTCTTTCTAGTGAAGGAGCCAAGAGGGAGGGCCCCGCCTGGTTTTAAATTACGTAGGCTTTTCTAAATGTGTTTCTAATGGGAGCTAGAGAGGTGGTGAGCTTTGGGGAAGCCTCGCCTTGGGTCATAGTTGAGTGTAGAAGGGAGCTGGGATCTGCAGATATCAGGGAATTTAGGAAGAGAGGCATGGGAAAGGAAATGGGATGGAAAGGTGCCAGGAAAAGTTGCCTCATCATTTCCCACTTTGGTGGTGGCCAAAAGGTAAGTTTCTACTTTGAGATCACTCTCAGGCCCTGTGGGCACAGAGCTGCCAAGTTTCTCAGTTTAAGGACTAATAAAGTTGGGATGTGGGTAATTCTGGGAGACTGGGTAGTTTGAAGGGAAGGATTGTTGGAGGTCTTTCCAGCTATACTGACAATGTACATGGGTTCATTCTTGAGATGAGCGTGTCCATAATAAAATCTAGCTGTAGAGCCATTCAAGGACTTCTCTGTGTGCACGAGCATGCTAGCCATTTTACGTACAACAGTAGGAACAGAGTAGCTGGAGTAAGATACAGGAATGTTTTTGTTCCACTCATACACTGATTAGTGTTATTCACTCATTCTGTATTTACTGAACACCTACCCTGCGTAGCCACTGCTCTGTACTGGGATACAGCAAGCAAGAGGCCTGCACACTGGCTCATGCCTGTAATCCCAGCACTTTGGGAGGCAAAGGCAGGATGATCACTTGAACCCAGGAATTCGACACCAGCCTGGGCAACATAGTGAGACCTTGTCCCTACAAAAAATTGAAAAAACTAGTGAGGCATGGTGGCACGTGCCTCTAGACCCAGCTACTCAGGAGGCTGAGGTGGGAGAACCGCTTGAGTCTAGTAGTTAGTTCCAGGCTGCAGTGAGTCATGATCGTGCCACTGCACTGCACTCCAGCTTGGGCAACAGAGTGAGACCATGTCTCAAAAACAAAAAACAAACAAACAAAAAAAAGTGGGAGGGGGATGCAAATCAGATAAAATCCCTGCCTTCATGGAGTATATGTTCTGATATTTTTGTCATAAACTGAAATTAATACGACTTATCTGTTGCCTAAACTTTTTGCCCAGAACAACCAAACAGAATCAGTTCAGCTGCAGTGGGAACCGCCAAGAGCCAGATGTGGCCATGAGAGGAATATCTTTGAGAGCCTGTCATCTGGCTCCAGCTGTGTTAACCTAGGCCTGGTAGGCAGCCATGAGTTGTGTCTGCCAACTGGTGGCCAGACACTAGTGCAGGCTTAAACAATTAGCAGAATTCCTCATCCGGTGGCTGGATTCACTGTGTGTGTCCTACAGACGATCGCTGCTGTCCAAACCAGGGGACTCTGGGCAGAAACGCCCAGAAGAGAACCAAAAGTTAGCCCCTTGAGAAACCAGTCAAAGTCTCATCCCGGAACATGGAGAGGGAGGCAGGAATCGGGGAAGACCAGCAACAGTGAGAAAACAGAAGTAAACCAGACGTGGCCCTCTGCCTGGCAGACCTTAATTCTGACTGAGAACTCTTGCCTGATAGAGAACGTCTGCCTCCAGCATGCCCCTGCAGAAAAGCAAAGAGTAGAGTTTGCCTGTGAAGAAATTTTTTTTCAGTTATTTTTTACATTGTTGCCCTTTGGTGAGAATCATTTATGATGCTTTATTGGTTTTACCCAAACTGAGATTTCCATGAAAAGTATTCATTCCCACCTTTTGGAAGCAATTAGATCCCCACAAACAGGCTATAACTTTCAAATGTCTGTTATATCTGCCTTCAAAAATAAGTATATAAGTAAATAAAATGCTTCAGCCTGCCTGCATGTGGAAGATTTTTTATAAACTGTAGAGTTGCTGGTTTCATGTACCAGGCAAGTCCTGCTAGCACACGGGAAAATAATAGATTCTGATCATCCATTGTCCAGCATGTTTCTAATACCACAGTAGTTGCTCAGTAAATGTTTGTAGACTGAGCTGAATAAGGAAAAATTCCAGTGAATGTGCTGACTTGCAAGAATGGTAATTAAAAATTAGTGCAGTCATTTCAAATCATAAGTTGGGGAAACAACCCACCATTTAGTGCCCCCCAAAAGTAAAAGTTCTAATTGGAATAAGCTTAGGATTTTTTTTTATGTCCACATCTAAAGTCTGATGATAACAGAAAGCACAAGATGGCAGAGATTAAGGTTTTCAGGGAGACTTCTCTTGAGGCTGAACAGATATGTCCATGTGAGAACATTTTTATCATGGTGAGGTTCTTGGTGGTCTTTCAAAGAAGTCCCACTCTGAACAGATAACGACAACAAAATCATTGAAGTGGGGAAAATTCAAAAGATGCTAGTTTGTGTGTCAAAATCAACTTTTGCATTCTAACTGCATTGTGTAAATTTGCTGTGCAGGAAACATAAGTGAAGCCATTTGGTTTTGTGGCATTGGTGTGGGTTGGCTCAGGGGGTGGGGATAAGGTTGAGGCATTGATATAGTAAGAGGAGAGCCAGATGGTTGTATTACACATCTTTTGTGTTCTTGTTTGCTTCTTAAAGCAGTTGCAGAATTTTGCCCTTGGCGATATTTTCTTCGTGCCTGTGTGTTCTGCTATGAATTTACTTTTGTCAGAGTACTTTGAAAGAAAAGCCTTGCTCAGAAAAAAAAAAAAAATTACGTTATAAACTTGTGAAGTCAACAGTGTGTTCATAAAAATATTTTTTAAATGTTAAGTATGTTAGTAAATAGTTGAGAGAATCAGCTTTTCTTTTTTCTTAGCGCAGTGATTTCGACCATATTTTATATTAATTCAGGGAAAGAATTTTTGCAAAATTATGAATGTGCAATTGGTGATGGATGGATGGATCGAGATGGATAGATGAGGAGACAGACACATGGAACAGATACATTGTTATTCCAGTAAGGATGAGGCCTATCTGATTAGAGATTTAACTTTTTCCATTACTTACAGCAAGCCCTCAGGTTGTGGTTAACCTCTTGTGTTTTATCAGCAAGCGTAACTTGGTAGTAAGTTGAGTGAGAGTGGGTTAGGGTAGGTTGGTGAGTTTTCGTTGACATTTGGTAGAATTGCTGTTACACCACCATTGAAATTTATATTTATTCCCTACTAAAAGGAAATTCTATTTTGCAGTCACCAGTGGCAAGGGATATTTAAGATGTTCTAATGCATGTAAGGGGTGATATTTTATCACCGAATGCTTTTAATAAAGAGTTGCTTTGGAGCTGTCCCCCCTCACCCACACACACACACACACACACACACACACACACACACACACACACACACACACACACATTGTGGTAGAATGCTTCATAATAATTTAATGTCCTTTTTACAGTTCCAGTTTATTTTTTTTTCCTTTGCTCAAATCAGAGAAGAGCAAATATGTAGGATCCTTGGGCGACAGTTTATTCTCCTGTTGTGCACAGATTTCCAGTTTTAGTTGGAACCTGCAGTCCCTGATGAGAAAACAGGAAACTTACAGTCCTAACCTTATTGAAATCTCTGCCGGGTTTAGTCACAAGTCTGAGGCGACTCCTTCCAATAATGAAGCCATTGTACGCATCGTATCTGATCAGTTCTTGAAATGTTTTAGTAGGTCTATCTTACAACATTATAAGAAGATAATCAGCAGCCTTAGAAGGTCCCCATCTGGACTGTAGAGTTCTTTTACTGAAAGATGTTTTGCCTTTTTGAGATAGCTCTCGCGTTTCATCATCTGTTCCGCCGAGATGAAGTGCATATGAAAAGTCAGTGACTCTGAATCCATCTGTTGTTATTATTTTCCACTGATAATTGGCTTGAACAATGAAATGTCTGTGTCTGCAGCCTTTGAAACTGTACACCCTGTTTATTTTCTGGAGGTCTCACTGCAACTACGCCCCCCCATCTTTCCCCCTGCATTTTCTCTCAAGCTTACAGCGAGTGGCGCTTGTGTGAGGATGACATCTTTGACTCTGTGCATCAGTATGTGTCACTCAGCATCTAAAGCTTGCATACGGATTTTTGTCACAATCCCTGTGTCTGTGCCATTCGCTCCCGAATCCGGCGCTCTTTCAGCAAGGAGCTTAGCTGGGCCGCAATGCATGGATCCCTTACCTGGATTGTCGTCTTTATTTCACTGTCCTCATTAAAATATTAATTTAGGGTACAGTATCTAATACCTATGGAATTAGATACTACCTATAATTGTATAATATATTCAGTTGCATCCAGGTTTGCATGATACAGAGCATTAATATTGGATTCCACTAACATCACTTCCATTAGCTTGCTCAACCAGTATGAGATATAGATGAGCTGGGAAGCATAACTACCCTCAAAACTGCCAAAACATTCATTAGAAGCTCCATGGGGATGGACAGAAGCTTTCTCACAGTGATATACTGATTAAATTTTGTTTTGTGGTTTATTTGCAGCAAGGTTAGATCACTATTGTCTATGGACCTGGGTTATCTAACACCTTATTTGGAAGGTCATTTCAAGGCAAAAGGGTGGACAAAATCAGCGTCTTCAGTTTCTGTGGGCACCCCGCTTAGAGAACCTGTGTTTTATTCTCTGGGTCTTTGGGTATCTTTTTATTTTGTTTGCCTTTTCTCCATGTTATGCCATAATAATGTTTGAAATGAGTTTTGGGTTTGTTGGTTTGTTTGTGAAAATATTTTAAAACTTTTCAGTGATCTTCACCTTTTACAGTAGAATGATTTGGCCAGAAAACAGTTTTGTGTTAATAAATTAAAATTGCTTTTGAAATAGAAAGCTGCCCTATTTCCCTTGGCTAGGATAATCACAGCATTCTCGAAGGCTGTGAAGGATCTGTGACCTATCCTTTTTAGTCCAAATACAGTAATAATATGGACACATCCTATAGCACAGCCCTGCTGGATTTGGCCACAGAGTTCTGTAGGGCATTAGTAAGTAGTAGACGAACATAATCTTATTTATGTTTCAATCAAAATCATTTAATACTGCAAAAGTTATTAAAAAATAATTAAGTTACTAAGACCAACATGTAGCTGGAACATAGAATAAGAGGTCAGTGTGAGTTGATTCCATAAGCTGAGAAAAGTCAGTAGTGAATTCCTAACACTGGCATGTTTTTCCTCTTGCTTAAATTCCTGGGTTGTAAGGACAAATTATGTTGAGGTATGGCATATTTTCTGCCGAAATGGAGAAAATTGTTGACTGTAATTATGTTATTTAATTGAAATTATAAGTGGTTGAGGCCACTCAGTTAAAAGCATCTTTTCTAATATGGGGGTAATGTTTTTAAATGAGTGGTCATGGATTGGTGACATTTGAAAGGCAGGCATTTGGGATATATTTTTGGAAAACTCGAATTATTTTCCTTAAATGATTAGTGAACTAGAGAATATAGTTAAGTAGCGTTTTTTTTTTTTTTTTTTTTTTTTTGGCTTATTCTCTTTAACTAGATATGCTTGAATGTATTATGTGTGAGTATATATGCACATATATATATGTGTGTGTATATATTTTTATATGTACACTTTATATGCATATATCAAACAGATCTTTGTAGGTACAGAGTCACAAGTATCAACTTACAATGTGACAAAGCAGAGAAACGAGACGTATATCTGACAATTGTGACTAAACAAACCGATTGTTTAAAATTCGTTGAATGTTAAAGATTGAAATGCAACCCATAGTAGAACTCCAGGGATGGGTATACTACAAGTTCTTTTTGGAGTAGCTGGAGATACAACAATAGCACTCCCCCCCGCCCCACGAGTGAGTTCTTAATTACTAATGAATACAATTCATTTTAATTGTTATTATAGCAACATAACATTTAACTGACTCCTGTTTAGTGGTGTCCCCTGGAATAGGCAGTGTCTCCTGTCAGAGTGAGGACAGGTAGAAGGCACAGCGGGCGTCTGATTGAGCCAGTTATTCATTTGCTGAGTGTTTGTGTTTATGCAAAGGGGCCTCTTCCTGCATATTTAATCTAGAGTAAGGCAGTGGCTTTTGTTGTGTTTAGCCCACATACCTTCAGTCCTTCCTCACACTGCCGCCAGCCTGGGAGCCCTGAGAGCCAGCAGGCTTCCAAGCGCCTGTAGTTTCTCCCTTACAAACTCTCAACTTTCTTCCGTTGTGTGAAAATTGCCTCTCCCGCCCCAAAGCTTTGCCTCCTCACCATGAACGGGTAAGTGTGTGCGAAGCCAAGGCTGACACTTTTGTTTCATTTTACTAATGTTGAGAGGGTACTTTGCTGCCCTTCTGAGCGCCTCCTGAAAGCAGTCCTGGTTCCTGGGCCGTTGTCAGCTTCTGGCTGCATTGAAATAGACAAGTACAGGTGCCTCTTAGGAAATGTGGCTGAATTTTGGACTCGCAGAGAAAGGCTCGTGAGGACTAGGGGGAATTAAAAAGAAAAGAGAGAGAGAGAGCAGCTTTATTATTCTTTGTCCTAACAAATCCTGTTTTGTAACTATCCTGCAGATAATGCTGCCATTGTTTGCTAAAAGCCTTCAAACAGTGTCTAAGACTGAACTGTAAGAAAACAGAAACTCTGCCGCTGTATTGTCTATACCCGGGCCAGGGTCCTCCCCGAAGGTCTGTGCCGGAATAGGAAAGGTTTTCTTCTGTGGAAATCGAATCGTCTCTTCATTGATATTAATAGCACACTAGAGATGTTGGCCATGATGCTCAGAGAGGCGGTCGGGAGGGAAGGAAATCTGATCTTGCTGGGGGGAAAATGACAGCCTCTTGGCCCCACGGTGGAGGAGACATCATCCAGGCTCAGTGTGCATAATGGCATCCTGGCTTAACTGTTTGCTCTAGGAATTTTAATCTTGAGCTGTTTGTTTTACTATCTGGGGTCTTGCTATTTTTTGTTCCCGTACTGTCTTTAGAAAGCACCATATTCAGGGGCTAATCCAGTCTTTTTTTAAAGTGAATTTTTAAAAACAGACTCAGAGAAATTCATGTAGTGTACACTTAGATCATTCTGGGGTATGATGGGGGTATTCTGCTTTCTTTTTGAGGGTAGAGTGTTATTTCAAAAATAAGTTGCCACAATTAACAAGGGTGAACCATCCAAGGAAGATATGTCCTGTGTGAAGATATTTCAGGGTGTGGGAATTATGTCCAGGCTCTAAAAGAAGGAGTTTTCATGACCGGTTAACTGTTGCCTCTGTTTGAGTAACTCTTTTCAACAGAAGAGTGTGCTGTTCCCCCGCCGGTTGGAAACTGTGAGAATTTAAATAAAATTTCATCAACCTTATTAAAATATGTAGGGACTTGTGTCTTCTTGGGTACAAATCAGTCTAGAGACTTAGAAGCATTTATTAACAGTGAGGCTGCTGAAGGTTTTTAATAACAAAATTACAAATACTCTATCTAATTGTAAGTATATGACTTTTATACTTGGTTTTTAAGGGGAAAAATACTTTTTTTTGAGGCAAAGTAACTCCGTCAGAGCACCTTCTGTGATTAGTGCTATTGTATTCTTAAATTTTGATTGATAGAGATAATAGTTTTCACTTAAAAATACAGACAGGTACTTTAACTTTCCATGACAATAGCTATTTGCATTTCTTTTATCTTTTTGTTTAACATTTGTGGGGGTTGGGATGGATTTGATTATTAACTCTTATTGCACACTAAAGGTGAATCTAAAACAAAGGCTTTGTTAGAGCTTCGAAGGGAAAACAGCAAATATTGTTTTTAGGTTTCAACATTTAAAGGCTGTTAAAGGATACCCATAAAATATTTTCACATGACCACGGCCAGGGTTTTCCTTTTCTGTAAGGCAGGAGAGAGTCATTTTTCCAAATGAGATGGGCCGATGTGGAGTGAGTGGGGGGCTGCCAGCCTGAAGTAATTTCATGGGCAAGCATCGACTGGGGTTTACTGCACCACGTGGCTTAATGTATAATATTTTAGGTTTTTGCCCTACTAGAATGGACTCCAAAGTTAGGTACTATGATCTGATGAGGGCCCCAGAGGATGAGGAGAAAGGAAGTAAAATGTTACTTGCAGGGATAGGAGAGAGATTTGAAGAATGGTGGATTCAAAGTCGCACATTTCTTTGATAGAGACAAGTAAAAGAAGTGTAGTGTTTGTGAAGCTGCAAGCCTGGGTAGCGTCCAAGTTTGCCTCTGGTCTCAGAGACCCCGGCTGCACAGCAGCTTCTTCCTTCCTTTTCTTTCTTGTTTCCTTGCTTTATTCTTTTCCTTTCTTTTTCCCCTCTGTTTTTCTCTATTTTTTCCTTTCTCCCCTTTTTCCGTTTTTATTTTCTTCTTTTCTTTCTTCATTCCCCACCTTCCCCACTTTTTTTTCTTTTCTTTTTTGAAATCTTACTCAGTATTTGAAGTCTTAAGGGCATAGAACAAACTTTGAGATTGATTTTGGAGTAGATTTTCTTCACTATAGAAAATAAAGTGACTCTTGTCTTATATTTTTCAATAGTCAAATATATGTTGATGTCCTTATATTTTCTAAGAAGTCATTGAAAAACAAGATATTAAAGCCCACAGAAGATAAGATTCCCTATTTAAAGAGGCAGCAAACTCTTGGAAATTGGCCTATTTGGACCAGTTTTTGCAAATGAGTACAGGCCATTTGATTGGAGGATTTGGGGGTATGGGAAGTTTGAACCATGTTCCTTCCTCAGTTTCCTAGTAAGAAAGTGTCCTCTAGCCATAGACCTACTGAACTGCCCCCCATCACCACCCAGGGGCTTGCTTTGCTCATCTTTGCATCTTTATTAAGACTGGTACACAATAGGTTCTCAGCCAGTATTGGGTAGGCTGAAGATTGAGATGAACTATGTTGGGCATACTTCAGAGTTGCTTTTGCACAATTATATAAAATGAAATATAATGCAGAAATCTTAATGCAGATAATTTATTTTAGCTGTCAAGAAAGGGAAGGGGGAAATACTATAAATGGGGAAAAAAAGAGCTGATACTCTTCATTTTCAGTTTTGTGAAATGAGATTGCACCTCCACATTTACCTGCAACTCAGTTCCAAGTAGGACATACTAGTGGACACCGTGTATTATATGTCACACAGATTAAATTAAGGGCAAAATATATCCATAGAAAGTATGATATTGAAATACTGCAATAATCTGAGGGTTCTTTAGAATAACAGTCCTAATTAGGGAGGAGGGGTGGTTGGGGAGGTAGAGAAAGAGGAATGTACATTTAGTGTCTCACCCTAGAGTTCGCAGTAGAAATTTGGTGTCCTGGACATGGTTTTTGTGGTCACTGTGTAACTTCAGGTAAATGATACTGTTGCAATCAATAGTGAAGAGGCCATGGAACAATTCTGGTGTTCACAGGATCTTAACTGTTACAGAGAATGACATAAAGGAAAATAAGTAATTTCTGTTTACCATATCCTTGGCTCACTTTTAAAACCTAAAACCAGTAGGAAACTTAAAAAAGAAAGAGAAAAAGAAAAAAAAACGCAATTCGTATGGAGACAGCATTTTTTAAAAGAAGACAAGTGGGCTGGAGGGGAATGTATTTCTTTTATCTTTATCTTTTTTTTTTTTTTTTTTACATAAAAGCTTTGCATAATCATTTAATTTTAGTTTTGGTGCTTGTGCTGCCAGTAAGCATACAGGTAAATAGTTGATCTATTTGATAAGTAAAAGTGATTTAAAGAAAATAGCAAATATAGTATTGGAAAGGGAAGTTGTATGCTTTGGAAAAAATGAAATGCCTATTTTTCTGCTAGTTGTTGGTTTCCAATTCTTCTAAGCTAGTAATGAGGCAGACTCGGGCCCCAGTACTAGCCCTAATTTTCTTGTCTATTATATTGACACATTTCATTTACTTTAGCATGATGGCAAACAGCTGTTGAACTATTAATCTTTTTCTCAGCAAAACTAGAAAAATGTCTGTTAGATTACTTTGTTAATGTTATACCTTCTCTAAAAATGAAAATCAACAGAAATAAATTAATGAGTGGCCAATCGTGCATGTGCACCAAAATTTATGGAACTTCAAAATGGAGAAAGATAGAGATTATATCCCACTGCCCATTTTTTATGTATAAGTGAAAATTAAATGTAGTCAGTTTCGTATTGTTTTAGTATTTATAAATTGGATGGTCAGTTGTATAATTTTGTTGTAATTCTTTCCCCAGTATCCCTAGGGGAAAAAAATGATACTGGTTAAATCTGAGGCTGAATCAGCTTCTATTTTTGTTCTGTGTTCACTTACACACTATACTGTGTGGATAGGTGAGTAGAAAAACAGGTCTAGTGTTTACCTGAAAGTGTTCCGCAGGTTCAAATGCAGCACTGGAGATAACTTTATTCGAAGGAGGCATTTTCAGCAGTTTTTTAAAAAAATTAAATTTTAATGAGGTCCAGTTGTTTGCCAGGCCTATATGATGGCAAATCTCATCTGCATTGCAAAGTCTAATACTATAGGTCTGACTGCCAAACATGCAAAAATAGACACAGCTCAATAGATAAACATATAAATTAGTTTACAGTGCATGTATTGGAGAACATCTCAAGTAAAAAGGAGAGAGGAAAAGGCGTTCTTGCTTTGAATTGAGTAGGATCTGCCAAAGTTCACTTGCTTTACATTTAAGATTTGATGAGTGGTAGATGTAGAAATTTCTGTGTGCGCTTTGTATCTACTGAGCTCTGATTTGTGTAGAGTGGGGCTCTGCAGATCTTAGCTCTACCTTGAGGACCTGACCATCTTTGCTCTGTTTTTCTTTCTTATCGTTGCTTGCCCTGAAATAGACTTCTCACTACTGGAGAAACCAATCTTGGGGACATACATCAGCAGTAAAGCACACGATTTTCATTTTCAATTTGAATTGTTTTGTGTAAAAACAAAAAGGTTTTGGTCAGGCTGCAAAATAGTAATTTTAAGTCCCAGAGCTAGGGTTTTCCCCCACCCAAATGGTGAAAATTTATGGTGAAAACCTCCAATTTCCTCTTACAGTAAACATGAAAATTATGATTTCACTCAGAGCCTGCGTCTTTTTCCAATCTTAATGGCAAGAATCTGCATACACTTGCTTGTGGAAATGTCATAAATTGGCCTCGGATCAATTCCTCAAAGATAGTACACACCAAAGTGCCACTTTCAAATTTTTAGCCCTCGTGAAATAAGATTTTACTCTTCTCAATGATGTTTGCCTTTCCACATTCAGGGCTGACAGCAGAGGGATGAGCAGGGATATATTCCTATAAAATTAAACCACTTCATTACATGCTATTCTGAAGAGTGAGCAAAAAGATATTAACATTTTGGTAAAATGATGATATGATTTCGCCACCTTAAAAATTATATGAGCATTTGGTCAATGGATATGGAATGAATCCTGTACCCTCTTAGTAACTTGATCTAAATTAATAAACAAATGTTTTTCTTTTCACTCGTGCCATATGTTGATCCCAGTTACATGGGCAGAAAGAGGCAGCTTGTAATGTTTCTTAAAGGATTAAACACTGTTTTGCATACGGGAGTATGCAGATGCAGGAGTAGGATGTGGGGTAAAATGTGTTCCATGGTTTCTTTGTGTTTTAGGAAGCTTGATTTCAATTGTTTGTTTCATGTGACATGAACCCTTTTTAATTTAACTTAGTAGCTCCGGTAGATACATGGTAAGAGAAAAACATTCTGTGAACAGCTTTCGCCAGCAATTAACTCCCTGCCCCTCCCCAAAGTGAAAATGGTGCTGCTTTCATTCATTTTGAAAGGTCCGAAGTGGCAGAAAGCATCTTGTCTACAAGACCTAACTCTCTTCCAAAAGGGGAAAAAAATAAGTCTTTGCTTTAATGAAATAAGAGATGTTGTGGATATTAACCAAACAGAGACACGTTCAAGTGGCAGTCTGGTTTCCAAAAACAGAGGCCTATGAGTCACATATTATTCTCCATGAAAATAAATCGATAGACAACAAGATGAGAAAAAGTTGATACACAACATTTGAAATGTTTCACCTTGACTTTTCCCCACCAAGTCAATTTTGTTGTCTTGAAGAGCTCAAAGGCATATGGTCCAGATAAGTAGAGATTCTTGGGACTTGTTTTTATTAACCCTGAAAGTCATTTGCCATTAAATAGAATTGAGTGCTTTTGTTGTTTTCCTTGTGTCTGTCCTTGGCAGAGGTGGTTGCTACTTCTCTTGACATTCAGATTTTGATGTTCTCTTTTGTTTTCAGGGTAAGACGTGACCTTTTGAGGTGACTATAACTGAAGATTGCTTTACAGAAGCCAAAAAAGGTAAATGCAAATGTGATTAGTGAAGTTATATCCAGGGCTGTGTCTTTTGCCTTCCAGGCATTTTAATTCAGTTGCTTTTTGGTCTGTATTTGTCAAATAAACATGTATTTATTTGCGTGTAAGGACATATGTGGTGTATTTTTGGAGGTCCTAAGAAAAATGGTTGCCCTTAAGAAATGGTCTACAGGTTCACATTTCCCCCCCAAATATTATCAAACTCTTCTCTGTTTGTTGAAGCTGAACTTATTTTTATTTTTTAAATTTATTTGTTTCTTGTTGACTTGGTAGGTTTAAAGTTAGAAAGGAATATTCACATCACAAAAGTGGTGATTCATAAAATTAACTTGCTGCAAACAAGAGTAACGCATGTCAGTATTGTGTGCTGAAGTGGTGTCATCCAATTGATGTTCATCTGGCGGCTTTATAATCACCTTCTTTCAGAAATTAACAGTCAGGCACCATAGCAACACGCCACATTGATGTAACTGCTGAGCAGTGTGGGGCATATCCCTGTAATGTCAGCGCTAGGCTGCCTTGTTCTCTTGACCTTGCTTGAAAATCAAATGAGTACTTGATTTTAAAATTAGAAGTTTTCAGAGAGACTAAAGTAGCTTAATGAATTAAAGCCAAATTTAATTTTCTCAAATTCGCTTTTGGGAGGGGGAGTGAAAAAGTACTCCGGTTAAAATGGTTATGGATGCTACATATTTACTTGATTTCAAAAGTACCTCTCTGATAAAGGCAATGATCATCTTACAGAAGATGATCCTGCCGGTCGTTTTAACATCTGATATTTCTCAAGCAGTAGCATCTTTGTTTCATTTAGAATTTTTGGCCTTTAATAGTTCCATTTGATTTAGTAGATTTGTGTCTGTCTAAAAACAGGTTACCTGCCAGCATGGTTGAACAAAGCCTTTGCTCAGATTTTACTAAAGTTTATGTATTTGTCAGATATAGACTTATTATTGAGTTGAACAGAGTTTTTTGTGGAACTTTTCATAATGTGAAGAATCTTTGATCAGTTTTTGATAAGTCTCACCTGGGGCTTGGGGGGGTTCTAGAATGCATATATATAAAGGATATGGATTTGTTTTTGTAGTTGCATTCTGGCACATTTAATTTGGTCTAGAAAAATCAGACTTGCATCATTTCACCATCTATATTGTTTAAATGAAACCTTTGCAGGATCTACCTAATTGTATTTCAGAGAGGACAAACATACGTTTCAGATGTTTCGGCATGGAAGGAATTGATTCCCAACCAGTAATTGGGATTATCAGGCCACAGCAAGACACTTCCCTTTGCTGAGGCTCAATTTTCTTTTTCTTTTTCTTTTTTTCTTTTTTTTTCTTTTTGAGACGGAGTTTCGCTCTGTTGCCCAGGCTGGAGTGCAGTGGCGGGATCTCGGCTCACTGCAACCTCTGCCTCCCGGGTTCAAGTGATTCTCCTGCCCCACCCTCCTGAGTAGCTGGGATTACAGGCAGTCGCCATCATACCCAGCTAATTTTTGTGTTTTTAGGAGAGGCGGGGTTTCACCATGTTGGTCAGGCTGGTCTCAAACTCCTGACCTCGTGATCCGCCCACCTCGGCCTCCCAAAGTGTTGGGATTACAGGCGTGAGGCACTGCTCCCGGCCTCAGTTTTCTAATCTTTAAAAGGAAGACATTAATCTATATCAAGGGTCTGCAAACTTTTTCTGTCAAGGGCCACATAGTAAATATTTTCTACTTGTGGGGGCATTCAGCCTCTGTTGCAGCTACTCAGCAAGGTGGTAATTTGCTGTCTCCTGGTCTCTATAATCTCACAGAGTGATCTCAATCCAAGATGCTCCTCATGCAAAGTGGTGCCACATGTCTAACTCATCTCCTACTGTTAGCAGAGGTTTCTGGCAAAGCTAAAAATTATGATTAAACAGGCCAGGCATGGTGGCTCATGTCTGTAATCCCTGCACTTTGGGAGGCTGAGGCGAGTGGATCACCTGAGGTCAGGAGTTCGAGACCAACCTGGTGAAACCCCGTCTCTACTAAAAATACAAAAATTAGCTGGGTGTGGTGGCGGGCACCTGTGATCCCAGCTACTCAGGAGGCTGAGGCAGGAGAATCACTTAAACCCGGGAGGCAGAGGTTGCAGTGAACTGAGATCGCACCACTGTTCTGCAGGCTGGGAGACAGAAGGAGACTCTGTCTGAAAAAAAAAAAAAAAAATTAAACAAAGCTGAAAAAGTGGTAGAAAAGATGAAAAGTTTAGCTTGAGAGTTGCCTTATCCATACAGCTCCAAATATAACCTTCACTGATGGGTTTTCATTTGTTGTTTTGTTTTTTTTTTTTTTTGTAATCACCTGTAAGCATGAATTATTTTTCTTCTGATTCAATATCTTTATAATGTCCGTTCTTTCACCTGTTACCTGAAAATGGAAATACAGTCCCCACCCCACCCCAAATTCTGTAATATTGTTGAAAGTTAAAAATATCATAGGTCAAGGGAAAAATTGGAAAGAAATGTTTCTAGAAATTTGTCATTGGCATTGCCTGAGAAAAATAGTCTATATTACAAAAAAAATGCTTTCTTCATAATCACTATCAAGTGCATGATCTATGGGATTATTTAATATCGTGCAAATAATGCCCCCCTTGTAAAATTACTTGATCATAAAAGTATTTTATATGCTCAGTCTCTATAGTTGTTCTCTACTTTCAGCTTTTTTTGTTGTCTTTGTTTTTGTTCTATATACATTGTCTTCGTCTGTTTGGTGTTGCTATAAAGGAATACCTGAGGCTGGGTAATTTATAAAGAAAAGAATTTTATTTGGCTCATAATTCTGCAGACTGTACAAGAAACATGTGCCAGTACCTACTTCTAGTAAGGACCTTAGGAAGCTTCCAGTCATGGCAAAAGGGGGTTTGGAACAGGCATGTCACATGACAAGAGAAAAAGGAAGCTTGGAGGGAAGGGGAGCCAGGCTCTTTTTAACAACCAGATTTGTCATGAACTAATAGAGCAAGAACTCAGTCATTACTCTGGGGAGGACACTAGCCATTCGTGAGAGATCAGCCCCCATGATCCAAACACCTTCTATTGGCCCCTCCTCTGACATTGGGGACCAGATTTCAAGAGGGAGATTTGGAGGGGACACATTTCCAAAGTATATCATACATCATCTTCAGTATTCCTATTCCAAGTGAACATTTCATTACTTAACACTTTTTTTTTTCTTTTACAGTATCCATTCCATCTGTGTTTTGATGCTAATTTCAAATTTTGGGGAGAAATAAGTTAGGGTATATAGACTTAAGTAATAAATGTAATTTTTACCTTTGAACAAGGTGAAAGATCTTTCAAAGACTAATTTGTATATATCTTGATCTCTTATCTAGAAAGAAATAAAAGGTTTGTTGGAAATATACAATTTAAAAAGATGTTTCAAGTGAATATAGTGGTTAGCGTTTCTTCCTGATGAATAAGCCTTAAATGAGGAGAAGACCTTGCCATCCAGCAATGGACAAAAAAATCAGCATCATCTTTCACACTGCAAGAAGCATGTAGACTTCAGATGCCAGGAGCTTCTCAGTAAATACCACGCCTCAAATTTGAAACCTGGGAATTATTAAGAGTCAGTATAGATGCACAGAAATATGCCTACAAAGGTACTATGGGAATAACTGATTATATACATAAAAGTCGCCAGGCAAATTCAGAAAACCAAATGAAGCCATTTTGAAAATTTGGATTCTATGGTCTGAAGAGTCATAAATAACAGTCATCATACTCGGGAGTGATATAACAATTTTCTTCCAACTAGATCTGAGTGCTTTACAAAATGGATCTGGTTGCTGGCATTCCTAAGAGGTAGCTGGCAATTCTCATAATCCCCACTTTACAGACTGGAAAAACGGTCCCGTTGATGATAAATAGTTTACCCAAGGTCATCCAGAATGTCAAGATGGAAACTAAAGAGGGATGCACTGGTCACAATTATACAGATGTCATTCTATTATGGTTGCCTTGGTTTGGTGATCTAATAAAGGTTTCTGTGGCATTTTTTCCTGCCTCCCCTCACCATTGACAATTTACCCACATGCATTTGCTTAAAATTCAAATCCAATTTGTAAAATTCATCATCTTATATTCAATTCTGAATGGCATTGAGAGTTGAAGATAATCATCAAGGCCATATAGATTACAATTAAAATGGTTAGTTTTAAACATTAGGCATCTCCAAGCTTCACATTTTGTGTATTGGTTCAGTTTTTTTTTTAAAGTCAGGTTATTTGAGAGAAAACTAAAAAACAATCAAAAGGAAGTTGAATCATTGCAATTTTCCCCCCACTCCATCCCTAATTTAAGGTGTTTTATGTTAGATGAAGGAACTATAAATGCATCCTTGTAGATAACATTCATTGTGTCTTACCTATTATAAATTATTTCTTGGTGAAAAATAAAGCTAAAATGCTATTCAGTTATTTGAAATATAAGTTCCTTTAAAAGTGTATATGTGAGTGATTTGAACATTTACCTAATGACACAGCAATTCTGAGCTAAACCCATTCAAAACTACCTTTTTAGAGTATTTAGCATTTGAATTATGTGACCATTAATTAAGGAAGTTGTTATGAAGACACTGGAAGCAGTCGTTACTGAGTTACCAGATGACCGCATTGGCTGGAATGTGATCAGTCAATTCAGTTAAGCATTGAAATGCTCCCTGATCCCCCGTACACACATACAGTACACTCATGCCTGGGTTGTAACCGTCAGGGTAAAGACTAGGCTGGTGTAACAAAGAGACCCCAGCGTAAAATGGCTTAAATAAAATAGAAGTCTACTTCTCTCGTGAAACAACCAGACCAATGTAGCTTGTCTGGGCAGATCTTTCCGTCTGTGCTCTCCTCCCTTGGGGCTTTGTCTTTATCATATGGTTGAAGCTATGTTGTTGCCGCACTATGGAGATGTCCAAAGCAAGCAATTTTCTTTTGATCAAAAGAGTTAAACATTGTATACATCCCACTCATTGTCACTTAACTGGTAAGATTGTGGTCATAAGGCCCAGCAAACTTTGAGGGCTGCTGGGAAGTGTCTCTACCTAGGTGGCCAGGAGCCTGGGGAGAATTGACAAACAGATTTAAGGGGACAAGTAGAATACAAGTACTTCATTGATTCAGTTGCTCCAATCTAGTAATTTCATTCATTCATTCATACATACAGATGTATGTACATACATACATATATTAATTCTTACTGCAGATGTTTATTGGTGGGTGTGTGCTAGGTGCTGAGATTATAGCACCGTGTAAGAAGGACATGGTCTCTGTCCTCACAGAGTTGATAGTCTAGAGGGGCAGGCATACATGAATGACGATGCTGATGATGGGTGTTAGGAAGGGCAATTGTTGGTTGATTTGAGAAGTGGTCTAAAACAAGGAGTCCAGGGTGTCGGGAATTATGTGTTTTAGCATCGTATGGAAGTTATGTGAGATTAACTTGATTTCCTTATATGCTGTTGTGAATGTTATCAGGCATGTTAATTTTTTGTTAACAGAATTACTGAGATATAATTCACATACAATACAATTCACCCATTTAAGGTGTACTGACTTTTCAATAGTTCTTAATGTGTTCAGAGTTGCAACCATCTAGTTCAGTTTTAGAATATTTCATCGCTTAAGAAAAAACCCTAGTAACTATTAGCACTTACACTGCATTCTGCCCTCCCGCCATCCCCTGATAACAACAAATATACATTCTGTTTGTATAGATTTACTTAGTCTGGACGTTTCATAGAAATGGAATCCCACATCCTTTTGTGACTGGATTCTTTCACTTAGCAAAATGTTTTCAAGGTTCATCTAGGCATTTAAAATTTTTAACTGTCTTAAAACCTCATGAGTTCTTATTTTTAAATCTAAGAGAATGGTTGCTTGAAATATTCTTACAAGGGACAGAACTGGGGAAAAATTACTGTTTTTTATGCTGTGTGTATTTCCGTAGACTGACATGGCCTCTCAACAGTTAAACGTCAGAATTTAAATGTTTGCATTTTAAGTTAGCTGTTTTTAAACATTGTTAGCCATAATGCTAAACTAAGTTACTCTGTAAACAAGAGCTGTCTCTCTTGAATGTTAGTTTCAAAGAAAAAAAATTTCTTAAATATTGATTTCCAGAGAAATATGCTCAATAGAGTTCGTTTTCAAGCAGAAGTCACTTGTTGAAATGTACATGAAGGCATATTTAGTAGTAAAGACAATATTTGCAGCAATTATCAAATAACCATATTTTGCACAGTGAACAATCAAAAATACAAAACCAAATAGCAAATGGTTTTATCTATCTTTTTTTTTTTTTTAAGAAATGGGGTCTGGCTGTGTTGCCCAGGCAGGATTACAGTGGCTGTTCATAGGTGTGATCAGAGCTTACTGCAGCCCCGAACTCCTGGGCTTGAGGGATCTTCCTGCCTCAGCCTCCTGAATAGCTTGGACTATAGGCTCACACCACTGAACTACTGTATCCATGTATTTTTTAAATGATGTTTTTGCTGTCCTATCTGCCAAAGGCACAAATATTCCAACTGCTCACCTTGAGCATTTTAGGAACACAAACCTCATGTTAGGTGGCAACTTAACGACGTACCACAGATGTAGGAAATAGAGCCTTTCCTTGGCAATTCAAAAGCCTCTGAAAGAAATCTGAAGCTTAACTGTACAAAAACAAAATATTATAAAAGGTAGCACATCTGTGTTAACCTTGTGGGCCTACCCCCTCAGTATCTAGTAACACCAAGGACCTCAAAGAAACAAATAGTGTACTGATGACAGAATCCTTATTTTATGAGCCCATTTAAAAGTTGAAGCTGTAGTGACAGTTACTAAGCAGTGCTGAGTTTGGATTTGAAGTTTGTGGTATCTTTTAAAAACACTATTGGTGAATGGGACTTTGTGAATTTGAAATGAAGATGAATCGTTTCAGTTTGTTCCTCTCTGCCACTGATCTGGCTTTGCATGGGGTCGGGAAGAAAAAGGAAAAACATGAAGTCTTTCTGCCCTTGTCAAATTCACTCTTTTTAAAGGGTGAAAATCATGCAGATCTTTCCTGAATTTTGTATATTGGCATATATGTGGTATGTAATTAAAGGTAATTAGATGTTTTGTTAATTATCTGAGAGTGTGACCAGTTATTTAAAATTACCTTTTAGGCCGGGCATGGTGGCTCACACCTGTAATCCCAGCACTCTGGGAGGCCAAGGCAGGTGGATCACTTGAGGTTGGGAGTTTGAGACCAGCCTGGTCAACATGGCGAAACCTGGTATCTGCTAAAAATACAAAAATTAGCTGGGCATGGTGGTGCACACCTGTAGTCCCAGCTACCTGGGAAGCTGAGGTGAGAGAATTGCTTGAACTTGGGAGGCAGAGGTTACAGTGATCTGAGATCATGCCACTGCTCTACATCCTGGGCAACAGAGGGGAGACTCCATCTCAAAAAATAAATAAATCAAAAGTAAAATAAAATTACTTTTTAATTAAGAGAAACCTCCCATTGTTGGATGGACTGTGATTATTGCAGTCTATGGCTTGCCATGGTAGCTTACATGCTCACTCTTTCCTCCAGTCTTTTTTTTCTGGAGGTTGGTCTGTTTCCCTTTCAAAAGGTCCTCAGTGGTCTCTGGAGGCCAGAGGAAATATCCTAAAATACATTCATTACAAATTCCATACTTTAAAGTTTATTTAGACCAGTCATTTTCAAAGTGGCCGTTGGAACCAGTTTGTGGGTTAAGGATTTTAGTGTAGTGGCTTGTACCCAAGACTTTTAAAAAATGGAATCAGCGGCCAGGCACAGTCGCTCAGGCCTGTAATCCCAGCACTTTGGGAGGCCGAGGCAGGCAGATCACGAGGTCAAGAGATCAAAATCATCCTGGCCAACATGGTGAAACCCCATCTCTACTAAAAATACAAAAATTAGCTGGGCATGGTGGCGCACACCTGTAGTCCCAGCTACGTGGGAGGCTAAGGCAGGAAAATCACTTGAACCCGGGAGGCAGAGGTTGCAGTGAGCCAAGATCACACCACTGCACTCCAGCCTGGTGTGAGACTCCATCTCAAAAAAAAAAAAAAAAAAATACAGAATAAGCATACAATACAGTAAAATAAAAAAATCAGAATATGTCACATGTGGTAAGGATTTTATGTGTATGCAGTAAAACTTCTGAAACATATGAGTACTGTCTTTGCAATGTAAAGTAGTTCTTTCTGCAGGTTGGATTTATTCCCTCATCTGTTTATTCACACATCTTTATTAAATGCCTGCTGTATGCCAGGCATTGTGCTTGACCTCCCCTGTCCAGTGTGGGAGCCACTAGCTACCTGGAGCTGCTGAACACTTGAAATGTGATTAGCCCAAACTTGGATGTGCAGTGTAAAATCTACAAAGTATTTCAAAGCCTTTGTATGGAAAAAAGAACATGAAATATTTGATAATTTTTCTTCATCGATTACATGTTGAAATGATCGTTTTGGATACATTAGGTTAAATAAAATATTAAAATTAATTTCAGCTGTTTCTTGTTACTTCTGAAAAGCGTCACAGTTACTTATGTGGCAGCCATTGTATTTCTATTAGACAGTGTTGCTGGATATAGCAGTGGACAGCACAGCCACCAAGCCCTCTGCTCATTGGTTTAGAGGGAGTGGACAACCAGCGAAGCGTGATAAACAAGGGCGTGGTGATAGATACTGTAGAGAAAATATAAAAGGATAAGGGAGGTCACATTGTCAGAGGGAAGGGTTGCTGTGTAAATAGGGTGGTGGGTGGTCAGGGTAAGTCCATGTAAGGTGAGCAGAGATGTAGCCTATTCTAAAGAGAGCAAGTCAGCCAGTATGGCCGAAGCAGTGTCCTTAAGGGAAGAGTACAGGTTGAGTATCTGTTATCTGACATGCTTGGGACCAGAAATATTTCTGATTTGGGATCTTTCAGATTTTATAATATATGCATTACCAGCTAAGCATCCTTAACCCCAAAATCCCAAATCTGAAATGCTCCTGTGAGCATTTCCTTTGAGTGTTGTATCTGTGCTCAAAAAGTTTTGGATTTCGGAGCACTTTTGATTGCAGAATATTGGATTAAGGCTACTCAAGTTGTAGTAAGAGACAACATAACAGTGTAACAGGGCCAGACTGAGTAGGGCATTAGGGCTTTTTATATTCTTATTGGGGAGCCATTGAGGGGCTTTGAGGTAGAGCAAGATCTCACTCATGCTTTTTAAATGGATCGCTCTGGGAGCTGTTTTGAAAATAGACTTTGGGTGGATGAGGTCATAGGCAGGGAGACCTGTCAGGAGGCCACTAGAATAATCCCAGTGAGATATGATGATGGCCAGGATCACAATGGCAGGGGAGGTGCTGAGAAGTTGTTGAATTTGGAATTTATTTAAACATTGAGCCAAAGGATTTCCTAGTGAAATTGATGGGGAGTTTGAAAAAGTTGCATCACAGAAGACTCTTAAGATTTTTGTCTTGAATGACGGGATATAATCAATAGGATTCACTGATGGATTGCTTATGGGCAGAAACAGAGGAGTCAGAAGACAAATGCTTTCTGTTCTAAGGAACTGATAGAAGGTGGTGCTCCCATCACTAAAATACAGCAAGACAGTGGGTGGGGCAGTTTTGGAGGTAGGGGAGGTAAGCAAGGGAGACCAGGAATGTAGTTGTAGATATGGGAGGTTTGAGCTATGCACCCAGACTAAGATGCCAAGTGGGCATTTGGATATGTAGTCCTGGAAATGTCCTAGCTTGGTCTATAAATTCAGGATTTATAAGCATGTAAGTGATACCTAAAGGCATAAACTTGACTGAACTCACCAAGGAAGCAGTGGTATAGAAGAAGAAAAGAAGAGTTCCAGGATCTGGGTTCTGACTCTGGGAGGCTGAGGTGGGAGGATCTCTTGAGACCAGGAGTTTGAGATCAACCTGGGCAACATAGTGAGACTCTTATCTCTACATTAAAAAAAACAAAAATTAGCTGGGCATGGTGGCGTGTGCCTGTAGTCCCAGCTACACTTGGGAGGCTGAGGCAGGAGGATTGTTCAAGCCCAGGAGCTTGGGGCCACAGTGAGCCACAGTTGCATCACAATACTCTAGCCTGAGGGACAGAGTGAGACTCTGTCTCAAAAAAGTAAAATAAAAATAAAAAGCCAACACCATTAAAAGTTTTAGTCATAGAATATTGAGAACAGGAAAGATCAGAGATGGGATGAAAACTCTGAGATTGTGAACCAGAAAGTCATCAAGGTAAGTGTTTAAAGTAGGAAACAAAGCTGAGCATGGGGGCTCACACCTGTAGTTCCAGCTACTCAGGAGGCTGAGGCAGGAGGATTGCTTCAGTCCAGGAGTTTGAGGCTATAGTGTGCTATGATCCTGCCTGTGAATAACCACTTCACTCCAGCCTGGGTGACAGACTATAGTGACTCTGTCTCTAGATAAAAAACAAAATTAGGCTGGGCACAGTGGCTCATGACTGTAATACCAGCACTTTGGGAGGCCAAGGCAGGCGGATCATGAGGTCAGGAGTTCAAGATCAGCCTGGCCAACATGGGGAAACCCTGTCTCTACTAAACATACAAAAACTAGCTCGGCATGGTGGCTCATTCCTGTAATCTCAGCTACTCAGGAGGCTGAGGCAGGAGAATTGCTTGAACTGGGACCCGGGAGACGGAGGTTGCAGTGAACCAAGATCGCACCACTGCACTCCAGCGTGGGCTACAGAGAGAGACTCCATCTCAAAAAATAAATAAATAAATAAATAAATAAATAAGAAGAGAGTTGTGAGCCATATCAAATTCTGCCAAGTGGTCAAAAAAGATGATGACAAAGAACTGACCATTGGATTTGTCAATATGGAAGTCATTGATGACCTTAGTAAGAGTTAGTTGTGTTTGAATCTCACTCCTATCATATTTACTGGCTTTATATAACTAGCAGTCTGCTGGCTGGCTGAACTTACATGGTTTGTATTATTTTTCCAGGAATAGTAATTGTTCAGCATTCTTGTTTGTTACAGTTACCACATTTTCCCCCACCCCTTGCACTCATTTTTGTGAAGTTTGGGTCATAGTACAACCTGTGAGCAGTGAAAAAGGAATCCTGGGCATTTTGTCCCTCTTGACCCGTTCTCTAATCTGATGGTTTGGAGATTTGCAGTTTAAATAAAAGGCATAGAGGAAAGTGGGATGTGTTTATAGCCCTAACTTAGAATATGTCGATTGTAATCATCTGAAGTATATCACAGATTGGTGTGGTTAACATAGTCTCTAGATTAGTAAAATACTAGTTTGAGCCTGAGCCACGTCTGTCTATCACCTTTACCTTTTACTAATATAGGTAGTCTTTGATGGGTTCATCTGCCTTTCAGATTACCTAAGAGCATCACAGATTCTAGCTTTCTCAAAACTTGTGAAACACAGTTGAACATTTTCAAGATTTCTTGGCCAGTCGCAAATCCTCAAGCATCCAGGAAATGGTAGGTTAATTACAAAAACACACATTATCTCTATATGGATGCTAAATACTGTTAAGATGGTGTTGGATGAAGGAAGGACAGTTTCTCTTTGTGGATAATTTTAAATGCACTTACGAAACAAAAAATAAAGGAAGCGGCCTTGCGTGGTGGCTCACACCTGTAATCCCAGCACTTTGGGAGGCCGAGACGGGCAGATCATCTGAGCTCAGGAGTTCGAGACCAGCCTGACCAACATGGAGAAACCCCGTCTCTACTAAAAATACAAAATTAGCCGGGCGTGGTGGCGCATGCCTGTAATCCCAGCTACTCAGGAGGCTGAGGCAGGAGAATCGCTTGAACCCGGGAGGCAGAGGTTGCGGTGAGCCAAGATCGTGCCATTGCACTCCAGCCTGGGCAACAGGAGCAAAACTCTGTCTCAAAATATATATATATGAAGAAGAAGTAGTGAGAAAAATTTCATTGGTAACCTTATTTAAACAGTTCAACATTGTAACTAAATCCTAATGTTATTGTTTTTATTTTATTTTTATTTTTTGGGATGAAGTCTCGTTCTGTCACCCAGGCTGGAATGCAGTGGCACGACCTCAGCTCACTGCAACCTCCACCTCCCAGGTTCAAGTGATTCTCCTGCCTCAACCTCCTGAGTAGCTGGGATTACAGATTCCCGCCACCAAGCCCAGCTAATTTTCGTATTTTTAGTAGAGACAGGGTTTCGCCATGTTTGTCAGGCTGGTCTCAAACTGCTGATCTCAAGTGATCTGCCCCTCTCAGCCTCCCAAAGAGCTGGGATTACAGGCGTGAGCCACAGCGCTTGGCCCTATTACTATTATTATTATTATTTTGAGACAGGGTCTCGCTCTTTCGCCCAGGCTGGAGTGCAGTGGTGCAGTCTCGGCTGACTGCATTCTCTTGCCTCCCAGGCTCAGGTGATCCTCTCCCCTCAGCCTCAATGAGTAGCTGGTACCACAGGCACATGCCACCACGCCTGGCTGATCTTTGTATGTTTTTAGAGACAGGGTTTCGCCATTTTCCCCAGGCTGGTCTTAAACTCCTGGGATGAGGGGATCCACCCACCTCGGCCTCCCAAAGTTCCGAAGTTCACACCTGTAATCCCACCTTGCCTGGCTATTTCTTATATATGGCATATTTAAAAACATTTGTCTATATATACTTTTACTGTATGTACTCTTTTTGTTTCCTGCTTTTATCATTAAACGATCTTAAGTGTTTTCCCAAGTTATTACTTAATATATCTACATCTTATTTTTAAAGCTACGTTCATTACTACCACTGTTGTGTTTTCTATACCTGCAACTGGTGGGTCTTTAGATTCCTTCCAGTTATTTGTGATTGTAACTACGTCTGTGTTGGACATCTCGAGATAACTCAGTCTCTTGAGTGAGTTTCATAAAAGATGTTGTGATTTTAGATAATCACCTAGTTTCTCCCTCTACTTTTAAATAATATTCAAATGAATTCCAGGCACATAAAATCATTGCTTGGCTCTGCGTACATGTGTTTTCTGTGATAGCATGAGGTAGAGTTTGTATCAACTTTGATGACAACATTTCTAGACATTAAGTTGGTAGGCAGTTTTTTGTTTTGTTTTGTTTTGTTTCTGATTTGAATTCTCCCTCGATATTTTCCCACTTCCCCAACTTGATTTGCAGCTTGTTAGATAAGGAACTTTGTATCTTTCAAAGGAGAGCCATTTATACTTTCATTGTTTAATTTATCCCAAATATCAGTCATTCTCTTGTCCCAGCACATGCCATTAATATAAATTTGTTTATAGTTGCAAATTTTGCTTTGGTTGGGTTTCATTCAGATTAACTCTGTAAAATTAAAAAAGTTACAGCTTTTAGAGTATGAAATTTAAGTTCTCTTCTTTGCTATACCTCAGTGATATAGTTACTAATTGATTAAGCAATAAGTAGTTACTGAGTTTCTATGAGGCTCCCTGTGTTTAAAATTGAGCTGTGTGCTGGCGGGCGGGGCGGGGGTGGCGGGGGACACTCTACATGGTGGTAGATATCCCATCTAATTCTAAAATCCCCAAATGGCCAATCAATGAAGTACAGTCATGTGCCACACAAGGATGTTTTGGTCAACGATGGTTTGCATATATGACTGTGGTCCCATAAAATTATAATGGAGCATACCTGATACATAGCACTTGGTATTGTCATTGCAGATAAAGTAGGAGAAGTGACTGACATTAGGTAACAGTGCTGGGACATACGGTTTTCCATATGAAAATATATAAGTAAAAATATACATACTATCTGGGTTTAAGTACACTCTTATGTTGGCACAGTAGCAAAATCGCCTAACAACACGTTTCTCAGAACCTATCCCTATTGTGAAGTGATACATGACTTTATTCTTAGGTTTATAGATTCAGAGAGGACCAAGGAATGTCAGACTTCTGTAGCCCATTCCTTATATTTACTGAAGATGAAACTGTGATACAGAAAAGGAAATGACAGACCCCAGGCCACTGTGTAATTGTAGATTTCTGTGTTGGTAGTGACTCCCAGCCTCTTCCACTACATCAGTTCCTTCCTTTTGTGATATAATACCAAAGATAAGTGGAAATATTAAAATTTGACTGTTAAAAAGTTGACTGTTGAAAAAATGGACCAACTGAAAACCAAGGTGTATTATTTTTATGTACATGACCCTTTCTCGGATTTAATTTCTAATATTCTCTTCTCTAAGCTATGTTAAGGGAATTTACAAGTGTTTCAAAATATTAAATAGGAAAAGCATCATCTGAAAATGTTTATCTCAGAAAGTGCCCACTTTTCACCCTTCTTCTCTTTACTCTCTTCCTTTTTCTTCCTCGTTCCCTCTCCCTCTGTGTCTCTCCTCCCTCTAAAGCCTGATTTTTTAAAAAACAAGGCTGTTTGATGAAGATATGTATAAAGTTAGAATTATCCTGCTGGTTGACAACTACTGTGCATTTTTTGAATAGTTGAGTTTTGTATAGCATGAGAATTTAGTTGACTACACTATCCTTATGCGACTGATTCATACAAATGACTGCCTCCTATGTGACGTGTTTTGCCAAGGGCTGGGGTATATAAGAGGATAATGATGTGTGTTTCTTACTATTTTTGAGGCATAAGCTAATTGATTCGAACTGCGTGTTTTCTGAGGTCTTGTTCTACCTGGCTTTGGAGTGGGGTTAATGTTCTTTATTTCCCTTCTGTGGGATAAAATACCTACCAATGTAAAATTGTCATCAGGAAGGGTCATATAATTTCATTAACTAAGTTCTCATTATAATATTCTATGTATGTTACATACATAGAATAGAAAGTTCTTATGAAGTTAATTTTTTCTGATTATAAATATAAAACCATCTCATTATGGGGAATTTGCAATTATAGAAAAGTAGACAAATGCAAAAATAAAAGTAATTTAGACTCCTGACCCTGATGATAACATATATTTCCTTCTACTCTTTTTTTAATGGAATGTACATATAGTTGACAAAGTTGTAGCCATACAGTATATGGTATTTGTGTATCCATTTTTTTTTTTAATTTAGTATTTCATGATGAGCATTTTCCTGTGTCATGAAGTGTTCTTAAAGACATCTGGAATGGTTGTATACCACATCATCCTTTCGGATACAATAAAATTTAAAGAACTATTCTTAATGTTGGGTATTGACACCATGTCCAGTTTTCCTGTAATAACGTTGCAGTTGGCATATTTGTGCACAAATATTTGTCTTTTCTTTTTTTGAAACAGGGTCTCCTCCATTACCCAGGCTGGATTGTAGTGATGATTATAGCTCACTACAGCCTTGATCTCTCAGGCTCAAGTGATCCTTCCACATCAGCTCCCGAGTAGCTTAGACTTCAGTTGCACACACCATGTCCAGCTAATTTTTATATTTTTTGTAGAGACGGGTTTCTGCCATGTTGCCCAGGCTGGTCTCGAACTCTTGGGCTCAAGTGATCTGCCCGTCTTGGCCTCGCAAAGTGCTGGGATTACAGGCGTGAACCACTGTGCCTGGCATATTTGTCTATTAATTTGCTTTTCTTTAGATGTATTCTAGAGGGGGGAAAATCAGTAGAAGAACAGTTATGTAATTCTTACAAGTTCTCCATGTGTCTTGCCATCTTGCTTTTTCTCATCCTATCAGTACTGGATGAGAATGTTTATTTCACTGAACTTTGCCAAAGAGTTTCAACATTTTTTTGTTTAATCATAGGAGAAAAAGGTTTATCTTATTTTTAAAAATTTTTATTTAATTCTTTCATTACAAATGAAGTCCCAGAAGTTGTATTTGTTTCTTTAGGCTGTTCTTAATTGTTCATTGGAACAGGCAGGGTTTGAAGGAGTGGGGATACTGGGAAAGCCAGGGTGATGAGAAAATAGGAAAGGGGTCTTGTCATTGGGAGGCCACTATACCAGTGGCCCTTGTACCAGGACTAATATGGTACTTTGAAGCTTTAAATTCATTTCTTTATTCACCAGATAATTATTGAGTGCTTACTGGTTCTGGACAAGTAAGCATTCAATAATTTTAGGCATCCCAGGATACATCAGTGAACAAACAAACATAAAAAAACCAAAAGGCTCTTTTGCAAATTGGGTGGATCAATCTCAGTGTTGTATAGGGAGGAGAAACAACAAATCACTGAGCAATGCACTTAGCACAGTAAGAGTAAGCAGTTGCTGCTATTCTTACAACTTCTGCTATTGCTCTGTTATCCTCAGCAGCTAAAATAAAAAAGGGTTGTCATCCAGATCCCTTCAGGAGTCTCCCTGTCACATGGAGGACACACCGTCATGTAGGTCCTGTCCTCTCCAGCCCAAGAAGCTTCTCCCCATTTCTCTTTCAGCTCCTTACTCAATGAGCCAGCATCCTCTGGCCCCATGGTTCCAGAAGCTTTGCAGTAGTGTCCATTTAAGCTCTAAGACCCTTGGAACAGGCCTATGGACTTGAGGGAGCACCTGCCATTTGTATCAGTTTAGAAGGGTGCTGCTGGGGGTTGGGGGTGGGGCTCCGGAGTACACTGGGGGCACTGGGAATTACAGCCCCTCTCTGGGTGTTTGCTCTGTGAGTCCGTAAACCCAAGCAGCTCATTCTTATTCATTCCTGAATGAAGGAATTAGAAAGGAAGGGAAATTGAAAGGAAAGTGCACTTCCTCTCCCTCTCTCAGCCCTTTCTGGGATTTCCCTGCACTCAGCACCAGTGGAAGGCAGATGGGTACCCATGGCCTGGACCATGCTCTGCTTTTTCTCTGTTCTTCCCATTCCTGAGAGTGCACTTAGAAACTGGACTGTTGTTGTGCACTTGTCTGATTCCTGCTACCACCCTTTCAAAACAGGACCAATTTTGTAATGGGAAATTGACTATCTCAGGTGCCGACATGATGAAGGTATAGCTTGTTGTTTGGTACTAGCATGTCTCCAGGCGGGAATGGACTTGGAGTATGCCTTGGCTGAGTTTGGATGCCAGTTTTTGGGCATGGCCTGAATACTTTCAGTTAATTGTCCCCATCTGTGAAACGGGTAGAATGAAAGGACCTGCCTTATAGGAATGCTGTGAAGATGATACAAAGAATAGCGTAGGTTGGGAGTTCAGGTTTCCATCTTGGGTTGGGGGCCTGGTCTTGCTACTTGTTAGCTTTCTGATCTTGAGGAAGTAACCAGATTTCTTGAAGCCTTTTTTTTTCCTGCAAAAATAGATACTAAACTAGTACCTCCCCTGTGAAGTAGTTGAGGATTAACTAAATTCTTTTCAGGTAAAAAGTGCTTAGAGCAATGTTTTATACACAGCAAATGCTCAGTAAATGTCGGCTCCACAACACCAGTAATTTTTATGATTGGCACAGTACATGGAATGTAGTAAGTTCTCAAGGAGGTTAATAATCTTTATTATTAATTAAAAATTCAAGATATGGAAAGTATTTTTAAATATCTTTAATAAATATATATATATTAAGGAGAGCCTAATAGGAATAGAAATGAAACAGGCATCCTGGTACTGTCTTTTGGCCCAAAATAGAAAAAATTAAGATCCTAAGTAAAAAGAAATGATTTTTGAATTTTTATGGATAACACTGTATTTGAAATATTCTCTCTCTTCTGCTCATTTCTTACGTGCCACCAGAGAGTAAGGTGTGGTACCACTTAGAGGGATCTTCTCGGCTTATCTTCACTTAGCTTTGTTACAGCTTAGATTTTTTTTTTTCACTCTGTCACCGAGGCTGGAGTGCAGTGGCACAATCTCAGCTCACTGCACCCTCCGCCTCCTGGGTTCAAGCGAGTCTTCCCCTCTCAGCCTCTTGAGTAGCTGGGATTACAGGTGCCCACCACCACACTTGGTTAATTTTTTTTTTTTTTTTGTATTTTTAGTAGAGACAGAGGTTTGCCATGTTGGCCAGGCCGGTCTTGAACTCCTGAACTCAAGTGACATGCCTTGGCCTCCCAAAGTGTTGAGATTACAGGCATAAGCCACTGTGCCCAGCCTCAGCTTAGATTTGAGGGATGATAATGTAAAAGGCCAAGCCATTGCCATCCAGATGTTCCTGAGTTCAGAAGGAGAGACCTGGGCTCACGAGCTTTTCAGAACTTAAACCATGGACTGAAGTACTGTGAACAGGTTTTCCAGGGCTGTTTGTGAGGTTCATTGGCTCTAACATGATGTTATTTTAGAACTTACAAGTAGAGACTGCATTAAAAGAGCATTAGGCTCTTGACAGGCCTGAGAGCACTTTGCGTTGAGCAATGTGGGCAGAAACCATGTCGGTCAGGTATTCACCATGTCCTAGGCTAGATGGGAGGATGTGTGTGTTCTACAGGGCAGGGAGCCAGAATCCCTGTCTGTTTGGAAGAACATGAAGCGGGTGCTTTCTCACCACTCAGATGTGTTTTGAGATAGCAGAGGGTTGGCTGTTTGTGGGTACAGTTGGCAGGAATGACCTTGACCCCATTATTATCTGAAGGAGAAAGAGAGAGTGAGTGTGTGCACGCGCACATGGTTGGTGATAGCGACCCTTTCTCGGAAAACTCCAGAATCTGTCCTTTTCTTTTTCTTTTTTTTTTTAAAATTTTTATCTTGAGATGGGGTCTGACTGTTGTCCAGGCTGGAGTACAGTGACATGATCATAGCTCACTGCAGCCTTGAACTCCCTGGGCTCAGGTGATCCTCTCACCTCAGCCTCCTGAGTAGCTAGGACTACAGGCATGCACCACGACGCCTGGCTACTTTTTCTTCTTCTTCTTCTTTTTTTTTTTTTTTTTTTTTTGTAGAGAAGGGGCTTTGCCATGTTGCCCAGGCTGGTAGGATCTGTCCTTTTTAACAAGGAATTAGAAAGGGCTGCTTCGTATATCTTCATGACACCTAACAAGCTGTTTTCTCTCTTTGTTCCTTCAGAAATGCATGCAGTTTAATTTTTCTTTACCTATACAGGATAACTCTTATCATAACAAACAAACAGTAAGGAAAACATAAATACGAAAGCAAACATTACCATAAATTCACCCCCAGGATCACAACTTGGACCATTTTGGAGACCATCCTTCTAAACATTTGTCTCTGCTCACTGATTATGGAATAGACCTGGGCCGTCCAATATGGTAGCCAGTTACCATAGGCAGCTCTTGAGAAGATGAAATGTGGGTAACCTGAATTATTTTGAAAACAAAAAAAAAAGATATTGTAGGCTGGGCATGGTGGCTCACACCTGTAATCCCAGCACTTTGGGAGGCCGAGGCAGGTGGATCACTTGAGGTCAGGAGTTTGAGACGAGCCTGTCCAACATGGTGAAACCCTGTCTCTACTAAAAATAGAAAAAAAATTAGCCGAGCATGGTGGTGGGCACCTGTAATCCCAGCTATTCAAGAAGCTGAGGCAGGAGAATCGCTTGAACCAGGGAGGCGGAGGTTGCAGTGAGCTGAGATCGCACCACTGCACTCCAGCCTAGGGGACAAAGCAAGACTCTGTCTCAAAAAATAAAAAAAAAAGATATTGTAAAATACCGGATAATTTTGGGTGTTGATTATAGGTTAAAATGATGATAATGTTTTAAATATATTGAATTAGAACATACTATTAAAATTGATTCATTCACTTCATTTTAGTTATTAAAAAGTACCCATTAGAACAATTTAAATTACATTTGTGGCTTGCATTCTATTTTTTTTTTTTTTTTTTTTTTTGTTTGAGACAGAGTCTCACTCTGTTGCGCAGGCTGGAGTGCAGTGGTGCAGTCTCAGCTCGCTGCAACCTCTGACTTCCGGGTTCACGCCATTCTCCTGCCTCAGCCTCCCGAGTAGCTGGGACTACAGGCGCCCATCACCACGCCCGGCTAATTTTTTATATTTTTAGTAGAGACAGGGTTTCACTGTGTTAGCCAGGATAGTCTCGATCTCCTGACCTCGTGATCCGCCTGCCTCGGCCTCGCAAAGTGCTGGGATTACAGGTATGAGCCACCGCGCCTGGCCTGCATTCTATTTTTATTGGGCAGTTTGGTATAGACACATAACAGTTTTCTCTTGCCAGGAGTATGCTACATTTTTCCTACTTTTTAAACATTTAAAAATGTTACCCATATCTCTCTGTAACAATTGATATATAGCAACATTATTATTACTTTATAGCTATGTATAAATATATCGCAGTTTATCTAACCATTTCTACTTGGTTGGATACACGAGATTGTATACAAAAAGCTTGTATATGCATAGTTGCAAGCCTGTCTATTTCCTAAGGACAGTTTCTCAGCATCAGCTTATTTTTGTTTGGGGCTGACTAGTTTTTTCTTGTGGGAGACTGTGCTGTGATTTGTGGGATATTTTGCAGCGTCCCTGGTCTGTACCTGCTAGATGCCTATAACTCTGCTCCCCACTCACCACCCCTGCCCCATGCATGACAGGGAAAAAGTATCCGTAGACATCGCCAAGTGTCTCATGGAGGAAAAAATTGCCCTAGTTGAGAAGCACTAATTTAGGGCAAATTACCAGATTGGGACATGCTGGGTGAAAAGCTATGTGTATTTAAATTTGATAAACATGTATTGATTTATATTGAAATTTTATGTATGTATTCCCCAACTCTTTTCTGGAACAATGGTATCAATTCCTATTTCTTTCTTTTTTTTTTTTTTTTTTTTTGAGATGGAGTTTCACTCTTGTCACCCAGGCTGGAGTGCAACGGCGTGATCCTCCCAGTTTCAAGCAATTCTCCTGACTCTATCTCCCAAATAGCTGGGATTACAGGTGCCTGCCACCACACCCAGCTAATTTTTGTATTTTTAGTAGAAGACACAGTTTCGCCATGTTGGCCAGGCTGGTCTCGAACTCCTGACCTCAGGTGATCCACCCGCCTCGGCCTCCCAAAGTGCTGGGATTACAGGCCTGAGCCACCATGCCCGGCCCCAATTCCTGTTTCTATCAAGAGTAACAAAGATCCTCATTAAAGGCCTCTAAGAGATTCATGAAGGCGCGGCTGGGTATTATTTAATTGGTATTTTACTTGTTAGGAATTGTTTGTTTGTTTGTTTTCGAGATGGAGTCTCGCTCTGTCGCCCAGGCTGGAGTACAGTGGCATGATCTCTGCTTACTGCAAGCTCCGCCTCCCATGTTCAAGTGGATTCTCCTGCTTCAGCCTCCTGCATAGCTGTGATTACAGGTGCATACCACCATACCTGGCTAATGTTTGTGTTTGTAGTAGAGATGGGGTTTCACCATGTTTGTCAGGCTGGTCTTGAACTCCTGACCTTGTGATCTGCCTGCCTCAGCATCCCAAAGTGCTGGGATTACAGGTGTGAGCCACCGTGCCCGGTCAGAAATTTGTTTAATCAAATTGCTGCTTTCCTGAGACCGGCCGTTTTAAGCACCAGGATGGAGGCAAGCTGGGTTTTCTTCTGGGAAGCCAGCTTGGCAGTGAGATACCATAGACCACCTTTTGTAGCCTACTGTCCAGTGCTTCTGTGCTCATAAAGGAGGGAAAGATGGAGAACATCAGAGAAGACAACTCTCTTACTCCTTTTTAATTTATCTAAGACTTTTCTGACTGTAAAAAACAGGAATAATATCAAAAGCTATTGATGACAGTAGCTAATTATTGAACGTTTGCTGTGTGTCAGGCCCTGCTTAATGCCTTTATGTATAACTTCATTGAAACTTCAGAAAAATCTGGTTTCTCTGGGTTACGTAGGGGCTACTGTTTCCCGCAGGCACAGAGAGGGGGCCAGCCATTCACCCAGCATGCCCAGGTCACATCCTTCCTGTGTGTGTTATGGCCAGGACTTGAAGTAGGCAATCCAAGTGACCACACTCTTCATTTTCTCATGCTTTGATCACATATTTGGGCTTTTCCTGCGTGCCAGCCACAGCATTCTTTGCTGAGTTTATATTAGTGAGCCAATGAAGACAAAACTGGGCCCTCAGAGAGCTGTGATCCTGCCACCTTACCCCACTTTAGGCAACAGAGTGAGACCTCAACCCTAAAAAAATTTAATTAATTAATTAATTAAATAAATACTCCAACACCATTTTTTTTTTTAACTAGGGAAAATACCTCTATGAAGGTAAACAGTTTAGTTGAGATGAAAAGGAGTCAGACATGTAAGGATTAGGGAAAGATCAATTCAATGTCGAAGCAGCAACTAATGTCCAGTCCTCCAGGTGGGAGTGAACTTGGCATGCTTGAAGCAAAGAAATAAGGCCTGCATGGCTGGAATATAATATGCAGGGAGGAGTTAGAGGCTGCAGTCATCAGACTGATGCATGTGGCAAGAGGCTATTGTAGAGCATGCTGTCATTTGGACTGTGGTGTCGATAGTGGACAGGCAAGGAACAGGAAGTCTTTAAAACTGTCCAGCGATGCATGAATGGATAAAGAAATTGTGCTGTATATATGCAATGGAATAATATTCAGCACTAAAAAAGAATGAAATCTTGTCATTTGTGGCAACATAGATGGAACTGGAGGACATTGTTAAGTGAAATAAGCCAGGAAGAGAAAGTTAAACACCGCATGTTCTCACTCATATGTGGAAGTTAAAAAAAAAAAAAAAAAAAGTTCAGCCAGGTGCGGTGGCTCATGCCTGTAATCCCAGCACTTTGGAAGGCTGAGTCGGGCAGATCACGAGGTCAGGAGATCGAGATGATCCTGGCTAACATGGTGAAACCCCATCTCTACTAAAAATACAAAAAATTAGCTGGGCGTGGTGGCGGGCGCCTGTATTCCTAGCTACTCGGGAGGCTGAGGCAGGAGAATGGCGTGAATCCGGGAGGGGAAGCTTGCAGTGAGCCGAGATGGCACCACTGCACTCCAGCCTGGGCGACAGAGTGAGACTCCGTCTCTAAAAAAAAAAAAAAAAAAAAGTTGATCTACTTAAAAAGTAGAACAGAGGATACTAGAGCCTGGGAAGTGTAGGGGGAACGGAGAGATTTGTTAAAGGATACAACATTATAGCTAGGTAGGAGGAATAAATTCTGTTGTTCTGTACCACTGTAGGCTGACTGTATAGTTAACAGCAATACATAATTAGTCTCAAACACCTAGAAGGAGGATACTGAACATTCCTAACACCCCGAAATGATTCATTTTGAGATGACAGATGTGCCCATCGCTCTTACGTGGTCACTGTGCATTATGTGTACTGAAACACTGTATCTATGCATCACCATGCATATATACAGTTATTGTTTGTTAATTAAAAAATAAAATTTTAAAAAGGATATACTTAGGGGTTAAAATTAGGCAGCAGTCACTGATGGATAGAGTAAGGGATGTGAGAGTGAGGGAATGGTTAATGATGCCACCTAGATTTCTGATGTGACCATGTCTGATGGAGATATTGGCTGAGTGAGTAGCGTGTTGAGAGAGCCCTAATGTGGAGTTGGAAGATAATGAAACTGGATTAGACACATCCTAGATTTTTCAGGGAAGAACCGTTTCCATTTTTTTTCTCTCTTGTAACCAGAAATGCCAGAAATTCCTATATTATAGGACCAAAACTGAGCTCACAGACTACCTTTTGAACCTTGTACTCAGAACGACTTAGGCTTCTAAGTCCTGATTCTTCGTCCAGAAAACATCATTACTGAAGACCATGCAGAGAAAGTAACCCTATAGCTTAGAAAAGGGAGAACATGAGAAAGCAGCCAAGTGTCACTACTCCATACTTTCTCACAAGTCTGCAGAAATTGCTTGGAAAAATAAATGTGCATTTCATAATGCAGAAACCTGATTTCTTTTTAATCATTGGCTTTTTGGGTGTTTGCTGATTTTTTTCAGGCTTGTTAATTTGTGCTGTGTCTACCCGTCATTTGTGCAAATTAGCGTGGCTTAACTATAAATGAAAATGTCAAAGTTATTACATTATTTAAAATTGAAGAATAATTAGACTGGAGGAAAACAGGCTAAAAGAATGCTGCAGGATATGTTAAAGGTAGGAAAGGACGGGGAAACACAACAAAACAAAACAAAACAAAAAAACGAAGAAGGGATAAGCATGAGAGGATGGGGAACCACTCCCGTAACCTCCAGGGACACGGGCATGTGATTACTACATTGTGTAACTCTAATAATACGGCGCATGCCCAGAAGCCTCACATACACCACTAAGTATAGGTTCAAATGATTTTCTTCCAGGCCTTTAAAAAAGGTGGTGGGGGAATATTTTACAAGGTTGTTTGCATTCTGCAGTAGAATTGTGCCTCGGTATGTTTTGTTCTCAGCGTCCATCAAAGACACCTGCTTGTCTGAACCTATCAGAAAACTGCCAAAACAAAACAAATTAAGAAAAGTAAAAGGGAAGCCCAGGTGTAGGGTGCATGAGGTGGGAATGGGGATTAATTCTTCCAGCTCTTAGGGTTGTTGACTCTGTTAGATCACAAATGCAGTAAGGAAAAGCGACTGTTACTTCTAGGGACTTATACCCACCCAGGTGATAAAAGGCCTGTGTTCATGGTTATAACTTGTAACATTATCTGTGGGGGCAATAGCAAATAAATTCCATAAATGTCTGTCAGGAGGGAATTGCTAAATTATGGTCCATCCCCAGGATGAGGGACACCCAGGGACATCACTACAGAGCTGTTAAAAAAGAACGTACACCTGTAGGTACTGGTACAGAAATATCTCCAATATATATTAAGTGACCAAGTGGGTAAATAGAATAGTATTTGGATGAAGTGGGAGAAAAAGAAATATACATACAAAATACTTATGTGATTGTATTGTGTACAGAATATTTTTGGAATAGAGAGACAAGAAACTGGCAACAATGGATGCCTTTGGGAAGGGAAACTGGTAGTTGCCAGGGGCTGTGGAATTTATTCTTGCTTACCTCTTTGGTGCTGTTTAATTATGTGTATATGAGTATAATATGCATTTAAACGTAGCTCTAGAATGGCAAAGAGCAAAGTGTTACTACCTAAAGGGGCAACAAGCCCTGCTACAATTGATCAGATACTGAATTTTGATAATCTCTCTTTTAAATCCTTGCTTTTAACAACAGTGAAAATCAGTAAGATTGCTGATTGATTTTAGAAACCCAGTGATAAGAAACTGTTGATTTTGCCCAGATCTACCCAGCCTTTACTTCCAGCTTCTGACTCCTGACTTTCGATTCCGTATGGCTTGTCTCCTGTAATGCTAAATTATTATCTCCACCTCCGTGGATCACTGTGTTATCGAAAATACTTTTTTAGTTGCATGCCATATAAGACTTAGCCCACACTGGCTCAAGCAAAAAGAGACTTTATTTGATAATATAACTGAATAGGTCAGGTGTAGCCCTGGCTAGACAACCCCATCTTTGCATTTCTCCCCTCTGCTCTCTTCTGAATTTACCCCATTTCTAATAGGACCCCTTTCCTGGTGGTGACGAGCTCCAGCAACTCCATCCTTGTCACCTTGCTGCTCCAAGGGGTGCAGAGAAGGTCTGAGCCTCTTGTCCTGACTCTTCAGGGGTAGCCTTGGGTCATGTGCTTCTAAGGACCATATTTCTTCTTAATGTCCTTAGTTAAGGTGGCCAATCTTGAGGGTTGCCTTTCATTTATCTGTATCTTCTGTTTCCTGTTTGCAACATAGTTAAAATGGATAAATCCCTGAGCTCCTATAGGCCTGGGAACACTAAGATGAATAAAACATGTCTGCAGATCTCAGGAAACTCACAGCATGGTAGACAAGGCACTGGTGCTAGTATGGAAGTCCTTTTTGATGTGAAATATTCGACCCAAGGAATTGGAAGGGAGGGCTCCTTCATTTCTACTTGGGAAAATTAGTGGAAGACTCCTGAGGGAGGCTACCCTGCAGTGAAGGCTCCTGGGAGGAGTAGGACTTCTTCAGTAGACATGTTAGAGGATTGGGTGAAGCCATTCCAGTCTGAGAAGAGCATGAGCAGACAATTTGAATTATCATTAAGTTGTATTTATCTAGCCTCACAATGGCCTTTGCACTGCCCTCTTCTCATTTTGTAGCCACCATCCACGACCAGACCTTTCAAGGAAATCACTCAGTGCTCAGAATAGTAGAGCATTTGATTCCTTCACCATGCATTTGGCATGAAGTCATTTATTACTTTGTATTGTTATTTATTTCTCTCCCTCCCCCCAGTTTCTTTTTTTGCTCATTGTCTGGGCTGCACAGTTAGTGCCCTATTATCAAGCAGTCATCCCCCCATTAGCAAAGGGTTGTGTTCCAAGGACAGACTTTGTCATCAGAAACTTTGTTCTCGGATACTGAAATAATGGAGGCGGCGTAGGACTGCATTCAAGGAAGACTGAAGGGGGATGGGCATGTTTGAAAATACCAGCCAACTTTTGTGCTAGAAAACACAACACTGGAGTCTTGAACCTGCCAAGGCAAGGGGATTAGAGGAGAGAAGGAAGCAGTTGAGTTAGGGTTGTGGTAGCAAGGAGGAAGGGTGAGGGCCTGAGCATGTATTGGAGGTGGGAGTCCAATTCGGTTACAGTGGTGTAAGCATCAGATGACACTGCTTCACATAAGCCAGACATGTTTGAAGGAGGACAGGGCCGGATGCAAATTATCATTTGATTGTTAGTTAGACTTGTTCCTTCCCAGTGCCTCATTGCCAGTATTTCTTGGAAATTGAACTTGAATTCACACAGAACTGATTCCTCACACAAACCTGAATCTGGTCACTCTTAAGTGGACCCCATGGGACGCACAAGGACCAGAAGGAAGAAGGATGTGCACCTTACTGCCTCTGCTCGTTGTACAAGAGAGGGGATTGAACAGCAGAGAGGGAGCCAGATGGATGCGCACACACGAGTGTGAGGCCTCCCCTTAGTCCTAATTCATGTATAGTGAGAAGTTAGGAGGCTCTACTGGGGGAGGGAGAGAGCAATTTCCCTTCTCCAGATGCTGCACCTTCCAAACCATGGAAGACCATGGCCTTGAGATGGTTGCCTCCAGGTCCAGAAATAAGCTAGACCTGAGCTTTCCCCTAGCAGTTCGGGAAGAGATGTCACCCTTGAAAAGGTATCTGCAGCAATCCTGGAAAGACTTTCCAGTCAAAAAAATGACCAAAGTCAGGTGACCCTAATAAGGGGCAGAGCTCTTTCTCCCAGTTAGTTAGGAACAGTGGACAATATGAGTGTCTTTTCTTTGGTGTAACGCTTGACTGCAGCCCAGTGACATTAAAGGGTTGCTAGTCAATGAGAATAAAGGACTGAGAAATGAATTTCTAGTTTTGAAGGAAAACAAGGGACTAGAGACCTGTGTGAGAAGACCAGGGGATCAGATACCCGGGGTGGGGGGCTGGGGGGTAAATGTGGGACACAGGCATGGAAGCTTCTAGGTCTTCTCTATTACTGAGGCCATCTTCTGTTACTTGTCCTCCTGAAATCCCCCACCCCTAGTATATTGCAAGACCCATGGGAGCAATATGGTAAGGGCCATACTGGTTTTGCTCACCACTGTTGGGTATAATTCTACACGGAGCCTCAGGAGGACATCGAAGTTGACCCACCCGGGATGCCGAGGACACTGCTGAGAGAAAATTGTGCATATTATTTCTCGTTTTCATTGCTGAATTTCCCTAGTAATCTATTTATCAAACTTTGACTCTTCCTTCTCCTATAATTGGTGATTCTTTTGCACAAAAGAACCCCATTATTCCATGTGTATAGAATGTTGACAGATATAATACTGCCTTGTTCGGTGGTTGTTTTTTGGGTGTATGCCTTATCTTCAAGTCACTCTAAAATCCCAGTGGGTAGAGAACCTGTCTATTAAGACTCTTTTGATTCCTGATTTAGAATGTATAATAGGTGCTTTATAATTGATTATGTCCCCAGTGAGACTCTTAAGCTTTTTTGAGTACAAGAACAATGCCTTATATGTATTCATCGCCCCTGCCAATATTTTACACATAGTAGGTCTTGTCCTAGAGGCAGAACCAATTTGGACAGCAGTTTTAACAATTCAGACACCCTGTAACATGTTGCTTCTGTAACAATCCATGGCTTTGGACTTAAGCCCAGTGAAAGCACATTAGTGGTTATGAGTTTCTCCCTGTAAGGTTTTTCCTCTTTGTCTCCTTTCTATTTTTTGGTACGTGAGCAGCCTCTGTCTCTCTGTAGGGAAGCAACAGACAGCTTCAGTGAGTACAAATGTTATATTCACATGTGGAACATAGCCCCAGAGATAATCATATGTACCAGTGATCCGTCAGTAGATGCTATTACCCGTGTGGTTCTTTTATCAAAGGAATTAAGTTCTCTTGATGTGTTAATAAACAGTACTTTTTTGGCCAGCTCTGGAGTGGATGAATAGGTGTTTGGATGTCTGTCTAGATTGACAGCTTTAGATTGCTTTTTTCCTGAAATCTGGTAATTCCAGATTTACAGTGAATTTTCTCTTAAGTTGTGTTTTCAAGTGATCACACCGAATTGGTGGGCAGCAATTCTTTCTTTTACCAAAAAAGTAAAATTATCGTTAACACTTTTTATCAACAAAACTAATTCTTTAAGAAGTCTTTGTTAATTTTTTGTCTTTTCTCTCTCCCTACATTTGTATTTGTTTACCACAGATCTTTAGATATGTTTCTGTTGGAAGGAAGTATTCTCTTTTTTTGAGACAGAGTCTCGATCTTGTCACCCAGACTGGAGTGCAGTGGCATTATCTGGGCTCAGTGCAACCTCCACCTCCCAGGTTCAAGCAGTTCTCCTGCCTCAGCCTGCCAAGTAGCTGAGATTACAGGTGTGCGCCAGTACACCCGGCTAATTTTGTATTTTTAGCAGAGTCGGGGTTTCACCATATTGGCCAAGCTGGTCTTGAACTCCTGACCTGAGGTGATCTGCCCACCTTGGCCTCCCAAAGTGCTGGAATTACAGGCGTGAGCCACCACACCCAGCTAGAAGTATTCTTTAAACAGATGGGTGCAGTAGCATTTACTTCATATCTTGCACCTTGGGAGGGAGAATATAACTTGCCTAATGGCATAATAATTGATTTCCCCCCTTGTCACTTTAGAATAAGACTTTATAACGCCCCCAGAAAGAGTCGAAGATGAAACATGACAAACCAGAAAAATTTATTGGCCAAGGTGTCCACTCCACTTGGTAACTTTTTGAGGGCCTGATCTGGGGTTATCTGTCCTGTAAGAAGATTAAGATCAACCCAGTTAAAACACGGTGGGCCCCATCCCTGCTAAGACCAGGTTACAGGATAAAACTCTCATCCCTCTTGGTTGTTAAGACGAAATTTTCATTCACTTAAAGCATAAATCCTTTGCATAATATTTTTATGCTTGTTCTTCTCCTGTGTGTAAACCTTTATTTGGCGCCTTCTCTCTTCTGTGGGATTGACTTTTTAGGGCAAATGAGAATTTTGAAGATAATTACTCTCCTCCTCCATTCCTGTATCTTTAACAACTGCCAGGTCCCAGTGACACTTTGATAAAATGTTTTTAGAGCCAGTCACTTGTGTTGCTGTGGTCTGCCTTGTCGTAGAGGCACATCATTTTTGCACATCAGTATTAACAGTTCAAACACCCTGAAATGCTAATAGCACTAGTAAGCTTTTAATTCCATGGAATTTATTGCTTGCTGTGTTTCCATGAATTTATAACGCTTTGATTCTTAAGAGCCCCATTTAATCAGTTTTGCCTGGCACCGAACATAATAAACAACTTGCTGGTGAAAAAGTGCCACTCGGGGAGGCTGCTAACAAGGAAGTTAAATGCTTCTGCCACGAGCAGTTTCTTCGCTGTATTTTTCATGAGCTGTAATGTACTTTGCTGGCTTCAGAGCGGTGGTTAAACACAGTGACAAACCGAACCCACTCCAGCACTCGGAAACTCAGACTTTGCTAGGTGCTTTGGCAAAAAGTATAGAAGAAATCAACACTTTCAGCCTTTTCCCCCCTGCCTCTAACTTATTGGTTTCTAATACTTTTTCATTATCTTTACCTTAATCTCTTAGCATATGATTTATGGACTGGAATGGTGAGTGATATCAGTGGGCAAAAACAATCATTAGAGGCTGTTAAGGAACATTTATTGTTTATTTGGCTACCTGTCTATAAAAGTACACATGAAGGCCCTAATAGCAAAATATCAAATTATCAAGTGCTTTAAAGCAGAAAATGTCATTTGTTTCTCAAAACTGCACCAACTTTATATAATTGCCCTTTTAATTATCCCTAGTGGCCCGTGAAATTTGCAAAATAGAGCATCAAAGCTTTGATTTACTTACATGTTGCACTTTGGCGGGATTCTTAATGAATATTGTTTAGTACTAATGCTGAGATGGAATTCGTAAATGTTTATAGTGAGGGACTTACTTAGAAGAGTGGGGAGGCCAGTAATGAAACTGAATCAACTGGGTTCTTCAAGATGGAACAATATGGCCATATTCTTGGGCCTAACATTTTGAAAAATTCTTTTTATAGTGGAATTTTATTTTTAATTCAGGTCTAGATGAATACACATTAAGTTTAGTTTTGCAGAATCTTTTTTTTTCTGCCTAGCTATCTTATTACTTTCCAAGGGCTTTTGAGGAGTAATTTGTTTCCTGGCAATTTCGGATTAAAATCACCTGTTTCTTCATAAATTGTCATCTTCAAGGTAACACTGAGAACTGGATCTCTGAAATCTCATGTTTTCGAGATGATTTTTATAGCTGCAGACCTGTGGGCTGATTCCAGACTGAGAGTTGAAGTTTTGTGTGCATCATCATGTGCCATTAAATGAAAAAAAAAAAAAACAAAAAAAACCCCACTCTGAGTAGCTGTGAGTCCAGGAAGGGCCTGCATGGGTAGTGGTGCCACTGCAGAGTGAAGTTTCTATCTGTCTACGTTCATTTACCTTCCCAGATTTTTGTCTTCCTTCTGCACAGATGAACCACGAGGCTACATGTTGGGTAATAAAAGAAGTAATGATACAGGCTGGTGATAGGGAGACCCTGGAATTTGATTCCAGGCTGGCTCAGTGGGCACAGGAAGCTCTCTCTTAATATCTCAGTGATAGAGATATTAAATCATCCTGGTGGACAGGTGGACACCTGTGGAACATCACTTGTTAGACATCCCCAGGTTGACAGCACACCAGCGATAACCGCCCTTTGGGTGTGGTATGCCTGCTTGCATCTTCCCAGCCCACTGATGAGAATGTCACAAGGGACAGAATCAGGGGACTAACAGAAGTCTGTAAGATTACATCTCTCATTTCCCCTTTATCTACCTGTCTTATCACTTGGTCAGAGGGGCTGGCATGATGTGTCTCCAAGCAAACCATGTTGGTTGTTTTTCTCAAAGTGATGGTAAAAAGATTATTTCCCCTCAGTATCGCCCCTGGTGTGGAAGAGAAGAAGATCGGTTTTAATTACTTGGCTCATCAGTTTTTGAAGCTTCTTCATTATATCCCACTACCCCCCCAACTTTCCCAGTCTTCTGGGGCTTTTCCTGCCCCTTGGAATCTCGGAAATACATTTGTCAGTTCTCAAGCATTTTGGAATACTTTATCCTTGTGATGTGACTGTATCTGATTTTTAGAATTATTTTCCGCCTCCTTCATCTAGCTGATGGCAATTTAGAAGCTGAAATAAATTAGCCGGGCGAGGTGGCGGGCGCCTATAGTCCCAGCTACTCGGGAGTCTGAGGCAGGAGAATGGCGTGAACCCGGGAGGCGGAGTTTGCAGTGAGCCGAGATCGTGCCACTGCACTCCAGCCTGGGCGACAGAGCGAGACTCTGTCTCAAAAAAAAAAAAAAAAAAGAAAAGAAAAGAAAAAAAAGAAGCTGAAATAATTTTAAAATCATTAAAGCACAGACTTTTTTTTTTTTTTTTTGAGACGGAGTCTCGCTTTGTCGCCCAGGCTAGGGTACAGTGCTGTGATCTCAGCTCACTGCAACCTCCATCTCCCAAGTTCAAGCGATTCTTCTGCCTTAGCCTCCCGAATAGCTGGGATTACAGGCACCCACTACCATGACTGGCTAATTTTCGTGTTTATAGTAGAGACAGGGTTTCACCATATTGGCCAGGCTGGCCTCGAACTCCTGACCTCAGGTGATCTGCCTGCCTCGGCCTCCAGAAGTGCTGGAATTACAGGCATGAGCCACTGCGCCTGGCCCAACACAGACATTTTTAAGTAATCTGTTAACCCTGTCTACCAGAAGTGATAATATTTGCCTGGTTCAACCTCTTTTATCTTATATAATTTTACATAATTACATCTGCCACCCTTACCTGTTGTGTCTTTTGCAAACTGTGTCTCTATTCTTGCATTTTTAGCTCCATGACCTTGTCCTTCCTTATACAATCGCTTTTGTTTTTGGTCCTCAACATCAGCAAAGTGATTTCCACCTGTTTGCCATTTCTACTCGCAGATGCAGTTCTATGCTCAGTCACCTTGCAGCCCTCAAGGACATGACTCTTGTCTTTCCATGACCTCTCTTGGATGCTTCAAGAACATCTAGCCATCGAGTCCTTTCTTTTAGATTTCTTTCCATCTGGATCTACTGTATACTTATTTAAATTTTTCTAATATTGAACCTCTTTGTAAGAAAAAAGGACCACTCAAAAGTGGAGAGACACCTGGGCCACTTCCATTGCTTCAGAGCTCCTAATACTAATCTTTAATGCAAAGGCAAAACAGATTTACAAAATTTATGGTATATTCTCAATGTTTAACTCAAATAAGTTAATGTTTACACACACACACACACACACACACACACACACTCTCTCCCATAAAATGCAGCGTGATAATAATGTGACTCACAGGATTTATTCAAAACATTACTTCTGATGTATTGAGGTGATGTGGCCCAATAATGGATCTGCAGGTTCAAGTTCTTTGATGAAGGATTAAATTCACTCCTGTCACTGTGTATCTGTGATGGGAGGTTAAATCTGATTTGGAGAGAGCATTGAAAGTCCAAAACTGCAGCCATAAAAAGAATGAAATCATGTTTCTTACTGCAACATGGATGGAGCTGGCGGCCATTATCGTAAGTGAAATAACTCAGAAACAGAAAATCAAGTACCACATGTTCTCACTTACAAGTGGGAGCTAAACATTGGGTACACACGAACATAAAGATGGAAGTAATAGACACTGGAGACCCCAAAAAGGGGGAAGGTGAGGGTTAAAAAATTACTTAGTGGATACAGTGGTCCCTATTTGGGCAGTGGGTTCACTAGAAGCCCAAACTTCAGCATTATGCAATAAATCTATGCAACAAACCTGTACATATACCCTGAATTTAAAATAAAATAACAAAAATATAAAAATAAAAATAAGCAAAAGTTGGGGGCCAGGCGCAGTGGCTCATGCCTGTAATCTCAGCACTTTGGGAAGCTGAGGTGGGCAGATCACTTGAGGTCAGGAGTTCAAGACCAGCCTGGGCAACATATGGTGAAACCCTGTCTCTACTAAAAATACAAAAATTAGTCATGCATGGTGGCGGGCACCTGTAGTCCCAGCTACTCAGGAGGCTGAGGCAGGAGAATTGCTTAAACCTGGGGGGCAGAGGTTGCAGTGAGCTGAGATCAAGCCACTGTGCTCCATCCAGCCTGGGCAACAGAGTGAGACTCTGTCTCAAAAAAAATAAACAAATTTAAAAAAATAAACAAAAGTCCAAAATTATGGCCCTTTGTGGATGTGAGTCCTGGGCTAGGTGGCTTTCTCACCTTGCCTCAAGGCTGTCACATTTCCAGACACCTATGTACTCTCTTTCTCTCTTCCTGGCTTGCTTGCTGTGTTAACTCTTCATCCATCTTTGCAGCGCTAGCAAATTCTTCCTTAGTGGTAAAACTTGAACCCACCATCTGATGGGTTTCGGGACCAGGCACCATTCCCGCACTGTGTGCCTGGTTGGTCAAGACGACACCAAGTCATTAGACCGGGATGGCCTCTTGCACTTTGGAGGTTTGCTCTCAACTTTTGGCATCCTTGTTTCCTGAGGTGTGAAATGAGCTCCTGCCTTTTGATACCTGAAATGTGACCTTCACTTTTCGCGCCCCCTCCTACGTGATTCCAATGAGGTTTGTCTTTGGGTGATTGTCACTTGGTTCTCAGTTTCCTTCATACTCTTATCAGTTCTTTTGGAGTCGGTCCAGCGCGTCATGTGCCCATGCCTGTTGCTGTAAATTATCACTGCACCGTGAACATGTGTACATTACTAGGGCAAGAGCTAGCCTGGGAAACCTAAGTCTGCACATTTTCCGCCGTGTTGCATGTTTTCTGTTCTCTGCCTCTGTGTGTGTGCAAGACAGAGAGATAGGCTATTTGTCAAGTCAGCTAGTTGCCTAGGTATCTTTGTCTCACATCTGGCTGTTTCCTCCTAGAGAACCATCCAGTTGGCTTTCCAGGCCTGGAGGTGAGCTAATGGATGAGTGAATATTAGCAGTGGGTGTTCCTCATCTCTTTGAGGATTTGCCTCAGAGTTCACTACCAAGGGATTTCTGGAACTAGGAGCCATTCTTTACATCAGTTCTTGAGGCTTCTTTGATATCAGGGGCAAAATGATCCCTTCTCTTTTCTTTCTTATATCCTGTGCTTTGTCTCCTGGGTGATTTCTCTTCAAGTCAGTTGTGGGAGGTGCCTAGAACAACGCTAACACGGGGCTCAGTAAGTTTGGCAGATATAGTTGATTTTGGCCAAGGTTGTTGAACAGTCCAGAAATTTCTTGAGAGAGAAAAGAAGGTAGAATGTGTTGTTTTCTCTTTCTGTATTTCCTCCCCCAGTCACCTATAGATTCCTGGAATTAGAGCTAGCACTTCACAGAACAGAGCTGGACTTGCTCTGAAGCTTACAGCTGGAACCTCTGAGTGTGTATACGTGCACACTCTAGAATCAGATGAGCCAGACTGCATTCCAGCTCAGCACCTTTCTCGCTATGTGATCTTGTGCAAGCTGCCTGACCTCTGTAACTATCTCTTTTCTCAACTGTATGATAGGGGGAAATGGTACCCATTTTTAAAAAGTAGCTGTGAGAATTAAATCCATTATTGAATATAAAAGCAGTAGAGCCTAGTGTATAATGAACACTCAATAAATGTTACAGTTATTTTTCATATTGATGGGAGTACCCAATACAAGACTGTTATCAATCGCGTAATTCTTTACCTCCAGCTGAACTACAGGGTGATAATGGTTGAATGGAGAGTTTTGTGTTTGGAAACTCAGAGTAGAAGACAGATGACAAGGATGCTGGGAACCTCCCTGACCCTCTAATATAGTGCTCAGCAAACCAGCCAGGGAGGATAGGATAGGTGATAAAGCAATTAGGAAATCTAATCAGATCCCTCCAAGTGGCAATGTTTTCTGAAGTCTAAGGACTTAAGAATTGAACTAATTTCTCTAAAACACCATTCATGGCTCTCCATTCCTGATATCAAGATTTTATGAGTCTTGCATTTCTCATCCTCATTTGAGTGCACTCTGGAATTATGGATTTTATATTTGCTGGCGGTTTACCATAAATAAGCCTTGGGTCTTGTGAATTCATGTGTTTTGAAAAACATCGCTTTTGTTTAGCTTTCCAGTCTGGGTACAATAATCTCTTCTTTCTAGAAGTCATTCCAGGGCAAGTCTTCAGGATATTTGGTTTCTATGATAAGGTGATAAACATGGATGGCTTGATCTTGGAGCCACCAAACTACATTGAGCTTTAAATTCTCCATTGGGTACAATGGTTACATGCTTCTTACCCTAAAACTCTGGACTTACAAGTCATAGTTGTATGTAAGTATTAAATTCACTGAATGAGATTTTTCTCTAGACAGATATCCTTTCTGAATCTGGGTTTCCTGGCTGGGTGCAATGGCTCACTCCTGTACTTACAACAATTTGGAAGGCCCAGGCAGAAGGATTGCTTGAAGCCAAGAGTTCGAGACCAGCCTGGGCAGGAAAGTGAGACCTCATCTCTAATTTAAAAAAAAAAAAAAAAATTAGCTGGGAGTCGTGGCATGTGCCTGTAGTCTCAGCTATTCAGGAGGCTGAGTCAAGAGGATCATTTGAGCCTGGGAAGTCGAGGCTGTAGTGAGCCGTGAATCACTCCATTGCACTCCAGCGTGGGTGACAGAGTGAGACCCTATTTCAGAAGAGAAAAAAAAAAAGGAATATGGATTTTCTCTGAGTATGGTCAACCTGATCATTATTATTATTAAGTAATTTTTCAGTAGAGCTTTGAAGTGAGTGAATCTCCACAAAGGAGTAGCTTAAGTATGGCTGGAACTTGAGTAGGTGGAGCAGCCTTATGTAGAAACATAGGTAGTGAAGCATAGGCACCTTCCTCAAGGGTCAGGAACAGAGTTCACTCCTGCACACCTCGCACATCACAAAAGATCTGGCTTGTTGTAGGACATGATATACATAGTTGTTGAACACTGACTGAGAAGGAAGGTCAAGCATTTAATTCAGGCCCCAGCCTGAGTAGACAGCAAAATTCAAGATAAGCAACAACAGAACAATAAAAACCCAATTCCCCCACATCCGATTTTTATATTCTTTCAGCAGCCACTGGTATTCCTGGCTTTCGTGGTGTTGCACAGGCTCGGTTTTGTTGTTTTACTTTTAGTTTTTAAACAGGTTTCAATTGCTCTCAGTAGGTATTCCACAGGACGGGAAGTCTGATTCTGTCCATGGCTGTGTCCCCTTTGTGCTGCATACACAGCAAAAAGGGCCATGTTTTCTTTCCCTGCACCCTGTGACCTAGCCCAGGGTGAGTATAGAGGTGTTCTGAAGGGCAGGGGTTGGAAAAACACTGACCTTAGTTTTGCTGAGCTACTCCTGATTTGAAATGAATCACTTTCAGGGTCTCCTGAACTCTTCCAGGCACTGCGTGAGAAGCCCTATCTCAGGTGCTTTGGGCATGTTTTACTTTTGCTTTCAAAGGGCTAGCCGTTTTGCCAATGGAGTCCCAAGGCCACCCGAAGACTCAGTCCCACAGCTTCTTAGTGGAGCACCTTTGCAACGGCTCAAGATCTACCGGGTCAGATCATGTAAGTGAGGACCTCCCAGAGAGAACACTTGAAAGGTTTATTTCTAAAACTAGTCACAATACTAGGGTAACCACCCAAGTGTCATTTTTAAAAAGCAAAAAGTCAAGCCTCAAATTAGCAGAGCCCCAGTGGAAATCTCTCCTCCAAATCCATTACACAGGAGATGAGCTGGGTAAATACGGAGGACTCTTCCATTTAGACTCTGACCCTCACTCAATGAGGGGAATGATTTGTTTCCCACGTTGGTTCTGTGCCCACCTTTTTGCAAACCTTTTAATTTAAAAGAGACAGTGATTAATGATGCTTTTGATCTGCTGACTTTTTTTTTTCTTTTAAAGGGCAGCCTCTTTCTTTTCTACATAAATTTGATGTTGGAAGTAAACCATGAGTATAAAAATTCTATTGCTTATTTATTTCTGGAAGTATTAGAAATCTGCTCAGCCCCTCTCCTCTGCCCCAAAGAGGTCCTAGCTTTGATAGTCATGGTGCAGGCTGGGATCATATCTTTTTTGTATTCTTAGCATTGAGTGTCTGGTATGTAGTAGGGACCTGACAATTTTTTTTTTTTTTTTTTTTTTTTTTTTTTTTTTTTTTGTGACAGAGTCTTGTCCTGTTGCCAGGCTGGAGTGCAGTGGCGCAATCTTGGCTCACTGCAACCTCCACCTCCTGGGTTCAAGCAATTCTCCTGCCTCAGCCTCCCGAGTAGCTGGGATTACAGGTGCGTGCCACCATGCCCAGCTAATTTTTGTATTTTTAGTGGAGACAGGGTTTCACCATGTTGGCCAGGCTGGTCTTGAACTCCTGACCTCGTGATCCCGCCGCCTCGGCCTCCCAAAATGCTAGGATTACAGGCGTGAGCCACCGCACTCGGCCGGGATTTGACAAATATTTGTTCAGCAAACAAATGGATGATGAATTAATAAATGATACTTAATAATCAGGACTTGTATGGAGGACAGTTCCAAAAGTATATTTCCAAGTAACTTGTGTACCCTCTTATTGGAAAATGTCGACTATTCCATAGGCTATGAAGTTGGATTTTGTTTTGAATCTGCAGTGATTCAAATAAGGTAATTCACAATGAAAGATCTTTCTGCCTCCGTCCCCTCGAGAGTAACATCAGTGTGTCTTTCCTAGCTGGGAGATCAGGCCACCAAGAGAGACAGTCATTTTGAAATGTGCGAATGTTTTCACAATTGTTCGAGATTATTTCTCAGTAACACAGCTTTAGTCTACAGAGCTTGCTAACCTGCCTCAGTATTCTGTGTTCTTTTATTGTGGGTAGATAGATGTTGATAAATCAAAAGAAAAAAAAATCTTGTTAATTTCAGCATTACATCAGATCTTAGCAAATGTAGATTTCTATTATAATATTTTGGTCTAACTATCGGAAATAAAAGTCTGTTTTTCTCTGTGTTATACCAGTTTGCTCAATTTTATGTTTTTTTTTTAAATTTAAATATATGAAAATAATACAAGAATTGGCTTTAGTTCCAGATTGCAGAACTGGAAACTAAAGTTAAAAAAAATCTAATTTTTTTATTAATGTATTTGATATTATGTTGAAAACTTAGTGATAATTTACTAAAAGTGGCATTATTTATATCGATTTATTAAATAGAGAATATAGCCCAAACCTTAATGTGCTGGAAGATAATTACTTAGAATATCCGACAGCTTTGCGAGAGGCCTGTATTACTTTAAAAGGTATAAATGATAGGTTGTGTAATACCCTACATTCTTATCTTGAACTATATTATCGGGGGCTCTTTCTGTTTTACCTTAATGTGCCCAGGGGACTCCTGCTTAGCTTAATAGGACACCCAAAAGGAGGAAATGCAGAGTTAATGGTTTAACAAATTCTAAACTTTATTAGCAATTTGCATTTAGGAGAAGGGCAGATGGTGTGTGGTCGAAAGCTCATGGGACTGTGAATTGGTAGACTTTTTTTAAAATCCAGCTTTTGCCCCTAACTTTTGGTCTCGGAGACCTCTGTTCTTTAATAACTAGAACTGTAGGCCGGGCGTGGGGGCTCATGCCTGTAATCCCAGCACTTTGGTAGGGTGAGGCGGGCGGATCACAAGGTCAGGAGTTCGAGACCAGCCTGGCCCAGCATAGTGAAACCCTGTCTCTAGTAAAAATACAAAAATTAGCCAGGCATGGTGACGTGCGCCTGTAGTCTCAGCTACTTGGAAGGCTGGGGCAGGAGAATTGCTTGAACCTGGGAGACGGAGGTTGCAGTGAGCCCAGATCACCCCGTTGCACTCCAGCCTGGGCGACAGAGAAAAACAAAAATCCTTCTCAGGAAAAAAAAAAAAAAATTAAAGGAAATTGCTCTAAATATGATACAGAAATAATTAAATTACTTATTGCATGCCATTTTAGGAACATGTGAATGTTTAACAGACTTCATCGTAAAGTGTAAAGCACTACCATGTGAAATAGTTGGCAAAAATGAATCATCCCATAAATTCTTTGACAAAACATGGCCAAAAGGGTAAAAGTATCATGTGCCCATTTCATCTCTGCATTTCTCCCCCCGCGCCCCGAGCCTTCCCTACGTATTAGAAAGTGTTGGCCGGGCGCGGTGGCTCACGCCTGTAATCCCAGCACTTTGGGAGGCTGAGGCGGGCGGATCACAAGGTCAGGAGATCGCGACCATCCTGGCTAACACGGTGAAACCCCGCCTGTACTAAAAATACAAAAAAATTAGTGGGCGTGGTGGCAGGTGCCTGTAGTCCCAGCTACTCCGGAGGCTGAGGCAGGAGAATAGCGTGAACCCGGGAGGCGGAGCTTGCAGTGAGCCGAGATTGCGCCGCTGCACTCCAGCCTGGGGGAGAGAGCGAGACTCTGTCTCA